>NC_000005.10:125109807-126359807 GCF_000001405.40 Homo sapiens
TTGCGCATATGCCAAGTGTATGTGCCTTTGGGAGAGGAAGGAAGAGCCATTTTTACCATATGAAGTGAGCATGTGTTTTTCTTACTTTTGCTGCTCTGCTGTTTTTGCCATATTTTCTGAGTTCAAGTCTCTAATCAGTTGGTGGAAGTGTAGATTTAAAGACATTTATTTTGGAAAACATGTTCTGCTAAAAGTTTGTAGTAATGTAAGCCATTTAATTCTAAAATTGGCAGCTGAAACTAACACTGTGCTCACATAAGCAACTACTCAAGTGTTTTAGTCTAAAGCATTTTGGAACACCAAAGGCCAGGACATAATTTTTGGGTCTGCACACTTCTGAAAGTGAAAGCACCACAGCCAGGGGCTTATCTCCAATGCCGCAAAATTGGAGCCTGAGGAAAACTCTTATGTGCCTCTCCTATTTGCAGTATATCCCACCTATACGAAAAGAGAGCTCCTCTCCTTTCACTTTTAAGGAAAATAAGAGGAAATATAAGAGCGTAATTCTTGGCCTCAGCAGTTGTCTTGGTGTGGTATGTGTGTGTGGGGAGGCGGGGGCAGGGAGTGATGTATTTTGTAGAGGGGACAGGCCAAGCCGTAGGTGAGAGAGGTAAAGAGGCCTCCCTTTGAATGGGATACACATAGTGGGCTCAAAGTAGGATGGGATCCCTCCTCAATTCTCCCCAAAGGGTGGGGCAAAGGAGTTACATCTACTCCTTTGCCCCTGGTTTGTTCAGTGAAAAGATGTCAGGATAATGGTTAAAAAAACTCTGAAACTATAGGGAATTAGCCATTTTTAAAAAAGCATCTACCATAAACTAGGTACTGTACCAGGCCTTTTAGATTGATTTCCCATTGCACAAAATTCCTCAAGTAGGTATTGTGTTGGGTGCATAATATAATGGATGAAAAAACATGCCGAGAATTTGGCCAACTTGTCAGTCATGCAACAAGGTGGTAGCACCTGGATTTGTGCAATGGAGTCTGACCCCATTCACCATCCCTCTCTCTATCATGATCCAGATAAAATGATGACACAAATTGTGGAGAAGCAAATCTGAGAGAGGAGAGAGGTGGGCCACGGGAAGAGAGAGAGTAAATGAACAAAGTTATATTCTAGTTGAGGGGTGAATATTGCCATGCTACTAATTAGATTATATTTGTCCTAAATCCTTGATGTATGGTAGAGTAATGAATGCACACCATTTTTAAAACAATATTGCCATATTTCACAATGGCTGAAAGTCTACCCTCCCCCAACAGGCATAGGCACATATTCATAGAGTCTTTTCTGCCAACTAAGTGCAACGGTTGTCCAGGTTAGACAATTTTGAGTCATGCTCAATGTCACCCTCTCCTTGACTTGTTGTGGCTCATTTTGCCCCAGTTCCACCTGACCCTTTCCTGTTTTCCCCCATTTCAGTGCAGGGTCCCACCAACCATTCTGTCGCACAAGCCAGGAACCTAGAATTTATCAGATTCTCCCTTTCCTTTCATGCTCAATCCTTTACCCACTTCTGTCCATTTTCTCTCCAGAATATCTCTTGAATCTGTCAGCTTTTTTCCATCTTTACCATACCACCATTATCTGGACTTCTATGATAACTCTGTACCTCTGACTTCGAATCCATTTTCCTCAAAGCAGGCATAAAATTCTGTTAGTAATGCAAATCTTATCTCATCAGTCTCTGCTCGAAATCCTTCAGAGACGGTTAGGATCAAGACAAGAATCCTTATTCACACAGCCTGGGAGGCTTTGCACAGGCTGGCCTCATTTCTCTTTCCATTCTCATTTCAAAGGACTTTCTCTTCCTCTCTTTGGTTCAGCCATCTTGACCTTGGAGTTGCTCAGACAAGCCGTGCTCTTTCCTTGCCTCATGGCCTTTGGAAATGCTTTCCAGGCTGGTTTAAATGGTCTCTCCCAAATCCCTCTCTTCTCCCATGTCACTTTGAGCTTACCCTTTAGCTAGCTCAGCTGCCTCTTCCCAGTCAACGAGCTATCTTTCTATACATCCTCGCATAGAACCTGTTCTTCCCCTTTAACACACCTAACAATGGTGATGAAATTCTTGCTTTATCCCTTAAGGTAAACTCTATGAGAGCAAAGGCCAAATCTGCCTTGTTTAGTACTCTATATATAGCACATAGCAAAAGTGTCTTTAATATATTAGGTAGCCAATACATTTTGTTGAATGACAAGATGAATGAATACCTCCTCTATCACCCTCAAGTAAAGCAGAGCATGGGTCATCTTAGAACCAGATCTGACAGTGGGTTCATTGAAGGCAGCCACTATGTCTTTTTTCTCATTATCCTTAGTGGCTAGCATGATTTCTGGTAGATTCTCAACAGTAAGCTTACTGAATGCACAAACTACATATTTGCTGGGGAGGCAGAATGTTGTTTTACCATGTGAGACCTGTTTTATCTTCTAGGCAAATTAGGAAGCTCCATGACATAGCTTTATATTAAGCAGATTCCTCTTGTATGAGTCAGGGTTCTTAAGAGAAACAGAATCAATAGAAGATATAGATGTGTGTGTGTATCCTAAGGAATTGGCTCTCGTGGTTATAGAGGCTAAGTCCCATGATATGCCATCTGCAAGCTCTTTAGCTCTCAGGCCTTTGAACTACACCACAAGCTTCCCTGAAAGAGTCAGTGATATAGATTTCACTCAGAATCTGAAGGCCTGAAAACCAAGAGTGTCAAGAGCAGAAGAACAATGTCTCAGTTCAAGCAGTCAGGCAGAGAGTAAATTCGACCTTCCTCTGCCTTTAGGTCCTTCACAGATTGAAGGATGTCCAGCCACACTGGGGAGTGTGACCTGGTTTACTCAGTTTAACAATTCAAACGCTAACCTCTTCTAGAAACACCCTCAGAGACACATCCCATAATAATGTTTAACCAGATATCTGGGCATCCTGTGGCTCAGTCAAGTTGACACATACAATTATTCATTGTATCTCTATAGTCAAATATGCATCTCATACTATTGAATCTGAATATTTGACTTTCACTGTATCTCAGAAACCTTTCAGGATTCTAGCAATTGAGATTCTTGTCTACTCCAAATCTTATAGATCATTTGTGATCTTACAGTTGTGGGAAAGCTCATGGAGGCAGTTCAGTGACTCCAATAAATATCACCCATAAATTCTCCATAACATAGTTCACATTGCCCAACTTAAAATTACTGCAGAGATGCTTAGAGGTATATAAAACTCAAAGATGCATAGATAGAAAGATATGGCAGGCTTTGTAAAATGTAATAACATAACCTAAAGACTTTAAAAAAACAGTTATGGTTAAATTCAATAAGCTTGATATATTTCTTTTACCTACCTATGAACTATTTATATATTTATGTAATTATTTTTTGCCTTGAACTTTTAAAGTGAAAGCTGTGCTCAATTAGTATTAGTTATGTGACATTCTAATTCTTCAATATGACATCCAAAGCCAGTGTGTTTTCCAGAGATAGCAAATACACTTAGCAATTACCCTGATCAATGGAAGTACTCTAGTTAAAAATGTTCCATAATAAAAGACAAATTACACACAAAGATAAATGATTCGTATGAAATGAGAGTTATGTCTTAAAGTCATGTGCCTCTTCTGTAAATTATTTGCCAAGTTGTTGGTGTTTAGAAAGTTAAAGCATGATGTTCGATTCTGGTGGTTTGCTGTGTCATCCCAAAGTTAGCATGTTCCTAAAGAAGATAGACTGAGTCACTTTGTTAAGTGCCCTTAAGTTTCTGTTCCTCAATTTGCTCTTTTATGTGGTACTGATAAAAAACTCTTTGGACATATTTCATTGACCAGTTATGCCCAGCACTCTATCACTTACTGTAGTCTAGCACAATGACTATTTGAGAGAAGTGCAATACAAAAAATATGAGTATCTCCTCATGTAGCATTATGCATACAATCTCATTACTATTATTTTAAGTGCAAGTAAGAAAAAAGAAAATAGACACTTCAACTTGATCAAATCTATTAGTTAATTACAGTGAAAGAAAAAGAGGAAGGAATCAGTGCAAGAAAGAAAGACATTATTTCAGTGGAGTCAATATAATGAATTGAAGGTACTAGCTACGTTTAAAATGCCATAGAGTCGGCCCTGAAATAAAAGCCAAAATATTTGCTTAACAGAATTAAAACTATTGAATAACAGTGCTCCCATTTTTGTTCTTGAATGACAGAGTATTGTTTGAGACCTACATAAGTTGCCATTGGCAATCATCATTTGTGCAGTTTAAAATCTGAGGACTCTAGCGGCAGATACCATGGTAAACAATAAAATTTTTTTTCATGATACATTTTTATATTTGAAACAATTTCTGTGTTATCTGTTTTATTTTATCAAGAATCATATTTCTTTATTCAGCCTTCAAATTTAATTATTAAGTACTTACTGGATTATAAAGATTTTAAGGTTAAAAAGCCAGCAGACTTTATAGATTCTATACATCATGCTTCTTATTTGTAAAACTCAGGACACTGGTTGACCTGACTTATTGCAATTTGGCATTAATTTCATCTTTGTGCCATTACTTGAGTTGTGGTTTCGAATGACTGCTTAACTGTTTTTTTTTTTTTTTTTTTTGAGGTGTGGGGAGTCTTGCTCTGTGGCCAAGGCTGGAGTGCAATGGCACAATCTTGGCTCACTGCAACCCTCACCTCCTGGGTTCAAGTGATTCTCCTGCCTCAGCCTCCCAAGTAGCTGGGATTACAGGCACCCACCACCACACCCAGCTTATTTTTGTATTTTTAGTAGAGGCAGGGGTTTCACCATGTTGACCAGGCTGGTCTTGAACTCCTGATCTCAGGTGATTCGTCTGCCTAGTTTCCCAAAGTGCTGAGATTACAGGCATGAGCCACTGTGCCCGACCATTAACGATTAACTTTCTGTGTGTATCTTGTATCCCCAGAAAAAATCAAGCTCTTTGTAGTTTCCAGCACGTGAAAAACAGCAAAATTTGAAGGAATCTATTTAGTGGGTTCTATTACTGCCATTATATCCTTTGAGATTTTTGATTCTGATCTTTTTTATCTGAAAAATAAAGATATAAAAATCTTTGTCATTGCTTTAGACAGGTTTTGTATATTTGCTGCTAATATAAACTCTCTGTGCACATTTTATGGGCTAGTGACGCCCAGTGCTCTACCATTTACTCTATTCTTGTACAATGACAATTCGAGAGAGATGACACAATATGAGTAAATATTTGTAAGTTCTATGTGAGTTCAAAGATTGAGAAGTATTTTCTCCTGAGTCAAGTTCAAGGGCAACCACTTTTTTGCATTCTTAGGATCAGGACCAGGTTTTGCAGCTGACTTTTCAGACAGAGGATCATTAAACAAGAGATTCCTCATGGTGGATCTTTGCGGTTCAAATACATGATTGGTTTCAAGCATTCGTGTTCCAGAGGTGAACCTTCTTCATGGCAGATGCAGACTGGCTTCCATGTGCCTGTTTCCCTCAGCTGCTGTTCTCTGATCTGTGGCTGTGCTTCTCTTCTGTCATTATTTTCCTGGCTCTGACAAAATGACAACCACTCTTTTGGATTCCTCCACATGCTCAACCACCGTGTCCAAATTCTGCTGCTTCAACACTGCTGCCTGATATGCCGTGTCCGGAACTGCATGCAGGCTAATGTCATTTTGCATTTGGCGTCTTTGGGAAATTTCAAAGTCACTGATCTCTTCTGCAAACATGTCTCTAATTATTTCTTTGTGGCTTGCTCTAAAATTACATTTCACAGCCAGTGCATGATCACGATTCAGAAAAGTTTCCATTTTCTCTTCCCAGCCTGGTTTCGTTGGAGAAATCTGGCCTTTTTGAATGCCTTTGGCAAGGAAACCTTTTTTAGATTTCCCATAATCATCAGGTTCCTTTTCTCTTCTAAAGGTGAAAGAATTTATGCTGGCCCTAGGCTTGTTAACATAAAGTAAATACAGCAGATCTTTTCAGAGGTCTTTGTGATTGTTCTGCATGAAATTCTTGCCTCTACCTGGACACCAGTGGAAACTGGAGAAGTGCAGATGGGCGAGGGGATAGGAGGGAATTCTTAGCCCATGGAAGAAATGTCCAGGAGGCATGGGCTCTTTCCCTGTCTTTTCACAACAAGGTACTGTCTGTCCTTTATCTCTCTTTTCTCCTCCTACTTTTCTTCCCTCCTTTCCTCAATGTTTATTTTTCTTTTGATTTTTTTTTTCTTTTTCACAAATCTGGGTATGGGCATCTTCCTCTGATGAAACAGGGCTCCTCTCAGGAGGTTGAGTTGCGGTCACCCAGGTTGAGGTCTCCACAAGAATTAGAAATGGCATCCTCACAAAGGAGATACAATTTTCCTTGAATTAGGACAAGTGAATTGATCCTGAGTTTCAAAATTAATATGGTATGTGACAACAAACTTTTATTAGACAAACAACGTGGTTTTCATAAGACAAATAGGGGCTTCTTTAGTTTGCAAACTGTTTCATTATAAAGAACTAAACCCCCAAACCCTGGTAATTCACTGAGCATGGGTTAAAGACGTTGTATCCAAACTTTTTCTTTTTCCTGGAAAAAAATATCTTGTTTTGTGTAATTAAAATCCAAGTCATAGACCTTGTTTCCATTTTTAGATGAATGCCCACTTATGCTACATGTCCATGTGTGTAGACCCATCACATTTTAAAAGATTACGAATAGAACTCAGGTCTAAAAGTAATTACAGCAATAAACATAGCAGGAATTCAAGACTCCCTGTTTACCAAAACACTTCTTATAATCTCAAATTTGTGTTTCTGTATGTGTACCAGTTCCAGCTGGCAATCTCTTATACAGGTGTTTGCCTCTGGCTTTTGTACCTGAAGATCTCAAATCACATTCACAACCAAACCTTATTTGACTTCCTGTTATATTCTGAAAAAATAATTATATATCAACTTCTATAAATTTTTGTAAAATATTTCTATGCTATTTAAAAAATAAAAATATATTAACCTTCATATGCTTAACGAAGTAATTATATCTAGAAAAAATTAGCTATGGAGATGTTCATATATTTCATAAGGCATGTTCATAACTCTTACAGAATTAAATGGTCTTATTTATGGAGTAAAGATATTGTGATTGGCAGATACATATATAGCTCTAATATGTGTATAGCTCAGTAAATGCTATATATATAAGTGCTATAATACATGTATAGTTCAGTCGCTACAAATGTAGTTTATTACATTTTCTCCAATACTTTTCCACATTTAAATATTAGGCAATCTATCATGACAGATCAGTAATACTGTCTGGTATATAAAATTTGCCATCAGTATCTTATTTCAACCAGAAAAATTCATCCACTATTATTAACTCACCACAATTACTTAGAGGTGGTCTTTTATCAAAAGATTAAATGCATGTTTCCTTAAGTACTTAGCATAGCGCCTTGTACTTAGTAAATTCTCTATTTGTGTCAGTTTTTATTATTTTTATTTAAGTCAGTTGATCTCTATTGACAGTAAATGACAGAAACCAAATCAAACTAGCTTAAGGATTACAAGGCTTTTATTGGCTTATGAAAAGTTTTGGGCACTGGCTTCAGGCACAGCCAAATTCAGGTGGTCAGTAATGGCAATCTGTTTTTTTCCATGTCTCTACTCTTCTTTCCTCTGGGTTGACATGTTTCTGAGGCAGGCTTTCTCTGCTAAGATGTCTGCCAGTACTTCCAGGTAAATATCCAATGATCTTCAAGAACAGTAGGTAGAGAGTTTCTTTTTTCTTATAGTTCTGGTAAGGGCTTCAAATGTGAGTCTCATTAGTACTACTTAGACTGGCTTATACACTTAATCATCCATGAGTGCTGAGTGATCATGGATGACCAGGGCAGCCGGAATTTCGGTTAGCCAGGCCTGGGCCACATTTCCCAGCAGCACCAGAACCATAAGGAGAGAGAGCATGGGAATCAGAAAGCGGATGCATGCCAGCCTGGCAAAAAGAAAACAACAGATGTCCCCAGTCTTACTTCACGCATCCCCCAAACATTTCCTGAGTCTCTGCTGCATTCTCTGCACTGACTGTGGACGAGCAAGAGAGGGTGTGCGTGACTGGGAATGGGGAACAGGCACAGCAGGACAGGAGAGATCCAAAAGTAAAAGACCTCATTTCTCTCCTCAATGGAGAGACATCTGTAGACTCTAAAAACAATCAGCAAAAAGGACTCTGTGATGAACTCATTGATATAGGTGGTCAAAATTCAGAGCAGGAGGAAACACTATAATTGGAGAACTAAGAGAAAGTGCTTCAAGCGAGGGTCTTGGTTGATGACCAAATGTAAATGGGTGGAGGAGAGGGCAGAGTCTTCCAAGAAGTTGGTGGAATGTTTGCAAAGGCCCATGGCTTTGATGGATGGAGTGTGTTGGTGAAACAGGAGAGAGCTAGGCTAGTAGCCTGGATATGTTGTGCTGTGGGGGAAAGGCAGGTCATGGTGGATGTGAGAAGGAAGCAGTCCATGAGGTGCCTGAATGGCAGATGGAGCAGTGCAGGCAGGAACCAATAAAGAGAGGCAAAGTTGTGATGGTAGATTTCACATATATTAGGAAGCTGAATCTGATAACAAGCTGCAGGATGTCTTAGAAGGAAGGAAGACAGCAGCTCACTAGAGTCGTGTGGAGGCTACTGCAGAAAGTGTGCAATAAAGTGACGGACTGAGAGGGGCATGAGGCTGTGGGGAAAGAGAAGAAATGATACTGTTGAGAGAAATTTCAAAGGGAGAATCAGGAGGCATTTGAGGAGCTAGGGGGAAATAGAGGAGACAAGGGAAAATGACTCTTAAATTGTCAAGCCCAGGCTCCAGGAAATGGAGGAATCATTACAATGTAGTGATAACAGCAATCATTTCATAGTATTTATGGTGCTTTTCTTAGTGGTATTCCCCATCACTGTACTATAGCTATTTACATGCATGACTTTTTTTTAAGAATGATGTCTAATTCATCTTTGTCTCTTTAACATGAAGTTTGGTGTTTTACATATGAGTGAGTCAATGCATATCTAAAAAAGGAGAAACTGATTCCTTAGGAGGTAAAAACTTTTTCATCAAGTAAGTTAGTGATAGCACGGCAACGAGGGTCGTCTTCTCAGTAACTACCCGGTATTCTCTTCTCTGTAATCGTATACTGCTATGGTTCCTCTTCTTCGGGTAGAAGCGTATTTCTCCAGTATGAACAGCCTGGCAAAAAGTTGAAGTAGGCGTCCATGTTCTGTCACACATAAGCTTACTGTGTATTTCCAGATTATACAATTTGCCTAGGATCTCTTTCAAAGTTAGAGCATCAGAAGCAAGTCTCCTTTCTGACTCCTTGAAATTTTTGATGTTTTCCGCTTAGTTCAGTAATTTTTAAAAATTTCTGAGACTGAAATTTTTCAAACCAAACAAAACCTAACAGGTAGACCTAGGGTAGTGCTACAACAGATGGCAAATAAGTAAATGGTGAAACTTTCTGCAGTGTTTCTCAAGGTGTGGTTCCGAGACCAGCAGCATCAGCATCACTTGGGAACTTAGTGATGCAAATTCTTGGGCAGTATCCCAGATCTCCTGACTTAGAAATGTGAAGATGGGGCCCAGCAATCAGCATCTTAATAAGTCCTCCAAGTGATTCTGATTCATTGAAGTTTGAGAATCATTGGTCTATGGCAGCATCCCCTCAATGACGTCTTCAAACCTTTGATTTTTATACTCGATCTTGTATCAGAATCATTGGGAGGGTTTGTTAAAGCACTGATTGCTGGCTTACTCTTCAACATTCTGATTCAGGAGTCCTGAGAATTTGCATTTTTAACAAGTTCCCAAGTGATGTTTATGCCGCTCACCTGGGAACCATGCTTTGGGAACCACTGTATTTGGTGTCAGATCACAATAGGAAACCTCTTGGGAAGCTCGTGTTTTTTAAACAAAGATCCCTCCTAAATGCCCTTGAAATTGGCTTTTGAAAGAGCTGTAAATTTTTTGTTGAATATATGTGTATGTAGAACACAGTGACTCTGCCTGATCTAATGTGTATTGCTGTGAAATATCAAAGCCATTTGCTGGGTAGTCCCAGTGAAATTAACGAAGAAGGCACAACATTGAAGATTCATACTTCTTCCCTATAAGCACTGATGTGTGGTAAGTTGCAAAATTAAGGTTGAAGCATTACTGAAAAAACCCAGGGCTGAAAACTCCCTTCTGATTTCAGATTCAGTTTAATAGAATGCTGCCTCGGCACAAACCTATAATCTGTTTCCGAACACCAATTTGTGTATAGCAGGAGATCACATCGGTGAAGAAGCACCGCATCTCCTTATCAGGAGAGACTAATTGAAAGCTACAATTAGCTGGATAGTAAACGCCAGGAATTCTGAATCACAATCACAAGGTAGCTTGCATTTGGCACCCTAATGTATGGGGGCAGTGACGGTCACTGAGGGAAAGAGATGAGATTCTCTGCCTGCAGGAATTGAGGCTCTTGAATGTAAATGGGTAAGTGCTGCAGATTTTCTTTTCCTGTACTCACACACCCCCATACTCAAATTTAAATTCAAGATTGCTGAGATGGAAGATGGGGAAGGAAAATTGGCAATGTAGGAATGGCCAGGATGTTTGATGAGTGTGCAACTCTGGGTTCGGTTTTGCTTCTTTCATCATTGGGATGCAGGCTCAGTGTATGATTAGTATATCTCCAGGGTAATTTGAATTTCCTAGAATGATTTTGTGAAGCAATGTCCTCTCCTGACCTCCAATCCTAAACTGCCTTTGAAAGCTTTATTTCTTTGGGGAAAGGCATTAGCTCTTCAGGAATTTCATGAACATTCTCACACATGGCTTTTTTACATCATTAGAATGTTATTCATTTGTGTATTTGTTTGTTTATTCATTTGCCCACTCATTTATTTAGTAAATATTTATGAAACATTCATTACATTTCTGGCGTCATTCTGGGAATATGAGGAATGGTTTCCACCTCTGGGCCTCACTATCTCATCACCATATATGGCTTTTTTAAAAAAAAAACTACTTTCTTCATTGTGTATTCCTGGTCAACAACCTACAGTATTAAATATATTAATATAACATGCCTGAAGAGATGAAATTTTACCTTTAAAAGTTGGAGAGAAATAATTTGAAAATTGCTACTAGTTTTCTGCTTCTAAAGATGATAACATGAACTTCCTTTTATAATAGGTTGTCTTTTTTTTGCAAAAGTATCCCACAGTCTGATTTTTTTCATTCATTGATTTTAAAAAAATGTATTGAGCAACTATTCTATGTTGAGCATTGTTCTAGATCCTTGGAATTCATTAGTGAACAAAACAGACAAGATCTCTGCCCTTGTGGAGGTCACATTTAGATGGGGGAGAGAGACAATGCTGTAATAATTAAGTTATGTGATGTCTTAGACAGCGATATGTGCCCAGGGAAGGATGTTCAGGTAAGGGAGGGGACAGGGAGCACCAGGGTGTCCTGTAGATCTGAATACATAGCATATATGCCCATGCTGTTTTTGAACAAAATATTTATTTATTCTTATTTTAGGTTTGGGGGTATATGAGAAGGTTTGTTATAGGTAAACTTGTTTCTTGGAGATTTGTTGTACAGATTATTTCATCACCCAGTTATTAAGCCCAGTACCCAATAGTTATATTTTCTGCTCCTCTCCCTCCTCCCAACCTCTACCCTCAAGTAGACTCCAGTGTCTGTTGTTCCCCTCTTTCTGTTGAACAAAATCTTTAAACTCATCATCACCCTGAAAGCAGCTGGTTACCTTGAAATGTTATTTGTAGTATTGCAAAGTGGATGTTTCTTTAAATTTAGACACCATTTCCTTTTAAAATATATATTTAGACTGGACTCACCTTAAACTTGTTTGTTTTTGGGAGAT
Source organism: Homo sapiens (assembly GCF_000001405.40). NCBI lineage: Eukaryota > Metazoa > Chordata > Mammalia > Primates > Hominidae > Homo > Homo sapiens. The sequence continues at coordinate 125,121,712 of NC_000005.10, forward strand.
GTGTGTGAGGCCCCAGCACTCCAGCAGGAAATGTAACCTGTATTATTTCATTTATAGACAGGATTGTGAGAAGGATCCAAGGTGGACTTGGTAGAGAGTCCTGTCTGGATGGGGCACCAGGCCTGGTGAAATTCAGCATAGACGATTCCAGAGCTTGGGAATGTGGTACTGTGGAGACCTATCTCATCCTTTTGATTTAAGTAGGGACGAATTTTCCCTCTGAAAAAACTGAAAATTCCTACCTTGGTCAGGAAATGGGAGGGCCTTTTATGGAGAGGTAGGAAGAACCACTTTTCTTCCGCGGCAGCATGTATCAGGGGCCTTCATTGTGAGGTTCAATGATACCTTGTTTTACATGATGGTGATGTCTGAGCACAAATGTAGGTGATAGAATGGTAGAATTTTTCTTTTACATGAGAATCTATTTCTAACCAATAGCCATTATAATATCTAAATATTAAACACTTGAGGCATTTCCTCAAACTGGAGTAAAATAAGGCTGCTCATTTTCGTCAGTATTCCTTGTTACAGTTCTAGAAGTTTTGACCTACACAATAAGACATGAAACAAAGATAAAAAGTATAACTAATACAAAAGAGGATTATTACCTAGAAATGTCAAAAATAATTAGCTGAAAGATCTTTGTGATTTGTAAGACTCAGCTAAGTGCCTAAATACAAGGTAAATATCTAAATACCTAGAGAATTCTATTACACAAATATTATGCAGTTAGAAAATATAGTGAGAAAAAAGAAATTTCATTGATAATAAAATGAAAACCACAGATCTTCTGGGAATTGCATTTCTAAGAAACTTCTATCCAGAAAGTGATAAAAAAAAAAACTATTCTAAGTAATATGAAATAATTGAATAGATAGAAAGCCAAACAGTAGTTCAGGATTAGGGGAAGCAGAGTTGCTAAATGATGCAGATTCATTAGTTTATCTCACATTAAGGTATAGGTTTAATGCAATTACATTCAGGAGATTGCAGTATAAACCTTTTGTTATTTCTATAGCACTCAGAACAGTGCAGGATGCAATATAAGAACTTAATTCAACACAAATTAATCACATTTTCATGAAGCAGGAAATAGACAACGAAGTGAATGCATGATCTATATTTCTACACTTGTGCCTCTGCTCCCATTTTTCCTCCATTTGGAATGCCATCCACCATCCACCTTGGCCATCTCAAACTCACTTCCACTAAAGGCCCAGCACAACACATCTTCCCTGAACTACTAAGCCTACAACACTTTGGAGCTTCTTAGTACAATGGTACTGAACTAAGTGGTACTGTGAGTACCATTCTTCTGATGCATCTGAAAACTGGGTGCCCTGTCTTGTATTACTTACTATCATGGTATTTGTAAAAAGCATCATGTAGTATATAAGAAGTATTAAAGCGTGCGTGATGATGATATAACCAGCTTCAGGATAGCGTTTACAAATGGTGAGGGAGAAAAGAGATTTGAATTAACTACGGCAAAACGTCAATCTGGATGTGGGCACATGGATGAGTGTAAATATTCAATACATAGCTGTTGATTATTAAACTATCATTGGCAAGAGCAGTGATATACATCATTTGTAGGTGGACAGTCATTAGCTTTAAATATGAAAAACTCTCTTCAAATATAACCAAAGCAAAATGTAGAATTGATCATCAAATGGTTTTAAAAATCTATTGAAAATAAAGGCTGGCATAAAATATGTGTTAAGAAGAACTCATAGCCAATAGATTAATCTCTTTCAAATGTCAGCTAATATTGAGAGGACTAAAGAAACATTCAAAAGTTTCTGGAAAAATCAGACTTTGATGTGGCAAGTATATTATAGGGGTTAAATAATTTTATCTTCAGGAGGCTATTATTTTCTCTCCATCTGACAGTACATATGGAAAGTAAGATTCTTTACTTTTGTTGCAGAAGATGAAAAACTTGTAGGCAATTTAACATTCAGGTTTGATCTTTTGAGTACTACAAGGCATGAGCTTCCAGCAGGGAAGACATTAGAAAACTTCCATTTATTCAGGAGCCCAATGATAATAATCTAGGAAGGAGTAAAACCATTAAACAGAAAAGAGACCACTTATTAAGGTGAAAGGGAATCCTAAAGTTAATGTGTCATCCATTCAAAACGGCAGTGACTGACATTTATTGAGCACTTTCTGTTTACGGGGTCCTAGTTAGGCTCTTTCTTCATATTAGCACATTTGCCTTTAATAAGAACTCTGTGAGATATTAGAATCCCCATTTGGCAGAAAAGGAGACTGTGGTCTAGAGAAATTGAGTACAGCTGGTTGGGTACAGTGGCTCACACCTGTAATTCCATCACTTTGGGAGGCCAAGGCGGGCATATCACTTGAGGTCAGGAGTTCAAGACCAGCCTGGCCAACATGGTGAAACTCCATCTCTACTAAAAACACAAAAAATTAGCTGGGCTTGGTGGTGCTTGCCTGTAATTCCAGCTACTCAGGAGGCTGAGGCACAATAACCGCTTGAACCCAGGAGGCGGAGGTTACAGTTGATATTGTACCACTGCACTCCAGACTGGGCAACAGAGGCGGACCCTGTCTCAAAAACAAAAGAAAAAAAGAAGTTGAGTGCACTTTTAAACTCAGAGAGACCCACCAGATTTCAGAAATGTGTTTACAAGGGTTCTTTTTCTTTTTTTCTCCACAGTAGGGGCAAGTATATCTTTAACCGTGTAGATTTATTACCTATTTCAGAGTGAATGCCAAAGTTTTCTGAATGAGAGCTTTACTTGATCCTGGAAGAATTCCATGCCAATTGAACACTGGTTGCATTCCATAAAATGATAGGAGCAAGTCAGGAGGAAAGACAGCTGTAATATTCAATTGTCTGTAACCAATGTGTTAGGAGTCACCGTCTTTCATCTAGACGGTACAGTTGCATTTTTAAAATGACATCTATTACCACATTAGAGGCAACCCATAACAATCCCTTATAGAATGTTTGTCTCAATTTTGGTTATTTAATGTCATTATACCCAATTTCAAAGAGCTCTTATGATAAACAGGCATAGTGAAATACCAGATGAATAAGAGCTCATTTTCAAATTCTCAGAAGTCAGCACTTCATTTTCTATTTTTAAAATTTATTTTTTAAAGTCTCTAATTTCCTGGTCTTATGAGTTAGAATTTTCTCTTTAAAGGAAAGGCTTTCTTAAATTATATTATTAATGTAGTTGTAAAAGTCAACCAACTTCAGAGCAAATTCTCCAAAATTTTTGTCATTGCTCTGAAACAGTGAAGTTGTCATGCACATATATATTGTTAGTAAATTTATTGTAAAGAGGAAAAAATATAAATATGATCACAGACATGTAAAGTCATGCTGTGTTTCTCAGGTTAAAACTCTATATCAAGTTCTAGCTCAGGGCAAGTTTAAGCAGCTGAGTTACAAACCCAAGAATAAAGAGGTCAGACTGGGGATGCTGACAGACTCTTAACTCCAGCAGTACCAGCAGGCGCAACTCTCAAAGTGGAGCAAACCACAGGAGGCAGCAACATGGATCCTGGACCAGGTCCTAAGCAGTTAGGAAGAGCTGGGGATTATTTTATTCCAAACTGTGGTTACATTTGTGGCTTCTAACTATTAGCTCCTTTTCTATAGGCACAAGGCACAGTTATATGCAAACAAAATACAAAATAATCAGCAATATCTTTTATTGCCCTAATTTAACATTATTAAAACAACACAATACTGCTTTGGAAGAAAGTGGTAGAAAGCAAAAGCTCCTAAACAGAAATTAAGTCCCAATATGCTGGCATATTATCTACACAACATGGCTAGATTACTTTCTGTTTTCCTGCCGTGAGTAAGCCATGTATACAAGGAAATAAAGGAATCCAGAAAGATGTTTGACATTCCCAGAACGGCTTTGACACTTTTAAGAACTGAAGGCAGAAGAATTTCAAGCACATCGAGCTTTTCACAAAGCAGGCATTCAACGTTTGTTGCAAGCGGTTCAAAGTAGGTGAACAAATAAAAACACTGAAGTGCTTTCTTAAGAGACACATTCAGAAAAACAACTAATTCTAAATATTGACACATATTGACTCTACTTTTAGTCTCAAAAACATGTCACCAACTTCAACAAAAAGAAAAAAGGATAGACACAGTAAGTGCAACAAAATCTTGAATAATTGTTGGATCTGGGTGCTGGGACCATGGAGGTTGATTGTATTATTATTTCTATATGTGTACTTTTGAAATTTTTAATAAACATTTATTTTAAAAAATCGTCACCTAAAGAATGCATTGTTTGATGATCTGTTCACTTCCTATTTGTTTGGAGGTATGTATTATACCCAGTTCAAATAGAGTTACAAATACCTTCAACAAAATGTCCAAAATTTTTCATTGCACTTGAGTTTTACTGCATGAAACATTGTTTGAAGTGAGTGCTTTTGGGATTCTTTTTATAACTGTAGTATTTGTGTAGTACTGGGATTTGCCAAGTTTTGATTATGGCTTATGCAAGGAAAACTACTTTCTAGAATTGCCATCCATAAATGACCAACTGGGTCCTTTCTTAGAGTGGCAAACCCTTAAAGCTGTCAACACACTTTGAAAGCAGTCTTGGAGCACTGCAAACATTGAGTTACCTCAGATGTGACCTAAGCAGAATGGTTAACACAGTGGACAGATTTAAAGAAGTTGGGGGAGAGATGAAGATTTGAAGATGTCTTTGTAAAAGCTATTGAGCCCGCAATTCTACCTGGCATGACCTCGTTTTTAATCTTCTTAACTCAGAATAAATTATCTTCAAAGTCTGTAGTCATCTTTTTTTTTTTTTTTCTGTGCTTGGCAGACCCTATCTGATCCAAGTCTAGCTCATGTAAATCAAATTTAAGGGTCTAGCAAGTTTCTTTGCTCCACACCTAGACCAGGGAGAAGGCAGCTGACCCTATACCAAGAGCACTTTTTCTTCAGTTGTTCTTCTTCCCCTCTGCACTTGAGAGACAGCTGCTTCCTGTCTCTTCTAGATGCCAGTTTCTCTCATTTCTATTCCTTACACGCTCTGTCTCACGGAATCTCTCCAGGAGCCACCTGATTTCCTGGCACTAGCAGCCCACTTTGTTCTGCTCAAACCCTGCCCTGGATGTTCTTTTTCTATTGGAATAGATTTCCTGGAATAACCAGGCACCTCCCCGTATCCACTCTGTATATCTGAAACCACAATCTAGTTTTGTTCCTCTAGATTGGAATCCGCCTTTGTATCCTCCCAAACAGGCCTGGTCCTGGGTGGGTTTTGCCACACTTATGATACCACCTTCTCCTCCCTGGGTTTGGTCCTTTTCCATTCCCAGCCTGCCCTTGGGGGTACTTTAACATTCTACCAGTGGGTAAACTCAAATAGAACCCATCTAGCTATAATGTGTCCTAAATGGAAAAAGTCAGTTTAAAAAAATGGGAGTTATGATGTCTATAAATCACTAAAGAGTTGTAAGTGCTTTCACTCTCCTCAGAACCAATGTATACCAGGAACTTAGCTAATTAGCATAATGAAAGTTGGAAATTGGTTATCAATGATAAAAATTAGTGGATTGTTATTAGGTTGCTGCAAAAGTAATTAAGGATTTGCCATTACTTTTAATGGCAAAAACTGCAATTATTTTTGCACCAACCTACTAATTAGCAAACTGGGTATCTGAAATAATCTCTCATTGGTGAATTTAGCAGTATTCAAGATAATGTAGAAACACCTATCCCCATTACCCCCACCCTTGCCCCAGGCATAATTTTGTCATGCAAATCGGTTGGTCACCTTGATTTTCAAATAATCCTGTGTCCCACCACTGATTTGGAGGGTTTTTGGTCTCCTAACTCTAATAGATGATCATTTGCATCCTGCAGCTGTAAAATTATCACATTTGCTTCAGGTGAAGTCTTCAGAATATTTCTTTCTTTTTATTGAGTGCCAAAATGACATAGACGTTGGATTTTGTCAAGGTTGCATGTGCCTACTTGCTAATAAATCTGAGTGTGACAGAATGTAGTAAGAGATTTGTTTTTGTTACAGTCTTAATTGAGAGCAGTGGGGTAAACGTCACGGCATACCCCCCACCCCATAACCATATACAACTACTCACATCCATCAGGGTGGCTCAGGTCACAAGGTGTAATAAATACATCTTGTATATTTACATAATTATATGTCTACCTACGTATCTGTTGAACCAAGGTTTTTGGTTTCTAAAGTCTTCTTGCTCAGGAGTTGGCAAACCATAACCCATAGGCCAAATCTGGAACGCTGATTTTGTAAATGAAATTTTACTGGAACAAAGTCATGTCTCTATGTCTCTTTATTGACATATTATCTGTGGCTGCTTTCATGCTACAGGTAGTTGTGACAGAACTGTATGGCCTGCAAAGATAAAAATATACTTATTGTCTGGCCCTTTGCAGAAAACGTTTATTGACCCCTATTGTAGCCCATCGGGGTTTCTCACCCTTCTGGATGAATATTTAAATGCAATTAAGAAAAATTTCTTGCCAGTTTTATCCAGAAAGAACAAAAGTTCTCAGCACATTATGAAGTGATTAAGGGAGAAGGCATGATCATGTGTTAAAGGCTTGCCTGATGGGAATGGAAAGTAGAGGCAGGATCCTTAAGTAGATGTCTGTTTACCAAGACATGCAGATCAGAATGAAGAAAATAAAGATCTTTGAAACTGAGACCTTTGAAACTGAGAATTGTCATGGGTCTCTCTCATTGTTTTGAGTCTATTTTGATTTAGTTTTCAAGTCAGGCCTTTAAAGCACTCTTGGCTTTACTTTGTGAAGGTTCAGGAAAAGTTAAGGCAGTTTTTGCTGGTCAATGACCAAGAGGGGACAGAAACCATCCAACCTCTTGAAGTTGGGAATTGAAACTGAAGGCAGAGTTGCTTTGATCCCCTTCAGGAGGCCACCAATTGTTGGTCAAAGAGTATACCTATGGAAGGTTCCTTCCTATGAGCTTGTGATATATAGACCATCCTCCCCCCGCATATTACTCTGACATATTAAGTAACACTTTTAATATATCTGCTGCATTTTCACCAATAAACTTATGAGAAGAAGTAAGCAACCCTATGTTCATATTAAAGTTTCAGAATATAAGTATTTGGTGGATTTGATAGCTTTTAAATATTGAATTAAAAGTGATTATGGCTAGGCTTTTCTTTAACTGTTAATAATATTTTGATTTATTTTTATATGTATTTGCTACATTAACTGAACATTCACAAATTTATTTCAGAAACTTTTCATGAACTCACTTGCCATATTCTAGAAATCATTATACAATCTTCCATATCTAATAACTGGTGTTGGCAGAAAAACAAATTGGTAGTAACGTGTCTTACTTCATTGGTGCTGCTGTAACAAAATACGTTAAGCTGGGCAATTTATAAATAACAGAAATAAATATTCTCATGGATTTGAAGGCAGGGAAGCCCAAATCAAGGTGCTAGCAGTTTCAGTGTCTGGTGAGGGCCCTGTCGCTCTGCTTCATCCAACAAGATTGCGCTTTGTTGCTCCGTTTTCTAGAGGAGAGAAAGGCTGTGTTCTCACATGGTGGAAGGGCAAAAGAGGCCCTAAGCTAGTTCCCTCCAGCCCTTTTAAGGCAGTAATCCATTCATGAGGGTGGAACCCTTATGACTCAATCCCTTCCCCAAAGGGCCCCCCCTCTTTCTACCACCACAATGGGGATTAAATTTCAACATGAATTTTGGAAGGGACACATTCAGACTCTAACACAATGTTAACATTTATTCATCCAGTCTTAAAATAGTGTTAAATGGTTACTGTGTGCCAAGCTCCGTGCTGGGGCAGATCTAGAGAATTTAACATGGGAAGCATATAATAAACTAACAATGACTGGAATGAGTCACATCAGAGAGAAGCTAAGGAGAACAAGGAAATTCCATTTGTAGTAATGGGGATGGCTGATAGAATCTGAGATTGAATTCCTGACACAGGGAGTAATCAATATACAATGATGTGAAGTGGAATGTGCATCAGGTAAGAAAGAATGGGTGAAATGTCTCAAGTGAAAAATTCAATGTGTGACTTGTGTGAATTCTGCAGGTAATAGGTGGAAGATACTCCAATTGATTTCAACCAACCATGATAGACCATAAAATAGGAAAAATATGTAAGCCAGCAAGGTTAAACAGATCCCCTGTGCCCTACCTTCAGGCAGTTACTTTATTTTTAGAATTAAGAAAAGTCTTTGTACATTTTGTAGCATCACTTAAGTAATTTGTTACTGAAGGAAACTGTACAATTCTGTGAAAAGAGGATTTTCAGAAAAAGAAAATCATGACTGTCATACAGACACAAAAATAAATGTGTGAATTGAGGCAAATGTTATAATTAACTCAACACAGAAACTGCAATGGAAAATAAGTATATATATAAATATATATGTAAATATATATAAATATATAAATTATGTAAATATATAAAAAAATAAATATATATGTAAATATATACAAATATATAAATATATATGAATATATACAAATATATAAATATATATGAATATATACAAATATATAAATATATATAAATATATATATCAATATATATAAATATATATAAAAATATATATATCAATATATATAAATATATAAATATACATCAATATATCAATATATAAATATATAAAAATATATATAAATATATAAATAAATATATTAAAAAATATAAATATATAAATATAAAAATATATAAATATATATAAATAAATATATAAATATATAAATATAAATATATAAATATATAAATATAATTAAATATATAAATATATAAAAATATAAATATATAAATATAAATATATATAAATATATAAATATAAATATATATAAATATATATAAATATATAAATATAAATATATATGTATATGGAGAGAGAAGTTATTTGTTTATCTCCAGTAGGACAGAATTTGCACGTCTATAGATTAGATTTTTTTTTTTTGCTGTAAGTTTCTTACAATTTATAGAGTTGTAAAATCATGTCTGTGGAATCTCGATCAGATAGCCCTGTGGGGTATCCTTTAGGGTCTAGACAATGTAGTTTTTTCACTGAACCACAAATTCCTTTCTACAATTCTAAATATGGAAGCACAACATTTTTTTTCTTTACCACATTTAAGGATCATTAAAAACAAAGTGAATGGTTCATTTATATAGTGAAAAAAGTATTACAGAGATTTAAGATAATATTGTGTACTAGATATTTAGAGTGAATGAGTAATATTCATTTAGAATATGTAGTACAGAATGAGGAAAATAATAGGTACCTGAAAAATGCTTGTTGAATATGTATTTCCATAGAAATACTGTAATTAGGTAAACCGTCAGTTAAAAACAGTAGGTACAACAATGGAATTCTATACCGTAATAGAAAGAAATCAACTGCAACCTCACACAGCAACTAGATAAACTCACAAACAAAATATCGAGCAAAGAAAAAAGTGAGGTATGTAAGAATACACAGTGCACGATTCCAACTGTACAAAAGTCTGAAACACACAAAGGAAATTTATGATGTTACATATTTGGTTGAGGACTACTCTTGGGGGAGGGTAGTAACGGAGAGTAGGCCTGCCAGGGCTTCATGGATACTGGCAGTGTTCTGTTTCTTGAAATATACATGGGTATGTTTACTTCGAATTGTACACTTTTTTGTATGTATGTCAATACTTCAATAAAAAGTTTACAAAAAAGGCATTGATAAACGTCTAAAACCAGCATCTATGTAAGATTGTTTCCATTAAAGATGTATATGTATCGGTGTTAGTATAAAAACAACATGTTAATAAATGTTACCTCCAGACGGTGGGATTATGAGTTTTTACTTTCTGCTTTTTGTATTAAGAAAAAAGTATACTTTTTTTGTATTAGGAAAAAGTGCATTAATTAAAATGAAAGTGAACTACTTATTAGTTAACTATGAAGTTAAAAGTTGGAACTATTAGATATAATAAGTAGACCTTATTATAAGTAACTGGCTCACATAATTATGGAGGCTGAGAAGTCCCAAACTCTGCTGTCTGCAAGATGGGGACCCAGGAAAACCTGGGAACCAGGAGTGCTGATGGTGTAAACCCTCTCCAGATCCAAAGGCCTGAGAACCAGGAGTGCTGATGGTGTAAGCTCTGTCCAAATCCAAAGACCTGGGAACGAGGAGTGCTGATGGTGTAAACCGTGTCCAAATCCTAAGGCGTGGGAACCAGGAGTGCTGATGGTGTAAGCTCTGTCCAAATCCAAAGACCTGGGAACCAGGAGTGCTGATGGTGTAAACCCTCTCCAGATCCAAAGGCCTGAGAACCAGGAGTGCTGATGGTGTAAGCTCTGTCCAAATCCAAAGACCTGGGAACAAGGAGTGCTGATGGTGTAAACCGTGTCCAAATCCTAAGGCGTGGGAACCAGGAGTGCTGATGGTATAAACCCCGTCCAAATCCTAAGGCCTGGGAATCAGGAGTGCTGATGGTATAAACCCTGTCCAAATCCGAAGGCCTGGGAACCAGGAGTGCTGATGGTATAAACCCTGTTCAAATCCAAAGGCCTGGGAACCAGGAGTGCTGATGGTGTAAGCCCTGTCCAAATCCAAAGGCCTGGGAACCAAGAGTGCTGATGGCATAAACACTGTCCAGATCCGAAGACCTGGGAACCAGGAGTGCTGATGGTGTAAATCCAGTCCAAGGGCAGGAAAAGACTGATGTTCCAGCTCAAACAGTCAGGTAGTGAAAACAAATTGTGTCTTTCTCTGCCTTTTTGTTCGATTCATACCCACCCGCATTAGGGAGGGCAGTCTGCTGTACTCACAGACTCAAATGCTCATCTAGAAACACAGTCACAGACATACCCAGAAATAATGTTTCACCAAATATCTGCGTGCCCCATGGCTGTTCAAGTCGACCCAGAAAATTAACCATCACATCAATCTTGTTGAGTTTGTTGAATTTATTTGATTCATTCTGATAAATTCCAGTGAATATCTAGAAAAGTTTTTAAAGAAGTTAAGCTTAAATATCACAGTTAATTTCATGGCATTCTTTATTTTAACTAGAGGTGATTAATATTCGTCATTGTCCTGTGATGATACTTCACAAAATCATTTCAGCCTAAAACGAATCCTTGGCACATTGGTTGAGAACCCACAGTTACCAAGGTTAAGTATTTATAATACCCCTCATGTAATCCTGAGAAAAGAAAACAACCTGGTTTTGTTTTTAAAATGTCCTGCCCTAAAATGCACAGTATAAAAATCCCGAGTGATTGAAAAAGTACAAACTCTTGGAGGCAGCATTTTGGCTGTGACCACGGAGCTTTTCAAACCCTCCCACCTCATTCATTGCCAAGGTGACATTTTAGACTAAATGAGTTTGCCAATCTGGGGGGAGAGAAGTAATTAGGGATATAAAGTAGAACCTACAATCTCAGCCTAATTCTAAACAACCAGCTGTGTAGGTCTAGGCATACAAGGCATATCTAGAGTTAGCCAGTATGCCGGTTAAAAATGCACTTGTAATGTCAATGTTATCTTTGGAGTGTTTTCCATTTCAGGTCTTCATAAAATAAAAAAATGTTGCAAAATGCTACAATTTAAAAAAGCAGGCCGAGCGCAGTGGCTCACGCCTGTAATCCCAGCATTTTGGGAGGCCGAGGCAGATCACGAGGTCAGGAGATTGAGACAATCCTGGCCAACATGGTGAAACCCCATCTCTACTAAAATACAAAAAATTAGCTGGGCGTGGTGGTGCACACCTGTAGTTCCAGTTACTTGGGAGGCTGAGGCAGGGGAATCACTTGAACCTGGGAGGCAGAGGTTGCAGTTAGCCAAGATTGCGCCACTGCATTCCAGCCTGGTGACAGAGCGAGATTCCGTCTCAAAAAAAAAAAAAAAAGCAATTAACATATCTTGCTTAGAAAACATTTGGCAAGCTGGGCACTGTGGCTCACACCTGTAATCCCAGCACTTTGGGAGGCTGAGGCAGGTGGATCACCTGAGGTCAGGAGTCTGGCCAACATGGTGAAACCCCATCTCTACTAAAAATAGAATATTAGCCTTCCGTGGTGGCCCATGCCTGTAATCCCAGCTACTCGGGAGGCTGAGGCAGTAGAATCTCTTGAGCCTGGGAGGCGGAGGTTGCAGAGAGCTGAGATCGTGCCATTGTACTCCAGCCTGGGCGACAAGAGTGAAACTCTGTCTCCAAAAAAAAAAAAAAAAAAAAAAAAAATTGGCAAAAAGAAACATCTAGATCTACAACTATAAAGAAAATCTGTGATTCTATATTTAAAACATAAAAGAGTATTCTAGTACAGTTCCTCAAAAGCAATTAATTTCAGATAAGCTAATTTAGTTGTTCACATTTTTTTAAACATTATATACTATACTCATTCTTGAGTATATGGTGATTAATATACAAGTTTTGCTCTGACACTTATCATTTTTGTTAAAAGTCAGACTCTTCTAAAAATGTTCTAAAAGTGACAGAACTTCTCAGAGAATATTTGTCCAAAAACTTTTTAAAATGCATGCCAACTGTATATTTTTCAAATTATTTTTACCATGACAATGAGCAATGAGAAAAGAACAAAAACCATAATACACACACATTGGTTACTATCTGTGAGTCAGTTACTGGGTTAAGTGGGGCTTAAAGGCATTTTGTAGTTTACTCAGAGTCACTTGTGTATGTGGAGCTCACATGTCCAGGGTGTTGCTAATCACACTGAATAGATATCAGTTTGGTTTTCAGATAAGCAGATAATGTGCAATTAAATAAAACCTAAATGGTTGGTTATGTATACACCTAAACTCTCAATTTGCTGTTGTTCTATGTAATATTAAGTATTAAAAAGAGTGTTTACTTCTCATAATTTCAGCGTGAAAATGGAAAGGATGAAAAAGTAAGAAGAGTACAACTTTAGCCAAAATAATTATATAGCTCACAGAGGAGACATCTGCAAAGTATAAAGAAAATAGACTGCAGGGTCCTGATTGCATGAAATGGGACTCAAACTCTGTCCTTTCTTAGTTTATGATGTCATGCGATCCCTTGACTAATTTCTCTGGAATTCACAGTTACCCATCATTTGTAGAGTAGTCACATAATTTCCTTCAAGCTATCCAGAGGAGCTACAGAAAATAAAACAATGACTTTATGTCATTGCTTTGCTAATGCCCTGGGAACTATTCAGCCCACCCACATTCTATCAAGATGCCATTATAGGAAGAATGAGCTCTTTGTAACACAAGGCAATATAATTTCAAGAATTTGGTGTTGTGTATGCCTGTAATTATTATAAAAATATCTATTCAAGTAACCCACGGCTGTCTCATGATTCATTACTTTCATCTAATTCTGCATCAGATCATTTAAATATAAAATTATCAAAAGAAGTTCTTCCGTTAATTGAAGGGTCTAGTTTGCTTAAGAATTCTACCCTCCACACCTCTCAGCTTGACACCCTAGAGTAAGGCCAGAGCAATCAGGTCATAGGGTGGCCAGGTTATTACTATTTACCCCTTTCTTAATAATTAACATGGATCATGTTTATGATGGCAACGAATAGGATCAATAGTGAAATATGGATACAGAAAATGGTACTGTTTTTTTCTACTTTAGTCTGATTTTCTACCCAGTCCATTATTTTTCTTTTTTATGATGGAGAGAAGTATAATACATTCTCTCTTAATTTGTTTTATTTAGGCTTCTCTGTGTTTACTGGGAGGCAGTTTAGCAAACTGATTAAATGAACAGGCTGTGGAAATGAGACAACCTGTGTTCAAATCCAATTGCTACTTGGGGCAGTGGTTCTTAAACTTGTTAGTGTATTAGAATCACCTGGAAGGCTTGCTGAACCATGGATTACAAGGCGCTGTTCTCAAAGATTGTGATTAAGTGGGTCTGAGATAGAGCCCCAAATTTGCATTTTTAATGTTTCCAGATGGTGTTAATACTGTTGATCCAGAGACCATACTTTGAGAATCACAAATGTCAGTTTATCTGAGCCTAAATTTTCTCATCTGTGGAGTGTTAACAGTTTCTAATTAATAAGGTTGTTAATTGCCAAGGGATAATTTAGAGGAAAAATTCCCAAAGTTTGTTACTTTGATGTAGATTGTAACCAACTGAATAAATTGTGCTTTTTTAGTTGTGCTTTTTAAATAAATCTTATATATGATGATCTGGGTTTATATTAAGGACACATGATTAATGAAATAGTTCTTTGCTTTATTAAGGATTTTCAGTTTGATCATGGGAATACTCCTCTGTACTGTTGAGAGCCAAATTTGATTTACACCTAGGAACATGCTCCAGCTGTGACAGGCACTACTGGTTGCTTTCCAATTATTTCTTCTTCTTTCCCTTTCATCCTTGACTCTTAATTCCTGCAGGTATCCACATTTCTAAGAGTGGCCATATACTTTAGGGGAAGCTGGACACATTTCTTTGTCTAATGTCCTGATTAAGCCTCTTATGGGTGTCCTGTTCCATGAGCACCGGATGTAGCTCTGGTCAACAAGAAACTCAGGTGAGTCTTCTGGATGTACTTCCAGGAAACAGCCTTTGTTCTCGTAAAGCAACACTTAGAGTTGCCTTCTTTTTGTGCTAGCTCTTGAGGTGCCTGTACGTACTGCTGCAGTTGTCCCATGACCATAAGGGGAGTCATCTAAGGACAGCCTGAGGATGAGAGAACAGAAAGATGGAAAGAAATCCAGGCCTTTGATGATGTGATTGAACCATAGAGTTAACTAACCCTGGAATTACTATACCTTCATGCTCCCTGTTATTCAAGATAATACATTTTCCTTATCATTTAACCATTTTCAATTGCATTTTTAGTTATTTGCTGCTTAAGGTGTCTTAACTGATATACCAATTTATGAAGCATATTAACCTTGAAATTAATTAAAGTTATCAGAGCAGTGCTATTCCAGGGGTCTCATTTTAGCTGCAGCATTAATGGAGACAATGTGACTGTGTAGATTATTTAACTTCTCTTGGCTTCAGCTCAATCATTTGTGTAAGGATATTGTTGAGCTGGATCATTTCTAGAGTTGTTCCAAGTTTTAAATGCTGGGACTATTTGATTCCATGCATCTGAAACATATTGATGCTATATACATTACACAATGGGATTACACATGTGTATAACCTAGTAACTACATAATGCAAGGACAGATATGTAACAAGATAACCACATATATACTTTTATAATAATTTAATATCACACTAATTATATGGTCTGATTTACCCAGCATGAGTATCCAGTCACTACTATGGTAGAGTTAGTTGGAAATTATAGCTCTTTAAATGGTACTGTAGCAAGAAATAATAGATTCCTCATAATATTTCTAATTTGGAGGAGGAATAAAAATAATACTTTTCAAATGTTTTCACATGGCATGTTTAAATATGTAAATATGGACATGGGTGAGCATTTTAAGTTAAAAGTTTTCCGTTAAAATGGTAAGAAATGAGAGCACCTTTTTTTTTTCTCTTGAAGTGTACACACATGGTATATCCTTTATATATCTACAAGAGGGTAGCCACATGGGTTGGAAATACATAAATTCCACCTGTGTCCAACCAAAGTACTGCTATTATGGTAGGGCATATTTCATAAATTGTGTGACTCAGGCATGCAAAAATATGATAGAAAAGTTTCTCTATAGGTGCACTAAAGTTGCCTTTTGGCCCCATACCCTCTCATGGCAAAAAAATAAAAATAAAAAAAATAAAACAACATGAAGCATGTCACTTTCTGTTTTTTGTTAGTTCCTTTTGGGAAAATATTTATCTATTCAAGATACCCTCATGGATACCTTCTGCCTCCCTTTGCTTTGGTTCCAGGATGGTTATATGACACTGGGGAAGGGACATGTGGTTCACGTCATTGGCGTCCAATCCCAATGGTTTCCACTGATATGCAAACATTTCTTTGCTCTTAGATCATGTATCCCTGTTATGTCTACAGCTGATCTGTCCATGGTTACCATTCTTCTCTAGTCACTGGACCGTGAAATTCCTTTCATGTACTGCTTGTCTTGACTATGAATGTGTTCATGTCAGGTCCACCAACTGCTCAGCTAATTCCTTGTTCTTCTTGGAAACTGAGGAAAAGAAGAGACACTCTCTTACTGCCCACTAGGTGGGTGAACAATTCAGGGTGAGTGGCTACTTTCTTAGGCCCTCTCTTTTTTTTTTCCTTTTTGATTCGAATATCTCTATATCTTTGTAGCTGTATGTATGTCTAAATATGCTGTCTCCTCTATTACTGTCAT
This sequence comes from Homo sapiens, assembly GCF_000001405.40. NCBI lineage: Eukaryota > Metazoa > Chordata > Mammalia > Primates > Hominidae > Homo > Homo sapiens. Next base: position 125,138,028 of record NC_000005.10, read on the forward strand.
ATCTTTGTGTCATTGGAAGCATTTATGAGCTATGCCTAATTAGGTTCCCACCTTGTCTCCTCTCTGAAGGCCAGCATGATGTTGAAATGGGGGCTTTTGAGTGGGTGTCACCACCATCTTAAATCTCACCCGAGAAGCAAGATACAAGTCTGTTCTCTGGTGGCCACCCCCAAACCTCTTTTGGTTCTTTATGGAACCCTTTGTTCTGGGGCTCAACTTTGGGGAGAGAGCAGCAGAGATCTAGGCTCCCAGCTTCTGATCCCCAGGCCTGCCCTCTGAGTATTCCCTTCACAGCTGGCTGAATGTTTATATCTGTTCAGGTTAGAACACTGTACTCATGTCATCTTACATTCTCTCAAGTCGTTTATGGCCTGACTCTTGTTCTGTGAGTCCCTTAGGTGCCTAATCTTGATGTGCAAAGGCACATGTTTGGACAAAATGATATCTTAATGAGCTTGATCTTTGATACTCAAGGCCACTGCCTCTGCTATGAGTTCAGAAAGCAAGAAACCAGAAAGGAAAGGAATGCCTGAAGGAAACACTGTGCAATTACTTGAGAATTTCATCTTGCCACACTTTAAAAACCAAGCAACAAGATTTTCCCTTTTTCTTGAAATTATATGTGTGTACATGCCTTTTTTTTTTTTTTTTTTTTTTTTGAGACAGAGTCTCCCCACTCTGTTGCCCAGGCTGGAGTGGAGTGGCGCAATCTCGGCTCACTGCAAGCTCTGCCTCCCGGGTTCACGCCATTCTCTTGCCTCAGCCTCCCAAGTAGCTGGGACTACAGGCGCCCGCCACCACGCCCGGCTAATTGTTTTTTTGTATTTTTAGTAGAGATGGGCTTTCACCGTGTTAGCCAGGATAGTCTCGATCACCTCATGATCCACCCGCCTCAGCCTCGCCTATTTTCTTTTAAAATATATCAGTGCAATGAACCGTCTTCTCTAGCTCTCCTTTTCTCTCTCTCCATTCTCTGTAACTTCCGGCTTCCATCATGTCTGCCTGGCCACAACTTACTTCTCTTCTCACGGCCATCCCATCATTTATTGCAGGCTTTTATTGCTTTTCTCTTTCACTACTACAAAAATCTACTGATTAGTTTCTATGTTTTCCCCTATTATAACCCCACCCCACATGGAGACTGTCCATTCATTCATTCATTCAAAAAATATTTACTCAGTATCAAAAAGTACCTAGTCCTGGGCTAGATGCTTTTGATCTAACATTGAGAGAGGGGACAGACAATCTCTCCTTAAAGGACTTGGAGTCTTTTAAGAGCGAGACTGAAAACTAAAGGATTAAAGAAGTATGGCAATAGTTATGATGGCAGAAGTACAAGGAGCAATGAGCGAACATAGCAAGGTCATCTAATCTTATCGGGGAGGCCAGGGAACACTTCCTCCAGGCAGTGATTTTTAAATATAAGCACTAAAGGATGAAGAGGATTTAGGCAGAAAGAATATTCTTGGCAGGAAATTTTTTTTGTGAAAAGGATCAGAAATGAGAGGGCATGTGTAAGAGAAATTCCAGGTGGCGAGAGCCTAGAGCTTGAGTGTCTGGGAGTGGGACAAAGCAGAATAGGTCTGGAGAGATATCAAAGAGATTATCAAGAGTCATGCTAAGGAAATCTAGTTGTCATCTTAAGGGCAATGGAAAGTGATTGGTGGGCTTTCAATAGGAAAATAATTTAATCATTTTGGGGGTGTAGACACATTTAGGTAGGTAGTAGATTAGAAAAAACTGAATGCAAGAAAAAGCTGAGGTCATCAAAATGAGAAATAATAACTAACTGGATTAGGGTATGGCGGTGGAAGCGAGAGATGTGGAAAGATTTGAGGCACTACTAGGTGAATAGGCAAGGGAGTTGCCTTATCATCTCACCATAATAGATTATGAACTTTTTGAGGACTGTTGATTTGTTTGACTTGTATTCATTTATTCATCCAGCAAATATTATTCATAACACTGTTAGATGGAGAGCTTATAAGGCATTGATCTCCTAGTAGGGGGGACAGAAAAGGATCTAGGAAAGTATGAAGCAGAGTAAGAGTTCTTATAGGGAGGTAAAGCAGAATCTGATGGGCTCCAGAGAGAGCCTGAGTCCAGTGGTGATGAGAAGTTTACAGCACAAAACCAGTGTTTTTCAGAAATAATGGTACATATTTACTAAATTAATTGTTCTACTTTTACAGTTCAGAACTCTCGTTCTTTTCTCAGATATTAGAAACCTTAATAAATGTTGTTTTTTCTTTTATTCTTAAAACCTATATTCTTGGTTTTTCTCCCTATTTTTGCTTACTGCTGGCAGATTTAGAGCTCGTATATATTGGGCAAGATGATGTGCTGAAGAAAGTATGTGGTTTAACCATGAAGGACTGAGTGATTTCTGTAAATTACATAAAAAAACAAAAATGGTAACTTGCTGCAGTGTCCTCACATGACTGAAGGGCAAGGGAAAGTGAAGGGGACCGAACCTGCTCTTTCATAATAAACACACTCCCATGATAACAGCATTACACCGTCCATGAGGACAGAGGCCTCATGGCCTAATCACTGCTTAAAGGTCTCACCTCTTAATTCTGTTACAATTGCAATTAAATTTCAACATGAATTTTGGAGTGGACAAACATTTATACCATAGCACCATCATAACCCTGGATTAAATTCATTCGATCCACATATCTAGGAAAAGTGAGTTATTGCTGCAAAAAGTGGAGAGAAAAAACATTGCTGGGGAAAGTATCTGCCAATGTTCACCATGTTCTGGAAGAATGTTGCACTTTTAAAATGTTTTATTCAATTCTCTTATATAGTGCTCTAAAAATCAATTTAGAGATTTATAATCAAAAGCAAAGTAAGATTTTAGAGAATTGGCTTTCTCCATTGTGCACCCTTCCTTTTGAACCACTCCTAAGCTAGAGCGAATTGAGTGAACTTTGAAACCGATTTGTATTGACACAGTAATCCCCCTGTGAGGTAATTGGCTTTCCAGACTCTGCAAGTTGGAGTCAGAGATGCTGCTTAGGAACTTCTGGGCACTGACTCTGCATTTTTTCCACAGGAAATGATGCTATCATATGACCATGTCACTGTTGAATGGGTCCAATATTTGTAAACATCTCCTTAAGTGGAAGCATTCATTGTAGAGGATGCATAAAAGCCTTCTGAATAGTAATGTGGCTCCATTTAGAAATGTTTCTCAAATCTCTTATGACCCTACCTAGTTTAGTCAACATTACTAGCAGATGCACACACTCCATAAAGATTTCAAGGAACCAAGGAACATTGCATGGACATATGTTGCAGTTACTTCTTTTTGTGGTTGTTGCTTTTCCCCAGGTTTCTCTATTCATTACTCTAATTGTCTCTGATGGAGTCTAGATTCAGCTATACAGAAGGCCCTGTTGTGCTGAATCCCTTGATAGATTTGGATATGCAGCTCTGTGGATACAAGCTGGGGGCACTGAATTGCTTTGCATAATGGAGGAAAAAGTATGTGGACCAGAGGATCCAACAGGAAGGGAGTAGAGCCTGGGTAATGGTAAACCACGTTCTCCATAATGTTTTTCTCTTTGTGGCCCACCAATCTTCAGCAACATTGATTAAAACTCATGAAATCACTGGTGAGAGTGGATTGCTTTTGGAACCCAGAAAATAGGTTGCATTTCCCCTCTAGTTTTATCCAATACAGTAGAGAAAAAAGCATCCAGTGAATAAAATGCTTAGAAAGCAGAGCTGTGGAATTTGCAGCAAATCTTGGGAATGAGCTTGTTGAACTTGGACAGACCTAGGAGTCCTAAGGACTGTACAAACGGTGCCAGGCTACCTAGGGGGCAGTGGTCTCACCCAGGCTGTATATGTATATAAATGAAGTTCAAGTGTTTCCATTTATTTTTGTAAGAAGATGAAGCATTTTCTCCACAATCTTGTAGAGACTATGAATTTACTTAACAAACCATTTATACAAAGTTGAGCTCCACTAATTCTGGAGTTAAACCTGATCAAAACACTGGAAACACTGTGATAAGTTTAACCTCAGAGGGGTTTTTTGGGGACTTCAGTAGATATTAGCTAATGACTCTGAGAGTTTAAGTTTCAGCGCTGCCCTAATTACAACCACTATGGAAAATTGGTTGCAAAGCAAAACATATACATATTCTACAATTCAACAATTTCACTCTTGGGTGTATACTCAACAGAAACGTTTGTATACATTTACCAAAAGACATGTTAGAATATAATTATTTTAGAAAAATCTTCTAGAATAATATACTCTAGAAAAATCTTCTGGAATAATATAGTTACTCTAGAATAATCTTCTAGACTAATATCCTCTAGAATAATCTTCTAGACTAATATAGTTAAGCTAGAATAATCTTGTAGAATAATATAGTTACTCTAGAATAATCTTCTAGAATAATATAGTTATTCTAGAAATATTATTTATAGAAGTATTATTCTTAATTGCAAAAACTAGAAACAATACTAATGTGCATTTTCAATAGATGGACAAATGAGCTGTGATATTGTTATACAATGAAGTACCACAAAGCAATGACAAAGAATGATCTATATCTACATGAATCTTACAATGATGAATGACTCACAATGTGATCTCACAATGACTTCATGTATATAAATTTCTGAAACTGGCAAAACTAATAGTTATCCTAGAAGTGGTAGCTGTGATAAGAAGAGGCATGTGGGGACTTCTGGGCTGCTGCTAATTTCTTGATTTAGGGGATGGCTATTTCACTTTAGGAAAATGCACTGAACTATATACTTATGACACATACACTGTAGTGAATTGAATGTTGGTCCCTATAAATATATAGGTCCATGTCATATCTTGGAATCTGTGAACATTACCCCATTGGGAAAAAGAGTCTTTGCAGATGTAATCATATTAAAGATCTTCAGATGAGGAGATCATTTTGTATTATTTGGGTGGGCCCTAAGTTCAGTGATAATTGTCCTTATAAAAGACACAAAGAGGAGAGACACACAGATAGAATAGGAGGCAGAGTGGAGGGTCCACAGGCTAAATACACAGAGAAGACAGCAGTGTGAAGATGGAGGCGGAGATTGGAGTGAGGTGCCCACAAACGAAGGAATGCTTGGAACCACCAGAAGCCAGGAGAGAGGCATGAAATGAATTCTCATTGGGAAAGCATCTTGAGGGACTGTGGCAATGCCAGGTCCTTGATTTAGAACTTCTGGCCTCCAGCAGTGTGAGGGAATACATTTCTATAGCTTTAAGTCACCAAGTTTGTGGTAACTTGTTTCAGCAGCCCTAGGAAACTAAGACATACACATTTCTGTATATGTTCTATATTTCAGTAGAGTTTACATGAGAGGGCTACCCTGCATCTAACAAGTGGTTGACAATGATATAAAGATCATTTTAACTTGATCTATTTTAGATATTTTACTTACCTACAATAAAGAAGCATAGGAGCTTAAACTTGTGTACATGCATATGCATTTTCTGTCCTTTTGGGAAGAAGAATCCAGTCTTGCTTACCCAAGGCCTGTTGGCAAGTGCCACACTGGATTCTGCCCTCCGTGTGGAACTGGCTTGCCCTAGCCTCTCTTGGTCTCCACTTATTATGTGTAATGTTCTTAACAAAACTACATATAACTTTCTGTATGCCACTTGCAGTCTCTTTCATTATTAATTCCTGTATAAAGGGCAAGTTTAATTTTTAGAAACTCCTGAAAAAAGCCTAGGGCACTAGGAGACCCAGCTTTTACATGGTATTGTACATAAAGATGTGTAGATCAGCATCCCCAAATGACTAAACATACCTGCAATCTTTACTTAAATTTGTTGGAAAACATTTAAATATATCAAATTTTTAACTCATTGCAATCGCTTTTTAAAAATCTTTCCTCTTTTTCTAACTTATCTCTTACACTTAGGCACCCAGAAGCTTCTCTCTAGGCAACATTCTTCATCAAATCTCTACCCAACACCCTTTTCCAAATTTAGCTCAAAAGACTTACTTTCCTTCCTCTTTGCTTTTGCCTATGATTTCTCTATTCTCCCCTGAACTAACCTTGATTTTTTCCTTTGCAAATTTCCTTCTTTGCTTCTCCAGTTCTTGCTTTCTCTCTTGTCTTCCCCATCAAGCTTCAAGACTTGAATTCACAAATTCAGCTTCTGTCTTGGGAGGCAAAGATGAGGGCAGTGGAAAAAGTGGAAAAAGAAAGCTTTTATTTAGGTGGTGAAGGTGGGGAGACAGTTGGGGAGAAATGAGAAAGAGATTGCAAAGACTTAAAAACTTCTAACTTAATTCACATCATATTAATATCACTTAAGATGACAAAGACTTGTGGTGGCTAAGGCTCAAACTGGCCCAGGACAATTCTTTCATTGATTTTAACATTTTTTTTCCTCTAGAGTGCACGCAAGATGAAACTCAGCTTCTATCTTGATAGAAGTGAACAGGAACATAAATACTGTTTTTCAAGAAGCAGGCACTGCCATGGATATTTTACCTATTTAATAGTCACAGCAACCTGGTGGTTATGAAATTCTTAATTTCAGTTTTACAAATAAGGATCCAAAGTAACAGAAAATTTAAGGTCACGTGGCTAAAATTTATCAGGCCGAGACTCCACACAAGATTGTCTGCCTTCAAAGCCCAAGGCTGCTCAGGGGTTTAATCATGATTCAGTAATATCTTTGAGCACCCACTGGGTCATCAGGCACAGTGTTGGATGTAGAAACATAGAGATAGAAGATATAGTTTCTGGCTTGAAGGAACTGCAGTGCTCAAATTTCCACTACAGCTCCCAGATTCTACTACATGGTTCTACTTCTTTTTCAAAGGATCACATTTGGAATTGTACCTTATGGTTTTGCATATTTCCTTTCGTGACTTGTAATAAATCACAGGAATAGAAATTTCTTCTATAGTTGCTCTGTTTAACACATAGCATTTAAAAATCAATTGGATATTTCATAAACAATAATATTGAAGAGCTTTTTATTGACTCATCACTGAGCTAGATGTTGTGCCATGGTTAATCCAGGGGAGAATTAGACACACTCTGACCCTTAAGCTGTTTGCTGTCTAGGGAGGAAGATAGCTGTGATGGAGTTCTGACAGCTAAAAGTAGTTAGAAGCTTAGAGCAGATGTAAATATCTTGCTCCAAGGAACCAGGTGTGATGAACAGGGAAACTATTGAATAATTTCATATTTGTTCTGTTGGTAGCATTTATAGACAGTAGGTAGCTTATATTGTAGTTATATAGACTAATTTGGAGAGAAAACAGAGTATTCATTGAGATTTGGGTGGTAAATATCTATTTCTCATGTTGGAAAAAACCATGAATTTTGATCTATTTTTATTTGCAATTTTCGCCTTGAAAAGTAAGTTTGCCTTAAATGTGGAAACTGGCCTTTCATGAAGCCATCCTTTCATATCCAATTTTCCAGTTGAACTGATCGTTTATGTTTCAGACCTTTTACATGAGTTTGAGGGGAAGCAATGATCATAAAAAGGATACCAAGACAGAAACCATAAGAAGGTCACGCTAAAAACTAAAAGCAGACAACAGAGATAGATGGGTTTATTTCTCCTCATTTTTTCAAACACCTGGTCCACTATTGCTTAGAGTTTCAGGCAAACAAGGCTTGATTTTCTGAGAACGTGATCACAACAAGGACGATATTGTGTGTTCTTATGAAATGGTTTTGTGCACTAGGTACTTGATCGAGAATGGTTCAATGAATAGAAACATTCTCTATATTTTTTAACACAAGTAATACATGAATAAGTTCTTGATGAAAAAGTTTGTAATTTTCTTTTTAATAGCCTCTTCTCTACCTGTATATTCTCTTCCTTGTATTCATATAAATATAAAGAGTCTCATCCTTCTGAACTTTTTTATATAGATTGATTTATTTATAGATACATACCTACATAGTATATAGTTTTAAATTATTTTTGTATACATAGGATTAAGCTGTTTTCTACTTGCTTTTTTTTCTGTTAACAGTATGACCTGGAAAAGTTTTCATGACTGTTTATAGATTTTCCATGCTCCTTTAAACTACTGGGTAATATTCTATACTATGCATATAACATAATTATTTTTAACCATGCCTTACAGATGAACAACTGAGGTTCTAATTTTTTGATGTTATACACTGTTTGATAATGGGTTTTCTCATATGTGCCTCTTTAGGAACAAGTGGAAGTATTTCTGTAAGATAGCACTTCATTGCAGAATTGTAATAAATACCAGCAAATTTCACTCTTGAATGCTGAACTAATTTCACGCCTCTTAATAATGTATTAGTGTCTCTATTACCTAGATCTTTTCCAACACTATGTATTATTATTTAAAAATTTGTCAAGGTGATAAGTGAAAAATAATCCCTTATGTTTTAATTTGAATTTCTCTGCTTACTAAAAGTTTGAGGGAAATTCTCATATGTATATTAGCTATTTTGCCTTTTATTCAGGAATTACCAGTGTCTGGCTTGGGGGAAAGCCCTGCTCAGATTTCTATATAAAATTCTTGAGAAGACTATATCCAAATTGTGAGAAGACTGAATGCTAATGTGATTAAATTTCAGCTTTACTTGGTAATTTCTAAATTTTGAAATAAGTTATTTGTTGATATCCAAGGCTGTTTATCAGAATCACCACTTTTTCTTTGACTTTGCTTCTTTGGGGACCATTCTCACATATTCACCTTCACATCTGAAAATTTTTTTTGTGCCTAGAATCTGATTCATTTGCAGTAGAAGACACACATCGATAACTACCAGCTCTCCTAGTTCGTAACCCATGTCTGTCACAGGCTTTCTTGATACAAATTTAAGATCTATCCTCTCCTTTATTCCCTAGACATCTAGCGGGAGAAGGAGCTAGCCCAAACTGCTTCCCTGCTTCTCCCTGCTTCTCCCTGCTTCTTCCTGCCACCTGGCTCCTCGTCTCACCTCTGAGAAGCTCCACCTGGGATCTCTACCATTTCCTGGGTGTCCAGCAGTTAGAACTCCAGGCCTAGCAGGGCATGGTGGTATGTGCCTGTAGCCCCAGCTACTCGGCTGGCTAAGCTGGAGGATCACTTGAGCCCAGGAGTTCAAGGCTGCAGTGAGCTCAGGCACTGCACTCCAGCCTGGGAGACAGAGTGAGATTCTGTTTCTAAAATATAAAAAAAAAAAAAATTTAAAGAAAAAAAAAAGAACTCCAGGCCTAGGTTCTCCCAATGGGACGATGTTGCCAACACAAAAGTGGTTTCATGGAGGCAAATTAAAGGAAATTATCAACCTAAAACTGGACCTTGAATAAGACTTTGAAGGTTCCAAGGGGAAAAAGAAAGAAAATTTGAACTTTTCATCCAAAGATACCCAAGTTCCTAGTATTGCCTCTCTCGTGCTCCTCCCTTCCTCCCCGGCCACAGGGAAAAGGCATCTCTCCAGCCATGAAGTGACGTTGTAGAGTGGTGAAGAGCAGGAACTATGGAGCCAGATGTCTGGGGTGGCTTAGCGCTTCTGTCACATTTTAGCTGTGGGCATGGCAGCTCCAACGTGGCACCCACTGATCCTCCAGCCCCAGTTAAGTGTTCCAGTGGCTACAGCTCTAGGTGATATCTGACATCTTATGAGAGATTCTGACTCAGGATCCCCTAGCCACACTGCTCTCGAATATCCAACCCACAGAAACCATGAAATATATAAATAAATTATTATTATTGGTTTAAGCGACTACGTTTTGAGGGATTTGTTTTGTAACATTCAATAGTCACTACCAGCCATGTGACCTTGGGCAGCATCCACATGGGCAAGGTGGTGATAATAGCACCTTCTTTATAGGATTGTTGAGAGGATTAAATGAGTCATATATGTCATGTGCATACGTTTGTATTGATACATAGAAAGGCTACGTATTTGCTAACTATTAGCTATTTTTTGGCATGTCAGTCTACACCATATCAGACCTTTTTAAGGAAATCTAATTCCCAGGTCTGGCCCAGGAACCCAGTCCTTCCATCTCCTTTGACCAGGACACTATAGACCACAGCAGCTCATTCCCTGGAGTTTGAGTCAAGTGGACTAGAAAAGGACCATGCTTATTTGTCTGAAAAATATATATATATAATTTATCCCTAAAGATATTACAGTGTAAATCCCCATTTTCCAAAAGACAATTTATCTACTGTGAATTCTAGTACTTCACAGCACTCAACAGGTCCCCGTTTCTCATCTGTTTACTTTGTTCAAGTGCTTTCCCAAACAGAAGAGCTTCCTATTCCTAATCCTCACCTATGAAATGTGCATCCTGAGCTTTCAAGGTTTAGATGTGGAAAAGAGAAGATGACAAGCTCTCAACTGGCAGAAGAATGTTATGGAGAGGTGGTTGGTTCTTTTTTGTTCTTGATATCCATTTGTCTCACTTTTAGAGATATTGGGCCCCTGCCTGTTTGACAGAGGATGAGATCATAAAGGTCATTTAGCCCAGCCTCTCATTTTGGAGATGCAGCTCTCAAGTTATCTGTTCTCTGTGGTAGTTACTGAATATCAAGTCCGAAAAAGTCCCTTGAGCCTGAGTTCCTTTGAGCACACACTAAACCTTTCCTTTTGTACTGTGCAGTGAGTGGACAAGAAGAGTTTCCATTGATCATTGTACCTTGGATATCTTCTCCATTCTTTACAAGAAGAGTTTCCATTGATCATTGTACCTTGGATATCTTCTCCATTCTTTGCACAACAGCTTTCTTGTCTATTCCATCCCTAGACTCAGGAAAGAGTTAGGAAAAAGGTTGGCGTCTCCATCTCTCCTATTTCCTAGAAGTATTGTTGACTCATAGGATGCTTTCCAATTTTATGTCCAGTGTATTTTGAAATACTTCAAAGCCAAAGAGGCTCTTGTTGCTAACTTATTTCTGGAATAGCCCTTCGTGGTTATGGAATGTTCCCTGGACTTGAAAATATTGCCTTACCCAGAGACTTCTTTTCTTCCATTTGTAAACACTGGTGGAAAAGGTGATTTGTCACATAACCCTACAATTTCCAGGTGTTTTGTCTTCCGATTTATGGGCAAGTTCTCAAAGTGGCTAATTAGTGGATCCTCCATCCTGTGGCTCTGCTTGGTGTGTAAAAACATAAGGCATAGTTACTAGGTTCCAAATGGGATTTCCACAATTATTAGGGGGACTGTAAGGAAACATCTCTCTGAGAAAACTAGCAGAAACTTGTCTTTGCTGGAAACAATAGTCTTCATCTGGCCTCAGATTTTTCAGCCAAAGAAAAAAGATGGGAGTTGGATATGCTGGGGTGGAAGGGGAGAAGCATTTAGACAGTCCATTAACAATCAGAGCCGCAGTACAAACACGGGAGGTTTGCCTGAGTGTAGGGAAGCAGCAAATGTAAGAAGCAATGAAACAAATTAGCAACAGAAGCACCAGCTCTGTCTCTCCTTTGTGGCATTATTATTTAAAGTTCAAATGTCTTTGATACGATTAAATTAATCTTTTTTTAGGATCCCGCCACATTTGAAGAACCACAAAAGGAGGCTGAGTGAGCTGAAAGAAATACACAAGTGGATCAGCAACATGACAGCTGCTGCAGTGAAATCTGGATTGTAATATGTCAGTTTCCAACCCATCACATACAATCCAGACAGAGACATAGCTTTTTGTCTGCCTCGTTGTGATTTCCCTGTCTGGTGCGGTTTGGGTCACATCTGTTGGCTGCATTCTCATCTTCATGAGATCTGCATTGACTGATAGTTTAAACCCCATGTTTATCTATGTCTGCGGCTCTTATTTCTCTCACAGGGAAGTCTCCAGAGAAGCCCAGTATCCCCTGATGTGAGAATCTTGCTTGGTTTTATTAATCAACAGCCAGTGCCCACATTCAGGCAGTTCTGTATGTTTCATGCTAGGATATTGGGTGTGTTTGTTACATATGTCTTTCAACATTTATTATATCAGAAAAAATTTGATAAAAACATAAACCTACTTCCTGAATATATCACACTGATTTAAAACAGAACTTCTCACGATGAACAACCCAAGCTCACTGTTTCTTTGACTTTTGCATATTTTCTACTCGTGCATTATTCTGTCATTTCATGATAAAATGATTGAAAAACACTGCTTTAACCCTCCAAACTTGGCTAGTGGCTATATAAGGATTTAAACTTCAGCATGCCTGTCTATGCTCAAGCCTTGGAAATCCTTTTGCATTTCAACCATTGCTAATGTTTCATATCTGCACATTGAATCTAACCCTTGATTTCTTTTGTAGACATATGTAATCTGAAGGCATGCAACATTTTGCAAATGTTGGCCCATATTTTTATTTCATAAGGTCTTATTTGGTCTGTCGACCAAGTTTTGATTACTTCCATATTGCTCTTAATTGCCTTAATATCCCCAAAGACTTTCCTATTCTGTGCATCCCTTTATCTTTGCTTCTTTTATCTCTTGCTGTGAGAGTACAAAATTGCTGACATATTCAATGTATTTAAATTCTGAGTGTTGCAGAAGAGTTTTCAAATCTGTTTTAATTTTCTGATACTCAGCTGAGGACCATTACACATTCTGTTCAGCTAATCTGTTTTTAATCATATCTGTAAATGCTAAAGTTGTACATGAGAGAAATGATGCATAAAGTAAAACCAGACCAAGTGTACTTTCGCATATGTAAAACTAAATTCTTACTTTCTTCCACTTACAAGTTTTATTTTCCTATAGTCGTGTAGTCTTGACTTACACCAGAATTTATCTGCCAAGAGTTTATGGTACTGTAGTGAAAAAATCCCGACTTTTTCATGTTTAAAATATTTATCGATTAGTACTTATCCCCTTGCTATCATAATAAAATTTGATGAACGTAAATGTACTTTTAATTCCATTTCATAATGTATCAGCTAAGATATATTCAGTCATAAATAACTAATAATTGCATTAATAGTGGTATTGGCCATAAAGACAGTTGCTAACTTAACATAAATTCCAGAAGAGCCAGGTTCCTTCCATTCATTTACTTTTCCATCCTTGGGTAGTAGTCTATGACATCTTTCTTACAGTCATACCTACAGGCTTCCCAGCAGGCATGAATCTCACCTTTTTTTGGGAGAATCTTGGAAAACCTCACAGTCTTCTTCTGTCTTATCTAGGCTGGAATTGGACCACAGGGTCGCCCTTAGACCAATCATTGGCAAAAAGGCAAGAACTCATCATGACTGGCTTATGTGAACCACAATTATCCTGGCTTTCTGCTTAATACTGCTTGTACAAAGAGATTTGTTAGTAAGGAATAATGAGGCTGGATGGGGGATGGGAGGGTCGGAGAAAGGGATAGCTGTTTGCCACACTTAATAACTGTTCAAAGCTTAAGTCATGTTTACAGAGGTCACTACTGCTGTGTTTAGACCTATGAAGTCAGCTGAAATGTTCTCAAATATTGATACATTATTCTTTATATTTTAAAATAGCACATTTTATTGCAATATTTTCTTCCTGAGTACAGTGAGCACTATGAAATATACTATTCTACACATGCAAAAGGGAAAACAGCAAAAGCTTAGAAGCAAGGAGAAGAAATTAAAAAGAGGGAAGGAAAAGGACAAAGACCAAATTGTAATGCATTTCACTTGCAAAATCTCTTTTCTTGTATAACAAATGCACTGCTTTGTGTTTTGACCTACTGATGGTGAATTATTTCCTCAGACTAAAACTCCAGAGCTCAGTGGGTGAAGGGTGAGAGTCAGTAGAGTATAATTCTGCAGAATCTAGCCAGTTAGCTAAATGAGTAAATATAGGAATGGAGAAAGCCCGTGTCTTTAGCCGTTAATCTTCTCACTCCTCTTACTCTTTGTGTAAGTTTGGTCCTCTATTTGTTCTGAGGTAGACCAAAAGTAAGCAGAAAAAGGTAATATAGAGAAGTAACTCTTTTATTCCAAGGGCAGCCTCTCAGTTGACAATTAACTCTTAGCTGCCAGTTCAAGCCTGGGGAAAATAATTATCCAAGACACTTCCTAGTTTACTTTGAAATTTAAAGGAAGCATAACTACCTGTTTTAGGGTTCTCTTGGGTACAAGTGACAGAAATTCATTTCAAACTGATTTAAACAAAACAGGATTTGTGGGAGGGGAGGAATATTGGAGCAACACAGAGACTCACAGGGAGAACTCAGTAACCCAGACTTGACCTGAGCCAGGGACCGTGAGTGGCCCTGCAAATCTACTCATGTTTCTGCCTCTTTATGAGTTTTCACTTCTTCTTTTTTTTTTTTTTTTTTTTTTTGGGACAAAGTCTCCCTGTGTTGCCCAGGCTGGCGTGCAGTGGTACAATCTCAGCTCACTGCAACCTCTGCCTCCTGGGTTCAAGCCATTCTCCTGCATCAGCTTCCTGAGTAGCTAAGACTACAGGCATGCGCCACCACGCCTGGCTAATTTTTGTATTTTTAGTAGAGATGGGGTTTTACCATATTGGCCAGTCTGGTCTCAAACTCCTGACCGCAAGGGATCTGCCTGCCTCAGCCTCCCAAAGTGCTGGGATTACAGGCGTAAGCCACTGTGCCCAGCCTCTTAACAGCGTTCTGTATGTGATGGGAGCCAGGGCCATGGGCAGTCTCTGAATCACATCCTTATTGCAACGTGATCAGAGAGGAAAGCACTATTTTCTCCAGGAAACGCTTGAAACATTCGGAGAAAGCACTCTCATTTCTCTGGCTTGGGTTATATGAGCATGTGTGGAGCAGCTACTATCAACCTCAGGTAGGATTTGGAGGGGTGACAAACAGTAGGGTGAGGAGCCCTGGGGTTGGTCCATCTCGGATTATGTTTTGCCATCATGGTTAGGAGTACCAGGATGGCACACACACTCCCCGACCAACACCCGCTAGGGCTGTGGCTGTGAAGAAATATTTCCGGGAGAAGGGAGTTGTGAGTGGTAAATGTCCACAATGACACAGGCGTCCCTCTTAGCATTCCTGAGGTAATAGTGTGTGTGGTTCTGACACGGAAAATGAGTGAACAGTGCTCCCCTGTTTTGTAATGAGCTGATGTGGACTCCACACAGTAAGAAAAAAAAAAACTCCATGGTGTGCGTGATGCAAGACCACCTTTGAGAACCAGTTTAAGATCTCTCTTAGGCCCTACACAACTGTACTGAAACTGTTCCCCTAGAAGTTATTAGGTCCTCCTAAATGCCGCTGCTCCTTTGTAGCCACACTTCCCCCGCTCATTCTGGTTAAACTCGCTGCAGCACTCTCATTTTCATTTATTCTGTCATTCAACAATATTATTTGATGCATCCTAGCGATTTGTTCAAAAGACAAGTTCCCTCTTCTCAGCAATACTTTCTGAGAGAAACAGGAAATGAAGTAAAGCAGAGATGGATCATTTAATTGCCACTTACAATAAGTACTATGAAGGAAATAAACAGGATACCGTGACAGAGAGTAAGTGTTTATGAAAGATCTGCCTACGTAGGATTTATTTGTCCATAATTCTTCTTAAGGAAAAGAAAGAAAGAAAAACAAAAAACGATAACAACAAAAAACAAACCTCTCCTCATGCATGGCTTTGGTAGTAGTCTCTCTCCTGGTCTGCCTTCAAGTTCTTTGATCTATCTTTCTCTGGACCGGCTTTCTCCTCTCTCTTTCTTTGTGACATAGGCAAATCCTGAGACCAAATAACGAATGAAGTGACTTCCCTTCTCTTAGTCCCTCTTTCTTACTCTGAGGGCCTTTCCTCATTTATCTTCTGCTTCCTGTTATTTCTCTTACTATGCATGAAAAGTAAATTACTGATCTTCTTTAAACCTCCTCTCCTAAGAGAAATGACTAAGAAAAAGCAAAGATTCTTGTTGGAAGACAACTGGTTAGGGAGAAGGAGGATTGTTTGGGGAGAGGTCTTTCCTACAGTTTTCATGTTGCCAAAGCAACACCTTAGTCCAACTTTTCTGAGTAGACATGCAACATATCAGAGTAAGACAGTCTTTATTTTTCCATTTGTATCCACTTTTACATTTTTCCATCTGTATTAGTTATTCCTGGTTCTGAACCTATTGATATGCTTATAAACGAATATTGTCATTACATTTCATCAATATATAACAGCAGGTGAGTAATGGTGTTAAAGAAACCTCAGTGCTGTTTGGGCTTGAGACACTTTTCTCTATCACTGGACATTATTAGTATCCTTTCTAACTTTCCTCAGCTTTCCATGCGGCTGAATGCCAGGCTACATATGCTCACCAGGCAACCAAAGTCCAGGATAAAGACCAAGCTCGTCATGTCTCAGCTGTCATGTTTTCTCTTGGGATGAGTTGGTCTTCATCTCATTTTCAAGCTGGCCCCATTGTTTTGTAGTGATGGAAATCTGTCACCAAAATCTTGGTGGGCCTTCCCAGAATCCAGGCTGTGCTGATGTAAGTTATGGGGCCAAAAGGAGTTGTGGCTTGGCAAAGTGACATTTTATTTAAAATATTCTGGTAATGTTTATAAAGCACATTAAGCACTTTTACAATATTTTAAAAATCAAGGAAAGTTACTTGGTATTATCACATGTCTTCCAAGGAAATTGTTTTGAAAGTTGTGGTCCAACATTCCTAAAAACAAATAATTAGATTCCTAGCCTTATAGCAATGGTGTGATCAGTCTCTCAGAGAGTGAGCATTTATTGGTCCCTCCCTCCCCTTTCTTACTCAGGCTACTCTCTAATCATATTTTGTTTTCTTTTCTAGTCTTCCCTCTGTTGCCACAATATTTTTTTGCTAGCAGCCTCAATTTTTCCAGCTGTTAGCTACTGGAGCTTTTTTTATTATGATACATTTTTCTGAAATCCCTAGACTCCTCTATTTCTTAGATCTGTCTTATAAGACAGCTCATGAAACAGACAATGGAGAGAATTTATTGAATGTTCACTGCGTGAACAGGAAAGGCCAAGGTAAGATGCAGAAATACTTATGGTCCAGTTGGGAGACACAATATAAATGCATGAAAATGACAAGCAGAGATGAAGCAAACAGTGCCAGTAAGTAGCTCCAGATGGATAATTGAGGGATATCCAGTGGGATCAGGTTCATTAGGGGAGATATTCTGGAAGAGAAAAATTGAGAGTGGAGGACAAAAGGAAGGACTGGAGCAAGACTACTGGGAACAGGAGAGAATGCTCTCATTATTGCCTCACAGAGAGTTATATGGCGATTCACCTGTGGAGCTTTGCTTCTAACAGTCACTTTAACAATAGCCTGCATAGCACTTGGACTCCTGAGTGCTAGACTGGCTTCCTAGCTCTGTGTGTGTATTAGTCTGTTCTTACACTGCTAATGAAGACATACCTGAGACTGGATAATTATAAAGGAAAGAAGTTTAATTGACTCACAGTGCCACATGGCTGGGGAGGCCTCACAATTATGGTGGAAGGCAAGGAGGAGCAAGTCACATCTTATATGGCAGCAGGCAGGAGAAGAATGAGAGTGAAGCAAAAAGGGAAACCCCTTATACAACCATCAGACCTCGTGAGATTTATTCACTGCCATGAGAACAGTATGGGTGAAACTGGCCCCATGATTCTATTATCTCTCACCAGGCCCGTCCCATAAAACGTGGGAATTATGGGAGCTGCATTTCAAGAGATTTGGGTGGGGACACAGCCAAAGCATATCAGTGGGTGAGTGAGAACCAGTGTCGTTAACTGTGCACTCCCACAACTGTTCATTAAGTCCTTTCAACTGGACATTTCTAAGGAAACTACGAGGTTAAGAGGTGGGTGTATATATTCATTTGCCTAGGGAGTTTGGTGAAATGGTAACTTTGAAAATGTTTTCTTTGCTAAAAAGATTTTGTTCCTGAAGCCTGTTCTTTGTGAAAAATATCATATCTCCCCATTTGGAAAATCACGTTGAATACAGAAAGTGGCAGCTTGTGAAAACACACACTCAACGTGTTTCTTACTTTCTCAAGGCGATAAACTATAGTTGATGAACTGCAAACCTCTCTGAATTATAGAACCTCTCTGCTAACCCGGGGGATTTTAACAGATTTTTAAACTTCTGTCTCTTAATTTTGTTTTTCTTCCCTTGGTAAGTGAATAAGTAGAGTTAACCTTACAATCAGATCAAACACTTCATTCTGATCCCAGGAAGCTTGGGTCCTTAGCACCTGGATTTTTAGCAGTTTATAGAATGTGCCAGGTGTTTACATGCATTCTTGCTTTTGCCTATGCTGCAATCTTGGCCTTGAATTTTGTTATCCTCTCTGCGTTATCTCATGGGCAAACATCTCCTGCTTATACTCCAAAAGTCACCTAATCTCACAACAGTCTCTTCTTTTAGAACTAAGCACTCTTTCCATTGTATTCTGGAAAACACATTGATCAGATCTCCTCTGTGGCCTTGGGGAACCATATTATCACGTGATGAGGGCGTGACTTTACGTCTCACCCTATTTGAACTCCTCAGAGATAGGAGTGTGTTTTATTATATTAATATTTCCTATCGTTAGCATTAAAAAAGGCAGATAGTGTTATGTCACGCTTACTAAACATGAACCAATAACCTGCTTTTTGTGAATCCTATGTTTCTTTAAGACCCATTTCACCTTTTGTAGGTTCTTGACAATAAGGGAGATTTCACCTAAATGTGTGTGACAATGCACAGAATTTCAAAATTTCCAATGAACTTGAGGTTATTGTTGCTCTCAGATTCTCTGGACACTTCTTTACCAAATTTGCCTTGACGTTTAAACACACAAAAGTCTGTGTTAACGTTGCCTCAATGCTCATAGCAGACTTTATTATTTCTTTTGCATGTTCATAAAAATCTCCAAAAATATGGGGGTTGTGGTAGATATTTAAAATAAAAAATAGTGAATGAGTTTGATATTGCAAAGTAATATATGGGAAAGTTGTTTATTTTGTGTAGTGCTTTCTAGTAAATATCTATTTTACTGTTTTACTTTCTCAAGGATACATACAATCAGTATTCTGCATTCTTTATTTTTGCTTCTCTTGGGTATTTTATTTGCATTTTATATTTATTTCCTAAAAGTCCTAAGTATCAGCATTCTTGCAGATTGTTGATGAACCAATGGAAAGGATTGAAATGTAGATAATGTTTATGCACATGTGTATATTTATGTACCTATTTAGCATTTATATAGAATCGAATTCATTGTAATTAAAAGGTTTTAGAGCTAAATACTTTGAGATCTGCTTTCAAGGGTTTAGTAATCTAGTGGTGAAAATAAGAATTGTTCAGAGAAAAAAATGATGTGGGAGTTCAGAGGGTGATATTTCTGTCACTCTGGGAAACAGTGGGACATTGAGAGACTTGACTTCCTTACTTCTACTTGAAAAAGAAAGGGACAGGATATTTTAAGTGCAGGAAAGTGTGCAAAGGCAAGGAGATGACTGATCTTTGGAACTGTAAGTCATTCAGTTTAGTTGGGGCTCAGAGTATAGTGGATTTTTCTCTAGCCAGGATGTTACCTGTTCAGCCACTTTAATTCATAAAACGGAATCTAAATTAAATTGAGAAAAGTAGTCAGATATTCTCCATTTTAAAGTGTAGACTTTGGTTGTTCACCCCTTGCTTTTGAAAAACAAACACCACAGATGAATCAATACGTAGAACATACACCAAATGCAAACCTGGCTTTAGTACAACTATAGAGGCACATTCCCTCCTTACTAATAACACATTCCTAAGGTAGCCAGTTTATAGGGATGCAATTCACAGCAAGAAATATAGGCTGTAGAAGAGCTGATTTCAGTGTTTATCCTAAAACAGTCAGGTATACACTCAGAACATTGAAATAGGGCAAGTTCTCCCTAGTTCTGCACCTTTGAATAATCAGAGTTGGGAGAAATGGATGTTGAGTGGCAATGGGAATTGAGGCTCTACCCTCATGTGCTTATAGCAGTATAGGTCTGAGGATAGTTGTGGTAGGAAGCACGGAAAACTAGATCAGAGGAAGAAGGGACACAAAAAACGGTAGCAGCAGGGTTAGCTCCAGGGCAGACCACAGAGTTGGCAAAGTCAAGCTTTGATAACCTTGCCTTTTTTCCTCTATCCCATATCACAATGGGTCAATGCTAACATCTCTTTCTGCAGGTTTTTATTTAAAGTTGGCTATTTAATAAGACCCAGGAGGCAGCTGGGAACCCAAGAATGAGCACTAGAATGAAAGACCTGTTTATTCCTCACTTTGCCACCGGCTGGTCACATGATCAGAACCCTTATTGTTAATTTTACCTTCATCCTAAATAGCCCTCCTCTGTGCTCCCACAGCAGGCTCACAAGCATACCTTTTTCATTATATCCCAAAGACTGTATTGACTATGCCACAGGAGTCCTTCCAGAAGCACTTTTACTGTAAGATAAGTTTTTCTTTTTAAGGGTGAAAAAGCCCTTGAGGTCACAAGGGATTCATTGATAAAGGTGTATTGATAGATGGTGTGAATGATGTTTGAGCATCTTACCTTGTGACACAACAAACTAATATTTGTGGGTAATTGCCTTCTTCACTCATCTACCCTAGACCAGTCCTCCCTCCCTCCCTCCCTCCCTTCCTTTCCTTCCCCTTCCCCTTCCTTCCTTCTTTCCTTCCTTCCATCCTTCCTTCCTTTTTTTCTTTAATTCTTGTCAGAAAAATAGTTGCAATGTGAATCTAAGAAAATAAAGATGTGGAGTACACAGAGCTTTGCTTCAGATTCTCTGGACTAAAGACTGACACTCATCTAGATGCCAAAGATCCCATCAGTCACCACATTTTTTAGACTTCTGACTGCTAAGAAATATTTTGGATCTTCAGAATAGGTATCCTTTGGGGGAAAGAAAGGGATATATATTTTTTTGTTGACCCTTGCTACTTAAGTCTAGAAATTATGAAAGGGAAAAATTTGAAAACTGTTACTATGGTAGGACAGTATGCCTATTCCTTTCGTCTTCTGTTCTGTACATCTTCCCTCTGTTAAAATGAGATTTGGCTACTAATGTTAAGAAAAATATTTCTGGCCGGGCACGGTGGCTAACACCTGTAATCCCAGAACTTTGGGAGGCAGAGGCAGTCAGATCACCTGAGGTCAGGAGTTCAAGACCAGCTTGGCCAACATGGTGAAATCCCGTCTCTACTAAAAATACAGCCAAGTGTGGTGGCGGGCACCTGTAATACCAGCTACTCGGGAGGCTAAGGAAGGAGAACTGCTTGAACCTGGGAGGTGGAGGTTGCAGTGAGACAAGATTGTGTCATTGCACTCTAGCCTGAGCAATAAAAGTGAAGCTCCATCTCAAAAACAAACAAACAAACACACACACACACACACACACACACACAACAAGAAAAATGTTTCTGTCTTTTAGAAGCTGCACTCTCAAGACCAAGTACACTTTCAAAAGAGAAGACTGAAGAAATCTGAGTTCATCATCCCAGGACCCTGGAAATAGCGTAGGGTTAGGGTAAGTGCAGAGTTGTAGGAAAAATAGTCTAAACAAAGACATGGAGCAAGAAGAGGAAAGAGAATAAGACAGCAAAGAAAACCATCATCATTGCTTCTCACAGGATGGCTGTGTTTGGATTAAAGACTGCCAGGCTGGACAAAGCCAGTAAACATACTACAGTGTTTTCTAGTCTACATCTATGTTTGTGAATGGCTAATAGCAAGATGACTATTATTAGACTGTTCCTATATACTCTTGCAAACTTTGTGGTGCACAATAGGCAATGTGTAATAAGAAATAATCCATTAAGTGAGAAGAATGGAAAATTTATTTGTAGCCTTTTAACCTAATGAAAGGATAGAACATTAAAATTAATTAATTATCATTGGAAAAAAGCATACCATGGGCTGAAATCAATGAATTTAAAAACAGAAAATCAATAGAGAAAATCAACAAAACCAAAAGCTGGTTTTTTGAAAAGACCAATGAAATCAATAAATCTCTAGTCTGGCTAAGAAAAAAGAGGAAAGACCCAAATTACTAATATCAGAAATAAAAGAGGGGCCATCACTCCAGATCCTCTGGACATTAAAGGAATTATAAACGAATAGTATAAATAATAACCATGTCTACAAACTTCATAACCTAAGTGAAATGGACAAATTTCTTGAAAGACACAATCTGCCAAAACTCACACAAGAAAGACTAGGCAGTCTGAGTAGGCCTGTACCTATTAAAGAAATTGAATCAATAATTAATAACCTTTCAAAGAAAGCACAAGGTCCAGATGGATTTAGTGGTGTATTCTATGAAAACTTTAAGGAAGAAATTATCCTAATTATCTATAATGTCTTCCAGAAAATACAAGGAGAGGGACTATATCCTAACTCTTTCTAAGAAGCCAGATTAATACCAAAACTAGACAAAGACACTGTGAGAAAATAACCCGGTGGAAGGGCCAAGATGGGTGAATAGAAACAGCTCCGGTCTGCAGCTCCCAGCAAGACCGATGCAGAAGGTGGGGGATTTCTGCATTTCCAACTGAGGTACCCAGTTCATCTCATTGCGACTGGTTAGGCAGTGGGTGCAACCCACAGAGAGTGAACAGAAGCAGGGTGGGGCATTGCTTCACCTGGGAAGTGCACAGAGCTGGGGGACCTCCACCTCCCCAAGCCAAGGGAAGCAGTGAGGGACTGTGCTACCCGCCCTGGGGTACTATGCTTTTTCCATGGATTTTTGTAATCCGTTGCTCAGGAAATTCCCTCATGAGCCTACACCACCAGGTCCCTGGGTTTCGAGTACAAAACTGAGTGGCTGTTGGGCAGGCACTGAGCTGTAGGGTTTTTTTTTTTCTCCATACTCGAGTAGCACCCGGAACTCCAGTGAGACAGGAGAATCGTCCACTCCCTTGGAAAGGGGGCTGAAGCCAGGGAGCCAAGAGGTCTCGCTTAGCATGTCTCACTCCCATGGAGCCCAGCAAGCTAAGAAGCTCTGGCTTGAAATTCCCACTGCCAGCACAGCAGTCTGGAGTCGGCCTGAGTTTGGTGAGGGGAGGGGCGACCACCATTACTGTGCCTTTAGTAGGTGGTTTTCCCCTGACAGTGCTAAAGAGACTGGGAGGTTGGGACTGGGTGGAACTCAGCACAGTGCAGCAAAGTAGCTGTGCCAGACTGCCTCTCTAGATTCCTCCTCACTGGGCAGGGCATTTCTGAAGGAAACCCAGCAGCTCCAGTCAGAGGCTTACAGACAAAACTCTCATCTCCCTGGGACAGAGCACCTAGGGGGAGGGGTAGCTGCGGTCACGGCTTCAGCCAGGCTTAATCTTTCCTGCCTGCTGGCTCTGAAGAGAGTGGCTGATCCTGACAAGGGCGATTCTTCCAGCTCAGCACACCAGCTCTACTAAGGGACAGACTGCTTTCTCAAGTGGGTCCCTGCCATCGCCATGCCTCCTGACTGGGAGAGACCTCCCAACAGGTGTTGATAGACACCTCATACAGGAGACCTCTGGCTGGCATCAGGCCAGTGCCCCTCTGGGATGAAGCTTCCAAAGGAAGGAGCAGGCAGCAATCTTTGCTATTCTGCAGCCTCCACTGGTGATACCCAGGCAAACAGGGTCTAGAGTGGACCTCCAGCTAACTGCAGCAGTCCTGCCGAAGAGGGGCCTGTTAGAAGAAAAAAATTAACAAACAGAAAGCAACAACAACATCAACAAAAAAGAGTGCCCCACAAAAACCCCATCCAACAGTCAACAGCCTCAAAGATAAAAAGTAGATAAATCCATGAAGATGAGGAAAAAACAGCACAAAAACGCTGAAAATTCCAAAAGCCAGAATGCCTTTTCTCCTCCAAATGATCACAACTCCTCTCCAGCAAGGGCATGAAACTGGAGGGAGAGTGAGATTGATGAATTGACAGAAGTAGGCTTCAGAAGATGGGTAATAAAAAACACCTCTGAGCTAAAGGAGCATGTTCTAACCCAATGCAAAGAAGCTAAAAACATTGATAAAAGGTTACAGGAGTTGTTAACTAGAATAACCAGTTTAGAAAGGAACATAAATGACCTTATGGAGCTGAAAAACACAGCACAAAAACTTTGTGAAGCATACACAAATATTGATAGCCAAATCGATCAAGCAGTAGAAAGGATATAAGAGTTTGAAGACCATCCTGCTGAAATAAGGCATGCAGACAAGATTAGAGAAAAAAAGAATGAAAAGGAACAAACAAAGCCTCCAAGAAATATGGTACTATGTGAAAAGACTGAACCTATGATTGATTGGAGTACCTGAAAGAGATGAGAATGGAACCAAATTGGAAAACACACTTCAGGATATTATCCAGGAGGACTTCCCAACCTAGCAGGACGGGCCAACATTCAAATTCAGGAAATACAGAGAACACCACTAAGATACTCCATGAGAAGATCAACCCCAAGACACATAATCATCAGATTCTCCAAGGTCAAAATGAAGAAAAAAAATGTTAAGGGCAGCCAGAGAGAAAGGCCAGGTCACCTACAAAGGGAAGCCCATCAGACTAACAGTGGATCTCTCAGCAGAAACCCTACAAATCAGAAGAGAGAGGGGGCCAATATTCGACATTGTTAAAGAGACAATTTTCAACCCAGAATTTCATATCCAGCCAAATTAGGCTTCATGAGCAAAGCAGAAATACAGTCCTTTCTATATAAGCAAATGCTGAGGGATTTCATCACCACCAGGCCTGCCTTGCAAGAGCTCCTGAGGGAAGTACTAAATACGGAAAAGAAAAACAGGTACCAGACACTGTAAAAACACACCAAAATATAAAGACCAGTGACACTATGACGGAACTGTATCAACTAGTGTGCAAAATAACCAGATAGCATAATTATGACAGCATCAAATTCACACATAACAATATTAACCTCAAATGTAAATGGGCTAAATGCCCAAATTGAGAGACTGGGAAATTGGATAAAGAGCCAAGACCCATTGGTATGCTGTATTCAGGAGTCCTATCTCACATGCAAAGACACACATTGGCTCAAAATAAAAGGATGGAGGAAAATTTACCAAGCAAATGGAAAGCAAAAAAGTAGGGGTTGTAATCCTAGTCTCTGATAAAACAGACTTTAAGCCAACACAGATAAAAAAAAAGGACAAAGAAGGGCATTACATAATGATAAAGGAATCAATGCAACAAGAAGAGCTAACTATGCTAAATATATATGCACCCAATACAGGAGCACCCAGATTCATAAAACAAGTTCTTAGAGATCTATTAAGAGACTTAGACTCCCACACAATAATAGTGGGAAAGTTTAATACCACTGTAAATATTGGACAGATCAATGAGACAGAAAATTAACAAGGATATTCAGGACTTAAATTCAGCTCTTGATCAAGTGTACCTAATAGACATCTACAGAACTCTGCATCCTATATCAACAGAATATACATTCTTCTCAGTGCCACATGGCACTTATTCTAAAATCAACCACATAGTTGGAAGTAAAACACTCCTCAGCAAATGCAGAAGAATGGAAATCGTAACAAACAGGCTCTCAGACCACAGTGCAATCAAATTAGAACTCAGGATTAAGGAACTCACTTAAAACCACACAACTACATGGAAATTGAACAACCTGCTCCTGAGCGAATCCTGGGCAAATAAAGAAATTAAGGCAGAAATCAAGATGCTCTTTGAAAACAATGAGAACAAAGAGACAATGTACCAGAATCTCTAGGACACAGCTAAAGCAGTGTTAAGAGGGAAATTTATAGCACTAAATGCCGGCATCAGAAAGCTGGAAAGATTTCAAATTGACACCGTAACATCACAATTAAATGAACCAGAGAAGCAAGAGCATACTAACCTAAAAACTACCAGAAGATAAGAAATAACTAAACTCAGAGCAGAAATGAAGGAGATAGAGACATGAAAAACCCTTGAAAAAATCGATCAATCCAGGAGCTAGCTGGCTTTTTGAAGAAATTAACAAAATAGATAGACGCTAGCTAGACTAATAAAGAAGAAAAGAGAGAAGAATCAAACAGATAATAAAAAATGATAAAGGGGATATCACCACTGACCCCACAGAAATACAAACTACCACAACAGCATGCTATGAACACCCCTACAGAAATAAACTAGAAAATCTAGAAGAAATGGATAAATTCCTGGACACATACATCCTCCCAAGACTAAACCAGGAAAAAGTTGAATCCCTGAAATGACAAATAACAAGTTCTGAAATTGAGGCAGTAATTAATAGCCTACCAACCAAAAAAAGCTCAGGACCAGATGGATTCACAGACGAATTCTACCAGAGGTACAAAGAGGAGCTAGTACCATTCCTTCTGAAACTATTCCAAACAATTGAAAAGGAGGGACTCCTCCCTAACTCATTTGATGAGGCCTGCATCATTCTGATACCAAAACCTGTTAGAGACACAACAAAAAAAGAAAACTTCATGCCAATATCCTCCATGAACATCGATGCAAAAATAAAATACTGGCAAACCAAATCCAGCAGCACATCAAAAAGGTTATCCAACATGATCAAGTTGGCTTCATCTGTGGGATGCAAGGCTGGTTCAACATACACAGATCAATAAACATAACCCAACACATAACATCAGTCATAACAGAACTGATGACAAAAACCACATGATTATCTCAATAGATGCAGAAAAAGGCTTTGATAAAATTCAACATCCCTTTATGTTAAAAACTCTCAATAAATTAGGTATTGATGGAATGTATCTCAAAATAATAAGAGCTATTTATGACAAACCCATAGACAATATCATACTGAATGGGCAAAAGCTGGAAGCATTCCCTTTGAAAACCAGCTCAAGACAAGGATGCCCTCTCTCACCACTCCTTTTCAACATAGTGTTGAAAGTTCTGGCCAGGGCAGTCAGGCAAGAGAAAGAAATAAAGTAAGGGTATTCAAATAGGAATAGAAGAAGTCAAATTGTCTCTGTTTGCAGATGACATGATTGTATATATAGTTATCCCCATTGTGTCGCTGCCAAAACTCCTTAAGCTGATAAGCATAGTCTCAGGATACAAAATCAGTGTGCAAAAATCACAAGCATTCCTGTACACCAACATGACAAGCAGACAGCCAAATCATGAATGAACTCCCATTCACAATTGTTACAAAGAGAATAAAATACCTAGGAATACAGCTGACAAAAGATGTGAAGGACCACTTCAAGGAGGTCTACAAACCACTGCTCAAGGAAATAAGAGAGGACACAAACAAATGGGAAAACATTCCATCCTCTTGGATAGGAAGAATCAATATCATGAAAATGGCCATACTGCCCAAAGTAATTTATAGATACAATGCTATTTCCATCAAGCTACCTGACATTCTTCACAGAATTAGAAAAAATTACTTTAAATTTCATATGGAACCAAAAAAGAGCCCATATAGCCAAGACAATGCTAAGCAAAACAAACAAAGCTGGAGGTATCACGCTACCTGACTTCAAACTATGTTACAAGGCTACAGTAACCAAAACAGCATGGTACTGGTACCAAAACAGACATAATAGACCAATGTAACAGAACAGGCACCTCAGAAATACCACCACACAACTACAACCATCTGATCTTCAACAAACCTGACAAAAACAAGCAATGGGGAAAGGATTCCCTATTTAATAAATGGTGCTGGGAAAACTGGCTAGCCATATGCAGAAATCTGAAACTTGACCCCTTCCTTACACTTTATACCAAAATACCTCAGATGCATTAAAGACTTAAATGTAAAACTCAAAACCATAAAAACCCTGGAAGATAACCTAGGCAATACCATTCAGGACATAGGCGTGGGCAAAGACTTATGACAAAAACACCAAAAGCAATTGCAACAAAAGCCAAAATTGACAAATGGGTTCTAATTAAACTAAAGAGCTTCTGCACGGCAAAAGAAAAGATCATTAGAGTGAACTGGCAACCTATAGAATGGGAGAAAAGTTTTGCAATCTACTCATCTGACAAAGGTCTAATATCCAGAATTTACAGGGGACTTAAACAAATTTACAAGAAAAAAAAAACATCAAAAAGTGGGTGAAGGATATGAACAGACACTTCTCAAAAGAAGACATTTATGTGGCCAAAAAACATATGAAAAAAAGCTCATCATCACTGGTCATTAGAGAAATGCAAATCAAAACCACTATGAGACACCATCTCATGCCAATCAGAATGACGATCATTAAAAAGTTAAGAAACAATAGATGCTGGTGAGGCTGTGGAGAAATAGGAATGCTTTTACACTGTTGGTGGGAATGTAAATTAGTTCAACCATTGTGGAAGACAGCGTGGTGATTCCTCAAGGATCTAGAACCAGAAATACCATTTGACCCAGCAATCCCATTACTGGGTATATACCCAAAGGAATATAAATCATTCTAAAGACACATGCACACGTATGTTTATTGCAGCACTATTTACAATAGCAAAGACATGGATCCAAACAAAATGCCCATCAATGATAGATAGATAAAGAAAATGTGATACATATATACCTTGTGATACTATACAGCCATAAAAAAGGAAGAGTTCATGTCCTTTGCAGGTATATGGATGAAGCTGGAAGCCATCATCCTCAGCAAACTAACACAGGAACAGAAAACCAAACACTGCATGTTCTCACTCATAATTGGGAGTTGAACAATGAGAACACATGGACTCAGGGAGGGGAACAACACACACTGGGACCTGTTGGGGAGTCAGGGGGGAAGTGGGGAAGAGCATTAGGACAAATACCTAATGCATGCAGGGCTTAAAACCTAGATGAGGGGTTGTTACGTGCAGCAAACCACCATGGCACATGTGTACCTATGTAACAAACCTGCATGTTCTGCACATGTATCCCAGAACATAAAGCAAAATAAAAATAAAAAATAAAAACAAACTTTTAATTTCCAAAAAAGAGAAAATAACCCTACAGACCAATATCTTTCATGTACATAGATCCAAAATTCTCAACAAAATATTAGCAAATTGAACCCACCAAGGTTAAAAAAAAAAAAAAGAATTATACACCCCAATCAAGTGTGATTTATTCCAAGTATGCATGGCTGATTCAACATTCAAAAATCAATTAATGTAGATTAATCACATCAAGAAGTCAAAGAAGAAAGATTATATGAACGTAACAATAGATGGAGAAAATTATTTGACAAAGTTCAATAATCTTCATGATAAAATCTCTTACCAAATTAGGAATAGAGAGAATTTCCTCAACTAAATAACACCTACAAAAAACCACCTAAAGCTAACATACTTAATGATGAGAAACTCAATGCTTTCCCTCTAATGTCAGGAACAAGTTGAGAAGGCCCCCTCTCACCACTGCTTTTCAACATCGTACTGGAAATTCCTAGCTAATGCAATAAGACAAGAAATTGAAATAAAGACATGTGGATTGGAATGGAATAAGTAAATATATCTTTGTTTACAGATAACATTTGTCTGTGAAGATAATCCAAAAGATACAACAACAACAACAACCCCCATATCCAAAACAAAAACAAAAATCTCTTCTGGAATGAATAAGTAATTCTAACAAGGCTGCAGGATATGGGGTTAATATACAAGAGACAACTGCTTTTCTATATACCAGCAATAAACAAATGAAACTCAAAATTAAAAATACATTACCATTTACAACACCCTCCCAAAATAACATACTTTGGTATAACCCAATATGTACAAATTCTATTTGAAGGAAACAATAAAACTCTCTGAAAGATATCAAGGAACTAACTAAATGGAGAGCTATTCCATGTTCATGGAGGGAAAGATTTAATATTGTCAGGATGCCAGTCTTCCCAACTTGATCTACAGATTCAATGCAATCACAATCAAAATCACAATAATTTTTTAGAAATAATCAAACTGATTCTAAACTTTATATGGAGAGACAAAAGACCCAAAATAACCAAATCAATAATGAAGGAGAGGAACAAAGTTAGAGGAGTAACACTAATTGTCTTCCAGTCTTACTACAAAGCTACAATAATCAAGTTAGTGTTGTGTTGCCAAAAGAATAGATACTGGGGGAATTGAGATACCAGTGGAAATAGGGAAACTGAGATATCACTGGAATTTTTTCTTGAAAAAACATTTCTAAATGGGTTTGATTTTTGAATCACATAAAAGTTTGAAGTATTCAAATATTTATGAAAAATGGTGAAAAACATAAACTCTTTGATTACAAATATTAAGAAATGGACCTAATGTATACCAAGTTATTCTGTAAACACATAGGGAAAATGATGTATTTAAGTTACTTTTCCTATAATATTACATAAATCCTTAGCGAAATATGGTCATAGGAAAGAACCACGCAATCAAATCTTGCACCTTACTTTGTAGTTTAGCTATTATTAATGGTGTTTATGTTGCATTGATGCAATGTGTAAATACATTAATGTTGCTGGAAACCAGACTGTCTGCTGTGGAAGCAGAGAGAAACAAATATAAAACAGGGAATGTGAAGAAGAATCTGTGGTGGTAGACTTGAATTAGAGGCATCGATATGAGTACTTACAAACTTGTGATTTAAACATTTTATAGTAATTTTAAAGTTTTATGCCATTTGCTTCTGTGATTGCTTGAAACTTAGGAATATATTCCCCTACCTCCTGGCCTCCCACCCTGATGCAGTTCTGTCTATTAAAATGCCTGGCGTCAGTTACACCCAAGTAGCCACGAGCACACTTAGAACCCAGATCTTGGGCCAGGAGCAGTGGCTCATGCCTGTAATCCCAGCACTTTGGGAGGCTGAGGCGGGCAGATGGCCCGAGCTCAGGGGTTCACGACCAGCCTGGGCAACATGGTGAAACCCCGTCTCTACTAAAATACAAAAAATTAGCCGGGCGTGGCAGCGTGTGCCTGTAGTCCCAGCTACTTGGGAGGCTGAGGCAGGAGAATTGCTTGATCCTGGGAGGCAGAGGTTGCAGTGAGCTGAAATCGTGCCACTGCATTCCAGCCTGGGCAACACAGCAAGACTCCATCTCAAAAACTTAAAACAAAACAAACAACAACAACAACAACAACAAAACCCCCAGATCTTCATTGCTAAATAGCATTGTCTACTAAAGGGAACCAGCATTTTTGGGGAAAGGTGGATTCTTCCAGGGGCAGGGAATGTACCTGGTAAGCCTCAGACACCACGTGCCAGAAATCAAGGAAGTGATCAAATCCAAATGGGGCTAAGTCAAAAGAATAAAAGGGCTAGCTTGAAGGCCTCCAATAGGAAAATGATGTACAATTTGGAATTTAAATAATAATATTAACAACAATGGATTAAAATGCCAATAAATCATAGTGAAAGAGAGAGAGAGAGAAGGGAAAAGATTTTTCTCTACAGATGAATGCCAGAAAATAAATCTAAAATAAATGATAGAATTAGAAAATCACCATTTTACATGTCCCCAATGTAATAAGTGATTCAGGCAAAGATTATCAATAGATAATAATACTATTGGATGAATATTACTAAGGAATAAGATAGTCATGCAATCTCGAAGTATCATTTGTCAATTACTTATTAACTACAAAGAGAAAATTGTACCTTGTTACAGAGACATCTGGCAGTCACCAGCTGAACAAAATCTTCAAACTTTGCACCACCATCATGGGACAGCCTGACATATGTGCACCTTGAGATAAGGTAGTAAAAAGAACACAGTCTAATTCTGTAATGTTCCAGGCAAAAGTCTTTAACCTGAGTCTTATGAGGAATACATGAAACTAATCCAAAGTGTGTGATATATTCTTTATGATAACTACCTGGAATCTTCAAAAACTGTTCTAAAATCAGAGAAGGTAAAGGCAATGTTATAGATCAGAAATCAGTAAACTTTTTCTGTGAAGGGCAGATAGCAAATGTGTCATGCTTTGTGGGTCACATAGAAGTCTCTGTTGTATATTCTTCTTTCTTTTTTCTTCTTCTTTGTTTTTTGTCCGTGTAGTTTGGCTTTACAACTCTTAAGAAATGTAAAGATCCTTCTTAGCTTGAGATACAAGAACAGACCATGCAGGATTGGTCTGTGAGCCACAGTTTACTTACTAACTGTTGTCCTAGAGTAAAAGAAAATGACAAGACATAACAACCAAATGTAATTTGTGAACCTTGATTAAAAAACAAAACACCTATAAAAGTCATTTTTGAACTAGCAGGAGAAATTCAAATGTGTTCTGTATATTAGAAGATATTTTTGAATTATTGCTTCTTTTCTATATGATCATAGTGTTATGATTATATTGGAAGATGTCCTTCTTAAGCAATGCCTGCCAAAATATTCTGAAGGGAAGCATCATAATGGCCACAATTTACTTTGAAATTTTTCAGGGAAGAAAATAGAAATAAAAGATACTAGGAGTCAATAAGTGTTCTTAAATGATTGAATGGATGTACATCCAATTTACCCATTCTTTTGCAAATATACTTGGAGAGCTAAAAGATCATAAAAAATCAATTGCCAGATTCTATGCAGAAATGGATGAAATCAAACCTTTGGAATTGAGTTTAGATTTGATTTATTAGTATGGGAAGATTTGGGTCATACTTGAATGGTCAGAGAGGAAGAAAAAATTGATCAGCTTTAGAGTAAAAAGAAGGTATTAAGAGAAATCATAATGACAAATTATTTTTTAAGTTTCTAATCAGAATGCTGGATCTATAAATTCCACAGAGACTATTACTCAAACGTGTTCATTTTGCAGATAAGGAAACCACTGCCTAGACAGGCTTTGCTGTGTGTCAAAATTTATCAAACAGTTAGTGTAAGAACAGGGACTATAATGTACCGTATGTCTGTCTTTTCACTATACTATAGCTACTTAATACAGCCCAAAGGTATAGATGTGATAAAGCCCTCATTGACCTTAATTTATAAGATTGGCTTTCCTAGCAATCCCTTCAAATACAGCAAAATGTTCAATACATTTTTTTTTCTATATGTGACTATCACTAGATAAAGACAGAATAAATAACAAGTTGAATAATTTACTAATTTGCTGGAAATTATCCAGTAAATTCAGGCTATGTGTGCAAACGTTAGGGCAAAAATGTTATTAAATATACTGCCTTCTGCCTCTCAAATAAACAAACTCAGAGGGCACTCAACTTTGTGAGGTTAGAGAAAAGAACTCTGGTGTTGTTTGTTTGTGATTTACGTTGTAAAGCACAGAAGTACTTAGACAGGAGATCTATTTGCAAAAGTCTGATTATCTTGTAGAGGCTCCTTCCTAGGTCAGAAGAGCTTTTCCTTGCTGTCACAATGAAAGTGGAACTTGATGGCATCTAATGAACGATTTAAAGATATCACATTCAAAGCTAAGGGGAATGAGAGTTAGGATCCTGGGAGAGGGAGGAATTGGAGGGATGTGAGGTACAGAAATCCATAGTAGAAAGAAACTCAGCAGAGAAGATGTGAAGTGGAGGAGTTTTCCTCCCTTCCAGAGACAAAAGGGATAATTTTATGGTTTGCTTTGAGAGACAGAGTGAAGAATCCAGGTGCTCTGAAGATTCACTTGCATTTGATGGATGTGAATTCCTTCCAGTTTTATATTCAAAAGTACTTCTTTATTTTTAAAAAAAAAAGAATTGTGAGGATTTGTGTGTCGATAGTAACCTTAAATCTCTAGTAGCTAGAATTAGTAAAGTTCTAATTATCTTATATTGGAGTTTTACATCCAAGGACACCTCTATTAAAAGGAGGTTTCTGTGTGGTCTGTTGTAAAGATGGCTTTGATGTCTTTACCAAAAGGTGTCTTTTCACTGTAAAAAGAATGGAGCAGTGGCTGCCCGTGGCTGCCTTCAGTGTGAGAATGTGCTGGAATATTTTATTGTTGGGGTGGCATTGAAGTTCTGCTGTGAAATGATTTTTATGAATGCTATTCCCTGGGAGGCTCACAGAACTGAGAATTTCATGTCATGAGGCCATGATCCCAGGGAGCAGAAATCAAATAAATAAAGGTCTTGGGGAATTATGGTCTATGGGATATATTTTCTTCTCAAAATGAGTCCATAGTTCACTTTGATGGTAAGTTTAAATGGATCATATGAGAGCAGAAAAACACATCTATCTTTAAGTGGTAACAAACTTCCATTTAAGAATTTCCCCTGTAAAAATAATATCTGAGGTCTAAAATTCAAGAAAAAACATAAGACAAGAAAAGAGAATAGTTATTATCGTAAAGGAAGATGGTTTAGGATACAGCTTTAAAGCTTTTGATTTAATGATATTTATATTTAGGAAATGGAAAGTGGCAATTTGGAGCATCGTATTCCATAAGGTTATATGCTTGAGGGCTCTTTTCTAACAGCCATATTAAAAGGGTTTCTCCTTAAGGAGAAGTAGGTTAATTTCAAGAAAGAAGAGCCAAAAATAGGTTGCCTATAGCTGAAGACCAAGGAACCAACTTTAACTTGAAGCAGAATGGAGAGAACTGCTGGTTATGTTCTGTATCAATGCAATTATCTCTATAGCAGAATAATT
Source organism: Homo sapiens (assembly GCF_000001405.40). Taxonomy (NCBI): domain Eukaryota; kingdom Metazoa; phylum Chordata; class Mammalia; order Primates; family Hominidae; genus Homo; species Homo sapiens. The sequence continues at coordinate 125,172,460 of NC_000005.10, forward strand.
TGAAAATATTTTTTAAAATATGAATTATTACATCCTGACCCCACAAAAATTCTGAGCAAATGTTTAGTAGGTCCGGCTCAAGGAAACTGTATCATTATCTTCTAGGAAGTGATAGGGAGGACGTTTTAGAACACAGTGGGAGAACAATAATTAACAAAAGCTTCATATTCAAATTTGAGACACAGACCGCCTTCAAACATTCCTATTCTGAAAGACTATTAGGCTGACTTATCCATTGATAATAACAATGATTTGGACAACTTTTGTAATATGGATCGAAACTCTAAATAATTGAGACCATTTGTAGTCATTAGCAGAACCCAAGTCATTGAAATATAAGAGTAATACATAGCGGATTTTTCAATCTGTAGTAAAAGGAAAAGAAAGTTTTGGAGTATGTTTTTCCTGCCAGAGTGTTATGAGAGTCAAATGTGAGATATTTGGTAAGAGAACACTGAAAAACTCTACTCTACACAAATGTTAGAAAAAATTAATGCCAAGCACTAGTGAATGCCCAATGTATGTGATTTTAGTGGATTTTAAGCATTTAAAATTGTCTGCTTGTAATTTTTCCATCCTATTGTATAGATAGTCTAAAAATCCACCATTAAAATGAGGTAAATAATAGCAAACACAAACACTGCAGGTCATGATGTTGAATGCCAATATTCAAGTGAATCAGGAATATTACGGTAGAGCTAATAAACTAGGATAATGATAAAATATACAGGTTGATATAATTCTATATGTCTCTTTTAAGAAATAACTCTTTATAATACATTCTAAATTCAGATTGCAGTTTCCCATCTAGCATGTAAGGCCATGATTTTGGAGCCTTCAGTATCAAAAATAAGAAGACCAGAACAATGACTACCCTAAGAATAATAATGACTATATGAAGGCAATACAAAATGGTTTATCTGCTTTAGCTCCTGTCATTCCCACAGTTTTGTGGGTACATTTTTTTTTTTTCATTAAAAGCAAGGCTAAGTAACTTGCCCAAGGTCATGCAGATAATAGCTAACAGAGTTAACGCTAATTCCACTCAGTAATCTTAATCAGCACTCTAGCATTGTAGCTCAAATTAGAGAACACATAAGCTCCTCTTTTCTATGTGGCCATGGGGTAGTCACTAAATTCGACATGTCAACTACCCCTGGTTCAGTGCTGCTTTGAGGGGACAGTGAGTCTTTGGAGTCCCTTTGTTTTCTGTTGACTGTGAGAGCAGGGACTCGGATTTCAGGGGACTTCGGTTTTACCACCCTCTTCCAGTAGGTCAATGTTGGAGGTGGATAGGGAAGAGGAAAAGTTCAGATCCTTGCACAAGACAGATATGTAGGTACCTCAGTCAGTCTGGCAACATGGGCTTCCAGAAAGACCTTCAAAGTGGCCGAAATGATTGCCTCCCTGTTCTGTGTCCAATTTGCTGAATTGTGTGCATCCAGAGAATACATATGTGGACAAAAGAAATTGACTTCCTGATTCAAAGGAAGATGAACAAGACAGATGCTAAGGAATGTTCTCCCCATTTTTTCTGTAATTGAACATTTTAGTAATCTATCCAGAAGTATTTTTAAAAGTCTTCAGAATCAAAGGCCCCACAAAAATATTTAAAGGAGTTCCAAGTAATTATATCAGTAATCTTCCTGTCCACACAATTCCCAGCTGAGCAAAATTATGATATAAAGTTTGGAGAGCAGAGTTGTGATTTACTGTAGTAGTTACCAAAGAGATCCATCAGGTAAATTGGTAATACAAACAGCCAAATGCTCATCTGGAATTTTATTGTGAATTGACATTTATACAGAATATGTACTCACTTTTTTATTGGGGTACTCTTGAAGTCTAATAGGAAATTGCAAGAAAGCAAGATTTAAAAAAACAACACCCAACAGACACAGCAATGTATTTTATTTTATTTCTGCTGTGGATATTTTAACAGATACCTCAAGCTATTTAAACCTAAGCTTACTTCTCACTCAAGTTTCCTTCCATCTCTCACTTCAATTACCAACTTGCAAAGTTTCATCTCTTCTTCACTCCATTTAAAAATGGTTTGGACATTCAGTTTGAGAAAGAATGCACCAGACAATTAAGGAGATCATTCTTTTCCTGCCCTCTAAGATCTATATCTATTCAGTCAAAAATAGTACTGGCAATTCTACATTCTAAAAGCCTCTCAAATCCATCATTCCTTCCTCATTCTCATTGCCACTGGCTACTTAACTCAGGCCCCAAACACCATTGGCTTGGACTTTTATAACAGTCTCCTATGTCCCTCACTGCTTACATATCTTGAATTTATGTCTTAAATTGCTGCTCCAATTATTTTTCCAAAATCACATATCTAATTATTATAGTTTCCTAGTTACCACACTTTAATGTATTCCCATGACCTAGAGGATAGTCTTAACTTTTAAGCAAGGTATTTAGGCTTCTTTACACTTTGTAACTCTATAGTCCTCATCTTCTGTGGCCCTCTTCAACTACTTGTCCCCAAAAGCCCACTCCTTAGATACCAGCTGTGTTGGGCTGTGCATCTCTCTCTAAATTGGTGACTCTCAAAGTTAAGGGTGCATCAGAATGATGAAGAGAGCTACTAAAACACATCCCCAGAACATCAGATTCAAGAGGCCTGAATTGGGGCCTGACTCTGCATTTCTAACAAGTTTCCATGCAGTGCTGAAGATATTGGTCGGGGGACCACATTTTATGAATCAGTTCTCTAAAGCAAGCCAGATTTTCTATCAGGTGACACTATTTAATTCAGCTCAAAAATCAGAGCTGGGTGTGGTGGCACATGCCTGTAATCCCAGCACTTTGGGAGGCCAAGGCTGGTGAATCTTTTGAGCTCAAGAGTTTGAGACCAGCCTGGGCAATGTGGGGAAACTCCTTCTTTTGTACTTTTGTGCCAGAAGTACAAAAAAAAATTAGCCAGGTGTGGTGGCATGTACTGGTTGTCCCAGCTACTCAGGAGCCTGAGGTGGGATGATCACTTGAGCCTGGGAGCCTGGGAGGCAGAGGTTGCAGTGAGCTGAGATCTCTCCACTGTACTCCACCTTGGATGACAGAGTGAGACACCGTCACACTCACACACACACACACACACACACACAAATGGTTTTTTTTTTTTTTTTTTTTTTTTTTTTGGTGGATCCTGTCTTGACCAGTCCCTAAGTGTACATAGAACTTATTTTTCTTAAGCATTATTTAAAGTACACAAAGTTATGGTTTGTTAATCTGGCTGTCTTCTTCCTTTGAACCCCTTAAGGATAGAGAGTTTATTATATTCACTTTAATATTCCCAGACTTAGCACAGTAGAGAGGAAGTAAATTTCCTTTGCTGAATGAATGAATATTGGCTGTATTATATCTGCATTCCTGACTGGGCCGTTTTCCAGATGTAGAATTGGCCATGCTGTCTGTTAATTTTGAAAGCTGCTGGTACATGTATTTCAGTGACCTTTTGATAACATTTCACATCGCATAACAATTCACCAAAGGGAATTTCAAAGCAATTCGAATCTTACATTCTAATGAACAAAGGAAACATACATGACAGGTAGTCAGAAATCAGTCTGATGAAATTCAATACAACATGAAACAAAAGACTTTAAAATTATGTTGGAAGTTTTATGGGCCCCTGTCTAACATCATTTATTTGCTAAAGGTGTGGCTACCCGATGAAAACATAACTGGGATATTGTGTCAGTTAAGTGAAAAGCATCAGGTGAACGAAAAAGCAGTCAGAACAGTGGCTTGGCAATGTGTTGACTGTAGCTGATTTATTGTTTCACCTTCCACTGGTTTTTCTTTCATTGTGTCAACACAGTTTACAGGGCACATATGGATTTATATGATCCACAGAGATAAGGAAAGAATTCTTAGGGAAGGCTGAACTCTTTTCTTGCTTTTAACTCACAAAAGTCACTGATCCAAAGTCACTGATTGGGCAACAAAGTGCCAAGTAAGGAGTCGGGGCCAAAAATCTTCCATTTGATTGTGTACGTAATAACTGGAACTCTTGCTCAGATTTTCAGAAGAACGTTTCACAACACAGACAGCAAGACCCAGAGGTGTGAAAGAGTGGGACAGACTGGAATGGACTGAGGGTGGGAGATGGAACTGGGTAGGAAAGCTGGTTCCAAATTGTGAGCGGCCTTGCGTGTCATGCCAAGGAGTCTGAATTTGATTCTGCAGGCATTTGGGAGCCACTGACCTAATTCCAGTTTGAGAATTAGAGAAGCTAGGAGCAGAAAGACTAATTATAAGGCTACTGCAAGAGACTGGAACTTGAGCCAATGCAGGGAATTGAGGATGGTCAGAGAAAGAATTTATAAAACTTAATGACCATGTTAGTCAGGGTTCTCCAGAGACACAGAACAAATAGAATGTGTGTGTGTGGGTGAGTGTGTGCGTGTGTGTGTGTGTGTGCGTGTGCACACGTGCATCTGAATTGGTTTACTTGATTATGGAGGCTGGAAAGTCCAAAATTAGCAGGGTAGGCTAACAAACTGGAGACCCAGGGAAGAGTTGATGTTGCAGTTCAAACCTGAACTCTGTCTGCTGGCAGAATTTCTACTTTCCCCTGGGGAGGTCAGTCTGTTGTTCTATTAAGGCTTTTAACTGATTAAATGAGGCCCACCCATATTAGAGAAAGTAATCTGCTTTACTAAAAGCCCACCAATTTAAATGTCAATCTCATCCAAAAAACACCCTCATAGAAACATCCAGAATAGTACTTGACCAAATATCTAGGGCCTGTGGCCCATCCCAACTGACATGTAAAATTAAGCATCACAGTGACCGATTGGATGAAGGGCTTAAGAGTGAAGAAAATAAATAATAGATGGTTCTGCAGTTTTCAGCTTGGATAAATTGAGTGAATGGTGATGCTTTTAACTAAGACAGGATTCCTGAGAAGAGGGCGAAATTTTGGTTAGAGAAGACTTTTTCTTATTCAAGAAGCATTTATTGATCATCAACCTTGCACCAAGCACTAAGTTAAATATTTCTTCTTTTGGTGTAGGAGAGGGAATAAGTACGTAGAAAATACCGTATGAAGAGAAGCCATTGCGTAATGATTCAGCTGTGCTTTAGAGGCAGAGACACTTAAGCTCTGTAACTTGGACCACCTGCTTAACCTGTCCTAGTGTCATTTGCATATATAGTACCTGGCACATAGTAGTTTATCAAGAAATATCTCCAGAATGCTTAGCTATGTTTTTACTGTATTGATTGTTGAAATTAATGTAGAATGCTAAACAAATATGAGACAGATTTTTCCCTGGTGCCATGACAGTGTCAGAGGACATGGTTCCTGGGAGGGTACTAAGTGACTCTGTCTTGTGTTATAGTATGCTTTAGATCCATAGTGGCTTGAAGCAGATAACTCCCAAAGGAACTCTGTTAGAACCAGAGAATAACTCAGGCACTGGTCTCACTAGGGCATATTATTCACTTGTGTAAACAACATTTAAAATACCTAGCAGTGGATATATAATATTTTATTAAAGTTCATAAAGGTCATAAATGAGTTTAAAATCTAGAAAACAAATTCAGTCTTCTTTAAAATTATTTAATTATAGCTGCTAAAATTACATACCGATATCCACATTTATATATATATGAACTCAGCTAATCAGTATGGAAGTAGATTTTACCAGTTGGTGTAATAATTTAGTATACTTTGACTACTCCTTATATGAATAGACACTATAAACTGGATAGATGATGGATGTTTCAAAATAGAGGTAATGTTCTAAAATAAGGGTCAGAAAACTGTGGCCCATGGGCCAAATATGTTTTATCGCCTGTTTTTATCAATAAAGTTTTATTGGAAAACTGCCACACTCATTTGTTTAGTCTTGTCATCTATGGTTGTATTTGCTCTACAATGGTAGAATTGAGTAATAAGAGACCATATGGACGGCAAAGGCTTTACAGAAAATGTTTGCTGACCCCTGCTCTGAAAGGATTTTGGAAAGTTGGCTTTACACTAGAGTTCAAAAAAGTACAGATGCTATAAAGGCCAAGCATAAGGGCAACTGTACATGTTTTATGCTGGTAAGATGGAAAGGAGAATTGGAGGAATGGTGAGACCAGGCAATATAGTTTGGAAGTTTGTCCCTTTGAAATCTCATGTTGAAATGTGATTTCCAATGTTGGAGGTGGGGCCTGGTGGGAGATAATTAGATCATGGAGGTGTATCTCTCAGGAATGGTTTTGCACCATCCTCTTGGTGATAAATGAGTTCAGTTTGTGTAAGATCCGGTTATTTAAAAGAGTCTGGGACCTCCTGCTTTGTTCTCTTTGCTTCCTCTCTCATCATATGATGTGCTGCCTTCCCCTTTGCCTTCCACCATGACTGTAAGCTTCCTGAGGCCTCACCAGAAGCAGATGCCAGCACCCTACTTCCTGTACAGCTTGCAGAACTGTGAGTCAATTAAACATCTTTTCTTTATAAATTACCCAGCCCCAGGTATTACTTTATAGCAAAGCAAGAATGGCCTAATACACTGGGGAAAACTAGAATGTATGAATGGCATCAAAGGACTGTAGCTGATAATCCATTCTTGCTTGTTTTTGCCAAAGAGAAAGGGAAATACAAGCCCCAGCATACCACTTCTTCCAAATTGAGAAAGGAAGCCAGGTTTCCATTTCTTTAATAAAATTTTCAGGTTCGTGTCATTTTCAGAATAAGCCAAAGAGGTCTGGCCGCCACCATTTTGCCACCTTTGGCAGTGGGTCACCTGAGGTCAGGAGTTCGAGACCAGCCTGACCAACATGGTGAAACCCCGTCTCTACTAAAAATACAAAAAATAGCCAGGTGTGGTGGCAGGCACCTGTAATCCCAGCTACTTGGGAGGCTGAGGCAGGAGAATCACTTGAACCCGGGATGCGGACGTTACAGTAAGCCAAGATCACACCATTGCACTCCAACCTGGGCTACAAGAATGAAACTCCATCTCAAAAAAGAAAAAAAAAAAAGAAACTTGGGGAAATACTATTGTGAAACAATAGATAATAGATGGAATGAAAAAAATGATACAGCTGATTCTGATTTTACAGATTTTTTCTTCTTTATGCACAGGCCTCAGTGGCCAGATTGAAACTAGGCAATGTAAAGAATGACAGACAGCATGGAAGGAAAAAAGCACCAGGCACATCCATCAATTTCAACATAAACCCTATCACTTCCAAGGAGATGATGTCTGAAAAGAGGGAGGACAGACATGGCAATGCCTGCAGGAGGCTGAGCAACTGAAAGAAGCAGAAAAAGTGCATTTACCTGAGCTGCCAAATCACAGCAGATGGTGAGATCTGAAGGGAGATAAACATTAAGGCCTGGAAAGCAAGCAATTCATCCTGTCAGCTTTCAAGGGCTGGTACAGCTGAAAGATCAGCCCAAGAACTAGATGGAAACTGTACAACAGTGGTGTTTGACAACAGTGAAGCCTGTCTATCAGATGGATGATGGAGAGGTAACCTGCTGAGGGGAGTGGAATCCCTTTAGCAATGGGAAGCACCCCCAAAACTGCTTGGGGTTAAAGAGCAGAAATTAACCAGATGTGAGAAATTGAAAGAAAATAGGGCGTGCTGTACAGCAAAAACAAATTGGCAGACAAATGAAGTGATAGCTCTCTTCAGGTAGAATACAGAGGAGTGAGATAGGCTTGAGCTAAGAGAGAACCTGTAGGTTCTGGTTTGGTTTGTCTGGTTTCTAGCTCCCAAGGTGACATGGAGGATCTTTAGTTGCTGCCTGAAGCAGCAGGATGATGGAGCTGGGATAGCTGGTTCTGCAGTGTAATTTTGAGAGGCTGCCTCAGTCCTGCCCCGTATTCATTCATTTATTTATTGGTGTGCCCATTGATTCATTTATTTATTGGAGTGATGCTTCTTGCATTTGTTTCATAAATGTCTACTTAGATGAGTGCCTTATTGTGTGTCAGACACTGTCCTTGGTGCTGGAGATAGCACACTGAACAAGACGAATTTCCTTCCTCCTGGAGCATATATATTCTACTAGGGAAGACACCATTTAATAGCTATGTGTTCATTTCTTCATTTTTCTCTTTTATAAAAAGGACATAATCATATTTATATTTACTTATAGGGCACTGTGAGAATTATTGAGAAATTTCTATAAGGCATAGCAGAGAGTCTGTCTGAATTACCATAATTAACATTTTTATATCTGTTTCCCAGGCTCTGTTGATATTATCTTATAAACAGATTTGATGATGCCACTCCCTTCTTTGAAGTCTTTTTATTGTCTAGAGCAGGAGTCAACAAACTTTTTCTGTAAAGGTTTAAATAGTAAATATGTTAGGTTTTGTGGGCCATGCAGTCTCAGTCACAAGTCTTTAATTCTGCCACTGTAGTGCAAAAGCAGCTATAGTCATATGTAAATGAATGTGAGTGACTGTGTTCTAATAAAGCTTAATTACAAAAACAGGTGGTGGGCCAGGATCAGCCCACTGCTGTAGTTGGTCATTCTGATCTAGCCCAGAGCATGAGATTCCAAGTCTTTAGGACTGTATAGCATAAAATCTCATTCCCAGTTATAATTCCATCTAATGATCCTCTATCCCTGTGATTAAAGTAAATAGCTTGATATTTTCTGATTTCATAACATACTTTCTTATCTATCTTTTAATAGTTAATAATGTGCTTATTATAGATAAATAATGCAGAGGTACTTAAAATTGAATGAGAACCTCCTATGCATACTATTGTGTCACTCTAATTTTTCATTCATAAAGATTTCATCTAATACATCATTTCTATATCATTCTTTTAAACGGTTGCTTATTAACCCCTGTACAGATGAATCAGAATTTATTTAACCAGTCACTCTGCCCTTCAAGCTTGCTCACCCTGCACATGTTGCATCTTCTGCCTTAAGAAACTTAATTTGCCTATTTGGCAATCTTCCTGGGCTCAAGAATGAGGTTAAATGTAAGTTTCTCTGTGAAACCTGCCCTTCACTCTCTGGGTAAAATTTACTCTGCTCTCATTTACTTTATATATAATTCCACTATGGCCCTTTAAGAGTCTGGAGTGGAGGGCCATGTGCTAGCTAATAGTGATACATAAAATTTAAATAGTGTTTACTAGGTGCCAGGTGCTTTTTTTTTTTTTCAGTTGGGGGTCTCACTCTGTCACCCAGGCTGGAGAGCAGTAGTGCCATCAAATCTCACTGCAGCCTCGAACTTCTGGGCTCAAGAGATCCTCCTGCCTCAGCCTCTTAAGTAGCTGGGACTACAGTCATGTGGTATCCCATCTGGCTACGTTTTAAATCTTTTTGTAGAGATGGGAGCTCACTGTGTTGCCCAGGCTGGTCTTTAACTCCTGGGCTCATGCAATCCTCCTACCTCAGCCTCCTGAAGTGTGGAGATTACAGGTGTGAACCATCATGCTTAGCTGCCGGGTACTGTTAAAAGCACTTGATCTGCATTAACTACTCCTAAGGAATCTGTTTTCTTGATGCCATGATTGAAGCACCGGTTATGATGTGTTTTACTTTAGTATTCTAAATTTTAAAGAAAGTAAGTTGGTTTTTTTTTTCTGTTACTTGAAAGCAAAGGAATCCTACCTTACACAGTATTCAGGATCTCCCAGCACTGTGCATTGACTCTGGCAGGTGCAATGTAAAAGCTGCCTTGTGGCTTCTTTAGAGAATGAAGCTTCCTGACTGTGGTCATCAGGCCTTAATACTTTCCTATCACCAGGGGCCAGGATAATAATTTGCTCATGGTGGAATCTCAGTAACTATCTTCCTTGTGAGTTAATGACTCAGCTACAGAGATGAGATAATTTACTGAATGGAAAGGGAGTTGGACAACTCAATATCTTTTCTGAGCTCAGTTTCTTTGTCTTCTAAGGGTTTATTGTTTTAACTGCTTTGTTGATGCAAAAGATTAGGGGTGAAGGACATGGTGACATTACAGACTTGAGCACTAACAATTCAAGTTCTAGCCTAAGTTGCAATTTTTCAGAACTCAAGTGCTTAGGAGAGCCTTAATTTAGAATGCAGTTATAATCTACATTATATGAAATTTTAAAAATCTACAGTGATTTTTAAATATTTTTTTTAAAAAGACACCTGGCTTAGGATGTATCCAAGATATTCATAGGTGATAAAGCTCTGTAGAGACCTGGTTTCCTGGCAGCTCATCAATGCCTATTGGCATCCTCCTTTGAACTCCAGTATTCAAATGAACAAAGGTGGCATCCACCACCAAAGAAGTGAAGTCAAATTGAGTATCTCACAGCACCACACATTTCCATGTTGGCGAGAGTGGAGAGTAGTCATTGACTTCTGATTTATTGATAGCTATAGCAATGGATCTCACACAGGCAGTAAGTTAAGGGCAATCCTGCACTCACAACATTGTATTTTATGGCTTCCTTGGCGTGACAGGATAAGCTGATAATAACAACTATTATTCATAAAGCCAGGTACTATGCAAAATGCATTACAAATATTTTCTCCTTTAATCCTGATAACAACACTAGGATGTAGGTATTTTTATCCCTATGTTACAGATGAGTAAATTGAGACCTAGGTTAAGTCTCTTAATTTACTAACGGTCATACTAATAGTGATAGAGTTGCATTTGAGTCTCTCTGACTCCAGGCCCATGTCGTTTCACTGAAGCCATCATGACATGGGAATTCAAATAGAAAAGTTGTTTATGACTCTTTCTGTTTTCTTAAGAGAATCTGGATTCAGTTTCAACTTATACATCATTTAGGAAGGGAATCAGAAACTCCAAGTTGTTATTCTTCAACCCTGTAACCCAAAGCGTTCGATTAATAGAACTAGTGAACATTTTGAGCTATTTATAATAGTATAAACCCTTCTCTCTTCAAGAGCCTGAGGATATGGGAGATTATTGCCTTGTTGAGAAATTCCAGGAATGGGAACAAATAGAGAAAAAGGCAGAAAAAGGAGAACTGCTGAGATATATATTCATTTTCCTCAGTATGAAGGCAATTCACATAATGACTCAGTTATATAACTGATACTGCTTTTGTATGACTTGAGGTCAAATGAATGGTATCCCTAACAATTGCCCGTGTCCCTACAGCCAAGGAGATGCCCCCAGATGCCTAGATATGCATGCCTCAAGAGCACAGTGGAACTTGTAGGGACACATTATGTTTACTGGCTGCCACCCTGGAATTGCCCCAGTGGGTGGAAGAGAGCACGACTTATACTGTCAGTAGCCTCTGTTAGTATAAGGCTTTCAGGAGACAATTCTCCATAGGTGTCTCATGCTTCGGCATACCTTGCCAGCAGAGGCACTATCTTTTCAGGGACACCTGCATAACAAACAGCCATGGAAGATAGAGATGGCATCTCTCTTGAGCTGACGACTGGTTTGCTTATTGTCCAGTATAATATAATGTTTCCCTTGGGGGAAAGGCCCAGGCAGGTTTGCTTGTAGCACATTATAAAAAATATACGAGTTCCCTACACTTAATGTCCCTCAGCCGGGATGCAAACCAACTGTATTCTTATCCCCCTGAAGCAATGTGTCACCTCATGGGCCTTGGAGTGCAAGGGGAATGGCTATGAACAAGAAGCTCATGTGGTTTGCTGTGCTGTGAGTAATGAAGTCCTTTGTTTCTGCCCCAGGAGTCTCATGTCTTTTGCCAGGTTAACTTGTTAGCTTTCAAGCAGGGTAAAATCTCAGGTCCTTCACAGTTCTCAACAAAAGCCTACCAATCTAAAACTCTATAGAGTCCAAGACTGTCTTAGTGTTACATTTAGATAAACACAGCCCAGTAAAGAGCCTTATTCTTTATTATATATCTTGAACAAACTTAAAAAAAATGGTGGTAGTAGTGGTGCATTGCTCATAGCAACTTTTATTAAAACTCTCCTAACTCTTGAAATTCCTGAAGCTTCTCATTTTCCTGGCCTCAAACAAAATCTTTCTTATTCATGTGCCATGTGAGAAGGTAGAGCAAGATGGCAGAATAGGAAGTCCCCTGGATGTCTGCCTTCCACCCCCCACCTGCGAGGACACCAAGTTAACAACTAGCTACACAGAAGAAACACCTTTTATAAGTACTGCAATCTGGCAGTACTCCTCGTGGCCTGGGGTGGTGGTGATTTTTTAAGAATGAAAAATCAGTACTCCTAGTACCTGGTTTTAACTTCATATCATTGAAAGGGGCAATGAGGAGATAAAAAACAGTCCTGAATCACTGATGCGATCCCTCTCCCACCCTGGCAGCCCCTGCATGGTACAGAGATCACCCTGTGTCTCTAAGTAAGCTTGAAAGGCAGTCTAGGCCATAAGGACTGCAACTCTTAGGTGAGTCCTAGGGCTGAATTAGGCCCAATGACAGTGGACTAGGCGGGCACGCGGCATACTGGGACACCAACTGGAGCAGCCAAGGGAGTGCTTGCATCACCCCTCTCCTAACCCCAGGCTGTACAGCTCAGGGCTCCGAAAGAGACTCCTTCCTTCTACATGAGAGAAAGAGCAGGAAAAGTGGGGAGGACTTTGTCTTGCGTATTGGATACCAGCTCAGCCACAGCAGGATAGGACACTGGTCAGAGCTGGGAGGCCCACATTCCAGGCCCTAACTCCCAGACGAGATTTCTAGACACACCCTGAGCCAGAAGGAAATCTGCTGCCTTGAAGGAAAGGACTCAGTCCTGGCAGCATTCATCAACTGCTAACTGAAGAGCCCTGGGTCTTGAATAACCAGCAGCGATATGTCAGGGTACTATGTCAAGGGGCTTGGGTGAGCCTCTGAGACTTGCTGGTTTCAGTTGAGACTCAGCATATTACCAGCTGTGGTGGCTATGGGGCAAAACCTCTTCTGCTTCAGAAAAGCAGAGTGAAAGGTAAAGGAGATTTTGTCTTGCACCTTACATGCCTGCACAGCCACAGCGCAGTAGGGCACCAAGCAAGTGGGCTCTTGGGGTCCTTGATTCCAGGACTTGCCTCTTGGATGGCATTTCTAGACCTGCCCTGGACAGAGGGGAGCTCACTGCCCTGGTGGACTCACCTTAGGGTGAGTCCTAGGCCAGGCAGCATTCATGACAAGATGACTTAAGAGCCCTTGGACTTTGAGGGAACATTGGCAATCTGGCAGTACTCCTCGTGGCCTGGGGTGGTGGTGACTATGGGGTGAGGCCCTTTTGCCTTTGGAAAGGGGAGGGAAGAATGGGAAGGACTGAATCGTGTAGCTTGGGTGCCAGCTCAGCTGCAATACAATAAAACACCAGGTAAACTTCTAAGGTTTTTGACTCTAGTCCCTGACTCCTGGATGGCACTTCTGAACCCATTAGGGGTCTGTGGGACCTTGCTACCCTGAAGGGAAGGACACAGGCCTGGCTGGCTTTGCTACCTGCTGATTGCAGAGCCCCAGGGCCTTGAGTGAATATAGGCAGTAGCCAGGGAATGGTTACAGCAGGACTTGGGCGAGACATAGCACTGTGCTGGCTTCAGGCCTGACCCAGTGCAGTCACAGTGGTGGTGGCCACAGGAGTGCTTGTATCACTCCACCCCCCATGTTAGGTGGGGGGGGGGGGGAGAGAGAGAGAGAGAGAGAGACAGAGAGACTCTGTATGTTTGGGAGAATGTAAGGGAAGGGAACAAGAGTTTTTATCCAATAATCCAGAGAATTCTCCTGGATGTTATCCAAGACCATCTAGGTGGTACCTCTACAGCTCTGCAAGAACCACAGCGTAACTGGACTTGGGGTGCCCCCTAAGGCACATACAGCCTAGATCACAGCACCCAAGTCCTTTCAAATATCTGAAAAGCCTTCCCAAGAAGGACAGCTACAAATAAGCCCAGTGAAGACGACAATACATACCTAACCCTTCAATCCCCAGACAATGAAGAACATCTACTAGCATCAACACCATCCAGGAAAACATGACTTCATCAAACAAACTAAATAAGGTACCAAGAACCAACTCTGGAGAAACAGAGATATGTGACCTTTCAGATAGAGAATTCAAAATAGCTGGGTTGAGGAACTCGAAAAAGTTCAAGATGACACAGAGAAGGAATTCAAAATTTTATCAGATGAATTTAACAAAGAGATTGAAGTAATGAAAAAGAATAATGTGTCACGTTACATACACCTTTTCAGGCATTTGACCCTAATTGTCTATCCTGCATGACACCTACGATTTCATCATATTCCCAGAACAACCCTCCCCACTCTTGCCCCACCCCATACACATCTCAAGCAGCCCCTTAGAGATTGTAGCCTTTCTTATGTTGCACTGGTTTTTCCCTTGAGAATGTGCCTTTGGATTTTGAGTACTTTCTCTCTTGGATTGTGAGAACTTTCTCTCTTCTGAGATGCTAAGTTAGCTATTCCCAAAAGCTTTGTTGTAAACAGAAGAAGAAATGGCCTTGAACTATTTACGTGTAATTAATTTTTATTCTGTCATACCAGCCTGGTATTCAACTCTGCTAACTCTCTAACATCTTGTAACTGATGATGTTATCACCTGATGGTTAAGGGCAACTGTTCTGTGTTTTGATTCTATATTTGGGTTTGCTCCCTAGTTCCACTGGATAGAATTTCTTTCTAATAGCTCATATTCCCATGGAGTTTCTACAAGCTTTCTCAGCTGGTTCGGCAGGACAGTTAATTAGCACAGCCACCTCAGCTGTGCTGACATTGGTTGATGATACCAGTGTAAAACCAGAAATGTTTTGGAATGATAGGCTGTACGAACGGATGCCAAAAGAGCCCTGCTGCCTTTTTCTCTTCTGTTCAAAATATGTTTAATTGTAGCTCTTCTTCCAAAGTACAGATAACGCTAGTGATTAAAAAGAAAAAAAAACAAAACTGGTATGATAGCAAGGCAGATAGGAGATAATCACTGGTCATTAAACAAAATTTATTTCCAAAGAAACAATATAAAGTTGTATGGGTTTGAAAGCACAAAATAATGTTATTTTTATCTTGCATCCAGTTCCACATATGGCAGTCCTGCTGAGCATTGTGACCAGGCAAAGTTGAGGGACTTGTTACAGTGAGTTTATTAGCTGCAATGGGAACTTGTTTTATTTAATCTGTGCCAGGAGGCTATTATATGCAAATCACTAACATGGTACAGAGTTGGTTACAAAGAAAATATCAGGACAGAATGGGGAGATGTCCCCATATTCTACTGGAAGTATCTCAATGGTATCATTTCACACTATTAATTTTTGAAGACATGTTAAAAATTAGCTTTCATAATCTCTCACTAAAAAAATTTTTTGACCGTTTAGATGAAATTAAAGTCATAATGTTTAACTTTCTGGGGAATGTATGCAAGATGTCATTTTGAGAAGTCTCAAAATGGGACCTTTTCCTTAACTAAGCAGTGGGTGATCCCTTGCCCTTAGTCTGGTTTGTTTTGCATTCCTTGGCTTCAGTATATTGGACAAGAGACTGGCACCTGTCCTAAGGGCACCTGACATATGGGCTTTGGCAGAGCACAAGGACAGTAATCAATAGGGGTAGTTTTTGGCAAAAGATGACTGGCCAAATCAGGCATATGATCTCTTTGGACTTTTGAAGGTGATACATTTTGAAAGAATCAGCAGATAGCAGAGTAGCCTAGAAGATGAGTGACACACAGGAAAAAAAGTAAAGCAGCAAAAGCTTTAAGTGCAAGAAATAAAGTCATGTGTGAGAGAAGAAAGTAGAGGGAACTTGACTGATGGTATTAGCAGCAGTGGGTACCTAATTGTAGACAGCTGTCCTCCCATGATGGTGAAGCTCTAGACTAGTAAGCTGTGCACTGACTGGACTGAAAGATTATCAGGAGACCCAGTCACTGTCAGTGTACTTTGCTCAGGGGTTTACTTATGTGACTTTTAGTCCCTACCTCTTTCATGAGGCTTCCTGAGATGTTTTGCCATGTTCCTTTCTTTCTCTCAGTGTTCACAGACTAAACTCCCATGAACTCTGGGTGCCTGAGAATGTCTCTTCTTAGTAATTCAAGAATGCCTGATGAACACAGACCCAGGTCTTTCAAACCACTAATTTGAATCTTAGCTCTACCTTAACTAACAATTATTTTTTGGGTAATTTAGGTAATCACAGAAGCAAGGCAGTCAGCTAAAAATGGATTGGTTTCTACATCTGAGACTGAAGAAGATCAGGCAGAGAGCTATACGCAATTAAATAGTTAAAATAGGACCTATATTTCTCTGGACTTCCAGTGCCAGTTTGGAATTCATGATCATATTTACATGTTTCTAGACAGATGTGTCATGGAATAATTGAAATAGTCCTAAGACGTATTACTAAACTTTAGTTAGGAAGGCCATGCCTTCAGCCTGACATGTGCAAGTACAAATAGTCCATTCAGGGTTGTCATTACAGGGTCTTGCTCTGCTGGTCACATTCAGGTACCACCCATGTCTTGGAGGAAACATGGCTCATTTGTTCTGGGGAAAATGTTACTGCCATTCTCATCAATTCCTCTGTATTCCAAAAAGAAATGAAAGCAGTATTCTGAGTTGAGAAAGCTTTGATGATTTATGATTTAAAGAGGTCAACTAAAAAGACAGTTACGTGTGCATGGAGGTGGGGGAAATAAAGGAGGTGGGACGAGGCCTGGTAAATACGTGTGTATATAAGGTCAAGTCACATTTTCCAGGCCAAGTAGAAATTTTGCAAAGCCAGTGAGCTTTGAAAACTGTGAAGATATTTTTAATAGTTCCCCATGTTTTGCAAACTTTTAAATATCTCAATTACTTAGTCAACTCCAATTAAGTGTACAGAATCCAAATTTTTAATAATTTGTCTCCCAAAGTGTGACATTCATTTTCACCTCATTGATAGATTAATGCCCAATAAATTACCTAAAATTAGAAACCAAACAATATGTAGACATGGCCTGAAAATTGTACTCCTGCCTTACTTTTACAAAATTGTCCAGAAAGTATCCATTAAATGCCTACTATGTACCAGGTGCTGTGCTCCATGCCTTGTGAAGCAAAACTGTAGGAGAAAATCAGGTACCTGCACAGATACAGCAAAGTTTTATTTATCTGCATATTAGTTGTTAATTGTTTGATGAAGAAAGAATCTTTCCAAGTCATTGTGACACACTGCTTTCTGTAACAGCATGGTAGGAGGTCCAGTGGAAAATGAGTCAGACACAATCTCTGACCTCATGGATCTTTTATTCTATTTTCCCTATAACAATAATGACATAACACTGATGATATTGATGAGTCAGAGCTTGCCAAAAAATGGCCTTATTGACTGAGCAGATGAGGAAAATAATGCAACACAGAATGTAGAAGAGTTCTTTGATATGTCTCTCTTTGTTTGGCAAAGGGAGCTATGGAAACTCTGCTTCTGTTCCTGGCATCTACATGTCATTGTGAGTGAGGGTTTTAAAGACCTCTTGCTTCAAAACAACATGCTGACGGCTCAAAGATGGCATGCATATTACCATGTCAAAGACCATTTCATGTTTTCAATGTCTGCTTAAAGACAAACTTTGGCTGACTTCTTATTGAAATTTACTTTTGATCAAAACTTAGATGGATACAATTTTGCATATTTTGGACTGATTTAAATTAACTTTAGAAAGTTGCCATAAATATTTACATGCAGAAAGTCTAGCAACATACACATTTTTAGAAATATTGTTTTTCTATTTTGACTTGGTGAAGGAAAAGTCAGTACTAATGTACAATTAGTCTTACGTGCATTTATCATGGAAGAGGATACATATTTTTAAAAAATCAGATTCCCAGAGGAATCCATGACTCAATGAAAGGTTAAGCTCCTCTGTATGAAATTGGGGACTTTGGAAGACTATTTTGTTTAAAGAAACGTGTTCTCCTATATTTTTCTGTGAGAACTGGCTGTTCAACAAATGTTGACTGAGTGAAAACCACTGTCTCAGAGTAATTACCTAAGGCTTTGCACTTAGAGAACGCATTTCCTTTCATGGACCCAAACTGTTCTACAATGTGACAGGTAATTTGGCGTCGAAACAAAGTGGCAGACCTGTATAAGGCTAGAATGAAGAGAGAGGACTAACTAGTTTATTACAAAACCAGTAAATAAAACTCACTCCATCTGTGAACATTGTAGACATGTGTCTCCTAGTATTGCAAAGTCCTGCTTCAAGAGTATTTATTTATGTGTTGCTTGTTTATTTACTTACCTTTTATGAGACGAGGCATAGCATGCAAGGATGATACTGTTGTGTAAAATTACCACTTGTGAAAGGATGCAAGGCATGCATTTGAGGAAGGTGGGGGATACGGCTCCCCTTACTGGTTTATGCCCTCCTGGGTCTCCTGTTGTTGTCTCAGCCACTCTCTCTTCCACTCTCTTTCTTTCCCTGTGTCCACTGTCTGTTCCTCCTGCTTCTCCCTCCTTCCCTGACTGAGCCCTGTTTTTCTGTTTTCACGTGTTACCACTCTGCCTCCACCTCAGATTACAGGAAAGCCACAGCTCTGGAAATGGCCTGAGGGAGGCACAGGCTCACATTTCATTCGCCTGGAAAGTTAGAATTACAAATTAATCTACAGGAAACAATTGTTTGAGCAATTGAAAACTGATGTGGACAACAGTCCATGCTGTCCTCTTCCAGCGGAGTGATGGAAGGGCTGAAGGCTGCAGTGTGCTCTTTCGAGCACGACCTCACGGAGAACATTCTCCAGTTAGCTTTTTAAAGGGGTTAAGTGAGGTAATTGAAAATGTTTACAGCATTATGCTTCTAATATAGTTACATTCATTTTGGATTTGATGAAATTATCAGCTATTTAACAGCCTTTGGGTTGTTTTGACTGCAACATTTTCATTTATACTTTAATGCAAAAATGCCAACTATAGAATTCCTTTTTGCTAGTGGGGGTGGGGTGGTAAAAAGAAGCTCAGACAACATGATTTATACAAGGCCTGTTCTCGTAAGACACATGCTACTTCTGAGGCTTTAGAAATTAATACTGCATTTAAATTAATTCCTTCCTCCCTCCCACCCTCCCTCCCTCCTCTCAATCCGCTTCCTCTTTCTCTTTCTTCCTTTCACATCTGCTAAAAATATTTGGTCACTTAAAAAAATATCTCAAATCCAATGTATCTTACATCAAAAGAAATAGTTGTCAGTGCAGGCTAATGAGCATTTTTACACCCTTTTGGTCTATTTTGTGTTATTATGTATGACATATCAGCAAGATTTCAAAAAGTGAGGTAAAACTAGTGATTTTATACCAAAAATAGCTTTCCTCATTTTGAGAACATTGAAACTAGGAGTAACAGTTTCTTTCGTAGTTTCCTCAGGGTCCCATTGGAGGGTAGGGCCAGCTCTAGATATGGTGAATTCTAAATTTTGCATCATTAGACTTGATTATGCATTTCATATTTTAGGTAACTTTCATATTAATTTTTTAGTAGCAGCATGTTATTGCTGTTATTACTCTTGGTGATAATTAGCTTCATTTCAATTCTTAATTCAATGCATGGTTAAAAACTGTCTACCATGATATAGAGGGTGCTGTGCTAGATATTATAGTAGTTGGTGGATGAGGAAGACCCAGTCTTGGCCTTGGAAGAGTCATTAGACATAATGTCGAATGTGTAAAATATTCACTCATCCATTTGTTCAGTCAAAATTTACTGAGGGTCCATATGTGAATGACACTGCTCCACGCTGTATATGGAGCACAGATGGTTGAGAAACAACTCTTGCCTTTATAGAGAAAGTGTAAAAGAAAAAAAAAAAAAGCAAACGATTAAATATTTAAAAGAGTAAATAGACACTTGTAAATAGAGTCTGAGTGAAGTGGAGCACTGAGGAAGGAGAGATTATTTACAACAGAAAGATCAGGGAACGTTTCTGTCATAGCCCTGGGAGTAGGGGAACCAGCAGGAGACCAGTGGGTATGGAAGACCACTCCGCTCTCCCCTTAGCATCATGGTGCCATTAGCATGGCCAAACTTGTGTGGAATCCAGTTCCAATATTCTTAGACCTGAAGATGCTCTTGTTTGGCTAGAAGTGAGACAATGTAACTTAGCCTAAGTTCATTATCACCAAACAGCTATTTTTGTTTTTTGCATAGCTCAGTAACTCTGTGGTTCTAATCTTCTCATTCTCCCTGGTAATTCTGACGCCCCCAGTTTAAGGAGCACTGATCTGAACAGATGGGACACTGGCCCTTTCAAGTAACCTATATTATTACATGCTTATGATAGGAAATTAATAGCTCTAATCTTATTTTCTAATGAAACTGACAGCTTATGGGACTCATTAGTTAACAAGCCCCTTTAATGACTGAGAGCTTACCAAAGAGTACAGGAATTTTAGTTTTAAGTTCAAAGTTGTGTTTCAAAATAGCAGGAAGATGTTTGCTGAATTGGCTAGCTTATCTTCAGCCATTTGTAAATCTTTAATTCAAAAAATATTCTTGCTTTTCTCGCATTGTTATTTGTCCACTGATGAATTCCCTGCTACACACTTTCCTTCCATGGGCAACTAACCAATATACTTAGTCTCTTTTTCCTGGAAAGAACATAAAACATAACATGACTTTTATACAGAATTTTTATTTATAAAATTGACCTTTTCTTGAATGGACAGTTTTCCTCTTTATATTTGATGCATACACCTGGGAATACAATCAGAAGATTCCTATTGATTGTTCTGAAGCAATTTCATTCTGGTCATGGTTGTTCTGGATTTGCAATTATACTGAGGAGAGGTATTATTGACTGGTCCTGGTAATTACCACACTGACATCAGATTCAGCTGGAGGTGAAACCAACCTACATCTCCATGTTGGTGTTCTCGTTATAAAAGATTTGCACTGATACTTCCAATCTAGCGATGAACAACACATGATGTTACGTTTTAGTCATAGCAATTTATTTCACTATGCAGTTCATTTATTTTTGAGTATAAGCAGCTTAAGGTACTGACTTAGGAAATGTATACATTGGGGAAGTTAATTATCGACCTACACCACGTATACTTTTGTCTAGCAGAACAAATAGGTCATCTTTTGTATTAAAACAATGGCTTTTAGACAGATCTTATAAGTAGATGGATTACTCTTGCATGTGTTTAATCAGATCAAAGGTAGCCTTATAAATAGTGAATCTACTTTTAATATAAATTTGAATTTCTTAGATTATATGAAATAAATATTTATGTATAGTCTCAAAGCAACAACAGTATAATTATCCTTAGAAAATAGAACTCTTTTATGAATGCCAAACTCAGTTTACTCCATTGGGTAAATTCAATGGAACACGTATGTAAATAAAGGTTATATAGAACTAGCATTGTGTAATACTTAATCCCAAGCCTGAATATACAGAAAAAGTGTACTGGTGTAACAACCCATCAGGCCATGTACAGAGAAGCTTAGCTTAACCTATAGACTGCAATGTATGCTCATAAATGTTAGGAAATGAAAAATATATTGGTTATACTTGGTATACAATTAAAAAAATCTATATGTAATTTGTTCAAAGTAATTTTCAAATATGTGTATTGCTTTTGCATTTTTCATAAAATACTTTAATTTTCTAATTGATATTAACATAATCAAAAATTCTTATCAGTATAAGAATTTTTTAAATGGGACTCTTCATGTGTAGAACATAGGCAATTCTCTATTAACCACTGATGCAATAGGCACTCCAGCTTTATTTGTGTAAAAAAGCAAATCATTATGATTATAATGTGAAAGTTCAATAAGAAAACATCATTTGCTACTTCTACCTATAGAAAAAATATGTCATTTAATTTGCAAAATCCAAACTTTTAATTTCCAAAATCCATTTTTATTTGCTTCAGCTCACTTTTGGCTAACATATTTAGACCAAAATCCAAACTTTTAATTTATAATATCCATTTTTTTTTGGTTCAGCTCACTTTTGGCTAACATGTTTAGACCCAGTGTACTTGCATCAGAAAATTATTTATTTCAACAAAGACTCAGTTTATATTATGAAAGACTGTAGCTTTTTTATTGTTTTATGAAGTACAATAATTCTAGGATCAATATAATACCCTTAAAGAGGTTTTATTCATATTTTTCTGGACAGACTGTTATTATTGCAGAGTTTAGACAGGATATTTCTATGGTGAGAGACCCACCCAACAACTGAGAAATTCCGTATGCAATTTGCAGATCTTGATCACATGACATTTCTGATTTTCTCTAGATAGCTAGAGAGGCACAAGTTTAGGAATAGGCCTGTTATAGAAGATGTTGCCTGTGTCCAATCCCTCACACTCTCAGGTGAACTAAACTATTGAGAAGTCTGCATTTGCTACCTTCTGACAGTACAGTATTTTAGAATATTAGCTTTGAGGAGATGGATGAATTAGTCAGAGGTAAAGCTGATTACTATTATTTCAGTGTGGTCCTATTAATGCAGGGAAGAGAAATACTCAATTTTGTGGTCATAGAACGCACACAGATCTCTCCACGGTCATCTTACCAAGCTGCCTCAGTCTCCCAGGGTGCTTTATAACAGAGTACAGATGTTTTAGTACAAATCCATCACCACCACTCAGAAAAACCATGTTAATCAGAAGAAACATCAAAAGCATCAGCTTGGAATCCCAAAGGAGCGGTGGCAGGTGCAGGTAGTGTCACTGCCTCTGACGTGCTGGGGCCGCATTCAGAAGGGATGCTGTCTCTACTGGCAGGCAGAAAGCACTGAGGCCTGAATCACTTGAGTGAGCAAAAGTTTTATCCGAAATATTCAGATAACTTGGGCAAAAGCAAATGTTTGGTTTAAATAGAGTAGATAAGAGACTCAATTTTTCATTTTGCTTTTGTAGATAGGACTGGGTTGATCAACTCAGGAAGAAAGGGAACAAGTATATCCTATTTAAGACTCTAAAATATTTGCCGAGATTTACTGCTATTTCCAAAGAGTCACATAAAGACATGTTGGATATAAAATATTTTATATCTTTAATTGGACTCTAAATTCCTACCATGTGGGGATTATCATTTTTTAAAATTCATTCTATACCTAGCATATTATGGATCACATAGGGACCAACCCGGAATTGTCTGTGAAATAGAATTATTGAATAATTGCATTTACGAACGTCGTCTTCTTTTGGAAGAATATTTCACCTCCTCCATGTCTGCAGATAAAATGCTGATGTGCTTTTTTCTCTTGACATCCAAAATTACAAGTTAAACAAAACAAAACAAAAGTTTGAATGGAGTCAACACATCCAAGTGAATTGAAAAAAGAGATGATATTGAAGTCAGAACAAAAAATGTTTTGTAATTTTAAAGAAAACATAAAGCTGAAGCAAAGCAGCAATAGAAAATGCAACAAATAATCAATTTTTCCCCCACTGAATCTAGGTGCCTTTAACATTGTCAAAAATCACACCAACACCAGTGATACACACAATTTGGATATATTTTGTTTCAATGATCTTTCAGCAAATATTGTCTTGAGATAACTCCATGCCTTGTGACAGTTCTATGATCATTTAAAACATTAAGCTTCAACCAAGGTCAGAGAACAAAGAGAAATGCAAATGCACATATTTAAAACTAACAATGAATCTCACCTTCCAGGAAAAGGATTGCACTTCTACTAGTATAATGGAAAAGTATAGACAGGAAAATATGGTAGAAGCTCCTCTGTTCTCTCTCTCTCTCTCTCTCTCACTCTCTGTCTGTCTCTGTCTCTGTCTCTCTCTCTCTCTCTCTCTCTCTCTCTCTCACACACACACACACACACACACACACACACACACACACACGCCATACTTTATTTTAAAAATATACAGTGAATTGGCTGTTTGGAAGTAACAGGCATCTTAATCTGATTTCACCAGAGTTTTAGGGAATGATTAACTCTTACATTTGCAAAATTGAGTTAGAATGTTTAATACAATGTAATATGAAATTGAAACAGATGAGACTTCTTCATAAATTAAGTGCCTGGAAGATTTGGAAAACTTCTGAGAGAGACATCGTGTGAATTTTTCCTCCCTGCATGTCCGCACTGCAGGTGCAGAGTGGGCAGATAACACATGGAAGCCAGTGTGGCCCTATTTCCCCAGTGTTCACAGGACATGGGGCACAAAGGGCCAGCATCTTTTCGCTGTTGCTGCTTGCCATATTTAGTCACTGAGATCTGGAACGGGCCTGAGGAATGCTGAACTGAACTGTTGCTTATGTCATTAAAAACTCAACTAGGCAGAAAGCTAGGAATGGAGCAGTTGACAAAGATAAAGCCGAGAGCTCTGTGGCTTATCCTTAATTAGGTGTTGGCATTGGTTCTTGTCAAACAAGGGGAAAGAGAGTGTGCTGTAGCACACGGACGCACACAGACAGCCCTAGTCACAGTTGGAGAGAACACAAAGTGCATTCAAGCTGGCATTGAAAGGGATTTAGATAAGTACTCGAGGTAACAAAAATCGAAAAAGGAGGATGATAGCAATGGAAGCTTTAGATGAATTGCAACTGAGTGCACCTTTATTACAGCTTATCAGTCTCCAGACAGCTACAAACCAACCTTCCTAGTGCATTTCTCTTCGTGCTCTCCTGGATTAAAGGTCAAAGTAACTCAGATTTATATGTTCTGTCGCGCGGTCTCAGTCTCTCCCGTTGCTCACGTATATGGAGCCCATATCCCAGGGATTTGGTATCCCTGGCATGAAACTTTGCTCCTTGAATGAAGCAAAAGCCTTTCCTCATTGAAAAGGGTCCATTTTTCTAAAATAACTATCTCATAGGAAGAGGTTGCAAATAATGCAATATTAAAAGATCTCAAAGATGCTACTGGCATAAATACACACATGGCAACGTGCCAGCTCTAATCGTTCTTGTCCATAATTATGGTTATATTTTGCATCGATCTGACATATTCAAAAGCTAATATTCTGGTTTATTAGAACAGAGTCTATATGTATTCTCAACATACACAAAAGCTGTGTGTTTTCATAATATGTATAAGCACTTCAGACGGTAAGCTGTGCACATTGCAGCTAGCAGATGGTAGCTCTTATCACAGATAAAAGCACATATATATGTTTCTGTAACTACACCCTCAGAGAGAACGGATAAGAGAAGAATTCTCTCCACATCACAGCTTACATTACCCATCTACTTAGGCAGCAAACAGCATATGTTTTACTGCTGTGGAAAGGCAGTACTTGAGAGGAAAATATGATTAAAATAAACTTAGAGATAACCTGATGAATAAATACAAAAAACCCCTCTGTGTTAATTGAAAGTTAGGGTGTGTGTGTGCATGTGTGTGTGTGAAGGAAAGGATGTCTTAGTACATTCAGGAAGTAAGAAAATAAAGAGTACATCTTTCAGTGTTGCCGGGTAGAATGCAGGATTCCCAATTAAGTCAACTTTCAAATGAAAAATGAATAATATTTTAGTATAAGTATATTCCAAATTGTGCATGCTCCATATTCCATGCAATATTTGAGACATTCTTATACTAAAATATCATGAGTTGTTTATCTGAAATTCAAATTGGAGCCCCCTAGTCCCCCACACATCATAATTTATTTATTTATTTTGCTAAATCTGACAACCATAGTTTTCAGCTGCTGTTATTAATGGTTTTAATCAGTGTTCCCAGTGTTCCAGGTGAAAGGACAGCTATCAACAGGCAAATCTATTTTGGAAGATATGATTTCAAATATTTGTATGCTTTTTCTGTTCATACAAATCCAGCAAGGATTTTGAACATTTATCTGAATGATGCAGTCAATAATAAAGCTAGTATGGATAACTTAGGAAATAGATCTCCCCGCCCCACATCCCCAGTTTTAGATTCTGGTTTGGAACTATTTGGATAATTATTTCACTTCGGCTATACAAGCTTATCTTTTTTCCCCCATTTATGAATTTGATCTATTATTTTAGACTAAGATCTATTTGCAGTCATAAAATAGGAGACAGGCTTTAAACACTCTACAAGTACACATTTGTATTCTTATGGTGAGATAGGCATTCAACTGGAAGGTTAAATGGAGTTCAGATAATTTCTTTTTTTATTCTTTGCTCTGGCTTTTGTCTCATGTCTTTCAGCAAAAGTGAATAAAGATGTCTCCATTTTACACCAAAAGATTCAATTACTTTTCAAATGCTGGGTCAACATCTGCAGATGAACAATCTTAACCAACGTATTTTGATTCTACACAAACTTATGTGACACTTTTGTTTTCTCTCCAAGAGCAGAGAATAGATTCAAGCCTGCTATTCTGAGCTGGAGCTTCCACTGCCACTAGCACTGAACTTTTGGCAGGCAGCCAACCAATCTCTGTAGCCCAGTGAAACTGATTCCATCTGCTCCAGCAGTGCAATATATTCCACTTCAGGTCAAAAGCGGGGAGCCAGCAGTATTAACATTACACTAATCTGTAAAGACATTTTCACTGGGCTAGATAGGCTAATGTTACACAGGCTTTCAAAGCTTCAAGGGTAAGGAGCAACAGTAATTGTCAGGGGAAGATACAGTAGGCAGTGGATTCTTGCTGAGAATATTCCAAGATAGTCTAGATGAATGGTTCTAAAGAATGAAGAAAGAAAGAAAGAAATACCTTTTAAAAGAGACAAGTCATTTGCTATCTTGTTAAGCAGGTATTTCAAACACAGCTTTGGATCATATGTTTAGCAATTATAAACTCTATTGTCCTTTTTTTTTTCTCATTTACTCCTGTATCCCCAAAACTTCTTAAGCACACACGTTTACACACACACAACCTCAAAGCCTATTAAATAATTGATGAGAAGTACAATCTCTATTTAATCTCTATTTAAAAAACCTAGCTGGAAATAAATTGCTTAGTATAACCTTGGTGTTATAAAATGAGAACTATTTCCAAGCTCTTAACAGATTTGTTAAATAAAAGTGAGCATGTGGCTAACCCCTCCTCCATCTTCTCCTCCCCCTCTACTTCATCCCAGCTACCCCTCCCTGCTTTTCTGTGGTTTGTAGAAAATATGCATAGTTTGGGGATACACAGCTCTATAATCAATTGCTCTTTAAACATAAGATACCAAGGACTTTATTATAGGCCCTTAATGGAAAATACACTGAAGGAGAATACTCTGAAAGCAGATTAATGTATACGATGGAAATTTAATACCAGTAGCAGAAAGGGTCTTTTTCATTTCCCTAGTTCTTTGGTTGGGGGGAGAAAGGTAGTTTAAGATTCATGCCTTCAGGCACATCAGAAGGCATTAACAACTACATTTCAGGAAATTGTAATGTATAAAAATTCAATTTAGCCTGCTTGATTTTCTTTTAGTAGAAGAGGAAAAATGTTTGGCTGGAAATAAACCGTATGAAAATTCCCACAATTAGGAAGTATACAGCTATGTTTTTGCTATAATTTGATGTTATGCACAGTTGACGTGAAAAATTACTTTTGTGCTAGAATGATAGATTTCCCTCTAGATGGAAATATGCTATCTCTGTAATTTAAAAAGTAACAAAACCCACACATAATTTCAGTTTTCTTTCCTTACAGAGTAAGTGAAAATCTAGGGTTATACAAAGTTTTCACTTATCTTCCTCTTTTTTAAACTTAAATATGAAAGCTGTTTGGAAATTTGTAAAACTATTGGGCTTTTCAATCTCAGAAAATAATGAAGTAAATTTGGCAAGCATTTTTATTGTACATATTTAACACTTACTCCCTCCATTTATTCCTTGTCATAAAAATTTGGCTATAAAAGGAACTAAACTTACATAGAATTGAAGACCTCCCCTTCTTTTTTTTTTTTTTTTTTTTTTTTTTTACAGTTCTCCATCTAAATGGAAAATTCACACAGGGTACAGGCTAATGAATATGCATGAGTCTTCATGCATTGATATACATATGATTTCTCGTCTATAAAGAACGGTTTGGAAGACTTGTTATCTGACCAGAAAAGCCTGTAGTAAGTTGAGATAAAGGATGCTGACTCCAATCCCCTCAGCCTTTGCAACTGCTTTATATTCTAATCACTGCGCTAAGCATCTGTCCCCGGCAGGCAGCTTGTTCAATCTAGCAGATAACGAATGCAGCCCAATGGTGGCTGTGCTGGCCCTTCCCCACGCACGCGAGGAGCTAGTGTTCCATTCCTCTGATTACACAGGCAGCGGGAAAGCACTCTCAGAGCTGTAATTGCCTCCGTTTTGAAACATCTTCACCTGTTAGCCAAAGCTAAGTTGAATCACAGCAGAAATTATTAACAGTGGCTGTTTTCAAGCCAGCTTAATTTGAGCTGATGCTGCTGTTCACTTAACCCAGATGAATAGGTGTGCAGGACGAGAGTCTAAGCAGAGATGACACCCCAATGAATATTCGCTCGCAGCCCTGCTGCGGGGAGCTGGCTTGCACAACAACAGACGATTGTTAAAAAGCTAAGGGGGACTGGGGCGTTGGACGGGACTGGCTCCTCTTCAGGCACCTCTGTGCTCGTGAGAACTTCCTGACTGATGGCTGCTTTTAACAGCTAAATCATTTTTTCAATTAGTTTCCACAAATGTTGGCAAACACAGACTGTTTTTGGGGTTGTGCACAATGGTGTGAGAAACACTACCCTGCTTCCAGAGTGGCCAGAAACACTCTTTTTCAGAGAGCTGAACAGGCATTAAAATTTAATGGTCTGCTTTCATTTTCTCCGCAGTGTGCTTCAAGATGATTATAAATTACAGCATTCTGCTTACTTTTGACGGAATAAGTCATGTATCAGCATTTGATTTAGAAGCTATGTGTGCTTGACATATGAAACACATCTTGCAGATGTGATTTATCACAGAGCTCTTTTTTTTTGTTTCAGGACAAAATAGCTGAACAGGAGGCTCACCATTGTGACAGTGACCGCCATCCCCACAGTGGGGGTATGGCTGTGGCTTCCGAAGATTGAATCTTAGGAGTCTGAAAAATCTGAATTTATCTCTATTTTTCAAGTTGAGGAATTCTTTTGTTTTTCAAAGCTCAACATGATTCCTAAAGATCTCACTCTTTAAAAAAAAAAAAAACAAAACTGCTGGGAAAAGATGGGCAAGGCATTACTAAATATGGGAATTTTCTCCCAAAGTTAGATGGGGTGTCACAGAGCAAGACATCCCCCTGTAATGCCAGGGCAATTTGGGAAGCTGCTGGCTTATAGGGCCTCTGATGCAATATGACTGGCTCAGGAGGCAGGTTGAGAGCAGATGGGGGATTTGTCATTTGGATGGGTATGAGACTAGAGGGATGGTCTATAAAGGCAAAGCCTGATTCTGCTGTCAGCTAGTATATTTCTTTGCCTCTGAATCTATATCTGCTGGTGAACTGAGCTGCAACATGGCCAATCCATTCATTTCAGCATCTCTTTAGCAACAGCTCTGATGACTGTCGCCAAAATAGTTGTGTGAGGACCCACACTGATCATGAAATGATTTAACCAAACAATCAGCTGGGCCATGCTTTATTTACCAAGTCTGACTAATAACTATAACAAAGCTGCAGAAATCCTAAATATTATTTCAGAATCACATTTCCCGTAGAAGGTGTAACTTGGAAGTATATTCCCCTTCTTTGTCTCCTACTGCATCCTTTGCATCCTTATAAAACCAAATTCACGTTTCACCTTACCTCTTCTGTGTAGCTTTATCAGCACCTCCTGTTAGTTATTCATGGCCTCTTCTCTTTGGACAGTCTATTCCAGTACTTGTGACACCGTACTGTAATTATCTGTGATCTTTCTTCCTCCCCCTATGTTATTCTGTAAGACCTAACTCTTAATCATCTTCCTCTCCTCAGTCCCTAGTATACAGCCTGACATAAAATAGGCTCTCAATAACATTTTTAGGTGAATTAATGTTGAATGAATATATAAATGAATGATTATTTCAGTCAAAGGAATATGTGAGAGTATATAGCAGGCCTGGTAATAGTCCCTTAACATCTCTTTCTCCTTTTCATATGGGAAAAGAAATCTCAGTTTTTAGCTGGGCACGTGGCTTCCTGGAATTAAGACTTTGTTTCTCAGCCTCACCTGCAGCTAGGCATGATTATTTTCTAGAATGGGTCAATGGGATGTAGGTGGAAGTGGTATGGTAATTTAGGCAGTGTTCTTGAGCACAGCTGGACAGAGACTGTAATGGCTGCAGCTCTAGCAGTCAGTTTATACTCCAGGGTGTTCTTGGGATTGAAAGCCCTGTACTGCAGAACAAGATTGAAGGAATTGGGGGTTCTGGTACCACAGAGAGCACACTAACCCTGGCCTGATTACTTACAGGTTTCTTGAATGTGAGAGGAGAAAAACAAAAGCAAAAAAAAAAAAAAAAAAACTCACCCTCATAAACTGTGTGAATTGAAATCCTTGCTATGATTTACCAGCAGGACCAGCTACATAATTTGTAGGCTTTGGTGCAAAATAAAAATGAGATATCCTTTGTTCAAACATGATTAACAATCCCAAGACAGCAACAGCACAGATTAAAGCAGATGCATAGAACCCTGTGTGATGAAGCTGACCTTGCTTACAAGGCCTGATATTACTTGATTCCTGCCAAAACTTCTTGAAACTCACTTTGTATCAATGCCATCATCACTTACTGCATTTTAGCCACAGAGGCCTTGTTTCCTGGACAAACTAAACTCTTTCCTGCCGTAAGACATTTGGACTTGGCTTTTCCAAGCTGAGAACACTCTCTCACAGGTAATTGCTGTGCTCATGATTCTCGTGCTGGCTTCTTCTCCATCTTTATGAAACAAGCCAGCATAACCTCCATAGAAGAGTCTTTTTTTAGCACCTCTTCACTTGCAGTATTATAGTGCCTTCTTGTTTCTTCTGAGTCACACCTCTACTGATTTCTTATTATATTGCTTCCTTTTAGAAATTACTAGAATGTAAACTTCTGAAGGGCAGATTCTTTTTGTGTTTTGTTCATTGATATATTATTCATACAGTACACTGCTTGCTTAGAATATAGTAGGAACTCACTGAATATTTGACATGTGGTAAATGAGCACAACTTCAAGAATTTGGGCATTTAACCTGAATCATTTGGGTTCAAGGGTAGATTTCTTTTTTTTCTTTTTTTTTTTTTTGAGATGGAGTCTTACTCTGTCACCCAGGCTGGGGTGCAGTGGCATGATCATGGCTCACTGCAACCTCCACCTCCCGGGTTCAAGCGATTCTCCTGCCTCAGCCTCCCAAGTAGCTGGGAGTACAGGCGCACACCACCATGCCCGGCTAATTTTTGTATTTTCAGTAGAGACGAGGTTTCACCATATTGGCCAGGCTGGTCTCGAACTCCTAACCTCATGATCCACCCGCCTCCCAAAGTGCTGAGATTACAGGTATGAGCCACTGTGCCTGGCCAGATTTCTTGAGCTTTCTCAAAAACACTTTGCCTGATTTTACCAATTTATTCTATAAACACTTGATTCTCTATATTTGGTTATGTGGAAGTAGCCATGCAAAGGTAAAACTCACTTGTTTAAATATTTCCCAGAGTTGTTAGATGTGTGAAAAAGGAGGAATTTTCTCTCTGCTGGACATCTGTTTATATTGTCATTCATAGACACATGCCACCCTTAGAATCAAAACTACTTACTTCCTTCTCCTACAGCTTACTGTCTACATCAACATGTCTACATTCAGTATTCGTTATTTTCATTAGCATAACTTTACTATTCCAGGAGAGTCTTGCCCAGGCAAATAACTTGATTGTTCATTACTGGAACTCCCTGGAATATCCATCAACCCTTCAACAGAAAACATCAACAGGGAGTTGTTTCCATAGATTCTTTGAATCCTTTGCCTCACTTCCGTTCCACCAATCCTAAACTGATATATTACAATCCTTACCCAATCCTAATCAAGTCCTTGTGTTGGAAGAACCACTTCACACCAAACTTTTGAAGCAGGAAAATAGGGTCAGGAGGCAGGGAACATAAGGCCAATTCACACTTTAGCTATGACAGGAAATATCCTCTCCTAAGGGCATAGGCCAAGTAAATAATTTTGTAACTTTAATTCTTCCTCTCCATTTACATAGGGCATATGGAAGTAACCATGGAATCCTCTAGAGGTTACTTAAACTCCCCCAAATTCTGTACTGGGGCCCTTGGGCCCTTATGCTCAGCCCGCTCCCACACTGTGGAGTATACTTTCATTTTCAATAAATCCTTCATTCCTTCCTTGATTTGTTTGTGTCTTTTGTCCAATTCTTTGTTCAAGATGCAAAGAACATGGACAACCTCCAACAGTGACACTTTCAATGCTCAATAAATTTTGACTTTGCCTTCCCATCCCCAAGGGGTTATGAAAGGTAAGGTGGTGTTCTCCATTGCTACATTGAGTGATACAATGAGTTTCGTCTTCTCAACAGGTTGTGTTGCTGATATTTGGGGAGCTGGTGTTCAATAATTTTAATACCTTAAAAAAATAAAATGTCTGAGCTTATAAACTTGATTATTCAGAATAATCAGTTGCAATATATTAAGAGAAAAAAATAATGAACCCTATCTCTCAAGAGAAGCATTTTTCCTTACAGGCATGTCCAGGTCAAAAGTTTACATAAATGATGGTACATAATGATACCCATGTAAATCAGAGAGTATACAAGCATATTTCTATGCTGGCACTGTTCAGTATGGCAGACACTAGACATATGTGACTATTAAGCACATGCTATGTAACTAGTCCAAATTGAGATGTGCTGTAAGTGTAAGATATATCCCAGATTCAATGACTTAGTATAAGAAAATAATGTAAAATATCTAAAATCTTTATATTGATTACATGTTTAAACATATTATTTTGCTTGGATCATAATATTTTAGATATGGGTTTTGGATATAATATATATGGATTAGACATACTATATTATATATAACATATTATTAAAGTTAACTTTATGCATCTCTTTGCATTTAAAAAAACAAAGGTTTGAATTAATGACATACATGGCTTGCATTATATTTCTATTGAGGAACATCATTCTCTCTACTTAAATAATACAAAAAACAAAAATAAAACCCCCAAACCTTGGCAAATTGCACTGTCAATAGGGAGGACATGATATATACATTTCTCCCTTGTGATGTCTTACTTCTCTAACTTTTTTTAAAAGATCTTCACTAACATAACCATACACAATATTTTTAAGATGTAAAATATCATTGGTAAGTGGGCACTCTTAATGTACTTGAAAGCATTAAAGATAATTACCCTTAAAAGTTGAGAAGCATCTAGAAGTCATTTTGCTTATGACTAAACTGTTAGAAAAAATTTTTTCCACATTTGGCTTAGCAAGAGACATTTCAACGAACAGGAAAAGCAAAAAGGCCCAAGTGTTAATCTGTGTTTGTGGTAAATGGCGAGGTAGATCTGAGACTGCAAAGTGTAATTCAATTGTAGTAAGAGGAAGATATAATCTGTAATTTTTTTTCTACAACTGGTTCTTTCTTTTTTTCCTGAAGAATGATGACAGCTATCATGCTTAATATGACAGAAGAGGGATATCCGTATTTTCACCTCCCTTCTGTCGTATTGTTTGATTAGAGATACTCTAAACTTGTAGTGTTAGAATATGAGGGGTGGTATACCATTTCTCCTTGAAAGACACTTTTGATGAGAACAAGACAGAGATGAGATAATCTCGGGCCGCTGACTCAAGCTAAAAACAGGAACAAGGCAGGGGCTGGGACAAAGGTTCCTGACCTGAGGTGAAAGAAGAGAGAGAAGCTTGTTAGGACAAGGGGTGAATAAATAAAATGTCCCAGTGCCCTGGGAGGAGGTAACTTTATTCTTCACCGTCGGGGACAAGAAAACTCCACTTCATTGTCATTCACTCTTCTGAAACACAAGACCCAAGCATAAATCCAGAGGGCCTCCTTCCTGATCAGGCGATTGAGATGTTTGTTTTCACTGCAATGTGAGTTGTGTCCTCCTTTGAGTCCCTTGTCCTTTGAAGTTGTTTACATGTTTGACAAGTTTGACAGAAGTTTCTAATGTTTAAGTTCTCATACATTGATAATGGAATGTTAAACTGTAATTTCAAAAATATGTCTTTATTTCTGAGCTTCTCTCACATACAATTTTCCTGATGTTTTAAGCAGAGAAATAGAAAATGTTTTGACAACTGTCTGATCTTTGACAAACCTGACAAAAACAAGCAATGGGGAAAGGATTCCCTATTTAATAAACGGTGTTGGGAAAACTGGCTAGTCATATGCAGACAACTGAAAGTGGAGTCCTTCCTTACACCTTGTACAAAAATTAACTCATGATGGATTAAAGGCTTAAATGTAAGACCTAAAACCATAAAAACCCTAGAAGAAAACCTAGGCAATACCATTCAGGACATAGACATGGGCAAGGACTTCATGACTAAAACACCAAAAGCAATGGCAGCAAAAGCCAAAATTGACAAATGGGATCTAATAAAACTAAAGAGCTTCTGCACAGCAAAAGAAAGTATCATCAGAGTGAACAGGAAACCTAAAGAATGGGAGAAAATTTTTGCAATCTATTCATCTGACAAAGGGCTAATATCCAGAAACTACAAGGAACTTAAATTTACAAGCAAAAAACAAACAACCCTATCAAGAAGTGGACCAAGGATATGAACATACACTTCTCAAAGGAAGACATTTGTGTGGCCAACAAGCATATGAAAAAAAGCTCGTCATCACTGGTCATTAGAGAAATGCAAATCAAAACCACAATGAGATACCATCTCATGCCGATTAGAATGGTGATCATTAAAAAGTCAGGAAACAACAGATGCTGGTGAGGATGTGGAGAAATATGAACGCTTTTACACTGTTGGTGGGAGTGTAAATTAGTTCAACCATTGTGGAAGACAGTGTGGTGAGTCCTCAAGGATCTAGAACCAGAAATACCATTTGATCCAGCAATCCCATTACTGGGTATATACTCAAAGGATTATAAATCATTCTGTTCTAAAGACACATGCATATGTATGTTTACTGCAGCACTCTTCACAATAGCAAATACTTGGAACCAACCCAAATGCCCATCAATGATAGACTGGATAAAGAAAATGTGGCAGATATACACCATGGAATACTATGCAGCCCTATAAAGGATGAGTTCATGTCCTTTGCAGGGACATAGATGAAGCTGTAAACCATCATTCTCAGCAAACTAACACAGGAACAGAGAACAAAGCACCGCGTGTTTTCACTCATAAGTGGGAGTTGAACGATGAGAACACATGGTTACAGGGAGGGGAACATCACACACTCGGGCCTGTTAGGGGGTGGGGGGGCTAAGGGAAGGATAGCATTAGGAGAAATACCTAATGTAGATGATGGGTTGATGGCTGCAGCAAACCACCATGGCACGTGAATACCTATGTAACAAACCTGCACATTCTGCACATGTATCCCAGAACTTAAAGTATAATTTTAAAAAAAAGGAAATGTTTTGAGACAAGATGATATTGTATCTCTGAACTTTGACTCTTCAGCTCTGCTATTTTGGCAGCATAATAACTCTTTCCTTGAGGAAACTTCCTTAGCACTGTTTTCCTGGCATACAGAATCAATAAAAGAATGCTTTAGTATTTTATAAGAACATGATTTTCCCAATTTCTTTCAAGGAGGAAGAAACACTGGAAATCATTCAGAAAATCTTGTTCTTTTGAGTTTTCTTGGCAACTGAAGTATGTAGCATAGAAAGCTAGGAGAAAATTGAAATACAAATAAAACCTGAAGTAATGATTACTTAAATACCATGACATGAATCTCTAGAGTTGGCCCTTATCATGAAAGATAAATAGCTGTTACTTCCTAATTCTGATTGTTTTGCTGAGAAGATCTATTATATATAGTCACCACGGACCCATGCTTTCGATATGCATCTCTCTCTTCAGTGATTGAGTTTCTCAGGCATACAAATTGTGTGTACAGCCAAGGAAGTGTTTGGGCTTATTTCAAAGGAGGGGAGACTAAGACTAGGGTTATGTGCCGAAACCAAACAGCTACTTTTATGGAAAAAAATTAAAAGCTGTTGCTGTAACTGGTGGTGGAAATTAGAAATTTTTGTTCTCAATTGCGTGGTTAATCCCTTGTCTAGATGACTATTTTGGTGCTTTCTTTAGAAGAAATAAAAAGTGTATTTCCACTTGTGCTACATTTATATTTTATCTCTGTGTCCTATTGCTATCTGGGGATCTTGACTCATTTGAGATTATAAGGGAGACAGACCTCAGTTGGTGGTACAGGGAAAAATGGTATTTAGACTTTAAATATAACCTCTATATTAATATTTTAAATCACTGAACTCACTCTAGGCTTTAACTGTAAAAAAAAATTAAAGTGATTAAAAAAAAAAACTAGACCAAAATGGGTGTAAGTACAAAAGGAATTTATTGATCTGAGTAACTGAAAAGCTCTGTTTGTCTCAGCAGGTGGGTTTTGATACAGCAGCTCAGAAGTTGTCACTGAAGACCTTCCATGGTCCTTCCAGGTCAGGGAATTGCTACTGACATTCTCACAGCAAAATTTCCATCTTAGGATAGAGATACATCCTAAGGAATCTTTTAGGATGGTTCCCCAGGAAAATTGGTCTTTGTCCCAGTGTTATGGGCTGAGATATGTGCCCCTAAGTTTATATGTTGAAGTCCTATCCCCCAGTGACTTAGAATGTGACTATATTTGGAGACAGAGTCTTTAAAAAGGTAACCAAGTTCAAATGAAGTCACTGGGGAGGACCCTAATCCGGTAGGATTGGTATTCTTTTAACAAAAGGATTTTGGGACACAGAACCACACAGAGGGAAGATCATGTGAAGACAGGAAGACAATCATCTACAAGCCAAGGAAAGAGGCCTCAATAAAAAAGGATAAAAACCTATTCCTAACTGGCGATCTCGACTTGCCAACACCTTGTTCTCAGACTTCTAGCCTCTAGAACTGTCAGAAAATAAATTTCTGTTTATGCTACCCAGTTTGTGGTACTTTGTTATGGCAGATATCTTGGCACAAGTCAGAGAAGATATGCAAATATTTGGAATGAACCACTGTTATAACAAATAATAACAAATAATAACATTAGAAATGATAAATACTAAAACAATAACTATTTCTTTAACCTGTATCATTTGCTAGTACTTTAATCAAAAATTTCCAACTTATCAGAGGCCAGATATTATTCTATCTAGGTATCATTATATCTGATTTTTCTGCTGAGAACTCCAGGGATCATTAAGGTTAAGAACCTTGATCAAGTTCACATGGCTGATTGGGTGCCTAAGATGGGATTTAAGCAAATTGTACTATTCCTTGTTTACAGGCAAGAGCTAGTGTTGATATTTCTGACAGGCCAAGGTAATTGATTTGGCCACTCCAATGTCTGTGCTGGGATCTGTAAAACCCTGAAGAGCAAGCTGACGCAATAAAACAGATGGCCTTGTGCCGAAATCTCAGAAGGGCTGATGTGGCCAAAGCAGAGGCTGCTTTGGGCTACAGTTGCAGGGGAGAAGAAAAAGACCTAAGAGAAGCTGGGACAAGGTTTGGGGGCAGTTTTTCTCACCAAGAACATCTGTTCTCTGGGAATGGCTGGGTAATACACAACAGCTTTGAAAGCCTTTGGCATGACCTGGGGTAGAGATGATAATGAGAGAGCTTTCTACTGACATGTCAGATGACATGCTGGCTTTCTAAATTAATGAATCAATTTCTTAAATTTTCTCTTACCTTTTTTTTTCTTCTTTTACCTTGATTAGATTTTATTTCTGATCTCATTTGTGGTGGCTCTGGGGCCAACTGTTCAAAGAAGCCTGTAGGGAAAACCCATGCTTTGGTTTAGATACCTAGAACTTGGGTTATAGAAGAGGAAGATTTTTTTCAGAGTTGCTAGGCAGCCTTCTGCTCATCTTGCCCTGTTACCTCCCAAAATTCCAATATGACTCAAAAGCAGGATCAAAGCTACAGAGTAAGGACTACTCTTCACTCTGGTAAACAAAAGAGGCTGCAGTGAATTAACAGGTTAGGAGCCATGGAGACCTGGATGTTCCCAGGAAACAAACTGAGACAAGTTAAGGCAGCTGGACCTGGTGACTCAACTCCACAAGCTTAGACTTTGAAATTATCATATTCGTTCATTCATTCATTTATGTGTCAAATGTATAGTAGAGGAGGAAAAAATGAACACTGAATGAGAAGAGATAGGGAGTAGAGATCAGAATAGGTTTAGGGTGAAAAAGAAAAACAAAGCAGTAGCTTATGGGGCACATGGGGTAACAGGAAGGGTTTTCCATTTGTTTGGTATGGTTAGGCTGAGGACAATAAGTAAGTGGAGAGACTGAGCAGTCAGGAGTGACTAATAGAATAATGCCCAGAAAGTGTGTTAAGATTACATCCTTGCATGGAGGAGTTGGATTTGACAAACCATAGCATGCTTCTTTCTTTGAGATGGAGACAGGAGATGCTGTTATCTGTTTACCTCATTTAGGAATTCCTTCTCCAGAAGACCCAAAGTATGTTTCTTATTAAATCATGGAAAACACTAATTAGCCTCAGATAAAGTCATAGATTACTTGTAGAATGTTTGTCGTGTAATAGGTAGATTATAAATTATTTACTCTTTCAACAGGTTTACTTTGTATTAAGATTTTGGAGTACAAAGTAGAGTAAGACCTAACCTTTTTCCTCAATGGACTAGCATTATAGTAAGAGTAACAAGTATATAAACAGATCTTTACAAGTATCTTTAATGCAATGATCAAGGTACTCGGAGGCAATGTCACCCAGTAGTGGCATATGTATTCACATATGTGTTGGGGTACACATGTTAATATCAGAAAAGGTGCCCTGGAAGCAATAATGCATGAGGTGAACATATTTTAAATTTTATAACATGCTTTAAAAATTAACATGTGTATAGTACATTTATTATAGAAAATATTTTAAAAAGAAATTAAAATGAGTACATTTTCTTCATAATATGGCATCACCAAAGGAAAGACTACTACTAGATTTAAGCCAAACTTTTATTCTTGTGTGTGTGTGTGTGACTTTGACACTGGACAAATTTTATCGCATCTCTGGGTATCAGTTTCCTCATCTGAAAAATGAAGAGGTTGGCCTCCAAGGCTGCTTCTAGGTATGATAATCTGAGTCTTTGATCTAAGAACAAATTAATATAGCACTGAGAGCATAAGTGATTTCTAATTGCTAAAGTGTGACAATTTAAAATAAGAAGCCAAAATGGTCTCCATAATTAGCTCTGACACATGCCCCCTCTATGACAAAGGTCAGCCATTTTAATTTCCTGTCTTGCTTGCTATATCCCCCAAAAGGGGGATAACATTTCTGATACCTGCCTTTTTTCATGAATCTCTTGTCCAGATTAATAAAGACCTTACTTCTCTGAAGGAAATAGCTCACATATTGAAGGTATATTAATTCCTTCAGGCCATTAGGGCATCATTTGCTTAATTTGATTCCAAGTGACAGCCATGCACCCCATTTTCTTTGGTAAGCTCTTGGTTTCAGCTTGTAAAACAGAAAAGCTATTTAGAAGAAAGAGGATCAATGATCATAGAGTCTCCTTAATATCTGCTGATTATTTTTTTTCCAGGTAGTATTTTCTTTAAAATGTTATCATGCTGTTTCTTAAATAAGCATTTATGGGTTTTTTTCCACTTACCATCTACCAGATGAGAGCTATATCACATGCTGAGAAAGCTGTGGATTTTTACAAAAGTTAAATCTCACAAGGATTGATTCACACTCATTTGAGGATCTAGGGTGCTACTTTCAACCTTAGGGTTTTTGCATTAGGAGATACACATGACTCAAAAACCTTTGTTAGCAACCTCTTCTTTACTAGCAAAGAGTCAGAAATTGGGCCCTGTAATTTAGTTATGTCACTTGGAGTTGTGATATTTGCTGAATGGTTTCAAGTCGAAGAGCAACAATTTATTGCAAACTACCTGCAAGGCCTTGTGTTAGGGGATGTAAAGATTCTCTGAAAAGGTCTACAATTTAGCAGGATAGAAATCTGCAGCATCCTTCTAACTCTGATAAGTGTCTTGATAGTGGTACAAAGAGCTGTGGGAATTCAGAACAGAGGCAGAAATAATGGAGAAATACCAGCCTTTAGTGGGCCTTCACTCAGCCAAAATAAAGCATTCCCATAAGAGTATGAAGGGGGAAAAAGCCCCTTGGCTTTTTCTTCCACTGGTTGAAAGAAGGAGACCTTAGCCATTGACAGAATGATGTGCCTGTAGCTGACTTCTCAAATAATGTCCTAGAGACAAACTATAATTACTGCAGTTAACTGCAGACTGAGGCACTGACACATCCCCACTCTCTCCTTTCAATAGTTTCTCCAATTTGTGCCCAGTTCAGGATTGCAAGAGGGGAAATATTATTTCCAGGCACTTTCAGATTAGATTGTAGAGCCTTGCATGGAAAATAGCGATTTCCTTTTCCTTCCCTTTTCTCTTCCTTCATATGTCAGTCTCTTGATGAGGAACTAAAGGCTGGTAGGAGAATGGATAGTGAATTGAAGAATTGAACCATTTGAAGTCTTAGAAGGCTTTTTTGGATGATTTTCATTTGTTCTTTCTGCTTTTTTCAAATGATTGAAAAAACAATAATAAAAATAGTTGAAAAATTGTTGAGAAATAGGGCAATTATGCTATATGTCAAATAACATCAAATGATTTTCCAAAGAAATTCTACCTATTTGCAAGCCAAATTGTATGCTATGATTCCTAGTCTATATCCTTGCCAATATTTGATAATATCTGACTTGTAAATTTTTGCTAATCTGGTATGTGTAAAATGATTTCTTGGTATAAATTTGTGTTTTTCTTATTACAAGTAAAATTGAGCATCTTTAATGTGTATTTTTCTCTCCTATTAAGTGCCTATTTATTATTTCTTCTCCTGCTAAGTGGGTTTCTTTTTTAATTGGTTTGTTTTCTTTTTTACTGAAGAGTAGGAGTTATTTCTGTATTCTCAATTTTAATTTTTTGTGTTATTTGTGCTGTTAACTTTCTTCTCTAAATTTATGGTTTGCCTTTTCATTTTCTTTATATTTTGATAAACTAGAATTTTTAATCTTAATAAAATTAAATTCATCAATCTTGTTCTTTATGTGTTGGGCTTATTGTATCTTGTTTAAATAACTTATCTGGAGATCATAAAAATATTCTATATTGTCTTCTAACATTTTTATAGTTTTACTTTCTGCACATAAGTCTTTAATATCCTTTGAAATTGATTATCGTACATGGTAGACATGGGCCCAAGTTTTCAGTTTTCTATAATGATGAAATTAATTATTTCAGCACTTTGTATTGAAAGTCAATAATTTTGTTCCTCACTGATCTTCTGCTCCAGCTCTGACATAAATTAAGTTTCTGTATAAATGTACATGTTGTTTAAATTGGCCTCCTCCGGTATTACCAAGAGACAAAGTTGAGTTTATTGCATAGTGTGTTAAAAGAGAACATAACTTCACAAAATACTGGCAACATCCTAGAGTGGGGAAAGTAAGGTCAAAATTTATTGAGAAATGGAAGTGTGATTTAAGACTTGCCTTTTACTGTGAGGACTTGTTTAGTAGTAGGTAAGAATCATGACACTTGAGGACTGGTGGGAAAAGTAAAGAGGGGATTTTGAGGTCAGGAATTCAACGCATCTCAGGGTGTAAACTGCTGATGTTTTCCATGGAAGAGTTGTTGAGTCTTTTGTAACATTCTTGTGATAAACAATAAAACCATTTGCTTTGACAGGACAGTCATGGAATAGTAAAGAAATGCTACGAAAATAGTGAAATAGCACAGTCATATTCATATGGGCAATAAGGTGTGGTTTCAGTTCTCAGTGTCCACACTTCATGCTTGAAGCATGAAAGTAAAAGGTTTTGGTTCTCAACATATTTCTGGATTGTCTGTTCTGTTCAATTGGTCATTTTTTTTTTAAATTCCTGCTCTGATATAATCCTTTCCTAATTAATAGCATTCTAGTAATGCAGAATATCTTGTAAGATAAGGGCCTCCCATCTCGTTTCCTTTGATGAGTTTCTTGGCTATTCTTGGCTCTTTCCATATCAATTTTAAATCAGCTTCCCAAGTTACTTACACATACACATGCACATACACAAAGCTTGTCAGAATTTGATTGCGATTTTAGTGAGTTATCAGTAAGTTGTGCCAGAATTGACTTACAATATTTAGTCTTCTAATCAATGAACATGGTATATCTCTCCATTTATATATGTTTTTCTTAATTTCCTTCACTAAAATTATAGAAATTACTACAAAGACCTTATACGTTTTTTGTTGTTTGTCTTAGCCATTTTATTAACTTTTTAGATGCTATTTTTGATGTTACTCATTAAAATTATCTATTTTAAACATTTATTTCTGGTATATACAAATGTAATTAATTTCAATGTACTGATTTTTTGACCTAGCAATTTAATTTACTTTCCAATTAATTTTAATAATTTCCTTGTATATTCTTTCCTATTTTTTAATGTGGACACTCATATTGTCTACGACTAATGACAGTTTTTATTTTCTTCCATTCTTGTTTTCATGCCTTTTATTTATTATTCTTGCTTTGCAATGCTGGATAGGATCCATATTGAATAGAAATCTATTTCTTTTTTTTTTGTTTGAAAGTAAGGTGAGTGCTTGCAGTGTTTTATCATTAAGTAGGATGTTTATAGATTTTTCTATAGATGCTCTTTGATAAATTAGGAAAGTTTTCCATTATTCTTGGTTTGCTTAGAGGTTTTTTTTCAATCATAATTGCAAGTTAAATTGTATCAAATATTTTTCTTTTTTCTATCAGGATAATTATATAACATATAATTAATGTAATTAATTATTTTTCTAATATTAAATTAATATGTACTTCTGGATAAATCCAGTGCAGCTATGTTGTGTTGTATTTTCATTTATTGCTGAATTTTGATTGCCAGTATTTTGTGGTTGTCTTTTTTCTTTTTTTTTTTTTGAGACAGAGTCTTTCTCTGTCACCTAGGCTGGAGTGTAGTGGCGCAATCTCGGCTCACTGCAACTTCCACCTCCTGGATTGAAGCGATTCTCATGCCTCGGCTTCCTGAGTAATTGAGACTACAGGGGCATGCCACCATGCCTGGCTAATTTTTGTATTTTTAGTAGAGAGGGGCTTTCGCCATGTTGTCCAGGCTGGTCTCAAACTCCTGAGAGCAAGCAATTTGCCCACCACAGCCTCCCAAAGTGCTGGAGTTACAGGCATGAGCCACCTCACCTGGCCTTTGTATTTAGATATTTACTCTTATCTAGTATCCCTCATGCTCCCTGGCTCACTGTAGCATATGCTGCTTGTTCCAACAAGCCAGGCTTATAGGGCATACTATTGAAATTTATGTGTCAGCACAATTGCCAGTTACTTCAAGTCACAGAATTTAGGGCTTGTTTCAAAAGTTAACACAACAAATATTACATCTACATATGCTGAGTGTTTAAGATATAACCCTGCATTTTTCACTAAGATTTTATGAAAATTGCATAAATCAATAAGTGGAAATAATAAATGCAAATGGTATTATGATCATTATAAAGAAAAACTTTACATCTCTCTATGGATTGCTTGGAATTCTATTTGACTGCTAATTGGGTATTGTTAACTATATATATTCAGTATGTAAGTGGCTATTACACAGAAGCAAATACTACAAATTATCTTATTCCTCCTTCTAGAAAATGGACACTGAAAATTATATGTCTCATATTCTTTAATTTAGAAACAGAAAACCATAAGCTCATAAGCTCTGATAAAACTCTAGCTCTCAAAAATCATGCTGTAGCCAGAGACCATGGGTCTTTAGTTAGTGGGTAGCAAATAATCTGGACAGGATAAGAAACTGTTGATTCAGAGGTGATAATGAGACTAGGATCTGAACCATGGAGCCACTTAGAACAAGACAGACAAAGATGAAGCAGGGATTGTTTCTTTTAGGTATATTACAAATATCTAGGAGAAATAATATTAGAGGAGAAGGTTCCTTTGTAAAGATTTACAGCTTTTGTCATAAAATCCCAGGGCTAGGTATACTAAATTTACTTGTCTATAAGGTGCCTGAATTTTCACATTACTTGGATAGTATCAAAACTCTTTGTATCTCTTTTTTATTTTGGGCATGCTCTAATAACTATCTCTAACAGAACTATTTCTTTAACAAAAAATTACATGAAATGGAAATTAAACATCCAATTTGTCAAGGAAGAATTCATAAGGGAAATTAGAA
Source organism: Homo sapiens (assembly GCF_000001405.40). Lineage (NCBI taxonomy): Eukaryota > Metazoa > Chordata > Mammalia > Primates > Hominidae > Homo > Homo sapiens. Next base: position 125,216,700 of record NC_000005.10, read on the forward strand.
ATATCTTGAGAACAAATGAAAATGAAAACACAACACACCAATATTTATGGGATGCAACAAAAATAGTACTAAAAGTGAGGTTTATATTTTCATTTGATAAATGAGTACGTTTCATGTAATAAATGAGTACGTTGAAAAAAGAAAAGATCTCAGATCAGCCACCTAACTTTATGCCTCAAAGGATAGAAAAATATCAACAAACTAAACCCAAAATTAACAGAAGAAAGGAAATAAAAAAGATTAAAGCAGAAAAAACGAAGTAGAGAATGAAAAAACATTAGATAAAATTAAAAAAAAAAAAAACCTAAGACTTTTTTTTTTTAAGTTGACCAAATTGAGAAATCCTTGGCTAGATTAAGAAAAATAGAGAAAAGATTCATATAACAAAAATTAGAAAGGAAAGAGGAGACATTATAACTGAAGCCATAAAAATAAAATGGATCACAAGAAACTAATATAAACAGATATATTCTAACAAATTGGATAAGCTAAAAAAAGATAATAGGACCATACAATTTACCAAGTCTGAGTCATGAAGAAATAAAAATCTAAACAGATCTATAACTAATAAGATCAGATCAGTAATCAGAAACCTCCCAACAAAGAAAGACTCAGCACCAGAGGGCTTTGCTACAGAATTCCACCAAACATTTAAAAAAGGAATTAACACCAGTCCTTCCCAAACTATTCCAAGAAATGGAACACTTCTTAATTCATTTTATGAGGCCAGTATTCCTCTGATACCAAAATCAGACAAAGATACTGCAAGAAAGGAAAACTACAGACCAATATCGCTGTGATAGATATTAATGCAAAAATCCTCAACAAAATACTAGCAAACAGAATTCGACAACACATTAAAAGGATTATACACCATGGCCTAATGGAATTTATTACTGGAATACAAGGGTGGTTTCACACATGAAAATAAATCAGTGTAATGCACCATGTTAACAGAATGAAAGACACAATTATGTGATTATCTCAATTGATGCAGGAAAAGCATTTGACAAAATTAACATCCACTCATGATGAAAACAGTTAACAAACTAGGAATGAAAGGAAATTACCTAAAGATAATAAAGGCCATATATGAAAAGCCCACAGCTAACATCATACACCAATGGTAACAAAACTTAGAGGTGCACTTACCTCTAAGTTCAGGAACAAGGCAAAAATGCCTACTCTCACCACTTCTGTTCAATGTAGTATTGGAAGCCTTCACCAGAGCAATTGGGCAGGAAAAAGAAATGGAAGAAATCCAAACTAGAAAAGAAGAAGTAAAATGATCTCTGTTCATAGAAGACATGATTTTACATGTAGAGAACCCTAAAGATTTCCCTAAGAAACCTGTTAGAATAAACCAGTTCAGTAAAGTTGCAGGATACAAAATCAGTACGCAAAAATCAGTTGCGTTTCTACATACCCACAATGAAAAAAATGAAAAGCAAACTAAGTAAATAACCCCATTTACAAACATCAAAAAGAATGAAATACTTAGGAATATACTTAGCCAAGGGGGAAGAAAGCAGGTACTCTGAAAAGTATAAAACGTTGCAGAATAAATTAAATAATGCACAAATAAATGAAAATTATATCTTGTTTCCATGAATTGGAAGAGTTAATATTGCTTAAATGTCCATACTACCCAAAGTGATTTACAGACTTAATGCAATCCCTATCAAAATCCCAACCACTTTTTTTTTTGGTAGGAATAGCGAAAACTATCCTAAAATTTTAACGGAATTGCAAAGGACCACAAATAAATGAAACAATATTGTGAAAGAAAAACGAAGGGGGAAGCCTCAAACTTTCTGATTTCAAAACATATTATAAGTCCACAGTAATTAAAACAGTATGGTACTGGTATAAAGACAGAGGTATAGACCAAAGGAACATAATAGATAGCCTAGAAATAAACCCTCACATTTATCATCAAATTATCTTCAAAAGGGTACACAGTGGGGAAAGTATAATCTCTTCAACAAATGGTGTTGGGAAAACTGGATATCTACCTACAAAAAATAAAGTCAGGCTCTTAACTATATACTATATACAAACATTACCTAAAATGAATTAGAGACCTAAACATGAGACCTGAAACTACAAAACTCCTGGAAAAAAATACAGAGGAAATGCTTCTAATGTTGGATTTGGCAATTTTTTTTTGCATATCACACCAAAAGCACAGGCAACAAAAGTAAAAATAGACAAATGGGACTACATCAAACTCAAAAACTTCTGTGCAGCAAAGGAAACAGTAAACAGAGTGAAAAAAAGCAACTGAATGAGAGAAAATATTTGCAAACTGCACATCTGATATATTAAATTAATATTCAGACTATGTAAAGAACTCCTACAACTCAACAACAACAGGAAACAATCCAATTAAAAATGGGCAAAGGACTTCAATAGACATTTCTCCAAAGAAGGTCTACAAATGGACAACAGCATGTGAAAAGATACTCATCACTTTTCATCAGGGAAACACAAATTAAAACCACAATGAGATATCACCTCATATTCGTTAGGATGGCCACTATAAAAAAAAGAGAAGGCTGGGCATGGTGGCTCACGCCTGTAATCTCAGCACTTTGGGAGGCCAAGGCGGGTGGATCACGAGGTCAGGAGTTCAAGACCAGCCTGGCCAAGATGGTGAAACCCTGTCTCTACTAAAAATACAAAAAAATTAGCTGGGCATGGTGGCGGGTACCTGTAACCCCAGCCACTAAACCTGAAAATTGTTGGTGAGGATATGGAGAAATTGAAAACCTTATGCACTGTTAGTGGGCGTGTAAAATGGTGCGGCTACTATGGAAAATATTATTGAAGTTCCTCAAAATATTAAAACTAGGATTAACATATAATCTAGAAATCCTTCTGGGTATTTATCCAAAATAATTGAAAACAGTATCTTAAAGAGATATTTGCACATTGATGCAGCATTATTCATAATAGCCAAGTGGTGTAAGCAAACTAGATGTATACTGAAAGATTAATGGATAAAGAAAATGTGGTAGACACATACAATGGAATATTACTCAACCTTAATAAAGGACATCCTATCATATGGTATAACATGAATGAACCTTAAGGATATTATGCTACACAAAAGAAGCCAGTCACAAAATGACAAATACTATATGATTCTACTTACATGAGGTATCTATAGTAGTCAAACTCTTAGAAACAGAAAGTTGAATGGTGGTTGCCAGTGGTTGAGGGAGGGAGAAGAGGGGAGTTGTTCAATGGGTATACAGTTTCAGTTTTGCAAGATGGAAAAAAAGTACATGAATGTGCATTTAATTTGGCAATTATAAACCTTTGATTGTGGGAACTGCCCAGAGTGTCTAGTACAGTGGCTTGCATAAATAGGTTTAAGTAATGTTTATTAGACCAAATTATATTTATTGGCCAAGGTAGAAGAAGTTATTTATGAATTTATAGACTAGGGCAGTGTTTCTCAGAATTTTAAAATGCATTGCCTTCTTTCATCAAGCACAAAAGCTCTTATCTTTTTTCGTGTTATTTGTAATTTCAAAATAAATTATACAGCATGATTAAAAATTTATACAATAGCAATTTTTGAATATATCTTGTCACACTGATCATAGGCCCATCCCTCACTGATTTCTGCAGCACACCCCTAGTTAGTATGTTTCCAAGCTTGAAATTGCTGCTGGAATCTAAAACAGAGATGGCAAATAAAGGCACATATGCTTGTCACTGTCCCCTTTTTTTATACATGGCAGAAATGAATCATATTACTTTCTTTTCCAATGCACCCAGGCATAGCATCTGAACTCCTCTTAACACAACCCACATGGCAGCCACACCAATGGATTGGTGTTAGTTGCAAGATGAGGTCAACTTTCCATCCTTGGCTTAGGGTGTAATTTTCAGGTGCTTGAATTTATGTATAAGGGTCTGTGGATCAAAATAATGTACACGCTGATGTTGCACATAGAACAACTGGAAAGAACTCTGAATGCAGGAGCTGCTCATCTAGCTGTGCCCATTCTGAGTACTCAAAAGTCTACCTAGTTTGAGCATCTACGTACAATAACATGAATATCTGTCCCTTCAAAACATCTTTAAAAGATGGTGAAATTATATTTAGAGAATAGCTGAATATATACTTTACAATGTAAACTCTATCATTTACCATAAATATAATATATATGTAAACTCTATCATTTACCATATATAATATATGTATATATGGTACTATGGTATATATATGGTACTATGGTATATATATGGTAATATATATAATAATATATGTAATATACCATATATAATATATGGAATATTATTCAACATTAATAAAGGACATCCTGTCATATGTTATAACATGCTGTTATAACATGAATGAATAATACATGTAATTTGCCATATATAACATATGGTGTATATATATGCTAAATGGTATATATATATTTATGTATATATGCAATAGATTATGCTGTCTACCTCTGTTTTCTTCCAGTGTGGGACTATAGTTACTGAATCTACTGAAATGCTTGTGGGGCACATTCCGTGTTCATGTTCTCCACAATGGTGGTATATCACAAGACAAGTATACTAGGCATCTTATTTGGGAGCTCAAGAGTTTATTGTTTTTGTTTATTTTTGCTATGAAGAAGTGCTTCTATCTTTTGCATCACAGTTTCTTATGTCTGTGGTCTGTCTGGCAATACAAACTCATTCAGGTGGATACATGTGTGTGCATGAGTGTGTGTCTTTGTGTGTGTTGACAGAGTTAAGAATATGCCACCTCAAAATATGCTGCCCTGGCATATTAGCTACTTAGAGTTAAAGGCACTTGGAAAACAGCAGCTACAAGAAGATTACTCTGACCTTCCTTCTGTTTCTTAAAAGCAGGGAATGAAATTCCCAGGTGAAAGATATCCTCCGTGTACCATAAGGAAAGTATCATTCTCATCATCAAGGATGGGAAGCTGGGACCAAGGGAAATCTATACCAACAAACCTTGTTAAACTACCCTCATCCCCCTCATCACTTCTCTACCCAATTAACTACCCTAGCCCGACCCCCTCTGCCTTGTCACATTTTTATAATTTGCTGCTCTTTGTCCAACTCAGTATGTAAGTATTCAATTCTAACCTCATCTTTGGGTCTTCATTTCCTAGTGAAGGCTCCTATGCTACATAAAACTTATACTAAACAAATCTATATCTTTTTCTCCTGTTGATTGATCAGTCTTGTATCAATTTAATTCTCAGGCCCAGCCAAAAACCCTAGGAGGGTAGAGGTAAAATGTCACCTCTGCTACATTGTGTATGTGTTTCCCTTTCTTGGAGTTTTAGTTGAAAGCCAGTTCTTCCATTTGTGCAGTTTCAGGTCACTTTCTGCATATTATCTTCAAACATTCTACCAGAAGCAGGAGTTCTGTTGGTTTCCTTTTTATAATGGTCATGCCCAATGCCAAGTTGGATACATAGAGAGTGCCTTATTATGAAGGTGGATAAGTAGTTTTCAGGTATTAAGTGCAGACTTTCCCCTTCACATACATGTACAGGTCATTGGCTGTCATCTCTAAGGTGGAGAACCTCAGGAGGGAATGATGAGTTGTGTTATCTTAGAGGGTGAGATACTGGGCTCCAGGGCTCCAGGCATGCCAAACATTCCCATGGCCCAAGTATTGCATGATGTCACAAAGCTGCCAGGCTTTGTGGAACAATTTGGGCTTGAACACTGTTCATTCAGCAGTATTGAATGAAAGATTGAAAGAGACTCTGACTGTTTCACATGACCCTAGGGGTCAAAGAGTAAAAAATACAGAAAATCAACTCAATTTGATAGTTTATTAAGTTGTCCTTCCAAATTCTGCACCTATTATGTTTTTACTTCCCTAGAAAGAAAAAAAATTGACTCCCACTTTCAGGATCTAAGGTCCGAGGAGGAAATACGTACCTCTCCTAAGGGACTATTCACTTATCCCTCTACGGTTTGCTAAGCCAATCCCACCCCCACCTCCCATCCCTGGCAAGGTTATTCTGAAAGTAGACTAAGGGGAGGCCCTTTTAGCATGATTGGAACTCTCACCTTGGCAGCCACCTCTCAGACAGCCTGCTGAATGGCTTCTCATAAACCCAACAAAGTGTTAAATACTGCGAAAAAACCTTCCATCTTCCCTGTCCAGCCGGGGTTGAGCTGGTGCTACTGAAGTGGACCCATTTGTGTCTGTGTCCGTTTGATGAGGAAGGTGCAATTGATTCATCCTCAGTGCCTTCTGTCATCAGCTCCTCTTAATGGGAGAAGTTGTGAGTAGTTTGGAGGCAAGTCAGACTAAGCTTGGAACAGAGCAGGCCATTCAGCCTTGACCTTGTCATGCCAGCAGCGCTTTAAATGGGTTATATTTGTGTGTGCTTTTTGAGTCTGAATATCCTGGGTCAGTGCCCTCTGTGCCAATTTCTAACCTCAGAATAAATGCAGACCTATTTTCTGGGGACTATTTAAGAACTTAGCTTGCCATATGAACTTGATTTTAGTAAGCTCAAAAGCCTGGATATTCAGCCCTAGTGACTAAAGCCCTGATGTTTGACAATGTCCACACTCTCAAAAGCTAGACTCCTCAGGTGTTCTGAAATTCACGACCTTTTCTTGGCCTCAGGTATCTGACACCGATGTGTAGCATTTCAGAAGTGTGTCATAACCAGGATTCACATGCATATTTTCTGGGGACTGGAGTTTCATGCCTTGGAAACAACTTCAGTTTTTGGTGGGAAGTTATTTTTATCAAAGGAAAAACAAACATTTTATAGCCTATCCTGGTACGGTAGCCTGCCTTTGGTGACAGAACCAGAATCTGGGCAACAAGAAATGTTCTTATGCTTTAGACTCTGCAAGATCAATTGCTGGATACTACCCTATCCTTTCCATGAAAAGGATCAGTGTTTGTGGAAACCCAGAGTTTGGGATATGTTTTTAATATTTTCTCTTCAGTGTCTTTTTTTGGTAGATATCCCTAAGCTAGGTTGATTCGGGTGGGTATTATCTACTAAAAATTAATCTTATTAGCAAATACCTATAATATTGTATTTACTAATAAGATTAGCAATAATAAAAGAATAATTATTCTTTTATTCATACTTTTTATCACCATCCTGTATTCAACCCCTTAGTAGTTTGAAAGTGCTGATATTACTCTTTCAAACTCAGTCCTTCACCAAGTCACTCCATTCCCTCAATCAACACACTGTTCTCCAGGAGGATCATAGCTATTTTTCCATTGTTTTGAAACATGGGTCACAGTTTTAGGCATTTCATAAGTCTTAGGTGATGCAGTATATCAGCAATCCTGGATGAAAGCTACACCTGTGGATATACATTTGTAGCCACATCTTAAATATTCAAGAAATGTTGCTGTTCTTTATTTTCTTCAAGTCAACTTAAGTCAGATTCAGCAAAGAACCCCAACCCCCATTCCCCACCCATTCCTGGCAGACCATGAAGGTCAGGCAATTTGATGTCAATCACAATTGGGACTCTAAATCACTTCTGTGAGTTAAATTAATCTGCTCCAATTTTATGAGTTAAATTAGTCTGCAGCAGAATTTTTTCAAACTTGACACATCAGGCTGAATAATTCTTTATTGTCAGAGCATCCCGTGCATTGTAGAATGCTTAGTAGCATCTTTGGCCTCTACCTGCTAAATGCCACATTTAAGAGAGTCCCTCATTAGCCATGATAATCAAAGTATCTTCTTTGCTGAATGGCTGGCTATGTAATTTGTGGGTCACAGGAAAAAATGAAAACATGGAGCTTTTTAAAAATAACTTTTGCTTATAAAACATAATGGGGGACTAGTAATATATGAGTAAACAACATAAAGTTATAAGTTACAAAAAAAACTATGGGATTACAATTTTATATAACAGAATAAAGATGTGTGATTAACATGATGTCTCAATCATAAGATTGTTCTGACTTACCTTTCTACAGATTTATTCATTAGATCTCTAAATTTATACTTTAGCTACTGTATTTTCAATTGATATAATTGAAAGCAATGTCAGTTGCTCCTGGAAAGTGTGATATTGCAAGTAATTTTTAATTTTGAGAAGTATCTTTCTGCTGATGCAACCATTACTAAAGCTGTTAAGAGTATTTTAAAGGCTATGATGACATTGGGATAAGTTTCTGGTAAATTATTTCAAAATATACATTTTAGTATGTTTACAGCATTGACGATTCTTATGTACCCATTTTTTTAAATAAAAAATTTAACTCTTCATATAAGTCAGTTTTCAGTTGTCTGAATTTAATTTTAAATGTAAGTTTACATAATGGCATTTTGATATTTTCTCTGACATTTCTTGTGACTTGAGGAGGTCATATAACAAACCTAAAGTGGTTTTGTGATTTGTCTCTAATTCAAAGAGCCTGTTTATATATTCTATCATCGTCTCTTCAATTACAAGAAAAACTTAATTTTAAAATTGTCTCCCTCATTAATAATTGATTCATCCAACGCTTCATATGAAAAGAGTGTACTCTTCTGTCAAATGTGACAATGGTTAAATTCAATCTCTATTTCTAATTCTGTGGATGTTTGCTCTTTAATGTTGCAGCAGTTTTTGAAACCAGAGATTCTAGCTCTTTGAAGAATCCTAATAACTCCCTGATATGCTTTATTGCCATGTCCATGAGTACACTTTTATTTTGTAAGAATTTACTGACAAGGTTTTCTGTCTGAGCACCACACTTCCTGTCCTGGTTTTCAGACCATCGATTTAATATTCATGCAGATGCTATAGAGATGGGCTCTGGGAATTGACAGACACCCCAGGTCCCCTCACTGGCACAGGCAGAGCCCCTCCTCTCTCACGGGTCAGTGGATGCTGCCACCATTCTTGCAGCTTCTGCCATTGCTGCCACTACTGTCACCAGCAATGTGGGCCCAGGACCTGGCTCTGGCCATCCACTTGGGGCTCAGGCTGCCTGTTGCACCTGCAGGACTGAGCACCAGCATGGGCACCAAGAGTGTTTCCCCCTGCTCACCTGGGGCTCCATTGTCTAGTCAGACTTACTCACAAAACACAACTTCACAGGCACAATAAAACATTTCAAGAGGCTGATACCAGAGCATTAAGCCAAGTGTAGCTGAGAAGGGCCCTGTGTGACCTTATAGTCTGCAAGACCATGTAGCCAGCCAACCCAGCCAAGGATTCTCATCTAGTCTGGAAGGGCTTCCTGCACAGGGGTGGATGTGCAGTCTTGGTGTTCAGTAATGTCATATTTCTTTATTGACTTTAAACCAACCCACATTCAGTCAGGGTCCCTTTAAACCTAACATCAAAAATTACCCTTACCCTTTTGGAGGCCTCCTCCCATGAATAACGGTCCCGTGGATGTTACACAGAACAAACATCAAGGGGGGCTGCTGCGTTTCTGTTCACCATCTTGGGGGTGGGTACTCTGCAGCTTCCCTGTCCTAGAGGGTCTTCGGCTGCATAAGGATCAGTTGTCTTCCCAGATGCCCCCATAGCCAATGCACTGTGAGGTTCTGCTCCTCTGCCGGTGACTGCTGGGACTGTGGGTCCTGAGTCCGAAGATCTGGAAATCCACAGAACAGTCTCCTTTCCCAGCTATGGGAGTATAGACTCTTCTCTCTTCTTCACCTAAAGTTCTCAAGAAGCTCAGGCTTCCAGAAAGCAAAATCCAGAAAGTGGGGTGCTTCTATCTGGTAACACAGTTGTCTCCCAGGCAAGGGATCTTCTGGGCTGTCGTTTTGGAGAGTGTGTGTGTGTGTGTTTGGTGTGTGTGTGTGTGTGTGTGTGTGTGTGTGTGTCTGTATGTGTGTGTGTGATGGGAGAGAGGATGAAGGGGGAAATAGGGTAGCAAAAAATGCAGAGCAATAACACACGTTGAGACTCATTCTCTTAGGTGAATGAGTGTCACTGAGCACCCAGTCTGTGTCAGGTACTTTCAAGTTTCTAGGAATAAAGCAGTCAACAAAACAAACTCCCCATCCTCATGCAGTTGACATTTTTATTAGAAGAGATAAGAGTGGGCAAATAAGTACATAAAATATGCTGTGCATTCAGGGGGAATGTTATTTAGAAAAACAAAGCAGTACAGGGGATAGGCTATGTCTAGTGGGGGTTGTTATCTGCTAGAGAGAGGTCCCTAATGTCAGTGATGATGTGTGAGCTGAGACCTGGAGGGGTTTTGGGAAGAAACCCCTTCACCCGTGTGGGTGAACATTTGAGGGCAGAGCATTGCAAGTAGAGGCTGTGGACTGGAGCAAGCTCCGCACATGTGAGGGAGGGCGAGGGGCCACTGGGATTGTGTGGAGGTGAGATCAGAGGTCGAACAGTTGGGAGGAGCAGAGCTGTTCACCTGTAGGTCACTCTACAACCTTGCTTTTTTTCTGAGAGAGTTGAAAAGATGGGTTTGAGAAGAGGAGGGGCATGGCAAGAGTTCTGTGTTAAACACAAGGATCCCTCTGGCTGTTATATCAATGAAGCATCCTGCCATGGAAGGCCCTTAAATGCCATTAAACCCCACTGTGCTAGCACAAGTTGCCCTTTGGAAGCTTCTCTGGGTTTATTTTTGGGGCACAGAGGGATAATGGGAATGAGGTCCAGCTGCTGCAATGTGATGGTTACTCCTTGGGACATATTTGTGCTCCTGAGGGATCTTCCTAGATGCCTCAGGTTTCCCAGGGGTAGCAAAATGTGGCTGCTTGAAGCCATCCCCGAATTATTCCAATACCTTCAAAAATCAAGTTGTTGAAAGTGTGAACAGCAATTCCGGAGCACTCTCTTTCCATTTCTGGCCACAAGGGGCCTCCTTTCCAAGTGGTCTGGCTGTCAGGGCAGCTCCTCTGCCTGGAGGTTGGTGTTGCCTGGCACTTTGCATGGCTGAAAGACCACCACCATATAAACAATAACAAGGCCTGTTGGCTTTGAAATTGGTTATGGAGGCATGAGAGGCTCTGCCCTGCTCAGCTCTCATCAAGATGAAATCGGCCAGGTCAATTTGGAAAAGACATTTCCTCTTTCTCCAGGCTGGCTTTACTGTAAGAAATGGCCTCTGACTTTGAAGATGGTCATGAATGGTCCACTTTTTGGGAGAGGTCAATGTTTCTTTTATTTTTTCCGTTGAAACTGAGGTCAGCAAGCGATAGAAAAAGCAGATCCCTGTTTTTCAGCTGACTTCATCACCCGTCTACAAGGTCATGCTTAATGAGTCACATCACTGTTCATATCACTTGTTAAAATGTACAGAATTTTCTACGGCCTGTCTCTTTCATTTTAAGTGTAGGCTCAAGGGCTTAGATTCAGAAAAATCTGGGGAAATCTGACAGGCTTTAATTCCAAAAATGAGAATCTCTGATATTTCTGTTGTTCTTCCTTTTAAGTAGCTCACTGAAACATTATACATTTTACAGATTGAGAAGTGTGGATTTTAGTGTTAACTGTGTTCTCTTTCCCCATGCACACATCTTTACACCACCTTTTCAATGTAACTGAAGATAGAAGAGCAAGACAGAGAGAGATTAGAACTGTCAGAACTTTAAAATGGGAAGCACCCTGACAGACTAGAAGAAAAAAAAATAAACCAAGACTTGTTAACGCTATAATTTCACTGAGGGTAGGTATCTTGTTGTTGTTGTTGTTGTTTTTTTTTTTTCATTTGGTTGTTTTGCAAGCTTAGCACTGTGGAAGAAAAATAGAATGTCAATAAATTCAACATCGAACATCTATTCAATGAGTTATTTCCTAGTAGGAGGAAAAAAAATTGAACCAGTCTAGGCAGTCTAGAGGGAAACTGTGTAAATGACTTGTAACTAAGAGGATATGACCCTCTGCATAATTCATAATCATTAGTCTAAGTGACACTTCTGCAATCACTCTGCCAGGGCACTCTAATATGGTGGGGCTGGAACCCAAACAGTCCACTCAGCAGCAGTCCCTATATGATCAGATTTCTCTGAAAGACAACTCCCTGGAAGGCTATATTTGGGCTGCAGGACATATATATATATATATATATATATATATATTTTTTTTTTTTTTTTAACAGAAGATGCTGGCTCAGCTTCATCATGTGTGCAATTTAAGGGTTGCTCAAGTGATTCTTTAAAACTGCATAAAAGCAATTCTGCTGTGCCTGGGAGACAGTGTTGCTACAATGTTCTGTGCATACATCTGCATGATTTCTCAGAGCTAATTCAAATTTAATGCATTGGTAATTCCTTTTTCGCCGAAGCCACCCAGCAGTAATCTGAAGGTCACAGAATGATCTTTCGGCTCAAATAACACTTTTAGACTAGCATAAATGGAGAGGCAGAAATATAATGGGCAGAATTAGGCTTGCAATGATACATTCACCCTCATTACTACCCTGAGTGAGGCTGACCAGAGTTTAGAGTGTTTTTAAAAGGATAATCATAATAGAGTGTTAATAAAACTGAGAGTCAAACTATAGCAGTCTTTTATCAGAAATGGTGTAATAACCAAAATGACAGCATGTGAACAACTTAGAAAATATTTTCCTAACAATTGAAAAGACTATTCTCAGGGTAAAATTAAGGCTTTGATTGAAGCACTTAGAAGAACCAACTCAATCTGTGGGGCATCAGAGACTAACAATTTAGGTTGGTTGTCATAAAAATACTGACATCCAATTAAAGTCCAGATGAATAATAAAAAGAGTAAACTGGGGAGTATTTTAAATGAATTTAAATAAGCTTTTTAAATTTTATAATAAAATTATATTTTTATAAAAAATTGTGAAGATAGTTCAAAGAATTCCCATAGGTCCCACATGCAATTTTCCTAATTATTAACATTTTATATTGCTGTGGTTGATTTGCCATAATGGAAGAACCAATGCTGATACATGATTATTAAATAAAGTCCACACTTTACTCAGATTTCCTTAGTTTTTACCTACTGTCCTTTTTTCTGTCCCAGGATTTTATCGAAGATATCTCATGATATGTAGTTAGTTGTCATGTCTCCTTTGGCACTTCTTCCCTGTGACAGTTTCTCAAACTTTCCTTGTTTTGATGACCTTGACAGTTTTGAGGAGAACTAATCAAGTGTCTTCTTGACTGTCCCTCAATTTGGGATTTGTCTAATGGTTTCCTCGTAATTAGACTCAGGTTGCGGTTTTTGGAAGACCACAGAGGAGAATGCCATTTGTATCACATTATATCAAGGGTTCATGCTATCACCATGACGTCTCACTGTTGATGTTAACCTTGACCACCTGGCTGACATAGTGTTTGTCGGGTTACATTTTTCCCCCTTTCCATATCACATCCATTGGAAAGAGGTCACCGTGCAGCCCACGCTTAAACAGTGCAGTCTTGCACTACCTCCTTGAGGATGGGATATCTACCTGAATTATACAGAATCTTCTACATGGGAGATTTGTCTAGTCTTCCCCATATAGTTTTTAACCATATATTTATATCAATATAAACTCATGGATGTTTATTTTCTACTTTGGGTATAATATACCATGTTATTTTATTGCTCAAATTGTTTCAACTTTGGCCATTTGAAATTTTTTGATTGATCTGAAAGTGTCTCCATTGTTGTGGGGCTTTCTGAAAAAAAAAAAAAAAAAAAAAAAAAAAGACTTTTTTTACTTTCTGGGACTACAAGATGATTAAGCCTCATTTTTTTTTTTTAACTTTTAGATTCAGAGAGTACATGTGCAGGCTTGTTACAAGGGTATATTGTGTGATGCTGAGGTTTAGGGTACAATTGAACTTGTCACCTAAGTAGTGAGCATAGTGCCCAATAGGTAGTTTTTCAGTCCTTTCCCAGTCCCTCCCTCCCCCTTCTTGTAGTTCTTAGTGTCTATTGTTTCCATCTTTACGCCCACGTGTACCCAATGTTTAGCTTCCACTTATAAGTGAGAATGTGTAGTATTTGGTTTTCCATTTCTGCATTAATTTGCTTAGGATGATGGCCTCTGGCTACATGCATGTTGCTGCAAAGGAAATGATTTTGTCCCTTTCTGTGGCTACATAGTATTCCATGGTGTATATGTACCACACTACTGTTGATAGCACCTAGATTGAGTTCATGGCTTTGCTATTGTGAATAGTGCTGTGATGAACATACAAGTGCACGTGTCTTTTTGGTAAAATGACTTATTTTCCTTTGGATATATATCTAGTAATGGGATTGCTCAGTCAAATGGTAGTTTTAAGTTCTTTGAGAAATCTCCAAACTGCTTTCCACAGTGGCTAAACTAATTTACCTTCCCATCAACAGTGTATAAATGTTCCCTTTTCTCAACACAGCCTCACCAACATCTGTTTTTTTGTTTTGTTTTGTTTTGTTTTTTGTTTTTAACTGTTTAAGAATAGCCATTCTGGGCTGGGCGCGGTGGCTCACACCTGTAATCCCAGCACTTTGGGAGGCCGAGGCAGGTGGATCATGAGATCAAGAGATCAAGACCATCCTGGCCCACATGTTGAAAACGCATCTCTACTAAAAATACAAAAAAGCCAGGTGTGGTGGCGGGCGCCCGTAGTCTCAGCTACTCGGGAGGCTGAGGCAGGAGAATCACTTGAACCTGGGAGGCAGAGTTTGCAGTGAGCCAAGATCACGCCACTGCACTCCAGCCTGGGCAACAGAGCAAGACTCAGTCTCAAAAAAAACGAAAACAAACAAACAAAAAGAATAGCCATTCTGAATGGTGTGAGATGGTATCTTACTGTGTTTTGATTTGCATTTCTCTGATGACTAGTGATGTTGAGCATTTTTGCTTTTTTTTTGGCTTCTATGTTTTCTTTTGAGAAGTGTTCATGTCCTTTGCCGATTTTTTAATGGGGTTATTTGGTTTTTGCTTGTTGATTTGTTCAAGTTCCTTATAGATTCTGGCTATTAAGACTTTTGTTGGATGTATAGTTTGTGAATATTTTCTCCCATTCTGTAGGTTGTCTGTTTACTCTGTTGATAGTTTCTTTTGCCATGCAGAAACTATTTAGTTTAATTAGGTCCCATTTGTCAATTTTTGTTTTTGTTGCAATTGCTTTTGAGAACTTGGTCATAGATTCTTTGCCAAGGCAGATGTCAAGAAGGGTGTTTCCTAGGGTTCCTTCTAGTAATTTTATAGTTTTAGGTCTTACATTCCAGTCTTTTGCTCATCTTGAGTTAATTTTTGTATGTGGTGATAGGTAGGGGTCCACTTTCATTCTTCTGCATGTGGCTAGCCAATTTTCCCAGCACCATATATTGAATAGAGTGCTCTTTCCCCATTTTTGTTGTCAACTTTGTCAAAAGTCAGTTTATTTTAGGTATGTGGCTTTTTTTCTGGGTTCTCTCTTCTGTTGCATTGGTCTATGTGTCTATTTTTCTAGCAGTATCACGCTGTTCTGGTTACTGTAGCCTTGTAGTATGGTGTAAAGTCAGGTAATGTGATGGCTCCAGCTTTGTGCTTTTTACTTAGTATTACTTTGGCTGTTTGGTGAGCCTCATTTTGTATGTTTACCACCCCAGTTTTAGGATCAGCCATTTCTCCAAGGAGCCCTGGTTTCTTTTATTGGAGAATGGATTTAGAGAACAAGATCTGGTGCGAGGTATGTTGGTTGCTACTGAAGTATCATTGTTCTATGTCCTCTCAGCTGACAGAGTAAGGAAATATATGTATGTATAACCCATGTATTAATATATTCACGTATCTATAAATATTAACCTATGTAACACTATGTATTTATAGTAAGCGAAACATGAGTTTATACCAGGGTCTCCAGGTCAAATCTTCATAGATCATACTAGACTCTTCTTTGCTTATTTGTAACTTTCAACTCCAACAGTGAGAAACTTGGTCAATTTGGGAACCCCTTCTACATTTCTTTTGACATCTAGCTAGCATAGTTAGTAACTCAGTCATTTCTATCTGCCCATGATTGTAGAATAGAATATATTTCCACTTCCTACTCAACAGATTGATATTACCTTAAACTATACAGGCAATTAATTAATTCAATGATAATTTCTGAACTAAGTCCTTGCCAGGAACTGAATAGGATTCTTCTTATCCTTAAACATGATTCCCTCAGGCTTAAAAAAACTGTGAGAGAGATTGCATGGCCATTTCTTGTTCTATGGTGGTTAAACAAAAGCATTTGGCTTCAAGTTTTGGCAACCTCGTGAACGTCATAGGAACAAAATCACTAAAAGCTGTTCTTTCCTGAAACCAAGTATTACTCATTGGCAGATGTTATCTGTTAGTAAAAGGTTTGCAACCAGTAAATGCTAGGGATCAAGGTCCTACTTAATACAAAAACCTGACATCATCTGTGTCACTTACAAATCTGGTATTAATTATTTGATAAGCTTGGGGCTGATTTTGTAACACAGACATTTTGTTGTATGAATGGTGAATGTCAAGGATGACTTATTACCCTGAACACATTTAAAAGGAAGGCTAATATAATTTCTTGTAAGAAATACCCAATGGCAGCTGCACGAGAGAGTCAATTACAGTGTTGTATGTGCTACACAGACTTATTTTTCACAGTCAGAGAGAAGGAAGAATAAGGCACATGAGAATCTCTATAGTGATGATGCTCTTGCATCCGTGATTTTTGGATTACAAATATAAGGAAAGAAAAAGAAAACAGGAAAGGGAGGGATATTGCTGAGCAATATGAAAGTGATCTCTTTCGGCCTCCATAATGAATTTATGAGGAGGTTTAAAAGGACCATAAAATAACCCTTTAATAGAATATCAGGTTGAGGGATCATGGAGAGGGATATCAACATTATTATAATTTAATGCAGTAGGATTTTCTATCCTAACAGTTTTATTTAAAAAATATTAAAATAGAAGTTGTTCAGTTTATTGTTTTTTGTAAATACAAAACATGTTGAATGTGTGGCTCATTATGGAAAAAAAAAACCTAAAGCTGAAACCAAACTTCATGAGATTGACTAGATAATATGGCACAGAAGTATTTCCTTAAAGCTCAGTTTAAGTTATGGTTATTTATCCCAAAAGGAGAAGTTTAATTCTGTTTAATATTTGGATTAAACGGAAGGTAAACTGAAGGCAAGCATGGGGTCCCTGCCTCCCTATAAAAGCAGCAATTTATAGAAGGACATGGTGACTCTGACAGAAACAGTTCCTTTCTGCTCCTGACTGATTTGTCCTCTGAAAAATTGCCCACATCCTATGTTGACAATTTGCTGACAACATTACTGAGAATGGAGTTTAGTTTCTAGTAGAGTCACATATCACATAGGCAAACTGGGTACCTGGTTTTTGAACATAAATACATGTTTTCATGGTGGTAGGGGGGTCAACAAGGCAGAGTGTTAAAAGCATATACCCCAAGTACTTCATAAAATATGCTGAAGTTCAGTCTGCCTCTGAGACCTGGTGTTAGAAATACCGATGAAGTCATGTGCATAATAATAAAGTGGCATACAAAGGCCAGAGACTGCTATGGATTCTATTATATGTGGTGTAGCAAGGCTGACCTCTCCAGATACATGCAATGAGGATTCTAGTGTCCCTTTGAAAATGTTACTTAGTCTTTCTGGGTTTCTATTACCACTCAGTGCAGTGATAACAAAGTAAAAGCCCGTATCATTGCTGTTGAATCAGAATGTGATAAGGATTTGAATAAATGACTTAAAAGTTAACCACTGTTCTTGTTCTGATCTTTTTAAAACCTGTTCATGCAATGAGATTGATTTAATCAGAATAAAAAAGAATCAATATTTGTTGAGAAGTCAATGATAAATACATTGATTTCAGTGAGTTTATATCATTAAATACACATGGCAGTGCCTTTCCCACCATGGTTACTCCATGCATGAGAGCTTCCATTCCTATTCCTCTTGCTTCTCTTCAGTAGGTTAATACTAAAGCTTGAAGGAAGGGCTCCTCCTCTAGTTACTTTTTATTCCACATACCTCAAGAGTAAACTTGACATTTTTATATTTATAATGTAGTAATTAAGAATACTTAAAGTAAAATAAAATGACAAGAATCATAAAGTAGAATTTAGTTACTTCCCTTACCATTTTATCAGCTAGATTTTATCAAGTTAACTTTTAAAGACACAAAAATTCTCAAAGCTAGAATAACGTCCAAATCTATTAGAGTGGAATAAAAATTTCTTCAAAATCTGTGTCCAAAAATAGCTAACTAAATTATGGAAAGATTGTCAGTGATGGTTTTTAAAAAAGAAATATAGGTAAAATGATCAAGACATGAAATTTCCACCTATTACATAATTAAATTTAGGAGGTTTGATGATACTGATGGCTGGCAGGTCTGTGGATAGAAGAGCATGTTGGATAAACTGTTGATGAAAGGATAGAATGGAGAGTCTAGAGATCTATTTGGCCAAGACATTTATTTACCAAGGTATTTATGTAAAATGGTAATTACAAAAAAACTCAGAAAACTACCTAGTCATCAATCAAATCAGTTAAGTTGTTTTAATGCTACAATAAGTTATTATGGTGCTAATAATATTGAGTTAGGACTTTGTATATTACCAGGAGAGGATCCTACAAATATATCACAATTCCTCCAAAAAACTAGCAAGATGCAGAACAGCTCATATAACATGACTTCTCATATGAAAATTTGTATTGTTCAAAATACTTCTTCCTTTAAGAAAACTCGAGAAACAATTAGTAGAAATTTCCTTGGGGAGAGACATCAGAGAGAAGGGCTTTTACCTTCTTCCTGTATTTTTATGGATAATTTTAATAACCCATATGTATTTATGGTTTTGTTTAGAAAGTTACCAACAAGGTGAATTGGGTATTGAGATTATGATTTTTTTCTTATTCATAATTTACTAAAGAATTTCAAATACTTGCTATTTAAAATTAACAACCAGTAAGGCCTAACCTGCCTTTTTAGCTCCATTTCTTCCTATGTTTTTCCTTTTCCCATTCCTTAACTGGCTACTTTCAGAATGGGTCATATATTTTCATTTCTCTGGGTTTTCTGCTGGGAATATCTTCCTCCTCCTTTGCCAATCTGGTAAACTCCCCTTTTACTATTTTACACCAACTCAAATACTGTAAGTCCATTGTACTCTTTGTATTTTTAGTGTTTAACCTTGTGCTTAGAAAATGTTACTTGGTATTAAGATTTTTCTTAAAATGTTCTAAGTATTATGGCATCTTTGAAAAATAAGCTTAATACTAGAGGAGATGAAGAGAGTTGTTTTTTACATGCTTCTATATGTGAAGTTTAGAATAGGAACTTTAGCTTATATAGTAAGTCTGTGATATTCAGAATTTTGAAGACACATAATAGCAATAGCATAACAATACTCATGTGCCTATTCAGAAACACCTTGCAGAGCAATGTGGCTACACACCAACCCTTCATGCCCGACCTCCCCTGTGTGAAATATCTCTCCCTACTTTTAGCAGACATTGAACGTGCCAGTGAGAGGTTAGGAATTTTTTTTTTTTTTAATCCTGCAGGGGAGAGGAGCATAGCAGCAGAGCTGAGGGAGAAGTAATCAAGTGCACTGCATGAGAAATTTGCATTATTATCCAGTAGTAGATTGCTTTGCTTGCCTTGTTTTCACCAGCCCTGTCCCTTGACAATCACCTTCACACTCAGCTGCACTTCATAGCTTGTTTACCATGTTGCAATGATGTTTACTCCCTAAGTTTATTTGATGTTGGCCATTTGAAAAAATTATCATTTAAATTGGTTCCTGTAACTAATGAGCATATGTTTCATGTGTGTTTCACAGGAATGAGCCGGTGGAAGTATGAGTGTGTGAAGACTCTTTTTGTAGTTATTTTAGCCACAGTAGAATGTCAGATTTTAAACTATTTAGGTGCCAAGGGGGAGATCTCCCCTGGCATGACATAATAAAAAGAATTTTGTGGAGATGACAAGAAAACTGAAACCAAAGCTGAGATAATTATAAGCTAACTTAAAAAAAATTAAGTCTGAAATGTTTTGAACTTGCTTTGGGACATTTTGAATCTATTGAATGAAGTAATTATTCCCTTCAGACTTGCTAGAGGGAGACTGCAGGAATGTCAGATTCGTCTCTACAGCTACAGATTGCTGTAGTGAGTTACACTGAATGAAAGTGTGCAGAATATATTATAATTCTCTGTAATGATACTGTGGAGGGTGACGCTTGGTACCCAAATCAATGTGATTTGCATATCCCACTCAACTTTGAGAACATGAAATAACTCTACTGAAAGCAAAGCAGAAAGAGAAGGGTAATTAGGAATGAGTTATGGAATCTGAAATGAAATTCTGCAGAAACAGAGGGAAAAAAACCTTGAAGTGAAAATCAGCCACTTAGCATCTTTTCAACACTCTTCTGTGGCTCAGCTGAGTGTTTTGGATAAAGATGACTTGTTCTCTCACTAGAGGTAGGCAAGTGAGGAGGGCCTGACTAATCAGAACCTTGCATTCTCTTGGCTACAATGACTGACTCCTGGATGGGCATGTGACCTGGTAAGACAGCCAGTGAAATGCGGGATACTTGGCAGGAATTGCTGAGAGAAATGCATGCTTATTATTCTCTCCAGCCCTAAATTTGCAATTGTGTAGCTCTGACAGCCAACAACAATGAATGAAGCCAAGATCAGAAGAAGGACCAAGTCCTCAGCCATTGAGATGCTGAGTCAAGCCACAGCTAGAGCTAGAGCTATCCAAGACTTCTTAATAACGTGACCTAATAAATTGCCCTTTTGCTTAGAGATTTAGGTTGGGCTTTCTGTCATTTGCAATGGAAAGAGTTCTGATATATGATCATTAGATTGTTTTATCTGAAAATGTACATGTCTTAAAAACATTGAACAAGGCAATCACTAAAGTTCTTTCCTAAAGATACTGAAATTAGAACCCATAATATCAATGAACTATAAAGGAAGAGATTAGACTGTGGCTGTAAACAATATACCTGACATCACCTCTGGTTTCTTATCACCTTTTCCAGCTTTGAATGATATTTTCATTACCTGTTCATATGTATATTTTAAATATCACTTTTACTTCTTTTGCTAGAATGAGTATGGCAATAGACTCACTAAGCAAGCCTGTGTTTAACACTTTTAATAGCCCTTTAAACAAACAAACTGTTTTAGCCCTCTTATTTGGTCAGAAAGACTACAAAAGCACAAATGGTATTATGGGCATTTTTCAACTCTGTTATTTCATTATAAATGTATTTTATTTAAATAATTTCTTGGCAAATATTCATGACTAAAAGGTACCTGCTTCTGGCCTTTATATATACTCACAGTAAACAGAATACACATTTAATGACAAAATGTCTTTTTTATTATACAAGACAACTTTGCAAGCATTTGCTGTAATAAGAAAACAACACTCAAAAGTGTATTAGTCCGTTCTCATGCTGCTATGAAGAAATACTCAAGACTGGGTAATTTATAAGGAAAGAGGTTTAATTGACTCACAGTTCTGCAGGGCTGGGGAGGCCTCAGGAAACTTACAACCATGGCGGAAAGGGAAGCAGTCACATCCTTCTCCACATGGTAGGAGGAAAGAGAAGTGCCAAATAAAGGGTGAAAAGCCCTTGATAAAACCATTGGATCTCATGATCACTCACTCACTATCACAAGAACAGATGCGGGTAACCATCCCCATGATTCAATAAACTTCCACCGGGTCCCTCCCATGACACGTGGGGATGGTGGGAAGTACAACTCAAGATGAGATTTGGGTGGGGATGCAGCCAAACCATGTCAACAAGTCTTAGCTTGAGAACTTGATTTTAAGAAAGAGCTTCCAAATGTTGCTCTAGAATTATGGCTATCCTCAATCTAGAGATAATCTTGGAAAGGAGATATGTATAATTCTCTTTCATATGGTCATTTTTTATAAGGGCAACAACAGAAAATAACTTTAATGCCCATTGCCAAGAGAATTGATAAAAAGTGGTATATTAATAAAAGGGAATGTTATATTTGTACAAAACAAATGAAACGCAGCTATACAATAATAACAATTTTATGAAACAGTGAGTGAACAAGTCCATATAGACTATCTATGTATACACTGTGATACCATTCTAGAAAGCTAAAAAATTTGCAAAACTAATCAGTATGTTGCTTAGAAATGTATACCCATGTGATATGATTGTTTTGAAAAATCAAGGGAGTTCATGCTTATAATCTCAGCACTGTGTGAGGCAGAGGCTTGAGGACAGCTTGAGGCCAGGGGTATAAGACCAGCCTGGGCAACATAGTGAGACTTCAACTCTACAAATTTTTTTTTTAATTTAAAAAAGCTACAAAAAGCAAGAGAATGATAAAACCAAATTGAGGATGGCAGTTACCTCCTTTTGGGCAAGAAGTTGGAAAAGGCATTAGTTAAGGGCCATGTAGCTAGCTACCTATGGTATTAGTTTGCTGGTGACATCACTGATGTTTATTTAAATTTTATGCGTCATAGTTTATATACAAGAGAACTTCAAAAAGTTTATGGAATTAAAGATAAAAACAAAAAATATAAACTTTATTTCTCAAGATAAGCTTCATCAAGTTCAAGACACATTTGCAAGTGAGGATAGCAGCCATTTAGTCCATTCCTAAAGAACCAAGGGTCTTGGGAATTTAACCTTGTCAATGCACTCTCTTTTACATTATTAACTGAAGAAAAATGGGTGCCCTTTAAGGGTTTTTTAAGATTAGGAAACTAAAAGAAGTCAGAAGGAGCCAAATCAGGACTCTAAGGTGGATGTCTAGTGATTTCTCATGAAAACTCTCACAAAATTGCCCTTGTTTGATGACAGGAATGAGCAGGAGCATTGTCATGGTGGAGAAGCATTCTCTGGTTAAGCTTTCCTGGGTGTTTTTCTGATAAAGCTTTGGCTGACCTCAGAACTCTCTCATAATAATCAGATGTTATCGTTCTTTGGTGCTCCAGAGTCAACAAGCAATATGCTTTAAGCACCCTAAAAATCTGTTGCCATGACCTTTCTTCTTGACCAGTCTGCTATACCTTTGACTAGACCACTTCCCCCTCTTGGTAGCCATTGCTTTGATTGTGTTTTGTAAAGCTTCACGATCATACTGGTAAAGCCACGTTCCATCTTCTGTTACAATTCTTCAAAGAAATGCTTCAGGATCTTGATCCCACTTGTCTAATTTTGCCATTGAAAGCTCTGATCCTACCTGCAGCTGATCTGGGTGCAATGGTTTTAGGACTCAATGCCAAAGTTTTCCACGGAGTTGAAAGTTTGCTCAACTTTAATTTTGCAGTCAGAATTGTGTAAGCTGAACCAATTGAGATGTCTATAGTGTTGACTGTATTTGCGCTGTTAATCACTGATACTCTTCAGTTAGGGCACAAACAGAGTTATTATTCTTTTCTCTCAAATTGATATAGATGGTCTGCCAATGTGGGCTTCTACAATGTTGTCTCATCCCTTCTTAAAATGTGTCCATTTGTAAACTGCTGATTTCTTTGGGGGCATTGTCCCTCTGAACTTTTTGTAAAGCATCAACAATTTCACTATTCTTCCACCCAAGCTTCACCATAAATTTCATGTTTGTTCTTACTTCAATTTTAGCAGAATTCATGTTGCTCTGAAAAGGACTTTTTTCAAACTGAGGTCTGATCTTTCCTATTGCCTCAAACTAGGTCCTGGTTGGGCATGTTATAATAAGTTAGTATAAGTTTCTTTGGGTACAAAAACATTTTGAATTAATGCATAATTTTTTCATAGTACACATTTTCCATGAACTTTTTAAAGACCTCTTATATTTGTCATGTATATTCTTTTGTATGTATCAAATATTACATAATAAAAATTTAAAGATGCTCAATTAACAATGTATATCTGCAAACAGCTTTAACTATGTATGCCTAATAGTTAAGGTATTGTTTGCTGACATACATGCAATTATGTACTTTGAAAATTTATAGGCAAAATTTCTTCCTGCCATTCAAAACATACTAAAATGAAAGATTTAATTTGGATAAAAATGGATAGTTCTCAAAATCTGGAGAGTCCTCAACATCTCTAGTGCTTCTCTTCCCGTTTTTCAACATATATCTAACTAGTGGTGAAAGACAGAATGTTGAAAAAGTATGTGAAAAAACTTACTAGCCATGTTTTTCTTTCTAAAGTTTTTTTAAACTGAACCTGATGAACATGAAATTGCCAAAGTTAACAACCTCCTTTTTTAGTTTGTAAAGAATTATTTTCTTCTTTTTGTTAGTACATATAGATTTATTTCACTTATTTAATGACTACACATCATTATATCACATCTGATTTCTTTTTGATGAACATTTAATCCATTTCCATTTTATTTTATAATTACAAAAGTGTCACAATCAACATTCTTTTTATTTTTAACTTTGATTTTAGCTTCAGTGGTATACCTGTGGATTGTTATATAGGTAAATTGTGTGTTGTGGGTGTTTGGTATATTAATTATTTTGTCAACCAGGTAACTAGTACAGTACCAGATAGGTAACTTTTATTTTCTTTTTCTTTCTTTTCTTCTCTTTCTTTCTTTTTTTTTTTTTTTTTTTTGAGACAGGGTCTCCCTCTGTCACCTAGGCTGGAGTGCAGTGGCACAATCATGGCTCACTGCAGCCTCAACCTGCAAGGCTCAGGTGATCCTCCCACCTCAGCCTCCGAAGTAGCTGGGACTATAGGCACATGCCATCATACCCAGCCAATGTTTGAATTTTTTGTAGAGATGGGTTTTGCCATGTTGTCCAGGCTGGTCTCAAACTCCTGGGCTCAAGCCATCCACCCACCTTGGCTTCCCAAAGTGCTGGGGTTATAGGTGTGAGCCACCACACCCAGCGGTAGTTTTTTGATACTCACCCTTCTTCCACCACCCACCCTCAAGTAGGCCCTGGGTCTGTTGTTCCCTTCTCTGTGTCTGTATGAACTCAGTGTTTAGCTACCACTTATAAGTGAGAACATGCAGTATTTGGTTTTCTGTTCCTGTGTTAGTTTGCACAGGATAATGGCCTCCAGCTGCATCCATGTTCCTGTAAAGAACATGATTTCATTCCTTTTTATGGCCGCATAGTATTTCACGGTGTATATGTACCACATTTTCTTTAACAAGTCCACTGTTGATGGGCTTTTAGGTTGATTCCATGTCTTTGTTATTGTGAATAGTGCTGCAATAAACATATGCATGCATGTGTCTTTATTGTAGAATGGTTTATGTATTTTCTGGTATAAACCCAACTATGGGATTGCTGGGTCAAATGGTAACTCTGTTTTACTTTGTTTCAGAAATCACCAACTGCTTTCTACAATGGCTGAACTGATTTATGTTCCCACCAGCAGTGTATATAAGTGTTTCCTTTTCTAGATAACCTCACTATCATGTGTTATTTTTTTCTTTTCAGTAATAGCCATTCTGACTGGTGTGAGATGGTGTCTCACTGTAGTTCTGACTTGCATTTTTCTAATGATTAGTGATGTTGAGCATTTTCTCATATGCTTACGGCTGCATGCATGTCTTCTTTTGAATAGTGTCTGTTGATGTTCTTTGAATACTTTTTAATGGGGTTGTATTTTGCTTGTAAATTTGTTTAACTTCCTTACAGATGTTGGATATTAGACCTTTGTTGGACGCATAGTTTGTGAAAATTTTCTCCCGTTCTCTAGGTTGTCTGTTTGCTCTGTTGATAGTTTCTTTTGCTGTGCAGAAGCTCTTTAGGTTAATTAGGTCCAATTTGTCAATTTTTGTTTTTGTTGCAATTGCTTTTGGCATCTGCATCATGAAATCTTTGCCAGTTCACAGTTCCTATGTTCAGAAGGGTATTTCCTAGGTTATACTTCCTAGGTTTTTATAGCATTGTGATTTATAGTATTAGCATTTACATTTAAGTCTTTAGTCTATCTTGAGTTTAATTTTTTTATATGGTGTAAGGAAAGGGTCCAGTTTAAATCTTTGGCATATGGCTAGCCAGGTGGCCCAGCAGCATTTATTGAATAGGAAATCCTTTCCCCATTGCTTGTTTTTGTTTAAGATCAGATGGTTGTAGGTGTGTGGCATTATTTCTGGGCTCTCTGTTCTCTTCCATTGGTCTATGTGTCTGTTTTTGCACTAGTACCATGCTGTTTTGTTTACTGTAGCCTTTTAGTGTAGCTTGAAGTCGGGTAATGTGATGCCTCCAGCTTTATTCTTTTAGCTTAAAATTGCTTTGGCTATTCGGGTCTTTTTTGATTCCATATGAATTTTCCAATAGTTCTTTTTTTAATTCCATAAAGAATGTTACTGGTAGTTTGATAGGAATAGCACTGAATCTGTAAGTTTCTTTGGGCAGTATGGCCATTTTAACAATATTGATTCTTCTTATTTATGAGCATGAAATGTTTATTCCTTTGTTTGTGTTGTATCTGAATTCTTTGAGCAGTGTCTTGTAATTCTCATTGTAGAGATCTTTCACCTACCTGGTTAGCTGTGTTTCTAAGTATTTTATTCCTTTGGTAGCTATTGTGAATAGGATTGTCTTCTTGATTTGGCTCTCAGCTTGGATGTTGTTGGTATATAGGAATACTACTGATTTTTGTACCTTGATTTGTATCCTGAAACTTTGCTAAAGTTGTTTATCGGGTCAAGGAGCCTTTGGGCAGATACTATGGGGTTTTCTAGGTATAGAATCATGTTATCTGCATACAAGGGTAGTTTGACTTCCTCTCTTCCTGTTTGGATGCCTTTTATTTCTTTCTCTTGTCTGATTACTCTGGCTGGGACTTCCAGGACTATGTTGAATAGAAGTGATGAAAGAGGGCATCCTTGTCTTGCGCCAGTTTTCAAGGGGAATGCTTCCAGCTTTTGCCCATTCAGTATGATGTTGGCTGTGGATTTTTTCATAGATCACTCTTATTATTTTGAGATATGTTCCTTCAATGCCTAGCTGAGGGTTTTTAACATGAAGGGATATTGAATTTTATCGAAAGCCTTTTCTGCGTCTATTGAGATGGTCATGTGATTTTTGTGTTTAGGTCTGTTTATGTGGTGAGTCACATTTATTGATTTGTGTATATTGAACCAATCTTGCATCCCGGGGATAAAGCCTGCTTGAAAATGGTGGCTTAGGGTTTTGATGTGATGCTGACTTTGGTTTGCTAGTATTTTGTTGAGTATTTTTGCATCTATGTTCATCGAGGATACCAACCCGAAGTTTTCTTTTTTTGTCATGCCTCTGCCAGGTTTTGGCATCAGGATGATGCTGGACTCATAGAATGAGTTAGGGAGGAGTCCCTCTTCTTCAGTTTTTTGATGTAACTTCAGTAGAAATGGAACCAGCTTTTCCTTATCCATCTGGTAGAAATTGGCTATGAATCCGTCTGATTCTGGGCTTTTACTGGTTGGTACACTTTTTATTACCAACTCAATTTTGGAACTCATTATTGGTCTCTTCAGGGGTTTAATGTCTTTCTGGTTCAGTCTTTCTGGTTCAGTTTTACGAGGTTGTATGTTTCCAGGGCTCCACATATTTCTTCTAGGTTTTCTAGCTTGTATGCATAGAGATGTACATGATAGTCTCTGAGAGTCTTTTTTATTGGCAGTGGGGGGCAAGTGTCAGTGGGAATGTCCTCTGAGTCATTTCTGATCATGTTTTTTGAAACTTCTCTCTTTTTCTTTATTAGTCTAGCTAGTGCTCTATTGATCTTATTAATTCTTTCAAAGACCAGGCTCATTGACTAATTGATCTTTTGTATGGTTTTTCACTTCTCAGTTTCCTTCAGTTCAGCTCTGATTTTGGTTATTTCTTTGGGATTGGTTTGCCTGTGTTTCCATAGTTCCTCTAGGTGTGATATTGGTTTGTTAATTTGAGGTATTTCTAACTTTTTGATGTGGGCATTTGGTGCTATAAAATTCCTTCTTAACACTATTTTGGCTGTGTCCCGGAGATTCTGTTATGTTGCATCATTTTTCTCATTATTTTCAGAAAATGTCTTGATTTATGCCTTAACTTTATTATTTACCCAGAAGTCATTCAGGAGGAGGTTGTTTACTTTCTATGTAATCATATGGTTTTGAGCAATTTTCTTAACACTGATGTTTTTTCTCTGTGGTCTGAGAGTACAGTTGTTATCATTTCGTGTGTGTATGTTTTAAATTGCTGAGGATTGTTTTAAGATTGTGTGGTCTATTTTTAGAGTATGTGCCATGTGCAGATGAGAAATATGTATATTCTGTTGTTTTTACCTGAAGAGTTCTATAGATGTCTATTAGGTCCATTTGGTCAAGTGTTGAGTTGAGGTCCCGAATATCTTTTTTTTTTCTGCCCTAATTATCTATGTATTAATGTCAGTGGGATGTTAAATTCTCCCACTATTATTGTATGGTTATCTAAGTCTCTTGGTAGATCTCTAAGGACTTGTTTTATGAATCTGGGTCATCCTGTGTTGGATGTTCGTATAGTTAGGACACTAAGGTCTTCTTGTTGAATTGAGCCCTTTACCATTATTTCATGCCATTATTTGCCTTCTTTGATTTTTGTTAGTTTAAGTCTGTTTCCAGGGCAACAATAGGCTGCACCCCTTGGCAAATTCAGGCAAAAGTAGGACCACTGGACTGGAAACATGAGCAGGTATGGCTCACCTGGGGATACCCGCCCTGCTGTCTGGTGTATCTCAGGACAAAAGAAGGCTGAACCCTTCAGCTGAGTTCACACAGAAGCAAGACTGCTGGGCGGGAAGCTCTAGCAGGTGTTGCCCTTCTGCCTATCAGTGGCAGGGGTGGGTGGGGTCACATGCCTTACCTTCAGGGTGCTTCCCGGGACAACAGGAAGCTGTGCTAGCTGGCTGAGTTCACATAAAGGCAGGACTGCTGGGCTGGAAGCTCTAGCAAGCACTGTCCGCCTGCTACCAGTGATGGGAGTGGGTGGAGCAGCCCAGCTGAGTTCAGGCCTAAGTGAGACTGCTGGGCTGGAAGCTAGTGCCAACTCCTGACCAACAAGGGGGCATGGAGCAATCTAACAGTTGCCAGGCACTGCAACTACAATGTCTACTGGGTCTGTTGCACCAGTACTGGTCCTCTCCGGGGCCCAAGGCTTATAGCAGGTCCCTGGACTCGAGAGTTGCCCCCATAAAATATTTAGGTGGCTCTTCAGCTGTCTAGAAATGTTCGGGTGTCTCTTTGCTGGTCAGTGGGGCATTCAGGAGGGCCAGGGGATTCTTTCATTCCCAGTCTTGCACATGTCCCTGTGGAAAGTGTGAATCCCCCTGGGGGTTCTCAGTCACTCACCATCTTCTGCATTGGAGAAGTTCTCCAGGCTCCATGCTGAGTCCAGACAGACTGGTGCCCAGCTCCGCTCCCCTGCTGACTTGATGGATCCTGACATGGTTTCTCCAGGAATAATTTTCTTAAGCAGGATATTATGGGGGTTAGGAACAAAGTCTTCAAATCAGCCTGCCAATGTTCCAATAAATGCTGTGCTGTTTATTGGTTGTATGATTTTGTGGCAAGTTACTTAACCTCTTTAAACTTCACTTTCTTCATCTGTAAAATGAGGTTAATAATAGTACCTACCTTGCTGAGTTTGAAGATTAAATGAAACAAATGACTATAATAAAAACAAATGTCTATAATAAACTTGGTCACAGGCCTGGCAGCTAGTAAACATTCAATAGATGTTAATTATTATAATTATTATGTCAGCAAGCATACTAGGAAAAGGTGGTAAAAAAGTATTCTTAAATATCAGAGAGAAAAAAAATCACTTGCTCTCTCTAGATTAAGACCTTGGATGTACACTTACATTTGAGTGGTAGAAAGTGCAAAAAGAGAGCCAAACACCCCTATTGCAGAGTTTTCTCTCTTAGCTTGCAATACTTGAAGTTAATGTGTGTTCTATGAAGGAAGAGAAAGAAGTTTGATAAATCTGTCTACACTTATTATTCATAATTCAGGACATATGACAGCTTAAACAAAAAACTGATAACAGAACTGTATTGTACTTTGAAATTCTATACTAGTCCTTAAAATCTACTATATGAAAATATTAATGAGGAAACCCCTCAACTCAACTTTGTAAGCCTAGCATACATGTATATACAATCATGTTTTTCTTTTAACATTGCACACATTCCATTATCTGCTTCAGCAAACAGCTTATAGAGTGAATTAAAATAAGTCAATAGTCAGAAAACAACAAAAATACCAATGTAATAATGGCCTTGGTCACACACAAAAAAGATACATTTTGACAATTTAACAATATCCTGTACTTGACAAAATTCATTCTTAATGATTTTTATTTTTAATTGATACATAATAATTGCACATCTAAATGGAATACATGTGATATTTTGATATAAGCATACAATGTGGAATGACTAAATCAGGTTAACTGGCATATCCATAAATCATTTATCATTTCTTTGTGTTAGGAATATTCAAAATCCTCTCTTCCAGCTATTTTGAAATATATAATAAACTAGTATTAATTATAGTCACCTTATTGTGCTATAGAATACTAGAATTTATATCTCCTATCTGATGGTAACTTTACCCATTAACTAACCTCCTTCTGTCCCCCACTTACTACTACCCTTCCCAACTTCCAGTGACCACCATTCTGTCTACTTCTGTAGGATCAACATTTTCAGCTCCTATATGTGAGTGATAACATGTTTTTTGTCTTTCTGTGACTAGCCTATTTCACCTAACATAATGTTCCCCAGGCTTATCCATGTTGCCACAAATAACAGGATTTCATTATTATTGTGGCTGAATAATATTCTATTGTGCATATATACCACATTTTCTTTATCCATTCTTCCATTGATGGGCACTTAACGTTTATTCTATCTCTTGATTATTGCGAATAGTGCTGCAATAAACATGGGCATACAAATATCTCTTCAACATACTGATTTCTTCAAAATATACTTAGTAGTGGGATTACTAGATCATATGATATTTCTTTTTTTAGATTTTTGAGGAAATGCCATGCTGTTTTTCATGTCTGCACTAATTTACATTCTTATCTACGGTATATAAGAGTTCTCTTTTCTCTGCATCCTCACCAGCACTTGCTATATTTTGTCTTTTGGGTCATAATCATTTTAATTGGGGTCAGATAATGTCTCATTGTGGTTTTGATTTGCATTTCTCTGATGATTAATGATCTTGAGCATTTTGTTGTAAACCAGTTAGTCATTTTGTATGTTGTCTTTTGAGAAAAGCCTATTAAAATCATTTTCCCAGTTTTAATCAGATTATTATTATTATTATTGCTGGTGCTGTTACTTGTTTGAGTTCTTTATATATTTTGGATATTAATTTCTCATCAGATGGATAGTTTGAAAATACTTTCTTCCATTCTGCAGATTGTCTCCTCACTCCATTGATTGTTTCCTTTGCTGCACAGAAACTGTTTAGTTTTGTGTAATCTCATTTGTCTATTTTTGTTCTTGTTGCCTGTGGGCTTCAGAGGTCTTATCCAAAAAATCTTTGTCTAGACCAATTTCTTGAAGTGTTTTCCCTGTGTTTTCTTCGAGTAGTTTTATTGTTTTGGGTCTTTCATTTAAGTCTTTAATCCATTTTGAGCTGATTTTCATATGTGGTGAGAGATAGGGGTCTAATTTGCATCTTCTGCATATGGATATCTGGTTTTCCAAGCACCATTTGTTAAGGAGGCTGTCCTTCCTTCAGTGTTTGTTTACATGTACCCCATTTATATGTGGAAATAAATCCACAAATGTTGGCACCTTTGTGGATTTATTTCTCTGTTCTCTGTTCTGTTGCATTGGTCTATGTGTCTGTTTTTATGCCAGTGCCATGATGTTTTGGTTACTATAGCTTTGAAGTATATTTTGAAGTCAGGTAGTGTGATGCCTCCAGATTTGTTCTTTTTACTCAAGATTGCTTTGGCTATGTGAGCTTTTTGTGTGTGATTAAGTACAAATTTTAGGATTGTTTTATCTATTTCTGTGAAGGGATTGCACTGAATCTGTAGATTGCTTCGGATAGTAAGAAATTCATTCTGACTGTGGGCATCACATAAAATAGAAAGACACAAAATACTATTTTGACATTATATTCTATCATTGTAAATATTCAAATACAAATTTAATCGATTAACATTTTTAAACATTCGCCACTTCTACTATCAAACATAGATATTTTCTCTGTGTTTTAAATGCATAATTTTGTAATGAGCAGCTGTGAGTTATCTGAAATTTGCCTCTGGGAAAAGTGTAACCACTCAATAAAGAAACATTTAGTTGTAGTTGCAACTAAGTTGTTCTTCTTCCAGAGAAGTGACTCTTCTATTTACATGAAAGTCAAGATTTAAAAAAAAAGCTTTAAAAATATCCAATGCATAGTTCTGCACAGTGCCTTTTATTGCAGTAGCATATTTGTTTCTTTTATTCACTAGATAATGTGTTTGGAATTTTTCTACTATGTTACCGTTAAATTGTTGCATTAAGTTGTCTACAGAAAAAAAAAAGAGATTAAGCCAGATTTTTCAGGTGTTTCATCCGTCAGTATGCTGCAGAGAAGCAACATTTGTGTGAAGTGTCCTACCAAAGCTTTGCAAGGATCAGTCTCACTTCTATAATTTAGCACTTGAAAACAAACTTTGTGAGCTCTTCTGATAGTTGGTGCATTTCTTGAGGTTGGAAACTCATCTTATGCATCATGTATCTCCCACATACAGCATAATGCCTGGTACTAGTCCTCAAACATTTGCTGCCTTATAAATCGGAAGAGAACAAATAAAAAAACAGAGTAAAGCAGTGTTACAGATTTTTTTTTATATATATTGAAACCAGTTATCTGCAGTTACTTAAAGGCAGAAAAGAGACCTAGAACTGTGGGTCATCTGGATAAAAGTTACACTCCATTCAAACACCTTTGTTGCATGCCTGCTGCAGTCCAGGCACAGAGCTGGCTACCCACACAAGTACATCATTTCTGAATCACATGCACTTGGGCCTTGCTTTGCGCTGTGAAGACCTATTTGTGGTCTTGATGAAGAAGCAAATAAAAATGTATTTGATCTTCTTTCTCGAGGGTCATTATGAACCAAATTGAAATACCTCTAAAGTTCAGAAAAGTTCACCCAAGCTTTCCTTTGTTTGCTGTAATTCCTGTTTCTTTCTGACCTTCCTGAGTTCACAAAACTTTTGTTCCAAATAGACTCAATGATGTAACAAAAAGTCTTTAATCTAATTTCAAGATGGATAAGTTCCTGAGTGTGCTGCAGTTTGGGAGGGTAGGTTTTAGTGTGATTTACAGTGTGAAATCTACCTCAAACATCATAAAAGTGAATTTGTCCCATGATTGATTCAGAATTAAGTTGCAGTTGCATATTTTAACTTTTGGGCTTCTAGTAAAAGAATTAGTTTCTCTTTCCCATTTTCACAAACTGCATGAAAGCGTTTTATTTCTCTTTGGCTTCCTGAAGGGTACAATTGGAATAGATCTTCATTTGCTTGGCTTTCTCTACTTATGTTTGACATTTTGAGCTTTACCTATTGGTTATTTCATTCACTTGAGAAGCAATCTCAAGCAATATCAGTGTGTGTTTATGTTTCTTTGTGCATGTACCTGTGTGTGCGTGTACATGTGTGTAAACTGATGGACATTCTGAGCAGGTAGGGTCTATACTGTTTGGTATTCTGTTTCACTATTGTGTTTTGAAACTCCAATTCAAGACAATAGGGAAAACCTCACCAATATGAAAGCATGGATCACCACTATCTGAACCAGTTTGAGTTATCTGATGCTTTAATTAAATAATAAGGGAGCATCTATTTGGCTGAGGAATCAGAGCTATTTAGAATTGGGGGCCATTTTTACTAGACCCATATTGACTTAATGAGGTTTATCTGTGTGTTTCCCCAAAGAATAAAATCGAGTGAAAAAGCATTGTTTACATCAAGCGTAGCTCGTCTCTTACCACCTCCACCACCCCCCAGTTCCAATTCCAAGTCCAATTTCTAGTTTCATCTCCTATAATGAGGTCCAAGAAGATCTATATACTGAGCCCAACTTGACCATTTTTTCATTACTGTGTGAACAGTATCTTTACACTCTAATGTCTAATTTGGAATCCCAATAAGATTCATAAATTTGAGTCTAAGTAAAATGATAGGATTTCAAACAAGTATTTATTTTTTGAGCCACATCATCACAGGCTTATACAAAAAAAGTTTTTATGTGTTTAAGTGTGTATATAGGTAATCATGGGTAGATTACACAAGGACCTTATTTAAGATCTTAGAGAAATTTCTGCTTATGTTTACATAAGTAGGGCTTCCCTATGAATGCTTGTCTTCTCTAGAAGAAGAATTGATCCACTCATGAGATCCTCTCAGGTGCTGCCTAGGATATCAACACAGGCTTTGCCAAGCTACCAATGCAAATTTGGATTTTAGAAAACTTGAGGTTGTGGGGTGAAATAATGTCTTTCCTGGCTAAGAATGCATTAATGTAATTTCTTGCTTTGAAGTAATCTCTGGTAAATTTATTTTTGTAGTAGCAAGTACTTCTTAAAAATGGGTTCTTTTTTTTTTGCTATGTCCATGTGAATTTTTTTTGAGTCCCAAGACCAGAAGCCAAGGCAAGGGATCTTTCTTGAATGTCAACCACAGGCGTTTTGCACTTGCTGTCTCTTCAAGTCCCCCAGACAGTTCTGGAGGGCAAGAAGACTTCTCACTGATAAAGTTGCTGAAGATCTAGAGATAAGGCACCTATCTGAAGACACCCAGGTGTTAAATGAAGGTGTGGAATATGAACCCAAATCTAATTTTTGAGCTGTTTGTTTTCCACTGCACTGTCTGAAGGTCTCTGCTGGGATTTGGGGGATGTGATCTCAGTATGAAGAGGTAGTATGTGAAAAAGAGATTATTTGAGGATGATGGTTGGCCAAAATTTGTAAGGTGGTGAGAAAGGATGCTTTTCTGACTTAAAAATGAATCCATGCTGATGCTAAGCAGAATCTTTGATAGGAAATTTTGTTCCTTCTACTCACAGGGTTGGTTTTGCAATCAATCTATAAAGAAGTCAGTAAGTAGTCATAGGTGATGTGTTGTAAACCATAAATCAAACTGCAAATGACCATGTGATTTTCTCTTTGCTTCTTCTTCCTATGGGAGTCATTTTGGTTTTGTAGGGTGTGCTCTTCACTGCAAAGTAGTTATTCTCCTCTTCCTTGTTCTTGTGTAATCTCTCTCTCTCTCTCTCTCTCTCTCTGTCTTTCTCTCATTTTTGGACTTCACTTTTAAAAGGCACACTGGGATGTGCTAGGAGAGCCAAGCAGCAGAAGCATCAGGCTGATTAAGGATGATGAGAAAGGACAGAATCAGGTCAGTAAGCTCAGGATCAGAAACATGATAGGCATAATTGTTAAACACCTGACACACTCTTATAATTATTATAGTAGGGTATGGAAAATTCATACAAAACCAGAATGAAATTTTTCTAATGGATCTTTAAATAACCTATAGTTCTTCTGATCAGAAAGTAATATATATTTATTTGGAAAAATATCTACAAGAAGAAAACAAAAATCACATAATCCTGCTACTCTGAGATGATACTGTTAAGACTGTTGTATATTTTGGAATTTCACACCATCATTGAGAGGTAAAAAAAAAAAAAAAAACACTAAGAACTCACATATTCCTCCTGTAGGCTCTGTCCTTTGAATGCTTGTTCTTTCCTTTGTTTACCTTTACCTGGTCTCAGTGTGAGTAAAATCACTCTTTATAGGGAGGCATGAAAGCAGGTAAGATGCTGTCTTCATTTGAGTCCAAACCCATTGAGTACAATCCCACTGCCTCACATGGCCTGTGCGTGTAGAAAACCAAGGTGATAATAAATCCTGCACCCTATAATTTGTAACAGATAACACTACTGAAGTTGGAAGTTTTGGCAGTGTATTTGTTCATTTTCACACTGCTGATAAAGATATACTAAAGATATAAAGAGGTTTATTGGACTTACAGTTCTGCATGGCTGAGTAGGCCTCACAATCA
Organism: Homo sapiens; assembly: GCF_000001405.40. Taxonomy (NCBI): domain Eukaryota; kingdom Metazoa; phylum Chordata; class Mammalia; order Primates; family Hominidae; genus Homo; species Homo sapiens. Next base: position 125,252,663 of record NC_000005.10, read on the forward strand.
TGGCAGAAGGAAAGGAGGAGCAAGTCGCATCTTACGTGGATGGCGTCAGGCAAAGAAAAAGCTTGCGCAGAGAAACTCCCATTTTTAAAACTATCTGATCTCATGAGACCCATTTACTATCACGAGAACAGCATGGGGAAGACCCACCCCCATGACTCAATCAGCTCCCACCAGGTCCCACTCACAACACATGGGAATTATGGGATCTACAAGATGAGATTTGTGTGGGGACACAGAGCCAAACCAAGTCATTTCTCCTCTGGTTCCTCCCAAATCTCATGTCCTCATATTTCAAAACCAATAACACCTTTCCAACAGTCCCCCAAAGTCTTAACTCATTTCAGCATTAACTCAAAAGTCCAGAGTCCAAAGTCTTATTTGAGACAAGGCAAGTCCCTTCTGCCTATGAGCCTGTAAAATTAAAAGCAAATTAGTTACTTCCTAGATACAATGGGGGTATAGACATTGGATCAATACAGCCATTCCAAATGGGAGAAATTCGCCAAAACAAAGGGGCTATAAGCCCCGTGCAAGTCTGAAATATATCAGGGCAGTCACATTTTAAAGCTCCAAAATGATCTCCTTTCACTCCATGTCTTATATCCAGGTCATGCTGATGCAAGAGGTGGGTTCTCATGGTCTTGGGTAGCTCTGTCCCTGTGGCTTTGCAGGGTACAGGCTCCTCCTGGCTGCTTTCATGGGCTGGCATTGAGTGTCTGTGCCTTTTCCAGGCACATGGTGTAAGCTGTCAGTGTCTACCATTGTGGGGTCTGGAGGACAGTGGACCCCCTCTCACAGCTCCACTAGGCAGTGCCCCAGTAGGAACTCTGTGTGAGAGCTACAACTCCACCTTTCCCTTCTGCACTGCCCTAGCAGAGGTTCTCCATGAGAGCCCTGGTCCTGCACCAAACTTCTGCCTGGGCATCCAGGAATTTTCATACACCTTCTGAATTCTAGGCAGAGGTTCCCAAACCTCAATTCTTGACTTCTGTGTACTCGCAGGCGCAACACAATGAGGAAGCTGCCAAGGCTTGAGGCTTGCCCCCTCTGAAGCCACAGCCTGAGCCCTACGTTGGCCCCTTTCAGCAATGGCTGGAGTGGCTGGGACACAGGACACCAAGTCCCTAGGCTGCACACAGAACAGGGACCCTGGGCCTGGCCCATGAAACCACTTTTTCCTCCTAGGCCTCTGGGCCTGTGATGGGAGGGGCCGCCGTGAAGACCTCTGACATACCCTGTGACATTTTCCCCATTGTCTTAGGGATTAACATTAGGCTCCTCGTTACTTATGCAAATTTCTGTAGACGGCTTGAGTTTCTCCTCAGAAAATAGGACTTTCTTTCCTATCACATTGTCAGCCTGCAAATCTTCCAAACTTTTATATTCTGCTTCTGTTATAAAACTGAATGCCTTTATCAGCACCAAAGTCACATCTTGAATGCTTTCCTGCTTAGAAATTTCTTCTGCCAGATAGCCTAAATAATCCCTCTGAAGTTCAAAGTTCCATAAATCTCTAGGGCAGGAGCAAAATGCTGCCAGTCTCTTTGCTAAAATATAACAACAGTCACCTTTGCTCCAGTTCCCAACAAGCTCCTCATCTCCATTTGAGACTACCTCGGCCTGGACCATATTCTCCATATTGCTATCAGGCTTTTGGTCAGAGCCACTCATCAAGTCTCTAGGAAGTTCCAAACTTTTACATTTTCCTGTCTTTTTCTGAGCTCTCCAAACTGTTCCAACTTCTGCCTATTACCCAATTCCAAAGTCACTGCCACGTTTTTGGGTATCTTTTCAGCAACACCCCACTCTTGGTACCAATTTACTGTATTAGTTTTTTTCCTCACTGCTGTTAAATACCTACTTGAGACTGCGCAATTTACAAAAGAAAGAGGTTAATTGGATTTACAGTTCCACATGGCTGGGCAGGCCTCACAATCATGATGGAAGGCCAGGAGGAGCAGGTCACATCTTACATGGATGGGAGCTGGCAAAGAGAGAGCTTGTGCTCTCTCCCAGTTTTAAAACCATCAGATCTCATGAGACCCATTCACCATCATGAGAACAGCACGGGAAAGACCCACCCCCATGATTCAATCATATCCCACCAGGTCCCTCCCAAAACACATGGAAATTATGGGAACTACAAGATGAGATTTGGGTGCAGACACAGAGACAAACCATATCAGGCAGTTTGTAATTTACCCTGGTTCATTTCTGAGGTTAGACACTGGCAAAACAGAAGATATTTATTGGACTGACCTCAATACTGGCTCTGAGTACCAAGCCATGGTTCTTCAGTTCATCTTCTTTTCTTATACTCTGTGGAGACTAGAAAGCTCATGCTAGGCTGAAATGTTAAATTTGTAATTAATGACATTTAACCTCTTATTCAAATGGAATTCATAGTAACTGAAAAGTACAGGGAATGTTAGAAAAGAAGAAAAACTCTCAGTAGACATTCAAACACATTTACTGTGCAAATATATTTGATTTTTAACTCACATTATTCCCAATGCTACAAAAAAGTCTTATTGCTGATTATTTTACATTTGATCATTTTTTCCTAACTATAATATAAAACAAACTCCCATGTCAACTAGTATGCCTGCCCTCCATTAACTTACCCAAGATGCTGCTTAATGCATAAGGAAAATATAAAGCTACTCTGGTGCAGAACAACATCCATTCCCTCAATTCCAGTGGCTTTCTTGAAAATTGGTTCTTTACTCATTGAGTTTTTAATTTAATGTCGTATTTCAGTATAAGTAATTCAATCACAGGTTACAAATGTCAAAATATTAGAGTGGTTTATTGAGAAATCACATTCCCACCCTTGACATGCTCCAGCTTTTTATGCCTATTTATTCCTTACAGGGAATCACACTTTAATTAGCTTATTATGCTCTTTTGTTTGTTGATAGATATAAATACAGTCTCTCTCTCTATAATATATGTATATAGACTGTATATGTGTATATAAATTTGTATATGGACTGTCATTATGGATAAACAACTATAAATACAGTATATAGTGAATATATGAAGATTTAGGTTAGGCAATTTTTTACAAGGCTATGAATATTCAGTTCACTAACTAAAAGTAGCATACGAAATATATTTTATATAAATTTGCTTTTTCTAGAGATCTTTCTATAACAATACAAAGTTTATTCATACTATTTTAGGTCTGCATTAAGAGGATATACCATAGTTTAATCAGTGCCTAACTGGTAGATACTTGGGATTTTTCTATTCTTTTGTATGACAAGCTATACTACAAAGAATAAATTAGTACATAGGCCATTTTGTTTGTGCAAACCTATATATGTAGAATAAATTTCCAAAAGTGAGATTACTGAGTTAAGGATAAACATATTAGGTTGGTGCAAAAGTAATTCCACCAATTTAATATTTGTAATAAGGTAGGTACTGACAGATTGCCATCTGTGGTAGGCAGAATAACATCCCCTCAAAGATGTCCAGAACCTAATCCTTGGAACCTGTGAATATATTACCTTCCATGGCAAAGGATGCTTTAAACATGTGATTACAATTCAGGATTTTGAAATGAGGAAGTCATCTTGGATTATCTGGGCCCAGTCTAATTACATGAGTGCTTTAAAGTGTAAGAAGCCAGAAGAGTTGTTGAGCGATATGTTTTGAAAAAGATTCAGTCTGCCTTTGCTATCTTTGAAGATGGAAGAAGTAGGTTATGAGCCAAAGAATTCAGGCCGCCTTGGGAGGCTAGGAATGGCTCTCAGCTGATAGCCACAGCACACAGAATTCTGCCAACAACCTGGATGAGTGAGAAAACAAGGGCATTGTCCTGTAACTTCAAAGAAATGAATTCTCCTCTGGAGTCTCCAGTGAGGAAAGCAGCCCTGCCCAGCAAGACCTGTGTTGGACTTTTGATACACAGAACTACAAGATTATAAGTTGGTCTTGTTTCAAGCCTCTGAAGTTGTGGTCATTTATTACAGCGGCAACAGAAAACAAATACACCCTTTCTAGGGACCATTTTGCACTGTCATCACATCAGCAATTGACGAGATTGTTCCCCCACATCTTCACAAACAGAATGTGTTGCTAGTCTTTGAGATTTTTGCCAATCTGATGATTGGTGAGAAAGAGTATCTCAGTGCAACTATAATTTGCACTATTCTTTTTATGAATGAGATTGAACATCTTAACATTTATATTTATTTGTATTAAAGGAATGTTTGTTCATGTTTGTTGCCCATATTTCTATTGGATTGTTGATATTTTTTAAATCAAGTTCTAAGAGTTTATTCATGTGATGAAGACCTTATATATGATAGCAGTTGCAACTATTTTTCCTAAATCATTTACTTTCTATGTGAATTTAAGGGTGGGTGTTGACCTATTCGTCATTATTTTCTCTAGTTTCTACAAATTTTCATCAGATTGTTGTAGGTCTCTGGATAACACAAACTAAAATATCACCAAGAGAACATATTTTTGAGGGAAGAAATAAAAAAGAGGAAAAAAAAAGAAGAGCTGTTAAATAAACTCTTGCTTTCTTTACCTTCTCACCTTTAGTCTGAATCATTCTTCTCATGGCTCCTTTCTAAAATCCTGGCCTTAAGTACAGGAGTAGCTTCCAGTTCTAGAGAGAGACAAACAAACAAACAAAAAAAACCCTGTACCTTATAATAGCATCGCCGCAGCAAGTAGAGCATTTTGTAGCACATTCTTCAATTAAAACTTTCATTCTTAGACTTAAAGCTGTCTGAGAACCAAAGCACTAACGCTTGGCATTTCATGTCAGCAGAGGCATGGGTATGATTATTCACAGTGAAATGCTGACAGGCCCTTCTCTTCAATGACACCAGCTAGCTCAGGTTATAATTACCCTTGTTACATCATCCCTTTCCCTGCTATACACACAGCAAGTGAGCTCTTGCTTGGAAGACAGATTTGTGTTTATAGCCAAAGAGTTTTTCCTTTCTAATTTAAACCAGGTTTGCTGATAGCTGGGAGGGGGCAAGAAAGAAAAACAGTTATAATTAGAGTATCACAAGGAGAAACAATAAACACTTAAATGATGAGGAAGTGATCATCATCCAGTCTGAAACAGATCAGGGTTTAAGCCAGGCATTTCTGACAAGGATATCAGGACTAGGTTCATTAACTGCCCTCGCTGCTTTCAGAATATCTTAAATGTGGCAATTTACATTAAAATGGATTTAGTGACACCATCTTCTCATTACTGTCAGTTTACATTTGGGTTTATAAACTATAATTGTAAATAAAATATGCTTTTCATTACAATGTCTATTTAGTAGAATATGGTAGGAAATTAGAGGCATAATCATGACTTAAATTATTAATTCAGTGATATTTTTCAGGTGTCATATGTAGATACTCCACTGTGCATAATGAATATGCATGTAGTAGTTGAATTAGGTCTAGATCTCAGTGCTCTGCCTCCCCTCTGTCCACTCATCTTATTTTGTTTTTGCTTCTTAACTTCTTTGCAATGGTACATGGTAAAAGGAGGTTTCACAAGTAGTCAGCTGCAATTATCTATGCCATTATTTTCATTTCATTTCCCCTATTCAGTTTCAAGGGGGCCTCCAATACATAGCACCCCTTTTCTCTGTTCATGTTCTGAATATGCTGACAAATAAGGATGAACAGATTGATAAATCAAAATATCAGCTTTATCATGGACAGAGTTTAAGTTGGGGGATGTAACTTGGTCTGTGGGCCAAATAGAGCAGCATTTGGGAGATTCCTGGTCTGTCATAATTATACAGACAAGGCAGACTTCCCCCTCTAATGGCATCCAAAGATATTAGGTCCTGATTCTTGTAACTTGTGGGTGTGATTAAATACATATTCTTGAAGTGAGGAGATTTTCCTGGTTTATCAAGGTGGACCTTAAATACTTGCAGAAGTGTCCTTATGAGAGAGGCAGGTGGAGATTAGACAGACAAGAAGTGAAGGCAATGCAAATGCAGAGGCAGAGATTGAAATGATGCAGCCTCACAAACCAAGGAACACAGGCAGCCACCAGAAGCTGGAATAAGCAAGGAATGAACTTCTTCTCCCTTCTCCTGAGATAGCACAGCCACTGGACACCTTGATCTCCACCCAGTGAAGCTGAATGCAGACTTTGGACCTCTGGAACAGTGAGAGAATAAATTCCTATTGTTTTAAGCCACTAAATGTGATGCAATTTGTTAAAACAGTCTCAGGAAACTAACATGCTCCCCAGCCATCATCCGTGGTAGATAGCCTCAGGAGGTGCTAAGGGTTCAGGCTCTCAAGAGGCAGAAGGGCTGAGAGAGCTGCGCATGCCCAGATCTGGCTTTCAGACTCACCTTTCAGGCAGATCACTCCACTTTTTGTGGGACAGAGTGACTAAAGAGCAGGGAGAGCCAAGGATACGTTTAGAGTAAATTCCTCTTCATAGAGACTTCTTTTTAAAAAGTTATTATTCATAAGCATCCCTAAATTCTAGCTATTGCAATGTTGAAATAATTTTTAATATTTAAATATTATGGTCATTGTTAATGCTGGACAAAGGCTGAAGCTGACATTAACTTATACATCAGAGAGCTTTGAAGGCCAATATTGAGATTTTATGTTTGTTTTTTTGTTCAATAACAAAGGTTATCCATAAAGTTGAAATTTACTTATCTCTCTGCCTCAAAACCACCTTCTTTGTTGCATGTCCTCAGCAAAGAAGGCAGGGGCAGGGGTTGTTATCTTTTATCCTGTTTAAAGAAAGAAGCAAGTTAACTGATACAAACATTATCAAATTCCTTGCTCATCTTCATCCAATAAAATGGTACCATCTACTTGTAAATGTCCAAGTGTGTAATGTTTTAAACTATTTTCCCTCAATATTGAATAATGGTGAGGAGAAATCACTATATTTATAGATTTGAAATCTCTTCTTATAAAATGTTATACCCTCGTCAAAAAACTGACAAACCAGGGAAAGATGTATCAAAAATCTAAGGATGTGTATAACGAAACAATAATATCACTTACAAGCCTTGCTTCAAAGGAGCATGATTCACATAGCCTAACCATGTGTTCACTATTACAGCCTACTCTTGTATGTGCCCTTCCTACTAATATGTGCCAAATATTATTTTCTGTGACAGGTCTAAATAAACCACTGTTTATTCAACAAGTATTTATTGAGTACCCACTACATGCAAAATATTATTTAATGAACAAACAGAAACCCTTACCATGCAGAACTTTACTTTGTAGAGATTGGTTTAACCCAATGGGAGCAACATTTTGCCCAACATGGGCACATTTAAGCAATAAACAATGTGTACTCCAGAAGCTTAGATATGATGCAGTAATCACACAAGCAATGGAGAATGGTCATTTTTCTTCTTGCAAATGCAAGCTAAGTGTCGGGCAAAATATTTGAGTAGGTCATTCCCTATTACTGAAGGGAGAATAAAAGGAAGCAGTAATGTACTACTGAATCCTTCATATTAACTCTTTAGCTTTCTATGCAGGTGCTCTAGGCCTAAAAAAAAACTGGCATAGACATTCAGAGAAGTTAGACACCAGACTTTAGGAAAATAGAAATATTCTTTCTATTTCCTTTTAGTTTATATTTCATAGACCTCCGTGGGAAAATCTAAGTTTTTCTTTCTTTTTTGTTTTGTTTTCTAGCGGACAAATACTTGTGTTTTGAAATCTGTTGTCTATGTTATGCATATTTGGTCACTAATTAGTACATATTGATATTTCTTACCTTCACAAAAATATTTTAAGTTCCTTCTTGGGGTTTGATAATTATCTTAGTCCTATATATTCTTTAAAGTTAGCACAGTGCTATTGAGTAGTCATTTAATAAAGTTGTCATGGTTATGGGCATTAAGAAAAAATGAGAATGGCTAGAAAAGAGAGACTGTATATAATAAAGCAAGCATGGTCAGTAGAATTTCAGGGGTAAAAAAGAATTTGTGTTAATTATTGTGTTTCTTTCTTTTTTTTTTTTTTTTTGAGACAGAGTCTCGCTCTGTCACCCAGGCTGGAGTGCAGTGGTGCGATCTCCGCTTACTGCAAGCTCCGCCTCCTGGGTTCACACCATTCTCCTGCCTCAGCCTCACGAGTAGCTGGGTCTACAGGTGCCCGTCACCACGCCCGGCTAATTTTTTTTTTTTTTTTTGTATTTTTAGTAGAGACAGGGTTTCACCGTGTTAGCCAGGATGGTCTCGATCTCCCGACCTCGTGATCCACCCGCCTCAGCCTCCCAAAGTGCTGGGATTACAGGCGTGAGCCACCGTGTCCGGCCTGTATTTGTTTTCTAAACCCACATTTCTTCTAAGACCCTCTCCTTTCACTGTTCACTATAATATCATTAGTAAATTTGCAATGTGAACATCTTTACAAAGAAATGAGTTGGGACAAGTGTTCCTGATTTTTGAGTGCAACCGAAGAGGAGATAATTTTCTTTAATCAACAGATTATGTCGTGATTCTGAAAGTTAAAAACTCAACTAGCAAAAAAATTCTTAAAGTGTTACTCCCTTGAACGATTATCATTACTCTTATACAGACTTTTAATGGCATACTACTATTTGAATAATTTAATTCTCTTTCCTTTCAAATGTATATTTTTGACCTCTTTTCAACTGGATACTGCCAGTTTACTCTTTCAAAGTTTGTTTACTTGTAATAAGAAGGAAACTTCCCTTCTGTGGATCACTAAGACATTCTTGGAAGTAAGGTTGATCAGGTATATGCAGATATAAAGAGAAAGGCTGTTATTTTTATATGTGAAGACTCTGGCTGGTAAACTCTTTCTTTCTTCCTTCCCAGAATCCAGTTCTTATAAATTTTGAGTGTGTGGTATTTGTTGCTACAATTCTATCCAAAAAGTTGGTTAATGTTTCCTACATAAGAAAAAGGTAGTTAGAAAATAAAAGCCTTTTGTAACTAAAAATAAGTCTTAAAAAGGATATTTTGCAAGTTACATAAAAATTATAAAATATTATTGAAGAAAATTATAGAAAACCAGAATAAGTGAATTGCTATACCATGTTCATGGAGGAGAATATTCAGTTTTGAAAAGATATTAATTCTCCACAAATATACTTATAACTTCCTTTTCTTATTACAAGTTTTCTTTTGTGGAACAGAAAAAATAGATTTTTCTGAGACTTTATGAAAATGCAAAGACCCCTAAATAGTTACAAAACTCTGAAGAAGACTATCATGGAGGAACTTAGCTTATCATGTATCAAAACTTATTATAAAGCAATGGTAATTAAGATATTGTGACATTTGTTCAGGGATAGACAACTAAACCAGTGGAACAGAGAGCCCAGTAATAGCTAAGTTCATAGGAGAATTTACCGCATAGCAGCTGTAGCGTTGCTAATCAGTGGGAAATAGAGGGACTTTTAAGCAAATGGTATTCAAACAATTCACTGTCCATCTGAAAGAGGGCTAATAATAGTACCCTCAAGTCATGCAGTTGTTATAAGGATTATTTTAGTTTGTGACTTAATTATGAATGTAGGGAAGAATCTTTATATTTATTTTACTAACCAATAATATTTCTTATGCTATGAAGCCTCTGCTCATATTTCTTGCCATTTTTTAATGGTTTATTTCGCTTTTTCTGAATGTATTATGTGAACTCTTTGGAAATTAAGAAAATTAACTCCTTATCATAACCATTGCAAGTACTTCTTTTGTATTTGTCACTCAGCTTACAGTAATTGTTTTATTATACAGTGTTTTAAATTTTTATCTGGTCAGACATTATCAATTCTGGGTTTTATATGCTGTTTGAAACAAAGTATTACCTATTCTATGATTATAAATAAATTTCTGTCTTTTTTCTTCTTGCTTTTGTGTGGTTCTATTGTTCATCTTTGTATTCTTGGTCTATCTGAAATTCATTTAGTATGAGGAAGAAATGTACTTTGATTTTCTTTATAAAATTTTGTGATAGTTTTCATACATTTTTTCCAGGTTGGTTATCAATTTATTATCATTTTGCTGAATATACTAACACATGCTCCAAAAATATTTGGGATTTTGATTGGCTTCATGTTAAAATCATGGAAAAATTCAAAAAGATTAAAACATTTTAATTTATTATTGGAGAGACTCAATCGTCTTGATAACTAAAGACTATACCTCCAAAAATGAACATCTTATTGCGCTAGTGGGAAATGGTGTTAAGGTTTTCTGAGTTTAGAATAAGGCATTTCTATACCCCAGCTAGTTTTTAAGAGTTTAACAAAGAATGGCAGTATGGATTTTCAACTAATTTCCCTGACCTAAGTGCTCTTTTTAGTTTGCGGACAAAAGAGCAGGAGGAAACGAGTCAGGAAGGGAGGAAATGGGTGTGAATCATATATTTGTATATTTGAATTGGTCTTGAATTCCTTTCTACCACTATTTTTTATATAGTTAAAAAAGTCTCACAACTTTGCAGAATATTAATCTTATAATTTGCATGCTTGATTATTGTGCATTTACTAATTCACTTTTGTTCTTTATTTTGCTAACCTTCAAATATCCTGAAATTTTTTTTCTTCTGGAAGCCAAAGAATTGTTATTGTCATAGGCTAGGTTTTGGGACCATTTTACAAATAATTCTATTTTTGTTCTTCCTGGTTCCAGGGACTTGAAAGTATGTTAGTTCTTTCAAAATCTATAACTTTGTTTGTTAGAGTTCAAAATTAAATTTTCACTTATTGATAGAAGTGTAGCATCACTGAGGTTATACAACTCAAAGGTAAGTGGCAGAGAGAGGCCATACAGGGTTTTGTTCCTTTCTCTGCTTTATGGCCATGTAGAAAGGGTAAATCACATTTCCTGTTTCTACTTTCTTATCTCCCACTAATTCTGAGGAATTCTGAGGAATTCTGAGGAATGATTACACGTTTTCTGAAAGCAGGGATTTTTGTTTGTCTTATTCTCTGCTACATCCCATTGCCTAACACAAAGAAGGCCCTCTAAAAATATTGCTATATGAATGAATTGTGACTACATCTTTTTGAAATCCTGCTCTTAGGCTTTACTGACAAAGCTCTTGGCTTTCTTTCTTTTTATTCTCCTGAGGGTCTTCTGTCACCTGTCTCTTAGATGTCAAGTTTCCCCAAGGTAATGTTCTAAGCCTCTCCTTCCTCTATGTACTATCTCCACATAGTTGCATCCATGTCCCTGGTTTTAATGCTATGTATCATGAATGACTTCTAAATATCTCCAGTCCTGATCTGGACAAGTATTCCTTCAGGTGAGATTGACAAGCCACCATGATCTGAATCACCTGGAGTATTTGTATTGAAATGCAGATTTCTTCCTCACCCTACTGAGTAAGGATACTGAGTAAGAACTATGGCCAGGCATGCTGGCTCATGCCTGTAATCCCAGCACTTTGGGAGGCCGAGGCAGGCGGATCACCTGAGGTCAGGAGTTTGAGAGCAGCCTGGCCAAAATGGTGAAACCCCGTCTCTACTGAAAATACAAAAAGTAGCCGGGCATGGTGGTGGGTGCCTGTAGTCCCAGCTACTCAGGAGGCTGAGGCTAGAGAATCACTTGAACCCAGGAGGCAGAGGTTGCAGTAAGTGGAGATCGCATCATTGCACTCCACCCTGGGCAACAAGAGTGAAACTGTCTCAACAATGTTTACAAATGCTTTCTTTTGCTGAATGAGTTTTAGACACAGAATTGGCTAGAAGAAGACTCAAGAAGATACGGTCCATAATAGCCAAATGACTGTTACTGTAGGTATACTGAGGAAGAAGTGATGGTTGTAGGGGAAATGTCACCACAGATTTGGGACAATCTGGGCCTCAAAAGATAAGTAGGAACTGCAAACCATTTTCCAAATTCATCCACTTTCCTTCATCTCCAGCAATAACCTCCTAGTTCAAGCCCATTATCACTTTCCAGGTTAACTATGAAAGTAATAGTAATGATAATTAGGATTATCTTTATCATCATCAGGAGAACCAGAAGGAAAATGAAAAGAAGGAAGAAGACAAATTACACTGATGCCTAGCATTCATTAAATACTGAAAATATGTAAGACTCCTCTATGTGCCTCATAACTATCCCACAAGGAAGACAACAGTCTCCCATGTCTTTCTTCTACTATTGCTCCCTGCAATCCAACTTCCATGACGTAGCCAGTTTTGAAAATATAAGTCAGACGATACTTCTCAGGGCTGTCTACTACAGGTAGACTAGTCCTTCACAGCTCACTGGGGCACTTAGAATAATATCCAACCTTTTTGCTGTGGTTTACACTTCCCTCTCTGATCTCTTTCTCTTTTCTCCATCTTGCTGATACAACTGGCCTTTTGTTCTTCAAGAACACGATGTTTGTGGCTGCCTTGGGGCCTCAGCCCTTGGATTCTCTTTCTTCATCTCACCTGCTGGTTTTCCTTTTCCTATTAAGGTTCAACTTAAATTGCTGCCTCCTCAGCACAGCTTTTCTTCACTTCTCAATCTAAAGTAATCCTCCAGGCATCTGTCTCCCACTCTCAGAGCCACTGCTGTCCATTGAGCTCCATAGAGACAGCACTCAGGCAAGTAAGAGGCACTGTGCCTTGCTGAGGCAAAAGAACCAAACACAGGAGAAAGAGATCCTAAGAAGCCAAGAGGCAAAATATCATCATACATATTCTTTGTATAAACTTGTCAGGAACAGCACAAGAAGAGAACTCAGACGGTTCAATCAGCTTCTCAGAATTTTCTAAGAAGTGCTGAGAGGGGTGGAAGACCGTGTCTGCTAAAGAGAAAGGAAAAATGTGAAGACATGGCCATGGCATATGAGGCCCATTACAAAAGAGGAATGAAAACCTATATCCCTCCTAAAAGGGAAACAAAAAAGTTCAAGGATTGCTCAAAAATCAAAGGAGAACATCCTGGTCTATCCATTGGTGATGTAGCAACAAAATTGGGAGAGATGTGCAATAGCACTGCTGCAGATGACAAGCAGCCTTATGAAAAGAAGGCTGCAAAGCTGATGGGAAAATATGAAAAGCGTGCTACTGCCTACCTGATGCAGTAAAAAAGGGAATTGTCAAGGCTGAAAAAAGCAAGAAAAAGAAGGAAGATGAGAAGCATGAAGATGATGATGATGAAAAAGTTGGTTCTAGCAAAGTGTTTTTTTCTTTTCTTTTTTTTTTTTTTTGAGACGGAGTCCCGCTCTTTCGCCCAGGCCGGACTGCAATGGCGCTATCTCGGCTCACTGCAAGCTCCGCCTCCCGGGTTCACGCCATTCTCCTGCCTCAGCCTCCCGAGTAGCTGGGACTACAGGTGCCCGCCACCACGCCCTGCTAATTTTTTTTTTTTTTTGTATTTTTAGTAGAGACGGGGTTTCACCATGTTAGCCAAGATGGTCTCGATCTCCTGACCTCGTGATCCGCCCGCCTCGGCCTTCCAAAGTGCTGGGATTACAAGCGTGAGCCACCGCGCCTGGCCCAAAGTGTTTTTTTCTGTTCTAAAAAGCACTTACCCTGCCCCATACACAACTCACTCCTTTGAATTCAAACAAAAATGGAAACGTAAGACTGGATGACTTGTTTTAAAACTGTAGTGTCTTTTTTATATAGTTAACATACTACCACATGTGTCTTTAAATAGCCCATGCTGCTGGCATTTTCCAAAGCCATTAACCTTGCCTGGTACAGTACAGAGGTTGTAAATTGGCTTGGAAATATAAAGCACGTTCTTTGTGGTACACAGCACAAATTAGTTATATATAAGGATGGTGGTTTTTCTCATCTTTAGTCATCTCTGATGCAGCTTATATGAAATAATGGTTGTTCTGTTAACTGAATCTCACTCTGTAATTGAAAAAAAAGTTGCAGCTGTTTTGCTGATATTCTGAATGCTACTAAGTAAATGCAGTTTTTTATTAGTAAACAAAAAATTAATCCCCTAGCTTACATCTATCACATTGCCCCTTCTTTTCTTTCTTAGCATTTAATACTCTCCAAAATATATCTTTTTTACTCATTTATTTACTTATTTTTATTGGTATTCTTTGAGCCATAGGGATGGTTTCTCCTTGCAAACTGCTCACTGTAGAGTACTATAGTTACAGCCGTGTAGAGTACTTATCCATAGTAGAAACTCACAGGATGTTTTTGTTGAATGCATGGATGAAGAGTGGGTCAATGTTTGGAAACGTGGGGAGAATGTATGATAATCTGGGTTATTGACTCGTGTGAAGCACAGAGCACTGCCACTTTGGGGTACAAATAAAGACTAGATATTTTTCCTTTCCTCAATGGCTTACTATCCTCAGGAAATGAGCATGCTATAGAAAACAGATTTTCTTCCTTCTTTACAAGAAAGCAGCTCGGAAGGATTCTAAAAACCAAAGTAGGTGGCATATATTTAAACTCAGAAAGGGCTGTTAGGTCCACTAAAATCTACCCATCCAAGCCTTACTCATTTCCATATTCAAGAAATTGTAGGCATTTCTAAATGAAAGTGATAATTCAACTTACATACTTTGTGCCACAGATGCACAAATAAGCAGATCTTACTGTGAATCACATATTTGCATATTATACATATAGTATGATGTGTTAGTATTTAACTAGTGTTGTTGATATGTGTATAGAATATTTTTAACAGAAATTGTTTTAGTAGAAAAATTATTTATAGCCCAAATGTCCAGACGCAAACAATGAAGACAAACTAAGTCAATGGTAGCTTAAGAATGATTTGGCGAAGAAAAAAAAAATGTACTTCTCTATGTGTAATCTCTATGGATGGCTATAAAATCACATGTAAAGGACAGGCATTATCAAGTGTGGTATGGATCAGTCAATGGAGTGGAAATTTTGCGTGACTGCAAAGGTGCTTAAAAATCACTGGTCTATATCTCCCAAGAAGTGCCCAATTGTGATTTCACCATGGGAGGAGAGACTAAAGCATATTTGTAGATTAGGAACATATGGATCTCATTTGAGGGCTAGTGAGACTAAAGAGTTAATTGTGTATACATGTCAGTCATCATCAGTCAGTTAATTAGGCAACTAATACCTTTAGGGGTCATGAATCTAACAGGACTGAAGTTGACGGGGCGAGCTGACAGTCCAAGGCCTGCTACCTAGATAGCAGGTTGTGTGAACTAAGCCATTACTTGCTAGAGCAGATGGCACAGAGGAAGCTTAGCTCCTGGGTATTCCTGACTTGATAGCTACAGCGGCCCTCTGGAAAGCAGCAAAGGCAACCTCTCATGCACTTGTTATTTCTGTTAGCAACTGCCAGTCCATTTCACACAGGATCAGAGTGTAAATGGGATCACATATGCTGAATCCGAACAGGATCTCAGGCCACACCTAAACCAACCCCACATTTAACCAATGCAGATACTGAGCTCTAAGTTAGTGGCATGGTTGTGTTTAGAACCCACATTTCTGACTCATACTCCAATCTTTTGTTTACTCTACGGTGTGTAATTTTAAAGTTAAGCATTTGACAACAGGAATTTATATGTCTGTTCTCTAATCGATGAAATTGAGAAATCTAATTTTGCTGACTAAAATGAATACAGCAATCAGGATCTTAGCATGCAACTTAATGGAGTGGATCTTGAAAAAATTGTACCATGGAAATATAGATACCATGTATAAGACATTTAAACAGTATCCAGGAGATTCTTTTTAAAGCGGATAGTAGAGTTCCATGAGCTGGCTCAAGCCTGTAATCCCAGCACTTTGGAAGGCTGAGGCAGGCGGGTTGCTTAAGTCCAGGAGTAAGAGACTGGCCTGTGCAACATGGCAAAATCCTGTCTCTACAAAAAATATAAGAAATTAGCAGGATGTGGTGGCGCACACCTGTAGTCCCAGCTACTTAGTAGGCTGAGGTGGGAGAATCTCTTGAGCCCAAGAAGCAGAGGTTGAAGTGAGCCGAGATCCTGGCCCTGCACTCCAGCCTGGGCAACAGAATGAGACCTTGTCTTAAAAATAATAACAAAAAAAAACACAAACAAAAAATAAAATAAAATATATAGTGGAGATGTAGCTTAAAATTTTTTAAATGTCATTTTAAAAAAGTATGCAAAATAAATCTTTACACCATTGGTTTTCACTTAGTGGTCTAGTTGAGAAGCACCTAGAAAGTTTTAAAAAGCATACATGCTTCATCCCCAACACAGACAACTAAATCAGAATCCTAGGCGTGGATACTGCATATGTATGCTTTGAAACAACATCTTCATATGATTTTAATATATAAATTATGTCAACAATGGGGAAAATTGTACTCTTCTATAAACACTGGATAGAAAAATAAGAATTACAACATCTATGGTTTAGACAAGTGTCAAAACCCCTGTTTCCTACCAGATGTTCTACTATTCCAAACATCATATTACATCAATGGACTTTGCTGTGTTCAAATGCTGATACATAAAACAGTGATATTTCAATTATGTTTCGATTGGAGATGTTGAGACCAAAGAAAACCAAAAAATACATGGAAAACTCTAAAAATTTATTCGAGCTAGGAATTCCCAGTACTTCCTCACCCATGATATTCTTTGCCAAACTTGTTTCCAGGGAGCCATGCTGGCTGGTGTGACTCCTATATCCTTGAGTTCCCTTTGGCACAGAGTGAATAGTCATGTCATGATAATGCAGCAGGAGAGAGAAAGAAAAGGAAAAAAAAGGTCCAGAAAATTGACCAAGTGAATAATTATCTGTAAAGATACCAGAGTTGCCTAATATGAGGGAAAAAATTCACCCTCAGAAAATTGAAATGGCTGCTTGAAAAGGTGGTGAATGGTACCTGCCCATATCATCCGTAAGGTCAATAGTTCAAAGTTTCTTTTATACTGAGCTTAAGAATAGCATACACTTAAGAAAAGTTATTATTTCAGAAAAAAGCAGATCATAAAGAAATCTCCGATTTTTTTAATGGAGGCATATACATCCCTAAACAGAGGAACTGCTTTTATTTTATGTTAAAGTAAGAGTAAGCCAAGTAACTACCAACTCAAAGTCTGAGCTAGGAGTTGTGGGTTAGAATTTCACCAGAAATTTAAAAAGTCTTCGACACCATCTTTTCTCAGTTTGGCCTTCTACCTTCGAGTTTTATCTACAGGGATAAAGTTCTTTTCCTTGTGGCAACAGAACAAAAAGAGGAAACACACCTATGATGCCATGACATAATTGCTTTTTTATCATGGTTTGGGTTTCTGGCAGCTATCAATGCCTTTTGTTCTGGCGTGCCATTGGTACTTTCGGAGTAATCCAACCCAGCCATGACAGTTGTTATTGGATGGAATGTCTTCCTATTGGAGAGAATGCAGTGGGAGTCCACTGTTTTGTGTTTGGTTTCCCTTCTAGCAGCCTTGCCTTTCAATGACATCACTCACAGCACTGATATATGACTGCACTTCCCCAGCTGCCTGTTAGTGAAGCAAAGGTTACGTTCTATCTGGAGGCAGTGTTGTCATCAAAGAGCTCTATTTCACAGGTGTGACATTGCAATGAATAAAATTTTCTCCAAGTGTGCGAAAAGGCCAGAGCAACCTTTATAACAAGGAAACCAATGAAGCAGCAGGATTCCAATAGCCTCCCTAACAGATAACCGGTTTGGCTGCCTCTGATATCATCCCACTCTTCGGCAAAGAGTGACTGCTTTGTGTTCACCTTTATCTTTGTCTTGTTCTTTGGGACTCAAAACAAAACAAAGAAAAAGGCCCATATATACTCAATGAATGGACAGAATATTGATGTCCACTAGCCATTTATAAATAGTCTTTGTCTTCTTAATGACTTGTATTTCACAGAGACCGAGAAAGGTAGTTTGATAGAATCTTTAAGACAATTATTGTGAGAGTTTTAAAAATTAAAGAGAAACAGGCTGGGAAACACTCATAAACCCTCATGAAAATGTTCTTCTGTGTGTCATTGTATTTTTAGTAGTTTGGCAAAATGTTAATTACTGATTAGAGTAAATGATTAGAATCAAGTTTTTCATTTGCTGAGAAGATCTTTTGTCCCTCAAGCAACGACAATGATTTCATAATGGAAAATAGAGTTCTGTATGAAATTGCTTAACTAGAAGCAAGGTGTCTAAGTGGCTCAAACGAAATAAGCTGAGAAGTGTTGCAGTGGGCAGAAAATATTCACTTCTGTTTCCTTGGTCCATTTCAGCAAATGCTTATTTCATGGAGAAAGAACACTATTTCTCAGCACTCTCAAAATCCCTTTGCAAATTGAAAAGAAAAGAAAAGAAAAACATCCCAAAGCTCTTTTTTTCTATATTACCATAAATGAATAAGCTCCAACATAAAATAAACATACAAGAAGGCAGGAAGTGTTCTTGAATATGATAGTTTTACAAAGGAAAAGCGGGAAAAGTGACATTTGAAAGTAGGTCTCTGTGAAATGCTTTTCTGGGATAGGTGAGGAGGAAGAAAAGAGTCTCCCACCTCACAAGGCAAACCATTGGCAATTGGTGCTATGAGTCCCAGGTGGCTCTCTCTTCTTCCATCCCTCATTTTGCTGACTCTCTTGTCCATGCCATATTCTTAGCCTGGGGTCCCTTAACATTCCATGTTAAATTCCTACCTGGAATTATTCCTGTCTCTGTGCCAGAAAGGAGGGAGCAGAGACACTACATCAGGGATTCCAGGCAGAAATTTGTCCCCCTTCAACTTCTTAATTTTGGCATTTGTCTGTCTTCGGCTTCTTAATTTTGTACATTTTTCAGTATCTTCCTGATTTCCAATTTGCCTAGTTTCTTCAGTCCCTTTGCCCCACCTTATCTTGGCTGAAGAAGCATAGCATAATGAAGAATATGGGTTTTGGAGCTCTGAACACTTCTCTCCTGCTTTCTAGATGTGGGATCTTAATAAAATCACTTAATACTTGAAGCCTCAGTTTAAACAACTGTGAAATACAAGTGATGCTAACAAGGGGTTATTTTTATGATAAATGGGAAAATTTGGGGACTGTCCCTCACAATGCTTGATACATAGTAGGAAAGCAGTGCCTGCCATTGCCTCTCCCTCTCCTGAATTCTCCAGAACTCTGCTCTTCTGCATCATTTCCTGATTAATGTTTATTTTTTGGAAGATGAAGGTGTTTGAGCCAGATGGTTGGAAGGCAAGAGAGAACTTCCCTTTTGATATTTATTTGGGTGCATGTTTCCTTTCAAGATTTGAGTATGTAAGTGGCAGTCTTTTGGAAAGAGATCTCACATCATTCCACTTTAGATTTGTATTTTAAATTGTGTAAGTGTAAAGTAGAGCCAGTTGCTTTTAAATAGTCACTTCCAGAAATCTAGTATTTGAGACAGCTTACATTTCTTTTTTGAGATAGCTTAGATCTAGACTTAGCTAAGTCTCTGAGTTCTGGAACTACTCCCTTTTTTTGCTGTTTGGTCTCTGTATTGCCGAATTAACTTTCCACCTGCATCCTTCATGGAAAAAAAAATAGTGTTGCTCTTCCTCATTTCAGGCTCAAGGGTGAGAAGGTCTTGCTGCTATTGCTCCGTATATCATTTTTCCTTTCTTTCTGGCTAAATGCCCGTGCATTTAGAAGCATAAGAAGCATAATTTCAACCATGGTTATACATTAAAATTATTTGGGTAGATTTAAAAAGACTACAATAATACAGTTCTGCCATAGACCAGTGAAATCAGAAACTCTTGGAATTGAACCTAGGCATAGGTATTTTTAAAAGTCCTTTAGGTGACACCAAAATGCCTCCAGGACTTAGAACCAATTTAGAAAAGGGATATTTAGCCCTGTAAGGTGTTAAAAGAAAAATTTCAGTCACATTAAATTTAAGAGTTTAATTGAGCAATGAACAATTCGCAAATCGGGCAGCCTCTCAAGCCAGAGTAGGCTCAGAGACTCCAGGGCAGCCACATAGTGGAAGATTTATGGACAGAAAGAGGAAGTGATGTACAGAAAACTAAAGTGAGGTACAGAAACAGCTGGATTGGTTAAAGTTCGACATTTGTCTTATTTGAACACAGTTTGACCATTTGGCCACATTTGATTGGTCAAAACTTGGCGATTGGCACAAGTGTAGACTATAGTCTGTTTACACTCCCATTTAGGTTATAGTTCATGCTGTACAGAGAAACATTTAAGCCAGACTTACAATAGGTAAGGAGGCAGCTTTAAGCTAAACTTGATTTAACAAAGGCTAATAAGCCCAGTGTGAAATCTAATCTCAAACTCAAAATTGAATCTGGTATGTACCAGGATTATTTTTCCTTTGTCTTGCTGCTCTGTTTTGGATGCCTTGTGTTCCTTAAATTACCTTTTGAATTATTCTGGTATAGACACCATGATATGATATGTTGTTAATAAATAGTGATCGAGAACTAATTCAAAGAAAACCAAACACAAGCTTTCAGAGATGGAAGTTGGGTCTTGGACTGGTAAGTGGTGGTTAAGTCAGGAAGTCTGGGCTGGGGTGCAGGGATAAGATTTTAAAATAAATAAAAATGAAAACACAAAGGAGAAACCTCATCTTGGGAAGTGTGCACTCAGATTTGGGGAGAGAGGCATTCAGCCTTGTAACTGGTCTCTTGCATGTACTTTTGTTTCCTTACAATCTTATTTTCATATGAAAGCCTGCATGATCTTTTAAAAATGCAAATCACTCCTCTGCTTAAAACATTCCAATAGCTTCTCATTACCCAAAGATAATATCTAACTTCCATTTCATGGACAACTAGGGCCCCTGCTTACCTCTTTGTCCCCAACTTGTACCCTTCTCTGTGTTTCTCACTCTGCTCCAAGTAACATGGGCTGTCGTCTGTCCTTAGTAACACACACTCCCTTTTCACCCTGGGCACTTGCTCTTGTTCTCTCTGTTTGGAGTGCACTTTACACAGACCACAGAGACCAGTCCTGAACTCCTGCCCCAAAGCAGTACCCCTCCCACCACCTCCATCTCTCTCTCACATCTTGGTGGCTTTGCTTCAAGGTGCGGTCACATTCTGAAATTATCATGTTCATTTTCTTCCCGCTCTGGAAGGTGAGCTCTGCAGACAGGACTTTGTCTGGCTTGCACACTCCTGTGCCTTCAGCACATGCACAGCATTCAGCACCCACCGTTTGTCCAGAATGTCCCTTTAAGTAAATAAGAAAAAGCACCCCTCTTGACAGACACCAAGACAGACTGCACCCTACAAGCCCATAGTTCCGTGAATCTCTTTGAGAGATTTAGAACAATGTGTTTTCACATTTTTCACAATCTTAAGACTCCTTTGAGGTGTGCAGGCAGATAGTGGGCTGAATTTCAGCCCTTACTTGTTCTACACAATGGTAGGAGGTGGCCGAAGTATCTGAAATCAGGTAGGCATTCATTAAATATTTGTTTAATAAATGAACTTCAGGGGGTTGGTTGTGTCCATTTTCATCAGTGGAGCACGCTCTCCCTGGTCTGGATGCAGCAAAGAGACTCAGCAGTGAACCGGTGGTATGCTGGTAAATGGGTAACAACTGGATCTTCAGAAGAAACAACAACAGCAACAACAACAACCCTGATTTGTGGTTTTTGTCCATTTGTAGTGTTTGTGGTATAAATAATCAATTGAATACTACTAACATGATGTTAATTGATCACAAAATTCCTGAAACTTTAACAATTGTCTCTTAAGAGCTGGTACAAGCCAGTTACAACCAATCAAACTCTACCCCAGTGTTGAACCCTGGGCACCTCAGATTCTCAGTCAGAGGGAATGACAAATGCTAAAATTCCTTGCAGCAGAGGCAAAGATTGTTTATATACTGTCTGTTGGCATCTTATCGGTCTGAGGATCAGGAAATGGCTTATCTTCCAAGTGGAGGAGGGAGCTCCAACATGTTTTAGAAAATAGGAAGAAAACAAAATTAAGGCTGATACCAGTAAACTAATTCATTGAATCTCATTTTTGTCATCTACAAAATAAACAATTTGGACTGAATTCTCTCTATTTCAATTAAATAGGCTAGTATTCCCTATGCTGTATGAAGATTAAAGTGAGGATTGGGGAAAAGTAAAAACTCTGTGGTTTCCATGTGTGAATGAGTTTGTGGTATGCATGTAAGTATTATATTAATCTTTCTAAGCTAGTTAATAGTATATGTTTTTTTTCCTAGTTGGAATAAAATGATTTAGGTTAAATTTGCCCTGAAACTAAATTGAGACTTAAGAACTTTTCCAAATGCTAAGAACACTGTTTCAATTAATACCTGTCATACTTTTTATTTCTACCAGAGCCTGTAGACTGATTCTCCTCTTCACTTCTCCACATATTCCATTTTACATCCTTTGTTTAATTCTGGACTTCAGGCAAAAGTTAAACACATGCCCAGTATCTCAGACAAACAGAAACCCAAAGTGTCAAGTTGGAGGAGCATAAACCACTGTCATCAGGGGCTTAGTAACAGTTTTAAGAGTTATAATTTCTGACGTTGAGCTATCACTTTTCTGAGCAAACACTAGTGTTGAAATATATTATTACTAGCCCTCTCCCCACTCCAACCACCA
The DNA here is from genome assembly GCF_000001405.40 of Homo sapiens. NCBI lineage: Eukaryota > Metazoa > Chordata > Mammalia > Primates > Hominidae > Homo > Homo sapiens. Next base: position 125,275,153 of record NC_000005.10, read on the forward strand.
GAACAAACATCCAGCTTCCCAGAGAAATTTAAGTGTGCACAGATAAGACAGCAACCCTTTGTAGCAGCCTTTAGACAGGGGACACCAAGCTCTAATAGAGGCTGTCATCCTCACATGAGCCACTGAATCATGTTTATATATAACTTGCATATTAAAAAGCAACAGCCAATGTCAATGGTGCTGATATAAAAATATCTTAATAGCCAGTAACTGACTAATGAATACTACTGTAATAACAGTTTAATTTGAAGAATTCTGACAGCTGGTTGCTTTGTTGAGAGTGGTTTCCAAGGAGTCCTAGTCCCATGCTGAGAACATCTCTAGCCTGCTGATTTATAGCAGCAGTGCAGAACTGTTTAATGTCACCACCTCTCAGCTAAAGTAATAATAAACAGGAATGTTATGGTTTATTTTTCTGTATGAATTGTTCAGGCTCTGTGTGGTAAGTACCAACTCAATAGGAAATAATAGCTGTCATTCTCCTGGGAGTTGTAACTGGAGGTGAGCCTTTCTTCTTTTTATTCCCTTTATTTTTTTTTCTTTTTTATCAACAAGGTTTATATATCAGAATGAATGTAGAAGTTCTTGGTTTTGTGGTGGATTTATTTTATTCTTTTACATAGCTCTTGCTCATCCCATTCTGCTTAGCAAATGTAATTACTCTGGTTAAGATGTAGCTTCCCTATTATTTCTGAACTTCCCAAGATAGTTTAAAGCAGACAGCTAGGGCATGAAATATATGGTTCTACAACTATCTTAATTATACTGCGTGACTCTGTGTTTGATATGAAATAGCAATGTCTGGGAAGTGAACTTAATCTCTACAGATTTAGGACGATTGCCAAAAAGATTCATTGATTTTTTTTTCTTTTGCAGAGCGCAATCTTTTATTGTATAAATGTCAGAAGCTTCAAATTATTAGGAAATGTGTCAAGAAGCTCAAGGTATAATAACATTCTTTAGAGAGCTTGATTCTGAAGACAGTGCAATGAAATGTTCAAAAAGAAAACATGTCTTATGTTCTTAGAGAATAAAGCTCTGGGATTCATTTTAATTTGTCATTTTGAACAGGATGAGGCCTCCACTGGGTCCTTTGATGTGAAAACCCTGGGGATGATATACAGCTATTCCTCGGTCACCCCAGTGTCTTTATAAGCTCCAGATTGCAGAGATGTCAGCAGTCCTGCGAAAGATGATACTGACTTGGGATTTGAGGCTTCAGGGCTGAACTGTAAAAAATCACTGGGATTTGTCCAGGTGATGTCCTGAAGAGCAGGTCATGAAAAGAAGGAGACAATATTATGAGCTGTGTCACCCAGCTCAGAGAGAGCTTCTAGTTGTCCTAAAATCAAGGTGAAATCCTTATCATGAAGCAGTGTATTACTTACTATTTTATTGTAGTAATAGATAACCTACTCAAACCTGCTTAAATAACAAAGAGAATATAGTGGTTCACTTTTCTGAAAAGTTCAGAAGTTGGGTGGGCTTCAGGCATGTGGGATTCATAGATCAATGATATCATGAGAGTCTGAGCTCCATTTCTCATTGTTGTGCTCTACCCTGTGAGTCGGGTTTATTCCTGGCCTAGCTCCTCTGGCCTTATATTCTTACTCTCAACCCCATTGTTTGTCTAAACACCTCAAGGAAAAGTCTGAAGGTAATGCAGATTTGACTATCTCTTTTGTCAGAGAGCCCAGAGTCTCTGATTGGCTTAGCCTCATTCACCCTCTCCAGCTATGGAGCCTGATGGATGCCCACATGGAAATCAGGGCTGTTAGGAAGAGGGCAAGGGATGGCTGTGAGGCAGCCAAAGCAGAATGTTCAGAGATGGGCATGCTCTTCTTTCTGGAAAAGTAAAGTTGCCTCAAAGGCCAGAAGGCACAGATTCTATTGCATACCTCTGCACATCACTGTATTAACATATTTAAACTTGGCTGAACTCTCATTAATCAGTCTCTACTAGTTATTCAGTTTATCTTTCAAGGCTTCATAGCATCAGTTCATCTGAACTTTCCAGATCAGACTTCTGCTATTGCTCAGCTGTAATCCTACTGATATGGATTAGGTGTGTATCCACACCCAAATCTCATGTTCCATTGTAATCCCCAATGTTGGAGAGGGGGTCTGGTGGGAGGTGGTTGGATCACGGGGGCAGATTTCTCATGAATGGTTTAGCGCCATCCTCTTGGTACTGTCATCCCAATAGTGAGTGAGTGCTCATGAGATCTGGTTGTTGAAACGTGTATAGCTCCGACCCCGTTGCTCCTGTGCTAGCCATGTGATGTGCCTGTTTCCCCTTCATCTTCTACCCTTATTGTAGTTTCCTGAGGCCTCCCCAGCAGCTGAGCAGATGCCAGCACCATGCTTCCTATACAAACTGCAGAACCAAGAGCCAATTAGACCTCCTTTCTTTATAAATTACCCAGTCTTTGGTATTTCTTTATAGCAGTGCAAGAATGGCCTAATACACCTACATTCTGACTGGGCTATTCTTATCCTACCTCCATGCCTTTGCTCTTACTCACTCTTCCCCCATTCTTATTTGTTTTTCTCTGACTAATCACATCTGACTCAGCCCTGAAGGTTTATTGGAGGAGGCATATTATAGTGATTTAGAGTGTAGGTGCTGGAGTGAGACTGCGTAGGTTCAGATTTAGCTCTATTGCTATGGAAATTTGCAAGTTACTAAGCCACAGTCAGCCATGATTTCCTTGAATTTAAAATGAGAATATAATGGTACCTAAGTCAAGTGTTGTTGTGAGCATTAAATGAGTTAATATGTATAAAAGAGTTAGGCCAATGCCTGGCACTTGGCAAGAAGTCAATAAACATTGGCTATTATTTTAATGCACCATGAAATCATTCCCCAACTAGCCCATGTCTTTCCTTCCTTTAAACTACTGTACTGTTTTGGCCTGAACTCCTCATTGCACTCTTGAACACTCGTTAATTTGAATGGCCAGATAACTTTATACGGATAGGAGGCTTCAATTAAATACTTCTTGTTTCTCTGCACAGAACATAGTTAAATGCCATAAACCTATATTGTAGATATCTAACAACTGTGCATTGAAGAAATGGAATGTGGCTGAGAGTACTCCTATGCATGTTCAAAAAGGATCAAAGCTGGCCAAAACTACCATGTAAGAAAAGCCACTGGAAATTAATCTCTTCAATCAAATATTGCTTTGTGTACAATTAAAATATTATGTCTCCAGAGCTAGTAAAATGCTGACCCGTTTAAACCCATATAATTCAGGTTTAAAACCTTCATTCTTTAGTCAGACTAGATTTACTGAGAACTATGTCGGTTCCTCCCCTCTAGCATATTCCCAGGCAGTTTACTAGGTGCAGGGAATATGGTAGTGAATAATACAATCTCAGACCTAACAGAGAAAGTGAACATTAACTATTACAGGTATGAAGAACTATAAAGGAAATGTACAGAACCTATGTACTGAACAGACATGGGGTTTATCAGTTTGGGAAACAGCACATGCTCCCTTCATTCCCTTGGCATATAGATGGATGTGTGCATTATTTCTGCACAGACGGGGCTGTTATATGTACCCTATATATAGATAGTAATATCTTATATCTGTAGAATGCTGTACACTTTCTATATTACTTCCTTATTTCTCATTTGTTACTCTTCATTATGTTGTCAAGAAGTAAAGATATTGTTCTGTCCCAATGAAAAGCTGAGCGGACTGAAGTGCAGAGGGGTTCAATGCTATTTTCAAGATCAGAGACTGGGAGACGGTTGGAGCTGTGGGTGGGCTTTAGACTGCTGACTTCATGCTCAGTCATCTCTCCATTGTACTCCCCTTTGTGTCCTTCCCCCATCTCTTCCACTATCAGCTGCTGATTATGTGTGTTTGGTGAGGAAAAAGTGGTAAATAGAGCAAGTGTGGCAAATAATAATACCTTTTGGAATTATCCAATTGGACATAAAAAGGGAGCAGGCTTAGAACTCTGTAGCTGGATTCTTTAGTACAGAGGACATCATTGCAATTTCCTTACCTTGTTTTGGGAGTTGAAAAACATTGCCTAAAATTTATAAATTTTTGTTCATTGCAGTTCCAAGAACAGGAAGGACATTTATTGTCATAACATCAGTTTGTTGTAAATGATATTCATCGACCTAGATTTCTCTTCTATCTTTTACATGCTAACCCCTATTCATCCTTAGAGGCAGTTTAACTGTGACATCCTTCAGGAATCATTCCTGATAATTTTTAAAGTCCCCTTTCTCCTCTGCTAAGTGATATGCTCCACTGCTGAGCTCATACATTATCTGGGCTTACTTCTCCATCGTCCTAAAGAAGCATGAGTTCCTCAAAGCAGAATCTGTGCCTCATCCACCTTTGTATCATTAATGTCTAGTACAGTACCTGGCACAGAGTAGTTCCTTGAATAGTTAATGAATGGACGATGTTCTATCTGCAAAACTCTGAAAGATGCATAGTTTGGCATTTCACTAGATCCTGAATCACATCATCTTTTGTCTCAGCTCCTCAAGATTGGCTAATAACACCTTATTGAAAAAATATATGAATTAGCAAGGGAAAACTGAATGTGTCATGCCAGAGTGGTAGCATACTTCCAGTACTTCCATCTCACCACATCTTTCAGAAAATAACACATGATTCTGTTGCTGTCACCAGTGTACAAACTGCTGCTTAGTAGGGTTTTTACACAAATGAAGAAGCAATACAATTCAAAAGTCGTAAGTATAATGGCTCATTACAATCAGCTGTGAACTAAAACAGGAACAAAACTTGTTGCACTAACTTTTGCGATCAAATTTTAGAAGGTTTTGGAAAGAGGGGTGGGGGAAGTGGGGACAGGGAAAGACAAAAGGGGAGTAGAGAGAGATGAGAGGAGGCAAGGGAGCAAAGAAAGGGGGAAGGGACAGAAAGAGCAGAGAAAGAGAGACAGAATGAGACAGTGCCATTCAAATAACTTTAAAAAGTTTAGCTCCCAAGCTATATTCTTGGACTCCAGGAGAAAAATTAATTGCAAGGAAATTGTTCAAAATTCAAGTGTACATAACCCTTTTACCTACAGGAAATTAATAGTTGCCTTACCTATGGACTAAAGCCAGAAGTTGAGGAATAAGAATAGTTTGAGATTATACACAGGCCTACAAAAAGAGCTAGATGGGAAGTCAGGATATGTGGGTTTCAGGTATGACTTCATGGCTCTATTACTCTTTCTTTGTAATGAGAAAAAAGAATTTTGGGTTTTGGTCTAGGTGCCTCAAAGGCCTCTTCTAGTTTTAAAATGTCATGTTAGAGAAAAAATATTTTTATAGGAGTATAAAATTTACAAAAATAGGTAACATATGCTATGGACAAAGAGAATTCAGATTATGATAAAACAGAGAAAACTGAGGTCCCTAATATACCAAATATTACAGAAAAGAAAGACTCTTTACTCCAGATGGCTAATTGAATAGAAGATTTCTGTGAATGCACATGAAAATGGCAAGAGTAGACATAAACTTGGTGTGAAATAAATCAGAACAACCATGCATTTTTTTACAGTGTAGAAACTTGTATTTATAAACAAGGAAACAAGAAAAGTGAAGGACAGAATAAGATAAAGGAGCACATGTAACTCATATATTCTAGGTTCAATGCATTAGTGAAAATGACAGATAAAAAGAAATTTTTTCTCCTTCTTGGATCCATTACAAGGTATTTGTAGAGACTGAATACTATTTCAGCTAATGTGTGTAGAAGCTCTGGATTTTCCTACTAAAAACAGCACTTTTTTTTTTTAACAGTCTGACTTTTAACAATCAGAGATTAAATGGAGCATGTGTTGAGACTCTCCATCTTTGGCATTCCAACTGTTTTTTCATAAAAATGAAAAATAAAAAACACAAAATGCAAAAAACACTGTATCACATAAATAACACATTAGTTGCTATTTCTTCTGCTTGATGAGACTTTTTCTTGATTCAGTCAGCTCTATATCTCTGGCACAGAAAACCTGGGGAAAGGGGATGAAGGGATAGCAAACATGAAATCAATTCTTGTTCTCATTAAGTGAATTCTTTCACATTAAGTGAAAGAAAGAAAAAGATAACAGATTAGTTGTCCACCACCAAATTGCCTGGATGGTAATGGACAGAAAAAAAATGAAATGGCATAAATTGATATGATTATCAGTAGATTTACATCCAATTTCTGAGCTCTCGATGAGTGTGTAGCTAACTTAGTATCACGAAGCCATGGCAAAACTACTGCACATTATTTACATCAACAACAAGCCAGCACAAACTGAGGGCACAGATTCCAGTTGCTGCTAAAATTGCTCCATCCTTGACTTGCAGGGCAGAGTTTCAGCTATGGAACAGCCAAGGAGGCTTTAAGGTCTGAGACAACATTGTGCAAACATTTTATATCCTATAAAACAATACGGAAAGATCCTGTGTTCAGCAACAGAGAAATCTAGATCAAAAGAAACATTTAGAATGAGCAGTTTATGTTGAATTCGACTCACAATGAACAATGTCTTGAGAGAGTTGTCATTCTTGTCACAAACTTTGCAAATATGTGACTCTGCTGTCCATTATCCCAAAACCCACATACTGTCCTTCATTTTCTAAAAGCAAGGAAAATTGCAGATGGCAACAACCTGCAGAAAACTAAATAGCAACTTAGTAATGAGATGTTTGAAGGAATCATGTTGAGACAAACCAGACTCTAGATAAATCAGCCTAAGTATTTTTCACTTATTGTTGAGGATCTCCATGACCACAGTTTTTGACATGGAAAGAACCTGTGAGAGTTCTGGATGACTGTTTCCAAGAGTAACTAAAAAGTTGTTGTTTGTTTTTCCCCCCCAGAAAGTCAAACACCATTTTTAGCTAAAAGCCAAACAATAAGCATATTAGTAACCATTAGGTGATTTCTAGAACTAAGAATGTTTTCATTTCTTTTTGGTTTCTAATTTAAAAAAATAACATCATCAGTTAGTAGGGTGTACTTTAAAATAAAAAATAAAAATCAAAGGATATGTTTGTATTGTATAGAAAAATGACTTTCTGGAATTTTATTTAGCTCAGTAAGGCTCACAATGAAGATATACACGATAAGAAACTCAGTATTCCTCAGATGAATATTGAGACTTGAATGCTGTTTTGTGATGTCTTCATATATTTAAATATATAAAATGGCACATCAGCAGACTAAGATTTCTTGACAAAATCACCATTAGATTATAGATATCTTTCTTTCAAGGTTGACCCTTCTCTCCTATTTTAAAAAATTTTGATTATGAAAAATTTCAAACATGCCGCGAAGTTAAAATAGTATTGTAGTGAACATCTGTATACTCATCACCTAGATTCTACCATTAACATTTTACTGTATTGCTTTATTCTCTATTCATTTGTCTGTCCATCCTCCTAGGTATCAATCAATCCATCTTATTTCTTGATGCATTTCAAAGTACGTTGCAGACTTCAGTACATTTCCCCCAATTCTCCATTAGGTGTATTAGCTAGAATTCAACATTTCTTTACAGTTTTATTCTTATGATTAAAATTGATGATCAATAAAAGACACATATCTTAAATGTGAATTCTGTGTTTTGAAAAATGTATGCATCAGTGTTACCAGAACTATCACAATATTAAATATTACCATCACTCCAGAAAGTTCCCTACACCCCTTCCCAGTCAGTACCTACTTTCTGCCCCTCAGAAGCAATCATTGTTCTTATTTTTGTTCCCACCAAAGATTAGTTTTCTTTAGAGCATCCTTTGAATGGAATTATACACCCTTTGAATGGAATTATATGTATTACCTTAACTCTGCCTACTGCCCAAGTCAACCTGCATTCTGAAACTTATCTGAGTTTACATAGAAAACATGCAATTCATTAATTCTAATTCTGCTCTTGCATAAGTCGTCTTTCAGTTGGCATGTTGTTTGGTGTATCAGTAGTTTGATATTTTTTATTGCAGAGGGAGATTCTGTTATGATTATACCAAAATTTGTTTATTCATTCTATTTATGAACACCAGCACTGTTTCCAATTTTTGGCTATTATGGATAATGTTGCTGTGGACATTTCTATATAGATCTTTAGATCCTGCATCTTATTTCAGGTTCCCAGTCTCTCCCCACAAAACTGACAGTCCATTGGGTTTATGTAGACAACTGTGTACTTCAGACTACCAAATAAGTTTCCATTTCAGGCCCTGCTTGGGCTTGATAAATTCAGTGTAGCACTTTTTTTTTTTTTCATCAAGCATTTGAGCACAGATGGAAAGAATAAAAAAAGAAGAAGTAATGACCTTAGGCATATTCTTGAAGTGTGAATGCACTGTTTTCGTCAAATAACTTCTATGTGAAATATCAGTTTGCAATTCTAGGAGGAAAAAAAAATAAAAGAATTGTTGTATAATCTCTGTACTTCTTCCATAAAGATTGACTGTGACTTAAAATAGCCTGGAGTTATTAATGCTGTAAATCTTTCTGAAAGAGATTTCAGTGCTTGTTCTTCTTGCTCTCAAAAAACAAAACAAAACAAAAGTATAGCTCTCATATAAGTGACACAATTTCGAACTCTATCAAGATTAGTCTGTTTCTAATGCCCAGGGCTAAAATAAATTGTGAAATTCTTAAATATTTATTTAAATAACTGAAAGTATTGTAACAAAGTTTGCTGGTTTAGATAGACCGTTTCAAATGGGCCACCTGAATATTTGAAACTTTGACTTCTGTAAGACTATACAAGGATGATGACCATATTATTGAATCAAATTCTTCAAAGAAATTAGAAACAACTACTTATGTGTAATTATAAGTTGCAAGGGGGTAGTTGGGTAGGAGTAAACAGAAGGGTTTCTCCTAATTTATGCAGTTTTATGCCAAAGGTTATTAAAATGTCATCTAAATTCTTTTTTCTGGAAACCTATGACTATATGATCACACAATTGAAAATCCTGCATAAATGTCATAGAATGAGTCTTCTAAAATATGGAATAATTTTTAAATTATGAAATGTCTAGAGAGATTACATATTTATTCCATGTATTTAAAAAATAAATGTAGTTATCTTTCTATTTTGTCTCTATCAATTCACCTACAATATTTCACTTCTAACACTTCTATTTTTCAGGAAGAAAAATGGACGCTATAAGCTATTACAAGCAAAAAGAGATAAAGTTGTTTCATTAGATTAATATCAAGAAAGGGAAGTGCATGCACAATGCATGAGATCTATAGAATGATACAAATTATTACTAATCTTACTGAAATGAATATTATATCAGCATTTGAAGTGACAGTAATAGCAGATCCTTTAAAATTTTTGTTTTTATTATTATTTTTTTTTAAATAGATGAGAACAGAAAACAGGGTATGGGTCAGGTGAGCCATCTGGCACTAATTTTAACCACCATGGAGGAACCAATAAACCCTGTACTAATATTCCAATCTCTTCACTAATGGTGATAATCAGAACATCTGGTTAGGGTTTTCCTTTACTAGGGTCTCCTGCAAAGATTGTATTAGGTAGAGAAGTTCCTGTTGAGCTGTGTTGACTATCAACAACAGCTTCCTCCACCCTGTCTCTGTCTAACTCTAGCCAGACATATTACCTTACCTCTGCCTACAGCCCAAACCAACCCACATTCTGAATCTCATCTGAGCTTACATAGAAGGCATGCAATTCATTAATTCTAAGAGCAAAACACAGTTTCTACTAATTTTGTGCCTGTTCTTAAACTTTTTGTCTAAACTCTGATTTCTTGTTTTCTAGACTCTATCTTGGGTTTCTGCTACCATATTGCTCAGAATCTACTTTGGGAGCTGACCCTTGGTTCTTCACCCTCCTCAATATTTCTTCTCTGTGTTCTCAGACATTCTAGATTTAGTTCTTGTTTCTCTAGCGACCCTTGATTGCTTCTTTTTCTCTACACCTCTTAACCTGCTTGGATTGCACCCAAGAGTTTAAAATAGATGATAGATAGATAGATAGATGGATAGATAGACAGACAGACAGATAGATAGATATCTCTCCTTTGGCCAATCCAAATTATAAGTCTAATTAAGTATAGCAGAATTCTCAGAGCAGAATTCTGAGGTATGTGGATTCTACTTTGGACTTACCATAATTAGAATTCTGATCTGGGATTTCTGTTCGTCTATACAATGGGAAAGCCATATAGCCAATTTTGTTTCCAGTTATGGCATTCTGTAATAGTATATATATCTTTATGGGAATAACAATTATAACCCACTGTGTGCTACTAAGTAGGTTCAAATATATTCAAAGTTCTCCAGTTACAATGACTATCCCCAAATAAGTGAGAATATCTAGTCAATAGACATTTGCAGTAATCTCAACCTGGCTGCACATAAGAAATATATGGGGAACTTTTACAGAATGTATTGCCTGGGTTCCATTCAAACCAGTTAAATTTAGACCCTGGGAGCAGATATATATATTTTGTAAAATCTCCCACATGTGATTCTAATGTACAGCAAAGATTGTGAACTACTGCAGCAGTCAACATGAGTCAGCTTATTGGACACAGATATTTTTTAAATGACCATTTAAGGAGTAAATCAGACAACATATTTCCTGGAACAATATGGAATATTAATAAATGCATGAATTCATGAAGTAAAATGTCCTATCAGTGCGGACAAAGCTTACCTTTTAGAAAATATAAACATAATGATTTTTGGCCCTAAACTTTATTTGACTCTTATATACATACTGGTTTATCTAAAAGATAATAACTCATCGATCTTTGAAATATGATAGAGATTCTAGTCTTTGGGAAATTTTTCCATTTCTCCTAATAATTTAGTTATATACATTATTTTTAGTCAATAAGTCAGTAGGGTTGTGAATGGGGTGCTAATATCACAGACCTGCAAAGAGCGTTGATCAGGAAAATCACCTGGATTTACTTGATTGATAATGAATTGATCTCATTACCTTTCCACACTCTTGCTCTTAATAAAATTTCACACATATTCACACAAGTATAAAATAATAAGAGCAGAGGACAAAGCCCATGAGTAAGATAAAATGCATAACAGAAGTAATCACTGTGTATTACTACTGCAAAAATCAATAAAGCAAATATGTTATTCTTTTTAAGTGTCATATTACAATAATGTTTTTCTGAAGACTGTTGTCTGCATCCAGTTTAAAAAGGCATCTGCTTGTGTTTGCTTAAAACAAAAGGGTGGTTGATTTAATGAATTATTTACAGGCATGCAATATGGCAACAATGTCATTATGAACTCTCTTCTAAGGTCTCCTCTGGCTACTCCTGGCAGGGTGTCAATTTGCTTGTTTTTATGGTAGGTGCACGAAATTGTAAAGCTATTCAGAGAAATGAGATTTTACCATCGGACTTACTAATGCACACAAACCCAGTAAGAAAGCCCCGGTGACAAGAATGGCAAAACATTTATTCGGCATTAACAATGTGTAATGTGGAGTTTGAGTAAAGAAAGAACCATTAGAATTACATAAAGCTGAAAGCAGCGTTGAAAATGGGCTTAAAAAAAATCAGGACAGACCTATGAGAGGAGCTGAAGAGGAAAAAAAAGTACACTCTGTGACCTCTTTCTTCTTCCTGCCATATATACTACCTATCAGTATCTATATGATAAGGAATTATTGGGAGTGTTTATGTATTTGCACCCGGTGATGAAATATAAGAAATTAAATGAACTTTGCTGTTCATAAAAAATGAAACAAAAGGCTTACAAAGAAAAGTCATAAATACGAAGTAATTTGACAGATTTAAAATCTAATTATTTTATTTGGCATCATCCTACCAATCCCAAATTTTCTAAAACCGCCTTCTATTAAGCCAGTGTACCTAGAGTCTAAACAGACAATGTATGAAGGCAAGTGGCTGTTAGTCGGAAGCATGTCAGAATCCAGTGGAGGCCAAAAAACCAAAATCCCATAGAGATTTTAAACTACTTTCACATAAAAACCACATGTAATTTGGAACAATTTCTTTACTCTAATCAGTGATCAATGATATTGTCTGACAGAGTGATTTGATTGTACTAAAATTTCGTTTTTATAAAAAAATGAAGAGAAGATGTTTGTAAACTAAAACCAGATACTACTGGTAATTTCTTCTGCACGAGCCTACAATGCCAGTCCTAGAATACAGGGAAGGAGCTCTGAAGAGAGCGAGTAGGAGTTGTAGCTCTGTATTCATTCTTCCGAAACTATTTGGCGATCATCTCTGCTAGGCCTGGGAAATGCAGTGGTGAAAGACATCAATATTTTCCTTGTTCAAGAGCATTATAATATGATGGGGAATTTTCATTTGAAGATTTGATGGGCTTTCTATGTTAGAGGTTTTGGTAGAGAACCAGTATTTTTAGCTTAAAATGTTTATTACACTCTGAGGGTCATAATAGTTTAAAGCTATCATTTCATATTTGAATCAAAGACACCAAAAGATAATTATAGTAGATTTTCATATTAACTGTTTCAAAGACAAACTCTTAAATGCTAACGAGAAGTGAACAAAGTGTAAAAGAGTATGATTTATGCTTAATGCTTGAGCTACATACCCTCTCTTGATGGTCTGAATAACAGTGGTATGATTTTATTGTGAAAATCATAGCCAAGGAAAAGGTGCCTCTGGTGAATTCGCAGGGCCAGCATATAAATGCAAATTGTAGCTGCAGCATTTTCCATTTTGAAGATGGAAGAAAATCAGGAAAATCATCCCCTTTCCCACAGCGAGTAATGCCGTCTCTGACTGACATGGCTTTGAGACTCTGATCAAAGAAAGTAAGAAATTAGCAACCATCAGACCACTGGGTAGGACTGATTAATTTTCTCTGGCTCTAGTCACAGATCAAATTCACCAGAATATTGCCAAAATACATTTGCCCTTCCTTAGTCCTAGATAAAAATTTGACACCGGGGTTGCCAAATCTAGTGGGCTTATCTTTTTATGGTTCCTGTAGTCATGTTACTTTTGTACTCTGAGAGCAGCAGGGTAGAAAGGGCTAAGAGCATGGGCTCTGACTTCCAGAAGTCCGGGGTGTGAGTCTTGACCCTTGCCATGTATGAACTATACAGCTTTGGACAAGCTGTTTAATATTTCTGAGCTCCTGTGTTTTCATTAGGAAATTTGGAAAATAGCAATTACTATTATAAAAATACCTAAATAATAGATTGACATTAAGTTTAACTAAGATAATTAATGTAACAACTCTTAGTCTAAAAAGTGTAATACAAGCTCACAAATATTAGACTTTTATTTTTATTTTAAATGTTCTAGTTTCCCTACCAATATCCAACCCCTGGCAATCTTTTAATACTGAGTCACCATAGCAATTTGTAAGTAAGCCATATGAGACCCCAAGTCTACCAGTTGCATGCCTGGGAACCATCACACAAGAGAAAGGCAGAAGAATGGCATTTGAAAATTAAATCAAATTTTCATGTGCTGACTATAAACTCTAACTTCTATGAAGAACTGAAGGATTTATCCCTCTATTTGCATTAATTCCACCCCCAACCAGTGAGAACTGTGATATATGCATCAAGGGCAAGGGCAACAGGGCCACCCCACTCCAGGGCACCTCGCAAAGAAAGAGGTCAAGGGCTCTTCCTGCTGGAAGAGTACTCTTTAGACTGGTTTCCTTCAGGATTTATTTTCTCTTTGGAATATGTGCATTTTCTTCTTCAAATTTCTTCATGTTAGTTTGTCCCTCCTTCTCTCCTAAGCTACAAGTAAGGGACTTAACATTGTCTCTTGTTTGGGAAGAGTTTCTGAAATGGGAGATTCACAACTCAGATGGGATCCACGGGAAAGAAACAAGGGAAGCTGTGCTCTAGGGGGAAGGACTTTTCCATGCATAGGATTTTCACTTTACTATGTGGTTATGGCTCAAGGACAAAAACCAAGGAAGAGAGGCCAATGGGATCTGTGTTCCTTTAGCCAGCAAGGTAGGAGACCACAAAGGGTCCAGAGACTCTAGAATTAATTAAGAGTTCACTCACTGAGAGGATCTCTTCTGCAGTAGCTATTTTTCAGAAATATCTGGGTGTGGTATTCAGTGATGAAGGGTTCCAGGATTCTAATTCTTTTAACATACTCTGGAGTATGAGGGAACAGAATTGATGTTTATTATCAATAGTAAGAAATGCCATTTAATTAAACTCTTTTTGGAAAATCAAATTTGACTTATATCTTGCTCATTTAACTTCACTGTTTTTACTGGCTTGACAAAACAATGCTATTAATAATACCTGTCATATAAGGCCTATAATCAGCAAAAAAACAAGAAGTGAGGAATCAAATATACATTTTTTCTGACTCCCTTATAGTTAATCTCAATTTCATATTTATTTTATATTTTTGAAAGAAATAAATTTCAAAACAACCTATTCAAAATGTTTTATAAACCATTGTAATGCTTTTTATTTATATAGGTTATACATTATTATTTTTAAAGGATTATACTTTAAAGTATGAAGTAAAAACAAATATATTATTGTATACAATTAAAACAATAATAATCCCAAGTTATTATTATTTCAATTTAACAGATAAATGAGCTGATACTTGGAGAAGTTTTAGCTTGTGTAAGATCCCAAAGTTAATAAGTGATAGAATTAGGAAATGAACCCAGGTGCCCTGAGACAAAGTTTTCAATATTTTTTGATTACACTGCAGTTGACTTTTTGCTATAGGATCCAGGTAGTGAGGAATATTGTATCCCAAAATAGAAAAATAAGTTTGTATCAACTAATTTTTAGCAGTAGAATGCAGTCCTCATGTGAAATATCATGCATAAAATGAATAAAATTATGTGGGTGAGCATCTGCTTGATCCCCTCATCTTGCAGAGGCTCTGAGATGCTTCAACTAAATCCAACGGGCTTCCTGCAATGTGGTTTGAAGACATTTAGTGCCTAGCTCTATCTCATCACCTTTGTGCATACTCATGTGTGGGCAGGCTGGCTATATAGTTTGTGAGGTCCACTGTGAAATGGAAATGTGGGGCCCCATGTTTGAAATTATTAAGAATTTCAAGATGATGACAACAGAACCAAGCGTGGGCCTTTGTGAGCGCAAGGCTCTGTGCAATTGGATCGGTCACATGCCTGTGAAGCTGGACCTGTTTGTGGACCAGGATTTACCTTCAAACCCCTTTGCTAAATAGTGCCTAGACCAGGATCTTCATCTTTTATCAGTGATCCTTACCTTTCCCTAATTCATTCTCCTATTCATATGTATATTGGGGAAAAGTCACTGAAACAGTTAAAATTATATTGTGATAGAGGCGGCAGAAAGGAGAGTTATATGTGTTCATATCCATGTCTTCTGAGTTTCATTCTCTGGGGGTCATTTTGGAGAAGAGGAGTAACTTTAAATAACTTGAAAGGACTGTTGCAGGTAGTCATTTCTTCCCTTTATTTGTATTTGGGATTCTAGGAGGACACTTTCTTATTTCATTCAAGGATAGATCACATCAACCCGGTGCTGCACCAAGTCCAGGCAGGGGGAGTCCTTAACATTTAGTTTTCCGCTGCTTCTCTTGGTTTCTAAGTTGTGTAGACAGAACATATAGTAGCAGAGAGAGAGAGTTTGATTGAAGAAGGGGCTAGAGGGATTGCTGGTGTGGGGTAAGATGGCTCTCTGGCAAGGGCAACTGTGGGAATAACCAAGACTGGGCTGAATAGAAGTCATAGCCACACCTTACAGAAGTCTGTGGAAAATGCACAAACCCAAATAAGATCAAAACCACCAGAGAGTGGTAATAGGCCCCGACTGAACTAAGTCAAGGTGGTAAGTTACCCCAGCCACAGAATTCAGCTGTGAACACCTTCAGGACCAGCAGCACATGGATGCACAAGTGACAAATTGCTTGGGGACAAGGGCTCTGCTTCTTTCCCACTCACTCCTGGAAGCTCTCAGAGGCTGTACCTGTCAGCGAAGGGCGGGGGTTGGGGTGGTGGTGGAAACAACCTCTGAGCAAAACATGCTGACTCCAAAGACTAAACTCTGTGCAAATGGGCTGTTTAAATGATCAGAATAGATTGTACTTTAGACAGGATTTGACGTTCAGCAAGTTTTTTTCCTGTTGAACATTAGGCTGGAGTTGGGAAGTTGGTGAGCAGAGTGTGCATAGTGACAGGGCCGAAAGCTTAAATAGTTTAAGACAAAATGAAGTATTTATGTTTTCTTTGCATATCTGAGTTTTGCTATGAGTTAAATTTGGTGAGTCGGCTACATGTGATTAAAAGAAAAATAAAGCAAACAATTTCAAACTGTCTGCTAAAATTCCATACACCCCAGGACTCTCTCATGTGGGAAAATCTGGCGAGGAAAGATTTTTCAAGATTTGATATTACTCCCTATATTTATCCAGTGGCACCCTGTTTTTTCAAAGTATAATTTTCCCACCTCTCTTCTTGCGAAATATAACACATAAGACAGCAAAGTGCATTAAACAGTGCCAGGTTTTTCGTGTTTTCTTCCCAGCAGTGCCCTGGAAAACTGAGCCTGCCAAGAACAATGTCAGAAACATCAATTGACTACAGTGACAACAACATACCCAGAAGGCAGGTTGTCTGACAATAAAGTTGCCAAAAAAGAAATTGCTGTACCTGTGGAGACTTTTAGTAGTTCCACGGAGGTGGTCCATAACCAATAATAAAGGCAGCACAGAGCAGCCAGGCATTCTTTTTTAACCCATTGGGAGCTTCCTGAGGATTCTCAGACATTTGGCTTTGCTGGGTCATCAGGAAAGATACAAGTCTTACCTATAGAACAATGAACATTTTACTGAGAAAACAACGATAGCCATGAAGCACTTCCTTCCTCAGCCCATCTTTAAATTTCATTTTGGCCAATGATTGCAACTCAATCTTTTCCGGTAAATTGGCTACCAGATATAATTGCATAAGTAGAAAACAGCTAAGCATAAGTAGGAGAGCTGTCGGTGGCTCTCCCTTCGTGTAGTAGTTTTGCATTTATGCTAGATTGCTTTAACCATCTTTTCTAACCAATGCTTGAGTGCAGCAAAATGGCCAACCATGTAAGCAGTAGTAAGAGGGTCTAAGCTTGAATATTTCAGAGCTTAACTGTAAAATGAGTGTGTAGTTTCTGGATGGGCTAGAAAATTTAAGTCATAGATTACATCTGTGTCCAGGGGACTTGCCAAAGTATTCTTTGTATTAGGCTGAGTTGGGAAGTTGGTGAGCAGAGTGTGCATAGTGACAGGGCCGAAAGCTTAAATAGTTTAAGACAAAATGAAGTATTTATGTTTTCTTTGCATATCTGAGTTTTGCTATGAGTTAAATTTGGTGAGTCGGCTACTTGTGATTAAAAGAAAAATAAAGCAAAGCTGGGGAAAGGCTGAAAGCATGGAAGGCAAGAATAGAGATGAGATGTAAAGGTCCTGAGATAGATGATAAAAGTTTGGGTGAGACCCTGTCCAGCTCTTGAGGTGATGCTGACTTGCAGATTTTTTTTCTTTTTCTTTATCTTTGAAGTCTACTTGTACAAGAGAGGAAATGAGGAGAAAATGGCATAGACTTCATGATCTTATCACCTGGTGAAGTATCAAGATCTGTGTGTGTTCAAGTGTGCTACACACTTGCAAATAACCCAGGGCTTGATCTGCTATTATACTGATGATGCAGTAGTTTTTCCTACCAGACAACCTATATAAGCTCATTTTAGGCAGAAATATGGTTTAAGTTAGGGCCCTAACAGGATGGCACATGCAAACTAGGATTGTTCAAGGAGGGTCAAATAAAGGAAGTGTACAGAAAAGGGCAGGCAAGGTGAAAGAAGACTGGAGGGGGTGGTGCAGCACCCCGGGATAAATAGAGGGGCTGTTACCACCCTAAGCTCGAAGAAAGCCTGAGGAGGAAAATCCTGCAGAGAGGCTTAGTGGCCCCTCACAGACACTAGACAGAGGAGGGTGGGCCAAAGAAGGAGAGACAGTTCTCTTTTCCCTTCCTTGGCTCTTCTGCCAGGCGTCCCCATGGGCAGAGTTCAATAGGAAGCCAGAGGGCTCAGGAGTCCTGAGTGCCTCGCTGAGCTGAGAGCAGGGTTGAGAAGGGCTGAGAGTGGATCTAGGAGTAGCAAACTGAGGATTCCTAGCATAGATATGTCACACTTTTTCTTTTAAATCCATAGCACCTGGCTTGATGGGTATCAGCAACCAGCTGTTTGATTAAGAGAATGCTCTTGGCAGCTCAGTGTCCCTTCTTCCTTATATGTATAGTAGTGATGCACTGGCCTACTTCCAGTCCCCACAGGAAGGGAGTGGTTTATATCTGTTTGAGGTGCCCTAAAAGTACCTGACTACAGGAATGATTTTAAAATATAATTTAAACTGAAGCAATAATAGATCCCTAAAAGCTCTGATCAAGAGTCCTAAATAAATTCACCTTCTGTAATTGCCAGTACATGTCTATGTCCTAAACTTTATGGACCAACTCCAGCATCCTGGAGTTTACATCCCTCCTTGATCAATCTTCAGTAAGGAATTTACTTCTCTAATAACATACTTCTCAACATCAGGCAGGTCCCGGAATGACCATCAAACAGAGGCAATGTGAACAGCTGGGAGTATCTGATGGTAGTAAACACAGATGTGCCTGCCAGGACATTAACTGCTTAGCAGGTTGACGTAACTGACTTCCCTATGTTCAACAAAGCTTTGTAGTCCCTGAGATGCTACTGCCTGGGTTTAATGATTGCCATGTTCCCCATCCACTCTTTGGCGAAGGAGTTTCTGCAGCATTTGATGCAGTGCTTCAGCTCAGTGTTAATTATGAGATCAGCTCAATGCCTGTGATTTAGAGGCTAGACTCAGAACCCTTTCAGTAATTCAGTTCCCGTAAGTCTGTGTTATTGGCTCCTGAATGCACTTGCTTAAGCTAATTAAAAAATAAGCTGAAGAAATTCATTTCTTATGCAAAATTAAATCTGGTGTACACGCTGAATATTGCACCTTGTCATGTTCATTTCTAGCTCAATTCTGCCTTTTACTGCACACTTTGCAGCTTGAGAATTACCATTTAAAGCAAATGTTTGGATTTTGAAGAAACAGATTTGGCCCTTTTGAAAATGTTTGGCTGTAAAACAACTTTGATATAAAGTATCAAAATAAAAAAATATTCTTAATGTTTCTTTTGTGGCATTATCAGTCAACCGACATCATCATGAGGCTGACATATTGATAGTCTAATGGTGAAATGGGAATCATCCTTCAAATAACATGTCCTTTGCATTAGAAAATAGCATTGGTGGACCTGATAGGCATGAGATATCAGCATTGATAACTTGATGAATGGGGACTGTGATCTCTACCCTGTCCTCCCCAGTCTACCTAATACCAACGTCATGGATATATTTGCAGTGCAGGTTGATAAAATTAAGAGCAGGCTTTTGCAAGAAACAAAGCTTTGTTAGCTTTTTAATCCGATCAAACAAATACATAAAACAAATAAACAAAAAAGCCACCCAGTTTCAGACTATATGTGTCTGTTTATATGTAGGATTCCAGATTTGATGAAGAAAAATCTTAGGGCGTGGTCTATCACTAACATCTGTAATCTGCACCAACTGTCTTGCAAATGCATTCTTCAAACAGGGGGTATGCTGATCAGTGAAATATATCACTGCTCCAGAAAATTTTCTGAATAGCCTCAAGTGACTGTTGGTGGGTGAAGAGTGCCACTGCCATATAAAGCACTTGGCAAAGACCTTGAACAACTTGAGCACTACTAGAGAATTGCTACAGTCAGGAAGGCAAGTTGGTTTTATCTCTTGGCTATTCTGATTATTCAAAGCAGTTATCTGGAGCAATGTTCTGACAAGGACTGTCAGATAAGCCCCAGGTTCATGGAAAGAGGGAGGGTTGGCTTGGTGATGCTGGAGGTTGGAATATTGTGTCATCCTTTCATCTGTCAGCCTTTACTCTGCTTTCCAGGCACCGAGGTGAGCCAGTGTATCTTAAAGTGTAATTGTGTGCCTCACAGATTGCATATGTGATGATTTTATTACAATGATTGTTTACGTATAATATATGTGTCTATATAATTGATTTATACAGAGTAAAATTTAACAAGCACACAAAATTCTGAAGGAATTCACAGGATTTGGCTAAGTACAATAAACAATTTAACTTAATGTCTATTTAAAGAAAAATATCTAAGTTCATAGGAGAGATGATAAATAACTGGCAAAAATCCTACAGTTAGAACGTAGGTTGGTGCAAAAGCAATTGTGGTTTTTGCTATTGCTTTTGATGGCAAAAACCGCAATTAATTTTGCACCAACCTAATAAATTAGTTTAGGAAAATTATGTTAAATTATAGGGATGCAGAGATAAATATATACTGGTCTCTACCCTTGAAAAAACTTGCATTCTTTTTCTTGTTCTTCTTGGATTCCATCCAAGTTTCACTCTTACATTAATGTCAGCTATAGTTTTGAGATGAGTCAGCTTAATCAACTACTGGCTTTCTTTGGATGTGAATGATATGGTAGCTCTTTAAATCCTGAATGTTGTGAGTACCTTGGAAGAGAAGCAAGGTAACTTCTGCACCTCGTCCAATAATCAGTTTACTTGGGGGATTTGTCATCAGTCCTCAGAGAAGTGAGTCACAGCAGTTACCATCTTCGGGCACTTTCAGCAGGCCACAGCAATAAGTTACTGATACACACTGGAAATTTTAACTATTTACTAGTTTGGAATACTTCAGTCAACCCATCAAGTTACTCCTCCCATTGGGGAAAGTAAATTAAGATCAGAAGTTTGGGACGAAATTGTGGCTTATGCCTGTAATTCTAGCACTTTGGGATGCCGAGGCAGGAGGATTACTTGAGTCCAGGAATTCAAAGCCAGCCTAGGCAACGTAGCAAGACCCTGTCTCTAAAAAATAAAAATAAAAAAGTTAGCCAGGCATAGTGGTATATGCTTGTAGTCCCAGCTACTCAGCAGGCTGAGGTGGGAGGTGGAACCTGGGAGGTGGACGTTGCAGTGAGCCGTGATAGCACTGCTACACTTCAGCCTAAGTGATAGAGTGAGATCCTGTCTCTGAAAAAAGAAAAAAAAAAAAAACAGATAGGTGCCCGCTTGGTGATTAATGTATCAAACCCAAAGGAGATGAATGATTTACAAGTTTGGTTCCAAAACCTCTTTTAGAAGTCAATCAGTTGTTTAATTTGAAATTCTCATTCTCTCTCTTTATATATATATATATACTTTTTTCTCTCCTACCAACTGGAGTTTATGATATAGTTATTTACTCAGGTTAAACTAAAAAATAATTCCTTCTTTTTGGGAAAGAAATATAGTTGTACATAGAGAGTTTAACCTCTGTTGTTTATTCTACCAAAGTAATTCTTTAAAAATAATAGTAGTTAGTAATGGTGATGTGCTTAAATGATAAGAGTTAACTCAATTTCAGCTGCTCCTCCAGACCTTGGCTATTGTGGGTATGCTGGTCCAAAAGGGAAGGTATGTGGTCCATAGGTAGAGGTTGGTGAAAAGATGGGCTGGGATGCTACTAATGAGACCAGTGTGGAGGAGGGGATGGAGGGGCAGTTATAGTGCAGTTATAGTGCTGAAGGTCCAAGCCCTAACCCTTCTTTGATCTCTTAGAAGCCAGCAATTGGGTGGGAGATAAGGATGCAAAGGATGCTGACCTAGGCATTAAGAGGTCATTTTGAAAGGAAAAACAAACAGGCAGGATATCCTAGTGAAGGAAATCTGGGCCAAGACGTCAGTTCCTGGGGCTAGATAAAGATATTCTGAGTCTTTAAACACAAAAGTAAGCACTTGCCCCTTCACTCCGAAACATACGATGTGTTCTTCAACATAAGGGCAAGAGTAATGTGTACAACATATTATTTAGGTTGGTGCGAAAGTAATTGTGGTCTTTGCCATTAAAAGTAATGGCAAAAAATGCAATTACTTTTGCACCAACCCAATACATACTACAGTTCCCAAAAAGTTGTTTTTTTTATGATTACTACATCAATTTTTAAAAATATATAGATATATAAATGATTTTCCAAAAACACATATGCTTAGTTTGACTCTTAGGTATTCAATAATGCTAGTCTGTAAGTATTTGAGATAGCTGTGAGCATTCAGAATTCAGGTGATTCAGCTCTGTGAGGATAAGGTCTGCCCACTGGTCATCACGGCATGCCAACCTGGCACGGTGTTCTCAGCATTGATGGAACTAATAAATATGTGTAGACGGACAGATTGACAGATGAAATAGATCTTGTATAGAGAACTTTTACTGACTCATATCTGTTAGGTTGGGAGTGGAGATGGAAGGGGATATGCTGTCCAATTCACTGCTAGGGCCAGAAGGTCAGTAATGCATCCTATTTTCCATAGCTTTTGATTTTGTTTAGGTTTCCCGCTTTAGGAATATCTATATTATTTTCTGATATCAGTCCCTAATTGCCAGGTGGCTACCTTTTCTTAAAGTAATTTTAATTGGGCTGTGTCTGGTATTTACTTTCTCTTTTGCCTCTTTCTCTTCCCAGTTACTTGGCTGGCTCTGTGAGGAGGGCAGATACGGCTAATTTACAGCTGCGTTACCAGAGCCTGATCCAGAGAGTAGATGGTCAATATATATTTGTTGCATAAATGGATAGTGGCTGTCTCCTTATTTCTTTCTCTTTTTTTCTTCATCAGAGCTCTCTAAATAAGGTGACCATAAAGTTTGTCCTTGAAACCAGGACTTTACAGTGAAAGGAAGTGCTGTTGACTGTTATGCCAGGACAAGGGCATAATCTGGGATTCTTCCACCCAAGCTGAGGGATATCATCATTTATCACTAAAGATTTTTTTTTCCCCTGGGGCTTTCTTAAAGATTGATGGAAATGGGCAAACCAATTTTAGATAATAGGTATTAGGGATCTTGCAAATTTTGTTCTTGCCTTTATAGCAAATAGCTAATGAGTTGTTAATGATTCTTGCCTGTCTCCTCAGAACTCTGTAACAAGTTCTCTCTCTGGTAATTTATTCCTGGTTTTGCTAGTTTGTTTTCATTGCTCTTAAGGATTCCTTGTTATTAGAACTGGCTTTCTGGATGACTTAGAATTTCCTGATCCTAACAATTTTGCTACCTGGTTCTCATTTCCTCATCATCCTGCCTACTTATTGTTGACTTTCTGTCTCAGGCTCTTGTCTGAGTTTATTATTTGGCTTCTGCCATTCTCTTCAGCTCCTCTTTGAAGCTCCTGCTGGTAACTTCCAGCCTGCTCTTAAGAAACACCAGGCATCATCAATGTAGATGAGTCAGCCTGCATTTTGGCTGTCACTCTCACCTTTCAGAAGTGACATGAAGGCCTCCTAGCTGCCCTTTCTGCCTTATACCTGCACTTAATCTGGACTTGAACTTAGGGATCCTCACCCTAGCCTTCAAAAGGAATGCAGCCCCATACTTATCAGGTAAGGTGGCTTTCTTTGTCTTTGCTACACATTGTGCACCAGAAACAGGAAAAAAAATTCCACTGTATTGTGCAGTATGGATTATTAGGGAAATTTGTAAGCAAGGATCATGAAGAAGAGAAAAGCCCTACAGTCTCCTCCCTCTCAGCAGTTTATTGAGTGCTCTAGACAGCCCAGGCAATCTGTTGGGTGCACAGGGACTTACTCCAGTTGTTCTCTATCCTTACAGGATAGGCATGAGAGTATCATTATCAGTGTGGGTACAAAAAGAGTAGGAATGTGCCAGGCGGTTTGAGTTTACATCACAGCTATTTACAGGAGTTGTCTGGGAGAGCTAGCTTCTAGACCTAGGGATCTCTGTGGCCATGAGAAGTTGCCATCAATCCTGCTGGGAAGTGGAATCCCTTGGATCTGTGGGATGTTGAGTTGTGAGCACTGCTTAAAACAAAACAAAACAAACAAACCAAAACAAAACAGCTGTAGATGCTGTGTTATTCACATTCTATTTCCATCATGCTATTCACAGAATCAGTCAGCATGACTATAACTCATCAGTGTCAAATAAAAATGCAAGTAAATCTAAATGATTTCAATCTGAAAAACACATTCAGGAGATAGGCCTTCTTATTGTTTTATTGAAAGGAAACTCCATTGCTTTCTTGATTCTCTTTTATTGGAGGTGGTGATAAAAGTAAAATGGAAGTGAAAGATGCTAAATAGATTAGAGGTACCTTACTCAATGACAAAAAACAAGACATATAAATAGAAATATTAATCAATGCTCTGAGCTTAGTTCAGGTACTAAGCTGTGTAATACATCCCACAGCTTAATTATTATTTTTATGGACATAGTGGCCCAGTGTACCCCAGGCAGTTGCATCAATAAAATCTGCTTGAGTGGGTTCAGCACAGGGCTGTGCTACTTTTCTGCCAGGAGAACAGCTTTGGATTTATGTTAGATTCATGCTAACAGTTTGAGCAGTGTGTCCTGGATCTTCTTTGTTTTAAACACACAGTTGAAGACACCTGCATTCAGTTTCAAGTAGGACCTTAGTTTTGTTCTGGAGATGTACCTGTTCACAACGACAAAAAAAAAAAAAAAAAAAAGGATTCAATTGAAGTGAGCCATGCGATGCTACATAAAAATCAAACTTGCTGCAAAAATAAATTGCCTGAAACAAATGCTTTCATCAGAAATGTCACTACTGAACAAGAAATAAAAAGAGATTTTTTTTTCTCTTGGCAGAGAGTAGCAGATTACAAAGATTTTTTTTGTATCCTCATATTAAATTTTAAATACATCTTTTTTACAGAGAATTAGCATTTTTTAGGGCACATAAAGAAAGCAGATCAAGATCTCTCTCTTCTGGCAATGAATCTTTACAAAAATAACTTACTTTAATGTAGCCATACTTCGGAGGAAAAAAAAATTATGGGGCGATCATGCTAGAGAGTTTCTTTTTCCCTCTGGGTTGTCGTATTATAATATTACTAATTATATTATAGTCTCCTACTTGGTGAAATTGGCTACTTCACGTTCCAAACATGATAAAGTAAATGTCCATAGGTCTTCAAGAACTTAAGAAGAATAGAGAAAAGCCAAGGAACTCTGACCTCAACCTTCTCTAAAATATTCTTTCTATGTACACCCCAAAGACATGATCACATTTATTTCCCTGAAACAGAATTCTGGCTGTAATTGCCATTTATTTCCCTGAAACAGAATTCTGGCTGTAATTGCCAGGTTCGAAATACCAACACAACCAGGGAAACAAGTTTGAAAAAAAATTTTAACCCTACATTCAGTATTGTTTTACCATTTCCTTTCTATAAATGTTTAATCAAATTTATTCAGAGAGACAGAAGATTTTGATTTTCATCCCTCCAGCTTTTCTCTGATATGTGTTTCTACACATACAGGGTTTCAGTAGATGCGATTTTAAAAATATAATATCAAGTGAACTATACATGAAAAAATTTTACAAAGAAATGCGGTGGTAATTTTGTGCCAGAGCCATATCTGTGAAAAATGTTCAACCATACAAATGTTAACTCTGAAAAAATTTTAAATATTGGGATGTTTTGTCTATACTGTGCTAACCAGCCCCATGGTTTGAGTATATGGCTATTCACCCTGTGGAGACAAAGCAGATGGATAATTGGCAGCATCATTCATTTTTCTTTAATCTGGATATTCTGCCATCCTGTTGGCAACACCTTTCACCAGCATTTAACAGTCGATACTGGATATAAACTTTAGATCAATATAGTTACATTTGGTAGTTTTCTCTGAAAAACTCCTGTTTTTTTTTTTTTTTTTTTTTTTTTTTGACACAGGGTCTCACTCTGTGGCTCAGGCTGGAGTGCAGGGCCGTGATCATGGCTCACAGCCTTAACCTCCCGGGCTCAAGTGATTCTCCTACTTTAGCCTCCCAAGTAGCTGGGATTACAGGTGCACGCCACCACACTGAGCTAATTTTGTATTTTTTGTAGAAACGGGGTTTTGCCATGTTGCCCAGGCTGGTCTTGAACTCCTGAGCACAAGCAATCCACCCACCTTGGCCTCCCAAAGTGCTGGGATTACAGGCATGAGCCACCACACCTGGTACTGATTTTTAAACTTCCTGAATATTTACCCATAAGTATTCTGAATAAGTAACTATTCTGACATTGTTGAGTAGCTTATGATGTACTGCTAATATGCTGTTAATAGAGAAAGCAAGCTATAATGCACATACATACATATGTATGCCTACATAGAACACTGTGGGTTTTTTCATTTCATATATAAATCTTATTCCATTAATTAGCTTATATATTAATAACTGATGAGTCTTTGACATGTAAATAAATAAATAGGTAAATACATACATACATGCATAGCCTAAAATTTCACTGTGATACAATTTAATTTCGAGTGTTCTTTTTGGAGTATACAAAAAAATTCCATACCTCAGGCTTATTTGAAATGTACTATTTGTTAGGTGACAGTATCTTCATATAATTTTCAAATTCTGAAGAATTATAGCTTGAGAGATTCTTTTATTCTTCCACAGTAATGACATGCATCACTTAACAGCAGGAATTTTAAACTACGTGTATTTCTTTGCATTTCTTCACAAGCTCCAACTTAAAATATTATTGTGACAATAAATATCTTTGCTTCAAGGATCCTGCATAAAATGTAAGAGCTTTTAACATGGAATAAATAAATGCATTGTTCTCTGAGATTAGGTCAGTGTCTTTGAAATACACTGTATTAGAATGTTAATTGAGTTTGACATAAGCATGGATATAAAATGCATCATGCCACTCAACTTACCAGCAGTGAAACTGATTACCAATTCTAATCGTTGTCTGCATGGTGACAGCATACTGAGATGGAGATGTTGAATATTTTAGTTTGTGATATTATCATGGTTGTTTAAAGTACTGACTACGTGTTTTGAAACCAATAGAAGTAATTGGTATGCATGTAGGAACTAGCAGGCTGAGCACATCATTTATTTATAGAGCCTTTTGATGTAACTCTTTGGGGGAAAAAGTTAATAAAACATGGCTCAAAGATAAATTTACACTCACCACTATAATGTGACATACAGCACAAATTATTGTACAAAAAACCCTGTTTTCTGGTGAGGCATGTTCTTTATCTCTTTTTAAGCCATTTTGCCAAGGCAAGAAGGAAAGGACTGGAGGAAATAAGAGGTATACCGGTATTATTAATTATTTTAAATTTTTCTGAAGCAACTTGTGACAATAAAAATCCATGTGCCAACAGAGGGAAGTCATGGGTATGATATAGCCTTCCTATTTTCTCACGTAAAACAGGTTATGTTCTCAAAGGGTGGGTGACTTGTTCACCAACAAGTAGGTATTAGAAGCTGAGAAGGACTAGCAACATATTTGGGAACCAACATGGTGGCCTCCTTTGAAAAGCCAGATGTACAGGAAGGTCCTCCTGTACACACCCCTCTGCAGGGAGGACACTGACATGCTCGGTCTCTATTCAAAACGGAGAACCATGTATTTTTACAACAATATTGACTCAATGTCTAATTGTGGTCAGAGAACTGCTAACTCCCAACTTGATTTGCCTCAGGCAGAATCAAATCTTAAAACAGTAAGCTGGAGAAATATTAAACTGCTGACAAGATGAAAAATGTGCCAAGAGTGGTGATGTGGGCAGAGGTGGAAAGAGCATGAAGGAGCAAAGATGCTATACACACACAATTATCTATGTCATGTGACTGCCTGTCTCCAGTGCGTATACACTTGCTCATAATCATTGGAGACCAAATAAAGCAATGGTTATGGGACTGGCCCGAAAATCAAGAGCTGGGTTTTGACTTTTTTTTAACTGACAACTGTGCAATCTTAGGTAGGGATTTTAATCCTTCCAGGCCTACTTTTCCGTATCTTGAACAGTTTCTCACTCTCTTTTTAAGTCAGTGGTTTCACAATGCCTTCTCTTAGGAATGTTTTTGAAAGGGGAAATTTTAGACCTAAAAAGTAGAAACAATTCATTAGAACTTTTATGAAGGAGCTATTTTTATAAACAAGCACAGTTTTTCATCAAATTTTGCCATTAATATTTTGTTATCAATATTTATTGACCACAATTATCTTTCTTCAAATGGGAACCTGTATTCCAGTTGGTGGATTTTCATAGGTGTAAAAATATCTTTTATTGATTTATTTTCCCTAGAGGGCACTTTGAAAATTTATTTTGGGCCAGGCACAGTGGCTCATGCCTGTAATCCTAGCACTTTGGGAGGCCAAGATGGGTGGATCACCTGAGGTCAGGAGTTAGAGACCAGCCTGGCCAATATGGCAAAATCCTGTCTCTACTAAAAATACAAAAATTAGCCAGGTGTGGTGGTGCATGCCTGTAATCCCAGCTACTTGGGAGGCTGAGGAAGGAGAATCACTTGAACCTGGGAGGTGGAGGTTGCAGTGAACCGAGATCACACCACTGCCCTCCAGCCTACATGACGGGAGTGACACTCCTTCTCAAAAAAAATAATTAGAAAAAAAGGAAAAGAAAATTTAATCTGAACAATAAGCACTGTTTATGGATAGTTGATAAGACATGACCAGACTCGCTTAGACCCAATGATGATGAAGGAAATAGAACACAGAAATATGTAAGCAGGTACATCAAGAACTTCTTTTTATGGTATTACGTCCTCCTCTAGAGTAGTAAACCCACAGCTCAAGACTCCTAAGACTGGTGATTTATTTACTCCTTCTGGGCTCCATTGACCAAAGAACTTTTGAGTGTGTTTTTCTGTAAGTAATGAAGAAAGTAATGGGCAGCTGAGTCTACTCATTTGTATTCACATCTGGTATAAATCCTTTCTACTGCTCATTGCTGTCGGTTGTATATCTATGAAAGAGCAACAATGAACAAAATCTGAGTCTTGGTCCTTGTATTATTTATCTAATGCTATGTAGAAAAATACTGTTGTCTAAATAATAATTTGCACAGAGCCTACCTGGGATGACTTGTCTCTGGTCGAAGAGGGGTTGGCTAGGCTTATACATACATTTGCAGTCCTACCAGTTACATTAGCTGGTAACTGACTGGTCCCAGATGGCCTCATTTGTATGTTTGGCAGTTATTAGAGCTGTTTTCCAGAGTGAGTCTACTCTTTTCTACATGGCTTCTCTAGCAGGCTACCATGGGCTTCCTCACGTGGCCACTAGATTTTAAGGAGATGAGAGCAGAAACTATTAAGACATTCTAAGACCTGAGCAAAAATTGCACAATATCACTTCTGCCACATACTATTGATGAATGTAAATCACAAAGACAGCCCAGGTCCAATTGGTGGGAAAGGAGGCTCTATCTCTCAACGGGATGAGCTGTATAGTCTGTTTACCTTGCCTGGACTTTACCCACGGAGCTCCATTGTTAATGCTTCAGGTATTTATTTTAGCACACTCCACTTCTGATTACAATTTCTGTGTAAGGAGTCTATCGTGATATAAAGAAATACCCAAAGACTTAGTGGAAAAATATAATATTCATTTATTTTTGTCATAATTGATTGACCATTGAGAAGGCCTATATATATATATACACACACACATGTATGTATAATATACACACATACGTATAATTGGCTGAGTTTACATATGCAGTTATGGTCAGTTGCCAGGTAGATGGGAGGGGGCTGTCCTGGATGGTCTTGCTCATATCTAGCTAGTGGCTGGACTGTTAAACAGGGTACCTTGATTTTCTCCTTGTAGGTTAGCTCAGCTTCTTCATACAGTAACTAATTTTTATTTTGTAAATTTAATTTTATTTTAGACTCTGGGTACATGTGCAGGTTTGTTACATGAACATATTGTGTAATGGTGGAGTTTGGGCTTCTAGTGTGCACATAACCCAAACGGCGACTTTTGTACCCAATAGGTAATTTTTCAACCCTCACCTCCCTCTCAATCTGCCCCTTTTTGGAATCCCCAGTCTCTATTGTTTCCATATTTATGTCCATATATTTCCATTGTTGAGCTCCCACTTTTTTTTATTATACTTTATGTTCTAGGGTACATGTGCACAACGTGCAGGTTTGTTACATATGTATACATGTGCCATGTTGGTGTACTGCACGCATTAACTCGTCATTTACATTAGGTTTATCTCCTAATGCTATCCCTCCCCCCTCCCCCAACCCCACAACAGGCCCCGGTGTGTGATGTTCCCCTTCCTGTGTCCAAGTGTTCTCATTGTTCAGTTCCCACCTATGAGTGAGAACATGCGGTGTTTGGTTTTTTGTCCTTGTGATAGGTTGCTGAGAATGATGGTTTCCAGCTTCATCCATGTCCCTACAAAGGACATGACATCATCATTTTTTTATGGCTGCATAGTATTCCATGGCGTATATGTGCCACATTTTCTTAATCCAGTCTATCATTGATGGACATTTGGGTTGGTTCCAAGTCTTTGCTATTGTGAATAGTGCCGCAATAAACATATGTGTGCACGTGTCTTTATAGCAGTATGATTTATAATCCTTTGGGTATATATCCAGTAATAGAATGACTGGATCAAATGGTATTTCTAGTTCTAGATCCTTGAGGAATCGTCACACTCTCTTCCACAATGCTTGAACTAGTTTACAGTCCCACCAACAGTGTAAAAGTGTTCCTATTTCTCCACATCCTCTCCAGCACCTGTTGTTTCCTGACTTTTTAGGGATCGCCATTGTAACTGGTGTGAGATGGTATCTCATTGTGGTTTTGACTTGTATTTCTCTGATGGCCAGTGATGATGAGCATTTTTTCGTGTGTCTTTTGGCTGCATAAATGTCTTCTTTTGAGAAGTGTCTGTTCATATCCTTCGCCCAATTTTTAATGGGGTTGTTTGTTTTTTTCTTGTAAATTTGTTTGAGTTCTTTGTAGATTCTGGATATTAGCCCTTTGTCAGATGAGTAGGTTGCAAAAATTTTCTCCCATTCTTAGGTTGCCTGTTCACTCTGATGGTAGTTTCTTTTGCTGTGCAAAAGCTCTTTAGTTTAATTAGATCCCGTTTGTCAATTTTGGCTTTTGTTGCCATTGTTTTTGGTGTTTCAGACATGAAGTCCTTGCCCATGCCTATATCCTGAATGGCATTGCCTAGGTTTTCTTCTAGGGTTTTAATGGTTTTAGGTCTAACATGTAAGTCTTTAATCCATCTTGAATTAATTTTTGTGTAAGGTGTAAGGAAGGGATCCAGTTTCAGCTTTCTACTTAGGGCTAGCCAGTTTTCCCAGCACCATTTATTAAATAGGGAATCCTTTCCCCATTTCTTGTTTTTGTCAGCTTTGTCAAAGATCAGATGGTTGTAGATGTGTGGTATTATTTCTGAGGGCTCTGTTCTGTTCCATTGGTCTATATGTCTGCTTTGGTACTGGTACCATTACCATGCTGTTTTGGTTACTGCAGCCTTGTAGTATAGTTTGAAGTCAGGTAGCATGATGCCTCCAGCTTTGCTCTTTTGGCTTAGGATTGTCTTGGCAATGCAGGCTCTTTTTTGGTTACAAGTGAACTTTAAAGTACTTTTTTCTAATTCTGTGAAGAAAGTCTTTGGTAGCTTGATGGGGATGGCATTGAATCTATAAATTACCTTGGGCAGTATGGCCATTTTCATGATATTGATTCTTCCTATCCATGTAGCTCACACTTTATAAATGAGAAGATGTAGTATTTGATTGTCTGTTTCTGAGTTAACTCACTTAGGATGATAGCCTCCAGCTCCATTCATGTTGCTGCAAAGGACATGATTTTGTTCTTTTTCATGGCTGCATAGTATCCCGTGGTGTATACATACCACATTTAGTTTAATCAACTGTCGATGGACACTTGGGTTGATTCTGTGTCTTTGCTATTGTGACTAGTGGGTGTATTTTTAATATAATGATTTCTGTTCCTTTTTTTGTTGTTATTGTGAATAGTGCTGCAATACTAGCTCAGGCATATTTTTAATATAATGAGCTCTGTTCTTTTTTTTTTTTAGATGGAGTCTCGCTCTGTCACCCAAGCTGGAGTGCAGTGGCGCGATCTTGGCTTACTGCCAGCTCTGCCTCCTGGGTTCATGCCATTCTCCTGCCTCAGCCTCCAAGTAGCTGGAACTACAGGCGTCTGCCACCACGCCTAGCTAATTTTTTGTATTTTTTTAGTAGAGACAGGGTTTCACCATGTTAGCCAGGCTGGTCTTGATCTTCTGACCTCGTGGTCCGCCTGCCTTGGCCTCTGAAAGTGCTGGGAATATAGGCATGAGCCACCGTGCCTGGAAGATTTCTGTTCCTTTTAGTAGATAGCCAGCAATGGGATTGCTGGGTATAATGGTAGTTTTATTTTTACTTCTTTGAGAAATCTCTTTACTGTTTTCTGTAGAGGTGTTACTAATTAACATTCCTACCAACGGTGTATAAGCATACCCTTTTCTCAGTATCCACACTAACGTCTGTTGTTTTTTGACTTTTTGATAATAGTCATTCTGACTGGTATAAGTTGATATCCCATTTCTCTGATGATTAGTGATGTTGAGCCTTTTAAATGTTTCTTGGCTACTTGTATGTCTTCCTCTGGGAAAGGTCTTTCTCAGTCTTCCTCTCAGAAATTCTGTTCATGTTCTTTGCCCACTTTTTAATAGGGTTTTTTTTTTTTCTTGTTGAAATGTTTGAGTTTGTTGTAGATTCTGGCTATTAACCCTTTGTTGAAGCATAATTTGCAAATATTTTCTCCCATTCTCTAGATTGTCCATTTATCCTGTTACTTCTTTAGCTGTGCAGAACTTTTGAAAATTTAATTATGTCCCATTTGTCTGTTATTGTTTTTTGTTGAATTTTCTTTGGGGGTCTTAGTCATAAATACTTTGCCTAGGCCAGAAGAGTTTTTCTTAGGACTTTTATAGTCTCAGGTTTTAAAATTTAAGTCTTTAATCCATCTTGAGTTAATTTTTGTATATCGTGAGAAATAGAGGTCCAGTTTCATTCTTCTGCATGTGGCTAGCCATTTTTCCCCACTGTTTATTTTTGTTGGCTTTGTCAAAGATCAGTTCGTTGGAAGTATATGGTTTTATTTCTAGGTTCTCTATTCTGTTCCATTCACCTATGTGTCTATTTTTGTACCAGTACCATGCTGTTTTAGTTATTATAGCCTTGTACTATAATTTGAAGTTGGGTACTGTGATGCCTCTGGCTTCATTCTTTTTGTTTAGGATTGCTTTGGCTACTGGGCTTTTGTTTTGTTTTGTTTTGTTTTTTGGTTTCATATGAACTTTAGGAATTTTTTTCTAATTCTGTGAAGAATAATATTGGTAGTTTGATAGGAATTTCATTGAATCTATAGATTTCTTTGGGCAGTATGATCATTTAAGAAATATTGATTCTTCTGATTTGTGAGAATGTGATGTTCTTCCATCTGTTTGTGTCATCTATAATTTCTTTCATCAGTGTTTTGTAGCTCTCCTTGTAGAGATAACTTACCTCTTTGGTTGAATTTATTCCTAGACATTTTATTTTTATCTTGGCTATTGTAAATGTAATTGAGTTCCTGATTTGGTTCTCAGCTTGAAAATTATTTGTGTATAGAAATGAGTAGTTAGATTTCAAGAGCACAACAATTAAAAAAAGTTTTCAAGTTTTCATATCTAGCTAACAGACATGTATAGAGAGCAAATTAATGACTAAACCCTAGAAAAGAAATTGTGTGAAGGTAGGTAGAGAATAAATAATATAAAAGGACAATAGGGTGAATGTCTCAAAAATGATGTGCACCACATGAATGTTATTGACAATTCAAACCTAAATACCCAATTGATGAAATGATACACACTTTATTATTAGAATTGCATTTAAAATATTGATGAATAATTTTTATGTTGTAGTTAAATTAAGATCAGAAAGTTTGACCACGAAACCTAAATATAAATAATATTTATCAAAATGTTTTTCTCCAACTCCCTAAATAAGTCTACAATTTTCTCTGGTGTCGAAGTAATCTTTTGGTAAAATATTAAACATCCTTGAAGGGGTTGTAATTCTTTCAGACCATGCTTGTATTAAGTAGTATATTTATAACTGCTCAAGTTATTTATTCTGACTAAATTATATCCTACTACCAAGAGTTGACTTAGTGACTGGTAACTACTGTGAATAGCACCCATTTTATGTATAACAGCTTTCTAAACGCTTCATATCAACAAGCTTCCCAATAATAATAAATATTCAGGAATCACCCATATCCATCTTTCTCCAGCTTCATTGATGGAAGACTCATATGAGGTATTTGCTAAACAAACAAATTCTCAAGCCTCAACCTGGACCTTCTGAATAATAATCTTATGTGTAAATTGATGATCTCCATGTTTAATGATCACCTCTGGGAATTCTTTTTTTTTTTTTTTTTTTTTTTTTTGGAGATGGAGTCTTACTCTGTCACCCAGGCTGGAGTGCCATGGTGCAATCTCAGCTCACTGCAACCTCCACCTTCTGGGTTCAAGCAATTCCCCTGCCTCAGCCTCCCAAGTAGCTGGGACTACAGGCACATGCCACCACGTCTGGCCAATTTTTGCATTTTTACTAGAGATAGGGTTTCACCATGTTGGCCAGGCTGGTCTTGAACTCTTGACCTCAGGTGATCCACCCGTCTCGGCCTCTCAAAGTGCTGGGAATACAGGTATGAGCCACTGCGCCCGGCCAGAATTCTTATGATTAGGGGAGTATGGGAAGTCCTAACCTAGGTAATACATTTGAGATTCGTGGAGTACGTATCTTTATATTCTCCCACCACATATAATAAAGAGTCTTGCAAATATTTTAGTTATGTTTGAGACTATTAAAAACAACCTAATTAATACTCGTGAGTATATAGTAAACACTCATAAATACACATCTCCATAAGTCAAGATTATGTTGCTCTCCAGGGAAATATATCAGAAATTTAAACCACTGCAAGATTCTGATGACAGTTTGCTCAATTTAGAAAGAGAAAGGCTATTTGGAATAAAAACAGCTTTTACAAAAGAATTTCAAAAATGTGATGCTATATCCTCTTAAAGTCATTGTAACTATATTAAAGATACAAGCTGATACATTGTATATATAACATTTCCCCCATTTTTACCATGACTTACACTTCCATGAAGATTCATTTGAAATGTGAATTTTGATTACTTGCTTTGCACGGAAATTCACTTAGCAAAACTTCAGCAGGTTGAAGCACAAGTAAATATGATGAACTACAGTACAAGAATAGTCTTATGATTTTAATAAAAATTACACAAATATATTATTTGAATAATTACTACCAAGTAGTCAAAAATAGCTGCCTATATCAAAAAATACATTAGAGTATTAATTTGCTGAACAATTCTGGTGGGCAGGTGTACTGTTCGCAGATTTAAGAAAAAATGCACACACACACACAGACACACACACACACACGCCCTCAGACACAGATGCTCCTTGACTTACAATGAAGTTAAATCCTGGTAAAGCCATTGTAAGCTGACAATATCAACTTGAAATGCATTTATTTAATACAACCAAACTACTAAACATTATAGCTTAACCTAGCCTAACTTCAGTAGGCTCAGAGCAGCTACATTAGACTATAGTTGAACAGAATCATCTAACAGAAACCTACTTTATAATAGAGTTTGAATAACTCATTTAATTTATTGAATATTATACTGAAAGTGAAAAACACAATAGTTGTATGGGTACTTGAAGTATGGTTTCTACTGAGCATATATCACCTGCTTACCATTGTAAAGTTGAAACATTGTAAGTCAAACCATTGTTAAGTCAGTGACTCACTCTCTCTCTCTCTCTCTCTGTCTCTTTGTGTATGTGTGTGTGTATGTGTGTATTACCTGCTTGCAAGAACTAGCTAATAGTCTAACTCAGGGGTTGGCAAACTTCTGAAAATAGCCAGATAATACATATTTTAGGTTTTGCTGGCCACAAAGTCTGTCACAACCACTCTACTCTGCCATTGTAGCCTGAAAGCTGCTACAGTCAATATGTAAACAAACAAATGTGTATTCCAATAAAATTTTATTTATAAAACAGGCATTCAGCTGGATTTGGCTCACAGGCCATAGTTTGCCAACCTCTGATCTAATGGGGTAAAAAATTAAAAAGTACCAGATGAAGCTTACATAATATCTATCTTGTAAGTTTATTCTCCTCCCTGTCTGTACATACCGTTTCTCAGATCAAAAGGTAGAGCTCACTTTCCTTCTCTTTGAATTCTGACTTATAACTGAATATGACCACGAGAATAGCAATTTCAGAAGAAGAAATGATGTTCTGAGACCTTGAAGTCCAGGCTTTAAGAGGAATGGAAGTTTCTACTTTTGGCCTTTTGGAACGCAGTCACCATGCTGTGAGGATCCCAGATCATATGGAAAGACCACGTAGAGGAGAACAGAGGTGCTCCAGTTGGCAGCCCTAATTAAGCTCCTAGTGGACAGTCAGAACCAACTGTAAGCCATTTTGGATGTTCTGGATGTCCAGGTTGAACCCCCCCCAGTGACTGCAGCCCCAGGGAGTATCACATGGAGCAGAAGAACTGACTGAGCCTAGCCAACTTGCAGTGTCATGAGAGATAATATAGTCATTGTTTTAAGTAACTACATTTTGGGATGGCTTGTGATACAGTAGTAGATACTTAAAACATCTCACTATTGGTATTATTTGTGTCCAGTTATTCATGCCTACCAATGACATGGAATCATAACTATAAGAACAAACTAGTAGTGTTAGTGAATCACTAAACAGCTCATGAATTTTTGTCCTCACATTTCCTAGTCTGAGTCATATTATTCAAAATTCCATTCTGGATATCTTGTATAACACATTCCAGGAATATGTGTAATATATTCCAAGATTCTCTGAATGTGTAACTGGAGGATTGTTTAAGAAACTAAGATTACATTTTTTAAGAGTTGGAAAGTCAGAGAATCTATGATCTGGTATGTCTGGGTCTCTCCCCATCCGCAGAAGACACAAATGAAAGCTAGACAATCTGAAATTATCCTCCTCTCTCTTACATCAAGAAGCCTAGAAAGTATAATAAAAAGACACTAATAATTAAAAATTTTGGTTGTGATCAAAAAGATACAACATATTTATTATAGGCTTACTATGTCCTGTTTGTGATTCAAGGATTTATCTGGAATATCTCATTTAATTCTCCCAACAACCTTGAGAGATATTATATTCCCATTTTTCTGATGATGAAGTCAAGATTTGGTCATTGTATACAACTATAATGAACACTGCCAAGATTCAAACCTAGACTGTTTTTTTCCAGAGTACAGGTACGTATTAGTCCATTTTCACACTGCTATAAAGATACTACCTGAGACTGGGAAATTTATTTTTTTAAAAAAGATTTAATTCACTCAAAGTTTCACATGGCTGGGAAGGCCTCAGGAAACTTACAATCATGGCAGAAGGTGAAGGGGTTACAATCATGGCAGAAGGGGAAAGGGAAGAAAGGTACATCTTACATGGCATTGGTAGAAAGAGAGAATGTGCAGGGGAAACTCAACAAGATCTTCTGAGAACTCCCTCACTATCATGACAGCAGCATGGGGGAAACTGCCACCATGATCCAATCACCAGTTCCCTGCCTTGATATGTGGGGGTTACAGTTAGAGATGAGATTTGAGTGGGGATGCAGAGCCAAACCACATCATTCTGCCCCGGCCCCTCCCAAATCTCATGTCCTTTTCATATTTCAAAACCAATCTCATTCCTTCCCAACAGTCCCCCAAGGTCTTAACTCATTCCAACATTAACTCAAATGTCCTAGTCCAAAGTCTTATCTGAGACAAAGCAAGTCCCTTTTGCCTATGAGCCTCTAAAATCAGAAACAAATTAGTTACTTCCAAGATAAAATGGGGGTACAGGATTTGCCTATGAGACTCTAAATCAGAAACGAGTTAGTTACTTCCAAGATAAAATGGGGGTACATTCACATGATAAATGTTCCTATTGAAAAGGGAGCAATTGGCCAAAACAAAGGGCCTGCAGGCCCCATGCAAGTGTGAAACCCAGCCAGGGTTCTTAAAACTCCAAAATCTCTTTTGACTATATGTCTCACATCCAGGGCATGCTGATGCAAGGGATGGGCTTCCAAGGCCTTGGGCAGCTCTATCCCTGTGGCTCTACAGGGTACAACCCCTTTGGC
This sequence comes from Homo sapiens, assembly GCF_000001405.40. Classification (NCBI taxonomy): domain Eukaryota; kingdom Metazoa; phylum Chordata; class Mammalia; order Primates; family Hominidae; genus Homo; species Homo sapiens. The sequence continues at coordinate 125,313,317 of NC_000005.10, forward strand.
TGCTTTCAGGGACTGGTGTTTAGTGCTTGCTGTTTTTCCAGGTACATGGTGCAAGCTGTTAATGGATCTACTATTCTGGAGTCTGGGGGATGGTGGCCCTCTTCCACTAGGCAGTGCCCCAGTGGGGACTCTGTGTGGGGGCTCCAATCCCACATTTTCCTTCTGCACTGCCCTAGCAGAGGTTCTCTATGAGGACTCTGCCCCTGCTGCAGACTTCTGCCTGGACATCCAATCCATACCTCCTCTGAAATCTCGGCAGAAGCTCCCAAAGCTCAACTCTTGTCTTCTGTGCACCCGCAGGCCAAACACCATGTGGAAGCTGCCAAGGTTTGGGGCTTGCACTCTCTGAAGCAATGGCCTGAGCTGTACGTTGGCACATTTTAGCCAGGCAGGAGCTGGAGCAGCTGGGACATAGAGCACCACATCCCAAGGCTGCACAGAGCAGTGGGATCCTGGGCCCGGATCATGAAACCATTTTCCTCTCTTAGACCTCCAGGCCTGTGATGGGAGGGGCTGCCATGAAGGTCTTTGACATGCCCTGGAGACATTTTTCCCCATTGTCTTGGCTATTAACATTTGGCTCCTTTTAACTTATGCAAATTTCTGCAGCTGGCTTAAATTTTTCCCCCCAAAATGGGCTTTTCTTTTCTACCACATGGTTAGGCTGCAAATTTTCCAACCTTTTACACTCTGCTTCCCCTTTAATCATAAGTTTCAATTTCAAACCATCTCTTTGTGAGTGTATATAACTGTATGCTTTCAGGAAAAATCAGGTCACCTCTTGAATGCTTTGCTGCTTAGAAATTTCTTCTGCCAGGTACTCTAAATCATCTCTCTCAAGTTCAAAGTTCCACACATCTCTAGGGCAGGGGGCAAAATGCCACCAGTCTCTTTGCTAAAGTATAGCAAGAGTCACTTTTATTCCAGTTCCCAACAAGTTCCTTATCTCCATCTGAGACCACCTCAGCCTGGACTTCATTGTCCATATCACTATCAGCATTTTGGTCAAAACCTTTCAACAAGTATCTAGGAGTTCCAAACTTTCCCACATCTTTCTGTCTGTTTCTGAGCACTCCAAACTGTTCCAACCTCTGCCTGTTACCCAGTTCCAAAGTTGTTTCCACATTTTCAGGTTATTTTTATAGGAGTATGCCACTATTCTGGTACCAATTATCTGTATTAGTCCATTTTCACACTGCTATAAAGAACTACCTGAGACTGGATAATTTATGAAGAAAAGGGGTTTAATTGACTCACAGTTCCACATGGCTGGGGAGGCCTCAGGAAACTTACAATCACGGCAGAAGGCAAAGGGGAAGCAAGGCACATCTTACATGGCAGCAGGAGAGAAAGAGAGAGCACAGGGGAAACTGCCACACACTTATCAAACAACCAGATCTTATGAGAACTCCCTCACTGTCACGAGAGCAGCATGGGGGAAACAACCTCCATGATCCAATCACCTCCCACCAGGTCCCTCCCTCAATATGTGGGGATTACAATTTGAGATGAGATTTAGGTGGGGACACAGAGGAAAACCATATCAAGGTGCCTAGCATCAGACCAATAATACCACAATGCATATCTGTTCTTAGCCCAAACTTTTCTGCTGAATGTGACCCCTGCATTTTGTGACCAAATGACTAGCCACGGTGGTTGGCTAGCACAGCAGAATGGCTAGAATCAGCCTAAGAAGAGCTCACTTTCATCCATACACTCACTGTTTCTAACTTGGAACCCTGATTTACAGGACAGTTAAAATGAGAATTCCTATCTTTAGATAAACTGAGTGGGGAAGGAGAAGAGGTGCTTTTCTGGGTGCCTCCGCTTCTGACTATTTCATCTTTGTACTTGGGCTTCAGTATTCAAACTGTCTACGTGAACAGCCGTTAATTCAGTCAACCTCAACACTCATCAAGTAGTGTATTATAAAACCCAGTTTATGTTGAAAATCCTATTCATGTGAATTTTTGAAAATGGAACATTGGAGTTTCAGAATGGCCACTTTTGGCAAAAATAGGGCTAAACAATGAAAGCAAATGAGAAAAATGTTTGACATTTTCCCTTCATATCTGAATTTGTGTGTTCCCACTGATGCCACATTCCTGAATATGAACTCAAACTCCTGCATTACACACAGCATGCTTCTGCCGGGCCCCATTATCTTTTCAGGCCCATTCATAATTTTAGTTATTGCTTTCTTGCCATTACAAAGGTTAGTGCAAAGTACACATCTCACAGGTCTATGGCTATAGCAAAGCTAAACAACTAATGTTCAGCTTTCATTGAATACTGAATATTAAGGGGCACAATGAAAAATTCTCATCTTTTCATCCTCTGGATGGAAACAACACCAGTGTATATAGAAAGCTATCTTTTCTTGCCTTTCCTATTTGACTTTCATCACTTCTTGATGTTTGGTAATTATTTCTCTACAAGTGCATTTTGCATGGTTCCCAGGTCCCTCCCTCAATCTGTGGCTAATACAGATTAATGTTGTCTCAGTCTAGCTTCAAATTGCATGCTGGTGTGATTTTCAGATTCTCACTCTTAACTAAAAGAACAAGTTTCAGAAAATTTCTTAACATGTTTATATATTTCTTGATTTGTGGCTAGTTCATCACAGGAGAGGCATAAAATTTAATATTTAAGAAAGGGTAATTTCACTAAGCCACAAAAAAATAAAACTTACACTCTCGTAAGGTAGAAATACAGGTTTACAATAAATATATATTTATTGATTGAATAAGTGTGAAAATACTTCAGTTAGCTAAAGAATTTCAAAAGTCTCCTTCTAGGCTTATGGAAAGTACATGCATGACATGATACATAGAAGTTAGAGAAGTCCTCATTTTGCCCCTTTCTTTTCTTTCTTCTTTGTGGTCACAGTTTATTGACTCTTTAAAATGATGGGATTTTACAGAATTCATACTATTACCTTTTTGCCTATGTTGTATAATATAGACAAAAGCTAAATAGTAAGTGAAGCGAAAGGCTGAGGATAGAAAGGAAACCTCATTCTTTCACTGATATTTTTTCCTCATGTTTGTGTTTTTCTTGTCTACCAATATAGGTCCACAACGTAAAATCAATAATTGGTCAGTTTTTTTAGAAACAGGTGGTTGAATCAAGGCTAGAGCAATATGAATAGAAAAAAAAATCAGAGATGTTACCTTTATAGATAGAGCATTTCCTAGTTGTTTTAAACTGTGGTAAGTTGCAAAATCTGTTCAAGACATTTCTCATAAAAACTGCTGTAAATGTGGAATGTTTACTATGTGCCAGATATTACACTAAGCACTCACAGACATATTTCATTTAAAACACAGGACCTCCTGAATCTATTTCTCAAATGGAGAGTCCAGATCCATTTGTTAAAACAGTTTAGTGGATCACGACTAGCATTAAAAAAAATAAATTAGATTGGAAAATAACATCGTGCATCATATATAATAATAGCAAATACTGCTTCTTAAAATGTTTGTTTCAGTGTATGTGCGTGTATGTGTGTGTGTACATGTGTATGCATGTGTGCACATGTACTGAGTCCTAATGTAAAATGTACTTTTTACTGATAGACACAATTGAAAAACTTCAGAAGTCCTGCGCTATAATGTCATAGTATTATATTAATTTTTACAGGAAAAATAAGAACAAAATAAAAAAATCCAGCTTTATAATTCGAACTTCCAAAGTTCCCCAATGAATTAGTTTCCACAGAGTTTTTAATGGAGACTAAGATAATGTTATCATTGCACGTTGCTTCCTGTCTCTCTCATGGTTTGCATTTATTTAGCATCCAGGCAGGCCTAACACGGGGTGATTAAATCTCCTCCTCAGATCAGGCCATCTGTGCCATTGAGTAAGTGAGATACTTCAAATAAGTGAATGATGAATTCTGTTCCAGACTGTCCCATAAAATTATAATAAAAATAATAATGAAGTGCTCTATAATAAAAAGAAAGTCATTACAAATACCGTGCTATTGATTTCAAAGGGCAGTAATTTTAGAGGAGCTCTTTCATCTGTGTTATAAATCTCGGCAACCAGCGGAGAAAATGTCAGGATTTTAAAAGCAAACAAATAGAAAAAAAAAATGCCTTCCTGCTCATCTTTCATGCTGTTTTGAGTAAAACTAAGGTAGCACAAATATTTAAACAGATGGCTCAATGATATGCTTTTTTCTTTACTAATCATAGTTATTAAAGCACTCACTTCATTTTTATTGTGTTTTAAACGGGCAGAGAAAATCTGAGTCTGATAATGACCTTTGTACATCATGCTGCAAATTGATTTTGATGACCTTTCACTCTCCGATAATTAGGCTGGCTTCATCTCCCTCCCTCCCTCCACTCTCCAAGTGCGTGGTGCGGTGTTTTTCCTGCCTGCCCCTCCAAACCCTATTCCCCTCCCCCTAGCTTTGTCTCTCCCATTGCTGGATTGGGTTTCTTTCTCCTCTCTGAAAGCCACAGATTCTTGAATAAAGAATGAATAGAGGTATTTAGAGGCTGACAAAAAAGAAGAATAGTTATTTTACTGATGTTTTGAATGATCAAATATCTGAATTGTCATGTAATTATGACCATTACAATGATGTCATTGCCATAGTCATTTGGCGATTGTGTACATTGTGTTGAAGACATTACCACATTGAATTATACCTCAGTAGTTTAATGAATTTTATAAGGGTGTTTCTTTGTGACTAATGTGAACAGATGGTAGAAGTGGAAAAGAAATAAACTATGCCTCATTTTCCTTTACATTTTCTTTGTATTATGCTCTGAAATTAAGAACACTAGACTAACACACATTTATACACATATTTTAAAATTATAACCTTTAAAAATGCACTTCATCAGATACCTCTAAACCCCATATTTACTTTCTTTAGTGTTTTTTGTTTTTGCTTTTTTATTGTGGTAAAAATATAATATTATTTATTATTTAAGCCATTTTTAAATTCACAATTCAGTGGCATTAAGTACATTCACAATATTATACAGCCATCACCACTCTCCGTTTCCAGAACTCTTCATCATTCCAAACTTTTAGACATATTTTTAAACAACCACACATTTTTAGTCCATTAGGAAACATTTCTGTCTTTCTTACATGAGGTTCATTAAATCATATTCTTAATATAATTGTTTATGTATGAATCCCTAAGCCTGAGGTTCATTATGAATGTATTTTCTTCAGGATTCAAGATTTCAGAGGACAGTTTATTGAGGACTAGTAAATCCAAGAAACTTTATAAGTGATAATAATATCTAACATTTATTTCTTCTGAGAGAAGCACTAAGCTAATTACTGCACATGTTAAGGGGAAAAATTAGATAATAAAAGGTCTCGTAAAACATTCTGTAAGGCAAAGTTGCTGTTATTATTATTATTATTAATTTGATGTTTCCTACAAGTATATATTGTGAACGTGAACCAAACCACAATAGTAAGATCATAACCAGACCTAGTCTTAAGGGTTTGCAGTTCCCTAAGTTAACTCTGTTTTTTCCCCTTGACTATTAGGATTGAACCCGGGAAACTGAAATCATACTATGATTTTTAAATGGAGGGAAGCCAGTGCAGGAAGTTGGGCATACAAGTGATAGAAATCCTGAAAACCTGTCAGGAGACCCTGAGGCAACCCAAGTATGAGCAACAACAGGAAGCCACTACAAGGCTGAAGGACCAAAGTGGTGGTGCTGTGTTATGGGAGCCCAGGAGTGGAAGTCACTTCATGCAAACTGAGGCCCTGAGGGAGGCGTAACCGTAATGAGAAATGCTTCCACAGAGAGACAGGAAGAGAAATAATCCTGACTTCTCTCTCTGCCTCATATGTTTTAATCTTCCTATGATTTTTTTCCATTGGCCAGACCTAACCAGAAGCCTTGTGATGAGGTAGCCTGGGACACACAGTCTAGAGGGAGGAGCAACTCTTTCCTTCCCGGTGTCACAAAGAGCAGAGCTGGAGAAGGGCAAGGAACAGATACTCGGTCGAAGACCAGCACTAAATTTCCAACTCAGGAAATACCCTCCTTTAACAAAGGCGAAAAGAGGAAAATGTAGAACGATTGTTGGAGGAGATGATGAGCCGTGCTTTGAGAAAGCTTCTCAGGGAAGATGACACCTGTCAACTTTCTTATCTGTGAATCTTTTCTTTTCCTCCTTCCTGACATCCAATCCATAGATAAGTCTTATCTGTACACTCCAAAACATGTTTCACAGCCAACTACTTCACCACTTCCATTGCTACCATGGTCCTCTCTTACTTGGATTTTTGCAATCATCTCCTAAATGTTTTTATTGCTATTGTTCTCTTTTTAAAATTGAAGTAAAATTTACATACAATGATATGCACAGATTTTAAGTGAGTTTTGACAAACCTATCTGCCCATGTAACCAACACCTTGATCTCCTGTGTCCATTCATTTCAGTCAAATTCCACCCATTATGTGCAACCACCATTCCAATTTCTAACACCACAGATTTATTGTATCTGTTATTAAATTTCACATAAATAGAATCGTACAGTATGTATCTTTGCACATCTGGCTTTTTTACTCATTATAATGTTTTTGAGATTCATCCAGGTTGTTATATGCATTATTAGTCATGTTTTTGTCAATTTCTGATTAGAATTCCATTTTATGAATATACTGTAATATGTTTATCCATTCTCCTGTTGATAGACATTTGGATTGTTTCCTACTTTTTGCTATGAGTAAAGCTATTATAAACTTTCAAGTACAAGTGTTTTGGGGCAATTAGATAAATCCTTAAGAGTGAAATTCACTGACCGTATGATAAATGTAGCATATAATAAAATGCTCAACTGTATTCTGAAATGCTTGTACCATTTTACACTCTCACCATCATCAATATTTGAGCATTCAGGTTGCTCCACTATCTTGACAACATGGTATTACCAGTATTTTAAATGTAGCTATTTTAGAGGGTGTGAAGTGGTATCTTATTGAAGGTTTAATTTTCATTTATCTGACAATAAATAATTTTGAGATTTTTATGTGCTTTATGGCCATTCATATATTTTCTTTTGTGAAAGGTCTGTTCAAGTTTTTCTTTCTTATGTATTTGTCATTTAAGTGAGTTTTAGTAGTTCTTCATATATTCTGAATATAAGTCCTTTATCATTTATATATATATAACAAATATTTCTTCTAGTCTGAGCCTTGTATTTTTATCTTATTAAAGCTGGGTTGTTAGGTTTAATTTTGCTGAAATCAAATTTTTCTTTTTTTTTCTTTCTTTTTTCTTTTGTCTTTTATGGTTGGTGCTTACCATTTTCTTTCTTTCTTTCTTTCTTTTTGAGACAGAAGCTAGCTCTGTTACCCAGGGTGGAATGCGATGGAGCGATCTTGTCTCACTGCAACGTCCGCCTCCGAGGTTCAAACAATTTTTCTGCCTCAGCTTCCCGAGTAACTGGGATTACAGGTGCCCGCCACCTTGCCCAGCTAGTTTTTGTATTTTTAATAGAGACGGGGTTTTATCATGTTGGCCAGGCTGATCTTGAACCTCTGACATCAAGTGATCCACCCTCCTTGGCCTCACAAAGTGCTGGGATTACAGGCGTGAGCCACCGTGCCTGGCCCTATTTTCTCTTTAAGAAACCATTGCCTACCCCAAGGCCATAAGGATATTCTGTTATATTTTCCTCTAGAATTTTAAGACTTTAGCTTTTACATTTAGGTCTATGATTCATCTTTATTTAATTTTTGTGTATTATTTGAGACAGGGGTCAGGATTCATGTTTCTTTCATACATTTATCCAGTTGTTGCAATGCTACTTGCTGAAAAACCTTTTTTTCATATTAAATTCCCTCGATCTTTTGTTGAATAAAAAATAGACCTGTACGTATACACATCTATTTTTGGACTCTGCTGTTTTATTGAACTATATCTCTGTCCTTATTTGTCTGTAACTTTCTTGTTGCTGTACTGTAGCTTTGTAATAAGTCTTGAAGTAAGATAGTGAATGTTCTCCAACTATCTTCCTCTTTTTCAAAGATATTTTAGATTTTTTGCATTTCCCTGTATATTCTAGAATCAGCTTGTCAATTTCTACATAAAGGCCTAGTTAGATTTCTGATTAGACTTGTATCACACGTTAATTTGGGGAGTAATTGACACCTTTTCATCATTGAGTCTTCAAATCCATTAACACAGCATATGTCTTAGCTAGCTTGGGCCGCTACAACAAAATACAATAAACTGGGTGGCTTATAAACTATGAAATTTATTTCTCACAGGTCTGCTGGCAACAGGTTCTTTCAGCTTTTGTTTATCTAAAAATGCCTATTTCATGTTACATTTAAAAAAATGTTTTATTTGGAATACTTTGTACTATTTATTTGTATTTTCTCACATTAGAATGTGAGCAGTAGGAGGTTGGAAGCCTTATCTTGTTTACTTCTCTATTCACTTTACCTGGAATTGTGACTGCCATGCAGTATTGGCCAATTTGTTGGAAGAAAAGAAGGAAGGAAGAAAAAGAAAAAAAGAATGGAAAAATGAGTAGGGAGGAAAAGAAGGAAGAAAGGACAGAAGAAGAGAAGAAGGAAGAAAGAAAGGAAAACGGAAGGCAAGAAAATTAATTGGCATTGCTATTTATGGCCTCTGTGAAAATGTTTGTGTTTGGCAGTTTCTTGAAACATCAGTTGTATTCATCTGGTGTTTGAGTGCCACAAATTAGTTTGCTTAAAATAGCAATAAAAAATATCTGGCAATTGCTGGGCACTGTGGCTTAAGTCTATGTAATCACATTGGGAGACTGAGGCGGGAGGATCCCTTGAGCCCAAGAGCTCAAGACCAGCGTGGGCCACATGGCGAAACTCCAAGTCTACAAAAAATACAAAAATTAGCTGGGCATGGTGGTGCCTGTAGCTCCAGCTATTAGGGAGGCTGAGGTGGGAGAATCACTTGAGCCCAGGAGATGGAGGTTGCAGTGAGCAGAGATGGCGCACTACACTCCAGCCTGGGTACAAAGCAAGACCTGTCTTAAAAAAAAAATTATATATATATGTATACACATATGGCAAAAAAGAGGTAAAGGAAAATGCCAAATATATATAAGCTTTTAAAATTTATAATTCATTTTAAACTACAAAAAGACAATTTATGTCAACTGATCTGTGACAAAGGTGCCAAGGTCACATAATGGAGAAAGCAATCTCAAATAAGTGGTGCCAGGAAAATGGAATATCCACATGTAGAAAAATGAAATTGGGCCTTATCTCACCCCATATACAAAAATCAGCTTAAAAATGGGTTAAAGACTTAAACACAAGACCTGAAAGTATAAAACGACTGGAAGAAAACATAGAGGGAAAGCTTCTTTGACATTGGTCTTGGCAAAATATTTTTTAAAATATGACCTGAAAATATGACCTAAATAGACAAGTGAGATAACATCAAACTAAAAAGCTTGACAGAAACAATCAACAGAGTCAAGAGACAACCTACAGAATGGGAGAAAATATTGCAAATCATACATCTGATTTGGAGTTAAGATCCGAAATATATATGGAACTTAATATAAAAAAAATTAGGAAATGGTCAAATAACCTGCACAGACATTTCTCAAAGGAAGACACAAATGGCTAGCAGGTAATGGAAAAAAAATGCTTAACATCACTAATCAAAAGAGAAACACAAGTTACAACCACAATGAAATATTACCTCACACCTGTAAGAATGGCTTTTGTAAAAGTGTGAAATACAATTTCCTTCTTTTCTCTCCAATTTTCTTTAAAATCTCTTTACTCTCTAAGAGTCACCTTTTTTGAATGTTTATAGCTAGAAATAATCTACCATTAGCACCTTTTCGCTTTATGGTTCTTATCACTCTTTAAAATGATTTAAATATTTGGTTAAGTGATAAAATGTTTCATATTACCCGGATCTAGTCAAATTTTTTAATTGGCTGGGCTGTACATTATTACACTATTTAGATATACCATGACTTAAAACATCTGAGTGATATTTAAGTTATTCCCCATTTTAAAATTATCATGTTTTAATATAATTATGTATCATTATGTTTTTATGTAATTTGTGTTTGTTTTTAATTTGTATTTGTTTCAGGGTCAGGAAAGTTAAGACTTTTTCATATGCTGACTAGCTATTTGTTTCTTTTCTTATAAAGTGCCCTCTTTTGTTCATTGATGTTTCTTGTTGTTTGTTTTTTGTGAGTTTGCTCTCTGTTTTAAAAATCAATTTGTAAAGCTTTTTCTCTAAATTTAGGTAATTAGCTGTGGGTCCTGTGTTTCTTGTTTGTTAAATGCTTTTTCCTTTTGTAATGTTTTAAGCTTTGCTGAAAGAGTGTTTTTTTTTTAGTGTTGTCTAAATTATCAAATTTATGGTTTCTGAATTTTGTGTCTGCTTAGAAAGACCATCTCCACCCTAAGTTATAAATAAATTCAGTCACGTTTTCATCCAGTTCTTTAATGGCTTCATTGTTTACTTTAAATCTTTGCTCCATCTGGAGTTTATTTTTATCTAAGTAGTGATTTGGAGATGTGGTTTTACTTTTTCCAAATGACTATATAGTTATCACAGATTTATTGAAAATTTTATCTTTACCCACACTGGTTTGAAATGCTCTCTTTATGGTAATTTCCGTATGTATTTGGGTGTGTTTCTGGACTTTCTTTTCCATTGATGCTTTTGTGTATTCCTGGCCTATTACTGAAGTGATATGAACTGCAGCTTTACCGTATGTTTTATTATCTGGTACAACTCCTTATTCTTCCTCTTTATAATCCAGCTAGTTTTATATATTTACTTTTCAGGCTACTGTAGTGACAGTTTTATTTTGTAGATTTTAGAGTGTTCTTTTTTTTCCCCAAAAGAAATGATGATTTAACATTGAGCTCTTATTTCTAAGAACAAGATAAATTGCAATTTATTGAAGGCATACAGTATGTCTTTCCATAGATTCTGAAAAATGTTCACCTTGTAATGTCCTACACATTCCATATAAAGTTTGTTTTTATAAAGATCTTTCTGTTTGGGACTGTGATTGAGATCTTTTCTTCCATTATATTTTTAAAGTGGTTATTATTTATATATGAGAGTTTATATTTATTAACTATATAAATATCATAATGTCTTCATTTGTAACAAATTTCTAGTTCATTCTATTTTTTCACATATGCAATTATATTATCTGTAAACAACACTTTATCTTTTATTTTTAAATATTTATAATCTGTTTCAGATTAGTATAATTGTTGGTAGTACTGCTCATCTGGGTCCAAAATCAGATATTGCCAAGTTAGTGAAACGTTCTGATCCTCAGTTTTCTCATCTGTAAAATGCTGAGAAGGGCAGCACTTACCCCAAAGGGATAATATAATGATCCAGTTAGTAAGTGTACAAAGCAATTAGCAAAATGCCGAGAACATAATAAGCATTTACAAATGTTAATCATTGTTTTATTTTTTCTCAAAGTTAATTACAGAGTCTAGTCTTTTATTATCATCATTAAATAATATTAATAGCAATTTTAAATGACTTTTAATGTTGATATGTGGAATGGCCTAATGGTCTATGTGCAGAGTATTGATTATAGTATAGTGAACATAGAGTCTAGATTTTCTAGAGCTACCACAGCGTGCAATTTTATTATTTTAAATAAAGGCAATAAATTATTATGAATCTAGATGGCACTTAATTTTATGTTTCTGTGAGATATAAATATAAGTGAATTCACAAAGTGGAAAAAGAATGATGATAGTAGGAAGCTTTGATTAATATTTCATTCTTTAATGGAAATATTTATTACTTTGTATTTATATCCTAAATATTTATTTACGCTTTATCTTTCCTGATTTTAAAAAAGTAGGCATCATACTTAGTTGACTGATCTGCAGCGTCAGTTGAGAAAATTGACAGAACCTTATATGGCGTGTTGCCCCAAAAAGACATTCAATAAATATTGTTTGAGTAAAGGCACAAATAAATAAATCTAACGATTAAGAAATAAATGGACTCAGAGAGTATATATTTTTTTCCAGATTCCACAGGATGCGAGCATATGCAGTGGAAACATTGTGTTATTCCATCCTCAGAAGAAAAGAGACAGTATTATACTTCGTCTCTTGCTAGTACAGGTAACATTCTTTATTAAGAGAAATATATTTAATCAGGAGTCACTATGTGCAAAAACATTAAGTAGAGGCTTAAAATGTTAAATACTCTTTCATCAAGGAAGGTTTTGTTTTTTTTTTTCCTTAATGCACATGTGTTAAATCTTACTCTAATCAGCTAGTTTTTTTCTTTTACTCAGAGTGGAAATTGCGGGTATCTTGTTTTTACTGTAAAACCTGATTTATATGCCTCAGCTAAATGCAGAGATTTCATTTGTGAATGCTAGTCAGTGATTTATTTCATTGTTTTCTTTTTTGGACAAGTCACAGCAAAATATTTTTTTTTCAAGCAGGATGGCATTAACCTTTTCTGATTGCAAAGCCACTCTCCTAGCAATATCAATAATACTTTGTCATTTCGGTCAGTTACTTTACTACATTTGGTAAACAAATAAATACAGCCCTACATATCAAAAAACTAAAATGACCAGTTTGAGAATCAGCCCTTTGATAATCATCTACAACAGATTTTGGAGCCTCCGTAATATTTCAAAGAATTGGCCTTTTTCCAGTTGCTGCTGATATTGGGATTTGAGTTAATTGCCGATGCATCTCAAACAACAGAGCAGGTGCTAGTGGAAAGAACATTCCCTGTATTTTCTTTGTTATTTATAGTCAGAGCTCTTCTCCACTAAACCCTTGAGCTGGCTTTTTAGAGCCCACTGTATAACAATTTCATTCACTTTCATGTCAACAAGCTTTGGCTTGATAAATTAAAATGGAAAAATGCTGGCTAAAGCACCACAGCCCTACATGATTCATTTTGCTGCAAGTTTCTGGCAGCTGCCCAAGAATGACCTACTATCTTTCTAGTGTCCTTATCATTTTCCCATCTGGAAAGGGCTAAACCTTACTGTACACTGGGGAGTTAAGGGCCTGTGCAGGCTGCATTTGAAGGCCATTAACAATCATAACTCTACAAATCATCACCCTCTTCCAGGCAAGGTTAGGACTACTCTATAGGATAGTTAGGAAGGTCAATATTTTACTTTTATTTAAATAAATACAAAAAAGGGCACAATGTCTTTAATTACCTAGGACTGCATGCTAACTCGAACCGTTATATTTTTAAACATTTTGATCTGTCTTATAATTAACCAAAGGTAATTTAGAGGAGCCCATCCTAAATTATGTAACTTCTGATATTAGCTGTGAATTTACTATTAAGCTAAGTTATTTATTTATTCACTTAATCTTCCTTTATACAAATGGATTTTCTTTATGGAGTCATAGGTAGGATGGCTATTTTAGTGATTATTTTAACAATTAACTATCAAGTTGCAAAAGCTATTAGGGAAAAATACCTTATTTTTGAAAAGAGAGGCTAAATGATGGAAGAATCATTATAAACTCTAGTTACAAGCTTGTCCAACCCATGACCCACAGGCTGCATGCAGCCCAGGATGGCTTCGAATGCAGTCCAACACAAATTCGTAAACTTTCTTAAAACATTATGAGACTTTTTTTTTTTTGCTCATCAGCTATCATTATTGTAAGTGTATTGTATGTGTGGCCCAAGGCAATTCTTCTTCCTTCCACACTCCTGCTAATTATAGCAAAGTTTTATCATTTATAAGTAGGGTTTCTTAACTAATACTATGTGTAGATTATAAGTAAATTAAGTTTAAAACCTGATACTAACTGAGGATTTATCACCCAAGAAATTGTCGAAGCATAAATATGAGGCTGTGAATTCTAAACAATTACAACTTTTAGGAAATGAAAGCTCCCTTGTTACTCGATATTTAAACTAACAATTTAAGGCTTTCAGCAGTGAACTTATAATGCACGTTGGTAATTGTTAGTCTTGTCTCTAAAGTGGAAAAAGATGTAGAGATGGCCAGGATCTTTGACCAGCCATCATTGCTAGGGTAATGAGGAAGAGCTAAACACAGAGGGCAAAGCCAAGCAAAATGCTCACTCTTTTTTTTTTTTTTTTTTTTTTTTGAGATGGAGCCTCGCTCTATCACCCAGGCTGGAGCGCAGTGGCGCGCAAATTATCTCCCTGCTTGCCACCCCAAACTGGTCATTTGTTTAGGAAATGTAACCACTTGCAGGGGCTGCTGGGTGGTTAGAAAAGTCCAGAAACTTGAATCTTGAATCCTGTCTGGCAACTGAAACACTGGAAGGCTGCGGAGAAAAGGAAGGGAAGAAAATGCAGTTTCAAAATTAGTGTTGCTGGTATTGAATTCTGCCTAGAAAGATGCTTATTTGGGGGTGGGGTGGAGGAGGTGGCAAAAAAACTTCCAATGGGATTTTGTTTTTATAAAGGTAAACTCAAGATATAATCCTGGAATGGAAACTGAGAGTTAAATGTCTGTGAATAATAATGAAAGAGGTAAACGTCACGGTGAATAGAATTGAGACAGTAGGGTAATTCTATACCTGTGTGGCAGATCTGAGAATGGCCTGTCAGCACCTCTGTGAGGCTTGAGACTCAGGGTCGGGGCAGTAACTCCAGGCTAAGAAGAATATAGTCAAAGACTCTCCCACTGCAAGGGAATTTTCAACTTTTCATTCAGTCATTTAACTAATATTCATTCACTGGGCACCTACCTTATGCTGACATTGTCTAACTGGGCAATGGTCATAAAGAATCCTTGGGATTGGGTATGGCCCTGAGAGTGTAAGAGCAGGAATGCTTACCTAATTTATTTCTGTTTGTTTCTTTTCCTTTTCTTTTTTTCATGTCACTTCTATACTCTTGAGCTGTTACTAAAGTTTTATTAAACCCCACAGCCTTGTTGTAGATTGTGGTTAAGAATTTAAGAGAGGAATGTTTTTTAGCTTAAAAGCAAAGTGACATGACAATATAAAATTGCCGATATTAAGAGAAAAAAGAGAATCGTTTTATGTGATAGCAATAGATGGCCAGAAAGAATGGGGCAAGACAGCAGCTTGCTAGAGTAACCAACAACCACAGAATAAAGCTGTGGCCCATATCAACCCTCCTCAAAAGAGTCTCAGAAATGCTTCTAAGGAGTGCCTAAATGGCCAATACTGCCCTCAGATTTAAGCAAGTGAGGTCTTTTTGGTGCCTGGGCTTGGTTAGGCCAACCGTTCCTTTGGGATAAGGTGACCTGAATCTGCACCAGGGATGCATGAGCCCTGGTCCATGTTTTTTCCTTTCAGGGTATTCTCCCACCATTTTACCCCCACCCCACCTTTAACAAGGGTTGATCAGATGCTTCTAAGGAGCATCAAGACCCTCATCTATGGGACATCCCAGGGGCCTGTGTCCAGGACCTTGTTTCCGGATGGTGGAGCTATGCAGAGTGCTTTTTTTTTTTTACTGGCCAGCCTGCTTTTTCCAGGCAGGATCATGCAGAGTTGGGCCTAGAGAATGGTATTGACAAGCTGACACATCCTCATTCACATGAGGCGCAGAACGATTTCAGCATTCTGTCTTGCCTACCATCTACCGTTGACTTTTAAGTTTCAAATGCATGTGAAGGCCATGTGTTGGCTCTTTGAGTTTTCACCACAGCATCACCTCAAGTCCAGCACACAAAGGTGGTGAGGGGCTGCCATGGTGTTATTTACTCTGTATGTACCCTCAGTGGCACCTAGGATTGTCAGTCCACCCCCTCACCAGGCAGTCTTAGGGGAGCGGACTTATCTCTTCAGAGGACAGACAAGTGCTATGCAAAGCCAACAGGCCCTTCATTTGATATCCTCTTTTGCTTCTTACTGATGCAGTGATGTTTTACTCACCCTGGTCTGTCTTTAGCTGTACCACATGAGGAACAGACATTTCTTGTGAGAATGAGACTGTTCTGTCCACCCTACCTAAGGGCTTTTGCCTATTGTCCCTGCTGGTTGTGGTATATGGAAGTCGAGAGAGCAGTCAACATTGAAACCAATCAGATTATAGGAGTGCTATGATTATGACCTACTCAGTTGGGAGATGTGTAGTTCTATGTTTTTACAATGTAAATTTTTGTATGGTACATTTAACATGCCCAGAAAACAAAACGTGGTTCGCATTTTTTTCTGCATACCCTGGATATTCTTGTATTGTGGTCGTCATCAACAAAGCTCAGTAACGACTGTTGAAAGGGTCATTGGAAGCCATTATCCACAGAGAGCAGGAGGGATAATGCAGTGGTATGACTAATGATGGAACCAGCAGTAAGTGAATGGTATTAGATAATTACAGAGGCAAGAAGGTCTATATTGTTTCAATACAAACAGTTTCTAAAGAGCGTGGCATTATTGGTAATAATGTTGTTGCTACCTCTTTTCTCCCAGTGGGAGATATGAAATTAGACAGGGATGGCACACTTGGCAATAAAGGGACACAAGAGATGGTTCTTGTGTCCTGGCTCATCTTGGACAGCTATTATGGCTGAGGATTCTTTTAGTTTGAGCAAATGGGCCTAAAATCTTTGATTTCAAGTCAGTCTCATGTGTACCTTTTCCTCAGGTCTAATTCTTGACCATGGTGCTTGAGGCTATCCAGTGGTCAGAATAGATGAAGAAGGAGGAAAAGAAAGAAGAAGAAGGAAGAAGAAGGGAAAAAATTAAAAGAAGGAGGAGGAACAGATAAAGGATATACCAAGGGGGAAAAAAATGGTTCTTCTCAAGACAAAGGTCAAACATTTGAGAACTTTTAGGGGCCTCTGCAGGCTGCATAAATGAGTGTACAGCAGATGGGCTGAGATAATAAGGAGCGGTAGGAATTCTGGCTTAGTTTACATTGAGCTCCAAACAGTTATTACTATGAAAGATGCTGGGCCCAATTTTGCTAAATCTTTCAAATTTTCAAGAGAAGCTAAAATCAAATTGTTAGGTGAAATACTACTAGTTTTAAATACTGGTAACTAATTAAGACACTAAAAGTTCTGTGTGAACTTTAGGAGGTGTCTGGCTCACCTACATTCAGTTTGCCAGCTTAGCCCCAAGACCTGGAGAACAGTATAGGTTGGCAAGCCAATGACACCCAAGCCTTCCAAGAACAGGGAAATCCCTGTCAAGCAGGAGATACGGCAACTTTTGGGAAAGGAAATAGGAAATGATATCAAGAAATACAATCCAAAGAGAGTTGAAAATCAAGCATTCTTGATTAATTCTGTTATCCCTTCTAAATCCCTGCTCCCCAGCACTATGGCCCTGGATAGCTTTTTGCTTCTTCCTGGATGTAAAGTGGGAGAAGGGAATGTTGGAGTTTGGTGCCTTTCTGGGATAGTGAAAGACGGCCTGTGACCTTCAGGATGTTGTGTTAGAGACAGGGATTGAATCTAATTGCAAAGACATAATTTTTGAGGTTTTGGATGAAGAAGGATTTGGGGGAAAGTCCCCAAGGCAACTGGCCTGATGTGGACAGAAACCATTTTAAAAGCACCTCTCTTCAAGCACATGCGCTCATTGGGGCTCTGGGAAGGGTGAGGGATCAGGTTACATTGCTCAGACTAAACCAGCCATCTTAACTACACGTCAGTAGTTGGAGATATATATATATATATATATATATGTGTATATACACATCTCCAAATACACGCACACACACACACACACACACATATACATATATGCATGAAAATTAACTATGAAATAGGTTTAATAGAGACCCTTGGGAAATCATAGCCAAAATTGATGCGGCATTTACTATAGGCTCTAAGGTCTTTTGCATGTATTAACTCATTTAAATTTCACTATAGCCCTAAGGGGTTGGTGGTATTTTTATACTCCTTTTTCCAGGTGAAAATACTGATGAAAAGAGAAATTAATCACTTGCCCATGGTCACACAGCCAACAAACAGGGAACCCAGAAAAGCCAGGCAGGTTGGCTGCAAAGTCTGGGTCCATAACTAGATGATTTATCTGTAAGAGTGTATCTGTCTTTTCCCCGTCGATTTACTTAAGTTGTAAAATAAAAATCAACTGCTAATCAAGGGTGAAGAATATTAACTAGGGTTGGTAAATCAGAAGAAAAGTAAGATCACCAAGTGCTCTTTCTCAGGTTCAGATTGTTTTTTTAGCCAGGAGGCAGAGGCACTCTAGGGGAGCAGAGAGCAAAAGGACAAGTGAAATTCTTGCTATGGGAAATAATTCAGTCTTTCCTGTGTTGAGGGAACAGTTCAGGGAAACTCTTGGTCACTGTGGAAGTGGTAAATTGGCCGGGAAAATTAAGCTCTTCCCTCTTATGAACAAAGAAGAAGAAGCTAGTAAATTGGGGCTGAGTTAAAGTTTGGGGTAATACTGAGGGAGAGAGAAAGTCAATTTTAGATTAGCAGATGTCATATTGGTTGAATTTAATATTTTCCTCTTTGAACTCTTCTCTTTCATAGCACACTGTGATAAACATTAAACAAAATGTAGTTTTTCAGAAAAACTGTTTATTGGGCAACTCCGTTTGCCAGTCTCTGCGCTGGCTTTGCAGGTGTGCTGTGAATCCTCATACGTTATTATTATTCATTTTACTGAGGATGAAGATGAGACTAAATTTAAATGACTTGCTTAAGACCACAGCTAATAAGGAGCTGAGTCAGAATTTGCAACTGTTTATTGCTACAAAATCTGCACTATTTTCATTGAATTAATTTGACTTACTCAATCCTTATTTATATGAAATATAAAATGCTCTCCAAAGCTATTCTCTAGTTTCCCCTTCTTATGCCTCTAGCTACTGAGCCCATACACTTTTGTTATAACCCTGAATTTTCTAAGTGATAAGGATGGTTTCCCAGCAAAATAACAGTGTTTTTTTTTCAATTAGGAATGAGTTTACAATTACCAGACCTTCACTAGACTAATTATCTTCTATTTAACAGGCTGTATCACAGTTTTTGTAGTGGGAAATGATGGCAGATTTTAAAAGATTATCTTAAAATTGCAATTCCTCTTTTTCTCTCTATAGAGCATGGCAACTGGCAACTAATCAGCTCACTAAACATGTGGCACTCAGATTCTGCCTTCTTTAGACATTGGCCACCATCCAAAGCAATGAATAGGAAGATTTTTCTTACAAGTGACAGAATGCGTATTTAAAAAGTATCCATAAAAACTTTATCCAGAAAAGTAACTTGCTGAATTGATAATATTTTTTATAGTCATGCAGTGAAGTGTATTACACAGAGTATTTGTACATTTTGATAAGATTGTTCTATACCATGTCTTTTTAATGATTCTTCCAAGTGCATCAGTCTGGTTGCAAAGCTAATGGGTTGAGGTTGTCTGTGAAGAACTGGTCCAAACCCCTGGAGAAATTCTCTGACAGCACATAGTTGAAATCCTATTATGGCTGCTCCATAGCCAAATATTTGAGGCACCGATCAATGCTGGAAGTATAAGACAGAAAGAGGTGCAGAATGAGATTGAGGGCTCTTCATACAGCCTGTTGCTCTTTCACTTTTATTTGGTTGTATAAGCATTAAATAAAATTTTAAAAAGAGGAAAAGAAAACCTTGAGCCTCAAATTGAAAAAAAAAAAAAAGTGTTTCCTCATAGGACTACTTCATCTGTCAGCATCTCTTTTATTTCCCCTTAGTAAACCAAAACATTAGCACAGTCTTGTAGATACAAGCTACAGATTCCTCGGGGCAAATTGCACACCTTTAACTCTTTAAGGAAAAAGAATTCTGTCCCGTAATTATTATTATGTGTCAAATTTGTTATGAAGGAACATGAACTGTGTAGCTTCTCATGAGGCACTTGAAGATTAAGGCCCTCAGTCAAAAGGGAAGAGAAGAAAAGAATCAGAGTTTGCAAACTTTAAACAAAATAGAGACATCAGTATTTATTATCTGTGCATCAGTGAGATTCACAATTCTTAAAATATGCAAGCTAAACAGTTGTGAAGCAGATAAAAAAGACTACAAAACATCCAAAGAGATCGCTTATATTTACATATAAAAGAAATATCACATTGATGCATGTTAGCACTAATGATTTAAAATACTGAGCACATATTTTCTCAAAACTAAGAACAATTGTCATAAATTTTTAAAGTCCTTTAAAATATACAGTGTCAAGGGTTATGGAAACAGCACCATAAAAGTTAATATCTTGCATATATTCAAGGATTAAATTTAAAATATTTGGTATTTGGAATGAGGCTAATATAACATGAAGCTTAGGAAAAGTATGTTTGAATACATGAAAAATGAATGTAGAAATGAAGCCAGTGGAGGTGGAAAAAAGCCAGGGCACAGGAAAAAGAAAACAAAATAGGAGAAGTGTATCACATAAAAACATAAATCCTCCTGTATTATTTGGCAGATACATAATTCACATTCGTTTCATTTTTTGCAAGCCAAAATATGAATATTTTGATTTTACTGAAGGAGATGCTGGTAGAGCAGTTATAAATAAGAAAACCGTTTAGAGACTTTATAGTCCATGTAAAACCTTACTGAACTTTTAAATACCGTTTTTAAAGGACTCAGTCAACCTCTGATTGTTCTTGTTCCAATTTTACCCAATCATGTAACCAGTGGCTTTGGGAGAAACTCCTTTAGAGATGTATATTTTGCAGATCAGTGACAGAAAACAAACTGCTTTTCTTTCTTGTGGTCTGCTACTACTCCTCGTGTTGTATTAGGCAGGGTTCTCTAGAGGGATAGAACTAATGGAATATACATGTATGAGTTTATTAAGTATGAATAAATATATATGAGTTTATTAAGTATTTACATACATATCAGTTTATTAAGTATGAAGTCACACAATCGCAAGGTCCCACAATAGACTGCAGGCTGAGGAGCAAAGAGAGCCAGTCCAAGTTCCAAAACCGAGGAACTTGGAGTCCGATGTTCAAGGGTAGGAAGCATCCAGCACAGGAGAAAGATGTAGGCTGGGAGGCTAGGCCAGTCTCTCTTTTTACATTTTTCTGCCTGCTTTACATTCTAGGCATGCTGGCAACTGATTAGATGGTGCCCACCCAGATTAAGGGTGGGTCTGCCTTTCCCAGCCCACTCATTCAAATGTTAATCTTCTTTGGCAACACCCTCACAAACACACCCAGGATCAATAATTTGTATCCTTCAATCCAATCAGGTTGACACAGTATTAACCATCACATATGTGTTAGAGGACTCTGCAGTTATCCAAAACACGGAATGAGAAAGCAGTGTTGCAGATGGCGGCATACAGAAGGGGCAGCATGTAAGAGCAATGAATATAGACTGTACTTATTGCAGGTTCGCTTTCAGGGCTGAATTTCCAAGAAAGATGTGGATATTATTCTCTACTTTGGGGACTGTTATTTTCCCACTTTTTTCAGAGGTTCTTCATTGTTGTCCAGATTCAGGTTATTAAGGTCAGGACTCTTCTCCTTGACTGTGAACACCACTTCGTAGCCAAGCAAGGTTTGAGGAAGACATTGACAGGCATTGTTTGTAGGGAGAGACTCATTTCTTAGGAGCCAGACATGCCAGGGACTTTACATGTTGTAGCAGTCAGGATCCTAGAAAGAAACAGATGGCACACTCAAACAGGGGTAAGTGAGGAGAATTTAATAAAGACATGCTTTACAAAGGTGTGTGCAGGGTTGTTTTAGGGAAACTGGCAAAGGCAGTGCAGAACTAGCAAAGGTAGGGAAGCCTTGAGCACCAAAGCACCAGGAGATGGAGCAGCTGGAGTACTCCAGAGAGAGAAGGGGCTTCTTAACAAAAGCTATGACCTTCAATAGGTTGGCACAGTTTACCTAGAGAAGACCAAGCAAAAGAACGGGGGAAATCAATATCCTGACTACGCTTTTCTGTCTTCTCAAAATCCTTTTGGTCTCTTCCATCTGCCACTCCAAGCTAGAAGCCAGAGGGCAAGGTTGCCCATTGATTTAGTTGATAAATGTCAGCTATCTAGAGCACAGAAGAGTGTAGAAGATGGGCAAGTAGAATTGGAGAAGGAAATGAAGAATATCTAGAATAAGTGTTGCACAGGGGACATAACATCTCACTCACCCTTTACCATATCCTAATAAGAAACACATTACTAATATCTGCAGTTTATGCTTAGGAAAACTTAAATCCAGAAGGTCAAGGAATTTTTACAAGAACACACAGGTAATAAGTGACAGCACCAATATTGAAATCTAGGTCTTCTCAATCTAAACCTTTTTTTTTCCTTTTTTAAAGAAAAAACTATATGAAGTTTCTCACAGGAAAGTGAGAGGGTTGGTGGGGGTCGGAAATAAAAGCACAAGAAATGGGAGAAAAACAAGACTAGGGAACAAATGTAACTATATTTACTGAGCACTGGCTATGCCCCAGGCACTGGTTTAAGCTTTTTATATTCAGCATCCCATAGATCTTCTCAACTCTATGAACCAGGTACTGGTATCCCTGTTTAGAGAGGAGGAAGCAGACCCTTAGAAGACTCAGTAAGTCAACAGGGTCACTCAGGCAGAAAGCAGTAGACTCAGAACTGGAACCTATGTAGATTCTAGAATTCATACTCCTAACAATTAAATTATAGAGAATGTGGATGGGAAAAAAGAAAAAAAAAAGTCTGAGTGTCTGGCAAAATTGTCCCAAACTCTCAGGTATCCTAAATGCTTTTTCTTAATATAGTAAGATCACTCTTTTCTTTCTGTTTCCGTTCTGTTCACTTTGCTATTTATGTGTTATAACATCGAAGGTGATGATGGTGGCAGAAAGAAGGACATAAATGCAACTTGGGCCATTTTTTTATTTTGGGAAAAACTGTGCATATCCGAAAGGAATATTCAAATCTGAATTCACCATATTCCCTCTTAAATGTACTCCTCTTTATATATGCTCCCTCAATTAATGGCACAATCTACATTTTATTCTTACCAAAAACCTGGGACTTTCTCATATTATTATATTGCTATTATTATTTACTAGATTCCTCTGAATGATTCTTTAAAATCACTTTCTATTATTCTGAAAGCACTGCAGCCCTTTTTAGAATATGTGTTGTGCTTCTTTGAAATTGTTTAGTTATATATGTCTATTATCAGGCACTGTGTCTTTTGCAGCTACTTTTCAGTCCCCAGTATGATGCCTGGTACATAGTAGTGCTTCAATAAGTGGTTTTTGAATGACCAAATGGAAATCGGGCCTCTGTAACTTCTCTGTGTAATAGAAAGCATCTGACTTGCAGTGAGCATATTGAGAAATGGATGTCTCAGATTTTCCAGCCTTTCTCTCCTAGCAAAGGCCAGATAAGGCTGTGATAGTCTGACTTCCTTTTTGTTGCTTTTGATGTCTCACCTGATGTAAGCCCTGCTGCTTTTTAAAATGTCAGACTGACTTGGAGTCAACTCTTTGATTTGCTGTTTCGTGGGGTTTGCAGATCCTGAGTTAGGTGCATTTTGATTCTCTCTGTTTTTATTTCCATGAACTCTTCCAGAGGACATGGGTCAGGAAGACTTCAAGGTTAACTGATGACTAACTGGCATTTTCAACCAACAAGACTATGTTTTTAAACTTGCAAATACATTGGACAGCTAGTCAAATGTTTTGGCACTTGTCCCTATTATTAGTAATGACTTAAAACCAGAGGTGTTGGCGAAGAATTCTTGAATTGAAGGTACCAAAGTAGAGTTTCTTTAAGGTCAATGAACGTAAAGGAAAAGGCTTTTGCTTCCAATGGAGGTGTGCACAGCTTGCACTGAAGAAAGAAGCATGTGAGGCTACACTCTCCAGGCTTTTAATGCTACTTAAAATGTCTTTTCTGCCACAGAGGTAGATGCATTCCAAATCTCTCTCTGTTTCTCTCTCTTTCCTACAATGATAATTTTCACTGGTGCTCAACTTATCTTTCTGCCAGCCATCTTGCTGAGAAAAGAGCCCAGCCCCTCAGCACCGCCTGGGCACTGTAGCTTTTGTTTCTAGTGGATTGTTTTCTCTGATGGCAACCTCTTGTCTTGAACTGACATTCTGCCCTGCTCACTGCTCCCAGTGTCCTCTGTTATATCAACATCTGCAGCAGCTGCTGCTTCTTTGGCTGAAAAGTCTCAATGTTTGCCTTTAAAATGTCATTCCTTCACCTCTCTCAGTACTCAGACTTACTCATCAGTTTGTTTCCAGTTGTCCTCAAATGTGTTCAGAATAAATGATGCACAAAGGACAGTTTAAACATAGCAAAGCAGCTGTAGGCAAGGCATCTCCAGCTCACCGGGCTATTCTTTCATAATAAAATGTGTCACATTGTCATTCGAATGTGTCTCTGGCACAGAAGACACTGGCTGTGTATCAGCTGTGGCAATAACAACATGTTTAGTGGTTGCCAAGCCAAGAGGGAAAAAAGATTAAATGAAGAAGGTGTAGAAAGATCAGTTAATGTGAGTTGCCTTCCTTTGCTTTTTCCTAAATTTAACTTTCAAAAATGTTGTTTATAACTGACACATGATAATTTATTCATCTTATTTTATTATTTTATTTTATTTTTATTTTACTTTAAGTTCTGGGATATATGTGCAGAATGTGCAGGTTTGTTCCAGAGATATACTTGTGCCATGGTGGTTTGCTGCACCTATCAACCTATCACCTGGGTTTTAAGCCCTGCATGCATTAGGTATTTGTCCTAATGCTCTCCCTCCCCTTGTCTCCCACTCGCTGACTGGCCTTGGTGTGTAATGTTCCCCTCCCTGTGATAATTTTACATGTTTACATTTTTTACATGATAATTTTACATGTTTATGGGGTACAATGTGATGTTTTAATACCCCTGTATATTGTATAATGATTGAGTTTGGGTAGATAGCATAGCCATCACTTCAAACATTTATAATTTCTTTGTAGTGATGACATTCAAGATCCTCTTTGTTAGCTGCCTTGAAAAATATAATAGATTTTTATTAACTATAGTCACCCTACTATGTAATAGAACACTGGAATATATTCTTCCTACCTAACTGTAACTTTGTACTTAATCACTCTTTCCTCCACCCCTCCTAAGCCTCTGGTAATCACTCTTCTATAATCTCTACTTGCATGAGATCAACTTTTTAAGATTCCGTTTATTAGTGAGATCATGTGGTATTTGTTTTTCTGGCTTATTTCACTTAACATAATGTCCTCCAGGTTCATCCATGTTGCCACAGATGGAAGGATTTCATTCTTTTTAATGGTTAAACAGTATTCCATTGTGCATATAGACCACATTTGCTTTATCCTTTCTTCTGCTGAAGAATATTTGGTTCCATCTCTTGGCTATTGTGAGTAGTGCTGCAATAAACACGGGGGTACAGATCTCTCTTTGACATGCTGATTTCATTTCCTTTGCATATATACCCAGAAATGGGATTGCTACATCATATGGTAGTTCTATTTTTAATGTTTTCAGGAAGCCCTATTCTGTTTTCCATAATAGCTATACTAATTTACACTAACACAAAAATGTATAAGAGTTCTCCTTTCTCTGTACCCTTGCCAGCATTTTTTTTTTTTTTGTCTTATTGTAGTAGCCCTTCTAACTTTGAGAACTTGGAGTTTGATGTTCAAGGATAGGAAGCATCCAGCACAGGAGAAAGACAGGCTGAGAGGCTAGGCCAGTCTCTCTTCTCATGTAGTAAGATGATATTACTATCTCACTGTGGTTTTGATTTGCATTTGCCTGATGATTAATGATGCTGAGCATTTTTATGTGTGCTGGCCTTTTTATTCTTCTGAGAAATTTCTATTCAGATCATTTGCCCATTTTTAGATTAGTTGTTTCAGTTCCTTATATATTTTGGATATTAACCCCTAATTAGATGTATGACTTCGAAGTATTTTTTCCCATTCTGTAGGTTGTCTTTTCACTCTGTTGATTACTATTTTTGCTGTGCAGAAGCTTTTTAGTTTGATGTAATCCCATTTGTCTATGTTTGCTTTTGTTGCCTGTGCTTTTGAAGTTGTATCCAAGAAATCCTTTTCCAGTCCCATATCACAAAGTGTTTCCTCTGTGTTTTCTTCCAGTAGCTTCTAGCAGTTGTAGTTTCAGTTCTTTCTCACTGTCCTCATTATCAAGTTGGCCTTAACCATGGCAAAAAGCTAGTAATTTATCTCTTGCCTGCCAATACTTTGACCATTTCTCTCCATGGCATCTTTGCACCTTAACCACATTGAAGGCTTGCTTAGACTTCTCAAGTTCAGTGTTTTACCATCTTGGAAATTAGAATATGGTAAGACCAATGGAAACTTTTTTTGTGAAATATCAATTACCATACATATATGAGGTATTATCATGCAGTAAGCATGCTGAAACCTCACTCAGAATTCAAACATGGTCTCTTCTTCGGGCATAAGAACAACGTAGCTCAATTTATATTTTTTAAAGCATTAAGTTAACTTATTAAAGTGACATTGCTACCTCACTGCCACTAGGGCATGATTTTGATTATTTTTCTAGTGGCTAATTGATGAGTAAAATAGATACATTTCCACTGTGTGGTCTGCCTCTTCCATGATCTATTTGCCTCATGGTTAGCTAGGGTTAAGGGTTCAGTCTGTGGCCAAGAGTAGGGTGAAGCCATATGACCCATTTAGGTTTTAAATCTATCACTTCAACGTCATAAAAAATAACTAACCACAAACACAGGCATTAGAAAGTAAAATTCCCATCCTGGCATGTTCAGTCTTAACTTTTGAGATCAAAGGAGTTGCAAAATAATTATATTTTTACGCCTGTATCACTCCACAAAAGTCGTCTCGTGCTCTTTGTTAATATGCTTCAAATAAGAAAACATCAGCCTGCCTTTTATTGCTATAGAGCAAACATTGTGTACTTCTTTCTATGTACTAAAAGCTTTACTTAAATGCCCTGTGTTAAATTGGTTATTCCCTACAAAGCTCTACGAAATAGCTATTATTCCAGTATTACAGATGGATAAACTGAGGCATATAGAGATTAAATAACATGATAAGTGGTAGAACTGGTATTTAAGCTGAAGCTGTAGCTGCAAAGACTATGACCACTATGCAATCCTGCTCTCTACCCCCAGTGATCTTGAGCTACTGCCATCTGCAACAAGCACAGACTTGCTTTCTCCTTTTATTTTTCCTTTTTTGTCATGATTCTATGTATTCATGGTCCAATTCAAATGTCAGCTCTCTCAATCACTTTGCCTGGCACCTTCACCCAAATAGTAATTATAATAGTTTATCAGTATTCCCATAGTACTTTATTCTTTCTTTTATCTTGACACCATATACTAATGCAGATATTCATCTATGTCTCTTTCTTTCCTAGCAGGCTGGGAACAACAGAGTTGTTACATCTTATATTTCCAGAATCTATATAACATCTGGCCTATAGTAAGAACTCAATAATGATTTATTACATTAAATTGAAATAAAATAGTTGATACTGGGCCTTAGTATGAATCTGAAACATAACTGAAACATATCTGAAACATAATTGTAACATATCTGAAAACTTCATTAAATGTTCTTTCATTTTACTTTGCCAAATGCCAGTCTGGTTACAAGCTGACACAGTTATACCATAGAGTTTAAAGTTGAAAGCAAAATGATTTTGTGTCTTCCTTGATTATGGCTTCCTCAGTGCACTGTTATGAAAAAAGTCGATTGTATGTTTCCTGCTAGCCTTTTTCCTTCAGTGTAGCTCCCTATGTGCATGGAGTGGGTCACATATGTTTTCTCCATGTTGCTGGTATGCTTTGGACATGGACATCACCATGAGTAGTATCTGTCTCTCTAACTATCCATCATCATGTCACATTAGACTTTAGTAAGTCCTCGTAAAGGCATAGAAAAGAAAAAAAAAAGCAATCCCATCTCCTTGAAGAGAAGATTTCATTTATGCTTGAAGATGTAATTGACAGTTACCCTATATTGGTCAATGATGGGCATTCAACTTCCTCTCTTTTAATCATTTTCCACAACCATTCCATCACCAAGATATGTCAGCAAAACCTTCATGATATATCTTAAACCTGACCAATTTTGTACTACTACCACTCTAGTCCCTCTCTTGTCTGAACTCATATTTGTTATAGAATAACTTTCCTAACTTGCTGTCTGGTTTTCATTCTTGATGAAATAGTCTCCACCTGCAATCACAGTGAGAACTTGAAATTGTAAATTAAAGCATGTCACTCCTCTGTTTTCAAACCTCCATTGGCTTCCTTCCTCCCTCCCTCCCTCCCTTCCTTCCTTCCTTTCTTCCTTCCTTCCTCTCTTTCCTTCTTTCCTTCCTTCCCTCCTTCCTCTCTCTTTCCTTCCTTCCTTCCTCTCTGTCTTTCCTTCCTTCCTTCCTTTCTTCCTTCCTTCCTCTCTGTCTTTCCTTCCTTTCTTCCCTTCTTCCTTCCTTCCTTTCTTCCTTCCTATCCTTCATTCGTTCCTTCATTCTTTCTTCTTTCTTTTTTTTGAGATGGAATCTTGCTCTGTCACCCAGGCTGGAGTGCAGTGGCACAGTCTTGGCTCACTGCAACCTCCACCTCCCAGGTTCAAGCAGTTCTGCCTCAGCCTCCTGAATAGCTGGAATTATAGGCAAGTGCCGCCATGCCCAGCTAATTTTATATTTTTAGTAGAGATGGGGTTTCACCATGTTGGCCAGGCTGGTCTTGAATTCCTGACTTCAGGTGATCCACCCAACTTGGCCCCTCAAAATGTTGGGATTACAGGTGTGAGCCACCACCCCTGGCCTCAACCTCCATTGGCTTTCATCACACTTAGAATAATGTCCAAAGTCATTACCATAGCTCTACATGACTTGACCCTGGCTGTCCCTTCAAACTCACTTTCTACCACTCTACTACTTCCTCACACCACGAAACGTAAACTGACTTCTCTGATGTTCCTAGAACTTGTCAAAGACATTCTTAACCCAGGGCCTTTGTACCTGCCATTAGGACCCTCTGCCTGGGATACTCTTGCCCCGCATATTCAGTGTTCACTTCTGTTTAATTTGTCAATTTGTCCCTATGCCAGAAAGTAGCTTGTCTAAAAATATTTATCTCAGACATACTCTATTCCCTTACTTACTTTATCTTTCTTCACAGCATTTTGATTTGTTTATTATGCGTTTTCTACTAGAATGTAAATGCTCTGAGATCAAGGACTGCTTTGTTCATAATTTTATTCCTAGCAGATACATATGGTACATAGTAGATAGTCAATAAATATGTGTTGAATAAGTGAAATTTAATTTAGTTCTAGACCTAACATATGGGCTCTTAATAGCATCTTTGCTTAAGTGTTGGAAAATTTGAGTTGCTCAATTTCAACAACTACTAGTAACCTTTCAGGAAAATTGTTGCAAATACTTAGTTCTTTAGATTTTGAAGAATGTTACTGATATAGGAATAAAACAAAAGATTTACAGACAGAGCAATGGAGAGAGTAATTGGAAAAGAGAAAGATGGAGTTCTTATTGTTTTCAACAATTTAAAGTGTGAATACTGTGTTGAACCACTTTGCATATAAAGATCCACTGAAACCTTGTTAATATGACTGATAAAAATGATAGGAATAGATATTTAGATCTTTTTAAGCCTCAGTTAGTAGCCAGTAGATTTGAGGTAATGCCTTAGACTTTACACTTTGCCAAGGTTTGCCAAATTTGCAATCCTTTTGGAAAATGTTATCTGAGCCTGGCTGGGTACCTGGGAAAGATTTATGGAAGGAGATAAACGTTACAAATAGGAGGAGGAATTCATTGCATTCTTTGTGGGTTGCAGTTGAAGCATACTGGAAGTTACAAGCCTCTGTGTCTTTCACTTTGGATACTTGGCTGCATTTAAACTCCATAAGCAAAAATTTGTATAAAAGTAGCATCAGCTGATAAAGCCTAGACTCACATAGCTCAAACATTTAGTTTGAATGACTCAATTGCACTCTTACTCGGTGAATTTCTAAAGGAAACTATTTAATATGCTTAGTATATCATAATACTTCCCATGTCATCTATTTTAAAACACAGCTCATATATAAGTTGACAGCATCCCACAGCTCTGACCCCAGTGGTGGTGCTGACAATAACTGGGCAATTCACTGAAAACCACAAGATACAGTTTGCACTGTGGATTTGATAATGGGTTGTATGTAGCCTTTCACTATTGGAGAAACAAAGTTACATAATTTTGGAGAAGTAAGAGACTTTACATGGCATCTGCTCAGACTCTTGCTCTTTACAATTACCAGAAACTAGTCCCCAAGCAGGAACGTGGCAAGCCATTTTCATCAACAAATGAGCTGGCCGTAGAGCTGAAACTGGAATATGGTCTTCTGATTGCTAGTCGAGAGATCTTTTATTTTGGTGGGGTTGGGGAGCATACTTTATTGTAAGTTTCACCAGTGTGGGACGCATAATTTTGGCCCCCATGACCTTCAGCTCTTGATGTTATATCTATAAATATGGTTTCTCACATGCTGAATGGGACTTTCCAGATGTAAGTAAGGTTACTAATCAGCTGACATTAGCGTAGAGAAATTATCCTGGATTATCTGGTTGCAACCAATGTAATCACATAAACTCTTAAAAGGAGACAAGAGAACAGCAAGATAGGAAGTAGAAGAAGGATCAGACATGCCACTGATAGCTTAGAAATGGAGAGTTCAGGAGCCAAGGAATGTGGGCAGCCATGAGAAGCTTCAACTAACAGCCAACAAGGAAATGAAAACCTTAGTCCCGCAGCCATGTGGAACTAAACCTGCCAACAACTTGAATGAGCCTTGAAGTGGATCTTTCCCAGAGCCTCCATAAGAGAATGTAGTCTCAATAATACCTTGATTTCAATTTCAGAATTCAGCTGAATCATGAAAGAAACCATGGGTGTTGTTTTAAGCCACTAAGTTTTTGGTATTTATTTTTTTACAGCAGCAATAGAAAAAGGAAGTAACCAATTTGTTAAAATGCTTCTCCCATCTTTTCTTAACCTTTGACAAGTATCCTTACAAGAGTGGCAACATTTCCTTCCCTACATAGGGAAATGTTTATGAAAATATCAAATTGCATATAACCTTCACTCGTGCACTAACAGGGCTTCACCCATCTGGGGAAAGTGTCCTTCAGATCTTTCTGGAGGTCTCCAGTGGGATGGATTACTTATGTCCTCTCACCAGTTGCCCCTTTCTCTCCTTCTCTGGCCCCTCTTGCCCATTTCCAGTGCTTCGTCAATGTCCCAGTACATCATGAGGTGACTGACATGCACGATAAGGGAGATGCTGCAGGATGCTCCCCAAGCTTTGAATTCCAAGGAGCAGGAGCTTGGTTGGTTCTGCACAGAGGCAGGGAGAACAGCCTTTCCTGTCTCAGAGCCACTCATAGTCACTGGGCTCCAAAGCGGCTCTCCTGGTGCCTGGGGGCCTCATGAGGTCTTTTCTGTTTTCTGTGAAGAACCTCACGAGATTCCTTCATTGCCTTCCACTTTGTAGCATCTCCTTCTAGAAGGAGAATGAAAACCACTTTATAAGACATGATATAGGAATACTGCCCTCCTCTTTCCCTTGGCTCCTCACCCACTGAAACATCTCTTCTCTCAGTTGTAAAACAAAAACTCTCAACTACTCTAATGAATACAAGCCAGAGAGTAGGCATGAGTGTATGTGTGTTTGTGTGTGTGTGTGTAATTACTAGTGCTAATCAGCAGAAATGTTCCCTATACATCTATGAATATGAGTCATTGCCACCTGATTAAAATAAATCAGACAACCTTTACAGTGTCTCCCAATATATATTGATAATAGGCATTGTAGTCGACTGAGGGGTGTTCCTCAAAAAGATATGTCCACCTGCCAATCACCAGAACCAGTGAACATTGCTTTATAAGGCAAAAAGATGAAATTAAGTTAAAGATTTTGAGAGGAGGAGTTTGTCCTGGATTATTTGATGGGCCCCAGATCCAATGACAAGTGTTCTTCTAAGAGTGAGGCAGAGTGGGGATTTTGACAGACACACCAGGAGGAAGACAGACAGAAGAGGAGGCAACATGGCCTTGGAGGCAGAGATTGAAGTGATCCACCCTCAAGCCAAAAAAAAAAAAAAAAAATGCCTGTAGACAGCAGACACTGGAAGACAGAAGTACATGATTCTCCCCAGGTGTCTCTGACTGGAGGGAGTGTAGTCCTCCTGAGTCCTTGATTTCAGACTCCTGGCCTCCAGTATGATGAGAAAATAAATTTCTCTTGTCTTAAGCCAAGGTTACAGTAATTTGTTATGGCAGCTGCAGAATACTAATATAGACAACACACTGTTAGCTTTTAAAATTGTGTAAAACACACAAAACTCCATCTGTTCTAGACACTTGTTTGTAAACAGAGGAACTTTACTACACGCAAATTAGTGTTAATACTATCAGAAGTTGAACTTAGAATATTAGGTGTAAGTATTTGTCAATGTGATCGCTCCCCTTAAAAGCCTGTAACGTTGTTGTACTGGATATTGCTAATCAATTTATATTATTGAAAGCTTACTCTGAGTAGATCAAATCAATATGCCAGAAACCATAAGGGAGGGGGGAAACAGTGAATACGATGAAATAGTAATAGTAATAATAATAATAATATCTGGCACTATTCTAAGTGCTTTGCATATAATACACTTCACCTTTACAACATCCCTGTGAGGCTGGAACTTTTATTATCCCACTCTACAGAACACCGAGTCACTGAGAGGTTAGGCAACTTGCCCAGGGTCCTAGAGATGGTAAGTCGCAGAGCTGAGATTCAGTTTGTACTCATTTGACTGCCACTAACCTTGGGTGATGGCGAGAAGTAGACCTCAGAGGATAGAGAAACTTTCAATTGCTGTCATGCCCAGCTGCAAATAAACTTCAAAAAAGTCACCACCATCTGATAATGTACTTCCTATGTAGGATAATTTCTGCAGAGTGTGTCCAGATTCTTAGCAGACCTGTGATAATATTAATACCTTGTTCTAAGTATCCAGTTTTCTCCTTAGGGCTGGATTCACTCGTGGAGGATTGATGAGAGAGTGGGAGAATATTGCACCTAAGCTCTGTTTTTTCTTTCCTCTAATTTAGATATATGCAGATCTCAAAGTCTCTGACAATCAAGGCTCTGTTCCTACATAGGGCTTATGGGAAAGAATCGCACACCAGAACAAGATCCTTTTCACTGGAAGGATCGCTTGTCGGGGAGGCGAAGGGGGAAAGACATGGTAATGCCTGTTTGTTTGACTTCTCTCAGCCCCTTCTTTGGAGCAGTTTTGAATTTTTTGGCTCGGCTGCCCCATCACAGGCAGATGTTTGAAGCTCTTGTGCTCCATGAAGGTGAAAGAAGCAGACAACTGCCTCTTTTGTTTCTCTTTGTTAAGTGTTTTTTTTCTGACAGTCTCACTCTGTTGCCCAGGCTAGAGTGCAGTGGTAAGATCTTGGCTCACTGCAAACTCTGCCTCCCAGGTTCAAGGGATTCTCTTGCCTCCGCCTCCCGAATAGCTGGGATTACAGGTGCGTGCCACTATGTCCAGCTAATTTTTGTATTTTTAGTAGAGATGGGATTTTGCCACGTTAGCCAGGCTGGTCTCGAACTCCTGACCTTAGGTGATCCTCCCACCTCGGCCTCCCAAAGGGCTGGGATTACAGGTGTGAGCCACTGCGCCTGGCCTCTTACTTCTCTTTTTCACCAAGCTGATGGACAAGAGGCTGTGAACTTTGATATACCAAAGAATCATGGGGTATGTGAGGGTTGAAACTGCAGCAAACAGATGCCTTCTTTATAGCTGGAGAGGCTGTGAGAAGAGACTGTCCTGTGGGCAAGAACTCTGGATGTATGAGACAGTGTGCCAAAACAGTTAACAGAAATTATGAAGCAATTTCGATTTATGTTGCAGCAAAAAGAAGAAGGAACAGAGGAAATTGAACTTCCAGTGAGGTCTGATAATTAAACTCAGGCATACTGACAGGGTAGGTGAACACAACAGATAAATAACTACTTTCCGGTAATTATAAGGCAGGATGGTAACATATTAGACAAGCTGGCTTGCTCGGTATTTTCAAGGCTGACATTTCGATTCTAGGGGATATTTGGATCTGTGCTAACAGATTTCTTTCTTTTTCCACACTTGCTTTTCCTTTTCCACTCCCTATTGCTTGCTGAAAATAAAATGTGATTTTAAAGTGCCACTGTTCAGCATGTTTCATGCGTCTGCTTCGCCTCACATAGCCGACCTCAAAACCCACTGCTGCTGGACGCAGTTGCTGAAGTGGTGTCTGCTTTTCTAAAAACTGTAATTATTTAAAAGATTTTAATCAGATGTCCCCTATTAGAAGAAAATGGTGCAAATCACATAGTCCATTTACAATCCTTCCTTGGCCATAGACTGCTAAAGCTTTTAACAAATCATTTCATAGCACAAACACTTCTTTTCACAAGAAGGAAATGGAGGCAATGGGTTCTTGTCTAAGACGCACTGTTTTCAACAGAAATAAAGCAGACACTTAAGTCAAGGGAACAAAACCACTCTCTTTTGTGAATGGGGATCACTCTCAGACACCCAATTTTCCTTCTGTCTTTAAGAATAATGTTACAATACTTTTAAAAGGGGAATTTACATAATAGAATACAGATGTTGCCCTTTTCTATGTGATGTGTAGACTGTAGATTGTGTGCTATATAGACTTGATTTTCAGGCAGAAATTTTAAAATGAGTGTTTTTTTCATGGTCTGTCCTATAATCAAACCATCTCATGAAGAATGAAGATCTGTCCCTGTGGGTCTCTAGCCTCAAGGATCTGCTGTGTCGTGACTCAAATTCCAGATGGTGTAGATTTACTTTGTTGACCCAAACCCCATGTTTTCTTTCTTTTTTTTCTTTTAATTTAAAAAAACAGTATCATAATTTATTGATTGCTCTTGGGGAATGAACTTCCAATGCCCATCTTGTGGCCTGGCAGGGAGAAATTTCCCAGTTCTGTTTGAGCGAGCTGTCCACTCCACTTGGCACTTGAACAGGCTAAAACGGAATGTCTTTTGTTGTAAACACCTAATTTGTTCATTTTGAACTGTCTGAGTAACTAGATCAAAGACCAGTGTCAAATGCCCAAAGCAGTGTTTGTCAGCAGTGGACTTTTTATTCTTCTTGTTCTATAGCAACTGAAAGAGAAAAAGACTCGTACTGTATTTCCACAAAAGCGTAGGGAAGCTCGCGTTGGCAGCCTCTTGCGACAGAATGAATACATGCTACTGAGTACAGACCATTTGTCTCCTGATTACAACAGACCCCAGGGGAACTGGTGTTGGCTTTGAATTCCACCTCTCTTTTACTGAGCGCCTCCTCGCCGTGATGGTTCCACCCCCAATCCTCACAGCACAGAGCGTCAGGGACTCAGATCTCCTCTCTGCTGTGGGTTTTAGTCAGCTTTCTAAATTCAAACAGGGCCCTCTTGTTTGAAATGTGTTGACTTGTCTTGAACAGTAACATATATTTTTAAACTATTCTCATTTGGAATTCAGCAGTGGCCATAATGAATGCCTTTAGTGCTCCTGTGTGTTTCATATGCATGATAACAAGGGCTTCGGTGTAGAGGAAGGAAACAGAGAATGACGACCTAAAAAGTCACCCAGTTCCTAATATTAAAAATGGTACAAAAATGGTAGAGCATATGATGGTCTTACTAGTTATGTGTGAACCCACCTGATCATTTTTCCCATTGATTTATAAGGGCTCACGTTGTTTTTCTCCGTGCAGAATTGTTGTTTGGAAATGGACAAGAATGTGTCTTTATTATGCTAAGAGTACAGCTTTATTATTAGGCAGTCTTGAGGGCTGCTGGGATGCATTCTCCTTAATTACACCTATTTTCACTGATATTCCCTAAGAACTGCTCTGCTCATATTTCCATTGGAAGGCCAAGTTCAGCCTGAAAGGTTCACTTCCTACTTAACAGCAGTTGCAGTCATTAACATTTTTTTTTCTTGTTTAGTTTTGCTTTACTGTTCATTTCCTTTAAAGGAAAGTAGATCATAAAACATTCGTGAAAGTTTCCTTTATTTCAGATTAGCTGAATTTATTTTACACATTTGTCTCTGTTTTTTCTTATATTCTTATTCACTTTATTGTCTACCTTTGCAGTTATTTTTTTCTTATATTAAGAAAGAGAAAAGAAGCGAGCTGTCATTTGGCAGTCTCTTTTCCATTATGTTTGCACTGCTGGGAAACGCTGGAACAAAGGCATTCAAAGTGTTACTGAATGGGGCTCAGCATTCAGCCCTGCTGGTGAGGCTGCAATCAGTCCGACTAGGATGAAAATGCGTGCTTTTCAACACTGGTTGGAGATGTTTGTATTTATCTTTGGAATGCATGCCTGGTCCATGCAGTCATGTGATGTGTTTTTGCCATGTCCTTATGTGTCCCAGCTTTTTCTGTGGTAGGATGGAAGAAATGGAATGTGACCCATTAACCCTTAGTCGGTATGAAGTAGTCCAACAGATACTTCTCAAACACAAAGAGTCCCTGCTCACGTCAAAGTCAATTTCTAAAACACGTTTTTATCCGGGATTTAGTTCCTGTCCTGTTCTAGCCAGATGTGCATGTGGACAAGCTATGCCACTTCTGCTGACACGTTGGTAGTGAACAGTTCTGGGGTCATAAATAGCAATAATGGGATGAACCAAACAGGCAGTAGGTGTCCTCAGGCCTGGAAAAGGCATAGGAGGGTTAAAGTGGTTACTTAAGTCACACTGTTTATGTCTCCCATGTGCTAATGAAGATATAGAACATTTCTACCACCCCAAAAATTTTATTGTGCCATCTCACTGTCAGTTTCATCCCCAGCCTACAAGTATCCCTGTAGATTAATTTTTCTGTGAACACATTTTCTTTTGAATTGCCAAACCATGTCATATAATGTGTATGGCACATCAGAAAAACGGATAGTACTGCTTTTGGACTTGAGGTCTTAGGTTTAATTTCTATTAACACTTGAATTCATCTGACAATATCAAACGCAATCTCTGTGTGTTAAAGATTTGTTGCAAACTGTTCTTTAATTTTCCCCCCTAAACTATTTAGTACTAATGACAATTCCTGAAAAATAAAGAGACTCAGTGGATGTTATAGGTATCTGGTTTATAAACTACTAAGCAAAGGTCTTTCAAGTTAAAGTTTGAAATGGGCACAAAGGCTCCAAGAGTCCTTAGAATGAAAGTGTCATGGCACATTTGCAACTCTTTTAAAAACCTCTTTGAGGCTGAGTGCGTTTACGCCTGTAATCCCAGCAATTTGGGAGGCCGAGACGGGCAGATCATTTGAGGTCAGGAGTTCGAGACCGGCCTGGCCAACGTGGTGAAACCCTGTCTCTACTATACATACAGAAAAATTAGCTGGGTGTGGTGGTGTATGCCCGTAATCCCAGCTACTCAGGAGGCTGAGGCAGAAGAATTGTTTGAAGCTGGGAGACGGAGGATGCAAGGATGCAGTGAGCCGAGATCACGCCACTGCACTCCAGCCTGGGCAACAGAGTGAGACTCCATCTCAAAAGGAAAAGAAAAAACAATAACAAAACAACAAGAGCAAAATAAAAAAAAAAATTCCACCTCTTTGAGAGCTCGTTTGAAGTTTCTAGCAGGGGAGGGTAGCTACCCGTATACCCTTGATGGAAGGCCGGCCCTCCTCTATGAGGGATGGTTATCCTCTTTGAGCATGCAGCTTCGGGAGGGACGCACGAGGAGCGGTAAGGAAGGGAGGGGACACCTGCCCAGCCAACCGGATCAGCCAAATCAACCTTGGCGATCAATGGGGTGACATGTGTCGCAGCCAGATCACCCTCACATCCATTAACTCTTAAAACACTTCTTTGGATTCGCTAAAACTCTCCTTCTCTCTGTAGAACACAGTGACTAATGTCCATCATTCTCTCTCTGCAATCATCTAGCTAGCGGGCTGTTCTCAGGGGGGTTGTGCATTTGCCTCACCTGTTGAATTGGTGCCTACCAAGCATTTATTATGTTTATACTACACAAGTTTTACTTCCTGTTGTTATTATTTAATTTAATAAATATTACACCAAGTGGCAAAATACGAATGTCAGGAAAACAGTTTTGGGTTTCTCTGGAGAGAAATTTAATGCCAAGGAAAGACAAAGTTTTTTTTTGTTTTTTTTTTTGTTTGTTTGTTTTTTAAAGAAACCCCAAAACTTGCTATCAAATTAAGTGGATAAGACAACTATTAAAAAAAAAAAAGAGGAAAGAATGGCTCTTTAAATTCTAAGACATCTAAAGAAACAATCGGAATTCAAAGCTGATGCATCATGGAAGTCTTTCTTTTCTTTCTTTCTTTCTTTCTTTCTTTCTTTCTTTCTTTCTTTCTTTTTCTTTCTTCCTTTCCTTCTTTCTTTCTTTCTTTCTTTCTCTTTCTTTCTTTCTTTCTTTTTTCTTTCTTTATTTCTTTCTTTGTTTCTTTCTTTCTTTCTTTTCTCTCTCTCTCTCTCTTCCTTTCCTTCCTTTCTTTCTTTTTTTTTCGGTTCTCCCTTTGTCGCCCAGGCTGGAGTGCTGCAGTGTCGTAATCATGGGTTACTGCAACCTTTGCCTCCCAGGCTCAGATGATTCTTCCACCTCAGCCTCCCAAGTTGCTGGGACTACAGGCATGCAGCACCACACCTGGCTAATTTTTGTGTTCTTGGTAGAGATGGGGTTTCGCCATGTTGCCCAGGCTGGTCTTGAACTCCTGGCCTCAAGCAATCAGCCCACCTTGGCCTCCCAATGTGCTGGCTGGGACTACAGGCATGAGTCACTGTGCCTGGCCTGTTTATTTCTATTTAATAAACAACTATCTGGCACTTTCAATGAGCCAGTGCTGTTCTAAGGATTTTTCATCCTCCTAACTACTGTGTATGGTAGGTAATATCCCTTTTGACATATAAGGAAACTGAGGCACAGAGCAGCTATGCAACTTCCTGAAAGTCACACAGGTAGCAAGTGGCAGAGCTGAGATTCAGAACACAGGAGCTTTGTCCAAAGCCTCTTTGCTTCCCACTGTCTTATCCTGCCTCTTTTTATCCACCACAGTTTATGGAACTGTCCAACTAGCACATCTACTTGCGAGGTGGGGAAGGCTGTGGTCCTTCATCAAAAGACTAAAAATAAATGAATGTCTAAACCAAATTTACATTTTAGTTAAGCTAAAATGTTTACCTTTCTTCCTTTTTAAAAATAATTTCAACAGTTTTTGGGGAACAGGTGGTGTCTGGTTACATGAATAAGTTCTTTAGTGGTGATTTCTGAGATTTTGGTGCACCCATCACCCGAGCAGTGTACTCTATACCCAATGTGTAGTCCTTCATATCTCGCCCCCTCCCCACCCTCCCCCCAAGTCCCCAAAGTCCATTAGATTATTACACCTTTGTGTACTCATAGCTTAGCTCACACTTTTAAGTGAGAACCTATGATGTTTGGTTTTTCATTTCTGAATTACTTCACTTAGAATAATGAATGGTCTCCAACTCCATCCAGGTTGCTACAAATGCCGTTATTTCATTCCTTCTTGTGGCTGAGCAGTACTACTTTTTCATGGGATTTTTTTTTTCTTTTCTTGCTGGTTTGTCAGAGTTCCTTGTAGATTCTGGATACTAGTCCTTTGTGGATGCATAGTTAGCGAAGATTTTCTTCCATGCTGTGGGTTGTCTGTTTACTCTGCTGATTTTCTTTTGCTGTGCAGAAGCTTTTGAGGTTGATTAAGTCCCACCAATTTATCTTTGTTTATGCTGTATTTGCTTTTGGGTTCTTGTTCGTTAACTCTGCCTGAGTCAATGTCTAGAAGAGTTTTTCCAACGTTATCTTCTAGAATTTTTTTGGTTTCAGGTCTTATATTTCAGTCTTTGATCCACCTTGTGTTGATTTTTGCATCAGGTGACAGATGAGGATTCAGTCTCATCCTTCTACACGTGGCTTGCCAATAATGCCAGCACCATTTGTTGAATAGGGTGTCCTTTCTCCACTTTATGTTTTTGTTTGCTTTGTCAAAGATCCATTCGCTATAAGTATTTGGCTTTATTTCTGGTTTCTCTATTTTGTTTCATTGGTCTAGATGCCTACTTTTATACCAGTACCATGCTGTTTGGTAACTATAGCCTTGTGGTATAGTTTCATGTCGGTTAATGTGATGCCTCCAGATTGTTTTTTTTGCTTAGTCTTGCTTTGGCTATGTGGGCTCTTTTTTTGGTTTCATATGGATTTCAGGATTGTTTTTTCTAGTTCTGTGAAGAATGATGATGGTATTTTGATGGGAATTGCATTAAATTTATACATTGCTTTTGGCAGTATGGTCATTTTCACAATATTGATTCTACCCATCCATGAGCATGGGATGTGTTTCCATTTGTGTCATCTATGACTTCTTTCAGCAGTGTTTTGTAGTTTTCCTTGTAGAGATCTTTCACCTCCTTGGTAAGGTATATTCCTATGTATTTTATTTTTCTTGGAGCTGTGGTATAAGGGGTTGAGTTATTGATTTGATTCTCACCTTGGTCGTTGGTGGTGTATAGCAGTGCTACTGATTTGTATACATTGATTTTGTAAAGTGGGCATCCTTGTCTTGTTCCAGTTCTCAGCAGAAATGCTTTCAAATTTTCCCCATTCAGTATACTGCTGGCTGTGGGTTTGTCATAGATGGCTTTTATTACTTTAAGATATGTCCCTTTTATGCTCATCTTGCTGAGGGTTTTAATCATAAAGCAATGCTGGATTTTGTCAAATGCTTTTTCTGCACCTGTTGAGATGATCATATGATTTTTCTTTTTACTTCTCTTTATATAGTGTATCACATTTATTGACTTGCATATGTTAAACCATCCCTGCATCCCTGGTATAAAACCCACTTGATCATGGTGTATTATTTTTTTTTTTTTGACATGCTATTAGATTCTGTTACCTAGTATTTTGTTGAGGATTTTTGCATCTGTATTTGTGAGGGATATTGGTCTGTAGTTTTCTTTTTTGTTATGTCCTTTCCTGGCTTTGGTATTAAGGTGATACTGGCTTCATAGAATGATTTATGGAGGATTTTCTCTTCCTCTATCTTTTGAAATAGTTTCAGTAGAAATTGGTACCAATTCCTCTTTGAATGTCCAATAGAATTCAGTTGTGAATCCATCTAGTCCTGGACCTATTTGTTGGCAACGTTTTTATTACTGTTCCAATCTCACTATTTGTTATTGGTCTGTTCAGAGTTTCTGTTTCTTCCTGGTTTCATCTAGGAGGGTTGTATATTTCCAGTAGTTTATCCATCTCCTCTAGGTTTTCTAGTTTGTGTGCAAAAAGGTGTTCACAGTAGTCCTGAATGATCTTTTGTTTCTGTGGTATCAGTTGTAATACCTCATTTCATTTCTAATTGAACTTATTTGGATCCTCTCTCTTGTTTAATTATTGATGTTTTAAAATCTTTTCAAAGAAACAGTTTTCTGTTTCATTTATCTTTTGTATTTTTTTTTTTTTTGCTTCAGTTTCATTTAGTTCTGCTCTGATCTTTGTTATGTCTTTTCTTTTGCTGGGTTTGTGTTTGATTTGTTCTTGTTTGTTTACTTCATTGAGATGTGAGCTTAGATTATCTATTTGTGCTCTTTCAGGCTTTTGATGTAGGCATTTAATGCTATGAACTTTCTTAGCACAGCTTTTGCTGTATCCCAGAGGTTTTGATAGGTTGTGTCACTATTATCATTCAGTTCAAAGAATTTTTAAATTTTCATCTTGATTTCATTGTTGTCCCAAAATTCATTCAGGAGTCAATTATTTAATTTCCATGTATTTGTATAGTTTTGAGGATTCCTTTTGTAGTTAATTTTCAGTTTTATTCCACTGTGGTCTGACAGAGTGCTTGATATAACTTCAGTTTTCTTAAATTTATTGAGACTTTTTTGTGGCCTATCATATGATCTATCTTGGAGAATGATCTAGGTGATGATGAATAGAATGTATATTCTACAGTTGTTGGGTAGAATGTTCTGTAAATATCTGTTAAGTCCAATTGTTCTATGTTATAGTTTAAATCCATTGTTTCTTTGTTGACTTTCTGTCTTGATGACCTGTCTAGTGTTGTCAATGCAGTATTGAAATCCCCCACTATTATTGTGTTGCCGTCTACCTCATTCCTTAGGTTTAGTAGTAATTGTTTTATAAATTTGGGAGCTTCACTCTTAGGTGTGTAAATATTTGGGATATTTTCATGTTGGACTAATCCTTTTATAATTGTATAATGTTCTTCTTTGTCCTTTTTCACTGTTATTGCATTAAAGTCCATTTTGTCTCACATAAGAATAGCTACTCCTCCTCACTTTTGGTTTCCATTTGCGTGAAATATCTTTCTCCATCCCTTTACCTTAAGTCTATGTGAGTCCTTATGCGTTAGGTGAGTCCCTTCAAGATAGCAGATACTTGGTTGGTAGAATTTATCCACTCTGCCATTCTGTATCTTTTAAGTGGGGCATTTAGGTCATTTACATTCAATGTTACTACTGAGATAGGAGGTACTGTTCTATTCATGCTAGTTATTGCCTGAACATCTTTTTTTTTCCCCATTGTGTTACTGTTTCATAGGCCCTGTGAAATTTATGCTTTCAGGAGGTCCTATTTTGGTGTATTTCCAGGTTTTGTTTCAAGATTTAGGACCCGTTTTAGCATTGCTTGTAGTGCTGGCCTGGTAGTGGCAAAGTCTCTCAGCATTTGTTTGTCTGAAAAAGACTTTATCTCTCCTTCATTTGTGAAGTGTAATTTTTCTGGATACAAAATTCTTGGCTGGCAATTATTTTGTTTGAGGAGGCTAAAGATTGGACTCCAATCCCTTCTGGCTTGAGGGTTTCTACT
Organism: Homo sapiens; assembly: GCF_000001405.40. NCBI lineage: Eukaryota > Metazoa > Chordata > Mammalia > Primates > Hominidae > Homo > Homo sapiens. The sequence continues at coordinate 125,356,152 of NC_000005.10, forward strand.
GAGAAATATGCTGTTAATCAGATAAGTTTTCCTTTAGAAGTTACCTTTTGCCTCACAGATCTTACGATTCTTTCCTTTGTCTTGACTTTAGATAACCTGATGACTGTGTGCCCAGGCAATGATCTTTTTGTGGTGAATTTCCCGGGTATTCTTTGAGCTTCTGGTATTTGGATGTCTAGATCTCTAGCAAGCCCAGCGAAGTTTTCCTTGATTATTTCCTCAAATAAGTTTTCTGAACTTGTAGATATTTCTTTTTCTTCCTCATGAACACCAATTATTCTTATGTTTGGTCATTTGACATAATCTCAAATTTATGGAGGCTTTGTTCATTTTCTAAAAATTTAGTTTTCTTTGTCTGTGTTGGATTGGGTTAATTCAAAAGGCTTGTCTTCGAGCTCTGAAGTTCTTTCTTCCACTTGTTTGATTCTATTGTTGAAATTTTCCAGTGTATTTTGTATTTCTCTAAGTGTGTCTTTCATTTCTAGAAGTTGTGATTGTCTTTTCTTTATGTCTATTTCTCTAAAGACTTTTTCAATCATATCCTATATTGTTTTTTGAAGTTAAGTTGATTTTCACCTTTCTCTAGTAACTCCTTGAGTAGCTTAATAAACCTGCTGAATTCTTCATCTGGCAATTCAGAGAGTTCTTCTTGGTTTAGCTAGTGTGATCTTTTGGGGTGTTATAGAACCTTTTTTTTTTTTTCATGTTATCAGAATTACTTTTCTGGTTCCTTCTCATTTGGGTCGACTCTTTCAATGGAAAGATTTGGAACTCAAGGGCTGCTGTTCAGATTTTTATGTCCCAAGTGGTGATCCCTTAATGTGGTGCTCTCTCCCTTCCCCTAGGGATGGTGCTTCCTGAGAGCTGGACTGCAGTGGTTGTTACTGTGCTTCTGAGTCTACCCACCCAGTGGGGCTACTGGGCTCTGGATTGTTGTTGCAGAATGTCTGCAAAGAATCCTGTTATATGATTCATATTCGGATCTCCCAGCCATGGATACCAGCACCTACTCCAGTGGAGGTGGCAGGGGAGTGAAGTTGACTTTTTGGAATTCCTTGATTGTAGTTTTGTTCAGTGTGCTGGTTTTTCTCAAATGCTGGTTATGCTAGCAGTCAAATTGTCACATGGACAGACTCAGGACCTCTGATAAGCCAGGATGTTGCAGGCAGTGAAATTAGCTGTTGTTTTCTTCTTCCTTGGGGCAGGGTTGTTCTTGTATGAGTTGCTGTAATGGCTTGAGTTGGTTAGCCTCCAGCCAGGAGGTGGTGCTTTCAAGAGAGCACCAGCTGTGATAGTAGAAAGGAGATACAAGCTTACCCTATGTTGGCTAGAATAAGTATTTGGGTTTCTCAGGTGATGGGCAGGGCCATAGAGCTCCCAAGAGTTTATGTCTTTTGTCTTTGTCTACTAGGGCAGTAAACCATCAGGTTGGGGCAGGGTTAGGTGGGTCTGAACAAAAACTCACCTTAGGCAGTGCTTGCTGTGGCCACTGTGGGGGATGGGAGGTGCTTCTCAGGCCAATGAAGTTATGTTCCAAGGGGGTTATAGCTGCCTCTGCTGCATCATACAAGTCACCAGGGATGTGTGGGAAAGCCAGCAGTGACAGGCCTCACCCTGCTCCCACACAGCCAGCAAGGCCAGTCTTTCTCCTGCTGTGCCCTACCAGGAAGCTGTGCAGGGCTGAAATCTTGCCCCAGGCTACAAGCTTCCCCACTGAGAAAGCAAGTAGGGCTCTCAGGCCTCTCCCCTCCCTAACTTCCCACACTGTCAGCTGTGGCTTCTGCACTCCTATCTGCACTTCCCATTCACTCCCCTGGATTCTGCTTAGAAAAATTTGTGCTCAGTCAAAAATTATTAAAGCTCAGCTAGAAGTTTCCTTCACCCTGTGGCCCCTCCCCTGTTCTGCTGGCTTCCTCCCCAAGGGCTGCTCTGAGATAAAGCCAGGGATGGCTTCCCTGGGCTCAAGCTCAGGACCAGGAGTGCCTACAGGGCTCTTCCCGCTGCTTCTTCTACTTTCATATTTTGCTTGGCTCCCTGAATCTGTTTCAGCTCTAGGTAAGGTTACATCTTTCTCTCATGATCTGGATTTTTAGGTTCCCCTGTGGGGATGTGTGTTCAGATACAGACTTTTCCCTCTCTTCACACTTTGAGAACTCACAGTTTTTCAGCTGTCTTGAAGTTTGCAGCAGCAAGCCTCTTCTTTCAAAGGGTCTGTGAATTCTTTCAGTTTTCCTGTTATGTTCCTGCTGTAGTTCTTGGAGCAAAGGTTCATGATGTGAGTCTCCACATGCTGTTCTATTTGTCCAAGTGGGAGCTGCACATTAGTCCTGTCTCCTATCTGCCATTTTCCTCTCTTCCTTTTTGAATACCAGCTTTAACTCATTCTTATGTACTGATCTAATTCTGTTGGATAAGTGAGCTTCTACTCTACAAATAATGGCTCAACATCTTCAGTTACCATCAAGTTTTTTAAAAGCACCACTGTTTATTAAATTTGTTAGCAAGGCCAATGTTATCTACAAAATAAAAAAATTTGGATTAGATAATTTATCAGACCCTTTTTAATTCATATGTTTTGTGGTCACATAAGTTTAGCTTCTGAGTGGCTTTGTTAGCTTTACTTTGTTTTATGACCACAGATGTACATACCATTGACTTTGCCCATCCATTTCATAATTGGAAAACAGAGAAAGAGGTAAGTTAAATAGACCGAAACCAGCTCCACTATTGGCAAACCAACTATTGATAAGTCATTTTCTCTTGTGAAGGAGAAAAATCTCTTTTTTATTCTTATATTTTTTTTAAATTAAGAAGTAATTTATTTATTTATTTATTTTTATTCTTTATTTTTTATTTTTTTTAATTATACTTTAAGTTTTAGGGTACATGTGCACATTGTGCAGGTTAGTTACATATGTATACATGTGCCATGCTGGTGCGCTGCACCCACTAACTCGTCATCTAGCATTAGGTATATCTCCCAATGCTATCCCTCCCCCTTCCCCCCTCCCCACCACAGTCCCCAGAGTGTGATATTCCCCTTCCTGTGTCCATGTGATCTCATTGTTCAATTCCCACCTATGAGTGAGAATATGCGGTGTTTGGTTTTTTGTTCTTGTGATAGTTTACTGAGAATGATGGTTTCCAATTTCATCCATGTCCCTACAAAGGACATGAACTCATTATTTTTTGTGGCTGCATAGTATTCCATGGTGTATATGTGCCACATTTTCTTAATCCAGTCTATCATTGTTGGACATTTGGGTTGGTTCCAAGTCTTTGCTATTGTGAATAATGCCGCAATAAACATACGTGTGCATGTGTCTTTATAGCAGCATGATTTATAGTCATTTGGGTATATACCCAGTAATGGGATGGCTGGGTCAAATGGTATTTCTAGTTCTAGATCCCTGAGGAATCGCCACACTGACTTCCACAATGGTTGAACTAGTTTACAGTCCCACCAACAGTGTAAAAGTGTTCCTATTTCTCCACATCCTCTCCAGCACCTGTTGTTTCCTGACTTTTTAATGATTGTCATTCTAACTGGTGTGAGATGATATCTCATAGTGGTTTTGATTTGCATTTCTCTGATGGCCAGTGATGATGAGCATTTTTTCATGTGTTTTTTGGCTGCATAAATGTCTTCTTTTGAGAAGTGTCTGTTCATGTCCTTCGCCCACTTTTTGATGGGGTTGTTTGTTTTTTTCTTGTAAATTTGTTTGAGTTCATTGGAGATTCTGGATATTCAGCCCTTTGTCAGATGAGTAGGTTGTGAAAATTTTCTCCCCTGTTGTAGGTTGCTTGTTCACTCTGATGGTAGTTTCTTTTGCTGTGCAGAAGCTCTTTAGTTTAATTAGATCCCATTTGTCAATTTTGGCTTTTGTTGCCATTGCTTTTGGTGTTTTGGACATGAAGTCCTTGCCCACGCCTATGTCCTGAATGGTAATGCCTAGGTTTTCTTCTAGGGTTTTTATGGTTTTAGGTCTAACGTTTAAATCTTTAATCCATCTTGAATTGATTTTTGTATAAGGTGTAAGGAAGGGATCCAGTTTCAGCTTTCTACATATGGCTAGCCAGTTTTCCCAGCACCATTTATTAAATAGGGAATCCTTTCCCCATTGCTTGTTTTTCTCAGGTTTGTCAAAGATCAGATAGTTGTAGGTAAGCGGCATTATTTCTGAAGGCTCTGTTCTGTTCCATTGATCTATATCTCTGTTTTGGTACCCGTACCATGCTGTTTTGGTTACTGTAGCCTTGTAGTATAGTTTGAAGTCAGGTAGTGTGATGCCTCCAGCTTTGCTCTTTTGGCTTAGGATTGACTTGGCGATGCGGGCTCTTTTTTGGTTCCATATGAACTTTAAAGTAGTTTTTTCCAATTCTGTGAAGAAAGTCATTGGTAGCTTGATGGGGATGGCATTGAATCTGTAAATTACCTTGGGCAGTATGGCCATTTTCACGATATTGATTCTTCCTACCCATGAGCATGGAATGTTCTTCCATTTGTTTGTATCCTCTTTTATTTCCTTGAGCAGTGGTTTGTAGTTCTCCTTGAAGAGGTCCTTCACATCCCTTGTAAGTTGGATTCCTAGGTATTTTATTCTCTTTGAAGCAATTGTGAATGGGAGTTCACTCATGATTTGGCTCTCTGTTTGTCTGTTGTTGGTGTATAGGAATGCTTGTGATTTTTGTACATTGATTTTGTATCCTGAGACTTTGCTGAAGTTGCTTATCAGCTTAAGGAGATTTTGGGCTGAGACGATGGGGTTTTCTAGATAAACAATCATGTCGTCTGCAAACAGGGACAATTTGACTTCCTCTTTTCCTAATTGAATACCCTTTATTTCCTTCTCCTGCCTGATTGCCCTGGCCAGAACTTCCAACACTATGTTGAATAGGAGTGGTGAGAGAGGGCATCCCTGTCTTGTGCCAGTTTTCAAAGGGAATGCTTCCAGTTTTTGCCCATTCAGTATGATATTGGCTGTGGGTTTGTCATAGATAGCTCTTATTATTTTGAAATACGTCCCATCAATACCTAATTTATTGAGAGTTTTTAGCATGAAGGGTTGTTGAACTTTGTCAAAGGCTTTTTCTGCACCTATTGAGATAATCATGTGGTTTTTGTCTTTGGCTCTGTTTATATGCTGGATTACATTTATTGATTTGCGTATATTGAACCAGCCTTGCATCCCAGGGATGAAGCCCACTTGATCATGGTGGATAAGCTTTTTGATGTGCTGCTGGATTCAGTTTGCCAGTATTTTATTGAGGATTTTTGCATCAATGTTCATCAAGGATATTGGTCTAAAATTCTCTTTTTTGGTTGTGTCTCTGCCTGGCTTTGGTATCAGGATGATGCTGGCCTCATAAAATGAGTTAGGGAGGATTCCCTCTTTTTCTATTGATTGGAATAGTTTCAGAAGGAATGGTACCAGTTCCTCCTTGTACCTCTGGTAGAATTCGGCTGTGAATCCATCTGGTCCTGGACTCTTTTTGGTTGGTAAACTATTGATTATTGCCACAATTTCAGCTCCTGTTATTGGTCCATTCAGAGATTCAACTTCTTCCTGGTTTAGTCTTGGGAGAGTCTATGTGTCGAGGAATGTATCCATTTCTTCTAGATTTTCTAGTTTATTTGCGTAGAGGTGTTTGTAGTATTCTCTGATGGTAGTTTGTATTTCTGTGGGATCGGTGGTGATATCCCCTTTATCATTTTTTATTGTGTCTATTTGATTCTTCTCTCTTTTTTTCTTTATTAGTCTTGCTAGTGGTCTATCAATTTTGTTGATCCTTTCAAAAAACCAGCTCCTGGATTCATTGATTTTTTGAAGGGTTTTTTGTGTCTCTATTTCCTTCAGTTCTGCTCTGATTTTAGTTATTTCTTGCCTTCTGCTAGCTTTTGAATGTGTTTGCTCTTGCTTTTCTAGTTCTTTTAATTGTGATGTTAGGGTGTCAATTTTGGATCTTTCCTGCTTTCTCTTGTGGGCATTTAGTGCTATAAATTTCCCTCTACACACTGCTTTGAATGCGTCCCAGAGATTCTGGTATGTTGTGTCTTTGTTCTCGTTGGTTTCAAAGAACATCTTTATTTCTGCCTCCATTTCGTTATGTAGCCAGTAGTCATTCAGGAGCAGGTTGTTCAGTTTCCATGTAGTTGAGCGGCTTTGAGTGAGATTCTTAATCCTGAGTTCTAGTTTGATTGCACTGTGGTCTGAGAGATAGTTTGTTATAATTTCTGTTCTTTTACATTTGCTGAGGAGAGCTTTACTTCCAACTTTGTGGTCAATTTTGGAATAGGTGTGGTGTGGTGCTGAAAAAAATGTATATTCTGTTGATTTGGGGTGGAGAGTTCTGTAGATGTCTATTAGGTCCGCTTGGTGCAGAGCTGAGTTCAATTCCTGGGTATCCTTGTTGACTTTCTGTCTCGTTGATCTGTCTAATGTTGACAGTGGGGTGTTAAAGTCTCCCATTATTAATGTGTGGGAGTCTAAGTCTCTTTGTATGTCACTCAGGACTTGCTTTATGAATCTGGGTGCTCCTGTATTGGGTGCATATATATTTAGGATAGTTATCTCCTCTTGTTGAATTGATCCCTTTACCATTATGTAATGGCCTTCTTTGTCTCTTTTGATCTTTGTTGGTTTAAAGTCTGTTTTATCAGAGACTAGGATTGCAACCCCTGCCTTTTTTTGTTTTCCATTTGCTTGGTAGATCTTCCTCCATCCTTTTATTTTGAGCCTATGTGTGACTCTGCACGTGAGATGGGTTTCCTGAATAGAGCACACTGATGGGTCTTGACTCTTTATCCAGCTTGCCAGTCTGTGTCTTTTAATTGGAGAATTTAGTCCATTTCCATTTAAAGTTAATATTGTTATGTGTGAATTTGATCCTGTCATTATGATGTTAGCTGGTTATTTTGCTCGTTAGTTGATGCAGTTTCTTCCTAGTCTCGATGGTCTTTACATTTTGGCATGATTTTGCAGCGGCTGGTACTGGTTGTTCCTTACCATGTTTAGCGCTTCCTTCAGGAGCTCTTTTAGGGCAGGCCTGGTGGTGACAAAATCGGTCAGCATTTGCTTGTCTGTAAAGTATTCTATTTCTCCTTCACTTATGAAGCTTAGTTTGGCTGGATATGAAATTCTGGGTTGAAAATTCTTTTCTCTAAGAATGTTGAATTTTGGCCCCCACTCTCTTCTGGCTTGTAGGGTTTCTGCTGAGAGATCCGCTGTTAGTCTAATGGGCTTCCCTTTGAGGGTAACCCGACCTTTCTCTCTGGCTGCCCTTAACATTTTTTCCTTCATTTCAACTTTGGTGAATCTGACAATTACGTGTCTTGGAGTTGCTCTTCTCGAGGAGTATCTTTGTGGTGTTCTCTGTATTTCCTGAATCTGAACGTTGGCCTGACTTGCTAGATTGGGGAAGTTCTCCTGGATAATATCCTGCAGAGTGTTTTCCAACTTGGTTCCATTCTCCGCATCACTTTCGGGTACACCAATCAGGCATAGATTTGGTCTAATAGTCCCATATTTCTTGGAGGCTTTGCACATTTCTTTTTATTCTTTTTTCTCTAAACTTCCCTTCTCGCTTCATTTCATTCATTTCATCTTCCATTGCTGATATCCTTTCTTCCAGTTGATCGCATCGGCTCCTGAGGCTTCTGCGTTCTTCACGTAGTTCTCGAGCCTTGGTTTTCAGCTCCATCAGCTCCTTTAAGCACTTCTCTGTATTGGTTATTCTAGTTATACATTCTTCTAAATTTTTTTCAAAGTTTTCAACTTCTTTGCCTTTGGTTTGAATGTCCTCCCGTAGCTCAGAGTAATTTGATCGTCTGAAGCCTTCTTCTCTCAGCTCGTCAAAATCATTCTCCATCCAGCTTTGTTCTGTTGCTGGTGAGGAACTGCGTTCCTTTGGAGGAGGAGAGGCGCTCTGCGTTTTAGAGTTTCCAGTTTTTCTGTTCTGTTTTTTCCCCATCTTTGTGGTTTTATCTACTTTTGGTCTTTGATGATGGTGATGTACAGATGGGTTTTCGGTGTGGATGTCCTTTCTGTTTGTTAGTTTTCCTTCTAACAGACAGGACCCTCAGCTGCAGGTCTGTTGGAATACCTTGCTGTGTGAGGTGTCAGTGTGCCCCTGCTGGGGGATGCCTCCCCGTTAGGCTGCTCGGGGGTCGGGGGTCAGGGGTCAGGGACCCACTTGAGGAGGCAGTCTGCCCGTTCTCAGATCTCCAGCTGCGTGCTGGGAGAACCACTGCTCTCTTCAAGGCTGTCAGACAGGGACATTTAAGTCTGCAGAGGTTACTGCTGTCTTTTTGTTTGTCTGTGCCCTGCCCCCAGAGGTGGAGCCTACAGAGGCAGGCAGGCCTCCTTGAGCTGTGGTGGGCTCCACCCAGTTGGAGCTTCCCGGCTGCTTTGTTTGCCTAAGCAAGCCTGGGCAATGGCGGGCGCCCCTCCCCCAGCCTCGCTGCCGCCTTGCAGTTTGATCTCAGACTACTGTGCTAGCAATCAGCGAGATTCCGTGGGCATAGGACCCTCCGAGCCAGGTGTGGGATATAGTCTCGTGGTGCGCCGTTTTTTAAGCCGGTCTGAAAAGCGCAATATTCGGGTGGGAGTGACCCGATTTTCCAGGTGCGTCCGTCACCCCTTTCTTTGACTCAGAAAGGAAACTCCCCGACCCCTTGCGCTTCCCAGGTGAGGCAATGCCTCGCCCTGCTTCGGCTCGCGCACGGTGCGCGCACCCACTGGCCTGCGCCCACTGTCTGGCACTCCCTAGTGAGATGAACCCGGTACCTCAGATAGAAATGCAGAAATCACCCGTCTTCTGCGTCACTCACGCTGGGAGCTGTAGACCGGAGCTGTTCCTATTCGGCCATCTTGGCTCCTCCAAGAAGTAATTTATATACAGTGAAATACTCAGATCTTAAGAAAACAGTTCCATGAGTTTTGTAAATATATACACCCATGTAATCTATACTTCAATTAAAATACATGTATCATTTTCATCACCTTAGAAAGTACTTTTGTGCCCATCTAGTCAATTTCCATTCCACCATACAGGCAACCAATTTTCTGATTTTTTTTCCTATTGAGGAGTTTTTTTCTAAACACATTTGTTTTTAAATTGCCATGCAATATTGTACAGAACATCAGAAAAACAAATGGTATTGCTTTTGGAGTTGAAGATTTAGGTCTAATTTTATAATGCTTGGATTCATCTAACAATATAAAATTTCATTACTAAGCAAATAATACTATGCCAATTTCATTCATCTATTGAATACTGATTTTTAAAATGTCTTCTGAGAGAGGAAAGTATGAGTCCAAAGGCCTTGGGTTTTTCACAAGGTTTGCATGAATTTCCGTAAATAATGGAATTTTTCATGCTCTCTCTCTCTCTCTCCCTCTCTCTGTCTCTCATTCCTCATATGCAAATTGAGAGAATCAGACTAATGGTTTTCTAAGAAAGGCATCTTACAGATTTAACATTCTTTGATGCTGTATTGTTTCCTCAGAGCACTACATCTAAAACACCTTATAAATCCAAAATAAGTCATTACTTTTTTTAATATCCTTTGAATTATGTGGATGTTTATGTGGTTGTTGTAGAATGTGATACCTATGAAAGAAAAAAAATAATTTCAAAGTCCTTTGTTCAGTTAGTATCCATTTATTTACGTTTTTAATGCTATTGCATGCCTTCCCCCAAACTTGATGGCATCAAACAATAATTTATTACTATCTCAGTTCTGTGGCTTGACCGGATCCAGCAGGGTGGTTTTCACTAGGGATTTCTTATGTGGTTGCCATGAAATAGCAGCTAGAGGTGGCTGAATCTAGAGTAATCTGAAGGTGTCTTCACTCATATGTATTGGGTTGGGGCTTGGCATGGCTGGAATAGCTGGAAAAAGTTGGATATTTGTCATCATGCAGCTTCCCCACATGGCTCATTGATCTTCTTCATGGCATGGGGATTTCAAAATGCTCAGACTTTTCTTTTCCCTTTTTTTTTTTTTTTTTTTTTTTTTTTTTTTTTTTTTTACATAGTGGCTAGCTTTTCCCCAGAGTGAGTGATGTTACCTAGAGAGACAGAATCCTGCTGCTAGGCTTCTGTGGGTCTAGCCTATGAAGAAGCCTAATCATAAAGTATATCTTATCACCATCTCAATCTTTCATTTGTAATTTAGTAACTACACCTACCCAGATACAAAAGGATGGGAATTAGACTTCACTCCTGGATAGAAGGCCTGGTGCCATGGCTCACGCCTGTAATCCCAGCACTTTGGGAGGCCAAGGCGGGCAGATCACAAGGTCAGGAGTTCAAGATCAGCCTGGCCAGCATGGTGAAACCGCGTCTCTACTAAAAATACAAAAATTATCTGGGCATGGTGGTGCGTGCCTGTAATCCCAGCTACTTGGGAAGCTGAGGCAGGAGAATTGCTTGAACCCGTGAGGCAGAGGTTGCAGTGAGATGAGATTGCACCACTGCACTCTAGCCTGGGTGACAGAGCAAGACTGTCTCAAAAAAAAAAAAAAAAAATTGCAGCCATCTTTAATCTAACATAAAGAAGTTTATATTTTTAGATCTGTAGCCTGAGTCTCTCTCTTTTCTATGCTTAACAAACTTTAATGTATAATTAATCATTTAATAGTTAACTCATCTATAAGTCAAAAGATCTCATAATTTTTAATTATGGAATCTTGACCAAATTACCCCACCTATTTTAAATTTGGACTTTTTATCTGTAAAACCTGTCCTCTCTCCCTTTCAAAAGGATTATATGAGTCAGATGTGATAACATATGTAAAAGTATAAAACTATGAAAATCATGGAAATGTAAGTTATCATCTTGGTTATTAAAATAATTTTGACTCCATTTTTTTTTCCTGCAAAACAGTGAAACAAAATAAATGTCTTCTTAAAGTAGTTGAATTTCCCAAGTTGGTTCTACATACATCACCTTTTTCCTTTGCCATGAACGGCCATGCTCACAGAGCCCTTTCCTGAGCTCTGTACTTAAAATGGCCTCTGAGGCCAGGTTCAGTGGCTTACCCCTGTAATCCAAGCACTTTGGGAGGCTGAAGCAGAAGGATCACTTGAGGCCAGAAGTTCAAGATCAACCTGAGCAACATAATGAGACCCCATCTCTAAAAATTTTTTTTTTAAAAAACTAGTCAGGTGTGGTGGCATGAGTCTGTAGTTTCAGCTACTTGGGAGGCTGAGGTGGGAGGATGGCTTGAGCCCAGGAGGTTGAGGCTTCAGTGAGCCATGATCATGCCACTGCACTTGAGCCTCGTGACAGTACAAGAGCCTGTCTCAAAAAAAAAAAAAAAATTAAAATAGCTTCTGACTATTGAGCTTACCATACTTTTAAAAAATAACACTAACTCTAATCTCCACCTAAAAAAAATTGCATATTCATTCATCTACCTATTTGTTTTCCGTCTCTTCTAGAACATGAGATCTTGTGGACAGAGACTCAGAGTTTCCTCAGTGCTGATAAGAAACTGGCAATTACCAGACAATTAACAAACATTTTTGAATAAATGAATGACTGAATAAATGACTGGTGTTATTACCGTTGACCCATCTGGCATCCTAGTTTTGAAGTTTCTTTCCCTTTATAGCTCTTACAGCTTTCACTTACTTTTGCCTTCAACAATATATTATAGTTCATCTTGAAACTAGTCACTTCCTAGAGTGACTCCTTTTCTCAGTCTTCCCTGTCTAATTTTGGCCTCTTACAGCTATGATAAAATCTTGGCAATCCTTTTTGTGGCATGTCTCTGAAATATGTCTCATTCTTTCCATTTTTACTACCATTGTCTCAGGCCAGGGATTTATCATAGTCTCTTATCTAAATTGTTACAAAAATACCCTAGGTAGTTTTCTTCTTCACTGTTTTCTAAAAGCATTAGCATCCTAAAACATTGATTTTTGTAATATTATTCTGCTCTTCACAAAACTTTGGGTGGTTTACCCATGGCTATGGGATGAACTTCAGGCTTCTAAATATTGTAGTCTTGTTGTGTCCTTATCTAGTTTCTGTCCACCTTTTCCAGCTGCATGGACTTCCAACACTCCAACAACGAAAGCCCTCTAAACTGGTGTGTTTTCATCTCAAGTGGGCATACAAATCACCTAGAAATATCGTTAAAATGTAGATTCTGATTCAGAAGTCCAAGGATGGAGCTTGAGATTCTGCATTTCTAGCAAGCTCCCAGGCGATGCCAATGCCTCCACTCAAGCCTCTGTTGGAGTAGGAAGGCTCCGTCATTGAGCGTAGATGCCACGTGCTTCTGCCTGTCTGCCTTATGCTGTTTCCAGGCTTGAAGGTTCTTCATTCACCTCTCTGTCTGGTGAATTCCTATAGTCTGAAGATCTAAATCAAACATCATCTTCTTAAAACCTTTTTTTTTTTTAACCTTTTTCAGGAAGAATTGATCATGTGTTTTCTTTTTTTCTTTTAATATTTTTAATTTTTGTGGGTACATAGTAGATGTATATATTTATGGGGTACATGAAATATTTTGATACAGTCATGCAATGTGAAATAAGCACATCATGGAGAATGGGGCATCTATCCCCTCAAGCATTTATCCTTTGTATTACAAACAATCCAATTACACTCTTTTAGTTATTATTGACTATAGTCACCCAGTGGAATCATCTGTCTTTTTACAGTACTTTGTCGATATTTAGTTGTATATATGGTTTTCTTTTTAAATTGTGCATTCCTTAGAGGCAGTGATGGTGCCATCACAGTTGGGAATAAAAACGTCATACCCAAAGAAATTATTATATCATGCATAGAGTGTATATTATATAAAGTATAAAGTATATCCACAAAATCCCCTGGAAATACAGGAGTACCTGAAACAATTGCCATATGTCTATTATGTGCTAGTTTACCACACTATATTTAGTGCATAGCAGGTGTGCAATACCGATTTGTTGAAACTGTTTTGAAGAATTAAGTCCAAAAATTGACTACAAAAAATGCTAGTCTGGTTGTCCGACTTTGGGATTTTCTGTTGGAAAATTTGTTAGGCCATAAATTATTTTCCTGAAAAATGTATAATATTTACTATCGTACTTAATGATCCAAAAATCTGTACTGAATCAGAAGTAGAAATGTTAAAGTAATTACATTGAGAAGTCAATTTAACGAATACCTGGTATGTGACAGCATTATTTCTATAATTTTTTATTGCCCAATTTATCACTTTTATTGTTCATTTACTTATGTTATATAGTTTCAGAATGAATTATAATATCTATTCCTCTCCCCCATTTTTTTCCAATATGAGCCCTTACAAAGCCACAGAAAGCTTTTATGTGAACAGAGTTTTTATATTTGTTAAAGTGAGTCTATTTGATTCTTATGTGCTTTGGATAATTTCCCTAGAGTCTTTCCTTAATTATATCATACATGTGTTAAACAAGCACTTGCTTTCTTGCAGTCCAACTCAACTTGATCATCCAGAGTGGCCACAGGACTCAAACTGTGCTGTTTATTATCACTTAATGTCTGTGGTCTTCTAAGCACAGAATTCTGAGTAGAAAAGCAAAGCCTTTGCATGATATAAATATTTGTATCTCACAAAAAGCAGGAGAAATGTACAACACGGCTGGCACAGGTCATGACATGATGTTGGCCACCCCCACCCCCTCTTCAGATGCAAAACGGGAAATAACAAATATCATTTGTTACTATCACAATGAGGTAATTTTTCCTGTTGGGATATACAGAGAAAACTCTGTAAGTATGATTAAAACAACAAGAAATCTGATTTAGCTTTAGCTTCATACCCTGTTAAGAACTCCCTGCACAATTTTGGCCTAAATTTTAGTACATTATATACTTGTTATGAAAACCTTTAACTGAAGCTTTGCAAAATGCTTCCAAAATAGGCTTAGATCACCTAACAAATCATACATGCCAACAGAATAATGTTACTTCCTAGTTCCAAGTTTATTGTGTTACAGAACTTTAAGGATCAAATGAATATAAATTTACAAAGACACTACCGATTTTCCACTTGGAGCATGAACTGAATAATTTAAAAAGAAATGTAATAGTAATCCAAATATTGCCCAAGTTGTTCTTAAACCTATTAAACAGAGATGAGTAGGAAAGATTGATAATGTTGAAGGGAAAGGGAGGCTTTTAAAGTAAACTCCAGCAAAGAGTGAAACATTAATGTATCGGTTTGGTTGGAAGAGATCTGGAATATCAAGCAAACTCTACTTTGTAAGCTTATATTATATCATGATGGCAACTGCAAATTATAAATCAGACAGGTTTGTATTTCCATAGGCAAATGGAAATTTTCCTTCATGAATTTGGACAGTGTGAACCAGAGTCAATTCAACCCTGTCTGTGAATAAGTAGCTCAGTTTATTGAAGCATGATTCTTTAGTTTAAGCATAGAGATGGCTACTATCTATGCTGTGTGGGTAGCTAGCTAGCTTTGGTGTTTTTCATGGTAATGGGACACCCCATTCATGAAAAGCCATCCTAAAATTGTCCACAGTTGTTCTTTGCAAGGAACCAACAAAGAGGACTGTGGTCTGATTAGCATAACACATCTAGGCTTCTGTCTCTTGAGAATAAAAGCATGTGCCCCTTTTAGATGGTGAATCAGAGGCTTTATCTTTGCATCTAAGGGATGGTAATAGTGAATATTATTATTATACATGGAAATCATTGGATTTTGTCTCTCTTGCTTAGATTTTTATTTGGATAATATATTGAGGGTAAAGTACCCTGAAGCAAAGAAGAATGTCTGTTCCTGCTCCCCAGCCAAAGGGTGGTAAAGAGAAGGGCTTCCAGATCTGAAATACAAATAACTAGAAAATTGCAGTTTCCCTTGGGACTGGGGGTGGTGATTAGCCCATGAGACTAGTAACAAGAAGATGGCAAAAGAGAAAAATGCCCTGCTTGGGAGTGGTTTTGTTTTTTGTTTGTTTAATTAATTCATTTATTAATGTAACTGCAGTATAGGAAATAAAGAGCTATTTCCTTTGCTAAGATTAAAAGTTTTAAATGAAAACTCTGCAGCCATCTAAGAAAGTAAAAGGAGGGGAGTAAGAAATGACCACCACATGGCCATCTAAGGCACCAGGAGAGTTTTCTATGTCAGCAGGTAGAAGAAAGTGTCACACAGCAGAGGCATTACTAATGTAGGGAGAAGAATGTTCTGTCACCTCTAGTCATTTACAGACCCAAGAGATTGAGGCATTGTGAGATATTTACACAGCATATTTGGATTGTATGGTTAATGCTTGTTGCTTTCAGTTAAATTTCTTCCTAAAGTACTACATAGTGTTCTTTTCAGTAGGAAGCTTTGACCTATCCTATAGAAATTGTTTTGCAGTTGCTGAGTGGGGGCTTCATGTGAAAATAAAAGCCCCTTAAAAAAATCACCCAGTCCTTTGGGCCAAGGTCATCTTAACACTAGAATTAAATTATGCTAATATTAATTGAAATTCAAGGTGTTTGCCCTATATAATCCACTCATCTCTCCACTTCACTTTGCCTGCAGAAACAGTCAGACAGTAATTTTTATTAAAGCACAAACTCAAATGTAGGGTTCACTATAAAATAATTCAATGAGATTACAGAAGATATGACTAATACAAACGAGTTGGTCTTTGAACTTGTTTGATTATGAATAGAAATGCTGACTTCAAATTCCCTTGAGATGAAAGTTTGCTAGATTGATCTGTTTTCTTTATTTCTTTTGTCTTCTCTTTCTTTTCCTTTCAGTTCCTTTTTTCTTCCTTTTTCTCCCTCTTTTTTTTTTTTTTTTCTATTTTTTTTTTTTTTTGAGACGGAGTCTCACTCTGTCACCAGGCTGGAGTGCAGTGGCAGAATCTTGGCTCACTGCAACCTCCGCCTCCCAGGTTCAAGTGAGTCTCCTGCCTCAGCCTCCTGAGTAGCTGGGACTACAGGCGTCCGCCACCTTGCCCGGCTAATTTTTTTGTATTTTTAGTAGAGACGGGGTTTCACCTTATTGGCCAGGGTGGCCTCAATCTCTTGACCTCGTGGTCCACCCACCTCGGCCTCCCAAAGTGCTGGGATTACAGGTATGAGCCACTGTGCCCAGCGCTTTCTCTCCCTTTTTATTTTTCATTTTCATTCTCTTTATTCTAATGTCAAGGTAAACACCAGTTCTTGGTGACTTTTTTTTAAATAAAGTTTTTTTTTGCCTAAATAAGACATAAGCAACTTGATCCCTCACACTTAATACATCCAGTCCTAACTTGTATTGGAAAGCTAGTTCCAAGGCTGGTGTTTTGTATATATGGTGAGCCTAATACCACAGATGGCCTCTGTGTGGATGCAGGGACCCTACATTGTAGATTATTCTGAAAGTTCTACTATTAATAGCCAGTGTAATAATTGAACACTTTCTTGATTAGCTTATTTTGTGGAGTGGGGGGAGTGGAACAGAGGACAAAATGATTTCTTATGCTTACCCAGAGTATGGAATAACTGCGAGGCATTGCTTAAAGCTATTTAATTAAAATATTAAAATGACCAAAAAACACAGGAATCGCCAGCAATGTTACGAGTCAGCAGTGGAAATGTTCCTTGTCAATCATGGGAAGAATGCTGAGCTTCAACCATCTCAAGCGCATATAACCCCATTGGTTTTTCTTTTTGGCAGTCTTGGTCCAAAAAAAAAAAAAAAAAAACCACACCAAAAAAACCTCAAAACATTGATCATGCCAGGTTAGATTTTACCAGGGATTTAAAGTCACCACCACCCTCCACAGCCCTCATTCATGCTCAGCTGCTACAAATAATGGCCTAGCACGAATTGGTTTACAATCCTGGTGGACTCCTACAGAGCTAATAAATCCAGAAATATTACTTGGATGGAAACATATGATAATCACATGATGACTTTTTAAATACATTCCGTAGTCTCATGTATAAAAATAAAAAACGTGCAGGGCTTAGATATCCCTTCATTGTATCAAATTAAATTGGATTTAATGCCTGGTGGTGTGTCATCCAGCTCAGACCCATTTGCACAAGGCTGTGGAGTACAGAGCTGGTTCAGATGAATGAATAGCTTTCTCATGACTTCACCCCCACTCTGCTGTCTCTTTTCCTGTCCTTTGTATTGTAATGGAGGACAGCTGTGGCAGTGAAGTGAATATTAACTAACCCCAGTGCCTCAGCAGATTGTGACTTTAATCCTGGCAAATACCACTAAAATCAAAATTTAATTACACTCAGAGTAGCTCTGTTAATGCCTAAAAAATATTTAACAATTAGTGGTTGGCTTAATTAAGCAAACTGCCTTTCACAAAGCAACCTGAAAAGTCCTCCCAAGCCCTTCCCCCACCCCCACCCCCTTTTTTTTAATCCCTTAGACTAATTAGTCTGATGTAAACTCACAGCACTTCATTTACTGTTACTGAGTCTGCTGTTTAGCTGATCTAGGCTCTGAGCTTAACAGCTTGTAATAGAAGGGAAGTTGTAAAAAGAAAGAAATTAGGTTCACTGCACACAGCTAGTTAATAAAAAAAAATCCTTTTAATAAACCACCAATCATCGCTAGTCATTTCCTCATTCATATACATATATATGTATATATCAGAATGGCTTATTTCAGTTACAATATTAGTTACAGGAGATTCAGGAAAGCCAAATAACAAATATATTAGTGAAGAATCACTTCTATCAAAATAATTATTCTGTGTCCATATAGATTGAAAAATACTATTTACATATAAATTTGGAAGAGACAGATCCTTTTTTGTAAACTAAACAACCAAAGAAATAAAATAAAAAACAAATGAAGAATGATGGAAAAATCATTAAAATTTAAATCCCATTCTCTGATTGATGCGTGATACTACCTGACCTGTTACATGTTCATTCACTCATCCAAACATCAAACATTTATTAATGATATAATGTGACTCGATGGGATGATACAAATACATTATTGTAAATCTGTACATTGACACCTATAGAATGTTTTAAAATGCCACAACAGAAAAGTTTATATGACCTATCTACTGAGTATCATTTTCTACTTGGATTCTTAGAAAAGACCTTGCCATTAATAATTGCGAGAATAAAACACAGTAACACTTCAAAAGGTCTCTTATTCAGCAAGCTAAGAAAAGAAACAAGAATCATAAAATAACAACAAAAATATTGCCATTGAGAACCAAAACAAGTCCCAGAGCTATTAAAGGAGCTTAAAGACCACTGAGTCCAGCTCCATATTTTACAGAAGAAAAAAACTGAAATTCAGAGAGTTTAAGTGATTTTCCAGGGCTATATGAAGAACTATTATCAAGTTCATCAGAAGGTCACCTGAGGCCCCTCTAGGCCCCCATTCCAGGCATGTTCCCTTTTATCTGATATTGGATACAATTATAGCAAGATGCATTATTTGATTTCCCAAACTGCAGCAGATTAGAAGTCACAAATTAGAGGCTGAAAGAGAATTTCTAGAGGCTTAGTGTTCAGATGCTGTGAAACATGAGAACACATGATAAAATTTGGAACCTGCTAAGCAAAAATTAATCTGGACAAGATGGTCTCTTGGTAACACTCAAATCTAGGGGACAAATAAATGTCAGAAAAAAATTCTTAATTTTACAATGCAGAACTGTGCTGCCTTTGATCATCCTATTTGATTGTGTATGCATAGTATTTGTGTGTGTGGGTGTGTGTGTGAGAGAGAGAGAGAGAGAGAGAGAGAGGAAGGAGAGAGAGAGATTCTCTCCTTCAGGGCTTTTAAGATAATACTGAAAAAGATTGAGATAATAAGCTAATTTAGTGATTTTCTTTTTGAGACTATCAAAAGAAAAATATTTTTCTCTGCTCCTAGAAAGTGCCTACTGAGGGTTTTAGTGTAAGTGATATGTTCATTTTTCAATCTAGGAAATAAAAACCTGTAATCTCCCCCATATGAGATGGTTTCACCTGTATGGATTTCTTTAGGCCTTCCTTTTGTTTCATATTTAAAACTAGTTTTTGAGAATTTTGGTTGTTGCTTTAATTCAACAATTAGGAGACAGAAATGAAGACAGCAAGTATCATTCATGTGTATGTGTCTAAAAGGATGTTAGGTACACCACACCTAACTGCAAGCACTCTGCAACCCGGTACAATTCTGTACATTTCCATTTAATTGGCAGGCTGTGTTTCAAGTCTCATGGTTGGTTGAGGATGAAGATGAATTTGCAGTTCATAGTACAGAAGAGGAAGTACATATGGTTTGTGATTGAGATACTTATGTTTTGACTGAAGAATTGTGCAGCATCTGGCAAGTGTATAAATCCTTCAGTGGCAGCTATTTAACTTTTTAATACCAGAGGAAACAGCATATTATATTTCAAAATTGATAGCTTTGAAAAATGGGTATTAACATGATGATATAAGTGGATACAAAATCTTCTTATGGGTTTTCCATGAATAATTGTACCTTAATGGTATATGCAACTTATGTTTCAAATTCTTTTGTCTATTAGTCGCATACATATATCTTTATTTCTTCTTGAATGTATGCTGCATAACTATTAACCAAATGTTCATTCACCATCAAGTTCTGTTTCTTCAGTGTGTTTTCTCATTCAAAAGCATATAACAATTCTCCTTAATGATACAAATAACCCACTTCTAATGGACTATTATGCCTCTTTTCCATTCTTGAAAAGCATTATTGCTTTCAGGTTTTTAGTTAAATGCTATACAATTTCAAAATAGTATAATACACTTAAATGATCTTTAAGTTTCTCTTTAAAAGAGCAGTAAGTATTAAAAGCCAAACAGAAAAATTGCCAAAGTCAGTTCACCTCAATTCAACTGTCAAAACTTTTCATGTGAAAAATAAATGGAAATGTTTTTCTATTTCAAGTAAGCAAATTTGTGGGTACAGCATTCTCTTTTGACTCTGAAAATCATTTGAAAACCAAAAAGCTTGTCCATGTTTGTTTTCAATTTGCAAAAAGTCAGCTGCATCCGTGAAACAGGCACTGAGCCTCATTATCTTGGCTAATAGAGAAAGAACTGCCCTCTCTTGAAAGGTGCAATAAATCTTTCATGTTCTTAAGTATTGCTTCATGTTCATCAGCAAGAATTTATCTAACAGTGTGCGACTAACATAAACATGTAACATCACCTCTTTCCTACTTCATACGTTGCCTACCCACGCAAACACACACACACTCACATTCAAACTAACGTGCGCACATACACTATCCCTCCCCCAAGCCTCTACCACTAATGCCCTAAGAATGAGAAGAGAGGCCGGGCGCAGTGGCTCACGCCTGTAATCCCAGAACTGCGGGAGACTAAGGCAGGTGGATCACTTGAGGTCAGGAGTTCCAGACCAGCCTGGCTAACATGGTGAAACCCCATCTCTACCAAAAATATAAAAAAATTAGCCAGGTATGGTGGCATGCGCCTGCAATTCCCAGCTACTTGGGAGGCTGAGGCAGGAGAATAGCTTGAACCCGGGAGACAGAGGTTGCAGCAGTGAGCCGAGATTGTGCCATTGCATTCCAGCCTGGGCAACAAGAGCGAGCCTCTATCTCACAAAAAAAAAAAAAAAAAAAAAAAAGGAAAAAAAAAAAAAAGGAATGAGAAGAGAAATATACCCAACTAAATTCAATATTTGTTTTGATTTAGATTGCAAGATGATCTGTGTTTCACTGTATGGATTTATTTAATATTTGATCATGGCACAGGGAAAAAAACTTAATAGATGCTTGTAGTTGCCTGAAGTAAATAAAACTTTAACTTGTGCTTAAGATCTGTAGAAAAATAACTTTGGAAGGACACAAGGATCTCAACCTTTGTACTTCAGATGAATTTTACCATTCAGAACCAGTAATTTTCAACCTTTCTTAAACAGTTAACATCATAGTGATACTTAGTTGTTTCTTGTGTCCACTTGCAACTGTTTCTATTTCCTTCTATGAGATTGTCCATGGTAGTCAAGAACAGCTTGACACTCCCTATACAATAGTGATTGAGTTACCCCTTCTGTCTTGCAGGGTGAATGGCCAGGGTTCATGTAATTCTTCCTTTTGGGACTTAAATGCTTTCCAAATCAGATGTCCCCAACTGTTCTTTTAGGAGTCATCTTTCCCCATAATGATCAAATAGTGTTTTCAGCACCGATTCCACAGAATACAGGATGTCTGCTCTTTACCAAGTCTCCTTCCCTGCTGAGTTTCTGGCTGTCTCTGAGGAATAGTTCCATTAACTAAGTCTGAATGATTACTTGTAATTTTTAAAAGCTTCCTAGCTCAGGCCACTGCCTTCTGGAGCACAGCAGCCTACCTCTTCCAGGCTGCTAGTCTTCATCCAATAACTTTTCAGTCTCTAAGTAGAATTTAGGTAGTATTTCCAAATTCCTGACATCATAATCTTCAGGATTCTGGAACTAGAAATAGAAATTCCTGGAAATTCTAAGACAGCCCTGAAATAATATGTTTTTTTCCATTTTTCATAATACTTTTCCTGTGTTCATGAGTGGTAACGATAAACTATGAACCATTTTTATATAAAAATTTAAGAGGTTTTATGTAAAATATAATAATAAAAGCATGATTTTCACAGCATTGTATCTTTCAGTAACATATAAAAATGATCTCCACCTGGTATGGAAATTGGATAATAAAACATTAAAGAAAATGACATTTATATGAAATAAGTGACAAAAGCCAGTTAAATAATTGAAATGCCACATATATTTAATAATTAGAAGTTATATTTAAGATGAAATTTTAAAACTCACAAAGCATTAATTGCCTACTTATAGTCTTGGTCTTTTTTTCATTTTTCCATTGTCAGTTTTCACAAATATTCCAGTCCAGAAAAGTTTCATGTATTTTTCAAAGACGCTGATCAAATTTGTTAAGAATATGTCCACAAGCTTCTTAACATTATGCATTAGGATATATGTTGCTTCATGAATCTCATTTTTTTAATAATGCAAACATTTTGTTTGCTTGACATTGATTTGGATATTGTCACTTAAATTAATACTGCTTTTGTTAATAGAGATTTTAGATCAATTTCTGAATTCCTGTTGTAATATTCCACAATAACATCTTTTTCTATTTGCATGTTTTTTCTGTTTAAGTATTTACAAGAAACTCTACCATAGCACTTACCCTATTTCTGGGGAATGCCAGAGAATATGATTAACTAGCATTCAAATAACATAACATTTAGATCTTCTAGCAAGGCTAATAGCAACACATAGAATGGTATATCAAAATTACCAGTTTAAGGACTTATTTTGGTTCTAAAGCTTATTTCTTGG
This sequence comes from Homo sapiens, assembly GCF_000001405.40. Classification (NCBI taxonomy): domain Eukaryota; kingdom Metazoa; phylum Chordata; class Mammalia; order Primates; family Hominidae; genus Homo; species Homo sapiens. The sequence continues at coordinate 125,378,459 of NC_000005.10, forward strand.
ACCACCATTGATAGGATTGGTATAAAGTATATTATGTGAATAAGCTCATTAATATTTATATTATTTGTGAAAATGACTCACTGTTTGCAGCAGTCAGAGCCAAGAACACATCCAACTACAAGTAAGAGTGGCTAGATGAGAACTACTTCTCTCTTATGTGCTCTTCTCCTATTCATGAAAATGTCAGCCTTAACCCTTGACTCCCATGTCAGCATTCCCGGCTCTTGCTTTCAACTTGACATCAGTGATTTCTTCTAATCATACAGTCCTTATGTTGATTGTCAAGCTCCAAATCTTGTAGGAGCATTGAAATGCTTGTCTCCTGTTTTCCTGATTTTTTCGACTATTTGTTTTTCACAATTTAGGAGTGGAAAAACATATACATATTCTGAGATATACTGAGAAAGCATTTCTACATGGGAAAAGTAAACCCGAGTCATTTACATTCTTATTCCAAAGCTGTAAAATAGTGATGTTGTACCTGATTGTTCAACTTTTTATTTTTTTATTTTTATATATTTAAAGTGTCAAATATATAAAAATTAGAATAGTGTAATGAACCTCTGTGCATATATCATCCAGTTTCAACAATTACCAAAACATGGCCAATCTTTTTAAACTTACATATTTACTCACTCCTCCGCCCCCATTATTTATAACCCATTATGGGTTATTTTAAAGTAAATCCTATACGTTGTTTCATAGGTGCTAAATATATGAAAATCCACATACAAAAGATTGAAGTTGGACCCCTACCACACACCATATATAAAACATTACTCACAATGTATCAAAGACCTAAGCATAAGAGCAAAACTCTAAAATGCTTAGAGAAAAATTTTGTGACTTGGATTAGGTAACAGTTTTTTCAGATGAGACATCTGAAATACAAGCAACAAAAGAAATAAGAGATAAAAATTGGACTTCATCACAATTAAACATTTTTGTTCTTTAAAGGACACCATCAAAATAGTGAAAAAAACACAGAGAATGGGAAAATATTTGCAACACATATATCTGATAAGGGTATAGTAACCAGACTATATAAAGAACTCTTCCACTTTGACAATAAAAAGACAAATATCCCAATTAAAAGTGGAGAAAAGGATTTGAATAGGCACATCTCCAAAAAAGACATATAAGTGACCAATGAGCTCATGAAAAGATGCTGAAAGTTATTAGTTATTAGATAGATACAAATCAAAACCACAATAAGATACCATTTCATACCCACTAGGATGTCTATAATGAAAAAGATGAACAAGTATTGACAAGGATGTGGAGAAATCAAAACTCTCGTACATTTCGGGTAAAGATGTAAAATAGTTCAACTGCTTTGGAAAACATTTTGTCAGTTCCTCAAAAGATAAACATAGTATTACCGTACAACCCAGAAATTCCACTCCTAGGTATATGGTCAAGAAAATGGAAAACATATGTGCACACATAAACTTGTACATGAATGTTCATAGAAGCATTATTCATAATAGCCAAAAAGTGGAAACAACCCAGATGTCAATCAACTGATAAATGAACCAACAAAACTTGGCACAACCATGCAACATTATTCATCCATAAAAAGAAATGAAGTATTGATACATGCTACAACATGGACAACATTTCCAAATATTATACTAAGTGAAAGAAGGCAGAATAAAAGGCCATGTGTTGTGTGATTCCATTTACGTGAAATACCCAGAATATGTAAATCTCCATAGAGATAGGAAGTAGATTAATGGTCACCAGAGCCTGTGAGGAGGAAGGAATGAAGAGTGACAGCTGTTGTGATGAGAATATTCTGGATTATATCTTTTACAATGTTACAAACTATAAGTTAGTACTATATATACAGGGTTGAGATTATATATGTGTGCACACACACACACATACACACTTACACATACATGGTTAAGCCTTGAACAACATGCGGGTTAAGAATGCTGACCCTCCACATAGTCAAAAATTTCTGTATAATTTTGACTTTCCAGAAACTTAACTTATAGCCTCCTGTTGATCAGCAGAAGCCTTACCGATAACCTAAACAATTAACACATAATTTGTATGTTGTATGTATTATATGCTGTATTCTTATAATAAAGTAATCTAGAGAAAAGAAAATGTTATTAAGAAAGTCATAAGGAAGAGAAAATATATTTACTATTCATTAAACAGAAGTGAATCATCATAAAGACCTTCAGGCCAGGCACACTGGCTCAAATCTGTAATCCCAGCACTTTGGGAGGCTGAGATGGGAGAATTGTCTGAGGCCAGGAGTTCAGGACCAGCCTGGGCAACATAGTGTGACTCCTTCTCTACAATTTTTTTTTAATTAAAAAAAGAAAAAGATCTTTATCCTCATCATCTTCATATTGAGTGTGTTGAGGAGATGGAGGAAGAAGAGGGGTTGGTCTTGCTATCTCAAGGGTGGGAGAGGTGGAAGAAAATCCACGTGTAAGTGGACCTGTGCAGTTCAAACCTATGTTGTTCAGGGGTCAACTATATATTTATAAATAATTTATGGGCTAACACAGTGAAACCCCATCTCTACTAAAAGAAAATACAAAAAAAATTAGCCAGGCCTGGTGGTGGGCGCCTGTAGACCCAGCTACTCGGGAGGCTGAGGCAGGAGAATGGCGTGAACCTGGGAGGTGGAGCTTGCAGTGAGCCGAGATTGCGCCACTGCACTCCAGACTAGGCGACAGAGTGAGACTCCATCTCAAAAAAAAAAAAAAAAAAGAATTTATGTTACATATACATATATATTCTAGTTTTTCATCTCTGTTCACTTATTCATACAAATTAATGAATTATATAAATATGTACTGGGTGCTTATCCTATGTGACATGTGTCCATCAATATGGAAATCTGGTATATATAATTCTTCATAAAATATCCAGTCTTGAGTATTTTGTTAGAACAGAAGAAATTGACTCAGAGAGAAACTGATACTAGAAAAATGATGCTGTTGCTATAACAAATACCTGAAAATGTGGATGTGGCTTTGGAACTTGGTAATAGGTAGTGGCTGAAACAGTTTTAAAGTGAATGGTAGAAAAAGCCTGCACTGCCATTAACAGAGCATTAAGTGTGATTCTGGTGACGTCTCAGAAGGAGAGGAGAACTGCAGAAAAAGCCTCAGTCTTAGAGATAACTAAGTGGTTGTGAACAGAATGTTAGTAGAAATATGGACAGTAAAGATCATTCACGGCCGGGCGCGGTGGCTCACGCCTGTAATCCCAGCACTTTGGGAGGCCGAGGCGGGCGGATCACGAAGTCAGGAGATCGAGACTCATCCTGGCTAACATGGTGAAACCCTGTCTCTACTAAAAATACTAAAACAAAATTAGCCGGGCGTGGTGGCGGGCGCCTGTAGTCCCAGCTACTCGGGAGGCTGAGGCGGGAGAATGGCGTGAACCTGGGAGGCGGAGCTTGCAGTGAGCCGAGATTGCGCCACTGCACTCCAGCCTGGGTGACAGAGTGAGACTCCGTCTCAAAAAAAAAAAAAAAAAAAAAAAAAAGATCATTCACATGGTGTTTTAAATGAAAATGAGGGACATTTTGCTGGAAACTGGAGGAAAGACCATCCTTGCTACAAAGTGGCAAAGAAGATGGCTGAATTGTGTCCATGTCCTAATGTTTTGTGGAATGCCGAATTTAAGGGCAATCAACTAGGATATTTAGCAAAAAAAATCTCTAAGCAAAGTATTCAAGGTGCTGCATGCTTTCTCTCAACTGCTTATTGTAAAATGCAAGAGAGAAGTAAGTTAAAGACAGAATTTGAAACGAAAAGGAAAGCAGAATGTGAAGATTTGGAAAACTCTCAGCCTGGCCATGTAAAGCCTAAAAGAACGTGTTAAGGAAAGTAAACCAAGGTTGTGTCCAACAATCCGCTGATAAGATTAGTATGGAGAGAGGGAAGCCCTGGAAGACCTTTTGGAGATCTTTGAGGCTGCCAGTCTTATCACAGGCCCAGAGTGCTAGGACTTTTAGGGCAGAATTGTTATAAACAATGGGCTCAGGGAGTTTGTAGAACCTCAGAGCTCAATGCCCAGGACTGTCTTAAGTCTCTGCTCCCTGCAGTCTGGTACAGGGCTCCTTGGCTGCCCAAGTTGTGGCTTAAGTGGGCCCAGGGGTATAGAGGCCATAAATTATGGTGGTGTTCACCTAGTGCTGACTCTGCATGCTCACAGAGTGCAAGAGCTGGGCAGGCATGGCTACCTTCACCTAGGTTCCAAAGATGCCACAGAGAGCTGTTAGTAGGGCAATGCTTAGTGGAGCTGTGGGGGAAGGGCCTCTCCCAAGACTTCAGAACTGTAGAGCCACCAGTCAGCAACTCCAGCCTGGGAGAGCTGAAGGTGCAAGACTCCAACCAGTATGAGCTGTGGCATGGGCTGTTCCTAGCAAAGTCCTGGGGATGGGACCCCCTAGGGATGTGGGTATCCAACCCAGAAGATGGGACATGGAGTTAAAAAAGATTATTCTCAAACTTTGAGATTTAATGTTTGCCCTGTTGAGTTTTGAACTTTATAGGGATCTATTACTGATTTCTTTTTCCAATTTCTCCTTTTGGGAATGGAAATGGCTATCCTATGCCTGTCCCTCTATTGTATTTTGGAAGCACACAACTTGCTTGATTTAACAGGCTCTCAGCTAGATAGCAATTTGCCTTGTGGTGAATGACACAAAGCTTTGAGTCTCACCCATAACTGATTTAGATGGTGTGCAGATGAGACTTTGGACTCATTAATTAATTTTGGATTAATTCATCCAATTAATTAATTAAACTAATTTGGGGATCCAGGGGAAGAGTGCTATGGTTAGAATGTTTTTATCCCCTTTAAAATTCATGTTTGAACTTAATCCCCAATGTAACAGTTCTAAGTGGTGTGGCCTTTAGGAGGTGATTGGGTCATGTAGGTTTTGCTCTCATGAATGGGATTAGATGCTCTTCTAAATGGGCTTGATGGAAGGAGTTTGCCATTTCTTTAAATCCCTTCTGCTATGTGAGGACACCTACTTGGCACCATCTGTAAGGAACAAGACTTCACCAGACACTGAACCCGCTGGCACCTTTATCTTGCACTTCCCACCCTCCGGATCTGTGAGAAATAAACTTCTATTTTTTAAAAAATAGATTACCCAGTCTCAAGTCTCTTGTTATAGTAGCATAAACAGATGAAGACAATAGTTAAAGATGGGACTGTGATCTTTTTGTATAGGAGTATAAGTTCAGCAAGGAACTCACCACAAAGGTTTGTACTTTATAGGATCACTAAGTCACTGTTGAATAATTAAAGGCAGTATCTGAGTAGCCAATTTCCTGTGTCATCACGAAGATAAGGCTTAGCTGTCACCATGGCATCTTGCACTTGCCCATATTATGGAGACTATTGGCTACTGAACAAACTGTGCTATTGGTAAAGTCCCTTTATAGCAGGCAAATACTCTTTCATTTGTGAATTTATTCACTCCATATTTACCTCCTCCAACTTTGGCTTCTATTTGTTCAAAATTGGTAGACAAAAGTTGATATGACTTATTCTGTCACCTTTTCTGGAGATATTATTTACAGTTCATTAGTAGATTTGTAGATGACACAAGTTTGACATACTAAGATATAAATTCCCAGTAGTAGTATTATAGACATTTGATTGAGTAGTGTTTAGGTTACTTTCCTCAAAATCATTATCTCTGATGTTTTCTCAAAATCACACTTCAAAGAGGATGATTTACTTCTGGGGCAACACTGCAGGTAGTTCTGCCCTATCTCAACAATAAATACAAAAGAGAAACAACAACAACAGACTCCAAAATTACCAATATTGCATCATCAGTAAAAGTCACTGTTTGTGGAGTTAAACTGCCTTTGTTAAATTCTAGCTTCTACAAAAATGGAAAAATTATCCAGGTGTGGTGATGTGTGCCTGTAGTCTCAGCTACTTGGGAGGCTGAGGTGGGAGGATTGCTTGAGCCAGAGAGACTGAGGCTGCAGTGAACCATGATCGTGCCATACACTCCAGCCTGAGTGATAGAGGAGACCCCCATCTCAAAAAAAAAAAAAAGAAAAAAAGAAAAAAAAATTTCTGGCCTCCATTACCTTCTTGCTTATGCCTCCTTCAAGTTACTTAACCTCTTCATGCCACAGTTTCCTCATCTATAAAGTGAAAATAATAGTAACATCAATTTCGTAGTGTTGGGAGGATTTAACTAGTTAATAAAGTTAATATACCAAGCATTTAGAAGTGTCTAGCCTATATATACAAAGTGCACAATAAATACTGGTTTTGTTATGGTTCTTTCTCTCTTTATTTTCATTTAGGAATTAATATCTTTCTCATAAAAAAGGTTTATTTCACTCTGCTCACATATTTAGGACACTTTGAAATTCTTACTTCTCTGAAAATGATTCCAATCTTTGCTTCTTGCAGTGACCAGCATTTTGAGTGAGAGTCCATTCTGTATTTAATAAAATAAAGTATTTTTATGAAATAGAAATCAGAATACTTTGTATATTTATTTCCAGAAATTATTTTTTAGGTCACAAAAGTGTAAAGTCACAGAGAGAATTCAATACAACTATGGTGTTAGGGTTAAAAATATGATGTTTGATTTGAGTTGATCATAATATAAAGATGAAATTCTACTACACATGTAAAAAGAGTGTCTTCTTGGAATAGTCCACAAATAGTGTATGCAAAATAAGTTTAAGAAATCTAAAAGAAAATGAAACATAATAACTTTTATAGCAATTTATCTTCAAAATTAATTTTAGTAGCTCTATAGGAAAATGGAAGTTGTTTAGTTATCACTAATTGCTTACCATGTATCAGGCAATGTGCTAAGCACTTCACATGGATTATTTTATTTAATCATCAGAATGAGCCTTTGAAGTAGATGTTATTAAAGCCCTATTATATGTGGAAAGGGGGCCTCAAAGGGATAAAGTCTCAGCCAAGATTCTAAGCAGAGTCATTGACTCCTGCTTCTGGCTTCTGAAGCAGTTTGCTATAGTGTCCTGACATTTTTTTTTTTTTTTTTGCTTATTGCAATGTAGTCAAATGTATCCATTTTTTCTTTTATACCTATATTTTGTTTCTTGTTTAATAAGACCTTTTTGATCCAAAGATTATACATGTGTTCACTTTTGCTTACTTTAAAAAATTCTTATTTTATATTTAGATCAGAAATCCATCAAGAATTTTGTATGTGTGTTTGTAGTGTGTTATAAGGATCTATTTTTTTTCCTTCAGTGAAGAACCAATTGTCCCAACAAGATTTTTTGAATTGTTAACCCATTTGTCAAATTCATTTAAAATGCCATTTTAATCTTAAATGTGTATATGTGTTCGTGTGTGTGTGTGTGTGTGTGTGTGTGTGTGTTTCTGGACTTCTTCCATGACTCTAGCTGTCTGTCAATAAGCTTTTATTGTACTATTTTAACAGTAGTTTTTAAATATAATTTGCTATCAAGTAGAGGAAATCCTTAGCATTGTTCTTTTCACATTTGTCTGGACTGTTCTCACACGTTACAACCAGATATATTTTGAGAATCTACTCCTTGAAGGCAAGAGGCCAGTCAGATTCCTCTTTGGATTTACCCACAGTGCTTGTTACTTATCTGTTGTTTCTCTGCTTAAGCCCATCCTTTTATATTTTGTGCTGTGAGGTAAAATACATTTTCTAGACTCTATATGAGCTTAGTTTTCTCCCTGTTTGTGGCCATGAGGCACTGGAGGGTCATTTTCCACTTGTGTTTCCAGAGACAAAAGACAGTGAAGGCTCTCATTTCCTATTTCACCTGGTGCTCCCATCATGATCTGGTCCATGCCATTCAGTGAGCTGAGCACCAACTATGCCATACCTGCTCAGTGGCTGATGTACCATTTGTGCCTCCAACCATCCCACTCTCTGCCTTCTGAACACCAGCTGTGTCCTATTATGTTGCAGACTGAGCATCCATGTGGGGGGGTCTCTCTTAGACATCACCATCCCCACTGCAGGCATTTTCCTCAGAAGTAGCCATGAGTCCACTCTCAGAGTTTCAAGCACCAATCCTATAGGGGCTTCCCCTTTAATCTTCTGCTTTCTGGTAACACCTTCCATTTCATTTCCCCAGCCTAAAAGTTGCTGACAGCTTCCTATACATTCAATCTCTTGTCACTTTTCTTCTTTGCTTTTTCAGAATTCCAATACCCATGTAACTAATTATCCCTAATGAACGTTCTCTCTCAGTAATACCTAGTGTGGTTTTTGCTTTACTGCCTTGTCTTTGACCTATTTACCTACAGTTCCTATTTCAATGCATATTAGCAGTAAATCTGATATGTTTAAATTGAATCCTAAATCTAATTATCTATTGTAATTTTTCCTTGGTTCAGTATTTTGGTTAACATTTTGAATACTCAAACACTTTCATTTCATTATTTTTAATGTAATAATTCAAATAATTACAAAAGCCTTTTTTTTCTTCCCTCCCTAAATTTTAATGATTCTGGATAGACTTTTTTTTTTTTTTGCAGTATAACCAGGCCAAAAGTTAAAATGGAAAATATTTGTTATTCAAAAGTATTTTTTATGAATGTCAAAGTTAATTTTGTATCTCATCTTAGAATAAGACAACATAAAAAATGTTTATTCCTTTTTTAGATAATGGTTCAAAAAAATCTTTTTGGTAGTACCTACAAACCAGACCAATTAAACTTTGGCTTATGTATATTTATGAGGCAGGCACTTTAAAAAAAAGAAAATAAGATACCTGTATGACTTAATGGGATTTAAATACCATTAAGGAAAACTGCTTTTAAGTTTAAAAAAGAACAGATGAGAAAATTCACATGGTATTTTGGATATAATTCCAGCACAAAGCAGAAATGTAAAAACAGAAAACAGGCCAAAAATTGGACTGAAATGTTAAAAAACAATTATGTGTACTGCACAAATTCCAGTAGTTTTACAAAAGTAAATAGTGTGGTATTAAAGGGTGCATACTATCATATAATACATATTTGTATGTTTTATCTATATCTTAAAAAGATATATATTTGCATATATACATAGCCAATCACCCACTCGACAGATGTGTTAGCAGGTTTTGATGACTTGTGCAAAACATTAAGAAGTAATTAGGAAAGCATCCAAAGCTAGTCAGCACATTAATAGGTACAGAAAGTTCATATTGGATTTCCTTATATTTGCTAGGTACTCTCATTTTCTGAGAATGGGTCAATTCTTTCAACAGTTACAAATCAGCTTAATGTGTAAAATAATCACACAGTGTCACGGATTCATGCAAAAAAGCCCTTCCTTCACTCTTTTGCTTCTTATTTGTAGACTATTTTGGGTGTGGTGATTGCATGCCATTTAGTATTTTTCATAAATTTGCACATTCAAAAAAGCAGGTGATTAACCTCCTTTTAACTGTTTGAGTCCCAGAGTGTCCAAAATGATGTATACCCAAATCTTTTCCCTGACACTAAATGTAATAAAATCTTGTGGCTTAAGCCAAGTGAGTTGACATATTTTTTTGAATGAAAAACATTATTTTACCTATGAAAATGTAGTTATTAATAGAATAATAGTAGATTCTTCATTACATAATCATTTGCACTTGCTCACAGCACAAAACATGGTCTTATGATACAGGATATTATGAAGAAACAGAACGAACAAGAGACACAGGGTGACTTCTTGAATATGGTTAGTATTTCAAAACCCTTATGAATGGAATGGAGCAATTTCTGGTTACTGTTATAGCTGTAAAATCAGGTCAACATTTTAAATTGATTTGCCGTTCATTTCTTTAAATTTCTACTAAAATTTTAAACAAGGTAAAGTTTAAAAATGGGTAAAAGAGATGTTTCCAAAAATTAACATGTAAATCTCTGCATTTGGAAATGCTAAAGTCAAAATTGTATATGATTATAAACGTGATCTAAAACATTCATATTACTTGGCATATTCTTATAGTCAAAGTCAAATTGTTTATTAATTAGCTATAATTCAGTTATAGCACACATTTTTTTGAAATTGCTTTACTTCTCCACTGATCACTAGTGGTAGAGAAAGGGTCACAATTTGAGAAAACCTGTCATGTCTACCAATGGCTCATAACACCACAGAGCACAAGTAGCAATGAGATGGGGTGATTGTCTGGCTAATTGTATCAATGTAGTCTGCAGACAGTAATTCAGAAGAGGAAAAAACCTTTAGGATTTAACATATTGAGTTTGTCTCTCTATTGATCAAATTTATTGGATGATTTCCAAATCTCCACTTTACTGAGTATTTTATTGACACAACCTTTGACCGAGAAGCATAGAGATTTCAAAATGCCTGTTCTTATAGACAGAAAATCAATTTAGTTATTTTAATAAATATAATTGTTTGAGCAAAATAGTTGGCTGAACAATTAAAGGATAGCTGCTATCATTACTTGGTATGTATAGGACAGGAAACTGGAATTGAACATGGAGGAAACAGATTTTCAAGACTGACGGTGCCATGAGGGAATAGTATTAAAGCAAAAGAACCAATATAATAATTTTGCATTTATTCAGGAATATTACATTAGAAAAACAGAGTAGACTTCAGATGTTTATTGTACATTTTTATGTAATTCAGTAACAGATAAGACAAAATATGAATTTTATACTCTTACTTCAAAGAAACATTTTCTTGAGAAGACAATGATTAAGTTGTCATTAGAAGACTATCAAGGCTATGCTGACTTTTTCAAGATGGCATGGGTTAGTCATAGAGAGCCAGACTTCTTACGCTGGAACCTCAGCTTTACCTCTTACTGCTCATTTAGCTTCTCTGTGTCTCAGTTTCCTCTTTTGCAAAATTAGAAAAATAATGGCACTTGTCTTATAAAGTGGCCGTGATGATGTAGTAAGTTAACAGATAGAGAAGTAAGTTAACGCATTGAAATGAACACTTAGAGGAGAAAGCACTCAATAAATTTTAGTGATTTTTATGTTCTCATCTTGAAAGAACAAATATATACTGTATTCATTTCCTAGTGAATTATCATAATGTCCTAAAAGCAACTTTCTAGGACATAATTTTAAGTTAAAAATGTTCATTTGATAGTTTTGATCATTTTAGCTTTCATTTCTTTTACTTGATTAGAAAAATATTATTACTATACTTCCATTAATGGCATGATTAGAAGTGAGAAAAATATACATAAACATCTCTACATTAGGACAAAGGAGTAATGCAAAAAAAGTAAGTTTAACTTATGCTATTATAATCCCTGAAACTACACTGTACACAGATGACAACCATTAAGTATGAGCTTATCCAAAGATCTAACTTTAAATCTTTTAAAAGCACTCTGAAAAGATTAAATGAATTTTCTGACTACTTCTCTTATGGTAGATCTGATTCAACTACATTCAAGTGCAATAAAAAAAGCATATTTCAAAAGTAACCTTTTGAGCAATATCTGGAAATACTTGCTTTTGAGTGTAATCTGAGCATTCCTGAAATCCACAATCTGAACAGTCATATAAATGTGAACATTTATTTGAAAGCTTGGTTAATTAAGAACAATAACATTAGAACTAAGCCAATGCTTTTAAATTCCATGTCTCCTCAAAAATAAGCATATATGTTCCAATGATATTTGTTCTGGGCACTGGTAATTCAGATCATCATGTAATCTTTTTTAATGCCCATATGCAGATATAATATAAACTATTTGCTATTTAGTAATGCTATTTTACATAATTAAGTCATCATGGCTTTATTTTTTCAACAGAAGAATGAAAGCATATCTACACGCTATAACATGACCAAACTGTATCAAATTTTGTCTCCAAATGGGGACAGAAGCATTGGTATGTGTGCATTTTTATTAGAGCAGAAGTCAATCCAAAATATAATCTCTTGAGTTCAATTATAAAAGCCATATGCTTGAGTGAATGCATGGTAAAAATGTGCAACTTCATTACACATTAGAGGCACTACAAATTTCGGCTTTGATTCAAAAACACTCAGACTGCTAATGTGGCATATACTACTAAAAGGCTAATATCATTGCTGTGTGGAGTGATGTAAATGGGGAAGTGGAAACATCTGTATTTTCTCTGCTTTAAGGACATGTTCTTTTCATCCAAGGGCATATCTGTGTAGAGGATAAAGCCTATAATAACAAAGAATGCTTATATTTTGATTCCTAGTGAAGAATGATAACGAAGAAAAAATACACAGGGCCATTGGAATTAGAAAAGTTATAGCTTAACCACTAGTGCCAATATAAACTTATTCTTATGGTCTGAAGTGTTCTTACTGCTTTTCTCAGATGAACTAAAGATGAACATCTTTAGGCGGGTCTTTAGAAAACTGAGATGAGTACTAAGTGAGGAGAGCAGCCTCAAGTACCTGTAAAAGAAAAATGGAAAAAATTCTACAAAATCTTTGGGTTGATAAATCTGAAGACTCAGTGAGACATCAAGAAATGTCAAGATGAAAATGTATTTTAATGGTATACAAATGGTAACTAGAGGACTAGTTAATTCTCAATAATTAGCTTATGCTTAAAAGATGTGTATTCAGTAGTTCCTGTACTTAAAAACTATCTCCAAGAACAAAAGTTTCAACTTTCGTTCTTTTGTATTTCTAGAGGAAGCTAATATGAAGCAATAAACTAGAAGATGAAGTTTGAGAAATCCAAGTTCCAGCTCAACTAGCTGGCTTGGGAATCTGAAAAAGTTGAAATTCTCATTTGCCTATGTAGAAAGCAGACATACACTACCTCATAGAACCATTGAAACTTATTGATATGTGCAAATCATTTTGAACTCATTAAAATGATTTTTTAATATGTCATGTATCGCTTTATATTTTTTCTATATTTATTCTTTAAGAGACTGTGGTGGACAGACTTGAAAGCAGCCCCATGATCATCACCTCCCAGTGTTCATGCATTTGTATAATTCCCTCCCCTTCATATGGGCAGGACATGTGACTTGCTTCTAACCAATGGATTACAAAAAAGGGCAATGGAATAAAAGTGATTACGTGTATGTGATTCCACAAGAGTGTAACATTTGTCTGCTAGAGACTCTACATGACTGTCTTTGAAGAGGCAGACTGCCATGAATCCTACAGCTGCAAGGAAATAAATTCTGCCCACAATCTGAGGGTTCTTGAAAGTAGGCTTTTCCCCTGGTGAGCCTCTGATGAGACCACAGTCTTGGATAACATTTTGAGTGGAGCCTTTTGAGACCCTAAGCAGAGGAGGACCCAGCTAAGTTGTGCCCAGGTTCCCGACCCATGGAAACCTTGAGATTATAATTGTATGTCATTTTAACCTGCTAAGTTTGTGGTCATTTGTTACACAGCAATAAAAACCTAATATGCAGATATTGCATGCATATGTTTATTGGAATATAGCACATTTGTGTATTAATTTATACATTTAGTTGGATAAGTTTATGTAGCTCACAACCCCTTTCCTGTGTAATTGAGTTATTGCTGCCATCCCAGCATAGGAATGGCCTCCAGGAATGTCCTGGCGCCTGCTGTACCAACTCACTCAGCAGCTGGACTACGGTGGGAAGAATTGTAGTGGAGGAGAAATAAAGTGTGAAATGTATGGAGCCAATGTTAGTCTGTGGAAATTCATCAAAACCTTATATCTCATATATGAAATAAACCTGAAAAAAATTTCCCCAAATTTGACAATTCTAACAAGTTGTGAAGCTGAGAGTATATTTCCTGAGGTAAAAATAAAAAGGATTTTTTGGTCAACCATTTCAGGGGAGAAGTTGGATATCTTTCTATTCTCGTTATAGAAAACAATATATCAAGATCATTGTTATGTTAAGAGGCAATAAAAAATTATGTAGTCAAAACTGTAAGAGAACAAAATTATGGAGGAGTTGTATTGTTTTCTGTCCTTTGTTGATATTGGCGGTATTTTTGAGCTTTCAATATTGGTAATATTTTATAATTTATTTTGCATCCTAAATAATATTTACTTTCTTTTTTTATTTTATTATTATTATACTTTAAGTTTTAGGGTACATGTGCACAATGTGCAGGTTTGTTATGTATGTATACATGTGCCATGTTGGTGTGCTGCACCCATTAACTCGTCATTTAGCATTAGGTATATTCCCTAATGCTATCCCTCCCCCCTCCCCCCACCCCACAACAGTCCCTGGTGTGTGATGTTCCCCTTCCTGTGTCCATGTGTTCTCATTGTTCAATTCCCACCTATGAGTGAGAACATGCGGTGTTTGGTTTTTTGTACTTGCGATAGTTCGCTGAGAATGATGGTTTCCAGTTTCATCCATGTCCCTACAAAGCACATGAACTCTTCATTTTTTATGGCTGCATAGTATTCCATGGTGTATATGTGCCACATTTTCTTAATCCAGTCTATCGTTGTTGGACATTTGGGTTGGTTCCAAGTCTTTGCTATTATGAATAGTGCCGCAATAAACAGACGTGTGCATGTGTCTTTATAGCAGCATGATTTATAATCCTGTGGGTATATACCCCGTAATGGGATGGCTGGGTCAAATAGTATTTCTAGTTCTAGATCCCTGAGGAATCGCCACACTGACTTCCACAATGGTTGAACTAGTTTACAGTCCCACCAACAGTGTAAAAGTGTTCCTATTCATATCTAATTATAATTATACTCCTTTTTCAATGGGGATCCAAAATTGTATAAGCTTCAAGTTCCATAAAACCTAAATTCATCTCCACATGCAAAGAAAGAGAATATTTTTAAATGATACTAGCAGCTACAGTAAGATGAAGGCAGATAATGGTCCACTAGAATAGGCAACATAAAATCACTATTTGTTAGACAAGAATGATTTTAGAGGGGTGGTATGGCCAGAAAACAGAGGAAGAGAATGGAAAATGATGAGAAGTGCTGTAGCATGGTGACAGTGGGTATCCACAAGTTCTGTGAACAGTTTGGCACTGAGATTTGGCAAATAGAGTAGGTGGCAGATGGAAGTGAATGTGAGGCCATTGGAGTTTTCTGTTAGAAGTCTAACTTTGTATGCTGCTAGGAATGCTCCAATAGAAAGGGAGAAATTTATAATTTAGGTTACACAGAGGTAGCTGCATATGGTAGCCATCCTCCAAGATGACTCACTCCCAAGGATCCAATCTCTTGGCATTCACAACCTTGTGTGGACCTCTTCCAGTTCCATCAGGGTTGGTTTGTGTGACTAAGACTATACAACAGAAATGATGGGGTAGTAGCTTCCAAAATTGGGTTATACTAGAATACAGCTCCCACTTGGTCTCTCTCTCTCTCTCTCTATTTTTCTCTCTCTCTCATTATTTGTTCTGGGGAAAGTAAGCTTCTATCTTGTGAGCAACCCTGTGGAGAGGCTTAAGGGGTGGAGAATTGAGAACTGAGACCTCCAATGAGAAACTGACCAATGGTCATGTGCATGAGCTTGGAAGTGGATCCTCAGTCCCAGCCCATCAGTGCTACGATGGAAGTCCTAGCTGATAACTTGGCTGCAAACTTGTGAGAGATCTCACCCAGATTCATTCCAATTAAGCCACTCTTGGATTCTTGACCCTTAGATACTGGAGATAGCAAATGTTTGTTATTTTGAGCTGTGGTATTGCAGAATAATCATTTATGCAGCAATAGATAACTAATGCACCACAAGAGTGAAGTCCTTGAGAAGACAAACTAGGAAGTGATATATAGTATAACTGGATACATTGGATGTTAATAGAGACAGGGATCTGTCTTTCTGTTTAACAGGAGAGAAGATAGAGCATATGGGTATGGATATACCTAAGTTGGTAGATGTGTCTGCTACATTACTAGAAAATTTTATTTTTATCAATTTCATTTTCTCAAGTATGAGGCAAGATTTTAAATTGTGAGTACCTTGAAGGGGAGGCAGAAGGGATTATATGCTTAAGAACTGTAGAGGAAAAAAAAAGAAATAGTCACCTTGGAGAATGAGAAAGAATACTAAGCAGAAAAATATAATAGGGTGAGGTTAGTGTTGAATTCTGTTCTGAGGTTTGTGTGTTGTATTTAAAACAATTTCAGTCAACCAATTTTGTGATTTTTTCCCCCAGCAATATGTAGTTGCTTGGAGAAAGCATAGAGTACATCTGGGTTTAACTGAAGTCACTGTTTGCTAAATGAATGCAATGAAAGAAGAGAGGACAGGGAATTGAGGGTATTTTGCAAAGAAAGAACTTCAATGTTGGCTCTTGGAATCTCACCCAGGAAAGAGAAGGAAGAACAAGAGGATGAGCAACAGTGAAAGAGTGGTGGTGTAGATTATGAATTGGAGCTCTTGCTAAGTGTGGTTGAACAAGGTAGTACCTGAGAGGAGGAAATAAAATGAGCTAAGCTAATGAAGGGGTGACTAATTTGAAGACAAGAATTCAGGATGTGGTAATGGAATGTGTGGCTAAGGTGGAGTAGGGCAGGGTGGGGAAATGTATTGAGGTTTTGATTAGGAGAGACTGATTAGTGGAATTAAATTAATAAGTTCAAGAGAAAAAAAAAGCAACGGTGAATTCTTGAGCAGAGAATACTTGCAGAAATGTGGGATGATAGACATTAGTTAACCACAAGAGTGAGAGGGCCAAGGCTATTGTAGTGGTCTGAGGAAATGGAATTCAGAGTCTCAGTGGATGCCAAACCATCTAGAAAATGGTTCTTGTTACCTTGGCAATGGAAGTCAAACCTTAACTAATGATCTTTTACTGAGAAAACTCACAAGCAAATGAAGTGAAGAGTAATTGGAGTCAGGCTATACATTGCTTCCTTAGTTTCACCTTGCATGACAGCTTGGAAAGCAGTTTGGACATAAAAAATGATTATCTCAAGCCTCCATGCTTGAGAGTTCTGGGGGCTGCTGACCAGAGGTTTTCCTTATTATTATTATTTTGGATTTTTTTTTTTTTTTTTGAGACGGAATCTCTGTTGCCTGGGCTGGAGTGCAGTTGTGCGACCTCAGCTCACTGCAACCTCTGCCTCCTGGGTGCAAGCAGTTCTCCTGTCTCAGCCTCCAGAGTAACTGGGACTAAAAGTGCATGCCACCATGCCCAGCTAATTTTTGTATTTTTAATAGAGGTGGGGTTTCACCATATTGGTCAGACTGGTCTTGAACTCCTGACCTCAGGTGATCCACCTGCCTCAGCATCCCAAAGTGCTGGGATTACAGGCGTGAGACACCGTGCCTGGCCATTATTATTATTTTGAGTAAGCCAGTGCCATTGCATTCAGCAGCAGCCCTGAGCAGAGCATAAATTTGTTGAGGTTTGTAAAATCTAGCCAGAAGCTAATTAAAATGCTGCCTCTCCTAGCCTTTACTATTTCCCAACAAGTTTGGGCTCTCCTAGAGGTGGGAGTGAACACAGTGGTCAACAATATAATTCAGCACTTGTTTAAGCCCATAGTAGGCACTTAAAATGTTGTTGGATAATTAAGTCAATAGTAAGTGTGGATTGACAAAGCAGATTTTCCTTCTCACTGGGGACATATCAGAAGAGTCTAGGGATAAGAATACATACAATTTGAAAAAACACTTTGAATCTCATAATATAATTTTACATTTAGAAAATAGAAATGTGTCCATTTTTATTATAAAATAATGTGATGCACAAAGTACCAAAATAATATAACAAATAACCATGTATATATTGCCCACTTAAGAATTAAGGAAAACAGACATAATTGAAACACTCTGAGCTTGAATCCAATCACTTCTTTCCAAGAAGTAGTAGTTTTCTCAGTCTTACTTATTATCCTCCAATCTCTTTTTATAAGTTTTTAAATTATATATCTAAAAACAAAATATTCTCTGGCTTTACATGTTTCTAAACTATGCAAATGGCTTCATACAGTATGCACCATTCTGCAACTTGTTTTCATTGCCCTCATTATTATGTTTTTAGATTTATTCATGCTGTTGCATATAGCTCTGGCTCATTCATATTGATTGATGAATAGCTGCTATGGTTTGAATATGTCCCCCAAAATTCATGTGTTGAAAACTTGATCCCCATTGTGGAGGTGTTAGGTGAGGTCTTTAAGAGGTGTTTAGGTCAAGAGGTCTCTACCCTCACAAATAGATTAATGCTGCTGTCAAGGAAATGTGTTTGTTGTAAAAAGATGAGTTCGGCCTCTGCTTTCTCTTTTGCCCTCTTTTTGCCCTTCTGACTTCCACCAGTGATGATGCAACAGGAGGGCTCTCACAAGATGCAACTGTTTGTTCTTGGACTTCCCAGCCTCCAGAACTGTGAAAATAAATTTCTGTTCACTATCCCATCTGTGATATTCTGATATGGCAGCATGAAATGGACTAAAATAATAAAATTCCACCCTCTGCATCTATCATAATGAATATATCTGCTCTCCTGTTGATGAATATTTATTTATAGTTTTTCAATACTGATGGAGAGGCTGCAATGAGCACTTTTAGAATTTATCTGAATGAACATGACTGATCGTGAAATTGCTGGGTCCTAGTTCATGCATATCTTAAACTTTCTGATATTTGGTAAACTGTTCACTAAAGTGGTTGTATCACTTTACACTCCCCTCCATAACAGTCTTTGTTTCTAGATATCCTCTCCAGTATTTTACAAATTTTAGTCTGATGGTTCTGAGATGGAACTTCATTATTTTAATTTAAAGTTCCCTGACAACATGTAATTTTAATAAAAACAAACTCTAGAGTGCCAAGTTCAACAAACATTTTTTTATTTTTATTTTATTTTTTAGCTGGTAGGGTAACTCAATAGGCTGTCTCTGAGGTTCTTCCTGTATGAGTGAAGTTGACATGCTCCCCTAGGGAGATGTATGGAATCTCCTAAGGTGAAACATGAGGTGCTTTGATAGCTAAAGATATCTTGGTTTTAAAAGGTAGAGAAATGCTGGGTAGGAAAAGCAAGGCCAAATGGAATCATATTACTTCTATCAGTACAGGATAAAACAAAGGCAAGATTGGGGCAATTAAAAAGTAAGAAGTGATTTAAGATGAAGGGGAGAGAATGAGAATAAAACGAGCTTCTTGAAATTATGAGTGTTACCTTGGTTTCTTTTGAGTCTGCCTATTTACATCTTATTCTTAGTTTACCCTTTAAAGTCACTGGATTATGCAATTATATCTTACTTAGGGCAAGTGGCTGCTGATAATAATCACAGAATCATAGAATTGTAGAATGGGTAGAAATCTTAGGCGTTGTTTCATTTTATAAGTGAGAAACTGAAGTACAAAGAACAGTTGCACAGTCATAAGAAACAGGTTTTAAAGAAAATTATTGGAGGAAGAGACAACTAGGGCTCTCTACTTATTGGTCCATGTTTATTGTGGAATTAGCCTGATTACCAATATTGATGAAAGAAACCCCTTCTACAACTATAAAATGATGGTTGAGAGCACAGGCTTAAGATCACAGATGCCTGAGCTTGACTCCCAGCTCAGCAAATACAAAATGTATAATCTTGATCAAGTAACTTGACTTCCCCAGCCTCAGTCATCTCATTTGAAAAACAGGGAAAATTTTCATTCCTACTTTTTCTGGTATCATGAAGAGCAGATGAGATAATATCTCACCTTCTGGTACATAGTAAACAATGAACAAAGGGTAGATATTATATTTTTATTTTAACACCTGAGTGTTTGAGACGTAATTTAGTCATTTAATGTCCTGACATGAACTGCCAAGGGCACAAGGGGGAAGGTTTCACTAGAGCTAAACAGGTCAGCAATGGCTAGTCTCCGTCATACAATAGCATGGGATGTCTTTAACTATATTTTTAACCCGAATTTAGTAAGTTTTTAAATGTAATCCTCTGAAAGGTTCTCTATTTGCTTAGCTATGTGTTCCTTTTCTAGTGAAGCTATCTATTATACAATACTTTGGAGTCTTTGGAGGAAATGGAAGCAGAGTAGTTTGTCTCCCTATGTCTCTAGTGTATTTCTTTATGGCTGGATTTAGATGATTGAATTTATCTGTTTCCTTTCTACTCAAACCTTTTATTTCTAAACTCTAAAATACACCTACCTCAAATTGTTCCATTATTTTTGAAAATAGAATGGTAGCCACTTAAAAATAATGCTGAATATTTTTACGTATGCCATCTCTTTTATGTACCCCCAAATGCCTTAAATTTTAATAATTCATCTTACCATTATTTTGTCTTGCTTTTATGTCTATTGCTGGCTTCTGTTTCAAGATAGCTGACTAAGCACATGTATACACATAAGTTAACCTTTTCTCTCTCTCAAAATCCTACTGAAACAAAAACATGAAAAATAATAAGAAGTCTATAATCGGTGCAGAAAAAAATGAAATATTTCATCAGTGGACAACTACACTGAGAAAGCTGTAAAAGCTCTAAAGCTGACAGATGAGATTTTTCCCTTGTCCCAACAAAGCTAAAGAACCACTCGTATGGTACAAATATAATGTAGTACTGCTAAAATGGTAGGTTTTCTCAGGAGGACATTGAGCCAGAGCCAGGACTGGGGTGAGCTGAATGAAGTGAACTGAATATAAAATTTGAGAGGGTGTCCCCCAAAAACTTGAAAATATTTTGAAAAATCAAAAGTAAGACCAAAAAATCTGTACTACTGATTTTTTGTTTTGCCTCATGCTCTGCTGTGGCTTGGCACAGTACCATCAGTGATTTTTGTCTTTATATAAGGTTTTGATATTTTGTCTATTATGGAATTTTGCATTACTTTTGGATCTTTTAAAGAATTGCACCAGAATATTATTTATGTTGATTACTGTGTGTTTTAGCTTAAGTTTTGTGCCTGAGGCAAGAACCTCACTCGCCTCATGAATCTCTCCTTGGTCTGGGCTATATCAGGAGTCCCCTTAAGATCAGAGGCAGCAGAAGTGGGCTCTGAGGCCATCTTTGGATATTTATTTAAAGGTTTGTAAGTCTCTTTATCAGAGCCCACTCTTAATGTGACTGACTCTGATGTTTGACTTCAGGATAAAGCTTGGAGATAAGTTATTTAAATAACGTGACAACTTGTCCATGGGGAACTTACAGAATGGGCTTCGAGCTTAGGAAGAGAAACAGAGGAGGGGTCTAAATACCTTTTGTAATATATGAGAATCACCTGTATGCCAAAGAAAATATCCCAAGTCCCTTAAGAGAAAATCAACTGAAAATATGCTCCCATCCACCAGGCCCTTTCCTGCTTATTTGCTACTGATTATTTGCTACAATCAGATGGCCTGTGAACAGAACCCACATACCTTGCCTGGGGAACAGTGATATTTACTTGAACTGGGGAAGCCTTATTTAGTCCTTGGTATAGATCAATCATCATGAACATGAGAAAAGTCAACATATCATAAAGATATACCTATTATTCATTTTATATATATATATATATATATACCTATATATATAATTTATTATATAAAATGATAAACTCTCACCTTACAAAGTGAAGTTGATACCAGAAATAGAAGAAAAATTTAAAATAGATGTTCATATCCTCAGAGATTCGAGAGGATACGCAATTCATAAAATAAGAATAGGCTGCTGCATGCAAATGAGTTAGTCAATGTTTGGAAAAGCTTAGTGCAAATTCCAGATAATTTCAATACAAAGCCAGAAGAGCAGTGAAATAGGTGAATCACAACCTGAGTTTAAGTTTCATAAAAAAAGGATAGCTTTATTCCTTATAGTATCTCTAACACTTAGATGAGCTCAGTACGTTTTGATCTTATCTTGTCAGAGCAACAGGATAGAGTTACTGTAGTACATAGTGCCATCATTTTCAGTTATTCTCTACCCTCTCTGTTGCCATGTGACATAAAGCACCATCTTATAGGGGGAGCTTATGTCCCAACCCCTTTGATATTAGGCTTGGCCATGTGACTTGCTTTGGCTAATGGGCAGTGAGTAAACATGAAATATACCACATTCAATCAGAAGTTTTGAGAATCTCGAGTGCCTTAGTCTGGTATTTTTCTGTTGCAAAAGAATGGCATGTCCTTTTCAGATCTGCTCCTGCAGCCTAGATTCTGGAATGAAAAAAATATATATATGTCATAGAGCCACAGTCAACCCGTTAAAATTGACATAAAACCTAAGAGAGAAATGGGCTTTTTGTGGTAACCCACTGAGGCCTGGAGGTTATTTGTCATGAAGCAAAGCTGATTAATAAAGTTACTGATTGATTTTGATGTTGTTAGGAAAATTTATCCAGAACTTTTAAAATTTATAATATATGGTACTAGCTAGAAAAAATATAGTTAGAATTATGTATTTCAAAAAAACAAGAATGAAATAAAATGTGACCAAACAATAATTAGGAAAGGAAAAGCTAAAGAAGCAAAATGATAAGAAACAGAAAACGGAATAAGAGAAAAATAAGGGAAGCTAGTAGAAATAAGAATGCATTTTAGAAATAATATAAATGCATTAAAATTCCTTATTTAGGTTATTGAGAAATAAAAATTAAAATCTGGTAATGTAAGCACTGAATTTGTTGGTTTCAGATTGTAACTCTTAGCATTCCAAAATTAAGTTTTAATGAAGATTTAAACATATTTATGCAACATTTGAATGCTTTAAAAAGTGCTCAACAGTAGTCATTTTCATTATCCCAATCAATTTGCTTAAGAAAAAAAAAAAAGCCAGGTGTGGTAGCTCATGCCTATAATCCCAGTACTTTGGGAGGCTGAGGCAGGAGGATTTCTTGAGGCCAGGAGTTTGAGACCAGCATGGGCCAAAAGCAAGACCCCATCTGTACAAAAAGTAAATTTGCCAGGTGCGGTGGTACACACCTGTAGTCTTAGCTGCTTGGGAGGCTGAGATGGGAGGATCACTTGAGTCCCGGAGTTCAAGGCTGCAGTGAACTATGATCATGCTACTGCACTCCAGCCTGAGTGACAGAGTGAGAAGTCATGTCCAAAAAAAAAAAAAAAAAAAAAAAGACCAAAAAACATGTGTACAAATACACATACATAAATTTATATCCTGGAAAATCTCTGAAGATGGAACATTTTCTCTATGATTATCTTTCATACTATTTAATTGAATGTGGCTGATTAACCAGAATAATGCTTTCAGAGAAATTGAGAAGTAAAGAGGAAAAAAGTGCTTTGTCTTGGTTAAGAATGAAATTATGTTCCTCAAACACCTCTTACTCTGGCAAAAACAAAACACAAGCAAAATTCACATATGCATAAGAAAAGGAATCTCACTCTTCTGGGAAAACAAAACAAAAAGAAATATACACAATTGTTTTTTTCTCAACAGTTTTCCCATGTCTCCTTATATTTACAGTCACTACATAAGGTCCTGACATAATCATTAGTAGCGTCCCCGTTCACTCTCAAAACTGCCCTGGTTAGGTTGATAAATTCCTACAATTCATGTGCCAGCCATACAATGATTTATTACCCCATATGCAATATGTGGCAATATAACCACAGAGATTTTAGCCAGAGAACTTTACTCTTATTCATAATAGTGCGCTATAGAATCCTGGAGGATACAGAGAGGAAAATGGTAGGTACACAAAATGAGTCATTCATTGACCTATAATCTAAATCTATTACTGTCATTACGTTTCTGTTTTAGTTTAGTCATCTATAAAAGAGAGATAATACATAATTTTAGTAACTTCCTAATGTTCCACTAAAAGTTGGGTAATATAGAAAAGAGACCATTTTGAGTATTATGTAGTGCTTTAAGCATGTTAAGTACATTATAATTGTCTGATAAGCATTTTTTATGCAGCTGTAAGGTACCATTATGTTCCCTGACCATCCAAACATTATTTAGAGCATTTGGAGTATTTAGCATTGTCTTTTTTCTCTTTGATAACCCTGTATATAGATTCATCAAGATAATAATGTCTTGAGGCAATAATGTAATCTACCATTTACATAAGGTAATATTATCTTTAGAACTAATTTTTGAGCTTAATTTTTATAAAAGGAGAAATCACGTGACATTATTTCATTCCTATGATTTCCTTACAACATCTTTCTTCAGATATAACCTGCAAAAAAGTCAGTCAGACCATTTTACTCTCTTTAAAGTCTGTCTGTTTCTCCCAACATAGATATAGCCTACAAAGAGCTCAAAGTTTAGTTGCCAACAAAAGACATCATGAGAAATTTCTCTGTTTTCCTAGAAATGAATTATTTATGCTATTCAATAAGTTCTTACAATGATGAAATATACTCCATCTTTATTAATGACTTTTAAATTAGAAATATGCAATAAAAGTCACAGTGAGGATCAGATTTTAATTTCAATTTCCCTACTATGCCTAATCTTCAAAGTCTTAAATTTTTACAGTCTAACTTTCCACCTACCCACATAACATGGCTCTATAAACTTAATGAACAGCCTGTTTTAACATGAGTTTTAAATTGTTTACATTTTAAACCCAGAATATTAGCATCTGAAGTGAGAGTTGATTTCACCGGACTCTGTCTTTGGTAAGGCCATTTCTTCTCTTATTTGAAGAGTATAGTTCTTTCAGTTTCGTCTCATCCTGAATACTTTCGGAAGAAAGTAAACAGGGCATAAATATGCAGAGATAAGTCATGTTTACCTTGTTCTTACCCTGCACAGATCACTGGTTTTACTAGTTACAAAAAACTACTTGTATTATATGAATAGGGATACTACTTTTTCAACATAATTTTTGAGACTGCTATACAACAGGGCACTTTAAAGAATACCGTTGTGTGCAATGATAGCTATTGGCATTGATAAGACTCTCCAGAAAGTCTGAAATAACCATCTTAATTGTTGATGTATAAAGAGAAAGAGAAGAATCTTTCCATGTGGCATCAGCTCAAAGGAGCACAGAGCCAGATGGAAATATTTCTATCATAAGATAGGCATTTCACCATTTAGGAAGGCTGAAGAAAAGGCAACAAATCAGCCACCAACAGCAAGACAATTTTTCAAAAGTAGTTAGTCCTCAAGAATAACAATATTGAGCAAATTGTCTACAAAACTCGAGCTCTTCTCTGGTAACTCTATGGCTGAGAACAATATCTATGAACTGTCTCTGGTGCACTAGAGACTTCTTTAAAGTATGGCAACCTTAACAATAAAGGGTGTTATTGCATCATTATTGCTGCAGTGCAGCTAATGAGAGGAAGGTAAATGTTGCTCCTGAAAGTGTTAATTCTGCATCTCTCCTTGCACCTGATTAACACCAAGAAGGCCTTAGGCAAAAGGGAAAGTAGGACTCTTGGGATTAAGTAATCTCATCTCTGACTCCAAGTAAACCCAAAGATTACCTGTCAACCAGATAGAAGAAAGTAGCAGTTAGGATTTGCAATCTGATATTTAAGCCCTTCTGTGGGGAAATAGATGTAAAGGTAGAAGAAAAGGAATTTGCTTCAGTTAAGCTTCATATTTCTAGAGGGCTGCTAAATCAAATTCACAACCTCTAAGACATCTAACAAGTATTCGCTTTTGCATTTAGTAAAATTCACACTTGGACTAAGAAAAAATAACATAAATTTTGAATTAAACAATATCTGCAAAAAAAAAAAGTGAAGACTTACAACCAGATAAATAGAATGTAGCCTCAGGGGATTTAAATAATAATGGCTTATAGATAGTTAGAATCTCAATTTATGGTAAATTTATTACTTGTTTATAAAGGCAAGAAATGACAGCTTATCTTCAGCTTTGAAAAGGGCTATCATGCAGAAAAGAGAGCCAACCTGTTTTACACGGCTCCAGAAGGCACCATTAAAATCCTTGAGTTGAGGTTTCAGCGAACTGATGATTTTGGCTCTATACTGAATATGAATTTACTGTTTCCCACGAAGAAAAGAGCCTCCTGTCATGAAAAGTAGTCCAACTACCCATTGACCATCTGTAAGGGATGCTGTGTAAAGAATTCTTTCATTTGGTAAGATTCTGAATTAAATCGGTACTTTTAACTTTTTGGCAACAGAAATTTTGAAAAATTGATATCTTTCTCAGATGAAAAAGATGAAATGATTCCTTGGCGAGTAAGAATTTTCACTGTTTGGGAAGAATATATTTCCACTTCAGCACCTACTGGGGCCCTTATGCTTCACTCAGAGCAGAGTGT
Organism: Homo sapiens; assembly: GCF_000001405.40. Classification (NCBI taxonomy): domain Eukaryota; kingdom Metazoa; phylum Chordata; class Mammalia; order Primates; family Hominidae; genus Homo; species Homo sapiens. The sequence continues at coordinate 125,404,532 of NC_000005.10, forward strand.
AAGCTTACTCTCTGATTGAAAATAATGGTCTCAAAGTACTAGAGAAGATTATTTAGTTGAAAACAAACAAAAAACCCAAAAACCTTAGACTTACTGAAAATTTCCTTCATAAACTTATAGATTCATTCTTCAAAGCAAAAAAGCTGTCAACTTCAGGTTATTATGAAACTAAGTGAGCATTTTGAACTGATGATTATGTCACAAACTGGATTCCCGGATGTAGAGATTTTCTGAACAAAGGCTTGGTCTTCGTGGCAGTCAGCTCCAAGGCTGTCCCCAGTGATTTTCACCATCTGATATTTATGCCCTAGCTTGGTCTTCACCATTGAATCAAAGCTTATCAAGTAGAATACTATGGGTGAGTTCCTGTGTTTTTTTCTGAGGCTAGGTCATAAAAGGAGCCACAGCTTCCAACTTGGCCTGTTGGATCATTTGCTCTGGGGAAAACCAGTGCCATGCCATGAGGCCACTTACGCAGCTGTGTGGAGAAGTGCACCAGCAAGGAGCTGAGGCCTCCCACAAACAGCCTTGTGTCTGCGTGTCCTTGGAAGCAGATCCTCTAGTGTGGCCTAACCTTCAAAAAGATTACACTCAGCCAAAATTTGACCAAAACTTCATGAGACCCCCAGCCAAAATAGCCCAGCTAAGCTGCTCTGAAATTCCTGACCCACAGAAACTGTGAGATAATAAGTAATTATTATTTTAAGACACTATGTTTTGTGATGATTTGTTATGCAGAAATAAAAACCCAAACACTAATATATGAGTTTCACTTGGAAATTTTCTTCTAGACACATTCACCACGTTCATGATGATTGAGGAGAGATGGCCTCAAAGATTTATAAGCTCCATGACAGCATGAGGTTACATTTGTTTTTTCACCCTTATATTCACAGTAGCTACCATAGTTCTTAGGAAAAGTTTATGTAGATTCAATAAAATTTTGTTGGATAGATGAACAAATAAACAAGATGTATATTTTGAAGAATTTAAAATGAATGAGGTCAAATTGAGTCATTTATTAGTTGTTTTATTATAAATATCAAATTTCCATTTGTAAAAAACAAATACTTTTTTGAGGAAAGAGGTAGAGAATTTTCCTAAATTATTAATTGTTTCTATAAAATATAAATAACATTTGTATTATAGTCAAGGAAGGCCTTTTTAACAGGATGTGATTTAAACCCAAAGCTGTATATCAACATATGCTTTTCCCTCTGCCTGAAATGAACATTGCTTCCTTTCTCCAGGCTAAATTCCCTTATCCTTCAAGACTTAGTGTGGTTGTAACATCCATCTGCAGACTTTCCTGATTCCTTTTGACTGTATTTTGTATCATACTGCATTTGAAAGAATGGCATACTCAACTTTCTTTTTCAAAATAGCTTTATTATTTTTATAAAAATAATATATGCTTACTTAAGAAGAGTGAAATAATATGTTATATGACAATGACTATTGTATTAGTCCGTTCTCCTGCTGCTATAAAGGACTGCCAGATACTGGGTAATTTATAAAGGAAAGAGATTTAATTGACTAAAAGTTCAGCATGGCTGGGGAGGCCTCAGGAAACTTACAATCATGGTAGAATGGGAAGCAAACACATCCTTCTTCACATGATGGCAGGAAGGAGAAGTATAAGCAGGGGAATGCCAGATGCTTATAAAACCATCAGGTCTCCTGAGAACTCACACAGTATCACGAGAACACCATGGGGTAAAGTGCTCCCATGATTCAATTATCTCCACCTGGTCCATCTCATGACAGATGAGGATTATGGGAACTCCAATTCAAGATGAGATTTGGGTGGGACACAACCAAACCATATCAACTATTAAATTATTTCTTTCTGTTACTAAAGTACTTAAATAAGTGATTGTCAAATTTGAGTCTCACTCCAACAGGTCTAAAAGCAGAAGAAGGTGCAGCTACAGGTTCTTGCAAACATTTATGCAAAAAAAAAAACCACGTTCTAAATACATAATAATAGAAGACATTTTTAAGATGAGGACTCACCTAAATACAAAGATTTGTTTCTTTATTTGTGCCTTGTAATCTTCCCTTCTACTGCTGGTATATTGATTTAATTCTAATAGGTGTATTATTTTAATCATATTTTAGGGAAATCTTCATTTTTGCAATATGAATGACATTTCTGCCTCTGAACCTGTGTCTAGCCTTAGGTGAATTCACAAACTGGACATTCTGTAAGTAGGAATGACTATTTTCCTATACATGTAAGTTGTACACATTGATTACATGACTCATCTCTCTACTACCATGGAGTAAAGAATGAATATTCAGGATGCCATAATTATTTAGGTCAACAAACATTTATTGGACATTTGCTAAATGTGAGGCATTGCGCTAGGTAGTCAGATTGGAAAGATGAATAAGATAAATTCCTTACTGCCAAAGAACTTAGAATTTAAGTAACTGAAGAGGAACATATCAACCAAGGCTGCTTGGCCTTTATTTTAAAGATTCTTTAGATTACCTGCACATTCTCTAAGATATAAGTCCAGGACAGGAATTCTGTCTGCTCAGGAAAATGCTCAGAATATTTTTCAGCTAGATTATATGGACTCATTGACAACAGCAGAAAAGTCTCGACTTGGGCATAGTAGACTATTTGAATGCTTTGCACTCGTTCCACATACTGATGTAAAAACTTACTTGAACTCTTTCAGGTATTTAAGTGACCATTTATTGAAATAAACGTGAAAGTTTGATAGCAAAAACCAGTCAGACGAAGTCTGTCCTTGTATAATATAAATAGCCAAGACCATAATAAAGACCAGAAACACTTGTACATCCTTAATGTGTTTCTAAGAAGGTCATTGTGAGCAACCCTGCACACTTTTCAATTCTGAATGGACTTTATCAATATTCCACACATTTGGCCTGAATCAGTGGCTCCTTCTTTTAACTGGGGCATTCCTAGACATGGTGTTATAAAGTAGAGAGTGGAAAGGTAAAGTCATCATAGCATGGTTATCTGTCTGGACAAGGTCAGAAGTCAGAAATAGGCAAAGAAAATGTTAGAACTGTGAGCAGTGTGAAATGTGTATTTCTCTTGGAAGCACTGGATGAAAGGCAGGGCAGATAGGGAAGCAGGTAAAATAAAGCACTGCTAATATTTCAATTTGGTGTAACATCTACATTTTAAAATAAACCAACTACCAGGACTCAGGACTATTACAAACTACAATTTAAAAAAATTCCAAGTGTGTTTCTAACTAAAACATATGTAATTAAAAAATATTTCCATTTGTTCTGTGGAACTGCCTATCGAACACATATATATAGGTAAGAGAAATGCTACAGGAGACTGACTGTTTCTTCTTTAGAAAACTGTGTTTAGCAGAGGAAAAGAAATCAATGCCTGTATTTTCCATTATGACAAAGCTCATAATTGTCCTTAAATGGACTTTTTGTACTCAAGGCTTATGATTCCAATTTGTCATTAGTGATAACTTGCATCAGTATCTAGAAAAGAGAAAGTTTCAGAGAAGACAAAAAAGTCTTCTATCTTAATTTTCACAGCCATTTATTGATGTGCACATTACTTTCATTCTTTCAACCTAAATTGAATGTAATATGCAAAATAGACTATCTGAATAAGTAGATTATTAGGAAGAAAAAGGTAGCATGAGTCCTGTTCACTATAAGGGAAAGTATATTAAACAAATTATAAATAATATAATTACAAACCATTGTAGATCTACAAAGTATTTCTTGTGTGGTTTACTTAAGGATAGTATAGTCATTTAAGTTGCAAAGAATAGCCACAGAAGGAAGCATACCTATTCTACCTGAATTCTACAGAATTTTCAGTAACAAAAAAAACTGCAGATCCCCTTTCTAATGTTCAATGTGGAAATAAAAAGCCTCGTCCTTTTAGCTATTAAACACCATATCTTTTGATCACTGAGTCTTCCTCTTTTATTTATTTATAGATGTGAAAGAGCAGGTAGAATTATGCACTGCAGGTATCTGAGAATTTCAGTTTCAGAAGGAACAATAAGGATGGTGCCATCCAACCCGGCTATGCCACAGGCAAGACTCACAGAGGTAAAATGAGTGTGCAAAGTCAGGAGCAAATCCAGGGCTGGAATCTGGGGCTTTTCCCATTATCCTAGGCTTGATCTAAGGTCAGCACTGTCTAAGTTAATGAACATACAGTTTTGCAGTTCTAGCAACAGAGCTCAATAAAACTACACTTGTTCTGGTGCACACCAATGAGATCATCCAAGGTCATTATTTCTGTCTTCCAAGCTCTGCAGATCAGCACACTACTGAAACCCAATTAAACCACAAGAGGTGGGGAAACATTAAAAATGAATCATTGACTGTTTAGGGGGAAATAAAAAGACAAGGCTTTCTGAGTCAGCTGAAACTTTCATCAGCCACTGGGCGTACCCTGTGAGCAAAGGAAGTCACAGGGGCCCAATGAGATACCTCTGTCATATTTTTTTCTCCAGATTGTGCTTTCTTGAAGAGATACTGAATTTAAAATGGAGCTATTTGGCAATGACAGGAGTTTAAAGGAGAGAGTTGGGAATTAGACCTTGCACCAAATAATCTACATCCCTGCAAGTGAGTGCGCCGTATTTCAAGCTATTCTGGTTGGCTGAGCAAAGCCCTGCATTTTTGTTAACTCCCTTTAATTAATCTTGTCATAAGTCCTATAGTGAGGTGGATGAACTTTCAAACATTAAACAGTGGAATTACTCACCGGGTGGCTTTTCCCAAACACTCCAACCCCAATTAAAGAGCTGTATTTGGTTTGGGTTTCCTCAAATGGCGCTCCTGTTAACACTCATCAAACACAGGAAAAATAAAACAGCAATTTAACTGTGCCCGCAGTGTGAAAGGCTTGTGCAAATAATCAGCACATTTCTAACCGGTTAGTAATAGGCAGAGTGCAAAAAACAAATGACCAGATTTATACCACTGGGCAGGTCTGAAAGCAATGTTACAGCTGAAATATATTCATTTACAATTTAAAGCAAGGCTTTCAGTGAATAATTGTTTACATAATAGTGAACAGTGCTTGTGCTGCACAACTGGGATCCATTTACAATGTGTTAACCAAATAATGCATGTTTACAAAAGATTTAGAGTTTGTTTTTGGAGAAAAGAATCGTGGTACCCTTGCCAACAAAAGCAGAGCAGTATGTACAGTTAGTAAATCTTTTCTTAGCTGCAAAATTAGCGTCAAGTTGCTTGAGCCCGTAAACTACGTCAGCATAAGTCACTCTCATTAAATTGATGTGTGAAGGTAGTATTCTTAAACAGCAGGTTGCTCCATTCTGATTTTTTTTTTTAATCAGTCAAATAATGAGGTGGGGGTAGAGTTGCTTAACCAGGCCAAGGGAAAAAGAAAGCGGAATCATCTTAAAACGGCCATCCCGGATTTAATAGCCTACAACAAAACCCTAAGCAGGTCAACTTCATGGTTCAGCAATTCCTAAAAGCCTTGTCTACTTCTCCAAAGCTTATCGGTGACGGCTGGTGTATAAGAGCTCCCAATGAGGACTGATTTACAGCACTGAAGGGCTTTGCAGTGACAAAGGAGGGCCAGGGTCCTCGAGTGCTTTCTGTATTTTTAAGATCCCAGAAGATGATGTGGTTCTGTGATAGGAATCTCTTAAACTTTACCATTGACATAAACAGGTCACAGTGCCTGCAAAAGCTTAAGCAGGAGTCAGGAGCAGTCTCTCTCTCTCCTTTTTTTCTGGGTCAGAGTCAGATTTTATCGAGTCAAGCTATCTAATTGAACACAAACCATGTGATAGGACCCAAACAGAGTGTATTAAAAATGAAACAGAAGGAGCCAGGTTTGTCTCAGGCTAGTGCTGTTACACGCGTAAGTTTCAGACATCCCCTGAATACAAAATGATTTTTTTTCCCCCTGCATTGACAAAAGTCCGTCTTGCAGGGGGAAAAAACAGTAGAGAATAAAACAAACAAATCCACACAAACACACAAATCTAGTTTCATGCTAGATGTATCTGTTGTGAAGCAATATGTTGGCTGAATAGGGAAAGTCAGGTGAGTTAAAGTCTTGTGGCAGCCTGATTTAAACCATGGCTACACAAACCAGAGCCCTGTCCAGATCTCAGGAAAGTGAATTATATATAATAACACTTACAGTTTCCTACTACTATTAGATTTGCCTTCTTACATAAATGCTTAAGTTATGATAAAAAACAGGGCCATGTCAGTTCCTTTCAGTCTCAGCACATTTGCTATTAGCATAAGAAATGCTGCTTATGGCAGAGCTAGTCGGGCTTGAAATTTCTGAATTAATGGATTTGATTTCCTCTTGAGACAAACCATCAGCCTTGCAGTAATGGAAATAGATATAGTTGGTAAAACAAATAAAAAGCTGGCATGCAGATAAAATGGGTTTCGGTTTAAAATAGTAATGTTGTAATTGAAGTGAACAATTACAGGGTTGCTCCTAGGCACAAAAGAAATACCATGAAAATGAAGTAATGTTTTTGTTAAGTATAGTCATTTCATGAAAATGTAGAGCTGCAGATGTCATTGTCTGCCAAAGGGAAAACTATACTTATTCTTCTATACAAAGATCATTTAATAACATTTGGCTAATTTTAATAATAATTGCTAATATTAACCCTATATTTCACTGGGAGTTTGAGGACAAAGGCTCCCTCCCCCGCCCTGTTCTTTCCCTGTCTTGGTAGTGAGCCAGGGAGAGCAAGTTCCTGTAAAAAGCCATTGGCAATGTGCTATCAAATCCCCACCCCCAGCAGCAGTCTACTCTTTTTTAATGTCTTATTTCTCTTTCTTTGTCAAGCATCTGTTATCAGGAATGGAGCCTGTTAGCTGGCAATTGGAGGTGCAGGAGGAACTGGAATAAAGAGGGGAAGGAGAGTGGGAACGCCAGGCAGGACAGGAAAGTGGGCTCTGGAATGTTCACATTTGATCCCCTGCACATTCTTTCTTTTTTTTTTTTCCTTTGGTCTGTTGCAACTTGTCTGTGAACCATACGAAATTCAGAATAGAAACTTCCATTTTTAGAACTTGAAATCTTTTCATTTTCATACACACACAAACGGAGGCAGCCAAGGCCACAGGATATCACAAGAAACATAAGTGTCTCATTGACTCTGAAAAGACAGTGACACAAATACACTTTCACAAAATGCTCAGCTGGGTCCCAGCCTGCCACTTGGCCCTTTCTCCCACTCCTCCGTTTCATTGCATTGAAGGAAGAGACATGCACTGTGTTTCCTCCTCAGGTTTTAGTAATTAAAACAATATTGTAGCTCTTTGAAGTTTTATTTGGAAATATACTGCGCTTTGTTCCCTCCAATGCTGCCTGGCTCACACAGCCTATTTGGCGCATTTGGCATCTCTTTATCCAAGGGAAGCGCTTTTCCCGGGGTTGGTATTTTTTTTTTTTTCTTGGCATCACAGCATTGAAGAAGGCACAGAGGAGTGAGAAAATGAAAGTCCCCCTTAACAAAGGATTGAGCTGTGACTTCTTAAGAGAAAAGGTTAAATTGACTGGCTGCGTGTCTTGGAGTGAAACAGGAGAAGGGCTGCTTCCCTTTTTACTCACCGCCAGTCAGAATAATTCATTTCCTAAGGCAGCCTACCTGTGACAGTCACAGGTGACCTCCCAGCCTGCTAAGCTCGGATGATTTCCCCTTCCCATTGCCCGAGTGCAGCTCCTGCCAGAAGACAAATGTACTGCAAGTCGAAGACATATCTGTAGTGCGGAGGAAAAGCAGCCTGTCTACATATGTCATTTTAAAGCCTCGCACGGAGATTTTACTGCTTTCTTCACACTCTCACACTTACATAAATACACCCACACAGTACAGGCAAGTTCCCCAGACTCCCAAGCGTTTCTCTCCCATTAGGAGACATTTTAAAACAAATTAGCACCCTCCCCAAAAGCCTATTGGCCTAAATGTGTTTATTACTTTGTTTGCTGTTTTAAAAACTCTTCCTAAAGGCGTCAAACGAGGCTGGGGAGTTCCTACAGAATTAAGCACACCCTTCGTCTGTTGAGGAATATACACATTCGACAAAGACTGAAATCTCTCTTTTTTTTTTTCCTCTTGACACAGCGGCTGGTGACACATAAATGTACTTTTTTTCCTTTGACAGAGTAATAAAAATCTCATTATCTCTGAATAGGCAGCAATTTCGTTATCTAATCTTTTTACCAAAAGGTTAGTTAATTAATCAGAAACAAATCCTGATGATTATTTCAATAGAATTAGAAAGACAAATCACCAGAGTACAGCTAAATAGGGCAGGCCTGCGGTTTCACCTGCTCATTGCCATGCAGGCCCCGTGACTGTCAGGGCTCCTCCAGGCAGACAGCCTCCGGAACAGCAGCCAGCAGATGGCTGCGCCGAGCGGCCAGCCTGCCTCCGCTCCAATGCCTGTGATCCCATTACCTCACTGAATCCGTTACCAGGGTAACTGTTAAATTGCTGTGAAAGGCATGGTAATAAAGTAACCTGTCACATTGGCAATAAAAGGAGCAGAATTTTCCTGTTCACTGAACTTTGCAGCTCATCAATACTCACTTGATGGAGAAATTCACCACTACTCCTGGGTCAGCCACAGGAATCTTTCCATAAGGCTTCTGAAATGCAAACGAAAGTTTATGTAAACACAAGAAAAGATAGAATTAAAAGCTGGATTCTTAGCTGCACAGAGCAAATGCTTCTTTTTCTGTGCAAGGGCTCTGGGAGCTTGAAGAACATCAGATTGCTCCCTTTGTTTTTGTTGTTTTTTAATTTAAAGCATGCTAGATAAAAATAACCTTTGCTGGGGAAAGACAGCTGTGATTAATTCAAGACTGGGAAAACAAAGCACGAGGAAAAAAATCCTTTGTTCCTAAAATCTGTCTTTCTTTTTTTCAGATGCTATCTTACTGGCTCTTTTTATTAAAGGGTCAGGGTGCTTTAAAAAATGATTTGGATTTGAGAGTTTTTTTTTTTTTTGTTTTTTTTTTTAAGAATGGAGAGCCTTGGTTTTCATAAGCATAAGGAGTTGAAAACAGCAAGCCCCCTTCTTCCAGCCCACCCCAACAGTTAGGGCTCATCAGTTCTAACTGCAAAGAGATGAATGTGTTCTGAATGTATGGTGTGGTTCTGTCTCCCCCTCCTTCTATAAATGCCCTTCAAAGATTTCTATGTCATGGACTCTAGTGGTGACGCTACCAGGTATAAGATTTACTAGAGTTAATTGAGTGGGGTTCTTTGAAGTAAGAAAAGAGAATAGCCAAATGCTTTCTCAGTATTAAAGAATAAGCAATAAGTTGAAAACCCTATTTACCTCAATTACATTTTGCAGCCAGACCTACAAACATACATGGAAAGTGGGAGTGGGGTATATCTATGCTGCCCTCATTACTAGGCATTTGCAGACTTCACGCTTTTGGCTCCATTTGGTGCTGTCATTAATTAGTCAGTATTAACCTTAGAATACTTTAGAGCTTGCCTATTGAAATAACTTTGGGCACACTCCTTTTTCTCCCTCCCTCCCTTTCACTTGCAAGTGCTTACAGCTTGTTAATAAAAAACTGACAGTATTTCTTTGACCAGCCAGCAGCAGACATAAATCGTACTTCTAGTTGTAGCTGCAACCCATGAAAAGAAATGCCTCCAAACAGGAATTGTCCTCATTACAGGCTGCCCAGCATGGAATTACTGCAGAGCCTCACTGGCTGGCCACATCAGATAGAGCCTTCGACTGGCATCTTAGACAGGATAGAGCTTTTAGGAATGAGGTGGCAATGTGCTACACATTAAAAAGTAGATGAGCTAGTTTTCAGTTAAAATCAGGAAAATGAAGGCTATGGCTTCATGGTATCCAAATTTGTTTAAAAATGGAAAATATTTTCTATCCTGTTGAAAGCAATTCTTAAATATAAAGTCACAACACACACATATATGCATATACAAACACACAATGTGAATTGAATTGTAAAATGTGTATTCTACTACTGATATTTAAAGTGTTCCCTGTAATTATACTTCTCACCCTTCTGCATTTTCATACGGTTCCAAGGAGAGAAAGAAGTAGAATTACAGAGGTAATTACTTGTGAACAACCTCTCCTCCCCCCAGTCATATGCTGCCATCACTATGAAGGTTTTCCATGGGTGTCAGGGAAGGAGGCTGTCTTTTTCTACACCAGAGATGGTCCAGCTAAATTTGGAAGAATAAGAACTAGTTTATATAATAGCTAAAAATGAGCTAGATCTTTAGATCAGGTGCTGTAAATACCAATGGTGCCACGAGAATTACATAAATGTGTGAGGTCGGTTGGATGTGAGAAAATGGAAGATGGTGGGCTTGTCATCCACTGGATAATCTATTCCTTCTTTAAAGGGGACAGTATTATTTAACTGCCATCTACTCTTTCCATGTAGCTAAGGAGAGTCTCCTGTCATCACATCTCCCGACTTTTCAAGAGAGTCAGCCCCAGATAAAAACTTGAATCGAATTATATTAGTTTGCTGGAGCAGCAATAACAAAGTATTAAAACTGAGTAGCTTAAACCAGTGGTCTCCAACTTTTTTAGCACCAAGGACTGGTTTTGTGGAAGATAATATTTTCATGGCCAAGGTGGGGGCTGGCAGGTGGTTTTGGAATGAAAGTGCTCCACCTCAGATCATCAGGTATTAGATTCCCACAAGGAGCACACAACTTAGATCCCTCGCATGCACAGTTCACAGTGAGAATTTAATGCCCCTGCTGATCTGACAGGAGACAGAGCTCAGGTGGTAATGCTTGCTCCCCTGCCGCTCACCTCTTGCTGTGCAGCCAGTTCCTAACAGGTCATGGGGACTGGTTCAGGTCCACGGCCCGGAAGTGGGGACCCCTGCCTTAAACAACAGAAATTTATTTTCTCACAATTTTGGACCCTGGAAGTTCGACATCAAGGTGTCAGCTGGGTTGGTTTCTTCTGAGGCCTCTCCCTGGCGTGCAGACGTCTTCTCTCTGTGTTTTCACATGGGTTTCCTTCTGTGTCTTTTCCCTGATCTCCTCTTATAAAAACACCAGGCATTTTGGATTAGAGCCCACCGTAATGACCTCATTTTAACTTAATTAATTCTTTAAAGACCCTATCTCCAAATACAATAATGTTCTGAGGTACCGAAGGTTAGAACTTCCTATAAATTTTAGGAGAACACACAATTCAACCCATAACATCAGTGTAGGCCAGGCAAAACTTTGTTCCAAGGTAAATCTTGGCAATGATAATAATTACACAGTGCTTACAGTGTGAAAGGCATGGTTGTGGGCCTTTTAAAGGTATTAACTTACTGAATTCTCACAGCATCCTTATGAGGTAGGAAATATTATTATTCCTATTTTATGGTGATACATTAAGGCACAGGGAGATTAAATAATTCACTCATGCAGCATCTGGTGATGCTGGGATTGAAGTCCAAGCAGTATCTAGTTTGTAGTTTGTGTTTTAGCTGGGTCAGAGCTTTCATGGTGACAAATGACCTACTATGACCTTGAGGCTGTAGAGTAGAGGCACTTAAGAGCTAAAAGTTAGAGTTTTGTAATTGCCAGAAATGCAGATAATCCTTATCAAATCAGGTTTACATAAGGGTTCTGTGGATGCACACCTATTCTCACAGAATGGGTTTGGCCATTCTGATGAATCAACTGGATTTCTGCTGAATCAACTGGATTTGAAGTAACAAAGTACTCTTTATCGTCTAGAGAAGGTTCAGAGACTGAAAGAAAGCAAAGTTCCTTAAATTAATGCTTTGGAGCCAAAGATATCAACAAGAGTCTCTGAGTATCTGAGATAATTACTAGGACAAAGTTTGGAAATTTCGGGAAATGCTGTAATTTGTGTTTGTTTTGGTAAGTGTTGTTGCTACTTATCTTTTCAGCCACCATTAGTATAAAAATTAAAACTGAAAAAAGGTTTTAATCTATTTTCCAGATCTATAAACTAAGAATAATCTGGAGAGGTCAATTCCTAATTAGAACCTAGTATGGAAGACTAGGATCCTAAAACTCAGTGGTAACTCCGAAGAGTAAAAATCTACCCCAGAGCTATACGTGAAAGATTGGAATTTTACAAGGAGGTTTGCATTTTAAAACTGGTTGCTGAGATTTCACCAGGTGAGGACATCTCTGTGCATCTTTCCGACATCTTTCTATTTATTTTTCCTCTATCACCTTTTTCTCTCTCCTTTTTTTTCTCTCTCTCTCTCTCTCATAGTTACGTGGAAGGGTAAAGCAATAAGAAAAAAATGGATTTATTCACATTTTCTCTTCCTCTTCCAATGAAATGAAGTAATTTCTCCACAGGGCCGATTATGCCCAGTTAATTGATTTTCTTAATCAGATATTTTGGAAAAACAATTGAGCTTTGTGAACTTCTGGATGTTTTTCTCACTGGAGATTTGAGAGGCACACACCCACTGTTCTTTGTATTTCTAGACTACGTAATTGGAGCATATATCAAGGCAATTTTTTCATACCTTCTATTTTCATGTAATTTTCCTCCTTGAGTGATTTTTTTTTTCTCACTTCTCGTGTGCTTACACTAAGGCATTACAGGGAATGACAATTCTGCTTGGAGCCTGTGAAACACAGCAATTTGAGGCTGTAATGCCTAAAACTGTTATTGCAGGTCCAAATGGGACTATATTATATAATTGTGATGTCTACCAACTTAGAGCAAACTCTCTTTTTCTTAATGTAAAAAAAGACATTTGATTTGCTAACCAATTATGCGATCATCATAATCAGCATTTATTTTAACTTGGCTGAAATCATGTCCAAAACTGAAGAGAAGCAAGTATGAAGAGAGTGGGGATAATGAAGGGAATAAATAAAACAATTTTGATATGATGTATTAACCTAAGAAATACAGAGATGTTTTTGAATTACATTTTTCCTTCAAATTCTCTTTGAATCATGATGTGATTTAAAAAAACTATCTACTAGCACTTAACATATTTAAATTTTCAAGAGTATTCTCCTAGTCTATTCTTTTTCCTCCTAGTTACTATTACTACAATTTGGTGGCAATTACAAGGTGACAAATTAACTCTAGTGCTTTGGAACAATGGTGATGCTAAAACATCTCAGCTTCCCTCTTACCAATTTTCAAAATAAAATAGTTATGCTATGCAAGGAAGTGGCTGAAAGAGCACATTTATGTATGTATTTGTGTATGATAAAAAGATTGGGGCATGTGTTATATTATTCGATTAGTTATGGGTAGCAGGATCCTGGGTAATTTTTTAAAACTCTGTTTATTTGTTATTTTCAATCACTAGATATAGACACATATATAGATGACTACTCCATCTCTGTCTCCAGCTTCAACATCTTGAAGCCATCAGCTCTTACCATCTCTCATCTAGATATTCTTAAATGGGAGTTTAGGTAAACTAAAAGATTCCAATCTGAACTGATTATAATATCCCCAGATTCTTCTAGTTCCCATATTTCTACTCACATAATTATTTTCCTTTCAGCTACCCAAATCTAAAGCCTGGCAAATCTAACTCTCGGTTTCTGGTCTCTTGTTTCTCACAAGTAATCAGTCAACTCTAATGGGTACCATCACCTCACAGTCTATAGATCACAGACTTCCCCTCTGTTATCTGTAGGACTAATACCCAGTTCTCTGTTATTTCTTATGCTAACTGTCACAATAAGCAATCAATTAATCAGTCAGCTAGCTCTTAAAACATATTTTCCCTCTCAAGTTAAGACATTTGTAAAGTTTTAGACACAGTTCTGTCACAACCTCAATTGAGGGTAAACATATTATCAGATAGAGGATTTTTCTTAGATGTGCTAACTAATGGTAAATAATTCTCCAATCTGTAAATTATTTTTGTGGGAACTATAGGCATTTTGAGCCATGATCTTCATCCATGATGATTAAGCCTGCATAAAAATTCCAAGTAGTGCCAATTTGCCGTACCTGGTACTCTAAACAAGCTTTTTTTTTTTTTTGGTTTTCATACCATTCACTAAAATGTAAGATAATTGAGTGAAAGATTAAAAGAATTATTTTATAAAGCCTATCAATACAGCCAGATCTAGTAAGTATTGTAATGGAAATCATTTTGATGTTCAATGGGCTTGATAAAGGAAGATGAATTTGTTGAAACTCAACCATGGATGAAAAATGAATTGTGACATGGCAAACATTGCCCACATGAATTTCTAGGGTCAGCTTTGTAGCTGACTACCTGATCAATGAAAGTTTTACTGTAAAGAGCCAAATGGATCGAGTCATGGATAGCTTTCTTCACCTCTAAGCAGTTGCACGACAAGGTATTTTTAAAAAAATTTATTTTATATGAAAGACGCAATCTTTCTATTAAGAAGAAAATTGGGGGCCGGGCGCGGTGGCTCACGCCTGTAATCCCAGCACTTTGGGAGGCCGAGGCGGGTGGATCATGAGGTCAGGAGATCGAGACCATCCTGGCTAACAAGGTGAAACCCCGTCTCTACTAAAAATACAAAAAATTAGCCGGGCGCGGTGGCGGGCGCCTGTAGTCCCAGCTACTCGGGAGGCTGAGGCAGGAGAATGGCGTGAACCCGGGAAGCGGAGCTTGCAGTGAGCCGAGATTGCGCCACTGCAGTCCGCAGTCCGGCCTGGGCGACAGAGCGAGACTCCGTCTCAAAAAAAAAAAAAAAAAAAAAAAAAAATTGGGTCATTGAATTATTCAGAAACTGAATGGTTATATAATAATCAATCAAATGTAGATATTCTGGTCACTTCCTGTGTCTCTAGTGGCTATTAAGAAGGCAAGGAGAAACTTATTTTTCCTATGGGATGCACTTCCAACTTTCTTAAGAAAAACATCAAAGAAACATATACCTATTTTTCTGCTTCAGAATCCACCAACATCATCTGAACTCAGCAAAGCCACAAAGCATAGGATCTTCCACACTGATTAAAACTTAGCTAAGGAGGTTATCACTACTGAATTCCATTCTACCTGAAATTCTCTACATTTTGCATTCAAATTTAAACATAAATATTATTTACAAAGCCATTAAAATATTCAAATGCTATTTATGTTCTCTTTTTCTCCTTCTAACATAGAAACAAAAATATTTAAAGTTTTTGAAATTCAATCCAGTGGTGATTATTGAATTAAAACCATATTTAGAACTTTTAAAAAATTTAGTAACATTTTCTATTTCTGTTTTACAATCAAGAAGTCCAGAATGGGAAAATAAGTTTTTTTTTTTTTTTTTTTTTTCTTAAAGAAAAAAACCAACAAAGCATATATGGGCCTTCGGAGAAAACAGCCTTAGTGTCCTTATTTATGAAGAATTTTTTTGAAAGAAAATGGTAGGAAACCCTAAATGATAATTTGATCTTCAGGCTGTCAACTAACTCTGCCCAGACTATCTTTCATTTATATATGTGTGTATATATATGAAATGTATATATGTATATATGAAATATATATGTGTATATATGAAATATATATGTGTATATATGAAATATATATGTGTATATATGCATATATGAAATACATATGTGTATATATAAGTGTATATATGTGTGTATATGTGTGTGTGTGTATGTGTGTGTGTGTGTGTGTGTGTGTATATATATATATATATATATATATATACACACTCAGCCTCCTGAGTAGCTGGGACTACAGGCACGTGCCACCACGCCCGGCTAATTTTTGAATTTTTAGTAGAGATGGGGTTTCACCATGTTGGCCAAGATGGTCTCAATCTCTTGAACTCATGATCCACCTGCCTCAGCCTCCCAAAATGTTGGGATTACAGGCATGAGCCACCGCGCCTGGCCTCCATTAACATATATTGTTAAGTTTACATTGTAAGGATGCTGACAACAAAGCTTTTTATCTTGAAATATAATGTTCTCTCATAGAAACCTAACTTGAAAATTTATGGAGACTTTGGCTGTGTTCAAGTGGTTCTTTCTCTGTGTTAGCTTTTGAAAATATTGGTTGGCAGCTATATTTTTACAGTCTTATTTATATGTAATAGAGCAAGTAGAAGGTCATAGAAATCTAAGCTTGGAGCCATCTCTACCTGTATGGAGGTATCTCATATATCCCTTGAATTAAGGTAAGTATTATGTATTCTATATGTGTTAGTTCTATATGTGTTAGTAAAGCAATTAAAAACATCATTTTTCTACTTTTGACTTTTTATTTAAAAAGATGGTTAAGGAAATAATCAATAGCAAGATCACAGAAGGAAAAAAGTCAATAAAGCCTCTAATGATTTGCAATAAGTGGTGTAATTTTGAGTGTAAATACAAAATACATTTTAAAATCACATACTTGGAAAAGTGTCCATATTTCATATTTACTATACTGTGTTAATTTATAGTTGTGTTTTCATTCTAGGAATGAAAGTACATACAAAGCCTCAGGCTGAAAAGTTCTGATTATTAGCAATGATAGTAAGGATTGTTCATAATATACAGTATTGAACAGAGAAAAAGATCTTAGATTTTTATTGGCTCTGCTGTTTTGCAATACAAATGCAAACTCCCTAAAGAAATGAGATGTGTCAAGTAGTGCTTGAAACACGGCCTCTTACAAACATAGGGAATGATTATTTCTGCAAGTTTCAGTTTGCAGCAGCACCATATGCAGTGGCAGCTGAGCACTGGGAGCTTGGAGACCAGGGATCTTTTGGAACCCAATAAAGAAATTGTGACTTGCATGCAAAGTGCTAAAGAATCACTTTTCCGTAGTTCTAAATTATGCTGAGACTTCAAGGGGATAAAAAAGAACAAAGAAACATATTGCATTTCCAACCTGATGATCTTTAACAGAGAGCTAAGCAAATTAAGATGAAATTAATTATATGTAAAATATCCCCCCACCCCAAATTTTTCAAATAATATTGAAAAATCCTTTTCTGCAGCAGGCAGTGTAGTGTCAGCTACATGTCTTTGCTCATTAAAAATAATATCATTTTTATTGTGTCTTCTCAACATTATCAAAAGATTCAAAACCATGGTGAAAGATCAAGGAGAAAATTTATTCCTCAGGTGTTGACTCTGTTCCCAAGTCACTCAAGCATTGCTCCATTGCTCTGTGTCAGCCTCAGAACACTCAATTCAATTATAAGCTGCAGCCATGAGGGATCATGTTTTAATCTGTGTATAAACAAAGGAATAAAATAAAAACATCACATTTACAAATTCTAAAGATGCTGCTTTTTATAATCTGAAACCAGGAATTATTGCAATCATATTACTTGATTCCCATAATGGGAAGAAATAGGGCACATCTGCATGTAAAGCCAGGCATCCCTACTACAAATGACATACAATTAATGTGAAAATCATCACCCACTAGAAGCAAAAGGAAGACATCTAAGAATGCCATACAGTCGTGTATTTAACAATAGCTGTCATGTATTAAAAGACGCACATTTTCACATTATTGCTTTTCTAAAGAACCTGATTCATTTAGTTTCCCGAAAATAGGAAAAGAATCAGAAAAAGTAAGCTCAGTTTTCTAGCCATGGTCTAGCCCCTTTTAGGTAGGTTTCTGGAATCTAAATGCAGGACCATAATTCTGCATGATTTTTTTTTTTTTTTGAAAATGAAAACTGCTTTGGGGAAGAGTGGTTACCACCGTCAGTGTGCTAGTTATCTAGATGTAAACAAGAACCCATAAAATCCTCTCACAATCTAATGACTTGTTGTAACCCACCTGCCACCTACCTGAATCATTTAGTATACCTCAATAAAAACTGTATTACTTTAACACTAAATGTGATGAAGACTTTATGCTGGCACTTAATTATAGCTCTCTGCACTTTGTTTTTGTTGCATTTCCTTTGAGCATCAGTTTTGCATATTTTGAAAAACAACAAGCTAACATCCAGGAAGAGATATTAGAAATATTATAACATAGCCCAGGGGTCCCCAGTCCCAGTGGGCTGGTAAGAACCGGGGCCGCACAGCAGGAGGTGAGCAGCGGGTGAGCATTACTGCCTGAGCAACGCTTCCTGTCAGATCAACACTGGCATTAGATTCTCATAGGAGTACCAAACCTATTGTGAGCTGTGCACGCAAGAGTTGCCTGCTCCTTGTGAGAATCTAAACTAATGCTTGATGATCTGAGTATCTGAGGTGAAACAGTTTCATCTCTAAAGTATCCAACACCCAGCCCCCACCTCCCACCCCCACCTCCCTCTGCCTTCCATGGAAAAAACGTCTTCTACGAAACCATTCCCTCACGCCAAAAAGGTTGGGGACCACTGACATAGTCTATACATAATGAGGATTTTTTTTTTTCAAATTGTAGGACAAGCACAAAACTCTCACTGGCTTCTATTTCCCTGCAACATTCCAAGTGAAGGAGAATTCTTCTATCAGAAAATGATCAGTCTGCAGTGTTGGCATACTGGTATTTGACCATAGAGGACTGAGGAGTCTCATTTTTACATGACCTTTATTTCCAGGAGGGGTATATTTATTTAATTTCTCATAGAAAAAAGTCTATATAACCAGATAGCTGCATAGCCAGATGACCTTTTATTGCTCCTTCAAATAGGTCAAAATGAGCAGTGATTCCTGTTATTGGGAAATAATCAATCAGTGTTTTTTTTCTTTTTTTTTTTTAAAGAATAGAATGTTATTGTGAACTTTTGTGTGTAACAGAGAAGTGATAATTTGTTCATGTTTGAAAGATATTCCCTCAATGTTTAAATCAATAATCAGCCAAATGGGAAGATTGCAGCCGTGCTTGGTGCAGACTTCCTACCATTAGTGCCTATCTTTTTGGACCCGAAGAACTTAACTGTGTTGGTCATGGGTCTTACTTAGGGTTGGTCAAACCATTTAGCTGGGCTGTATTTACTAAAGTCTAATAGGCAATAGAACGAGACCAATACATGTCAAAAATTCACATTTGAAGTGAATCTCAACCACGGCTGAGGCTTACATTTGGTTTCTTCTCAACTGTAAAGAAATGGAACATCTGGGGAGATTATTCAGATACACATTTTGATATTCCACCGCAACGTAAGGTATTAAAGGAATGCACTTTAAACAACTGTGTTTAAAAGGGGGGACAATTCAGTTCTATTCACTCTGTAGAAACGGAAAATATTTCATCTCAGTATTTCTCTTATATGTGTATGAGATAATGCTAATACTTATACTCAATAAATAATATGAGTGACATAAATTAATATGGGCATAAATGAATACTAATGCCTAGACAAAATGAGTGATTTGCCTTGCTTTATTGATTGGTTTACAAATTATGTTTACTGTCATATAGAAATTGTAGCTGCCTTGAACATGGCTAGTTAATTTGCTACATTAATCTGATGGTAACAGAGCTTAATTTCTCTGAGTCTTATCCAAAATAAACACGCCTGAATTTCACCATGGTGGTAGTTCTGAAATGTTCCCACTTCAGCAAAACTATTAATATCTACTGCCCAAAAACATAATTGTAGCAATAACTCTCCACTAAGAAATTGAATTAGTACTTCTAGGTAGAGGAGAGTACAATTTTAAGCATAACTTAAACTTTCAACATGGCTCAAAAATGTCAAAAATCACTGCTTAAAGAAAACCATATAACTCAAAAGCACTCATTCATGATATTGCTATAAATAAGTGCTCTATATCTGCCTTATCACCAAATAGAGTTAGGATAGAGGTGTGTTGTTGTTGAAGTGTGGTATCAAATTGACTCTAGTATTTGAAAGGCAACTTTTATTGAAAATTGAAGATAACCTCTGAAAATCTTGAGTTATAAACAATCTGAGACCTCTGCCCTTTTTGTTGAAAACTTCTGTATTATATGCACCACAAGAGACATATTTACATCAAAAATGGAAACCCTTGAGCCTTGCTCAGTTAGTACAGAAAATGCAATCTAACTTCCTTTGGTTGATGTTTTATTAATAAAAATTGAAAAGAAACCTTCCATGAACTTGTAATTAGTTTACCATGCAAAGTGTTGACAAAAGCTCAAGTTCAGCACTCTGGATTTCCCCCATGCTTGGCTGAATGAGAACAGTTCCTGGGCAATCATGCTGGGTCATGAAACTAATTGTGCTTTGTGAGGGTGAAAATTCTCAATTTCCGAGCAGGGGACACTGCTGCATGACGGATGAATGTTAGAAATGTGGGATGCTGTGCTCTTTCATCTCTGTCACTGGATATTTATTCTGACTCGGCTTCTAAATTATTCATTTTCTTTAAGCAATCAATATTAATAATCTGATTTGCTCCCTGGCATTTTTAGTCACACTTCTGTTTAACTGACTGTAAATAAAGGTCACTTGGAGGCTTCCTGCTGCTGTTCAGAAGGTCCTTGCCTAATTAATTCCCGACACTTTTTTCCCTATGACTGTGATTAGCAGCTGCAATCAGGTTGAGCAATTAGCTGCCTCCTTGCACTGTGATTTGCTCAGTACAGCCCCCAAGATGAGGCTCCATTCGGTCATTCAGTCTTTACTCTTAAAAAGTAGCTTGAGTAGGGAGGATTTATTTTTCACTTCGAGGTTTACAAATTTGCAGATAATTACAGAGGAGATTATTAAACCCATCTGCCAGCTGCTTTAGTCATCTCCCTGTTTAAGGTCCTCAAATCCTGAGCACCTTGGGAAGAGCACAGCTTGCTGGTGTTCTGGAACCAGAAAGGTTGGGGTTGCAATCCAGGCCTCCCTACTTACAAGCTCTTTGACCTTGGGCAAGTTATTTACTATCTCTGTCAATTAAAAGAAGCCCTCCCTCAGGGTTTGTAGTGAATATTAAATGATGCTAAATTCACAAATGGATTCAACAAATGTTTATTAAGAACTAGAAAGTTCTGGGTACAGGCTGTTTTGTAGAAACATGGTATGATGGTGGTAGAGAAAGAGAATGAATATGTAAGCAAACAAGTATATCCATAAATTGTGACTAACCTTGTGAAGGAAAAGAACTGAATGCTATGAGAGAGAGAATGTAACTTTAGATTGGGTGGTTCAGGAAAGCCTTGCTGAGGAATAACATTAAGTTGTATGTGTTCCAGGGTAGAAAGAGTGTGTATGTCTGCAGTGCAGTGAACTCTAGCTCAGCAGGTGGAGGGCACGGTAGGAGACAGAATTGAGATGGTATCTTTGGCCAGCTCACTCATTCAGGGGACAGAATGGCAGAGTGGTTGTGACTGGATTCAAATCCCAGCTCTGCCATTTATTAAATTCATGACACTGAGCAAATCATTTATCCTCTTTATGTCTGCTTTTCCTACCTCATAGGATTGTTGAAGGCACTAAACAGGATTATATGAAATATTCAAACAAGCTTTGAAAACAGTAAGCACCTAGTGATGCTAAATATTATCACTGGATACTGATAAAAAGTTTGTATTATGTTGAGTATGATGAGAGGGCTCTGGCGTGTCTTTAAATTTTTTTAAAAGTCAGGGTGACTATAGCATGAAAAATTATATTGAAAGAGAACAAGGTGAAAATGAAGATTCTGATTGGAAGGCTATATTCTTGCTCTAAGTTGACAAAGTGGAAATGGAAAGATGCAAAAAGAGATAACACAGTCGATGTGTCCAATATACAGTAAGAGCTCAATAAATATTAGTTATCATCACTCTGATAATTTACTCACCCACTAATTGCCATTTATGTTCTTGTACCAGGTGATGATAGGTACTTAACTTTTACTTAGATTATACATTGCTTAATATATGAGAAGTGTAATCATTCATCTAAATTATTCATTTTTAGTTATCCTAGTAGTGTCAGATATATGTGAGCAAATGGGTTATATGAGCATTCATTTTGGGCATGTTTCTAAAAATATGAAGAAGCTGGGAGGCAGCCTAAAAGGACTATTCCATGTGTTATGCCAAGTTGTGGCTGGCAATGTAGTAGCTCAAAACCGGCAGAACGGGAAGTGGGCGATAAGTAGGGGTGAGAAGCGTGAGGTCTGAAGCAGTGAAGGACAGTGATCCAGGTTAGGATGGAGGCAGGACACACTATGGTTGGGAGCAGGTAAGATTCAGAAATCAGGAGGATGCAAATGAGGAGCAACCCGGGTTAAAGCAGTCAAGAAGTAGGATGCACTGATTAATATATTCATTTATTTAACAGTTATTTGTTAAATGCTTACTCTATGTCTATTCACTTTTCTGGGACCTGGGGATTCAGACACAAAGGACAAAAATCTGTGGCCTCATGAAGCTTACATTCCTGAAAGTGAAAGCAGATAACAGGAGGTAAATTAGTAAATTGCTATGTAAAAAATGATAAGAAAAATACAGTGGAAATAGACTACTATTTGATGGCTTTCACATACGCTGATGAGATAGAAGCTAATGGAGGGTTCTGAGAGGAGGAGTGACATGATTTATGTTTTAAAATGATCCCTTTGGCTCAGAATAGACTGTAGGGTCAAAGATCAGTTAGGAGGTTGTTCTAAAACTCTGATGAGAGAAGATAGTGACTTGAACATGAATGGTAGCAGCAGAGGGGCTGAGAAGTGGCAGGATTCTGGATATAGTTTGAAGATAGAGCCAATTGGATTTACTGCTGAATGGGATGTAGGATGTGAGAGAAAGATGCAAGTCTTCGGCAATGTGCTAGAACCAGCTCACACCAGTTAAGAAGAGCTGATTGTGCCATCTCTTCTTAATGCTACTCACAGTGAAGTCATAGTTAGCTTAAAAACATAAAATGAGAGAACATTTACACTATGGAAACCAGTAAGTACTCTCTCTCTCTCTCTCTCTTTTCATATGTGTGTGTATATATATAAATACACATAGTTGACCCTTTAATAACATGGATTTGAATCATGCATGTCCACTTATATGTGGATTTTTTTTTCAGTAAATATATTGGAACATTTTTTGGAGATTTGCAACAATTTGAAACAACTTACAAATGAATTGTGTATCCTAGAAATATCAAAAATTAAGAAGGTAGGTATATCATGAGTGCATAAAATATATATAGGCATTTTTCTATCTTTTACTATCATAAAATATACACAAATCTATTTTTAAAAGTTGCATTTTATCAAGAATTACACACACACAGACTTTACCTGGTGCTATTTAGTCAAGAGAAATGTAAACAAAGATAAAGAGGCACTACTGAATTATAACTGCATAAAATTAACTGTAGTACATACTGTACTACTGTAATAATTTTGTAGCTATCTCCTGGTGCTATTGTGGAGAACTCAAGTGTTATAATATCTGCTTAAAATACCCTGTAATGCTAATAATCTCCACATGAGCAGTTTGTCTCTCCGGTAAATTGCTTATTGCAATAAAAAGTGATTCTCGTGGTTCTCACATATTTTTCACTGTATTTAGTGCAATACTGTAAACCTTAAATAACACCATAGGACCCACATGGAGTGCCACTAGTGTTGCTGAAAGTGCTCCCAAGAAGCAGAGAAGAGTCATGACATTACAATAAAAAAGTTGAATTGCTTGATAATGCACCACAGATTGAGATCTATAGCTGTGATTGCCCACTATTTCAAGATAAATGCACCCAGCATATGGGCCACTGTAAAAACAGAAAAGGAAATTCATGAAGTCGCCATTGCATCCATACCACCATATAGGAAAACTTTTGCACCTTTTGTGAAATATCATTTTATCTCATAATGACAATGCAGCTTTTATGTGGGTACAGGAATGCTATAAGAAAGGCATATATATAGACTCCAATATTATGTGAAAAAAGCAAAGTCATTATATGACAACTTAAAGCAAAAGGAAGGAGAAGAATCTAAAGCTAGAGAATTTAATGCCAGCAAAGGATGGTTTGATAATTTTAGAAAGAGGTTTGTCTTAAGTAATGTTAAGATAACAAGAAAAGAAGCTTCTGCCAACCAAGAGGCTGCAGACAAATTTTTAGACACCACTAGGAAAATCATTAAGAAGAAAGGATATCTGCCCGAACAGGTTTTTAACACAGACAGGAGTGTTCTATTTTGGAAAGAAAGTGCCACAAAATACATTTATTTTTAAGAAAAAAAATCAAGCATCAAGATTTAAGCAGGAAGGGATAGGCTAACTATACTCTTCGGTGTAAATACGGTTGGCTTTATTATCAGAACTGCCCTATTTACAAAGCTGCTAACTCCTGAGTTTTGAAGGGAAAGATGAACATCAGATGCCAGTCTTTGATTGTACAACAAGAAGTCTGAACAATGAGAATACCTTTTCTGGATGGGTTGTGTTGATGCTTTGTCCCTAATGTCAGGAAGCACCTTGCCAGAAAGGGTCTGTCTTTTAAAGTTCTTCTGATATTGAACGATGGCCCTGGCCATCCAGAACACCATGAGTTCAAGACTAAAGGTGTTGAAGTGCTCTATTTACCCCCAAAGACAATATCTCAAATTTAGCCCCTAGATCAGGGGCCACGGATTTTTAAGGCTCGTTACACAGGGTACCTATGGAAAGTATTGTCAATGCTATGGAAAAGAACCCTGATAGAAAAAAAATCATGAAAGTCTGGAAGGGTTACACCACTGAAGATGCCATCCTTGTTATAGAAAAAGCCGTGAAAGCCATCAAGCCTGAAACAATAAATTCCTGCTGGAGAAAACTGTATCCAGATGTAGTGCATGACTTCACAGGATTTATGACAGAGCCAGTGAAGAAAATCATGAAAGAGATATGGCAAAACAGGTGAGAGATGAAGGGTTTCAGGCTATGGATCTTGGAGAAATTTAAGATCAAATAGACACCACACCCAGGGGAATGAACAGAAAGTGGCTTGAGTGACTTGAGAAAATTGTACTTTTCTAAGAAAATCTTATCATTAAATGGCTGAAGAAGGAACCCATTTTTACTTATGGCATTGGAGCTTCCTCTTTTCCTGACAGCTACAAGCCGAAGTATGTGTCCCTCTGCAAGAGCAGATTTTCTTTTGCCTTTCTGTTCTGTTGAGCTGTTCGTTTAATCTTGCAGGGGATCTGACAGCTTTCTCTAGCTCCACAGCACTCACTGAGAAGCACCGAAAGAGAGAAGAAAGAATGCTGATGGCAGCTCCCATGAAGAGATCTGTTATGGGCTATGTGAGCAAAGTCTGCCTGTTTCCCAAGTGTCCAACACTCAGAATTTAGGACTAGAAGTAGCAATTCCAACACTCTGTCTTTATGACAGTTTAGCTAATGAATGTAAGTGTTCAGCATAACCCATTTACTGGACAGTGGATGATTCATATTGAGATGTGCTATAGAAAATGTCAAGTGCTTTTAATTTATGGACTGCATATATAGTTCATGTGGCTAAATTCTCTTCTTCTTGACACAGAGAACAGGTGATGGGTATTCTCAATATACCCTATGTGAATAAGAAAAACATTTTGACAATATACACAATATTGCCCTCAAATGAACTGATTTTTGTGCACATTAGATAAAAGATTCTATTCACTCAATTGGACTTCTTCTCTAGTGACAACACAAGACAGAAGACCTGCTGGAGAAGTTGCTTCCACGTGAGACCCTGTCACTAATGGAACTTATCACCACTTCCTCACAAACACTGTTCTTAGAGCTCATTTCCAGAGGGCCCTCCTCTTCTGTTCCGAACTCTCAGGCATTGACCACTCAATCCTGTCCATTTCAGGTCTCTACCGTTGGCAGACATCTGCTTGGCCTCTCTAACGATACCCACAAATATCCTATAATCACAGGAAAATAAGAGGCTAATGTAGATTCTGGATTCCAGGACTAATAGGAGTTCTTTGTCCCACAGTATTTTCTTTCTTTTTTTTTTTTAAAAACATAATTTTTTTATTTTATTTTATTATTATTATACTTTAAGTTTTAGGGTACATGTGCACAACGTGCAGGTTTGTTACATATGAATACATGTGCCATGTTGGTGTACTGCACCCATTAACTCATCATTTAGCATTAGGTATATCTCCTAATGCTATCCCTCCCCCCACCCCACAACAGTCCCCAGAGTGTGATGTTCCCCTTCCTGTGTCCATGTGTTCTCATTGTTCATTTCCCACCTATGAGTGAGAACATGCAGTGTTTGGTTTTTTGTCCTTGTGATAGTTTGCTGAGAACGATGATTTCCAGTTTCATCCATGTCCCTACAAGGATATGAACTCATCATTTTTTATGGCTGCATAGTATTCCATGGTGTATATGTGCCACATTTTCTTAATCCAGTCTATCGTTGTTGGACATTTGGGTTGGTTCCAAGTCTTTGCTATTGTGAATAGTGCCGCAATAGACATATGTGTGCATGTGTCTTTATAGCAGCATGATTTATAGTCCTTTGGGTATATACCCAGTAATGGGATGGCTGGGTCAAATGGTATTTCTAGTTCTAGATCCCTGAGGAATCGCCACACTGACTTCCACAATGGTTGAACTAGTTTACAGTCCCACCAGCAGTGTAAAAGTGTTCCTATTTCTCCACATCCTCTCCAGCACCTGTTGTTTCCTGACTTTTTAATGACTGCCATTCTAACTGGTGTGAGATGGCATTTATACCATTTTTCTTCCTCCTCCTTGAGGTAACTAACTATCATTATGAAGTTGGTGAATATCCTGCCCGTCAAAAGTCTCAGGCTTTCATGAGGCAGTATAGCATGGCATTGAAGATCGTAGATGCTGGGGCCAGTGCTGCCACTTTTTAATCATGTGACTTTGAGCAAATTCCATTCCTTAACTTCTCAGTTCCTTCATGTGAAAAATGGAAATAATAGAGTCTAGTCCATCTGGTTATTGTGAGGATAAAATTTATTCATGTTTCTAAAAGTTCGTATTAAGCTCTGCGTGAATGTTAGCTATCATTATTATTATTAATATTACAAATATTTGTCCATGTGTATGGTCTATGTTTATATAAAAGGTAGCAATGTAGTTTTTTTTCAGTCAACATTACATCTTTGTGATGTACCCATGTTGATATATTCAAACAGAGTGAATTAATCTTTACTCACTCATTTATAGCATATTCTACTAAATGTTTATATCATAGCTTAGATTCTTTTCTCACTGACTGATAATTTTACTGTGTCTAGTGTTTCCATTATTATATCTGGAGAACCCTTGTATATAGTTCCTGGGATATATACACATCCTATTCATCTTTGTATTGCAGAAATTAGTGTCTTTCCAGACATAGTAGGTGTGGATGAGTCATTGTTAAAGTTAATTGACTTTTTATGTATTTACATCTTGGCTAAGCCCATGGTGAGTTCTCTGAGATAGGAATGATGGGCACAAACTGGATGCTCAATAAACTGCTGAGATCTGGGACACATGAGGTCAGGCACGTGGCTGGCACAGCCAATCTTCCATATGTGAGAGGTTAACATGCTGAGTGAAGGACGTATGTCAATTATTTGAGGAGCATGCGACACTGAAAGTCTACTTGAGCAAAAGAGGGTTGTTTTTAAAAGAGAACCTGTAGGTGACACTCATATTGACATGCCATCGTTCTTGGCCTTCTTTAAAG
Source organism: Homo sapiens (assembly GCF_000001405.40). Classification (NCBI taxonomy): domain Eukaryota; kingdom Metazoa; phylum Chordata; class Mammalia; order Primates; family Hominidae; genus Homo; species Homo sapiens. The sequence goes on from NC_000005.10 coordinate 125,432,019, forward strand.
TAGATTTTGATTCTTCAGCTTGGAAAGACAGGGATATTACTCTAATTTTCATGATGAATTGGAATCGGCAAGCCTCAAAGTTCTAACAAAAGAGGGATGCAGAAAGAACTCTTTGCAGTTTCCCAGTGATATCATGCCAGTCTATGCCTCCAAGGCTTTGCCCAATTCCTTCTGCTTAAAATGCCCTTCCTCCCTGGTGAGCCTCTAATAAACATCTGTAAGAAGGCTTCCAGCCTGCCCTTAGGTTTCTTCATATCATACCGTACTTTTCATATTAATAGTTAAATATTGAAAGTAATTCTGCCTCTAGAATTGATGACTAGCTTATATTGAGCCAACTGTTCTATCAAGAATAACTGGAAGAGTTAGATTAAAAAAATACCTTTTGTTCTAAGACACTGTGGAGCCAGGCAGCAAGGACTGGCAGGGTAAAGGGACTCTGGAGAAGGAAAACCCATTAAGGTGAACATGACATTTTGCACTGCTTTTCCCTTTGGAACATTTGCCAATTTATAGGTAATAAAGCTCTACAAAAAGTAAGGAGATTATAAATACAAAATTAATGCTATTGGTTACCCTTGAGGAAAAGGCAGGGTGTCTTGAGATAGGGCATAAAGGAGGTTTTTAAAGAACAGACTGTATTTTATTTTTTAAACTGGATTGTGATTAGATTGCTAATTGGTTCACTATTTTTCTTTAAATTCTCATATTTACATAATATATATGTGCATATATACAAGTATATAATATATTCTGCATCTGCATTTAGCAAAAAGAAAAGAAAGAAAGTAAAAGAAAGCAGGCCCTCAACTAATAGCTGTTATCCACAGAGAACATATTCCAGACCCCAGCACAATTGTGTACGTCAGCAATTGCCTCTGAGAGCTGCTAGAAAGCCTGCTTCTCACACCCATCTTTAGTAACTTCTGTTATTCCCCAGTGGTAATAGAAATCTCTAGGGCTGGAAGCTCCAAGTTGCTAATTTGTAGGGTTCTCATCCTTAAAATCTGTTAATCAGAAGCACACGTATTAAAATTGCATGTGTGGGCTCATTTAGGGGAGATTACGATATAATATGAAGAAGGTAATGATTAGGTATGGAAATAGAAGAAAGCATGAAGAGTCCAATTGTTCAGAGTCACCAGCATATAAAAATTCTTACATCCATATAGCTTTCTACATATACACAGATAATGATGTGTACATACATAAAGGGATTGTGGGTGTGAAAGTTAGGAAGGATAGATAGATAAGAATAAAATTTGATTAGGAAAGGGTATGGAGATGCTCATTAAGTTTATGAAGAGATAGATATACTTTGTGAGTTAAAGACAACATAAAGAAGTAAACAACAATGAGTAGGGAATAAAATGTAGAGAAGGAAGGAATCAAATAATCAATAAAGCTAACATTGCTTTAGGGGAAAAACTCTACATGAAACAGATTTCTTTTGGAAATCAAAATAGAAGAGGCTGTGGTTTAAACTACAAATTACATCTTGCTTCCAGATTTCCAAGAGTTTTTCCTTCATACCCTGTGATATGGTTTGACTGTGTCCCCACCCAAATCTCATATTGAATTGTAGTTCTCCACGTGCTGTAGGAGGGACTCAGTGGGAGGTAATTGAATCATGGGGGTGGTTATGCTCATGCTGTTCTCATGATAGTGAGGTAATTGAATCATGGGGTCAGTTATCTTCATGCTGTTCTCATGATAGTGAGTTCTCATGAGATCAGATGGTTTTATAAGGGGCTTTTCTTACTTTGCTTGGCACTTCTCTCTCCTGCTGCCACGTGAAGAAGGATGTGTTTCCTTCTCCTTCTCCTCCTGCTATGATGTTTCCTGAGGCCTCCCCAGCCATGTGGAACTGTGAGTCAATTTAACCTTTTTCCTTTAAAAGTTACCCAGTCTCGGGCACACTTTATAGCAGCATGAGAATAGCCTAACACATCCTACCTTAAGAAATAGATAAAGAATGGCCTTGGGAGAAAACTGTTGCCACCAGGCAATTGCCTTTTGACTGGGCACACAGCTTTGTTGTCTCTATGGTTCCTTAATGTCAATATTACTTAATATATAATGCTTCAACTCAGAGAATGAGTAACTCCAAGTGTAACCACATGGCAGAGTTATGGATATTACCTTCAACAACTGAATTGTTAAGAAGGAAGAATGCTTGATCTTAAATCCCTAGAAAAAAACATAATATCTAATATTTCAGATATTTGTCAGTAACCCCTAGTTAATTTGATATTTAACTTTGGTGAAATATTATTCTTGGAATAATATTGGAATAAATACTTCTACTGAATCTGAGAAATACAATCGAAATCACCCAAACTAAATGTCTTTTTCTTAAAAAAAAAGTGGAGGAGGGGGCTCCTAAATGAAAATGATGTACTAAAGATTACATAAAATACAACATAAACATTTTATAAGGGGTAGACAGGAAAGTAATGAGCCTTTTGGGTCAGTAGTAAAAATGCAAGCACCCATTATGCATACAAAGAATCTATCCACATAATAAATAAATATATAAAAATGGACATGTGCATGCAAAGGAGGAGCTTTGACAACTAATTTCTAAACAGAGAGATTCACATCAGAAAATCATTCTTATTATGTTTCTCTCATCAGAACGTTGCTGGCATTTTCTAGCTGAAGGATTTATTTTTACACATTATCATGTATGTTCTCTCCTTGTTTTCTTAGAGACCTTAGGCAAGGTCAAAGAATTAGCATTACTCACTAAAATTTGGTAATTCCTTACCGTGTGAATGATTTCAAGAGGTGCTGCAAATTTTTTAGCAATTTGAAACAAAATTAATTAATTAGCATCTACTTTAATTTTTACAAGCACTTAAAATATTTGCCATATAATTTTTTAGGCAGAAAATGAGTTGTGCTATTAATTTTAAAGGTAAAAAGAGCCTGTTGCAACCCATTAAACCACCCTCCCATCTCCATTTAACAGCAACTTCAAAAGCTAGGGCTAACAGAAATATCCTGTGTCCATCTGATATTTCCACTTCTTCCCTAAAACATAGTGGCTTCACAAAAGTATTTATTATCTCACAGTCTCTGTTGATCAGAAATTTGCGGGTGATTGTTAGGGTGGCTCTGGCTTGGAATCTCTCATGGTGTTGCAATTAAGATGCTCACTGAGATTCCAGTGGCCTTTTGAACCTGTAAGATCCACTTCCAAGACTGTTCACTCCTATAGCTATTGATAGCAGGCCTTTCAGTTCCTCCCTGATTGTTGATAGAAGGCTTATGTTCCTTGCCACACTGCCTTCCTCATAAGGCTTCTAAGGCCTCTTGAGTAGTTTCATGTCATGGCAGCTGGCTTCTTCAGGGGCAGGTGATCCAAGAGAACAAGACAAAAACTACAGTGGCTTTTATAATCTAGCCTCCGTACTCATGCAGTATCATCTCCACAATATCCTATTGACTACTGTATTAGTCTGTTCTTGCACTGCTATAAAGAAGTATCTGAGATAGGGTAATTAATAAAGAAAAGAGATTTAATTGGCTTATGCTTCTGCAGGCTGTAAATGAAGCATAGAGGTTTCTGCTTTTGAGGAGGCCCCAGGAAACTTCCGGTCATGGCGGAAGGCGATTGGGGAATGAGGCATCTCACATGGTGGGAGCATGAGCAAGAGAGAGTAGCGGGTGGGTGCTACACACTTTTAAACAACCAGATCTCATAAGAACTCTATCATGAGAACAGCACCAAGAGGATGGTGCTAAACCATTTATGAGAAATCTCCCCTATGATTCAATCACTTCCCTCCAGACCCCACCTCCAACACAGGGGATGACAATTTGACATGAAGTTTGGGTGGGGACACAGATCCAAATCATATCAACTACAAAATCAGTTTTACTCAATGTGGGAAGGTACTACCCTTTTTGGATAAATTAGGGGTCATCTTGGAGGCTGCGTTGCACAGTGTGCCCTCTGTCTCACAATGACTCACATATTTCCTACATCCAGTATCCACTGAACCCATGGTCAAGACCCCCCTGAAAGCCCCATTTTATTATACCACCAGCTCAAATTCCAGAATCTGTCATCTAAATAAAGACCTCATAACTAACGATACTTCTCAGATATAATTCCTTGAATACAGCTCCCTCTAGTATGGTTTCTTTTGATCATAAGATCTATGAACTATAGAAATAAGTTATCTGTCTCCCTGTACACCCAGCAGATAATGATCATGGGATAGTCCTAGGATAACGATTAAATATACTTTCATTCAAAAAGGGGAAAAATGAGAGGCACACGGGTGTCACTGAAATCCCAACAAACCAATGTTGGAAGTTCCTTCATTAGGACTCAGTTGTATTCCTGTCTGGGAATAACTGTATGGCCCTTCGCTCTGCTCTCTGGGCTCTTGGTTCCATCCCCTCAATTATCCTTCTTCTTCCATGAAAAATAGTCTATATTTACAGCTGCAGTGCTTTCTCAGCCTTCTAGTCAACAGAATCTTGAGTCTAGATGCATTTTAAAAAATTTTATCTTATCTCTATTCCTTCCAGTCCAAGCTGGCAGTGTTTCTGCCAATCTAATAATTAAAAAACAAAACTCTGTGGGCCCATTATGAATCATTTGGAATTTAATCTTTTTATAAAAGCCACACCCACAAACCTATTTACTATCTCAGCCTTTTCTTGAGACTGTGGAGGGGCAACACTTTCAAACTTCTTACAAGTCTTACTGTTTGATTGAAGGTTCTCTGAGGTGCCACCTTAACTCTTCCAAAGGTGTTAATAATGATTTTTACTGCTGCCCCCTTGGCTTTATCCTTAGATCACGTTTGCCTGGCAGGCCATTGGGTTTCATCTTTGCATGGAAATCATTTCTTAATTTTAGTATTTTTGCCATCTGGAAAAATTTTCAGGACCACCAAGTCTTGTCTGTTTTTTGTTTAACAATTTTTTTAGGTTATCTCTTACCTCTTTCATTTTGCTGTAATCAGGAAGAAGTTTGGGAAAACTCCATAGCAGATCATTTTCAATTCATTAATCACATTTCTCTTTTCCACATGACTGCAGGTAATAGTGTTGGTAAACTTTCTACCAATTCATAACAAGAATTCCTTTACCCTCATTCTCCTTTAATGCCTCATAATCAGCCTCCTCAAAAGCCCTCAGGCTTCCCCCCCTACAGTCTGCTCAAGGACCGTTAGGTTTTCACTCTCCTCCCTTCAAAGTTCTTCCACATTCTTCCCACTGCCTGGATTCAGAGCCACTTCCACATATTTAGGTATTTGTTACAGCATTAGGTAGCTATTGTTGCTTAACAAATTATCACAAACTTATGGGTTTAAAAATAATAAACACTATTTCTGATTTTCTGTCATCATGAATTTAGAAGTGACTTAGCTGGTTAGGTCTGGCTTGATGTCTGTCTCATAGTTGCTGTCAAGGTGTTAGTGTGGGCTACAGTCATCTGGTGCTAGAGGGTTCATTTCCAAGATGGTTGATTCACATGATGATTGGGCAGGAGGAATCTGTTTCTTCTTGACTCTTTTCAGGAGGTTTTAATTCCTCACCATATGGCCCTACCCATGGGATTTCCACAGGATTTCTTGAGTTTCTAGCAATACGGAAAGTGTCTTCATCAACAATGATGGTCAAGGAGAGTAAGATAGATGCCTCGATATCTTTTATGACATAGCTTCATAAATTACACATCATCATTTCTTCATTGGCCTGCTGGTTACACAAGTTAGCAATGTTCAACATGGTAGGATACTTCACAGGCTTAGGTCTCAAGATGAAGGAATCATTGCAAGCACAAGGATATTGTTAGCACAAGGATATTTGCATTTGCTTTTGCCTCAACTTGGGCCACCTTTTCATCAGATCTTTGCAAAGGTGACACCTCACCATTTAGGTCGCTGATCAAATGTCACCTCTCAAGACATTCTTTCTTTCCCACCGTATCTTATATTTTCTCAATGCTTCTTTTATATTATACTATTTTACTTTACTTTCTTCATAGCTTTTATTGTTGAGATAATGGCTCAAACGTTTCTGATTACTTTTTTCTTTTCTTTTTTTTTTTTTTTTTTGGTTTGTTGTCTGCCAATAGAACTGTAAGCTTCTGGAGTGAAGGAACTTGTCTATCTTTCTCACTGTTCTATCATCAGTGCTTAGAATAAGGCTAAGAGTTAATAAATATGTGTTCAGTGAATGAAGAAATGCACTCCACATGAATTATAAATTACATTTCTCTTTATAATAGTCTATTTCAAGAAATAATTTAAGCCAATGCAGAAAGACGATGGCATTATCCAATATGGAACAATATACCATTAACAAGGAGCAAGTTCTGAGCTGCTTGGGCAGCTCAATGGAATGTTTTATAATTATTTAGATTCTTTTAACGTTTTCAAAGTGGAGCCACATAAGAATGAATTTTTTTAACTGAGCAAGATTTGAAAGGCCCTGCCTGTTTCTGCAAGAACCTGAGACTCATGCTAGAATATTAAGGCACAGACTACACAGGTTACAAATCAATGTAGAATACCATGGGCATAGTGATGTGGACATGGTAGAGAGCGAATACTTTTCAGAAAATATTAAGAGACCATCTGGCAGAGTCTCATAGAATGTCTAGCAATTGGGAATGTAAAGGAAAGTAAAACACTGCAAACCACTGAATAGCTATGTAATAACATCAAGAATCTATGGATGAGAATCAACAAAATTGAGCAATATGAGGATAGAAAAACTTAAAATTGTCTACTTGTTATTTCTTCGCCCTGCATTCTGTTAGATAATTTTATCAACATAGAAGTTGAGTTTTACATATTAGTCAGGATGTGTTAAATGGAAACCACAGATACACAACTAAAACTAGATTAAACACATACAATTGTTTTTTCTATGTAGCACATCAATCTTCATAATAAAAACAACTGAGAAAAACTGGAGAAAACACAATAACCATCTGTTGGAAATATTGTTAAGCCATCAAAACAGCCAGCCCTTGATGGGCCAACATCTTAGTGAGAAGAGGAATTCACTGAAGTGAACATGACATTCTATGCTGGGTTATTTTGTTGCTTCAATCTATGTGCTGATTCATAAACAGCATTGCTGACAACTAATAAATCGAGCAGAAAGAGTCTACTGAGAAGTATAGAAGCTGAACATAGCCTTCAGCAGTCTCATGGGCTTAGGGAGAAAAATTTTGTCATTCAGGGCTAGCAAGGCAGCTCAAGGTTGGGAGGGGGGTCACAATTTTGAAGAGCAGAGAAACTCAGAGAAGTAAACCTGACAGTGTGAGATGCTGTTCCCTTAAAGAATCTGTCATTCATAAGTGAAACAGACTGAACATCTGGGGAACTGAGCAGATAACAGTTGCTAAGTGCCTAAAGATCTAAGTATACTTATCAGTAGTCCAACTGTGATGAGAGATAAAAATTGGAACTAAAAGCCTACCCAAATTAGAAGACCCTAGTAAACAGTCCAGCCTTCCATTGAGACATCTGAGCTATAAATAGATCAATCCTTTAAAAGTTAATTGTAATATGCTGTGGGTCTCTTTGGATTTATCCTATTAGGTGTCCATTGAGCTTCCTGGATCTGAATTTCTATTTCCTTCCCCAGACATGGACAGTTTTTTGCCATTATGTCTTTGAATGTATTTTCTGTTCCTTTCTCTCTGTCTTTTTAGTAGTCCAAAAATATATGCATTATTTAGCTTGATGGTGTCCCACAAGTCCCTCAAGCTATCTTCACTCTTTTATATATTTTTCTTTTTACTCTTCAGATTGAATTATTTCCATTGATCTGTCTTCAAGTTTTCCTGTATTTTATTCTGCTTGATTTAGTTTGATTTAGAATCCCTCTGTGGAATTTTTGAGTTCAGCTATTATATTTTTCAGCTTTATGATTTCTATTTAGTACTTTTAAATATTTTCTTTTTGTTGAAATTCTGTTTTTTAAGCATTGCTCTTTATACCTCAGTGGCCATCTATATGACTGATTTTTGAATTCCCTGTTAAGTAAATCACATTCTCCTTTTCACTACAGTTGGTTTCTAGAGATTTACTTTGTTCTTTTATTTGGAACACATTACCTTGTTTCTTAATTTTTTTTTTGATTTTCTGGGTTGGTGTCTGCACATTAGATAAGACAACCACCTCTCCCAGAATGAAATATGATCCCAAATCAACTTAGGGTAAGCCTGGATAAAGTTGATTTATTCTGACATCCTGGGTGAAGCTAAAAAGAATCTTCTCCTGGAGGAAAGCCACATTTCCCAAGAATTTTAACTTTTCTTTAAAAAAAAAATCTCACAAGGCATAAAATTCATTAAAAATTCACAAGGCATACCAAGAGATAGAAACAAGCGGAAAAGCAGACAACAGAAACAGTCACATAGCTGATCCAGGCATTAAAATTATATTGACTGTATTTTAAAATAACTGACTATTATGTTCAATAAAGAGATAAAAAGAGAGAGAAAAATGGTGAAGAGGCGGCAAGATTAACTTGCAGCTCCTACTTGGACAGGCAGAGCAGCATGTGGAGACTCAAATTATGAAATTTTTTTCCCAGAACTACCACAGAAACATACCAGGAAAGCTGAGAGAATCCACAGATCCTTTGAAGGAAGTGGCTTGCTGTTGCAGGCTCCTTGAGACAGCCAAAAACTGTGAGTACTCAAAGTGTGAGAGGGGGAATGTCTACCCCAAACACACATTCTCACTGGGGAACCTGAAGGTCCAGATCATGGGAGAAGGATTTGACCTTACCTGGAGTTGAGATGAATTTAGAGAGCTGAGCGAAATGTAGGGGTACAAGAAGCAGCAGGAAGAGCTCTGTAGACACTATTGGTCCCCAGGGAAACAATTCCTGACTTTCAGGGGTCCTTGGGGAGGGCTGCCAGTGGAACTGTGGAAAAACCACAGGGAGAAGGAAACTTTCACATAAACTTTGTAACAATTTTGACCAAATGCATGGTGTCCTGGACAGCATCCGGGGTGGGGGGAGGGGTGAATGGGGAGTGCAGATACAAGCACAGAAACTGCTGCAGGTGGGAGGTGTGAAATCTGAAAGCCCTGCTTACTTTCTCAGTCAGGAGGCTTGTAACCTGGGGCAAGTTCTCAGCCCTGCTCACCAGTTGCCTGGAAATGAACTCAATGCTATTGAGGGGGGACAGTGGGAGTGAGACTGGCCTTTTGGGCTACGTGGGAGCTGGATGAGGCCTGTCGCTTCTGGCTTTCCCCCATTTCCCTGGTGACTGCTACAATGCAGCAGAGGCAGCCATAATCTCCCTGGGGATGTAACTCCATTGGCCTAAGAACCACACCCGCTTCCCCCATAGCAGCTACAGCAAGCCCCGCTCAAGGAGAGTCTGAGCTCAGACACACCTAACCCTGCTGCAACCTGATGGTCTTTCTCCACCCACCCTTGTAGCTGAAGACAAGGGAAATAATTTCTTGGGAGGTCTGTGGTCCCACCTACTACCTGAGAAACCCAAATACTTATCCAGGCAACCCTAGGGCAAACTTGCATCTTCCCTATACTACTGCAGCTGATGCTCTATTGAAAGTGCCACCTCCTGGCTGGAGGCAAACCAACACAAAACCAGCACAGTAAACAAAACTACCACCAAGGACCTTCACGGAGTCCAGTTCACTCTCCTGCTACCTCCACCAGAGCAGGTGCTGGTGTCCATAGCTGAGAGACCTGAAGATGGATCACATCACAGGACTCTGCAGACACTTCCCAGTACCAGCCTGGAGCCTGGGAGCCCCACTGGGTGGCTAGACCCAGAAGACAAATAACAATCACTGAAGTTAGACTCTCAGGAAGCCCCATCACTAGGGAAAGGAAGAGAGCACCACATTAAGGGAGCACCCCATGGGAAAAAGGAATCTGAACAAAGCCCTTGAGCCCTGGATCTGCTCTCTGACATAGTGTATCCAAGTAAGAAAGACTCAGGAAAACAATCCTGGTAATATGACAAAACAAGGGTATGAAACACCCCCAAAAGATCACACTGTCTCACCAGCAATGGAGGCAAAATGAGAATAAATCTCTGAATTGCCAAAAAAAAAAGAGAATTTAGAAGGTTGATTATTAAGCTGCTTACGGAGGCACCAGAGAAAGGTGAATACAAACTTAAATAAATTTTTAAAAAGATACAGAATATGGACAGAAAATTATCCAGAGAAATAGATAGCATAAATAAAACACAATCACAACTCCTGGAAATAAAGGACACACTTAAAGAAATGCAAAATACACTGGAAAGTCTCAGCAATAGAACTGAACAAATAGAAGATAGAACTTTAGAGCTTGAAGACAAGGCTTTTGAATTAACCCAATGAGGCAGAGACAAAGAAAAAAGGATTAGTCCAACAGCAAAATATGACAATCCTAAATATATATGCCCTTAATGCTGGAGCTCCAAAATTTATAGGAGAATAACTACTAGACCTAAGAAAGGAGATAGACAGCAACACAACAATAGTGGGGGATTTCATTACTCTCTCAACAAAGAAACAATGGACTTAAACTATACCCTAGAGCAAATGGACTTAACAGATATTAACAGAACATTCTACCTAACAACTGTAGAATATACATTCTATTCATCAACACATGGAACATTCTCCAAGATAGAACATATGATAGGCCACAAAACAAGTTTTAATAAATTTAAAAAAGTAAACATTATATCAAGCACTCTCTCAGACCACACTGGAATAAAATTGAAAGTCAAATTGAAGAGGAAGTCTTAAAACCATGCAAATACATGGAAATTAAATAACCTGTTTCTGAATGACCATTGGGTAAACAATGAAATCAAGATAGAAATTAAAAAATTCTTTGAATTGAATAATAGTGACACAACCTATCAAAACCTCTGGGATACAACAAAAGCACTGCTAATATGAGAATTCACAGCATTGAAGGCCTACACTGAAAAGTCTAAAAGAGCACAAATAGACAATCTAAGCTCACACTTCAAGGGACTAGAGAAACGAAAACAAACTAAACCCAGATCCAGCAGAAGCAAATTAACAACAATCAGAGCAGGACTAAATGAAATTGAAACAAACAAAAATACAAAAGATAAATGAGACAAAAAGCTGATTCTTTGAAAACTTAAAATTGATAGACCACCAGCAAGATTAACCATAAAAAGGAGAAGAAGACCCAAATAAGCTCGATTAGAAACAAAATGGGAGATATTGTAACTGATATCACAGAATACAAAAGATCATTGAAGGCTACTATGAACACCTTTATGCACACAAACTAGAAAACCTAGAGGAGATGGATAAATTCCTGGTAATATACAACACTCCTATATTAAACTGGGAAGGAACAGACAAATAACAATGGTGATTAAAAAAATTGCCAACAAAAAGTCCAGAACCAGTCAGATTCACAGCTGAATTCTATCAGACCTTTAAAGAATTGGTACCAATCCTATCGACACTATTCCAAAAGATAGAGAAAGAGGGAATTCTCCCTAAATCATTCTATGAAGCCAATGTCACCGTAATACCAAAACCAGGAAAAGACATAACAAAAAAAGAAAACTATAGACTAATATCCCTGATAAATATAGATGCAAAAATCCTCAACAAAATACTAGCTAATCAAATCCAACAGCATATCGAAAAGATAATCCACCATGATCAAGTGGGTTTCATACCAGGGATGCAGGGATGGTTTAAAATATGCAAGTCAATAAATGTGATATACCACATAAACAGAATTAAACCAAAAAATCACACGATCATCTCAATAGACACAGAAAAAGCATTTCACAAAATCCAGCACTTCTTTATGATTAAAACCCTCAGCAAAATTGGCACAGAAGGGACACACCTTAAGGTAATAAAAGCCATCTATGACAAACCCACAGCCAACATTTCACTGAACAAGGAAAAGTTGAAAGCATTCCCTCTGAGAACTGGAACAAGACAGGTATGTCCACTTTCACCACTTCTATCCAACATAGTACTGGAAGACCTAACCAGAGCAATCAAATAAGAGAAAGACATAAAGGGCATCCAAATCAGTAAAGAGGAAGTCAAACTGTCACTGTTCACTGATGATAAGATTGTATACCTAGAAAACCCTAAAGACTCATACCAAAATGCTCCTAGAACTCGTAAATGAATTCAGTAATCTTTCAGGATACAAAAATCAATGTATACAAATCAGTAGCACTGCTATACACTAACAGCAACCAAGCTGAGATTCAAGTCAAGAACTCCTTTTACAATAGCTGCAAAAAAAAAAAAAAAAAAAAAAGAACTTAGGGATATACCTAACAAAGGAGATGAAAGACCTCTTCAAGGAAAACTACTATTAAAAAAAAAAAAAAACTGCTGAAAGAAATCATAGACAACTAATTGTTTGGCTCTGTGTCCCTACTCAAATCTCACCTTGAATTGTAATCCCCATAATCTCCATGTGTCAAGGGTAGGACCAGGTGGAGGTAATTGAATCATGGTGGTGGTTTCCCCCATGCTGTTCTTGTGATAATGAGTGAGTCCCATGAGATCTGATGGTTTTATAAGTGTCTGCCATTTCCCTTGCTTGCACTGCTCCTTCCTGTCACCTTGCTTCCTCTTTGCCTTCCATCATGACTATAAATTTTCTGAGGCCTCTGCAGCCATGTAGAACTGTGAGTCAATTAAACAACCTCTTTTCTTTATAAATTACCCAGTCTCAGGCAGTTCTTTATAGCAGTATAAAAATGAACAAATGCAATGACACCAGAAAATGGAAACGCATCCCATGCTCATGGATTGGTAGAGTAAATATTGTGAAAATGACCATATTGCCAAAAGCAATCTACACATTCAATACAATTTCCATCAAAATGCCACTACCATTCTTCACATAACTAGCAAAAACAATCATAAAATTCATATGGAACAACAAAAAAAGCCCACACAGTCAAAGCAAGACTGAGCAAAAAGAAATCACATTACCCAACTTCAAACTATATTATAAGGGTACAGTCGACAAAACAGCATGGTACTGGTATAAAAATAGGCACATACCAGGCATTGTGGTGGGCACCTGTAATCCCAGCTACTCGGGAGGCTGAGGCAGGAGAATCTCTTGAACCTGGGAGGCGGAGGTTGCAGTGAGCCAAGATCGCGCCACTGTACTCCAACCCGGGCAACAGTGCAAGATGCTGTCTCAAAAAAAAAAAAAAAAAAAAAAAAAAAAAAGGCACATAGACCAATGAAACAGAATAGGGAACCCAGAAATAAAGCCAAATAATTACAGCCAAATGATCTTTGACAAAGCAAACAAAAATGTAAAGTGGGAAAAGGACACCCTGTTCAACAAATGGTGCTGGGATAATTGGCAAGCCACATGTACAAGAATGAAACTAGATCCTCATCTCTCACCTTATACATAAATCAACTCAAAATGGATCAAAGACTTAGATTTAAGACCCGAAACCTTAAAAATCATAGAAGATAACATCGGAAAAATTCTTCCAGACATTGGCTTAGGCAAAGACTTCATGAACAAGAACCCAAAAGCAAATACAACAAAAACCAAAATGTATAGATGGGACCTAATTAAACTAAAAAGCTTCTGCACAGCAAAAGAAATAATTACAGAGTAAACTGACAATCCACAGAGTGGGAGAAAAAACTTCGCAAAATATGCATCTGACAAAGGACTATTATCCAGAATCTATAAGAAACTCAAACAAATCAGCAAGAAAAAAACAAACAATCCCATCAAGAAGTGGGCTAAGGACATGAATAGACAATTCTCAAAAGAAGACATACAAATGGCCAACAAACATATTTTTAAAAGCTCAACATCCCTAATTATCAGGGAAATGCAAATCAAAACCACAATGTGATACCACGTTACTCCTGTAAGAATGATAATAATAAAAAAAAAAATAGATGTTGGTGTGGATATGATGAAAAGGGAACACTTTTACACTGCTGGTGAGAATGTAAACTAGTACAATTACTATGGAAAGCAGTGTAGAGATTTCTTAAATAAATGAAAGTCAATCCACTATTTGATTCAACAATCTCACTTTTGGGTATCTACCCAGAGGAAAAGAAGTCATTATACAAAAAAGATACTTGCACATGAGTGTTTATAGCAGCACAATTCACAGCTGCAAAAATATGGAACCAGCCAAAATGCCCACTGATCAATGAGTGGATAACTACTACTCAGCCATAAAAAGGAACAAAATTATGGCATTCACAGCAACCTGGGTGGAACTGGAGAGCATTATTTTAAGTAAAGTAACTCAGGGATGGAAAACCAAACATCATATGGTTCTCATTTATAATTATAAGTGGGAGCTAGGCTATGAGGATGCAAAGGCATGAGAATGATATAATGGACTTTGGAGACTCTGTGCCAAGGGTAGGAGCAGGGTGAGGGATAAAAGACTACACATTGTGCACAGTATACACTGCTAGGTTGATGGGTGCACCAAAATCTCAGAAATCAGCACTAAAGAACTTATTCATATAACCAAATATCACCTGTTCCCCAAGAATCTATTGAAATAAAAAATTTAAATAAAAAAGCAAACAAGATGAAGGCTTTCTGCAAAGACAGATCTATTTTTAAAAGAAGAAAATTCCAGATTTAAAAAATGCTATAATTAATGCATTTTAAATTTCATCCATTATTAATCTTATTCTGGATATATACTACTATAATGTAATATGATTTCCTATTATAGTAACAACTTGTGGTTTTAATTTTCATTTAGCTCACGGCATTGGGAGACTATGGAACATTTGGAGAAGCCATACATTGTTTGTATATCCACTTTGGAAATTTCTGGGGTATTTTGTACATTTTATTTTTTTAATTTTTAATTAAAAATTTTTTTGTAGATACATAGTGGGTGTATATATTTATAGGGTACATGAGATGCTTTGATACAGGCATGCAATGTGAAGTAATCACATCATGGAGAATGGTGTATCCATCCCCTCAAGCATTTATCCTTTGTACTACAAACAATCCAATTACATTTTTAAAGTTATATTAAAATATACAATTAAGTTATCATTGACTATAGTCATGCTTTGGAAATGTGTCCAGAAGTATCTATTAAGCACTTATGTACATAACCTATGACCAAAGATTTCTGCTCCCAGGCATTCATCCAACAGAAATGCACAAACACATGCATCAGAGGGAAGCTCAAGAATGTACATAGAAACACTTTTTTATTGCCAAATGAAAAACAAGCTAAATTCTCAACCACAGTAGAATAGATAAATCGTGGTATATTTACACAAAGGAATACTACGTATGAAAACAAATAAAACTACACATACCTTTACGGATAAATCTCAAATAATATTGAGTGACAGAGGCAAGGCATAAATGACTATGTATTATATAATTTCATTTACATTTAAATGTATTTCCAAAATGGGCAGAACTAAGCTATGATGGAAGAAGTCTACCTGTAAGGAGCAGAGGGCCAATGACTGGGAAAAGCTATAGTGGGGCTTCTGGCCATGGGTACTGCTCTATTCATCAATCTGTGTAACGATTTCACTGGTAAATTCATTTTGTAAAAACTCATTGAACTGTACACTTATGACTTTTATATATATGGAAAACTATCTAGGGAGAAAAAAGGATGAGTGGAGTGTGACAAGAGAAGCAAAGATTCAAACCCAAGAAAGTCCGGATAAGATCTAGATGCGATTCTTGGCTCCTACTGTCTCCCTTGTCTTTGCTTTCGTTTCTCTGGAGCCTAGTTGTTTCTCTTGCCTTTGGTTTTGTGAGATATTTTCCAATAATCTCCCTGCCCCCTGTATTTCTGTTGTTGTTGCTGTTATACTATCTAAACAAATCTGGAAGGTGTTTCCTTAACTTGGGGCTTTTCGAAAGAAAAAAAATAAACAAGGATTTGCTAAGAATAATCTGAACCCACACACTGAAATAGAGTTATGCATTTTTTATTCTACCTACTAGTTACCAGAAGTGACAAACTCTGTCATCAAACTCTGACACATAATCCCTGAACAAAACAATTTATGAGAAACTTGAATGGAAACATAGCACCAAAACGAAATTTTCACAGATACTTTTAAGAGCAATTTGATTACTTTTTAAGGGCAGATTAACTAAAGTATATTTAACTAAAATTACTATATTATCTGAGCTTTTTTTCATTCAGAGAATCAATTCAAAATAAGCAAATGTTCCATTGTCCAACCCCTAGAAAGGACCTCTGGAGATTTTGTTTTAAAATGAAACAATGAGGCTGATGAGAAAACAGATAAATTAGGTATATACTAAAGTGGCTAGGTGTATGTGTTTATGATGCAAGGCTGTTAACAGTGACATTTGAATAGTTCATGGTTTGGGATGATTTTCAGAGTCAAATGATCAGCTACATTCAACTACCTTTGGCCCCACATGTATTTAAAATAATTTAATTTCAAAGAAGCTTTCAATGGATTAAGTTTATCTGAGAGAGTCTTATGTGGCTTTAATACAGGTGACTTTGTTGGCAAACCTCAGTTGTTTTGTCTGTAATAGATCATTTACAGCAAGGCACTAACCCCAGTAAAAAAAAAAAAACAAAGATTTGCAAAAGCATTGCTACCTTGAAATTCTTCAATACTAGGTCTTTTACTTTGTAAAGGGATTAGTCTGCTGAGTTGTAAGAGGCTTATTTTGGCTTGTTATTAATTTAACATTTCAAAGCATCTATTCACAAGATTATATTTAATTAAATATTAACGTGCAAAAGTTTAAGCCACGTCCACATATAATATCTCTATCAATCCTCAAAAATTGCTACACAAAAGGAAGAATGGATGTTACGCTTACTTTTTCAGAAAGAAAAAAGTGAACACTTGAAAAAATTTGGGTACTTGGTTTACGGACATGTTTTTTGTAATGGGCAGGACCAGGGATCAACTGCAGGTTTCTTCCCTTCTAATAAAGTACTCTTGTCAGTAGATAGTTTTGCTATATATTAGATAGATAAATATTGTACAAATTGATTTAGATCCAGTCTCTTTACAAGAATGGCCTTTTCTCTATGTAACCCACATCTGTTATTAAAAACATTTTAATACAAAATTCATGCACGAATTTTATTCATATTCTTTTTTTATTATTAGAATTTATAAACTCATGTCAACAAGTAACTTATGTCATTTATCTTTCCACCCAGAAATAGGGCAACTTAATATTTTCTATATCAATGGCACACAAATTTTCTATTTGTCTGCTTTATTGGTCCCAAAGAAGACCACTAAACTGTGAAACTTCTATTGTGTGCAGAATGAAAGGACCGTAGGATATCCCTACTATAATAATGATTCATGGAGTGAAGAGTATTAGAATGTGAAATGTTGGTTATTTCCTTCACACATTTTCTTTTTCCTCTTTATTCTTTTTCTTTTTTTTCCAACCCACTGGATCATTTGAAGCTTCTATTTTCAACTGTTAATTTGTAGTTGATTTTATTGGATCCCTGAGTTTCACCTTTCCCTACTTACTTTTTACTGAACGCTTTCTTCCTTCCCTGGTCTATGTTGCACCCAGTACACAAGGACAGGGGAAAGAGTCAAAACAACCACCTCGATAATAAGTTAATACTCTCTCTTTACGGCAAACAGCCCAGTTTTGAAACAATTGTCTTGCTAACCCTTTCTTCCAATTTCCCACCCCTGTGAAGAAGCTTTCCCAACATTAATAGTGTGACACTCTCTTGGTTAGGTTTGGTCTACCTTCTATTTCACTTACTTATATTTCCCATCTCATTCTCTTGGTGATTCAGCACCTGAAGGCAGAGTTCTTTTCTTGCTGTACATCTAGCAGAGTACCTAAGAGAGAAACTTGAATGAAAGCTTCTTCTTTAAACCTAATTGTTCAAGTCCTGATGAGCCAGTTTTTGCTTTCTCCAAATAAATATTTGTCATCGTTGCTCGCTTTCTCTCAACTCCTTTTCAAGTGTCTGGCTCAGTGTTTCTTACTGGTCAATGAGAGTGGCTTGAACTCTTACTATGTAATTCTTCTCTACCAAAGAATTTTATTCTGGGATTTGGAGGTGCGGTGGGGAAGAAGGCAGACTAGACAGAAATCATGCACCCAAAAATGTTTAAAGGCTTGTTGCTGAGAGAAAATTGTAACTATGTCATATTCAAGTGTATTTTTAACCTCCTAAAATGTGTTTCTCCTTTTTCTAATCACAAAAGCCAGTGTAAACTATTTAATTCCACAATTACAGGATGAAGAACTAAAAACAGCATAGCCTGAGGCAAGAAGTGAGCATCCTCACACTCCATCCTCATTAGTGAGGATAAATGTGTCGTCACTGGGCAGCCCGTTATGTATCCCTCATTTGTGTATTAATTAAAAAGAAAGCTTGGTGGTAACATGAATCTATATGACAGAAAACCATACAGTTGTCTAACTTCAAAAACAGTGGTAAGAAAGCGGTTTTATGTTCTAATTAAAAAGGCCTGTATTTTACTATTACACGCCATCGCACATATGTTCATGGCTCTCCGTCTCCCATGCTACCTCTGAACCACGTTACTACTGTTAGAACACTGGTTTTTGGATAGGAATTGAAGAGCAGAGGGAGGAAGGGAAGTTTTTCAAGAAGAAAAGGGATTTCCATTGTTTCCAGGAAACTGCTAAAATATGTATATGTGTGTGTTTTCTGAGCATTTCTCACACGTTTTCAAGGCTCAGTTTCCCACCTCTGATTTTTTTCTCCATTTTCTGCCTAGCCTGCTCATTGCTAGCATCAACAGATGGGATCCCCCAAATGTGAGAAAGTGTGATTAGACAGTGACTTCATGGGACAAATGGAGGACTTCTTTGCAAATGGGAGAGGAAAGTATTCCTATATCCATTTCAGAATGCGAAAGCAGAGTTTTTGCTCAGATTTTTTTCTCCAAAGTTATGGGAACTGATTCAAATGTAAAACTTGGCAACATCTTGTTCTTAAGATGATGCATAAACATTGATTGCCTCATATGCTTAAAGGAGACGTTAGGACTTTTTTCCTTAGGACAATTAGAAGCTAACCAAAAGGCAATGTGTTGGAAATGTACATGTTAACTTTCCATGGTACCAGAAAGGAAGACATATAGAATATTGGCTACTGCCCAGTGACTCTCTTTCACATGCTTTCTGCTCCTTGTTGTGAATTTAGAAAAGGTTTTCGTTTTTGTGTGGTGCATAGTTGGGCTCTGCCATACATATGATTTGAGACATAAAGGACAAAGGGGGTTCTCCCTTTATATAAGATACATTTTAAAATAAGAGAAAGTGTGAAGTATTGTTCTCTTATTCTTCCTGGACCATTACTTACTTCCATCAGTACAGCAATTTTGATTGTGTCAGGATATGAACCATTTTGGCAAATGGGAGCTAAGTGCTTTTTAGGTTTAAATATTTATATAAATAAATGGAAATCAGGAAAAAGTCATAGTTTCCAAGTGAGTAAGATCATTTCTTTAAAAAATGTAGAGCTCCTTAGAACTACAGCTGTAAAACTCAGGCATTTTCATATTTATGGCATCTTTTGAGTCAAATATTTTCGTTTTACTGTGAAATTTGTACAGATAATTAAAACTTCATGAAGAAACAGTGATTTCTATCCAAGTTCTCATACTTAGACATGGAATTGTCCCCTCACCTCCATTCTTACTCCATTCACTCTAGAGCAGAAGTGAAACTAGTACTGCCAGCCATCTTTGACATACAGAATTCCTGGAAATCAGCTTAGCTTTCAGTCTACACATGACTGAAGATCTTAGCCAATAAAATTGCATGTATAATTGAGTGTTGTGACTTGTGAAAGTCATTTTTTATGGCCTTTAAACTATATTCATGGTATCCCTAGAACAATACTTCTTTCAGACTAGATATGCATGAATCAGCAAAGTAGACAAGGTAGGATATTAAGTAAGTTTAAAAATAAATGTAAGGCTAGAGGGAAAATATTTCTCTTCCCACAGAATTAGTGACCTTTACAGTCATCATCTCCATCTATTTGCACCTATCCTTCACCCCACTTTTGCCTAAGGTGTCTTCATTTGATCTTTGTTGTACGTGCTACTCAAAGCCCTCAGATGATGACAATAATCAAGACAAATGAGAGAAAATCTGAAGCCATAGTGGGCTCTTACTGTCCCTCCACCTGTGTGAAGAAAAGAAATGTGGTTGAAAATGTTCTATTAGTCTTTCATATTTTCTTTTCTTTAAAACCCACCCCACTCCCTTCCTGGGAATTCATTTGTCGGAAAAATACTGTATCTTCTAAGTTATTGTTTTTAGATAAACTGTTTTTTTTTTAATACAGCTATTAAAAAGAAATTCCGGCCGGGCGCGGTGGCTCACGCCTGTAATCCCAGCACTTTGGGAGGCCGAGGCGGGCGGATCGCGAGGTCAGGAGATCGAGACCATCCCGGCTGAAACGGTGAAACCCCGTCTCTACTAAAAATACAAAAAATTAGCCGGGCGTAGTGGCGGGCGCCTGTAGTCCCAGCTACTCGGGAGGCTGAGGCAGGAGAATGGCGTGAACCCGGGAGGCGGAGCTTGCAGTGAGCCGAGATCCCGCCACTGCGCTCCAGCCTGGGCGACAGAGCGAGACTCCGTCTCAAAAAAAAAAAAAAAAAAAAGAAATTCCACTCCCCTTCTATCCTAGAGAAATGATTGTTGAATTTGAGTAGTCACACTGGGTACATTTAAATGGAGGCTTCCAATTCAAAATATTGTTTTTCTTCAAAACATATTAAAATTACTTGCTACAGACTATATGTTATAAAAGAAAAGTTAATCAATAAAAATGGCCCCTTTCATTTCAAAGCAAAGCTTGCTATTCTGGAAAAAAACCTCTCAGTGAGAAGTAACACACTGCCAAATGGAAAGCATGAGAATCATTATTGTCATTTTACCATCTCTCCACTCTTAAAGATTCTCTGAAACAACAGGCAAACCTCATTTACTTTTGTATCTGTGTCCACAGAACTATGGGGAAGAACTAAACTCAACTACAGTCTGTTCTTTGCCTTATGTAAGCTGTTTTACTCCCATCATAATCACCGATAGTGACCCTCTTTCCCATCTGTTGATTTTTTTTTTTCCTTTGCTGAAACAGTGCTTTGGTTTCAAAAATACAGATCTCAAAATCATTAACCTAGAAAGAACCTGGCCTTCATTCACTTCGTTTATGAGATGTTAAAGCAGTCTCAAGGGTTTGCTAAAATAAACTAACGGGCTGTAGAGGAGAACAACACACCATCTGGCCAAGGCAGTGAGGCTGAGAATGCATAGCCTAGGTAATTACTTTAGGTGAATCTATTACAACACATGGAAATGACAGAAAGCTTGGATATTTTCTTTCTTTGCCCTGTGAATCTTCCTATGGTCTTAACGATGGAACAGTCAGCTGGAACAAAGAGGAATCCAGGGATAATGTACAGAAATGATAGTATGAGTGATGGGACCACTAGTAAGAGACATCAATGACTTACAATTCCACTAGACCTCTGCTGTTCAATGAAGACGGAAATTTTCTGTTTATGGAAAAGACTCACGGAAAGAACTTTGTGTAAATATGCCTATATACATTGAATTACTCAGTACACTAAAGAATCCAGTTAATGTAAAAGGAAAACTGTATTGGAATAGATTTATGCCCCATTAATTTAGATTTTATAAACATGGATACCTTAACTGCCTCTGAGATCTCTTCAGAAAGAACTTTCCTTGACTCAGACCTACGTTTCAATTAAAAAATACCTCTTGAGGCAAACCTGCTTATAAATGGGCCACCTGATCTCCATCTTTCAGAATTAGGACATATCTCTATCCATACTACCTCCATCTTCTATTTCCCCCCACTTATCAGCCCACTGTGACAGAGCTTCTGCCCCAGTCATTCTACGCAAATAATTGCTTCCTGTTTGCCAAATACACAGTCAGGCAATGTTACTTCATACTACTTGACTTCTCAGGATCTTCCAACGCAATCATCTCCTCCTTCTCAGGTATTCTCTTATGTTTGCTTTCAGGGTGCTGTACCTTTCTGTAACAGCTTTTCCAGGCATTTCCCCCCTTTCCATCCCCTAAATATCGATTTTCACAGAACTCAGTTTATAGGCCCTCTCTGCACTCTCACTAGGTAATCATCTTTTCTGGTGACATTAGAAACCATCATTATACAACATTGAAGAGGTTAAGTAAATACCCTAGGGTCCTGAACTGAAAAGGGAAACAGCAGGATGAAGGTGTGATGCATCCTCTAGCTGTAGCCACTGACAAGACCTAGCACCAGAGATCAACCCAAAATCAACGAGTAGCCAGATTGTATTTAATACAATACCATTTTTCTTTCTTTAAATACCATTTTTCTACTAAAAAAAACTAGGGTTCCCAAGAGAAATGGTTGACTGTAGGTATAAGGCTGGAAATGTGTCAAAATTGTCCAGAAACTAAATTAAGAGGCTTTTTGAAACACCAAATGAAATAATAGACCTAAGCAATGATCCTCAATGGCTGCTAATGTCAGAAAAAGCAAGAAAACTACACATTTTGTGCCAATATGAATGTTTGTGACCAAAAATAATTAAATCTGAGCCTGCTAAAAATCTATAGATGTAAGTACAGTGGTTCTGCCTTATCTGTGGTTTTGCTTCCTGAGGTTTCAGTTACCTGTGGTCAACTGAGTTCTGAAAATATGGAATAGGAAATTCCAGAAATAAACAATTCATAGGTTTTAAGTTGCACATCATTCTGAGTACCGTAATGAAATCTCACACCATCCTGCTCTATCTCCATCCAGGACACAAACTGCTCCTTTGTCCAACGGATCCACACTGTAGATGCTACTTGCCTATTAGTTACTTAGTAGCCTTCTCGATTCTCAGATTGTCACAGAATCACAGTGCTTGTGTTCAAGTCAACCTTATTTTACTTTATAATGGCCCCCAAGGCATGAGAACCCTGTAGCTGATGTCTAAATGAAACCTTATCATACATATGCATGTGTAGAAAAAAA
This sequence comes from Homo sapiens, assembly GCF_000001405.40. Classification (NCBI taxonomy): domain Eukaryota; kingdom Metazoa; phylum Chordata; class Mammalia; order Primates; family Hominidae; genus Homo; species Homo sapiens. The sequence continues at coordinate 125,455,072 of NC_000005.10, forward strand.
ACACAGTGTCTACATGGTTCTGTACTATCTGTCATTTCAGGTATCTACTGGGGGTCTTGGAATGTATTCCCCACAGATAAGAAGGAACTACTGTACTAATTTACAGAAGGAAATGGAGAAAGAAAAAATAATGGGAAAAATAACTCTATGGTGATGCAATCAGAAAAAAATCCAGTTTGTAAGACTCTCTACCAGACCAAGAATTTAGTTTATCCACAAATAAATTGCGAGAGAGAGAGAGAGAGGGAAGCAAAAGCCTACAGATTAAAAGAAATGTAAGAAAAAAATTAACTATAATGTAAGCACTTTATTCCAACCCTGATTCAAAAACAATCTGTAACTAATAATTTATGAATAGTTAAGGGAATTGTGACACTGACAGAATATATAATATTAAATAATTGTTACTTTAGTTGTTATAATGATATTGTGACTATATTTTTATAGAGTGCTCAACTTTTAGAAATCCATACAGACTTACGATGCAAATTATATATCCAGGAGTTTATTCAAAATAATCTAGTAGTGTCAGCAGCAGTGGTGGGGAAGAGGGGATAGGGAATGGAGGGTGTAGTTAAAACAAGACTGGCCATAAATGAATAATTATTTAAACTGGGTGAAGGGCACATTGTATTGGTGTCTTTTGTGTGCCTTTTAATCTATAAAAAAAGTTTTTTAAAAGACCATATGCTCATGTTAACTGAACTTGTATAATTAGTCCTGCTCTCCTCTGACCACAGAAGTTGTATATGCTTATACCTTGACATCTCAGTATCACTGGTTTATAGAAATCTCAAACTTACTATATGCAAAACGCAACCCAAATTCTCCAAGGTCCACTAAAATAACAAGAGCAATAAAACCTGTGTTTGTGTGTGTGTGCAGAACATACAGGTCTATGACATAGATATATGGGTGTCATGGTGGTTTGCTGCACCTATTGACCCATACTATAAGTTCCCTCGCGTCACTCTCCACTCCCCCCCACCAACAGACCCTGGTGTGTGTCATTCTCCTCTCTGTGTCCATGTGTTCTCATTGTTCAACTCCCACTTATGATTGAGAACATCCAGTGTTTGGTTTCCAGTTCCTGTATTAGTTTGCTGAGGATGATGGCTTCCAGCTTCATTCATGTTCCTGCAAAGGACATTATTGCATTACTTTTTATGGCTGCATAGTATTCCATGGTGTATATGTACCATATTTTCTTTATCCAGTCTAACATCGATGGGCATTTGGGTTGGTTCCATGTCTGCTCTTGTAAATAGTGCTGCAATAAACATACGTGTACATGTGTCTTTATAGTAGAATGATTTATATTCCTTTGGGTATATACCCAGTAATGTGATTGCTGAGTCAAATGTTATTTCTGGTTCAAGATCCTTGAAGAATCTCCATACTGCCTTCCACAGTGGTTGGACTAATTTATATTCCCACCAGCAGTGTAAACGCATTCCTATTTCTCCACATCCTCACAAGCATCTATTGTTTCCTGACTTTTTAATAATCGCCATTCTGACTGGCATGAAAGGGTATCTCATTGTGGTCTTTATTTGCATTTCTCTGATGATCAGTGATGTTTAGCAATTTTAAATATGTTTGTTGGCTGCATAAATGTCTTCTTTTGAGGAGTGTCTCTTCATATCCTTTGCCCATTTTTTGATGGGGTTTTTTCTTGTAAATTTATTTAAGTTCCTTTTAAATTCTGGATATTAGACCTTTGTCAGATGGGTGGTAATATGGTTTGGCTGTGTCCCCACTGAAATCTCAACTTGAATTTTATCTCCCAGAATTCCCACATGTTGTTGGAGGGACCCAGGGGGAGGTAATTGAATCATGGGGGGTCAGTCTTTCCTGTGCTATTCTTGTGATAGTGAATAAGTCTCACAAGATCTGATAGGTTTATTAGGGGTTTCTGCTGTTGCTTCTTCCGCATTTTCTCTCACTACTGCCACGTAAGAAGTGCCTTTCACCTACTGCCATGATTCTGAGGCCTACTCAGCCATGTGGAGCTGTAAGTCCAATTAAACCTCTTTTTCTTCCAAGTCTTGGGTATGTCTTGAATATGGACTTATACAGTATATTTGTACCAGGAAAGTGGGGTGCTGCTGAAAATATTCCTGAAAATGTGGAAGCAACTTTGGAACTGAATAAAATGTTTGGAACAGAATAAGAGGTTGGAACAGTTTGGAGTGCTCAGAAGAAGACAGGAAAATGTGGGAAAGTTCGGAACTTCCTAGAAACTTGTTGAATGGCTTTGAACAAAATGCTGATGGTGATATGGACAATGAAATCCAGTTGGTCTCAGATGGAGCTGAGGAACTTGTTGGGAACTGGAACAAAGATGACTCATGGTATGTTTTAGCAAAGACACTAGTGGCATTTTTCCTCTGCCCCTAGTGATTTGTGGAACTTTGAACTTGAGAGAGATGATTTAGGGTATCTGGTGGAAGAAATTTCTAAGCAGCAAAGCATCCAAGAGGTGACTTGGGTGCTGTTAAAGGATAAGGGAAGGAGAGAATAAAAGTTTGAAAAATTTGCAGCCTGACTATGTGATAGAAAAGAAAAACCCATTTTCTGGGGAGAAATTCAAGCTAGATGCAGAAATTTGCACAAGTAGCAAAGAGCCTAATGTTCATCCCCAAGACCATGGGGAAAATGTCTCCAAGCCATGTCAGAGACCTTCATGGCAACCCCGCTCATCACAGGCCCAGAGGCCCAGGAGGAAAAAGTGGTTTCGTAGGCTGGGCCCATGGTCCCCGTGCTGTGTGCAGCCTTAGGGACTTGGTGCTCTGTGTCCCAGCTGCTCCAGCCTTGGCTGAAAGTGGCCAATGTATAGCTCGAGCTGTGGCTTTAGAGGGTGGAAGCCCTAAGCCTTGGCATCTTCCAATGCTATTGAGCCTGTGGGTACACAGAAGTCAAGAATTGAGGTTTGGGAACCTCCACCTAGATTTCAGAAGATATATGGAAACGCCTGGATGCCCATACAAAAGTTTGCTGCAGGGCTGGGGCCCTCATGGAGATTCTCTGCTAGGGCAGTGTGGAAGGGAAATGAGGGGTTGGAGCCCCAACACAGAGTCCCTTCTGGGGCACTACCTAGTGGAACTGTGAGAAGAAGGTCACAGTCCTCCAAACCCCAGAATGGTAGATCCACCGACAGCTTGGACTGTGCACCTGGAAAAGCCACACACACTCAAAAGCCAGCCCATGAAAGCAGCCAGGAGGGAGGCTATACCCTGCAAAGCCACAGGGGCAGAGCTGTCCAAGACAATGGGAACCCACATTTTGCATCAGCGTGACCTGGATGTGAGACCTGGAGTCAAAGGAGATTATTTTGGAGCTTTAAAGTTTGACTGTCCCATGGGGTTTCAGACTTGCATGGGGCCTGTAGCCCCTTTGTTTTGGCCAAACTCTCCCATTTGGAATGGCTATATTTACCAAATACCTGTTATCCCATTGTATCTAGCTTGCTTTTGATTCTACAGGCTTATAGGTGAAAAGGACTTGCCTTGTCTCAGATGAGAATTTGGACTGTGGACTTTTGGGTTAATGCTGAAATAAGTCTTTGAGGGACTGTTGGGAAGGCATGATTGGTTTTGAAATGTGAGGACTTGAGATTTGGAGGGGTCAGGGGTGGAATGATATGGTTTGGCTGTGTCCCCACCAAAATCTCAACTTATATTGTATCTCCCTGAATTAGCACCTGTTGTGGGAGGGACCCAGGGGGAGGTAATTGAATCATGGGGTCCCATCTTTCCTGTGCTATTCTCGTGACAGTGAATAAGTCTTACGAGATCTGATAGGCTTATCGGGGGTTTCCACTTTTGCTTCTTCCCGATTTTCTCTTGCTGCCACCAAATAAGAAGGCCTTTTACCTCCAGCCATGATTCTGAGGCCTTCTCAGACATGTGGAACTGTAAGTAAGTCCAATTAAACCTCTTTTTCTTCCCAGTCTCAAGTGTGTCTTGAAAATGTACTAATACAGGTAGATTACAAAAATGTTCTCCCATTTGGTAAGTTGCCTGTTCACGCTGATGATGTTTCTTTTGCCGTGCAGAAGCTCTTTAGTTTAATTAGATCCCATTTGTCAAGTTTGGCTTTTGTTGCTTTTGGCATTTTGTCAGGAAGTCTTTGTCCATGCCTATGTCCTGAATGGTGTTGCCTAAGTTTTCTTCTAGAGTTTTTATGGTTTTGGGTTTTACATTTAAGTCTTTAATCCATCTTGAGTTAATTTTTGTATAAGGTATAAGGAAGGGGTCCAGTTTCAGTTTTCTGCATATGGCTAGCCAGTTTTCCCAGCACCATTTGCTGAGTTGAAGATCCTTTCCCCATTGCTTGTTTTTGTCAGAATAAAACCTGTTTTTTTCCTAGTCTCTCCCCACTCGTACTTTTTGCAGCATACACTCAGTTGCTGTGTGTCATCCTTAATTCTTCCCTCTTCCAAGCCTCTCCACCCAATCCAACATCATGATTGTTAGCTCCCCCATCAGCAATCATTAAAATAAGACCAAATCCATCTCTTCTGCCCCTTTATAATCTAGGCTACCATCATCTCTCGCATAGACTACTGCCATAGCCTATTAATTCATCTCTCTTTTCTATGCTGGCCTTAAATATAATCATTTTCCACATAACAGACATAATGATACTTTAAAAGTGTGAATTGGATCATGCTTAAAATCTCTTAATTGCTTCCCATTACATTTAGAATAATCTCTAAATGTACCCTGTCCTCCAAGGCCATACTTACCTCTTATACCTCACTCACTGGCAGCTCAATGAGCTCCAGCCATGTGAACTTGAATGCTCCAAGTTCCCTCACATATGGAAGCTTTCAGCACATGCTATTTCCACTGCTAAGAATGCCACTTCTATGATCTGTTCACCCTGGGACTTTTAATTCACAAGACCCTAAAATCCTTCCTCTTCACCCTTTATTTGCCATCAGAGCACATATTTCATTTTTCATTGTACTTATCTTGATTTATAATTACACATTTATTTGCTTATATTTTAATTACCTGTGTCCCACTGAACCATGAATTCCACAAGAGAATCCAATTTCAGTTTAGTGCATCAGTACTGAGTGTTGTCTAGCACACAGTAGGAACTCAATAAATATTTGTTAAATAAAAACAGAAAGATGGATAAGTCCTATTACAAATTGAATATGATGCTTGTGTTCCAAGTTTTAGAAAGCAGACCATTTGGAAATGTAAATATTTAAGTATTAATGTTCATTTTAAATGTGGTGAGAATTTTAAAGAACAATCTAATTGGTACATGAAGTTAAGTCTAATACTCATAGTAACTCACAATTTAATAATTCTGCTCAGGTATGCTCAGGTTGAAATTGACATCTTATTTCCCATGTTCATTTTTAAAATCTCGCCTGCACCTCAAGGAAATAGTTATAAGAGAAAAGAAGCTCAATGCTATTTGAAGCTTAACAATTTGCTTTTTTTCAGATTTTGTGTAAAACTGCCTCAGGGAAAATGGAAAATGTTTGTTTCCTCATCTTAAGTCGTAGCTCTACATTATTTAAGTGTGTTTGAAGTGTAATTTAATCTATATTTTGAAATAAGATTTGTACATATTTACCATAAGAAGCAGCACAGTTCTGAGAATGTGGGTTCAGTAGAAAGCAGTATGTGTGGTCATAGAATCATCATCTTAAGGACCCTTACTTCAATTCTTTCTGTGACATAAAGGAAGGAGCCTCTCATAGACATCTGAAATTCCTGGCACAGGCCACGTGAAGTAGGACTATACATCCTAAGAGCAGAGGTGCAACTCCATGGAGATAGTGATCTAGAATTGGGGGGCAGAGGGTAGAATCTAGTAAAGGTCTTGAGCAGCTCTATCTCAGAGACTTGTACTGGAAGAGGATGGAAAAACAAGCAAAAAGTAAAGTTCACTTGAAGAGTTTAAACTCCAAATGCAATGCATATATTTATAGCACATTTAATAAGGAAAGATAATATATTTTTCTGTCTCCTTTTAAGTTATACCATTTTGTTCTAGGCCAGTAGTTCTTAATGTTGAACACGCAATTGAGTTACCTAGGCCGTTTTAAAATTCCCAATGCACAGACCATATTCTAGACCTATCAAATCAGATTCTTTGGAAGTGGTAAAAAAATTTTTAAACTACCCAGCTGATTCCAACGCGTAGTCAAGATACACTGTTCCAGGGTTTTCTCAGAGAAGGGGACGATGTAGGTGATTATAAAATTCACACACACACAGACATTTGCTCACACGATTGTATATTGAGAATACATTTGTTATTGTGTGTGCAAAGCCAGATGCAGAATATTAGCTGATATATATTCTTTTGTTATCATGCACCAAAATCCTAAAGAATTATAAATCTTTATCTCCCTCAACATACCTCCCTAATGAGAGAAAAGTAGAACAAGTTGTACTAAAATGTTTTAAATATGTATATTTATCTTCCCAAATTTAAACATCCAAGTACATAGATATAGATACATTGATACATAAGTCCAGTGTACCTCTCCTGGCAATAGGGAAATCTCCCCACTTTGAAATGTCTTCATCTCCCCCTTTCCCTTGAGGCCTCTGAAGTTCTTTGACGCAGCTCCCCATCTGATGGGGGAGTAGGAGAAGGGGGATAGGTTTGGATTCCACTGTGTAGCAACAGAGGTTAAGCAAGGGCCACTCTGTGGTTTCGCCTCCATGTGGTATGATTTCAAGACAATAAAAATCCTACACACTGACAAGATTCATTGCCTTCGGCCTCTCTATATGTTCTGGGTTTTGTTCGTGCCAGATCTGAGGACAGAGAGAGTGTGAAAAAGGTAAAAAAAATCTTAGGCCACCACACTCAGAGGTGTAATTATGTATTTAATTTCTGCCCTTTTCACTTGTTTGTGAGTTCATGAAAGGAAAGATCATATCTGGTTCACCATTGTACCCTGCAGCTGTGTGAGAGATTGGCAGATAGCAGGTCCTCGATGAATAATTGCTGACTGAGTAAATGGAGGAATAATTGAGACCAAAAGAATTCCAATTTAAAAAAGGAAGTGCCATATTGAATACTACCAGTGCATTATGTAATAATTCAAACACAATTCATGCTGTTCAATATATGAATTGGTACATAACTGCATTTCCACCTTTCTGGTAATATGTCATCACTTTGATGATCTTTTTATACAAATCTAATTTGTATTATAGTTTCGGTACATATTTAAAAATTTGGTTCATTTTTGTGTCTAGTAAATATGCATAACTTCGTTTCTCTATTTTTTCTTTTTGTATTTCTGAAAAAATAAGTTTTCTGACTCATTTGTGTGGTCATTTTTGCTACATTCTTTAATCCAAATTTGTGTTATATATTCCTTTGGTCTTCCAGTGACACATTATACTTTTAAATATTGTTATGTGGTTGAATTAGATTAAGAAACTCTAGGTTAAATATATTATGGCACATTAAGTGAGCAAATATGCAATAGTCATTAATTTTGTTAACTTATGGCCATGTAATGACATAGAAAAATGTTCATTACCTCAAATTAAATGAAAAAAGAAAAATGAAAGAACAGCATCTAGAATATAATAGTATTTCTATAAATAAATATATTCTTATGGAGAATTAAATGACTATAAAAATATACAGCAAAATTCTAAAAGTAATAGTTTTTAATTTTCATCATTTTATCAATCTTATCTGTAAGTCATCTGTATCACTTTTCAATAATAAAGAGAAAAATCAAACTATTAATTTAAAATTTGTCGAGGCACAGTGACTCATGCCTGTAATCCGAGCACTTGGGAGGCAGAGGAAGGTGGATCACCTGAGGTCAGGAGTTCGAGACCAGCCTGGCCAATGTGGTGAAACCCCCGTCTCTACTAAAAATACAAAATTTAGCCAGGTGTAGTGGCGCTTGCCTGTTATCCCAGCTACTCAGGAGGCTGAAGCATGAGAATCTTTTGAACCTGGGAGGCGGAGGTTGCAGTGAGCTGAGATTGCACCACTGCACTCCAGCCTGGTGACAAAGTGAGACCCTGTCTCAATAAATAAATAAATAACAATAAGTAAAATGTATTGCAGATATTATAGTTCATTCCACCATGCTAAAAGTAATAAAACCTCATAATTAGTCATTTAAAATAAATGACATACCTATATGACATAAGGCAGTTAAAAAAGTTGAGTAAAAGGAGATTATCAAAATCACCATATTAAAAATGGAGAATGCTCTGCAATCCATTGCCAATACTGCATAATTTGTCCACTGACAATGCAGATTTAAAAAATAAAAATATATTGGCAAAATATGGGCAGATTTCTCTCTACAGGCGTTCCTGTATGCAAAGAATTAGGTGGCTTCTCTTAGATTAAGTATATTGAAGAGCTGTTGTCACCTAAGGAGATACATAACAAATTAGGTTATTTCTGAAAATGTCTACACACACACACACACACACACACACACAATTGATTTAAAAAGAAAAAGCCCTATAGGAGAAGTGGGCAGAATGACAAGGGAACCAGGCTTTCTGCCAGCATTTCCTAGACAGGAAAAATACCTCTTGAAATATTCATGAAACACTTTTTATCCAAGCAATTGGAAAAGATTATAATACATGTTTTAGAACAAGAGTCTTTCAAAATGAACCTTTACTCCACAGAATGAGGATCAGCAACTTGCAAAACATTCCAAAGATAACACATGCTTTGATTTTCTTGGGCTGTCTGCTGCTACCGTGTTTTCTCACTTAAGCAGACCCCAAGACACCTACCATGGCTGTCATCCAGTACAACCACTGGCTTGCAGTCATTCCTCTTATCCCCAAGCTCCCAGTAATCATTCATCAATATTTTGTCAGCACTTCTGTGCCTGATCCACAAGGATGAATGAAGCCCTTGACACATCTCCCTGGAAAAGTCTCATCCCTAGACCGTGGCACCTTTCCTTTGTAATACTGAACACAATTACAACTTTACATAAACGTGTCTAATTGTTGATGTAATGTTTATCTTTCCCTCTAGACTATAAACTCCATGAGGGGCAGTGTTGTGCCCAATTTTGTTTATCATTATGTAATGATATCCTTCATAGGGCTCAACCTACAGGAGTCACTCCATAAGTGTTTGTTGAATAGTTAAATAAATAAATCATTCTGAATGAAGGGGGAAAATGTGGCCCCCCAAGGAGTGCCAGAGTAAATTATATTTATGATATTTGTAACTGTCAAGAATGAGAGACCACCAAAAGAAATTATCACGTTTTTATGAAATTATCTGAGCAGTGAATATTTTTTATCATACAAGACAAATTATGAGAATATATAGCAAGGTTATGAGAGGATTCTAATAAAAGGCATTAGGGCTTTGAAGTGAGCAAGGATGAAGTAATGCATCTGGGGGGAAAATTCTAAATTTTATAAATAATGGACTGCAAATTATTGATTAAGTCCAGGAAAGAAACTATGTGTTAAGAACTGTTTTATAAAGATGAGAGGGCCATAGTATATGACTACCAATCAGGTCAAAGGAGGCTGGACTAATAGATGAATTATACTTCCTTAAATACTAATAGATGAATTATACTTCCTTAAATATAAGAGCTATCAACAAATGTCAAACTATCAAAGATATCATCAACAAATGAAATGCAATATATAAAATGGGAAAATATATTTGTAGTACATGTAATTGACAACAGACTCATAGCCAAGAGTACATATATAACTCCTATAAATCAATAAAGAAAATGCAGAAAATACAATTAAAAACTGAGATAAGACCCGAACAGGTAGTTCACAAACACACACAAAGCTCTCCCTATAATAGATAAGCATCGGCTATCTAGGGGGAGCTTTTAGAATGGATAAAGTTGAAAAGATTGACAATGCCAAATGTTGACAAGTATGCAGAGCAACTGGCATTCTTATACCTTTTTTTGGAAACGTATCTGAACCTAGTCATACCCCATGACTCAGCAATTCTACTTCAAGGTATACACCCAACAAAAATGAGTACACGTGTACAACAAAATGCAGATACAATAAACTTTATGGTAGCTTTGTTTGTATTAGCCCTAAACTAAAAATAACCCAAAAGTCTATAAACAGAATGGATATATAAACCATGTTATAGTCATACAATGAAATACTATGCAGCCATGTAAAAGAAGTTTCTGCTACATGTAATAATATGGAGGAATTTCGAAAGCATAACATAGATCAAAGGAGCTAGACACAAAGAGTACATGCTACATTAGTCCATTCATGCCAAGCTAAGAAACAGTTGAAAATAACCTCTGTCTTCTGTGTTAGAAATTAGGGTAGTTGTTCCCTGTATGGGGTAGTGTCTGGAGAAAAGGATAAGAAGAAGCTTCTGATGTTTTATTGGTGTTTTTTCCTTGATTTGGATGGTGGTTACACAAGGATGTTCACTTTATGAAAATCAATTGAGCTGCACACTCATGATGCTACAGCTTTCTGTGGATTTATTATAGTTCATTAAAATGTTTATATTAACAAATAATATGCTAGACTGTATCACAGATGCCATAAGGTAGTGCTTCTCCAGCTATGCTTCAAAAATAAGCTGCAAGACAGAAAAGAACAAACAAGTTGGGAAAATTGTCTTACTAAAAATCCTGTGGCTTATTCAAATCATCTTTTTTCACACTCACTTTATCACAGATCCTTAATAACAACTATTTACATTTCTCAGAGTTATTGTTCTCTGAAATACACTTAGGAAATCGTGACTATAAATACACCAGAATTTGCAAGGTTTCTACAAGAATGGGCAGGCTAGAAACTAGGACCGAAGACTTCAGTGAAACTAGCAGTCAGGAGAGAGCAGCCAGCTGAGTAATTTAAATGCCAAAACTCAAAATATAACAGGGACAGTGCAGCTTATCAGGTGTGACTGCAAGCAGCTCAAGTAGCAGAGAATTAGAAAAATGGAGCAAAAAAAAAATTACTTCATTTGAAAATTCCTCTGGATCATTAGGCAAGGCTAAAGGCTATGGCCAATATTTTCACCAACAAGAAACTTAAACATTGAAGCAGTGCCCATTACTCCATGCCAGTTTGTCTTTGAATTCTTTGATGAACTTCAATAAATCCACAGTCCACTGGAACCCTAACAGAGATGATAAACCAAGACCTGCAAATAAAAATCACAAAACCCTATGATGAATCAGGGCCTGTAAATATCAGAATGACAGTTATTCCTTTATTTATTTTTCAATTGACAAGTAGTCATTGAATGCCTACTCTGTGCCAGACATGGAGTGTGCAGTAATAAGCCAGAAAACTTGGTTCCTTGTCTTTATAGAGTTTTGCAGCAGTAATGCATATTAACAGAATAATTGCAAATATACATTAGCAAAAAGAAATCCTGGATGCTATGGAAGCCTCGAGTAGTTACTGATGTCTAATTTGTTGTCAGGATAAAAGTGGGACAAATAATTGTATTATACTATGCATTGCAGAAATTTCAGAGAATAACACAAATTATACAATGAAATAAAAGCTAAGCTTTTAGGACCTTGGGAATACATTTCTATGTGATTAGTGACTGTTCTGTATTTCAAAGCGATGTTGCTCTGCACTAAAGGATTTGGTTTTTTGTATGCTAACACATATTTTTACCTTGGGGTCAAGAGAAAGAAAAATCTGCATTAAATTATTGAAAAAGTGAGGAGTGTGTATGGGTACTCTTAATCCCAGATAACAACGTCTGTGCTGGCCTCTTTCAGATCAGAAGCAGCACCAAGGAGGACAGGGGTTTTGTAGATGACACGGGATACACACTGAAGTAAGAAGGGACAGAAAATGGCCTAGCTGGTGCATAACAGGTTTGGGGGAGCCTTGGAACATGAGTTAGAATACTCTAGCTCCAGTGTCCCAGTAAGCGTCAGAAGAAGATGTTCTTCTGAGACAGCTTCTCTGGTCTGTGTCTCTTGGCTTTTTCTATCCTGCTCCTACTGTGTTAGTTGCTATGACTTTCACTCTCCACCTCGTGGCATTTACTCCCTCATTGCTATTTTCTCATGTCTTCTACTTACTACTTTCTATCTGCTTCTCATTCATTTTCCATTCCGCTCTACCCTATCATCAGATCCCTTCTTCTTTGTGTTTCACATTCAAACATACCAAGAAAGAATTGTACTGGGACAGTTCTTCACTCTCCAGAAGAAAATTTACCTGTTGACCAAGTTCTCCAGCCAGATTACCTCTCTGATGCTAGTTCAGTTCAGCCCAAACAAATAGGAGGAGGGGAACTGTTGCCCAAGGACAATGCATGGTGGTGCCTGCTGGAGGAAGTACTAGTGTTAGGCTCTGCCTTCAGAAGGGAGTAGCAGTGTGGCACACAATCAGAGCATTCAGGCTTGCCCAGGAAAATGCCATTGTTCACCAATTAGGTAATAAAAACCTGATTTCTGTTACTATAGCCATTGGTCTGGAGAGACCTGAGTCAGGACTCAGCAGGGATGAATTGCAAATAAACATGGCAATCAGCCTGTGTGACCCCTTTAGAGTGACTTTACCTTTCGCCTTGGGGAAAATGAGGCTGCTTAGCAAAACAACGTAACTGACAATCTCTGGATTAAATGGGTAAATGTGTTAAGTCTATTATGTAAATCTATTTACTGTAACTTCTATGATAAAATATGTAATCCGTAAGAAAATCACAAAAGGTCATAAAATGAGTAGAGGCAACGTATGCTTAGAAATGACTTGGATGTAGCAGTTTTAGGAAAATATGAAGGCCTCCCACTGCAATGAATAGTACAGAAGTATGGAATTCTTGGAAGTAGCAAAATTTGTACATATAGGTAAATTCAATAAATTTCCAAGTTAGCTTGAGGAATTAGGATAAGAGCTAGAACTATCCTAACCTGTTCATGAAATTTTATTTATTTTTTGAAAAGGTGACTTATAAGTTGGTTGTAATGAACAGAGAAGTAGATGGATGAAAATGAAAAAAACTGGCTCATTCTCCATCCCTTGTCCTAAAACAGGATAGACTCCTTGTCCTGGCATTCTTCATGGTGGAGGTGGCTGGCATTAGAGTCTGTGTTATAATCTTTGTTAGCCCCTAATTTCTCCAGTCTGGTCCACATCACTAATTGGTTCTTTCAATAAGAGAAGACAAGGATGCTGGGTCAGGGCTCAAATATAATCTGAGCAAATACTTCTGTGGTTCCATAATTTGACCAGGGTTCAGGGTTTTTACAATACTCAGTTCCTGCTCCTTTCTATCGGAGTAGATCTTCACCAGTCCTTCCTCTAGAGTTTTATATTCTCAGAAACAGAAATCCTAATCTTATTGTTTCCGCTGCTTTATCTTGCTTAAGCAAAATTTTGCTTAACTAATGTTGAATGCCAAAAATACTCATGGCCAAATTATAAACCAGTAAAAAGCGTATCTAAGTCCTTTTGCTCAAAAGAGCATATTAAAAACCCTCACCTACTCAGTATCTTGACATGTACAAATTTAATATGACTCATCTTGCCTTTCTTCACAAGAAATGATCACATTCTTCATTAGGGAACTGCTTATACAAAGAATCAGTTAGTTAGAATTATGTGCCACAAATCCTTAAAGGGTCACCATGAGATATTGAGAAGTCTAATATTATAATCCTTAGGACATGGGATCCTACTCCAGCTCTACCAATTATAGCTCGATGCATTTAGACAAGTTATATAAATACTCTTTGCCTCTATTTTCCCAATCATAAAGTGAAAATAATAATAAGGCCAATTCTCAGGTTTATAGCAAGTATTAATTAATAAAGGTAGAATGCTCACACCAGTGCCTATCATCTAGTAAGCACCCAGTAAGTGTTTTATGAGTTGGAGTACAACCTTAAAAGTATTTAAGAAATTTATTAGAGAACAAACATGACAGTTCATGAACCATCTCTGTTATCATCAGAGACAAAATAATTGATTGGACCCAAGGCCTGATATGGTACAGTGACTCATGCACTATTAAGTTTCCAGACCAGAGGCTTAACATAATTCGAGTTGTCTATGCATTCTTGTCAAAGAAGAACCTAGCACTGTCCACCTGTCTCAGCAGCAGATACAAAAGGACCCCCTACAGGGAAGACACGATTTGGTGTTTTCAGAGGTGAATAAAGACAGCATTGCTTATATCTCCACAGAGACATGAATTCTCCTTTTGGGCCACCCCAAAGATGAAATGACATGTACAAAGCACGTTGCATAGCTTCTCATGTACAGTAGGTGCAGAATACAATGAGGGAACCATCATTTTCCCATTCACTTACATTTTCTGAAGTAAATGCATGAAGAGACTAAATACACATCTTGTAGCATTTTTCAAAACATGTTCTAAGAAACATTTTCCTCTAACCCCTCAACCTCCACCTCAACCCTTACCCTCACTGGCAAAGATTTCAAAGTTTACTTAGTTTGGGAAAAGTTATGTTTTCCTGTGTAGGATGGAGGAGTTTACAATGCTCAGAAGCATCTTAAAAGAAAGCCTGGAGAAAGAAAGCTATTTTAATCTTGCTTAGATTATCTGTTTATCTGTTGGCTTCCAGCAGCATTCACTGCTTTGCTGGGAACTGCATTGCTGGGAACTGCATTTACCTGGCTTTCTTGCCAAAGGAAGGAACTATCGAAAACTGGAAGGTACAAAGAGAGAGGAATCCAGTATGTTCTTATTTCACTTTCAGTGGTGTCTCTTTCAGGGACTGTATCTCCACAGTGGTCTCCTCTGGTTCTGAGACCACTGGAAAACTCTTCCCTCCATGGTCCTGGCTCCCAAAAGACAGCCTCAGAAGGGGTCTACTATCTCCTTCTGAAAGCCTGTGGCTCTGGAAATACCATTTGGTGGTAGAGGCAGTTTTTGCTTTTGCCCATCTCTGGGGTGCTCCACAGGTCTGTCTGTCTCTTCAGCTCTTGTCAACTTGCGTTAACAACTTCCTAGGTTAAAATCCCTCCAGTTTTTCCTGTGATCATATTAGAACTCTGATAACACCATGAGTATTGTTCAACATATATAACAATGCAGAAGGTTTTGTAACAAAAAACTATTGTCATCCTTACTGGGGATATTTTGAGCTGTTGGGACATGTCTAAGCCACTCAACAGACAAAGCAGATTTGGATGGGTCAGACAATTTGAAAAAATACATACTTTATATTTACATGATTTTTTTTTTGGTTGACTATTTCCCTTGATGAAATTAAGCAGTTGTTAAATAGATGCCATCCCACTTTGTCCTATGTAGTCTGAGCCTTCATCTTATTTCAAATAATGGCTTTTCCCAAAGGAAGTGTCTCCTTTCAGGATATCATAATAAGCTAATGGACATAGTGATCAATATTGTGTGTGGTGGAACATTAGAAATGTGCCATAAAATATGGAAAACAATTTAGCCACTCTCTAATGCAGGCAGTTCTTGTAAAAACTATACATGAAAAACATGTACCCAACCATTTTTTTCATGCCTTACGACAAGATTAGATGCAATAAAAACCTTGTCTTAGCAAATCAGCATGTTAGAGGATGCTGTCAGCAATAACTTTGCAAAGACATGTCCATTACCAAAGAGGGGCATTATCCTAAATTTACTCTCATTGAAGATTGATGTCTGCTATAAGCCACCATCTGTCTCTAGATTCCATGGGATTATAATGCTGCCACTCTGCACAGTGGGGGTGGTTTGTGGCTTCTTTTCTTTCTGCTTTTGCTTTTCAGATTTGAAGATGGACAGGCAATTGTCAGAACCAAACGACAAAGTATGACTGACCATGTGAAGTGTAAGGATCAAGCCCAGAAAAACATTTTTTCCCCTTAAGATGCAGAATGCATCAAATGAGTTTTTGAATGTGACTACCTCACAGTGATTTATCCTAGTGAATTATCAGCTATTTTGTAATGAGAAGGTATATTTCAGCACATCTGATCAATTTCACAAACTCCCCAAACTAAATAGCTTAGTGACATTTTTAGCAAGCAAATAAAGATTTTCTTGTTCTGAGTATCTTGTTGTTGTTGTTAAAGGAATAAAACTTGTTAAAGCTTTGTATCAAAGCTACTTATCTATTGAATAGGAGCCTCCAACTTTCTCAATTACTCTCCTTTATCAGTAACGTTTAACTATTCAGTTCTAATAAATGTTTACTAATAAATTATACATAAACTATATACATATATATGCTATAATACCTATGTTATATACATTATAAAATATATGCAGCAATAAAAATACAGAACAATGAAATACAAATAAATGTACATAGAAGTTTGAATATTTTTACCCATAACCCGTGAGCCATCTCTACCAGACTGCTGGGTTAGAGCTCACAGCAGGCAGGCCATGTTGAGAATTCAGTTTTGATGCAGAGGTCCATTTAACTTGTATCTTTTGGGGTTAGGGTTACCACATAAAAATACAGAACACCCAGTTATATGTGACATACTTAGACTACAATTTTATTTATTTTTCACCTGAAATTCAAACCTAATTGAGCATCCTGCGTTGTTTATTTATTGACACCAACTCTAGTCACTGTCCAAATGCCTGTGTTTCCTCCTAATCCTTCCTGCCTATTCCTTTCCCCAACTCCCTCACCAGGTCTGCAATTGTTGTCTATTGGCACAGGGCTGACAGGTATAAGCCATGTGCTTTAGTATAATAATTTCTTTAAATGATATTGTCTGCAATGGGTTCTGTTTTGAGGTCTATCTCACCTGGTACCTCCCTAAACAGGACATTGCAAAGCCAGTCTTTGTATATCATCTAAGTTGATTGTGTGCATGCACATGTAATGCTGCCTGAATTGGTTCATTTATCAATTATTTATTCAAAGCCTAATATGTTTTAGGCAATGAGCCCAGTACTTGTGGCATTAAGAAGCATAGGGCATGATTCTGTTTCCCTCAGAATAAAATCCAACATCCTAAAAATGATCTATGTGGCCCTACATGTCTGGCCCTGTCATGGCCATGAAAATGCACCTCTCAACTCTCAGGCCATATCTGCATGGCCCATCTCCTCACCTCCTTCCGATCTTATTCTCAAATCCCAGTTTTTAAAAATGGCACTTCAATTGGTTACATTTCTAAAATGATACTACTTCTTATACTTAACATTTCTTTTTATTATTTTATTTTCTCATTAGCATTTACCATTAACCACCTCTATATTCACCTGCTTACTGTCTTTCTACCCTACTGGAATATAGATCCCATGAGGACAGAAAGTTTCCATTTTATTCATGGCTGTAGAATAATGCCTGGGAACAGCTTAGTTAGAACAGTGCCTGGAGCAGAGTAAATGCCCAATAAATACTTGTCAAATAAATGAATCTCTGTCCTCAAAGAGTTAGAGGTCTTATGGAGGAGACGCACAGCCATGAGATATTAATACCTTACTCCAGCATTTTAAGGATGGGAGGGCAGAAATACGAGGCAAGGATGATGCTTACGCCGAGTCATAAAAGTTCAGTCAGACAGAACTTGGGGGCATGCCATTCAGCAAACAGGTCACAACAAGGGGGCCAAAGACAGAGGTAGGGAGTGTCAAGAATGGAAAAAGAATGAAAGTGAGGAGAAAAAGGAGAGTTTTTCAAAAGAGGAGATAGGAAAGTCTCCAAGAACAAACTGCCTACTGAATAAATTAATCTAGAACCAATCTAGTTCTCATGGCTTCTGAAGGTAATAATAATAATAATTTAAATAATTATAATTTATTTAATGTTTATTATATATCAGATTTATTACTCTCACGATTTTGAAAAATTTATCCCCCATATAGAGTAGGTAATTCCACATTTAGAGGTGAGAAAATTGAGATTTGACAAACCTCAGAATAACTTGCAAATAAATATTAATGAGTGACATAGTAGGATTCAGAACCTGAGAACTTTGTGTGTTTTCCTTTATGCTACGCATTTTTCCCCCACTGGATTCCCAAAGCACCCTATCTGTATCTTGCTAAACACAGTGTGTAACCTCTTTCTTATTTATTTGTCCTCTTTTTACACAAAGATGAATTGCATAAATTCTGATTTTGATATTATAAAAGGGTTAGTATGCTTCAACACAGGTCACCAAAATTGGATGAATAAAGCATGCTTCTGTATCCCAACTTTCTGGCTTAATTCTAAAAACAAATTGAGGTTGAGTCTCCAGCACTTGTATTCAGACATTGTTTTATTAACCTCCCTAAGGTCCTGACTATGGACCTTGGTCCAAAGCAGTGTTTTTCCACCTTTTTTTCATTATCAATCATCACCCTTAGGGAGCTTTTCTAGACATTCTCTTCCTAATCCTGCCTTCTCCTGTCACCCTGGCCCTGCCTCAGAAACTTTGATGCCACACATATACCATATAACTGATTATATACTGTGGTCCTTTGGAAGCCCAAGCCATTGTAATATTTAATAATTAAGATCATTTTGGCCCCCAGAAACTAATGTTCACTCCTTTGGGGCTGATAATAGCTCCTGTTGACTTTCCACAGTGTAATTGATCTTTCATACCTAAAAACATCTTAAGAGTATAAAATTATTTTAGCAACTGACTATTGCTATAGTGGACAGGCTGAAGTCAGGTGTCCTGAGCTCTTGTTCTGGCTTTGCTTCTAACAATCTGTGTAATCTCAAGTAATTTCAGTTTTCTGGTTTTCAGTCACTTTAATTGTAACATAAGGGGCTGCACTGAATTAACTCCAAAATCTCTTGAGTTGAGAAACTTTATACAGTTATGTAATGATGTTATGAATCCTGTTTGATGGCTACTTTTCTAGTTTGATTTTGGAAACTACGTAGTTCATGGAGTTAAAGGTATATATTAATGGCTTCATTATGAGAAATCCATGGTACTTTTTGTGTGTTCTGCGTTTGCATTATAGGACAGCAATATTGTATTTTCATAGATGTCTTGATGAATATTATGAGCTTTTATTTCCTTGAAGGCCTATGCAGTATCATAGATGGAGGCCTGCATAATCTGGCATCATCAGAAAGATAGATTTCCTTCACAGTTCTGGGTCAGAGGTACAAGCATTCATGAGATCTTAGCTGTGTCGCTACACGAATTAAAATGGAGTAATGAATTTGTGCTGTGTTCCATGGCTTTAAGTTAGACTTGACCTTTGAATCACATTTAACAGAGTACAATCATAAGTCACAAATCAGAAAGGTTTAAGTAATGTTCTCTTCTATGAAGGAAAACTGATTTAATCCAATTTGATTTTATATAGTGTTCAGAATTTAAGGAACTCTAAAATATTGCTGTGAGTTACAGAAATCTATTAAAATATGAGAATGTTAGAATTTGGAGCATGTCATAAAATTTTAGCATGCACATATACAAATGAACTTTATTTGTATACATTATATAATGCATCCCTATTTTGACAGGTGTAGCTCATTTTAGTAATTGGAAATAGCAAGAATTAAATAATCAGAGAATTAATTTTCAATGCATCAGGGAGCTTCTTTATTCAAGAGAACTCTACTAGAAATTCTTTATAATAAATAATTATTTTATATTATAAATAATTTACTTTATTCATTGTTTCACAAATTTGTGTTCCGTGGGACTTCTATTTGGAGAGGGGTTCCTGCTTGAATTTATCCAGGTCTTTTCTAACTCCTCTGCTCTCTTCTTCATTTCCTGCTTTATCAGGAAGCGGAAGTTGCTTTTTACAATATTTCTTGAAGTGATTTAGATTTTTAAGATTATTTAGAATAACATATACACATGTGAAGAACCTTTTTTAAACTAATTTTGATGATTAAATATTTTAGTAGAAAATCTTGATGCTTTGATGATGACAAAGTCTCTGTCTCTTTACTGGGCTGTACTGAAGAACATTCCATCAAAGGTGAGAAGAAGAACAAGATAAGTGCATGAAGAAAATACGATACTTCACTCTTCCACATGTGTATTGAGATATGCTCACAATAAGTCTGTAGTATTTGAGATTTTCTTTTAACTTATAGTACATCAATATATTCTACTCATCACAAAAATATATTAATTTACCAACCCATTTTGCATAGTTGAATTTGGGAATATGTTATTTATGTGTGACATTATCATGTGTTATGTGTTATTTAAATGTCAAATGAAGACAAAAATTTTCTCAGAGGATTATTCTTAAATGCAAGAGATTAGTTAAATATATTCATGCATTAGACAGAATTAACTTTTAATCTGGTTTTAATCTGATGAACTAGTTCTTATCAAACTTAACCATTGCTTATTTTTGGAGAACTGTCAACTGTAAGGTTTATTTCAAATTCATAACACAGTGTACTAAATAGCATATCTGCACCTTATAAAAATTAATGTAAAATATAGATCAATCATGCAAATCTAGTAAAGTAGTTTGACATAAAAAGGATGGCACAAAACTGAGTGGTTATTTGGAGGTAGCAAGACTAAGGGGAGACTTTATCTATTTCATTTTATGTGGTGCAAGGTAGATCTGAACAAATTCATAAAGAAAGAGGTATGGTCAGTAGAAAGAAAGCAATTAGGGATTCAAGTGAGAAAACAGGTAATATTTGGGTCAAGTTCCTTTACTAATTGGGATAAAGATGAGATCAAGGATCAAGGAGGAGGGTTAGATCATCAAAGGTGAGAAGAACAAAATAAGTGCATCTTTAGATCTCATCTAAAGATGAGATCATCTTTAGATTTTAGGAAACTAGATAAGGTGAAAAGAGGCATTTGAGCTGGAAAGGAAGTCTGGCTCTAGCACAAGTCTTCTCAATAATGGGCTGATGACTGAGTTTGAAGCTTATGTTCTGTATGATTCTCAGCACAGCAGTAGGATCTGTTGACAGAAGATACAGGGCACATATTATACTGCATCCCAAGAAAGAACTTCCTAGCAATCCTTCCTGTCTATAAATAGAGAGTGATCTCAGAAATGATTGGGTTCCGATTCTTGCCACATGCCGGGGAAACCTACTTGGCAGATTGCTATAGGGAAGATTTAAACATAAAGCAAGAAAGGTACATGTCAGGCTGAAAGAATAAAAGATTTCAACCACCAGTAAAGACACTCAGAAGGCCAGTTAAGGAGCACCTAGTCTTCTTATGATGAATAACTTTCTTCAACAGACTAGAAAAAACAAGCAGAAAGTAAGTAGAATGGTGAATTTTTACAAGAATTATTAGAATAATGGCAATTGAATACAATAACAATTAGAAGGGAAAACAACAAAACTAGAAGTAAAATAATGACCTGGAAGAAAGTGGTTGGAAGGGTTAAAAAACCAAATACCTCCAGGGTGAAAAAGTTTATAAAAATTACCTCTCTGAAAGGAATTTTCTCTTCCTAGCATCTTGTAATTTCTATTCTCAAGCAGTTAGTTATTCCCTAACCTGCCTGGTCAAGTGTTGTCCAAGAACGTACATAATAAATTTATCTAAAACCAAACTGGAATAACTCTAGTTATGAACAAGTCAGTTAAATTCTGTTTAGGAACAAGCTTTTAGGAGCAGCAATCTCATTATACTATCATGGATGGGGTCAGTGGGTTGAAAAGATATCCCCATCCCCCCAAAAAATTTGACATATTTCTTGACAAGTTTTTGAATTAAGATTTATTATCCTTTGCAAGTTAAACGAAAGTCTTAAGGAAAAAAACAACCTGAAATGAAGTGACAGTTGCATAATAGTTAAATTGTAAATATACTTGAACCATGTCTAAGTTTAAATTCCTTCTCAATTGCCCTGATACTTATTTTTCCTCTTTAATTTAAAACAAGATCATTACATTGGAATGTGCTAAAAAATGGATAAAGTAAATTTGCGTCAGTTATTTCTTCCATTACTGATGCACCATTCAAAAGTATTTTGGATTTCAGCTGAAGAGAGAAAACTGGAACAATAAAGTGTGGGCAGGTGGTGGCGGCAGGCATACTTCATCAAAGGAAAAAGTCTATCGAGGACTTTCATTAAGAGCATACCCTCCTCAAAATATTTGCCTGCTGAACCTGAGATGACATGTGGAAACAAAACTCAAGATAAGACAGGCTCTTGCCCACTTACATCACTAATAAGAATTTAGGCAGGTACTCCACCTAAAAGAGCCATACTTTTACTCCCACGGAGATAAAATTTGAGATTGTACAGACCTCATCACTCAGATTTTGCATATAAAATATCATGGTCCACAAGGCCAAAAACTGTAGATAAATCATGTCCCCTATAGTATATGACCCTTACATCTGCAGCTCTATAGATATTATTTGTCATTTTTAAAACAAATGTTTTAGTGTTTGGATAAGATAGGAGGAAAACCAATTTCTGTGATAGTAATGTACTGGGATGTCAGCACATAACCAACCAATGACTAATACAAAGAGAATGGAGAGGGGATATGCTGCTAATTTGTCTTGACTAGCTGTAGAAATAAGCATGCATTTAAAACATAAGGTGATGGAATTTTATCAAGACTGCAAAAACATGGTCTTTTCCTTAGAAAATGTATATACCTGAGTAAAAAGATGAGCATTTTTTTAGGAAAAATTGAGAATTGTTTCAGGGGCATTCAGTTGTCACCCTCATTGAGCTCCTCCATTTCTTCTTTTCTCTTCTTCTGAAAAGCCAGTATTAACCCAGTAAAAATAAGGGTATTGGTACTTATCTGATCAACTCAATAATGAAAAACTTTCTGTCTCCCTCCAGGCAATGGAGGATTTCCGTGGGAGGTGAAGCAGAAAGGAAAGAGGTAGTTGAGCTGGGTAGCTTTTTTTCATACCACACTTATCAGACATCACCAAATGTCCATCTTATTAAATATTGTTTATATACAATTACTACCACAGGTTTTTTAAAAGGAAAGAACTGCCTGAAGTAAGAATTGACTCTCAAACTTGTTCAAGGAAGCACACTTTTTTTCTTCGGCTAGATTGTAAACCCTTCAACATAAACATCTAACTACACATTTCTCTCTATGGTCCAATACAGTCTTGTTCATACAAAGAAAAATGCTTGAAAAACCCTTGTAAACTAGATTACAGAGTCTGCCAAACCAAACTCCTTCTCCTGATCACTGTTATCACTGCTATTTCTTTGGTGTCATTTTTTTTTTTTTTTTTTTTGAGACGAAGTCTTGCTCTTGTCCCCCAGGCTGGAGTGCAATGGTGTGATCTTGGCTCACTGCAACCTTCGCCTCCCGGGTTCAAGCAATTCTCTTGCCTCGGCCTCCTGAGTAGCTGGGATTACAGGTGCCTGCCACCATGCCCGGCTAATGTTTGTATTTTTAGTAGAAACGAGGTTTCACCATGTTGGCCAGGCAGGTCTTGAACTCCTGACCTCAGGTGATCCACCCACCTTGGCCTCCCAAAGTGTTGGGCTTACAGGCATGAGCTACCGCACCTGGCCCCAGCTTCTCTTTCTGCTATATTTTGAAGGCCAGCTCTTTGCAGTCTATTAGGACAGCAGTCCCCAACCTTTTTGGCAGCAGGGACCAGTTTCGTGAAAGACATTTTTTTTTCCCATGGACTGGAGTGGGGTATGGTTTCCACAAGAAACTGTTGCACCTCAGATCACCAGGCATTAGATTCCCATAAAGAGCGCACAACCTAGATCCTTCACACGCGCAGCTCACAATAGGGTTTGTGCTCCTATGAGAATCTAATGCCACCACTGATCTGACAGGAGGCGGAGTTTAAGTAGTAATGCCTATTTGCACACCACTCACAGGGTTGGGGAAATGCAGCTCCAGAAATCTTGAATGTTTACCTTACAGGTACAGGAGTTGGCAGTCTATAGCACAGTTAAACCAGATTGATGACATTCTATAATGAGGAAGTGTTCATCATCTGAACTTGGCACAGAAGTCACAGTTCTGTTTAATATAATATATGACATACTTTTACTCACACATAGATTTATTCTACTTTAAAATAAGTTATTTTCAAAATGGTTTCAAAATACTTTTCTGTATGAAGGGTATGTTGCCTTGCAGAGTCTGACCCCCCTGGGATCCCAAGAGGGATCAGGTCAATCAGCTCATCTAAATTGGCCACCCATGTGAGCACTCAATATGCAATTCAAACATAAAACATTCTTTATATTTTTTCTCTAACTTATATACAGAATATATTACATGATTACCCTAATTGAAGGTAATTCACCATCTAAAACCATAACTAATGATCTCTTTGAGATGAGGCTATTTTGGGGGTGAGAAAACGTTTTGAACTTGGACTCTGGTAAGATTTGCTCAATTTTGTAAAAATGTACTAAAAAGCCATCGAGTTGTATACTTAAAATGATTGGATTTAATGATATGTAAGTTATATCTCAGTAAAGCTGTTTTTAGAAAAGTAATTTGGTATGATTTCCTACTTAAGTTCAACATGAATGAGGTTTTCCAAGCAGATTTTATGCTCAGCTAAGTTTCATGTCTATGTTAAATACAGGTAGGGATTCCGTAAGTGCCTTTTATGATTAAGCTTCCTTTCACATATCCCATCTCACCCAATTGGGAGGATTCCATTTAACAGACCCCCCAAAATCAAACAAGTTCATAGTTTTCCAAAGCAATTTGAGTAC
Source organism: Homo sapiens (assembly GCF_000001405.40). Lineage (NCBI taxonomy): Eukaryota > Metazoa > Chordata > Mammalia > Primates > Hominidae > Homo > Homo sapiens. The sequence continues at coordinate 125,479,636 of NC_000005.10, forward strand.
TACAGAGAATAAAGTTTTAAAATTAACCCTAAATAGTTATGTAGCATGGTGATGAGAAATCATTCCCTATTTAATCTGATAATGCCACAAAGGGAAATGAGGGCAAAATCATTGTTTCAAAGAGAAGAATGTTGATATTTCTGTGTATTAGGATGTATAAACACTTACATAGCAGAGTAAGCCTAGTTTAATGGGGCAGACTGCATTGGATGGTAGACCAACATGTAATTCATAGGCACACATCTGCACAGGAGGTGGTCATCAGTGGATTCTGGCCACAGGTAATAGGCAGATACCCAGATAGACAAGTAGTTGTGTTATATGTCCCAAACTTGAGTTCAAAGCAGTACTGTGGGTATTTAGGAAAGAAATCTAAGACTAACAAGATAGTTTACTGAGATAGAGAAATGGCTGCAATAATAAAAAGTAGGAAGTCATTTCTTAGTGGATTAAATACCACGTAGAGGCTGACTACCAAGAACAATGGCAAAATCTAAATTCTAATACTAAGGCAGAAGGTCAAAGTGAGCTAAACCACAGGCTGACTTGAAGTTGATTTGCCTAAGATATTTACCTAGCCATTCTTAAATTCATCCTGATCTGGTCCAGAACCCTGGCTGGGGATTCAGGTAGGGGCTAGGTGGCCCCAGCTGCAGGGAATAGAAAGCCAGGAAGCTGGGAGCCCGATGAGTTATCATAGCATCTATAACTGGAATGGGCAACCACTCAGTCATAGATTAACAAGACATGTAGGTTGATTGGGACCTGCTTACTTCTCTGCCCTTCCTGTATGGCAGAAATTGTAGCTTAATTCTTCCCTTTTCTCTCTTTTTACACATGCTTTGTGGAGTTTGAAGTGGATACTTTCTAAAATGTACTTGACTGCTATAAAATTTGGACTGGGCAACACTTGTCTATAACGTCCAGCTGAATATGCTCACCACTTTCAGATAATTGGAAACAAACGTTCTATGACATGGTATTCATATTTATATCCAAGGCCCAAACTTAAAAAATTTAGAAAACCATAACATGGAGCAAATAGTTTGGCAATTCATAAACTACATTAAAAAACTGTCAATCTCTCTCACTTTGTCGCTCCATGAACTTAGGTCAGATAATGATAATCAACTCCAACCCAGTACTACTGTTCAAGCAGACCTGTTCAGGCACACAAACCCACAGAGACTCTACAAAACGAATTCAACAGTTCACCACCCTACCAATATAAGAAAAACAAAAAGAGACAAACAGAAAACTAAAATCATAGTAGAATGAAAATGCTACATACTTATAGGCTATGAGTCCCCCAAACCAGAATGAAAATATGTAGGGTGAGTGTCCAAAAACAATTCTGTGTGTTAATAATACAATAAATCAGGCCCAGATGTCATAAACACAATAAATCAATTGAAACTGCCAAACCACTTCTCTCAACCTACTGGATTTAATTAAAACCACCACTCGGTTCATGAGAGGCCTTCTAATAGAGCCGATAATATCACTCCGGCTCAACCATCCACCTAACCTGATGTGGGAGACGCAGCATGTTAAATTTTAATCTACAGGCCTGTTAAACATGGCAGGGTTTAGTACACATCTGCAGTGATGGACTGTCATTCCTCCAAGCCCTCCTCTCATCCTCCTGAAGTACTCATTTAGAACGCTATCCATCTGCCTTTGCCCTCATAATATGGTAAGTGCCAGATAAACACTATAGGAATATTGACTTTTTGGTCGTTGTTTTTTTGTTAAAAATACAGCACGGTCATTGAAAACAGACTAGCTTATTTGATCAAATACGTGAAACAAAGGGTGGCACTGTGTTGGTGGTTTTACATTTTTTAGTGAATCTTCCCAAGACATCCTAACTCTAGCCTTATGTCTATAAAGATCTGTTCCCAAAAAGCCCATAAATGCCACTCAGGAGAAGGACAGAAAGAATAAGAGAAAACAACAACAACAATGAAACACTCACAAACTATTGTGAATTCATGAAGCTGACAAAGGGCACAGGCTTGAAGGCATCTTCTAGGACTGGAGGTTAGAAATCTCATTGGCCCGTAAATAGAAAAGATCCCTTGAGTTTACTGCAGAAAAGACACAGAGATACCCATTCACGAGGTTGTTTTAACTTGAAGGATCACATTATTCATCATGAACAATCTCAAAACGCAGTCAACAGAAGCCTTCCTGGCAGCTTCCTTGTGTATACTTGGCTCCATTTTATAAAGACAGAACAGACTATGTTTGGCATTTTTGCCTTGAGTTATTGACATGTTTTAAATTATGCTGTTTTACGTCCATTCTTAATAGAACAGAAATCTGCTACAAACGATCTTTATTAACAGACTGCCTCAGGTGCTGAGCAGACTCTCCATTTAACAACATCTCCAAACAGACAGGCAGAGAGCTTGCTAATAGGCTTTTCCAACCCTTTGGCTTCTGTGAGATGTAAGTGGATTATGGAGGTTTGTTTGTCAGGCTATCTTTTTACATCACTGTCTGAGTAATTGCCACAAAGGCCTATTGCTTTGCCCTAATTAACAAAATGTACAAAATCCTAAGCATAGAACTTTTATTGATGAGCCATCTTCATGGAAAGCTTATGAACCCCCATGACTCCTGGCCCGAGACAGATGCTCTTCATCATGTCACACACTTGACTCCAGTCTGTTAATATACCAGGGATTCGTCTTAGCATTTTGAGCTACTCAGAAAGTGCCAGAGAAAAACACATTTATTGGTGGTGGTTTAAAAACCAGTAGCCTTGGCATAAGACAACTTGTTAAGCAAATTTCACCATTTGTTTACTATAAAACTGTTTTAATACTATCAGTTCTACTTTTTTCCATGAAAATTGATCCTTGAGAAGGTAATTTCAGTAATAAAAACTACAAGGTTAATAAGTAGAGAAAAAAAATAAGCAGAAAACGTGACTTGAAGGAAGTAAAAAACACAAAGAAGAAATAAGAGTTAATTTATTGTTCAGCCACTTTTTGTTAACTCAACCATTATTTCGGCCAGGTGCGGTGGCTCACGCCAGTAATCCTAGCACTTTGGGAAGCTGAGGTGGGCAGATCACAAGGTCAGGAGTTTGAGACCAGCCTGGCTAATATCGTGAAACCTCGTCTCTACTAAAAATACAAAAATTAGCTGGGCGTGCTGGCACACACCTGTAGTCCCAGCTACTTGGGAGGCTGAGGCAGGAGAATCGCTTGAACCTGGGAAGCAGAGGTTGCAGTGAGCCAAGATCATGCCACTGCACTCCAGCCTGGGTGACAGGCGGGAGACTCCGTCTCAAACTAAATAAATAAATAAATAAAAATAAATAAAATAAAATAATTATTTCAACAAATATTTCAGGGCATGTGTGCCAGAGGACTATTTTAGGCACTCGGATGAACTAGGGAGGAAGAACTAAGGAGACAGAGTCCTTGCTCTCGTGGAGCTTTTAATATTGAAGACGAGACATTCTTTATACTTATTTTTTCTTAGTAACTCAGTAAAAAATCCATGGGATAAGAAATTCTGCTTGAGACTTAGAAGGTAAAATTGACCATGGGAAATTAAGCCACATATATCATTTTGTATTTAACATTCAGTAGGTACATGTTGTAAAAGGTGCTATAGACACTTTTTGGAGTTTGAGAAGACACAGGACCTGCTCTTAAGGAACTCTAATTTAAAATGGGAAGCAGAACAAAAACATATTTTAATGTGCTTATACACATAGATGGATTAAAAAGTTTTGACTAAATTTGTGTGTTTTTTAAAAATTTAAATCAACCAAGTAACCAGGTAATGAATGCATAGCAACAGATACATTAAATCCGAACAGTTTAATGGGTTTTAGTTGAGAACTGAGCTGGAGCAACATACGTAGGATTCAACTAATTCAGAAAACTTAAAGGGCCCGAGGCTAGATTGTATTTATTTTCCTTTTTGTTTTTCCAGGATTAAAGGGTACACAGCATTTTTTTTCTAAATCTGGAAAAGATATCATTTATCTAATCTTAGGAAATTGTGCTGAATTTGGGGGAAGTTTTATCCCAAAGTCTAAACATAGAGCTTTAAGCACATACATAGGCATTCATTAACACAAAATTGAATTCAGGAGAAATGTGATGAGAACCTGACATGTGTCAAGCCTTTCTGCTGTATGCTAAATATTTATGATAAATGTCATAGCAGCTGTCTTCAAACATAAAAAGCAAACATCAGAGCAGTGTAAGCCTAAAGGGTTAGGCAGGTCAAGGTCAACGGGCTGAACAGAATATGGTGAGTGGCTCTTGGGTATTCTTCCATCTACAAGGAGAGATTATACCAGGAAAAGGTAACCTCTACTGCACCAGCAGCTCCTTCCACTAGCCACTGGGGAATTAAAATAAAAGGTAAAGAAGGCCTTCTTTTGGATCCACAGCAGTAACAACAGCAATACCAATAATTAACGCAAGCTATTGTTTGTTGAGGGCTAACCTTGTTCCTCATTCCCTTTGTTAATGGCTTACGTTCATGAACTTCTTTAATCTTAAAAAGAGCCCTGCAAAAGTAGATATTACCACTATCTCCATTTCATATGTGAGGACACAGACAGAGAGTAGCCATTTGCTCAAGATTGCCAAGCCAAGAAGGGTTCCATGAGTGTTTAAACCTAGAAGTAAGTCTGAAGCTTAGCCCCTTATTCATGGCACTAAATTTCCAGGGACTTGACTGATGCTCTGGCATTTTTGGTGGTTTGGAGGGAGGGAGGCAGTGATTCATCACTCTTTACCCAGCCCGTTGTTTTCCCCGGGTTTTGCAAGAGATCATGTTTAAGGTCAACTGGTTATCACCTGCCTAGACGCTAGTGATTTACAATTATTTCTTTATTAAGAAAATGCTTGGTGTGTGAGTGGTCTCTCTCTGAAAAAATGCCAACAGGAAGGCCTTGTCAGATTTTTGGCAGATACACATTTAAACACATAAAAACAAGTTTAAACACTATCATTTATGCATAATTCTTTCTTGGCATCATCTCTCACTTGCCACAATTTGCAGCCAGAAAACACTTATTTCTACTTTTCTTACTCTAGAAATAATCCAGCCTTAAGTGGATCTAATTCCTTCCCAGAAGAGAAACAGCCTTGTCAGGACTTGGTTGTGTGTGCTGTGTTTGAGGCATCAAGGTTTCCATTTACGGCACAGCTGCACGGACTCCGAAAGCTGGTGCTGAGCCAGAGCTCTGTACCCACTGAGATCTGTAGTCTGGAATGATAAACACACAGCTGCCTGTGGCGAGGGCCACAGGCATAATAGATGGCCACATCTCAACCAGAGTCAAGCGAAGCCTACACAAATCATTAATCCAACTGCTTATATGTTAAATATCACAAACTGTGTACGAAATGGTGAGCTATCTCAGTGGAAGGAGGGGAAAATGGCAGAGGCAATTTAAGGAAACAGGAGAGTAAGTGGCTGTAAGTCCTCTGCAAAGTCCTGCTCTAGAGCTGATTTACTGCCACCAAGCCCTCTTGCTGCAAATAGTTCATAAAGCCTATGACCTGAGTACTTGCCCACGGGACCACAATAACATTTATCTAGCATAAATTAATGTGTTTCAACCACTAATTCAATTTGGCTGTCTCATTCTTCTGGTTTTGGCAAAGCCTAGCCTTGCTATAAAGTCACTCCGTGACTCACACGAATGGCTGTGTTTGTTAAGGAGTCACACACCACTAGGAACAAAGAGTGCTGTTAGTTGAGTAGTCATAAAATATACCTCCCGAGCACATTTGGAGCTGTGCTAATTGAAACTTCCTCTTTAGAGGAGCCTGATCAAAACCAGCTGTAGGAGTCAAGCAGGAACAGATTTCAACATTACATTAAAAGCCCAACAAATTCAGTAAGAGCAGCCTCTGAGAGAAGAGGGCATTCCAGCCTGAACAAATGCTCTAATTGCCTCCTGACATGCTGCAAAGAAAGCTTGTGACCTGAGCCTGGAGAGCTGTGGAGAGAAACTTCTCCATAAGATTTGAAAAAAAGCAACCTCTAGGGCAGTTCTCCTCATAAAATTCCAGATCTGCCAACATTCTCAAGTAACACATGTGAAAACCCACAAAAGCTGAGTGAATTTAGGCAAATGAAGTGATATATTGTTCTGAAAGGGGAAAAACAGAGCTTAAGTATTTTCAATGGTAATATGACCTTTTATGGACATCCCTTTAGTATTGAAAACAAAAACAAAACCTCCAACTCACAGAGGAACAAACAAAATACAAATAAGAAGCAAAAGCCTGGATGAATCGCAAAGAAAAGACACAGAGTGTATTTAAAGACAAAAAATGAGAGCTGTCTCTTCCTCTTTGGCGGCTTGTGAATTTCCTATTCCAAGACATAAGGGCTGCACTCTGCCAATGTGTATAAAATCAAATGCATCCATAGGTTCGCTGAAAATGTGGAATAATCATGCATTTTCTGTGTTTGCTTTACTTGAGGGTGGTTTAGCCATTTGTAAAGGAAGCAGTCATTGATATATAAATATAAATAGCAAATCTATCCATCAAATATGTGCATTGTATTTAATTTAGATGAGTGGAATGCCTGGAAATGTTACAAGCAAGTTTTGCATTATAACACCTTTAAGTAGCATATAAATTAGAAAGGATTGCTGATCTTTATAATTTATTTACTCATCAATTTAATGGAGTATCTAATTTTGGAGCTATGTCACACTGATTCTTAAAGATACAGGGTGGGGGAGGTTTATTTACATAGATATAGAAAGGACCATTATGTTTTATGTCATAAAAGAGTGAGTGACTTATATGTAGTATATGAATTATAATGATTATTCTGGAGGATCTAATTATAGTCTCACAAATAATAACCATGAAAGATGAAAGATGCTCCATTTTTGTCCTTTTTTGGGGACTGTGTTAAGAGGCTAACCTGTCCTTTCTCCTTTTTGTTTCTTTTATCCCAACAGAAGGTATTAAACTAGTAATAACTCACTGGGTTAAACGCAAAACAAAAACAAAAGCACCCACACAAAAGAAGAAATTATATGGTTACATAGTCATGTAACTCCCTGTTTCATTTTTATGTTAAAAGCTTGCATTTAGAGTTTAACAGACTGGCATAAAATGTGGCCTTCGGTGCATGTGATGTGGTCTTCTGAATTTGTGAACATACCAGTGGAAAGTATTTCTGTTGCTGCTTTAGTATTCATCTGGCTTGTCAGATCCTGAATCATTCTCAATGCATAATGCAATTCACATTCCAATGCTATGCCCTTGATTTTATTTATCTTGCTTATCCAAGTACTATAGACATTAGGGAGTATTAAATATAGTGATCTTAAACTGGATAGAGAAAGTTGAAGAGTTGGAAAAAAATTTCAAAAGATAATTCAAAATTAAGTGATGAAAAAAAAAACATGTAAAATATGGCCAAACATAAAAATATTCTGATTTAAAACAGAGTGAAGAAAATAGTCATTATCCCAATTTTACCACTAAAATATTACTTAAAAACTCAGAAAAGTTGAATTCTCGTGTTGCACCAAAACTAGACTCGAAGTTAACTAATAATAACAATGAAGGAGCTTTCAATTATCTTAGAATTAAAACGACAAAAACTAAAAATGACTTCCAGGTTCCATATAATTAGAAACTGTGGAGATCAGTCCACTCCAAAATGGTTTGAAAACCTTTGCTTCTTCCCTACTGCTTTACCCCTGGTTCAGTAAATTGTCCTTACTAAAGCCAGTTAGGCAGCTGTTCTCAGGACTGAGGGAGTTTCATTCCAAAGCAGCACAATACTGTCTCCTCCTTCCTTTCACAACATCTGTGATTTCTGTCTGTGAACAGAAAGAGATTGTCCACTAAAACTCGCAGAAATCCAAGCAGAGAGTCAGTGGGTTGCTTTGGGAGGTGGTGTTGAACATTCAAGAATTAAAACGCAAAGCAAATGCAGGGTCAGGACCAAGCAAAGAATTCACCTCAGGCCAGCAGGATGGCAGTAGACAAAATTTGATAAACCCTGGGAATTGGATTAGGAGTTAAACATGATCTTCTCTGTAGGAGGAGGATGAATAGGCCAGAAGCCATGAAGATGTCCAAAGGGTAAGCCCAGATAGATATTTCTTTATTGTAAGACACATTATTAAAATTAATCGTGAAGTAATCATCAGAGACATGCAAATCAAAACCACAATGAGATACCATCTCACACCAGTTAGAATGGCGATCATTAAAAAGTCAGGAAACAACAGGTGCTGGAGAGGATGTGGAGAAATAGGAACACTTTGACACTGTTGGTGGGACTGTAAACCGGTTCAACTATTGTGGAAGACAGTGTGGCGATTCCCCAGGGATCTAGAGCTAGAAATACCATTTGACCAGCCATCCCATTACTGGGTATATACCCAAAGGATTATAAATCATGCTGCTATAAAGACACATGCACATGTATGTTTATTGTGGCACTATTCACAATAACAAAGACCTGGAACCAACCCAAATGTCCAACAATGATAGACTGGATTAAGAAAATGTAGCACATATACACCATGGAATACTATGCAGCCATAAAAAAGGATGAGTTCATGTCCTTTGCAGGGACATGGATGAAGCTGGAAACCATCATTCTCAGCAAACTATTGCAAGGACAAAAAACCAAACATTGCATGTTCTCACTCATAGCTGGTAATTGAACAATGAGAACACTTGGACACAGGAAGTGGGACATCACCCCCTTGTTGTGAGGTGGGGGGACGGGGGAGGGATAGCATTAGGAGATATACCTAATGTAAATGATGAGTTAAGGGGTGCAACACACCAACATGGCACATGTATACATATGTAACAAAACCTGCACGTTGTGTACATGTACCCTAGAACTTAAAGTATAATAATAATAATAATGAAAAAAAATACAGCAAAACAAGAAAAAATATTTGTCATCTTAAGGATTCAGATGAAGAGCAGACCTCTGAGTCCATGAACTACAAGAACAGAAATATTAATTGAGCATATTGTTTGGGAGCTTCATGTGACAAAGGCAGTTGGTGTCTCATTCTTCCTAGGCTGGGCATATGTAACTGCATTACTCAAACTCCCTTATAGATACATGGTCAAGACTAAGCTTTCTTCGGTGGAACGTAAATGAATGGCTGTTACTGGATTAAAAATTACAACAAACAAACAAAACCTCCCAAAAACTCTTGCCCTGGACATCCACTTTTCTATTGATTAGAAAAAAAGTACCCTTGGAAAATAAACATCAGAAAGGCAGAGCTCTGCTGCATGATGATAGAATAGGTAAATTAGCTCTCACAAGGAGACTGACTATTGGAGTAGAGATGAGGGTAGAAAAAAAGCAGAAAAATAATTAAAAGAGAATGTACAAACTGGACATTTTAAAATAATTATCTTTACTTGAAGATATCTAATAGCTAACAAAACTGTGAAGAATTTTAGGAATAAGATCAATGAAAAAACAAGAAACCCAGATAAGTGAGCCCAGTGCTTGGAGACAGTTTCTCCCAATAGCAGCTGCCAATTCTAAAAGTCAAGTGAGAAGCTAAGAAGCTAAGCAGAACTGTGACTGACTTGCAAAATGATAGGGACAAAAATTGAAGTCCAGGGATCATGAAGGGTTAGGATACCCACACACTTTGTGCTAGAACTCTGAAGGCCCTCCTCCATCCCCTAGTGTGGTAAGGCTGATGTAGTTGGAGCCCAGCTGTCGCAGGGACTTACACCAGCCTCCAGTCACTTTGATCCAATTTTAGTGACGGCAGTGATTCCAGATTGCTAATGCCACTAGTTGTGTGCTAAAAACAAATGTAAAAAATTACATTTGTCCTTAAATGATTGATTTTTTTCAAATGAAGCTTATTGAGGTACAATTTACATTCAGTTAAATTCCCCCTTTTTATTGGACAGTTCTATAAATTTTGACAAATGCATACACTAATTTAACTGCCACTATGATAAAGATATGGAACACGTCTGTCATCTCCCAAAGTTCCCTCATGTCCCTTTGTGATCAATCTGCTTCCTCCACACCTTGTCCATGGCAATTACTGATTTAATTTTTGTCACTATGGTTTTGTCCTTTCTAGGAAGTTGTATTAATGAAATCCTGCAGTTGTTGCCTTTTGAATCTGTGTATTTTCACTTAATATTGTACATTTGAAATTCATGTCTGTGTTTGCACAAAGCAATCATTTGTTCTACTTTGTCACTAAGTAATATTCCATTGTATGGATGTACAACAGTTTATTATTCATTAGCTTGTGGATATTTAAATGCTTTCCAGTTTTTGGTATTTTTAAACAAAGCTGATAAATTTGTTTTTGTACAGGTTTTTGTGTGAACACATACTTTTATTTCTCCTGGGTAAATTCCTAGGAGTGGGATTATTGAAGCATATTACAGTTTAAATTTAAACTGTTTACTGTTTTTCCAAAGTGGTAGTATATCATTTTGCCTTCCTACCAATAATATATGAGAGTTCTGGTGGCTTTGCATACTGGCTAGCAGTTGGTGTGGTCAGATTTTTTTTTTTCTTTACAAAAACAGAAAAACAGCTATTCTAAATATGCAGTGGTATCTCTTTGCAGTTTTAATTTTCAATTCTCTCATGACTAATGATGTTGAATTTCTTTTCATTTACTTATTTTCTGTCAGTTTGTCTTCTTAGGTGTTCAAATCTTTTGCCCATAATTTTAATGTTTTGCTTGTTTGTTTCCCTATTTGGTTGTGAGAGTTCTTTATATATTCTGAAACAAGTTTTTTTTTTTTTTTTTTATCAGATATAGGCTCTGAAAATATTTTGTCTTAGTCTATGGCTTGTCTTTTCATTGTCTTTTCAAAGCCTTTGAAAGAGTAAAATATTTAATCTTGATGAAGTCCTATTTATCACTTTCCTATGGTTTCTGCTTTTTATTGCTCTAAGAAATCTTCACCTAACCCAAGGCCACTAAGGTTTTTTCTTATGCTTTCCCCCTCAAAATGTTACAGTTTTAAGTCTGTGATCCTTCCAGTTAATTTTCATTCATGATGTGATATATGGGTTGAGGTTTTATTTGCATACAGCTGTCCAATTATTCCAATAACACCTACTGAAAATACTAATTTATTTATTGAATTGCCTGGAACCTTTGTTGCAAGTCCATTGACCATATATGTGTGGGTCTATTTCTGGACTGTTTGTTTAGTCTGTTCCATTGATCTTTTTCTTTGTCTTTTCACTTTGTCTCACTGTCTTAATTGCTGTAGAGTTTCAGTAGGTTGGGTACTATTAGTTCACCCACTTTGATTTTTTCCATTTTTTGGTGGGGAGTGTTATTCTTTCTTTGCTTTTTCCATTCAAGCTTTATAATTAGCTTTTTGATTGATTTTCTTATGAAAAAGTGCATTGGCATTTTAACTGGGATTACATCAAATCTATAGAACATTTTTGGAGAGAATTAGCTACTTAACAATATTGATTTTTCTAATCTATGAAAATTGTTCTGTAGTTCATAACAGCCAAATCTTACGTATATTTTGTTAGATTTCTCACAAAGTATTTCATATTTTGATGCTACTGTAAAAGGCACTGTTTTATTTAATTTGTTTCTAATTTTTCATTGCTAGTATATTGAAAATAATTGATTTTTATATATTGACTTTGTCCCCAGTGATCTTTTGAAACTTACCCACCAGTTCTAGGAGCTGTTTTATACATTCCTTAGGATTTTTAATGCAGACTGTCATGTTATTTGTGAATGGAGGCTGTTGTATTTCTTCCTTTCCAATCCAGATGCCTTTTATTTCTTTTTCTTACTTATTGCAGTAGCTAGTACCTGCATTGAACAGAAGTGAAAACATTGGCCTTTTTTGCCCTAGTACTAATCTTAAGGGGAAAGCATTCAGTATTTTGCCCTTAAGTATAATGTTAGCTGCATGTTTTTAAAATCAATGTATTTTTAGTTGAAGAAGTTTTCTTCAATTCATATTTGACTGAGAAAATATTTTTTAAATATCATTAACATATTCAATTTTGTCAAATGCTTTTTATGCCTCTGTTGAGATTATATAGTTTTTTTTTAGCCTGTTGATATAGTAAAATATATTGATTATTTTAAAACATTGAACCTACTTGGCAATGTATGGGATACATTCCACTCGGTCCTGATATATTATTTTTTCCTATGTTTCCAGGTTTGATTTGCCGGTTGTTTTGTTGAGAAATCAATTAAAAATAATTGTTCATATACAATGTCTGGTATTTAATAAAAATAACTATACTCATAGAAATAATTCAGCTTGAATGAAAACTAAGAAGAATTACAGACAATGAAAATGCACTCAAAAGGACTCTTAAAGCATTAACAGATACATAATTTTAAAATCTACACATAATATCTTCAAAATAAATGAAAGACAGGATTTGAAATTTTGGCAGAGAGCTGAAGGGTTGTGAATCTGTACCAGTTCTCTTAGCTCTTTACCCAATAGCTTGTTTGTGCTAGCCTGCTAACATTCCTCTAACACAGGCGAGGTGAGCCTGATTTATATGAAGATGAGGCTAGCCAAGACTATTCCAAGGCAATGCGGGAAAGAGACAACAGCAGAGCTTAAAACTTTGCCTCTCTGACAAATCCCCTCCTATCTCCTGACTTCTACTCCCACGTACTCTATAACATCCTGCCACTATACACATAATCAACACAAATAGATATTAGTGTCCCTAAAAGACTCTGAAGATTTTAAGATTTGGTGTTATCTTTCAGTTTCTGTTTTATTTCCCTTCAGAATTGGTCTTGGCAGAGGCAAAACAAGATGAGAAGTGTACCTTTTGTAGTTCCTGCATTTTCTGCACATATGGGCAGGAATACTTTTTGTGCTTTCACTAAAAGACAATGTGAGATATGGATGTTTTATTATCACAATGATTCCTCCTCTTTTCTCTTTATTATTATCTTTCATACTTGCAAATTGTTTGCTGAGAACTTTTTTTTTTTATTTTATGAAATTCGGGTTGAATATGCCTGATTGTAAAAACTCTGCTATTTGAATGTTTGTTCAACTTTTATTTTTACATCCTTGAAAATGGGAAAAAAAATCTAACATTTACTGATGAAGAAGTGTGCTGTGTTTATAAAATTCCAGGAAACTGAGATTGAATACAGCACAGTAAACTAAAAACAGAAAAAATAGAATTGAAGAAGAAACAGTAAGAAAAAGAGCATGCATAATGATCAAATAATTCACTAAGTAATCTAGATAATCAATAATCTAATAACCAGATAATTAGTTGTGGTGTTAATAGCAGTTTTAATATCGTGTATACTATCAGATATAGCATTTGTAATATACCATGTGTAATACACTACTTATGTATAGATGTTCCACTGCTACTATCAGACAAAAGGGAATTTAGGCTCTGTGACAGTCAGGAAGTTATGCCTTCCAGATTTTCCTTCAAAAGAACTTGCTGCCAGGGGAGGAGGTGAGATAATTGACTGCTAGCCTACAGCTGTTGCATCTTCTGATCCCTCATGGGATTCATGCCAAGGCCATTCATTCTGAACTGCACCCAGCTAATGCCTGAGCATGGGGAAGGTATTAGGGCAAGACTATTTCTGCCCAGTATGAAACTCCTCTAATGGATGCCCTGGAGAACATCACATGAAGCCATTTCATCGATAACATCATGCTGATCAGGTAGGATGAGCACAAAGTGGCTGGTGCGCAGGAGGCCAACTTCAGAAAATGATATTCTAGTTCTACTGCTGTGGCTCTGAATTTCTCAGGTCTCTTTATAATTCTATTTCTACTTCATACTTTGAAATTCTATGGGTTTATTACTGATTATTTTCTAAGTAGATCATTTCTATCTGAGTAGCTTACAACCTTGAGCACCACAGTCCACCCCTTGGGCCATGCAGATCTACTTCTCCATGAGAGTTTGAAGAGCAGTAACTCTGTATTTACCTTGAGCCCCTTTTCCTGAGAAGGAAACAAACTGCATATTGAAAGCCAAAGGATTTATAGAAAATTGTTAACAAACTAAGTAATAGATCATTCTTACTTTAAATCCATTATTTCAGTGACTAAAATAAAAGGAATACAAACACTACCAGTATTAATAAGCATTAGATTCAGCTGTATATGCCTAAAAACCTTAAAGACACAGCAGCTTAAACAAGATAGAAGTTCATTACGTACAAATACACATACACTTTTCATGGCTGGCATGCCAGGCCAACTTTACAGTGTCTTCAGACAGCCAGGTTCTAATCTTTTTCCACCACCATCTTCAGTATATGGGCTTCCATTTTCAAGATCATATTATGGCTCAATATGGCTGGCGGAGCTCTAACAATCATATCCAATGTGCCACACACAGAAGGAAAGGAGAAGACTTAAAGTCCACACTTTCTCTTTTAAGAGACCTTCCTAGAGATCTCTTGTAGCCCTTCTGTTTATATCTCTTTGACTAGACCCAAAGCCATTATATCACGCTTCAATATTGTCCATGCATAACGTCATGAGAAGCATTTCACATAAGAGCACAACAGCCCTCCTGGAGCTAATGGCATGGTCACACCTAGGTAAGAGTGAGCAGAAAATATGCTGGAATATCATCAGAGATCTCCTATCAAGAAAGAAAGAAAAAATACAGATTGAGAGAGATATTATGAAGTAAGTAGATCTCTCTGCTGTACTAATCAAATTATTTTCTGAAACTAGTAAAACTTTGATGCAAAGTTGATATTACTTAGTTGTTAACAAAATCAAAACTGAACAGGACATACAAGAAAAGGAAATGTAGATACATTATACTAATGAAAATGCATGCAAATAAAATATGAGGAAAACAAATCTATCTCATAGTAAATAACAATAAATAATATGGCTTTACCAGTGAAGGTTTGTCCTAAGAATTCAAGCACCAATAATAAAACTCACCTCATTAAGTGATTAAATGATATGAACCATGAGATAATTTTAATATATACAGAATTTTGGGGTTAAAATAAAAGTGATTAATCTTTAAAAATATTTGCAAACTATGATTAGGAAGTGTTAAAGGATCTCTATTAAAAACCTATAACAGACATTATACTTAATGGTTAAACTTGAAAGCACCCCCATTAAAAGACAGATAAAATTAAATATACCAGTTGACACAATTCAACATTTTTACAAAAGCTCTAGCAAAGGTACAAATATGAAAAAGAGGAATAAGAATTTAAAAGAGAAAATGTTTAATAATTTCTGTTTGATATGATTATATACATATGAAATAGAATCCTAAGTGAAGAAACTCAGAAATGGAAAACCAAACACTGCATGTTCTCATTTATAAATGAGGACTAAGCTATGGGTATGCAAAGGCATGCAGAGTGGTGTAACAGACATTAGAGACTCAGAAGGGGAAGGGGTGACAGATGAAAAATTACTTATTGGGTACGACGTATACTATTTACACTAAAAGCCCAGACTTCTCCTCTATACCATTCATCTATGTAACCAAAAACCACTGTACCCCTAAAGCTATTGAAATGAAAGAAGGAAAGGAAAGGAAAGGAAGAAAGAAAGAGAAAGAAAGAAGCTCTAAAGATGAGTTGTGAGAACTAAAGTGAAAATTTAGTAACTGTGCTGGAATCTAGGACCAACATTCAAAAATCAAGAGTACCTCCTTAGGAACCCATTAACACCCAATATAATAATTTATCAAAGAAAGCATACCATTGATAATAGCAACATATATTTTAAGATAAATATACATAAATATAACTAAAAATGCATAATACATGAATAAATTTTAATATTTTATTTTAAAATCATAACTTTTTAAAAGCCTGAATTAATAAAATATAAGATGCTCATGATGGGAAGACTTAATGTTTAAGGACTACTTTTTCCCCAAACTATAAAATTAATGTACTTCAAGGAAATGCCCATGTATTTCTCCTTATCATTAACATGACAAGCTAATTTGAAAATTCAGATGGAGGAGTAAGGGCCAAGGCAATCTTGAAGAACAATAAGGAGAGATAATTTCCCTAGGAGACATTAAGACATATCAAAAAGTTATAGCAGTTATGACATTCCAGATGATAGTATAGACATATAGACAAATGGGTCAAAATAGAGGACTCAGAAATAGAATCATACTTAATTAGGAAATTATTATTTGAGAAAGATAGAAAAATTATTATATATTCACTAATTGATGATGGGACCATTGTCTATTCATATTGAAAAATTAAATACATTCCTACCTTGCACAAGAACAAAAATAAAATTAGGTAAAGACCTAAATTTGAAAGGGAAAATTTTGAATTTTTTAGAAAGAAATAGAAGAGAATGTCTTTATGACCTTGGGATAGAGAACGCTTCCTTAGGTATGGTTCAAACACCCCTTACACAAAGAAAATTACTGATAAATTTTACTACATTGAACTATTCTTCAGTACGACACCAGAAGCAAAGTTAAAGGTAAGTTACATGCTGGAAGAAGGTATCTGAAAAATGTAGAAGCAACAAAAAGACAGTATCTAGAATACAAAGAATAAACATAAGATTAAAAATGGGTAAATGTTATAAAAAAGTAGTTCACAGAGCAGACAACTAGAATGATTCCTATATATATACTCATATGCATAGATAGATCTAACCTCATTTGGAATCAAATAAAACTGAAGCAATGATGTCATATCCATGATGTTAGCATATATTTTAAAAGTGTGAGAACACACCAATTGTTTGCAAGGATGGAGGAAATTTGAGTTTCCAGATGCTGCTTTTTGGAATTTAAATTGGTACAATTATTTGAAGAGTATTTTGATAGTATCTAACAAAGTTGAACAACAGAAGAATGCTTCCAACCCAAGAATTCTACTTGTTGGTTTACATCCTAAAGGAGTTTCCTATTGACACTCCAGGGTGCAGGACCATGCCTTTGTTCAGTGCAGGATGTTCAGGTTTCTTGGCCCTTGGCCCCTGCCCCTCTATCCAGTAGCAACCTGTGTTGTGGGGTCCATTGTGTGCCTATCCCCTAATTCATATGGTGAAGTTGTAACCCCCAGTACCTCAGAATATGACTGTATTTGGAGAATAGGGTCTTAAAGAGGTATTAAGTTAAACTAAGGTTATTAGGGTAAGGTCTGATCCAACATGACTGGTGTCCTTATAAGAGGAGGAGACAGGCACAGACATATTACAGAGGGAAGACCACGTGAAGACACAGAGAAGACAGCCTCTACAGCCACAGAGAGAGGCCTCGAAAGAAACCAATCCTGTAGACACCTTGATCTCGAAATTCTAGCCTCTAGAATTGGGAGAAAATAAATTTCTATTCTTTAATCAACCCCAGTTGTAGCACTTTGTTATGGCAGCCCTAGAAAACTAATACTTTGTCATCGAAAGAATGCTTCTTGCCTTTCCAAATGCTCCTGGGGTGGCACTGCCATGCTTGAGAAACTCTGCTATAAATGATTCCTATCACAGCACATGTACACTAAAAAAACATGATTTTTATTATAGCTGTTAAAATGAACAAACTCAATTGTATATGTTTCATAACTGAGAAATCATCCAAACATAAGACTGGATAAAAAAAAATAAGATGCAGTAGTATAACATATATAGCATGTTATCATTTATGTAAGGTGTAAACATGAAGAAAAACTCCACGTGTTGTAAATCTATAAACATCTGGCAAAATATAAACACCTAGGTGGGGAGTACTTGTACCGACTCTGGATTTCTGGTTACCTCTGGGATGAGGGAGAAGAGAATGGGGTGAAGAGCAGGCTTAGGAGGACTCCAAAGGGGCCTAACTGCTTCTGCAGAATTTTATTGCTTTTAGAAAAATGTAAAGCAAATATGGCAACATTTTGACATTTGTTAAATCTTGATAGTAGGTAAGTGAGTCTGTGTTAAGTTATTCTCTTTAGTTTTCTGAATGTCTTAAATCTTTCAAAAAAAAACCAAGAAAGAGGTAATTCTATATTTTGTTATTATAAAACAATCCAGATTTAGAAACACAGCTTCCTTCCCATCGAGGAATTTACTTTTAAATTATAGGTAATAGCTGGGAAATTTTGGAAGTTATTTGGGGGATACGGTTTGTTGCATCTCCCCTCATTTACTCCTTCCCCTTTGTTTGAACTCCAGCTAATCCAGCAATTCATGTGCTTGCATTCTCTGCAGCTGTGCACTAATTCTAGACTAAACCCCTCAAATTAGCAATGGATAATAATACACTAATTAAAACTGGAACACAAAGCAGTTTTTCCAGAAGCTATGTGAAAAAACTCACTGATTATTATCTGTGTATACTATAACAATTTTAGAGGCTCATTACTGAAGCTTAGAAGGAAATACACTGAGATAAACATGTTCAGAGTTGCTTCTTGAGTAATATTGATTTTACTTCTCAGCTTTGGAATGTGCACAAATGTCACTATTTCTGTATCTCCTGCCTCTTCCTACCAAAAAAAAAAAACAAAAAAAGCTCCAGAACAAATACCTCAAAACAACATAATAACCACAACAAAGTAAAATAGATAATACATTTAGAAAAAACTTAGTATTTGGAGTACAAAATGATCTCCTCAAGGCTATTTACTTATGGATTGTAAACCAATTTGACATTTGCCTGGTCCCAAGTAGATGAAATGATATGAGTTTCCTTCTTAAAATTAAGTAATTCTAAGTTACATTAGTTCTTTAAATTATTGAGCAATAAAGATAACTGAAAGTATGTATTTCTCTGTCTTAAGACAGATGAATAACTCTGAAAGCCCTTAAATATTTAGAATTATGGAGTGCTTATATCCTTGCTAAACCAAAATAAAATGACATATGACTTAGCCATATAATATTATACTTAGTTATCTGATCATTATATTATAACGGACTTAAAAATACTTAGAATTAACAAAGTTTATGCTTGTTATTATGTTATATATAAGAGTTTCCAGGTTCACTGAACTGCACCTCAAGAAACATATTGATGCATTCTCTAACTACATTTAAATCACTGTGTGTACAAAACACTTCTTATTCTCTGAGCTTTAATAGCTATCTGTAACATAAAAATGTTAATATGCCTTTTCCACTCTTATTTTTTCTGTTCAAAACCGTTTAGGAGACTGGCTTCATTGATTATAAAATGATCTACAGGAGCCTCTGTTCTTGAAAGGAAGGGGAGAAGAGAGGAGAGAGAAGGAAGGGGAGAGAAGAGAGGAAGGGAGGAACTGGACAAGAGCTGTTTGAAGGAGTCCAGGTAAAAGAAGACTGTAGCTGGTACCACATTGTTAGTAGTTGAGGTAAGAAGAGCGAACAGACTGACGGATAGGATGGAGAAAGAACCAACAGGTCTGTGTGTTGCTGATATGTTTGTGTGGGTGTTGGGAAGTCATGAAGAAAGAAAATAGAGAAGCCTAGGATTCTTCTGAGACTTGCTTTGAACAAGTGGGTGGATATAAGTTATTTACCAATTTAGGAATGGTGAGTAAAGAGAAGTTTTGGTAATGTGTAAATAAAGAGCTGTGTTTTGACTTATTTGACACTCATTCGAGAGGTATTTTAAGCATTCATGTAGCAAAATCAACTAAGCAGTTGGATATTTGGATTTGGAGTTATAGGAACAGGTACGGCTAGAACTCTAGATTTGGGAGTCATCAGTACAAGATGATATTTAAAACATGTGCTACTCATTAGGTCACCCACAGAAAACCTGTAGATAGTGAAAAGAAAGCTCAATATGTCAAAGAACTATAATGTGACCATGCAGTGCCTAGATGAGAGTGGCTAAATTGGAAAGGAGTAAGATTGAATGGATCATATAGTGTGGCTTGCCCATTTAGCCACAGAGTCAGTGTCTAAACATCCTGACTTATTGAAGAATTTAGAAAAGCATGACTTTTCCATAAAATGATATTTATGGTCTCTCAATACAGAGGGGAACTTTTTCCTTGTGGACTTTAAATTTCCCTGAATTACATAACACCAGAGATCAGTGGTCCTAATTTTGAATCAATTTTGGCAATAATTTAGATGGATCTTGTACTATCCCTTTTCTGGCTTGCAGGAGACTTTGTGCCTTTTGAAGTAATATGGCTATTATTTCTCTCTTGTCAAGTGTGCAATAGGTATTGCCACACATTAGTGAACCACTGAACCTAACCCATTGTATCTTTCTGTCATGTTAGCATTAATGGCAAGTGTGAGCAAGACCCCTGGGGAGGACAGGCTTTGAGGACAATTTGGATTAATATGCTAAATTATCTAAAATAAATAGGGACTCCATGTGTAATTTTCATTTCCTAAGCCCTGCAACAATTATAGTTATTCCACTGAAATGTCTGTAGCAATGAGATCAGTGACAAAAATAGTGCTTGAAAAACAAGAGCAGAAATGGCAAACATGTTATTTATTTGCTTAAATCCATTATAATGGGACTGGCAGTGTTAGTCTCATTAACAGAGGGACCTTTCTTTCCACACGCCAGCTGGAATAATAAAGGCAGCTATGTGACATTTAAAATGCAATTGCTCTGCTATCTGTAGATGATTCTGTTTCTGATACTTACTGATCACAGAGGAAAGAGATCTGGGTAGAATGTAAACCGTTTTGTTCATCATCTGCATTCCCAACAAATATAGCATTAGGGTTAAATGCTATAATATGGCAAGAAGGATATGCTGAAAAAGTATTTATGTCAGAATGCTTGAACATCTATTTGAAGCAATTCATGCAATTGTTCTTTTGCCATGTGACCAACCAAGAGTTGGTAGAAATACATCTGTTGTGTTTTTCTTGAATAGGCAAAAATAAATTATAATTAGGGAGATACTGCTTTGTGCACATAAATATACTGCATCTTTTGAAATTAGTTGTTCCAAACAAGTGAAAAGGATGCAGATTTCCCTCTTTGAATACTTAGTGAATGCAGGCTCATTTTGATGCCTTTGTTTTAATGATGAAGTGATGATCTTGAATTGAAACATACCTGTAGAGGTTAGGCATCATGTGACAAAGTAAGTTTTGGGATAAATTTAAGAATCTGATTTATTCAAAATTCTTTGCATTAAGGATTTGTTTTAAACCTCAAATAGGCAAATACTACTCAGTGATTTTCCATCCCTTCTTAACTGTTCCAACATGGATTCCAAAATGAGGGGTTTTAGGGGGGATTTTTGAGGCTTCCATTTTCTCGGTCAGATGAAAAAATTAGGAAACTCAGAGGCAAATAATGGCCTATATAATATATCACTTGGGTGGCCAAGCTTCTCCAGACCTCCAAGGTTCAGGCTAGAATTTTAATGGGTTCCCATCTTACTTGACCCAATTCATCTGTTTCCACTAGGTATCTTTATCCTTTACACACTAAAACCATGGAATGAACTGTAAATCATCAGATTATAAATTTTTATTCTGACGTTTTTAGGAACTACATTTATTCCACTTTTCTGTGTATGTAATGAGGTCTTGCTAGTTTTTTATTTTAGAGGCAAACAGCTATGCAATTTTGACTCATATGCATAGTAACAAAGCCGGAATATAAGTCCAGTTTTCTATGTAAAAAGCTATACTCCAATATTATTAGGATTATGAGGAGTATATAGTTTTTTAATCCCTCTCTCTCCCCTCTTATATATATACACACACACACAAATACACACCACTTACACTCAGTATTGCTGAAATTAAAAGTTAGATAGAATGCCTCAAAAGTAAGATAAAAAAGAAAAGCAAATAGCATTATTAAGAAATGAGCAGAAAGAGACTACCTAAAAGAAGAGAGTGTCTCTCATTCTCCAAAGCCTTTCTCTCTCATCCTATCTCCATACTAAGATTAAGAGATCATTAGGGGTCCATTTCATCCCCTTTGATGGATCAATTTCATTCGTCCAACAAACCACATACAGCTGACTCTGGATTGAAAAGCATCTGCTGGAGCCAAATTCTTGAGGCTTATTTTCCCAGAAACCGGTTGGAGAGGATGCTTCCTACCATAGAAAATCACAATAAACTATGCTCCCCTTGTGAATATTCACAACACATAGCTACTAAAAGCTCTAAAAAGCTCTGCTGTAAACCCTTTTAACTACTTCTAACATAGAGTTTCTTAAATATATCTCACCAGAGAGCCTTTAAAAAATTACTCCTTATTAACATCTACCAAGCTAAATGTTGGACTGGAATCGTGATTCTCAAACTTTAAATTAGGATAAGAATCAACTGGGTACATGTTGGGTACTTGTTAGAATCTTAAAGTCCCGGGGTCTACTTTCGCAAAGTCAAAAAGCCTCATTTCCAGCAAGCATTCAGGTGGATTCTGATGAAAGATGTCCATAGACCACAATTTAAGACACACCATCCTGAAAACTAAACTGAGGTACTCTTAGTAAAAGTCAATGCTGAGGTAGGCTCTGACCATGTAACCACACTGGTCTTTACTGGGCAATATGGGAGCCATTCTTATTCTACTCAGAATTACACTCTGTGTTACAAAAGGAATTATCATTCCCGATGGCAAGAATGTACCTTCAAGGAATGGTGGCCTCCCTTAGGCTGGTTGGTCCCGGCCCCCCAGTTATGCTTTCAACAAACATTTGTCATTTACCTTCTACGTGTTTTACAGTTTACATATTCAATCAAATTGTACTCGAATGGCATTGTACATGATCAGTAATATGCAGGAGATGCACAATGCCAGAGAAAAGCAGAAATGGCATGCCACTTCTGGATATGGTGTGATAAAGGAAGTCTTTACAAAGGAGGTAAAACAGAAACCGTCTTGATTTTAGCAGACTGAGCTAAGAGGAAATGTCTTCAGGCCTAGGGACTATGTGAGCGTATAGTGTGTACTAGGGAAAATATGGGTCAGGGCTCATTTAGAGTAACAGTAGATGTGAGAGAAGCCTGGAAAAGCAGTTTGATGGCAGATTGTAGAGAGGCAATAATTTTCTCTGGAATATTTGCTAGACAGTGAGAATTTGGTAGAAGACGGGATTTTAGGTCTCTATTGAGATTAATGTGATTATTGAATTTAAATACAGAGATATATGAGAATTGTGCAGAGCATTCCTAAGATAAAGGGGGTAGTTACTCTGTATGTTACCAAATGATACTGTTCTCAGTGATTTAAAAGAACAGGAGAAGGAAAAGTTAGACCACTAGTATTTTTCTACTCAGGTTTAAATTGAAAAACTATGGATTAGGTAACTCCTTGAGAACCTTTCCTGTCTCTTTGGCATATGAATAGCTATCTTTATGATGTGGTTCTTCTTGAGGATGTGAAATGTCTCTGATATAGCAGATTAAATGTCCTCCGAATATTTATTTATTAAAAACCTTGTGTGTATAAAGAGTGGGACTCAATACAGAACTAGCATTGCAACAAATGATCTATTAAAATTAAAGATTTTTAATTTTAGGCACAATGAAGTGTTATATTCTGTCTACTGTGTTTTAATTTTAGGAATTCTTTTTAATGCAGTGAATTATTCTACTGTTTGAGGATCTAAATATAAAATTCAGTGATATTCATGAAAATCTAATTCTAAGGCAATGAATATAGTGGAAATGCAAAGTACAATAAAACTTGATAGAAAACTGAAACACAGCCATTCTTTTGAGAGAAGATATGGAATAACAGTGGACCATATTGAAAGTATAATCACTAAGACCGCTTGGTGTACTAAAATCGACAGTTGATTAGAATGAATAATTAGGAAATACACTGACTTTTATTTTGCAAATAAGACTTGGAAATTATTAAATCATGGATTCATATTTTAGATACTAGAACATATATATTTTATGATAGATACAAAAAAGCACAGTTTACATCCTGGGAAATGAGCTAGTGATGTGTAATTAAAATAATACCTATCAATATAGCTCTAGCTAAGTGGCTGATAGTTTTTAGCTATTATGCAGTCTACTGCTGAGAAATTGATT
Source organism: Homo sapiens (assembly GCF_000001405.40). Classification (NCBI taxonomy): domain Eukaryota; kingdom Metazoa; phylum Chordata; class Mammalia; order Primates; family Hominidae; genus Homo; species Homo sapiens. The sequence continues at coordinate 125,503,599 of NC_000005.10, forward strand.
AGGTAATTGCAGAATGGATCTAATTCAATTGCTGATTGAAATAATAAAATGAACTGTTTCCTGAGCTGGTCATACTGATGATCTTTTAACCAAATTAATTGGGTTATGCATTAATTACCAATTGTTTTACACTCCAACCCTCTACCTCCATCACATACACACAATAGATCTACTTGGTTTTCTAGATTCAATCTTGGTTCTTAGAAAATATACTTCATCTTGAAAGAAGATACGGCACATTTGGAAATATAGGTGGGCCTTGGAGCCCTGCATAGTAAACATGGATATGATTATAAAGCACTGAGCTTACCACCTGTTACAGATTAAGAACAATCATTATTAGCTATTGCTATTAATATTTTCCTTAAAGAAAAAGTTATGTGACAAAACAAAGCAATTTGGTTAAATATAGAAAATTGGATTTTAAGAGCCACCTATTCTAGGAAACCTGTTCGGCTTGTTCACATCTACTTTCCTTCCAATTCCTTTATACAACACAAATAAGAAAAACCAACATAGGTCAAGATCAAAGAATCCCGCTAACACACCCAATCAGTGCAAGTATATACTCAGCAAACATTTCCTCTCCCTGTGTATGCGATGGTTTGGCTGCTCACTCACAGTAAGACAGTAGAGGGTAATGGTATAAATATGGGCTCCGGAATCAGACTGCCTGAATTTGAACCCTGGCTTCTCTGTTTATCAGAAAATTACCTAATTCTTCTGGGCTTCAATTTCCGTTTTTGAAAAACAGAGATAAAATAGTACCTTACATGATGGTTGTGAGGACTAAATTAAAATTAGCCTTGGACATAATAATTACTCATAAAATGTTAACTTATTATGTTTATTATTATTATAATGCTTTTTCTTCAGAAAATATATGTTTGGAATATGATGTTATGAATCCATAGTATTCATGAATTTTCTCTTCGACCAGATATAAACATTCCTTACTCTTCAAGTTAGATTTTTATCAAGGAAAAGTGAAGCTGAGGAATAAGCAAATTCTGAATGATTTTTGTTCCCGTAATTATTTAACATTGCTAATTCAAAGCCAAATTTTGAAACTGGAGCCTGAAATAAAGGTATTTTGAGAGGTCTTTATATGAAGTATGTATGAAAATCTCAGGAAAGGTAGAAACAAACAAAAGGTGTGAAATCAACATCAAATACCCACAACTTAGAAAAATTAAACTTTCCATGACTAAATTTTAAAAACTGGCTTTTATTCATAGTTTAAATATTATTAAAAGAAATGCGTACTTTACAATAGATTTTTCTAATTTTCCTTTGACCAATGTGACATTTTGAGCAGTTACTTTGATATGTAGATATCTCTGCATATAAGGATGATGGGAATGTGTCACCTATAATAGGATTTGATTATTTCAAATAAAATTTCAACATGTATGCATTTATCCTTTAGATTACTTCAATGAAAATATGAGAAAGAAGTACGTAATTTTGTCCTAAAGAACCAGTAAAAAATCCACCTCAGCTTGCTTTAAAATCTCTCTTCAAGTTATTTTCTTATTTGACAACTAAATCAAACAACCAGTCCTCTTACTTTCTTTGATCTAAACAATTTTACAGAGGCTACCTTGCAAATGTCCCAAGAGATGAGCCTGCTCACAGTGAAAAATGTACTCAGCAGGAAATTCGCTTAATGATAATGATTATTCTTCTATGTAATGGACATTTCATTGTCAGTAAAGTGTAATATTATTCTGTTGAAAGCTTTACATATGCAGCCAGCTCCAAAGACACACTAGTTTAACCTGCGTATCTCATTTTCCAGTTCTATCATTTGTCTTTTTGCATATTCAGTGAAAACCTTTCATGCTTGATACATGGATTGCTTTATGCTAACGTTGTTGCTTTTATGAAAAAATCTCCATAGCTTGTATGGATATATGGATTCATGAATACATTTCACATGATATCTGGTTGTAGAAGGTGGCATCTATTGTTTTGCCATGTGTGAGTGTATGGCTAGAGATTACTACTTTTAATTAAGCAGTGAATTACCACATTCTACTTTTTACAATTGCAAAGTTTTAACATGGGCAAGTTTTCCAGTCAGTAGTGGTTCGAGACACCACTACAGTATTTGGACGGCTGACTAAAAGGTCTCTCTTAGACACACACACAAAATCTCTGTATAGGTTTTACAGGATCTGCAATGCCACAAAACGTCTTTGTTTGTGTGTTTAGCATTAATGGCCTGCTTTCTCTTCAAAATATAAATACTCTGGAACACAAAATTGTGTCACCTCCACTTTCAGAAGTTGTTCCCCCAAAGCAAGCAAGCCCCAAGCTACATGACTGTCCGCTTCATCAGTCAGAGGTACTGAAATAAGGCGAAAGGCTAAAGGAGAATTAATACGTGAGAATCTCTGAGCCCCGAAAGCGAACCTAGAATTCTTCCCAATTAAAACATTAAGCAGAGGGGTACACTTAGGACCCGATTAAGAAATGGATAATGTATTCCTATGTACAGTAGCCCCCCCTCCCCAGTCCATTTACTCCTTGTTTCATTTTCTGTGGTTTCAACTTCTGCAGTCAACCATAGTCCAAAATTCTTAAATGGAAAATTTCAGAAATAAATAATTCATAAGTTTTAAATTGTGCACCATTCTGGGTGGAGCTAAAATTTCACGCCATGCCATGCCCCATCCCGCCCAGAACGTGAATCTTCCCTTGACCAGTGTATCTACATTTAGATGATCCCCACCCATTAGTCACAGTTATCAGATTTAAAAAAATATAATATGTATAGGGTTTGGTACCATATGCAGTTTCAGGAATCCACTGGGAGTCTTGGAATGTATGCCCTGCAGACAAGAGAGGGACTGTTGTATAAAGATAGACAAGGGAAATATAGGCAATTTATTAGTGTGTAAATATGCTACTCAAATCAGTATTTCTATTTCAGTAACATATAACCTCATGGGGATATACTTACATACAAAGCACAAATATGTGAAATGTTCTTACTAAAGCACAGGTTTCATTATAACTTAGATACACCTATATCCCATATTTATGTAATTATATTTTAAGTCTCTTTAGTGTTTAGTGCACATATATAATGGGGTCATATATGTATATATGTGCATGAACATGTATTTTATATACACTACTGTTCAACACACACTATTGATTCGTTTTTTCATTTTTTTTTATTTTACTTTAAGTTCTGGGATACATGTGCTGAACACGAAGGTTTGTTACATAGGTATACAAGTGACATGGTGGTTTGCTGCACCTATCAACCTGTCATCTAGGTTTTAAGCACCTCATGCATTAGGAATTTGTCCTAATACTCTCCCTCCCCTTTCCCTCCACCCCCAGACAGGCCCTGGTGTGTGATGTTCCCCTCCCTGTGTCCATAGTTCTCATTGTTCAACTCCCACTTATGAGTGAGAACATGTGGTGTTTGGTTTTCTGTTCCCGTGTTAGTTTACTGAGAATGATGGTTTCCAGCTTCATCCATGTCCCTCCAAAGGACATGAACTCTTGCTTTTTTATGGCTGCATAGTATTCCATGGTGTAAAACACACACTGTTGATTCTGTGATCTCATTTTCAAGGGACTGATTTTTAGTTAACGCTTATAACTTCTTATAGATAACTTAGCATTATTCTCATTTTTCAAAGTAAAAAAATCATTGTAAAATAATTTAAAAACAAAGTAGTCACATTCAAGTTTTTAAAAAAATTTTTTCACATGTTAAAAAATGATAGCAAGCTGTATTAGTTTGTTTTCATGCTGCTAATAAGGGCATGCCCGAGACTGGGCAATTTACAAAATAAAGAGGTTTAATGGACTTACAGTTCCATGTGGCTGGGGAGGCCTCACAATCATGGAGGAAGGTGAAAGGCACATCTCACATGGCAGCAGACAAGAGAAGAGAGCTTGTGAAGGGAAACTCCCTTTTTAAAACCATCAGCTCTCATGAGACATATTCACTATTATGAGAACAGCATGGGAAAGATCTGTATCCATGATTCAGTTACCTCCCACTGGGCTCCTCCCACAACACGTGGGAATTAAAGATGAGATTTGGGTTGGGACACAGCCAAACCATATCACAAGCTATCTTAGAAAATAGTCTCTATTAAAACCTTTTATGACAAGATCTAAATCTATAAAGCTCTTAAATGGAGGAATTGGTGGAAGATGAAAGAAATAAATGAATAAAATGCTATGGTTAATAACAAAGTTTGACCAAATAGAGTAATTGAAGGGAAACAGAAAACATAATTTTGAAAAGCCATTAAAGAAACTTAAACCTGCACAATGGATAATATTTCCCACTAAAGATACTGAATAAGTCATTTGGCTGCAAGTAGGATTTGAGCAAGATAATGGAAATGTGTGTGTGTGTGTGTGTGTGTGTGTGAGAGAGAGAGAGAGAGAGAGATACAAAGAGAGAGAGAGAGATTGGAAGAGAATACCTTAATAAACGTGATAACCTTTGGAAGAACTTTTAATATCTGTTATATCGCAGGATCTAAGAGGGTAGATTTCAAGTGTGGCTACTCCCAATTTTTATAGGCTACTATTTGGAAAATTGAGTAACACTGAAAGGTTTTACACTAGTGATATTGTATATTTCAGGACATGGGCTCTATTTTCTAAAATAGAGCTACCCAAATGCATTTCACCATGGAATCTCTTTAAAAACACAATACATTGATGAAATACTAAAGGAGATGATGAGATATGATCTACTTTTGGATTAAAGTTGCAAGTACAATAATGGTATCAGAGATAAATTTATTCTGTGAGTAATGCTCAAAAGCATTTCTATTTTGATAACATCAGATAATGTTACCAATATATGCTGAAATAAAATAATTCATATAACAGTGACCAGATCTTACCAAAAAGATTAGAAAGTAAATGCTTCCTAACTCACTAATGCCTAGATTGAATATCATGTATCGTATGCTCCCTTGTCTGATTATCTGGCATTTGAGGGTTAAGTACAAAATTTTTAAAGGTATATTTTAGCACAATATATATAAATATCATTAGCAATTTTTTACATTTGTTCCAAAAGAGTATTGTTTTTTATGAAAAGATATATTAGGAAGAATTCAAATAATGCAGCAAAATATATACAGTTAAAAAAATAAGTCCTCAAACTATGCTATCCAGAAATGACTATTAACCCTGCATATACTTTATTCAGACATCTCTCCCAGCACATAAACCTGAAATATTAGATAGGTAGGTAGATAGGAATATGTACATGATTATATAAAAATGGGATTATGCTATTTTTATAATTCTTACTAAGGTATAATTTATATACAATAAAATTCACCAACTTTGTACATTTTTATGTGCTTTGACAAATATTTAGGGTCATGGATCTCCTACTATAGTCATGATATTGATCACTTTTGTCACCCTAAAAAAGTTCCCTCGTGTCCCTTTGCTGTCAGTTCTATCCACTGTCCACTCTGTTCTGTTTTCTGCCACTATCGTTTTGCCTTTTATGGATATTCACAAAAAGCAAATCATAGAGCATGCTGGCTTTGTGTCTGGGTATTCTACTTAGTCGAATGCATTTAGTAATCATCCATGTTGTTGCACGAATTCCTAGTTCATTCCTTTTCACTGCTGAGCATTGTTTTGTTGTATGGATATCTCACACATCCGTACATTCATACAGCAGTTACGGAAAGTTTGCAGGTTTTTCAGTTGTTGCAGTTGTTTTCAGTTTTGGCTTTTTATAAGTAAAGCTGCATTTGAGAGGATTTTGAATGGATATATATACATATATACATATGAATAATTCTTTTAGGTAAATACAAAAAAAGTGGTATTTCTGGGATATAAGTTATAGATCTATTTAACTTATAGAACACTATCACATTGTTTTTCCAAGAGGCTGTAAAATCTGGCATTCTAACCAGCAATATATGGGAATTCTATTAGCACCACATCTTTAATAACATACTTAAATTTTCATTATTCTGGTGAACATATGGTAGTTTCTCACTATGGTTTTAATTTACATTTCTATAATGACTACTAATTTTGAGCCTCTTTCTATGTGCTTATCTGACGTTTGTATAATTCTTCGGATGTGGCCATTTTGTTGTTGGGTTATAATTAGTTTTCTAGGGCTACCCTAAAAGTATCACACGTGGCCGGGCGCGGTGGCTCACGCCTGTAATCCCAGCACCTTGGGAGAACAGCCTGGGCAACAAAGTGAGAATCGGTCACTAAAAACAAAGTTATTAACTAGATGTAGGTTTTACAAATATTTTCATCTCGTTTGTGGCCTGCACGTTGATCTGCCTTAACATTATATTTTGAAGAGCATATGATTTTAATTTTGATGAAGTTTTATCAATTATTTTATCATTTCTGAATTTTGAGTCCTACCTAAGAAATATTAATATTTGCTAAAACAAGAACACAGAGGGTTTTTTTTACATGGTCTTCCAGAGGTTTTATATTTTCAACTCTCACATTAATAAATGTGTAATACATTTGGATGTGTATACTGACTTTTCTGAACTAATTCTGTGAATTGGTTCAAAATTGTGTGCGTCATCATGGAAAATCCTCCAGGAGAGAGACCCTGTCCCCACAGGGCATATACATGTTGAGGGGTGTTTTGGGGAAATGCAGTGCGGAGGACATCTACATAACAATAAGAGTGGAGTTTCCTGTGTAAGTAACGTGGCCCCGTTAGGAGGGCACACGTCCCTAGTTCAATGTTTGTTGGGTTATCATTCTTTTCTCTTAACTTAACTCAAACTGCTAAGAGACCCCTTTGCTTAGCTACTGAAAGAATATGGCAATTTACAGCAATTAACAGAACTGACCTAGTCTCTACTCTTTTTTGGTAATGTTCCACACATACAGTTCATTATTTCATTTTCACAGTAAAAGGAATAGAGTAAGCAAGGCCAAAATCTCGTGGAGTTAGACTTCTGCTGTTTATTATTTGACAAATTTCCTCTTTTATCCTCACTTCCTTAATTTTACCTCTTAGTTTCTTTTCACATGAAACATTTGTTCCAAATGAAATCATCTCAGTTAGAGAAGTGATAAGCAAGTGGGAAATGGAACTCTATTTCAGTGGCTCCAGAGGCCAGCTCTCTGAGTTTGCAGTCACTTTGAGAGCACAACCTCATACAGGCAAATAGAACATTTATGTTTAGGAGATCCCAACAAAGCAAGCAAAGTGTTGCAAGAAAGAATTTTCTAGCTCTGCATTCCCTGAAAGCTTCCAGTAAGTGGAAAAATTGTTTCTCAACAGATGGCATTCAAAAATTTTTCCTATGAAATCTGTGTGATCAAGGATTAGGGAAATGTTGCAAGGTTCTGTTTCTCTATATTTGGATCCTAAATACTGAATAATGGTTTTGTTTGTTTGTTGTTGCTCTACTTGTTTTAATTAGTCCATATTTTTGACTGAAGTATTTTAAAGCAAATTTCATTCATCATGTCATTTCTACCCTTTGTTCTTTAGCATGCATCTCTAAATTTAGGGACATTTTCTCATGTAACTGCAGTTTATGTTACATCTTTCAAGACAAATTAAGAAATGTTTCATATTAAAATTTCACTAATTGTCTTAAAATGTCTTCAACTGGTTTGTTCTAATTGAGATTCAAACAAGGTTCTTATGACTCTTGGATCTCCATAATCTATAATGGGATTTTCTCTTAATATTTTTATATTAGGTTTTGAAGAAATCAGGTCAATAATTTTGTAGCTTTCTATTCTAGGCATTTAATATGCACTGGATATTAGTACTAAAGGCTTGATTGAATTCAGGTTTCATGTTGGACAAGAATATCATATTTCATTGGCGGTTCTCTGTTCTTCATAACATATAGTATTAGGAGGACAATATGTCTGGTTATCATATTCATAGGACATACTGACGATACAGCTATACAGACTATTTGTATACTTGTATTCTCCCCACTTTCTGCCTCTTGTTCTTATCACTTAATGATATATTCTGGAGAGCAATTACATAGAAACCATCCATATTTCCTTGTATGATTACATAGTATCCCACTGTAAGAACATAGCATGATTTACTTAAACAATATCCTCTTAAAAGATGTTGAGGTTATTTCCTGTATTTTGCTGCTGCAAATAATACTGCAATTAACAACCTAGTTCCTTAGTAATTTTTCTGGTATATTTTTGAGATATGGTCATATAAGTGAGTTTTGTATTAAAGAATAAACCCATATGCAAATTTGCTAGATTTTGCCAGATTTACAGAGGGGTGGTAATGTTTTGCATTTTGACCAGAAATTCACGAGAGTGTGTGTCACTCTGTAGTCTCACTAGCCAAGTATATTGTCAAATTCTTGGATATCTGCTAATCTAATAGGTGAGAAATGGTATTCCAATAAAGTTTGAATTTATTTTTGCTTATTATATGTCAGGTTGAAAACATTGTCATATGTTTAATAGCCATTTTTATTTTGTCTCCTATGAATTGCCTGTTCAAAATGTTTGCACAATTTTTTACTGGTTTCTTGGCTTTCCTCTTCACAGTCTCTAGGAGCTCATGGTGTATTAAAGACATTAGCCCTTTGTGACATATGTTGCAAATATTTTTATCTGCTTGGTATTTGCTTTTTACTTCACTGGTTTCCTTTGCCATACAAAAACTATTTTTAAAATAGATGTAGAATGTATTAATCTTTCCTTTTGCCTCTAAATTTTATATATTCTAGTGAGAAATATATTCACTCCAGATTATAAATATATGCACTCAAATGTTGCTGTAGTTTTTACGGTTTAACCTTTATTTTTTATATCTTGGTCCATTCGTAATTTAAGATGTAAGACATGAGGCACTCAGGCAGTTTCATCTCTTTCCAAACAGCTATGCAGTGTTCCACCATCACTCATTTAAAAGCCCATCTTCTTCCTGCTGACTGGAGATATAGCTTTTTGTCATATGTGAAATTTTTATAAATAAGTCCTTCCTTCCTTCTCTCTCTCTCTCTTTCCCTTTCTTTCTTGCCTTTCTTCTTCCTTCCCTTCCTTCCTTTTTCTTTCTCTTTTTTCTTTTGCTTCTTTCTTTCTTTCTCCTTCCTTCCTTTCTTCCTCCTCTTCATCTTTTCTTTTCCTCCTCTCTTCTTTCTTTTCTTTCTTTCTTTCTTCTCTCTCTCTCTCTGCTTCCTTCCTTCCAAAACTGAGTACCTCTTTTGATATTTAGGATATTTTTATTGTTCTAGCATTCCCTTTATGCTATCACACTTATATAGTACCTTAGTTTGCTCTATTATTTCTAACTAAAGCTGACAAGTGTAAAGATTACCAAAGCATCAGCCATAGAGCATTTCTTTAAAGCTGTGACAATTTTTAAGCAATCAAAAGATTTTCCGAACAGAAGCCCGTATTGGAAATGTTTATTAACAGTTTTAGAAGGTAATCACTGAGGAGTTATAATTTTTACCTTTTGCTTTTATAATGAATTTTATGTTTGTAAGTTGTAATTAATCGCATTAAAATTATATTATTCACTTTTTTATATTTAACTACATAAAAAGCTTTCTTAGAAAAAGGATAACAATCTGATTTCACATATCCCTTCACAGGTCAAAAACATTTCTGTCTCTGCATGTGATTGTGTGTAGCACATATAATCAGATTTATTCCTTCATACAGAATGTCATACTTTCCTAACAGATTTTTATACAACAAATTTTTGTATGTGGAAAAGCATTGCTTTCTATTGACTGTCTGGAACCTTCACTGTAAAACAAAATTGTGTCATCTTAATGTAATTAAATTATAATTGAGGGCAAAATAATTCTAATTTCACAATCCTTTTATGGTGAATCTAATTAATGGCATTTAAAGGTCCTTAGGCTTGTATTATGTTTTTATTATCACAGTACTCCCACAGAGCAATAGTAAGCCCCAAAGCCTTTGAAATATGATGGAGATTTTCACTGACCTCAAACTGCCTTAACACTTGTAATTTCATATCCCAGGTAATTGCTTTAATGCTCTCTGCTAGTACTTTTGATACCATTTACACACTGTGGCCTCTTCCACATATGTTTGTCCAATGACACTCACTAAATCATACAGTCACAGTGCCTTGAGAAGAAGAGAAGACAGTAAAGCTGAGGATTAAAATGAAAGCCAGCTTAAGACTGATGAGAGAAGGCACAGCTTTGTGTCCTGGGCACCAAGATCTTGACTGAAGAGCTACTTGGTCGTAGTGGCAGAGGTCTGGAGAAGAAAGCCTGGGTACCACAAAGTCAGAAGGTTTCAAAAGCTACATTTATTTTCTCCTCTGCCATACCATACAATGGTAGGCCTCATGAGAACAGCTCTGGAAGACCAGCCCTATTTTGCCTGTTAGTTGCAGTCCTGACCAGACATCAGAAGAGATCCAAGAGTAGCTGCATTTAAAATTAAAAGTAGTTTATTTGCAGAAACATGGATGGAACTAGAGGTCATTTTTAGTAAATAAGCCAAGCAAAGGACGACAAACATTGCACGTTCTCACTCATATGTGGGAACTAAGAATGTTGATCTCATGAAAGTAGAGAGTAGAATGATAGTTACTTGAGACTGAGAATTTACCACCACTGGGAAGTTGTGGGGAGAGAATGAAGAGAGGCTGGCTAATGGGTACAGATATACAGTTAGATAGAAGAAGTAAGTTCTAGTGTTTGATAGCATAATAAGGTGACTATAGTTAACAATAATTTATTGTATATTTCAAGATAGATAGCTAGAAAAGAAAATTTGAAACATTCCCAACCAAACATGATAAACTTTTGAGGTGATGGATATTCTAAATATCTTGATTTGATCATTACACATTGTATGCATGTATCAAAATATCACATGTACCTCATAAATATGTATAATTATTGGCCAGGTGCAGTGGCTCTCACCTATAATCCCAGCACTTTGGGAGGCCAAGGCAGATGGATCACCTGAGGTCAGGAGTTTGGGGTCAGTTGGGACAACATGGTGAAACCCCATCTCTACTAAAAATACAAAATTAGCCAGGCATGGTGGCACATTCCTGTAATCCCGTCTACTTGGGAGGCTGAGGCAGGATAATCACTTGAACCACTTCACTGATCATTAGAGAAATGCAAATCAAAACCACAGTGAGATACCATCTCACAACAGTCAGAATGACTATTAAAAAGTCAAAAAAATAACAGATGTTGGTAAGGTTGCAGAGAAAAGGGAACACTTATACACTGTCGGGGCGAGTGTAAATTAGTTCAGTCATTGTGGAAAGCAGTATGGTGATTCCTCCAAGAGCTAAAAACAGAACTACCATTCATCTCAGCAATCCCATTACTGGGTATATACCCAGAGGAATATAAATCATTCTATCATAAAGTCACATGCATGCAAATGTTCACTGCAGCACTAGTCACAATAGCAAAGATATGGAATCAACCTAAATGCCCATCAATGACAGATTGGATAAAGTAAATGTGGTACATATACACCATGGAAGACTATACAGCCATAAAAACGAATGAGATAATGTATTTTGAGGGAACATGGATGGAGCTGGAGGCTATTATCCTTAGCAGAATAATGCAGGAACAGAAATCCAAATACCATATGTTCTCACATATAAGTGGGAGCAAAGTAATGAGAACTCATGAACACAAAGAAGGAAACAACTGACACTGAGGTCTACTTCAGGGTATAGGGTGAGAGGAAGGAAAGGAGCAGAAATGATAACTATTGGATACCAAACTAAATACCTGGGTGATGAAATAATCTGTTCAGTGAACCCAAGTGACATGAGTTTACCTATGTAACAAAGCTTCACATGTCCCCGAGCCTAAACGTTAAAAAGAACAACAAAAAGCTTTCAGTGACCAAGTATATATGAGAAACATAACATGTCCTGGACCCATTGTAGAGTAACAATGTACATTTCATTATGAAGACCTATGCTAAAGAAATCAGGGTAGCCAATTAAACCTATGGACTAATTTTAAATATAAAATTTAAAAGAGATGTCTTTTCTCTCCTTTATTATACTTTTTATCCTCCTGTGGAGCTAATATTACGCAGAGCTGGTTGGAAGATTTTCCAGATTTATACTCTACTAAAGTTTGTAGCTGCATCACGTCCCTTTGGAGGTGTAGGTGGGTGTAAATCAAATCTATAAACCTTTGCAGTTAGTCTTTTGAGTGCCTCAAAAAGTGTTTCTGCAAATATCAACTTAATAAACAAACAGCAGCATCTGAGTTTTCATTACGATCAAGTCCATAAAGTAAGTCTGTAGCCACTAACTAAGCTGCACATATGGTTAATTAGAAGTATCATAAAGCTTTATTGAAAAGCATAATATTTACATCAAAGTTAACATTTGAGTTATGCTGGATTTGGGCTACTGTGAAGGCTAAGATTTAACGGTGAGAATTAGCATGTAGTGGAGATTATTACAAGATTTTCACTCAAATTATTAATATCCAGAAAATGCTTGCAACAACCAGAAAAGGGAATAAGATGATGGTATTACTCTAACTTTTAAAAATTGATATGCTATTTTTTGACACTGAGAACCCTATGCATTACTTACATTGGTGTCTGCATACGCATGTTTATATGTGTGTATGAGTGGGTGTGAAGTCACTCAGTACTTCAAGTCCCAATGTTTTCACTGGGCATGCTCCTAACTTGTCATAATGTTGTGGATAATAAACACTGGTTGGAAGATTTAACTACCACGTACTTTTGAGGTTATTTTCTAAAATGTAAAGTTGAAATCATGTTGGCTATTGTTATTTGCTCCTTGGGAAGTACATATAGTCTCATTTAAATATGGTATTTCCTTTTGCTGCCTTTTTGGACACCACTGACAATTGTTAAAGATACTTAAGTCAGCTTTTGTCTTTCAAAAAATCTGTTACTATCTTGGGAATAAGGTTTGTCTTTTTTCTTTTTTTTTTGAAAGACAAAACTTAAGTCGGTTTTGTCTTCCAATAAAATTTGTTAACATCTTTGGAATAAAGTTTGTCTTTTGTTTTGTTTTGCTTTGTTTTAAATTTTCTCCCCAGTGCAGCATTGATTACAAAGAAGGAATTCCATAAGTTCTATGACTTCTTGAAGGTCCCAGGGCTAATGGGTCTCTCCTAAACATAATAGAATTTGCAGAAATATACAGGCAACAAGGCAACAGCTAGAAGATTGAACATTTTACTTTTCATTCATTTGATAGATACGCTAAGATTTTTATTGAAATGTAACATAGATAAGTACATGAATACCACAATAAAACTTCGCTAATTTTCACAAAGTGAACATACTAGGTGACCAAGACCCAAAACTTGAATATTATCAGCACGAATCCCTCCATGTCACTATCAGTCACTATCTCCACCAAGTAAACCATTATCATGACTTCTAACAGCGTATCATTGCGTCACAGAATTATATAGTATATTCTCTTCTGGGAGGATTTGGCTTCTTCATCTAAATACTGGTTTTTTTTGAGATTTATCCACAGTATGTGTACCAATGGCTTATTTTCAATGCTGTGTAACACCATTCCATTGTAATTTGTTTATCCATTCTTCTATTCATGAACATTTGGATTGTTTACACTTTTTGGCTTTTACAAACAGTCCTGCTGTAAACATTCTTGTGCATTTTGGGGAGCATTCACTTTGAAGTAGAACTACTGGGTCTCAGGGTATGAAAAAGACTGGGTAAAGTAGATACTGTGAAATTCTTTTCTGGAGTGATTTTATCAATTTACTCACCAGCTTTGTAGGAGAATTCAAACTGCCCCACATGGTCACCAACACTTGATAATGTCACTTGAACAGTTTTTAGCCAGTATGTTTTGTCAGTTCAATTATTGTAATTTTTGAAATGTAATTCTCAATCAATTTTAATGAAGTACAATTTAGACACAATAAAATGCATGCATTTTAAGTGATGTTGATAACAAATTTATACATCTGTGTGATCATCATATCAATACAAACAGGGAACATATCTATCACTCTCGAAAATTCCTTTGTGCCCCTTTTTAGTCAATGCCCTCAACACTCACTGCAGGAAGCCATGACTTGATTTATGTCAATGTAGAATAGCGTTGCTTAATGTTAGACTTTACATAAATTTAATCATACAGTATGTACTCTTTCGTATCTACTTCTTTTATTAGAAATAAAGTTTTTAGTTAATCTATGTTTTTATGCATATCAGTAATTCACTTCTTCATATAGCTGAGTAGTTTTCCATTATATAGATACATACTGCAAGTTGTTTATCATCCACTCACCTATTGATGAACTTTAAAGTTGTTTCAAATTTTTTTGTGTTAACAATAATGCTGTTATGAACATTCACATGCAAGTCTTTGTGTGGTTATCTTCATTAAGTGTATCATATGACAAGGGTATATTTAATTTTACAAGAAAATTCTAGCCTCTTTTCCAAAGTGATTATACAAAGTGATTATAACATTTTAGACACTCAACAGCAATATATGAGTCATAAGTACTCCACACTCCTGCTAACGTTTGATATTGACAATTTTTTAATGTTAGCCATTCCAATTGTGCAAATTTGTGTTTTGTTATGGTTTTAATTTGCATTTCTTCATGAGTAATTATGCTGAACATTTTCAAAGTGACTTTAAACATTCTACTGGTGATTTGTTAATCTTCTCTTGTGAGATGTTCTTTTCAACCTTTGGCCCTCTTTTTATTGGGTTGTTTGCCTTTATATTATTGACTTGTAAGAACTCTTCATATCGTCTGCATAGAAGTCCTTGTTGGATACATGCACATGTAACTATATCTTCCCAGGTTGTAAATGGCCTTTGGGTTTTCTTTAGCAGGCTTTTGAACAAACAGAGGATTTTAATTTTGAGGAAGTTCAATTTAAATTTTCTTTTTTGCTTAGTGCTTTTTCTTACCCCCCCGCCCAAAAAAAAATCTTTGCATACTCCAATCTATGAAGATTTTCCCCTGCATTTTCCTCTAGAATGTTACAGTTTTACCTTTTATTTTTAGGTAATAGAAATAAATAATCTATTCACCAATGACCTATTTCAAATTAATATTTATGTAGAGTATGAGATAGGGGTACATGTTTTATTTTTTTTTTTCATATGGCTATACAGACATTCCAGCATCATTTATGGAAAAGACTCATTTTATCTCATTAACTTATTGGTGCTTGGTTAAAATTTAATGAACCATACATACATGGCTTTACTTCTGGATTCTATTCTGCTCCACTGACACTCTATGTCTTTGTACCAATAATATTTATCAAGATTACTTTAACTTTAGCTTTATAGAGATCTTCAAATTAGAAAATGTGATTGTTTTAACTTTATTCACTTTCAAAACATTGTTGGCTCTTCTATGTCCTATGCTTTTACAAATTCTACAAATATGTCTGCTTACATTTTGATTGGGACTGTGTTAAATCTACATAGACTTTTTGTGGGAGAATGAATTAGTTAACAATGTTGAATCTTCTAATAAACTCTTGAACAAAGTAAATCTCAGCATTTATTTATGTCTCATGTAAGTTCTCTGAGAAATGTTTCCAGTTTTCAGTATAAAAATTCTGCATATTTTTGTTAAGTTTGTTCCAAAATATTTTGGACTTTAGTGCTACTAGACATGATATTTCTTTTTGAGTTTCAATTTTATTTCATAACTTCATCCCCATTATTTCTTGCTAGTAAATGTAAATACTATTGATCATTGTATATTAGTGTTTGTTCTGTGATTTTCACTAAATTTACTTATTTTTTCTAGTAGGGCTTTTTGGTAATTTTTAAGGATTTTCTCTGCACATTTTCATATCATTTCTGAATAGAGACTGCTTTATTTCTTCTTTTCTAAGTTTCTAACTTTTATTATTTTTTTTCTTTTTTTTACTATACTTTCTAGGACCTCCAGTACAATTTTCAGGAGAAGTGGCAAGAATGGACATCCACCTCCCACCATGTGATGACATGGTAAGAAGGCCCTTGCCAGATGCTGGCACATTGATACCAAACTTCCCAACCTCCAGAACTGTGAGCCAATATATTTCTAGTCATTATAAATTACCTAGTCTGCAGTTTTGTTATAGCAGCACAGAACAAAGAAATACAGATCCTCCCTGACTTAATGTTGAGGTTATGTTCTAATAAACTCATTTTAACTTGAAAATATTTTAAGTTCAAAATGCATTTAATAGATCTAAACTACAGAACATCATAGCTTAGCCTATCTTAAACATGCTCAGAACACTTACATTAGCCTACAGTTGGGCAAAATCATCTAACATCAAGCCTATTTTCTAATAAATCTTAAATAATTTTTAAATATTTCGTGTAATTTATTGAATACTGTACTGAAAGTGAAAAACAGAATGGTTGTGTAGGTTCTCACCATTAATTTACAGAGTTGAAAGTCCACTGGACTTGAAGCTTGAGACATTAAACTAAAATCTATTGCTGGGTGATAAGGATGCTACAACAACTGGGTTATCAATTTCTTTCTCTTCTGATGAAACTTCAGAATAGTTGGTAGAAGGCACTGAGACACTGACATATTGATTTAGCAGGCATAGTGTTCTTCAGAAAGACATCGAGTATTGGTTATTTATCCTCATGTTACATATTTTACATCATTTGTTACTTCTCCCATATTTCTGATTATTTTAAAAATTTTTGTCAAAAAGAAATGATCATCAGATTTGAGAAGATCTATCTGCCCTTAAGTTCACTAACATTTACCATCTATACTTTGTTAAGATCATACTGTAAACATTTTTATTCATTTATTATACTTTTCAGTTCTAGCATTTTCAATTTTTGTTTTTTCACAGTTAACATTTCTCTTTTGAAATTTCCTCTCTGTTGACTCATTAAAACCATTTTTTTCCATATTTGGCCTGGTTTGGTTTTTCTGTTGCTCTGACATTGTGGAGAAATTGTTCCCAGGAAGATAATGTCATCTCTGAATAACGATATATAGTCAATTTTCATGCTGCTGATAAAGACACACCTGAAACTGGGTAATCTATCAAGAAAAAGAGGTTTAATGGACTCACAGTTCCACATGGCTGGGGCTGCCTCACAGTCATGGCAGAAGGCAATAGGCAAGTCTTACGTGGCGGCAGACAAGAGAAAATGAGACCCAAGCGAAAGGGGAAACCCATAATAAAACCATCAGATCTTGTGAGACTTAATTACTACCATGAGAACAGTATGGGAGAAACCACCCCCATAATTCGATTATCTCCCACCAGGTCTCTCCTACAACATGTGGGAATTTTGCTGCTTGGCTAAAACTTACACTAAAATGTAAAGAGAAATGATAATGCCAGGCATTCTTGTCTTGTTTCTGGTCTTAGGGGAAGGTTTTAATAGTGCACAGTGAAGTATAATGTTTGCTGTAAGTTTTTTTTTTAAATCAGATTAAAGATGTTTCTTTTTGTTTCAAGTTTGCTAAGAGTTTCTATCTTGAATGGAGAGTCAGTTTCCTCAAATCATATTTTCTGCATCTTTTCTCTCATTTCATTATGTGGCAAATTACACTAATGGTATTGTGATGTTAAATCAATCTTATATTATTAGAATGACTACCTTTGACATGAGATATTTTGTTTAGATTTTTTTGCAGCCATGAAATGCCCTATAATTTTGAGTAACATGAAGTAACTCAAAAGTAATATCTCATCAGATTTTAGTGTTGAGGTTATGCTGGTGGTAAAGATCATCTCTGTGTATTTTTCTATTATTTTTTCCATTTTCGCTTTTGACCTTGTTTTTGTTTTTTGCATACCTGGTAAATTCTGATTGAATATGAGATATTGCACATGAAAAATTATTGAGGATCTTGATGATTAGATAGATAAAATGAGGTCAGTTTACCTCAATCAAACCAGGGGCTATGTTGGCACCAGGCTAGATTATATTTTTTGTAAAAACTGTGTCTATCATTGGTTCACATTATCCCCTTGTGTATTACATAGTACTCTGGATTTCAACT
Organism: Homo sapiens; assembly: GCF_000001405.40. Classification (NCBI taxonomy): domain Eukaryota; kingdom Metazoa; phylum Chordata; class Mammalia; order Primates; family Hominidae; genus Homo; species Homo sapiens. Next base: position 125,521,619 of record NC_000005.10, read on the forward strand.
GAGATCCTGGGTTGTTTACTAGAGTCCCTTCTACTTGGAAGATTCTAATCAATATATTTTTTTTTCAGCATGGTGAGACTAAGGAAATCTCATTCAACTTTTCAAAAGCTTTCTGCTTACCTTCTCAGCAATTTTCCCCATGAGATTTATACATTTGGAAAATGTATTTTGAGGAAAACCACAAGTATGAAGCTCAGTTCTCCACATCTTCCTTCCCTCTGGCCCTTAGTCCCTTAAGTCCTAACTATATTGGCAGTCCTAGAGTTTAGACTCTAATTTTTGTCTCCCTAGCCCTGTGAAGTTGCCAGAGGTATGGCTGGCTGCTCAGATTCTTATCTGTGGGCCCATTCGCATGCCTTTAGCCTTTCCATCTTTGCCAAGTATCAACAGGTACCACTATGAGAAAAGTGGCCAGCACAATGTGAGTTTCCCAGTCTTTGATTCCTTTAAACCTATAATCTTGGCTCTCTAATGCTTGGTTGCCTTAGCATTTCTATGATGCCTTCAAACAGAAGATTTAGACTTTTTTTTTAATCCAAGAAGGGAAAAGTCTTCTGCCTAATGGTAATTCACTATATTTGAAATTGAAAGTTGTTCAATCCAGGAATTTAATATTTTGTCGATAAGTCCAAAGAATTGATGGCTATAGATTTATTGCTATGAATGAGATTCAAAAGTGCCTTTTAGGGAACTGCCTCATATGATACATTCTGTCTTATAGTGGGGAAAAGAAAGTTTTGGGACCCCAAAGAGCATAATTTTGCATTAGTAGAATTACAGTATTTATCAGAACTTGGAAGTATTTACATGCATTTTTGTTCTCAATTGTGCAAATACTTTTTCCCTCTCAGTTATGGACAGTTAAATAGCAACACGACTATTTCAATATTTCTTCCTATGTTGGGGATGAGATAGTTTATTAATAGTACTTTAATTATTACCATCAAATGAATACATTATCTTCTCTTTCATTCCCTCTCTCATGTTTTCTCTGTAGGGATTGATTCTTAGACAGAAAACATCATCTCTGCGTATTCATAATGATACATAAGTGAGTTACATAGGAGAATGAAATGTAAATGAAGATAATGAAATCTTTATGACCTAGAAATGGCATAGTGTTTATGTAGTAGTTCTTGACAAATAAGCAAATTAGGGTGTTCATTTAAGCAATATATCCCAGGAATCACACATCATATCAACAAGAGGTTAACTTATTTTTGTATTAACTCAACACATAAAAGAGTATAAAACTTTTTGAAATGTATGGAAATATTTAAAATCCTAGCTTTAAATTATGGAAACAGTTCCTAGGTATATTAAGAAATTGTTGATTATGGTAGCTAATAATGGAGTATAAGTTATAATGCTATCCATACCAGAAGAAAAACTACATTAAAGAAGTGTCATTGTAAGAGTACATCAAGAATCACTTTAAAATTGTATCCATAGGAATGCAGATTTTTTTTTAATATCTTTGTAGTATGCATTATTTTTTATTTCATTATAATGATTTACCACTACAAGGGTAGGGAAAAAATAATTTATTTCAACATTCTTACTCATTGAAGTGTTGGGAATAAAAGAATCCAATAAACATTGGCTTTTTAAAAATAGTCATAAGAGGTTTTTTTGTGTTGTATCATCTATGAATAATTTCTCCTTTATATACACAAATTCTATTTAACTGAAAATTAGAATAATTAACAGCTGACCGAAAGTTTTGATTTTTTTCATATTTAAAATGTAAACATTTTCTTTTCTTAGAAAATGGTATTTATTAGACATTAAAGGCTCCTAAACAATGTTAAAACAATTTTTAAAAATTTCCAAGCATAGCTCACATCCTTTTGTAAATATTTTGATTCTTCCTTGTACTCAAGAGTACATAAATCTCTAAAGGTGGAATTTTCCTAACTTTTGAGTATGCTGCTACTGTAACTTGGATATATACAGCTTTGTGTATTGTGATTGAGGTTGAAGCAGTTTTCCTAAAGGAGCACTCTATTTTATGGTTTTCAAATTGTTGTCCTACATATAGTTGACATTCCCAAGCATTTTATTCCTTTTGTCTTGGATGACTACCCCTAAAACATGTCATCAACAAAATTATTTTTTTCAAATAAGAAGAAAAATACCCTTGTCTAACTGAGAATTCATAATAAATTTTATTCAGAAATTGTTCACATGAAAATTTCACACCAGCAATTTCTAAGGGGTATTTGGGAGGGCACATCCAATCTTCCCAAAAAATAATGCAACCTGCAAAAATAGAATAAGTTAACTTGGCATGAAAGAATAAATGAAAGCAACTTCTTGGTAGCTGATTTTGAGGAATTGAGAGAAGTATTTTATAATTATGATTCTGGTTTATTTAAAAGTCAACTTTTTTTGTGGAAGAAATAATGGATGTTGTATTTACGAAGGACTTTGCTGTTCACTTTTATTAGCATAAGTCTTGTATTCAAATTGAAAGGATACTCCTAAGAATATCAGATCATTAAGTTTAAATAAATTTTAGTGATTTTTTTTTCTGCACAGCTGAAAACATTAGTAGTTTAATGTCAGAACAGAAATTAAATTCAGGAGCAGAGAGCAAGATCAATTATACATGATTCTAAATATACTTAAGGGTATAAAAACAAACTGGAATTTCTAGTTTAAAAAGGCAGAAGAACATTTTTCCTCCCTCTGCTTCTTCAACTTTCACCACAACAAAAAACAACTAAATAAAGAAGAAGATATTCTATCACAAGGGAAAGAAGCAAATTTTTAAGAAAAACAATTAAGATCACTTGCCAAATATTGTTAAATGATAATCAAAATGAGGGATCACAGACAGTGTATAGACTTCCTCAAAGTTAGATGACACAAAAAATCATCAGAATTAACTAGATTAATTATTAGATGAGATCTAGGGTTGTCTCTAAAAATGAAAAATCATCCCAGTAGAGATCCATTTTGATATCTCAGAATAGTGAGGAAGCTAGAAATAAAAGATCAAAAAAAAAAAAGCGTACCAAAAAATCCCAACATCAAAATAGAGGCTGCAGACTTGTCTTCAGATTTTCAAATTCTTCCTGATCCCTAGCCCACTCCACGCCCACTTTGACCCCACGTATCTTTCAATTAGCAGCTATTAACATTCAAAGATAAGTAATGTCATGCAAGAAGGTCATAGGCACACATCAAGTGCCACACAGTCCTAATATAACATAGCATTTATTAAGGAAAATTTTACAGCTGGAGAAATAGCAGGGTGATTGCAGCCCCCAAAGTCCCATTTTTCTCTACCATAGGATGGGCATAGATATTCTGTATACATGAAAACCAAGGTTCTAGGAGAGAGGGTGTGACCTGATCAGCACACTGGACATGCAACTGAGCACTCCGAGGCTGAGTACCTAACACTATGGTATGTGTTTATGGATGTGCCTAAGATGGAGACTACAGAACACCTTGTTTCTCTAAGTCAGGAAAGGACACGTTTTAAGGTCAAGGGTCAGATAGCATATATTTTATATGGAGAGAGCCTTCACTGGCCATATGGCCTCTGCTCTGTTGCAACTACTCAACTCTGCTGTGGTAGCACAAAAGCAGTCATAGACAGTACACAAAAAGTCGGCGTGGCTGTGTTTCAAATAAACTTTACATATGGGTACTAAAATTTGAATTCCATATAACTTTCATATTTCAAGAATTATCATTCTTCTTTGCATTTTTTAAAACCATATAAAAATATAAAAACCATTCTTAGCTCAGGTACCATGTAAAAACAGGCAGCAGACTGGGTGTGCTTCATGGGTTGTGGTTATAGTGTTTCCTGATCCCTTTACTAAACAAATAAGAAATATATCAAATTATCTCTAGGTCCGGAAACTTCACTAGGGAATATGCATAGTAAAGTCCAAGTCATGCAAACCAAAAGCCCTGGAAACGGTCTTACATGTCAGGAATGCTGACATGAGCCAAAGGCCTTGGCTCTCTGAAGGCCAGTTCAGTCTACTGAACTAACTCTCAGCTAAGACATCAAAAGTTAGAAGGAAACGAGCCTCTAGAGCCGTCCAGACATGTCTCTCATCAGGTAATAAACACAAAAGCTCTAGCATAAAAACCACTCATTAAAACATGTTTGTTATAGAGGATAAAAAGGAAAATTATGAAGCACTTAAAAAGAAAAATGAAGAAGCAATATCATTAAAAGAATTAAAGAAACACAGGTAAAGTCAGAAAAATAGAAATAAGCTATAGATGAGATAATACTTTAAACAGTGGGAAAAGAGTTATACATGTTCAAAGAAAGGGATATAATAGACAGAAATGGTTGAAAAATGAGCCTATAGATCTTAGGAAAGAAACGCAAGCGAATAAAAAATATGATGGTTCTAAAAGTCACTTTAAAAATAATGCATAAAAATAAGTATCACTGAAAACAAAATCAAAAGTGTAGTAGATGGAGTGTAACAAATTACATAAATAAAACAGTAAAAAACAAAACACGAACATGACTATGGAGAAAATTATGGATACAGCAAAGGATATTGAACTATATATAACTTGTGTTTCTAAGAACAGAAAAAACATTACAAAATTCAAGTATGCAGTTAGGGTAAACTTCTCTGAAATATGTCAGGCTTAACTCTGCAGATTGAGTCTCATGATGTTGCAGGAAAAATGGATACAGAGGGACTGATATAAGTGCATGCATTTTGGTAAATTCCCTGGTCTTTAAGGATAAAGGAAGAATCGTATGGACATTCATTAATGAATGAACAAGCAAGTCATATACAAAGAGGAATATCAAGTGGTCTTTAGAGGTCTCCAAAGAAATATTCAGTTGCAGAAATAGTGTAGAGATGTCTACACATTTCTTTAAAAAGTTAACTATTACCACAAATTTATATCTGAGGAAGTTGTCCTTCATATTTAAGGTAAAAGGTATAACTTCTCACTCTTATATAATAAAAAAATGCCAAACAGGAAATGACAGAAAATTTTTAAAATGTAGAAAAATAGAAACTGTTGAAAACAAGGCTCAGGGAGAGTTGAATCCACTTTTATACTAACATTGAAGATGAGAGAACTAAAGTATTCACAGTTATGCAATCAAAGGTGCATGTTACACTTTTGGAAATGTTCAGATGACAATATAATTAAAAGTGGAGATTAAAAGAGCAATGTGGGAGGAAGTATGAGTGATATTTTCCTCATAGTTCTAGCAGGGAGTCAAATATTTTTCAAATTTGAAATATATAGTTAAAAATAACTCTTTTTAGACATACAAGTGCTCAAAATTTTACCTCTCATGTACACTTTCTCAGTAACTATTATTGGATATGCTCCACAAAAAGGAAGAAGTAAAACATGAAAAAGGGAATTATCAGATCAGGAAACAAGAGACATGGAATGGATAACTGTCATATATGACAGCCCAATCCTTCACATTCCAATGATAGCATAAGTTCCCACATTCTGAATCCTATCTTTCTGGAGGTGGAATGCAGAAGCCTTGCTTTTCTAGCCACCTGGCAGCTAGAGTACAGGCACATGGCCCAGGACTTACTAAACAGAAGCTTTCCTGTGAGTCTTCTATTCCAAAGCAAGGAATGTAACACACCCAGCTGTATTTAGCTGTGTTGTTATTGTCACTGTTATTGTTGGGTTGGTTTGTTTTGTCTTAGAATGATGGCCAGAGATATGTCCAGCTTTTACTTACAAGGTTATCAAGTAGTATTTCTGACATTTCAGATGTGAATGACAGCAGTGCTGGTACTCACTTCTTAATCACATTGGAACTTGATATGGTTCTGTGTATTTTTCACTGGCTATTAGCCATAAACCTGGTCCTCCGGCTTTCTCAATTATTCTGTATTATCTTTTAGTATACAGAGAAAGCTTGTTAAAATAAAAACAACCCAAATGTTATTATTCCCAATAAAATGCTGGCTTTAAAAGCTACATCTTGCATACATATATGTGTATGCAACACGCACGTGCACGTGCACACGCACACACAAGCTTCAGTAATTCTTAGGTCTCAGCTCAGTTTCCTTTTCATCAAAGTCAAGTAAAATTAAGCTTAAGTTCACAATACTTTACATGATACTATTTCATTGTCTAACCTATTTTTTAGGCTGTTTGTTGAGTGACGGTTGATGAGATTTACAGTAAATTTTTGTCACATTTTCTGTAACTTTCCATTTTACTTTTTCTTTTTCCGGCTTTTTAAACATATGAGTGGATATTTTTTATAAAGGGCACAAAATACTTATACTACATTTTATGTAAATGAACAGTTTCATTCAAAATATTTATTGCACATTTAAGAAATATCTTCTCCTGTGCGAGCAATTCATCATATGTAGGTGCAGGCTTGCGTGTGAGTGTGAGTGTGTTCGTGTTTGTATGAGTGTGCTTTTGTGTGTATGTGTTAGTTAAAGATCATCGGAAACTAGTCCACTATTAGACTAGTTTTTTTTCTATTCTTTATTATGTATTCATATCTCATTTATGTACCTGAACAGAATTTGAGAAATGTAGAGGTCATAACTTTATATGCCTATTTCTCATCACAACAAAAATTTAAACCTGTATATACACATGTATTTTTATATGGCACATATGGCATTTCAGAAAGAAGACAATTTTATATTCATTATTCTAATATGCCAAAGTTTTTCTCTTCATAAAGAAACGAGAAAAAAAGAGAGAAAAACACGCACATTTATTTTCTTTTCAGCTCCAAAAAGTCATGAATATCTACAGAGGCTTATCTCCCATAGTGATAAGCAATGCTAAGTACTCCATACCCAAGAACAACCTGAAAGGGAGATTGCACTCTACATAATTATGCAAATCGATCTTTTTTTAAAAGTAAAAAGCAGAAATGACAATATGCTAATATGGCAGCAGCATTGAATACGATGAGGATTATTAAAAACAAAGTGTTTGTTCATTCCCAGAGTCTTTTCTTACTTAATATTTTTTTTATAGCACACAAACCTCCAAAGGAAATATTCAAAAAAGAAAAGCTCCCAAATCATAATTACCGTAATTATACTTTTTCATCTTAAAATCCTTTACACACCCCTGGAATAAATATTATATGTCGTATATAGTATAATTAACATAAATGTTCGAAGAAATGATGCTTTGATTGCTATTTGCTACATATTTTAGCTAATGAGCCAGAACTACACAGTGTATATGTGTGGTATGTGTCTATTTATTATTATTAGCATAGTGGCTTTGACTAGCCTTAATTAAAAATCTGCATAAAATGATTCTATCCCATTGTATAAAATACACCACAGGAATGCCTAACAAAAATTAATATTGTAAGCAGTGAATAATTTAGACTACTTACCAAAGAAATGTTTTTTTAAAAAAAGCTTTCAAAGGAGAGAAGCCTTGTAAAAGTACATCTGAGATGAGCAATAGCTGCAAGCTCTTTGCTCAGCCATGTGAATGTGTTGTTTAATTATGGATCAAGTTCAGTCTTTAGCTCCTTGACCACTGCGGATTACTCTTTCCATTCTTCTATGAGATCATGCTGAGCTGGGGTGATACATAGATAAAAGTTTGCTGTCATTCACTTGCCTATATTCTCTGGAGAACCTCAAAAATGAGAATGAGGCAAGGAGGAGGATACCTTTGGAACACTTTGAATTTGAGGAAAAAGATAAGTTCAGTTTGTATTATTCCAGAATAAAATACATTTCACTCTGAGCAAAAGATTTGAGAATCAGAGATAATATTGTTTTGTGAGTTTAGGTCCATGAAAAACAGAGTGACCAAAATACAAAAGTGAATTTGTACTTTTGCTGCTAACATGCATAGTTCAAAGAATAGCTGAAGACATTATTTGTATAATGGTGGCTGACGGGCAAATCAACTGCCATTTCTCTGGAAAATAAAGTGGTAATGGAAAAGGGAATTAGGAAATGTTAAGATAATACTATTTAATGTCTGCCTTCTTCTTAAGGGGAAAATATTTTATTTCAAATAGAAATTCTGGTTTTTAACTAATAATAAATAAAAGTAATTTACTATTTTTTCTGAAAAGGAGGCAAACTTGTATGAATGAAGGATTTTTAAATGGTGAGTAAATGTGTCAGTTTCCTTTTTCCCACTAACTGGCCATTGTTTTCTAGTCAATATCTTAGGGTTTTTTATTACATACCTACAAAACGAAGTGACTAAAACACTTTGGAGACCAAAAATATGATTCTAAGACTGTCTGAATTTGTTTGTAATTCTTCTTCCATCCTCTCTCTCCAATCAGGTTTTTGCTTTTCCTACTTTGAATCTGCTCTTGCTAAGATACATGATAATTTCCACTTGGCTAAATCCAATGATCTATTCTCAGTTTTCTTATTACTTAATGTAACTCTAGTTTCTTTCCACCCTTATAACTGCAAATTCTATACTCATTACAGCAGTCAAGATGATCTTTCTCCTCCACCTCCCTCCCTCTTTCTTTTCTTTCTCTCCCTCCTATTTTTCTCTTCTTCAACTTGTCCAGTTCTATCAAGTTTTCTAAATTTTTTATTATGGCAAAGTAAGTAGAATAATGCAAACATATGCAAAATAAGTAGAATAATATAATGAATTACAAGGGAATACCCATGTTCTCATCACCCAGTTTCTGAAATAATCATCATGCTGCCATTCTTATATCATTTTTAGTTTTATACACTTTAAAACCTGACTCTCAGTTATTTTATAATACTTTCTGAAGTGAAATTTATTTACTTGGAAATACACAAATGTTAGCTGCACAATATTAAAAAATAGATATACCTTAGTAACCTCACTCCTCTATCATCATATAGAACATTGTGTCTCCCTACAAAGACCCCAAGTGTTCTCTGGTCAATCCTCACCTCCCAAGACAATCACTTGTCTGATTTTTTTAAACAATGGAATTATTTTGCCTCTTCTAGAATTTCATATAAAAAGAGTTAAAGAATATGTACTCTGTTGTATCAGGCTTCTTTCACCCATCAAAAATGTCTGTGAGATTCATCCATGTTGTGTGTATCAGTAGTTCATTCTGTTTATTGCTGAGGAGCAGTCCATTGTGTTAATTTATCACATTTTCCTATTATGGATATTTGAGTTTTTATATTCTCAGCATTTCTCTTGAATATATAGCCAAGAGCATAAGTGATTGGTTAAAGGATAAATGTATGTTCAGCTTGAAGATAAACTGTCAAAACTTTTCTTCGAAGGGTTATAACATTTTACATTCCCAACAGCAATAAATGAGAGTTCTGTATCTCCAACATTTGATGTTGTCAGTTGGGTCTTGTCTATTGAATGTAATTTACATACAATAAACTTTAATCTGTGAGTTTGACAAATGCAAAGAATTATGTAACCACTACCATAATTAAGATATGGGATATCTCAATCACTCAATAAAGTGTCTTAAGATCCTCTGTAGTAAACCTTTCCTTAGACTCTGGAGACTACTGAGAAGTCTTCAGTCCTCATATTTTTGTCTTTTGCAGAATGTTATGTAAATGGAATCACATCGTATGTATCCTTTCGTGTCTGACTTCTTTCATTTAGAAAAATGCAGTTGCAATTCACCCATATCAGCACATATATCAGTAATTTGTCCTTTATTTTTGCTGAGCAGTTTTCCATGTAATAGTTTTCCATTCACCTGTTGAAGGACATTTGCGTTGTGTTCAGTTTTTGCCAATTATGAATAAAGCCACTATAAACATGTGCATACAGGACTTTATGTGAACATAAGTTTTTATTCCTCTTGGACAAATGCCTAGGACTTGATTATAGGTTGTGTGGTAAGCATATGTTTAACTATACGAGAAACTGCCAAACTGTTTTCCAAAGTGACTAAAGCATTTTGCATTCCCACCAACAATGTTTCAGGATCCCAGTTGCTCTGCAACTACATCACCACTTGGTACAGTCAGTTTAATTATTTTTTAAAATTTTTAGTTATTTCAATAGGTATATAGAGTTATTTCATTACAGTTTTAATATCATTTTTCTAATTGACTAATGCTGAACATCTTTTTATGCTTTAATTGCTATCTACGTGTCCTCTTTGGTGAAATATCTGTTCAAATTGGTTGCTCAGTTTGTATTGCATTTTTGTTTCCTTTATATTTTCTAGATACAAAACATTAAAACATTTTAACCCCATCTATGTTTTAAATTTTCAGTATCTTCATAGTGTTTTTCCTAAAGCAGACATTTTAAATTCTGTTAAAGTCTAATTATCAGTTAAAGTCCAACTATCAATGTTTCCTTTTACAGACTGTGGTTTTTGTTTGTTTGTTTCTTTGTTCTTATCACATCTGATAAATTTTCACTCAAGTAAAGGGCATTGAGATTTTTTCTTGTATTTTCTCCTAAGAATTTTATGGTTTTAAGTTTTAGATTTATGTTTTTATCCATTTTTAGTTTTCTGTGCCATGAGACATGAGGCACAGGCCAATGTTCTATTTGTTGCATGTAGTTATGTTGAATCACTCCATTTGTTGAAAACAGAGCCTTTCTCCATGAATTGCCTTTGTACAATTGTAAAAATTCAACTGACCATATATGTGGGCATTTACTTCCACACTATTCTGTTTCTTTTATCTATGTGTGTCTATTCTTCCACTGATAACACATTGTCTTGGTTATTGTAGCTTTTTAGTAAGTTTTGAGATTAGAGAATGTGAATCATCTTTAACTTTTTCAGCATTGATTTGGCTATGCTATTTCCTTGGCATTTTCATATACAGTACATTTTAGAATAAGCTTATCAATTGTTTAGAGTTATGTCACATCTTATACCAATTTGGAAATAAGTGACATCTTAAAAATATTGAGTATTTCATAAAATACTGGCAAACAGAATCCAGCAGCACGTCAAAACGCTTATCCACCATGATCAAGTCGGTTTCATCCCTGGGAGGCAAGGCTGATTCAACATATGCAAATCAATAAACATAATCCATCACATAAACAGAACCAATGGCAAAAACCACATGATTATCTCATAGATGCAGAAAAGGCCTTCGGTAAAATTCAACACCCCTTCATGCTAAAAACTCTCAATAAACTAGGTATTGATTGAACATATCTCAAAATAATAAGAACTATTTATGACAAACCCATAGCCGATATCATACTGAATGTGCAAAAGCTGGAAGCATTCCCTTTGAAAATCAGTATAAGACAAGGATGCCCTCTTTCACCACTTCTATTCAAAATAGTATTCAAAGTTCTGGCCACAGAAAGAAATAGGCAATCAGGCAACAGAAAGAAATAAAGGGCATTCAAATAGGAAGACAGGAAGTCAAATTGTTTTTGTTTGCAGATGACATTGTTATATATTTAGAAAACCCCATTGTCTCAGCTCAACAACACCTTAAGCTGATAAGCAACTTAAGCAAAGTCTCAGGGTACAAAATCAATGTGCAAAAATCACAAGGATTCCTATACACCAATAATAGACCAGCAGACAGCCAAATCATGAGTGAACTCCCATTCACAATTGCTACAAAGAGAATAAAATATTTAAGAATACAACTTAACAAGGGACGAGAAGGACGTCCTCTAGGAGAACTACAAACCACTGCTCCAGGAAATAAGAGATGACACAAACAAATGGAAAAACATTTCATGCTGATGGATAGGAAGAATCAATATCATGAAAATGGCCATACTGCCCAAAGTAATTTATAGATTCAATGCTATTCCCATCAAACTACCATTGACTTTCTTCATAAAACTAGAAAAAACTACTTTAAATTTCATATGGAAGCAAAAAAGAGCCCGTATACCCAAGACAATCCTAATCAAAAAGAACAAAGCTGGAGGTATCACAATACCTGACTTCAGACTATACTACAAGACTACAGTAACCAAAACAGCATGGTACTGGTACCAAAACAGATATATAGGCCAATGGAACAGAACAGAGACCAGAGAAATAATACCACACATCTACAACCATCTGATCTTTGACAAACCTGACAAAAACAAGCAATGAGGAAAGGATTCCCTATTTTATAAATGGTGCTGGGAAAACTAGCTAGCCTTATGCAGAAAACAGAAACTGGACTGCTTCCTTATATCTTTTACAAAAATTAACTCAAGATGAATTAAGACTTAAATGTCTTTAATAAAACCGTAAAAACCCTAGAAGAAAACCTAGGCAATACCATTCAGCACACAGGCATGGGCAAAGACTTCATGATTAAAACACCAAAAGCAATTGCAACAAAAGCCAAAATTGACAAATGGGATCTAATTAAACTCAACAGCTTCTGCACAGCAAAAGAAACTGTCATCAGAGTGAACAGGCAACCTACAGAATGGGAGAAAATGTTTGCAATCTATCCATCTGACAAAGGTCCAATATCCAGAATCTACAAGGAACTTAAACAAATTTACAAGAAAAAACAAACAATCCCATCAAAAAGTGGGTGAAGGAAATGAACAGACACATCTCAAAAGATGACGTTTATGTGGCCAACAAACATATGAAGAAAAGCTCATCATTACTGATCATTAGAGAAATGAAAATCAAAACCACAGTGAGATACCATTTCAAGCCAGTTAGAATGGCGATTATTAAAAAGGAAACAACAGATGCTGGTAAGGATATAGAAAAATAGGAATGCGTTTACACTGTTGGTGGGAGTTTAAATTAGTTCAACCATTGTGGAAGACAGTGTGGCGATTCCTCCAGGATGTAGAACCAGAAATACCATCTGACCCAGCAAACCCATTACTGGGTATATACCCAAAGGATTATATATCATTCTACTATAAAGACGCACGCACATGTATGTTTATTGCAGGACTACGTACAATAACAAAGACTTGGAACCAACCCAAATGCCCATCAATGATAGACTGGATAAAGACAATGTGGCACATATACATCATGGAATACTATGCAGCCATAAAAAAGAATGAGTTCATGTCCTTTGCAGGGACATGGATTAAGCTGGAAGCCATCATTCTCAGCAAACTAACACAGAACAGAAAACCAAACACTACATGTTCTCACTCATAAGTGGGAGTTGAACAATGAGAACACATGAACACAGAGAGGGAACATCACATACCAGGGCCTGTCAGGGCACGGAGGAGCAAGGCGAGGGAGACCATTAGGACAAATACCTAATGCATGTGGGTTCAAACTTAGATGACAGGTTGATAGGTGCAGCAAACCACCATGGCACGTGTATACCTATGTAACAAACCTGCATGTTCTGGACATGAATCCTAGAACTTAAAGTAAAACTCAAAATAAATAAAATAAAATAGAAAAAAAAATTAAAAATTTAAGTATTTCAATCCCTGAACACTTTTCATCTCTCCAGTTGTTTAGGTCTTATTTGATTTCTGTCATCACTGTTTTGAAATTTTAAGCATACACATTTTGCACATATTTTTAAATATATGTTAAGTATTCTTATTTGTGATATTTTAAATGGTGTTTTTAAAATTTTAATTTTCAGTTGTTGTTAGTGTATATAATAATTTATTTTTGAATATTAAACTTGTATCCTTGGCCTTGCTAACCTCATCTATTAGTTCTAGGAGTCTTTTGTAGATTCTCTGGATTACTTATATATACAATTATGTTGTTGGCAAAGAGAGATCATTTTCTTTTTTCCTTTCCCATTTGCCTATCTTTCATTTTTTGTGTGTTTTGTTTTGTTTTGTTTTATATTTTGCCTATTACACCGGCCAAACTCTCCAGTGTTGTGCTAAATAAGAGTGGTGAGAATGGACTTTCTTGCCTTGTTCCAAAATTTTGGCAGAAAGCATTCAGTCATTCAGCAGAAAGTATCAAGTTAGATGTAAGTTCTTTGTCAATGTTCTATATTAAAGTGAGGATGTTACCTTTAATTCAAGTTTGCTGAGAGGTTTTCTTTTTAAATTATAAGTGGATATTAATTTTTTTTAGTCCAGGCGCACTGGCTCATGCCTGTAATTCCAGTTCTTTGGGAGGCTGAGGTGGGTGGATCACCTGAGGTCAGGAGTTCGAGACCAGACTGGCCAACATGTTGATACCCCATCTTTACTAAAAATACAAAAATTAGCCGGGCATGGTGGTGGGTGCCTGTAATCCCAGCTACTTGGGAGGCTGAGGCAGAAGAATTGCTTGAACCTGAGAGGCAGAGGTTGCAGTGAGCCGAGGTAATGCCACTTTACTCCATCCTGGGCAACCAAGTGAGATGAGACTCCATCTCAAAAAAAAAAAAAAAAATATTTTCAGATGCTTCTTCTGCATTTATTTTGAAGATTATTTGGTTTTACTTCTTTAGTACACTGACATGGTGAATTACTTTAATTTTCAAATGTCAAACAAAACTTTCCATTTTTCCAATAGACCCCCTTGGTTCATTCATTCATTTAATTGTATAAATTTAAGATGTCAACATGTTTTATTATATGAAGTGAAATGATTACTACAGTCAGGCAAATTAATATATTAATAACCTCACATAGTTGCTTTTTTGTGTCAAGAACATCTAAAGTCTATTTTCTTTGCAAATTTTCTGTGTACCATATAATACTAACTATAGTCCTCATGCTCTACATTAGATCTCCAGACTTATTCACCTTATATAACTGCAAGTTTATACTCTTTGACCTATATCCCTCCATTTCCTCCTCTGCCCTCACACTGCTAACCACTGTTCTACTTTCTGTTTCAATGTATTTGACTTATTTTAGATACCACATACAAGTGAGATCCTACAATATTTTTATCTCTGTCTGAAAGGTCTTTACATAATGACTAAAGGGTCAATTCAACAAAAAGATATAACTGTAAGTATATGTGCACCCAATGGCAGACTGACTAGCTATATAAAGCAAATATGGACTGATCTGAAAGGAGAAATTGACAGAAATACAATAGCAGTAGGAGACTTCGATGCTCTACTCTCGGTAATGATAGAACAGTGAAACAGAAAATCAATAAAGAGTTGACATGAACAACACTGTAGATTAAATGGATTTAATAGACATATACAAAACTTTTCACCCAACAGCAGAAGAATGTGTATTCTTCTTCAGTGCACACAGAACATTCTCCAGGATAGATCATATGTTAGGTCACAAAACAAGTCTTAACACATTTAATAGGTTTGAAATCATACCAAGTATCTTTTCCAACCACAATGGAATGAAACCAGAAATCAACAGCAGGAGAATAGGAAAACTCCCAAATATGTGGAAACTAAATGACACATTCCTGAAAAACCACGGGTCAAAAAGAAAATCAAAAGAGACTTTTAAAAACCTCAAGATAAAAACAAAAACACAGCTTACCAATACTTACAGGGTGCAGCAACAACAGTACTAAGAGGAAGTTTATGATAAAAAAAATCTACACTAAAAAGAGAACAAAGATCTTAATTAAGCAACATATATAAAAGAACTAGAAAAAACTAAATTCAAAGTTAGCAGGAGGAAAGAAATAATAAAAACTGAAGCAAAAGCAAATCAAATAGAGAATTGAAAAAGTATTTAAAAATCAACAAAACTGAGTTGATTTTTGAATAAACAAAATTGAGAAACCCTTAGCAGGACTAAGAAAAAGAGAGAAGACTCTAATAAGTAGCCAGAAATTAGTGATATTGCAATGGAAGCCTCAGAAATAAACATAATCATAAAAGACTATACCAACAACAAATGGCATGTAACACAGAAGAAATGAATAATTTCTTAAAACATAAAACTTACAGAGTAGAAAAACCAATGAACTCAAACCATTTTTTTCCTCTGCTCTTACAATACAACAATAAGCAATACAGAAGCTTTCTGTGACCAAAGGTTTGGGGATTTCTTCCCATACACCAAGCAAGAAAGCAGGTCTGCAATGGGCACCAGCTGAATGTCCTCCAGTTCAGTTCTGACACTGTCTATCTGGAGAGAGTATCAGATCCCACAGGAAGAGGGCTTGGTCCCTCAAGAACCACCACCCTCCCAACCCCGCACTTTCCCATCAATTTCAAGTCTGGGCCTCTGGGACTTCTGATGACTGATTTCAAGTTGGGGTTCCCACAATCTCTTCTCTCAGTTCAATTAATTTGCTAGAGCAGCTAGCAGAAATCAAACATGTACTTATGTTTACCAGTTTATTATAAAGGATATTACAAATAAACAGCCAGATGATGAGATACATAGGGTAAGGTCTGGAAGTGTCCTGAGCACAGAAACTTCTGTCCCTGTGGAGTTGTGGTGCACCACCCTCCTGGCATGTGGATGAGTTTTTGTTCACATTCCTGAAAGCCTCTGCATGTGCAGCTATCCGGAAGCCCTCCCACCCCAACCCTGTCCTTTTGGGTTTTTATGAAGGCTTCATTATGTAGGCATGATTGACTAAATCATTGACCACTGATGATCAACTTAATTTTCAGGCCCTCTGCCCTCGCTGGAGGCTGGGAGGTATAGTTCAAAGTCCAAATCCTCTAATCATGCCTTGGTCTTTCTGGTGACCAGCCCCATCCTGAAGCTACCTGGAGGCTGCCAGCCATTAGTTAATCATAAGTGTACAAAAAGACATCTCTTTGGAGATTCTAAGGATTTTAGGAAAAGAGTATATTGTATGCCAGGAAATGAGATTGAAGACCAAAAATATACTTCACAACATCACATCTACCAAGACTGAATCAAGAAGAAATAGGAAGCCTGAGCAGATAAATAACAAATGAAGACTGAAGTAGTTATCCAAAACCTCCCAACAAAGAAAACCTAGAACCAGATCAGATGACTTCATGACTGAATTCTACCAAACACTCGAAGAATCAATACCAAGCTTTCCAATCCTCTTCTCTTCCCGAAAAATAGAAGTAGAGGGAATATTTTCAAACTCATTTTATGAAGCCTGCATCAGCCTGACATCAAAGCCAGACAAAGATGCCACAGGGAAAGAAAACTACGGGCCAATATCTCTGATGAACATAGATGCAAAAATCCTCAATAAAATACTAGCAAACCAAATTCAACAATGCCCCATGACCAAGTGAGATTTATTCCTGGAATGCAAGGTTGGTTTAACATATTCAAATCAAACGAGGTGATATACCACATGAACAGAATTAAAGATAAAAACCACATGATCATCTCAATAGATGGAGAGAAAATATTTGATGAAGTTTAACTTCTTTTGTGATTAAAAACTCTCAACAAAATAAGTATAGAGAAAATTTCCTCACTATAATAAAGGTCTTTTTATATATTACTGTATTAGATTTACTATGTTGAAGATTTGTGTCTATTTTCATAAATAAGGTTTGTAAGTAAGTTTTTTTTTGGAATGTCCAGATTTATTGTCAAGATAATTTTGATTTTAAAAAATATGAGTCCTAAAGTGATTTCTTCTATTTTATGTCCTTAAGGAATTTTTGGCCAGGTACAGTGGTTCAAACCTATAATCCCAACACTTTGGGAGGCTGAGGCAGGAAGACTGCTTGAGCCCAGAAGTTTGAAAACAGCCTGGGAAACATGGTGAGACCCCAATCTCTACAAAAAATTAACAAAATTAGTCAGGCATGGTGGCACACACCTGTGGTCCGCTGCTTGGGAGGCTGAGGCAGGAGGATCCCTTAAGTGAACAAACATTCAAACTTTATCACATTTATATGATTTTTCTTTTTGTTTTCTGCTTTGAATTTTGTTTCCTCTGTAATATTTATTATTACATTTCATTTTCTTTGAGTTTACCTTTTTTTTTTTTTTAGTTTCTTAATGTGAAGACGTAGGTCATTGATTTGAGATCATTCTTCTCATAAGCTTTCATAAAACATAAGCCATATATTAACTGTCTTTCACAAATTGTTACTGTTTTTGTCTTATTCATTTTTTCTTTTTTTCCTAATTTTCATTGTTACATTTTGTCTATGATTATTTAGAAGTCTGTGTGTTATCTCCAAATATTTGATAATTTTTAATATATTTTTTCTTACTGATTGTCAATTTAATTTTACTGTGGCCAGAGGGCATATTTTGTGGAATTTCCATTTTTAAAACATTTGATAACCTTATCTGTGGCCCAGAATATGGTCAATTTTGGTGGATGTTCCATGTGCATTTGAAAGGAATGTACATTCTGCTGTTAGGTGAAATGTTTCATAAATATCAATTAAATCAAGTTAGATGATGTATTGTTCAGGTATTTTTTAAATCCTTACTGCTTGTCTGTGGACTTGGTCTAATGATTACTAAGAAAGGAGTGTTATTGCCAGTGAAGTCTGTCAATTTGTTTGTTTTTCTTTTTAGTTCTATCAGTTTTGTTTCATGTATTTGCAGCTTTGTTGCTTTGTGCATGCATGTCTGGGATTTAACCACTTAATCTTTATGTACTGTCTCTCTTTATCCCTAATATTGTTTTAAAGTCTATTTTATCTGATATTAATATAGCCACTCCAGCTTTTATTAGTGGTTGTGCCATACATATGCTTATTTTCTCGTATCTGACTTTAAAGTCAATCTTTGTGGATAGCGTATAATTGGATCTTACTTTGTAAATCTAATCAGAGTTTCCGTCTTAATTGGTGTTTAGACTCCCTACATTTCATGTAATTATTGATATCAGTGGACTAAAATCTTCTATCTTGTTAGTAGCTTCTATGTATTTAATTACATCTTTGTTTTTTCTCTATGCTTTTGGTTTGACTATTTTAAATTTTCAACCTCCTTATATCTTTGTAATTAATGTGTATCTCTTCAGACAACATATAATTATCATATTTTATTCAGTCTGAAAATCTCTGACACTTATTAGGAATGTTTAGTCCAAACTTAAAGTTTTTTTGATATGATCAATTTAAGCCATTTTGTTATTTGTTTCTATCCCCAACATCTAGGCATCCTCAGGACAGTTTTTTTTTTTTTTAACTTTTTTTTTTTTGCATATGGGATATAGTCTTTTGTTTCTTTTCTTGTCAAAAACTGGACATTTTAAGTACTATACTGTGACAATTCTGGAAATCAAATTCTCTCCACCTTTTCAAGGTTTGTTGCGGTAGTTTCTGTTTTATTGTTGTTGCTCTTTGTCTAGTGACTTTTCTGGACTAGTTTTGTGAAGTCTAATTTTCAAATTTGTGTGTGGTCACCAAACTATCTGCTTGGTTAGCTTAATGGTCAGCTAATGATTGGGCAGGTATTTCCTTAAATGCTTTGAATCAATGCCTCCCCTTCGTTAAAGGGCACTGTCAATTTACAATGCTGGCTTCACCTTCGCTTTGTGCTTATGCAGAACCTCAAGGTGAGCCAGACGTAAGAAATTTCTGCCTTCTCATGTCTTTCCCTGAGTATCTGTGTTCTGGATCACCTTCCATTCATTCATTTGGTGAGGAAGGGGTCACCCCCAATAAATAGCACAAGATGGCTGAAAACATGACAGCTGACACTGGCCAGATGAGATTGACAGCAATTTATTAGTGCCACGTATGCCATGTGCAGGAGAGGACACCTCTCACCATGCAGGGCCACACAGGCTTGCACTTGGATAGAGTGAACAAGCAGGGACTTTGGGAGCTGAGCTTTGCAATAACAAGTGGTTGGGGTGACCTCTGGTTCCCACAGGAGGCTGTGATTGGCTTGTTTGAATGATTTAGCAGGCTGGTAAGGAAGTGAAATTGGTTAGGTTGAGAACTGAGTGAGGTGCGGCTGGTCCAGATGATAGGGCAAGTCGGTGGGTGGGGAGTCTTTCCTGCTGTTTGGTGGGGAGCACACCTGGTGAAAGGAGGGGAACTCATAGCTAGGCCTGTCAAGGCAGCATGTGATATTGCATCTTAAATTCAGGTCTTACCCTACAATTTGCAGATTCCTGCACAAGCATGTGGCTTTTTAGATCCCCCTCAAATATGCATAAGCTTTTCAAAGTCCCAGTGGACAGATTTTCCTTTTCTATTATTTTACTAGTCCCTTGTTTGTAAAACTGTTAATGCCCCCCAGGCCACTGAGTTGTTGAAAACTTCAAAGTTAAACAAATGTTGCTTATTATTTTTAACAAACACCCTATGGATAGGGCTTTTCCCATTGGGTGAATTCTGGTCAGGTCAAACAAATACAAGCCCTGCAAATTGGGTTTTTACAGAGAGCTATCATGTAATTTTTTAGTGACAAGTATTTTAGGGGACCTTCAAACAAGTTTTGTCCTGACAGTGGCTGCTACTGGTTTTCATAGCTGTCATAGTTGTAAGGCTGATAATTTTCAAGGCTTCCACTAAGCTGGAAAGACAAGGATGGATATAAGGCGAGTTTATCTACTATTATCTTACCATTCATACCAAGATTCAGCCATATTTCTTGAATAAATGCTCTCACATTGTTGTAAGACTGATTAAAGAGTTCAGAAAATGTTTATTTTGACTATTTACCACTGTTCTTGGTGTTTTTATGGAGAAAAATGTTTTCAGAGGTTTTTATTCTGCCAGTTGGAGGTACTTCTCTGTAACTGACTTCCGTAGTTAAGTGAAGGACTTATTCCCAAAAACCTGATTTTAGCTCAGGTTTTATAAATTGCTCAAGTGGTGCAGAAAAAAATAACAAAAAGAACCACACCTTGATGCATCATATTTAAACAGCTGAAAACCAAAATCAAAGAGAAAGAGACAGTTATTAAGGCATTTGGAGAGAAAAAAAAAAACTTTACAAAGGAACAATGTTTCTCATCAAAAAGGGTACATATCAGAAGACAATAGAGTGACATCTTTAAAGTGAGGGACAAAACAAAAAGTCAACCCAGCATTCTATTTTCAGTGAAAATATCTTTCAAAAACAAAGAAGAAAAAAAAATTCTAAAAGATAAAAGCTGAAAGAATTCATTACCAGGAGAACGCTGAATATTGATTCTATCTATGAAAGTTAAAATAACTTTGTTCTGTTTCTCACAATGTCTTTTTTAAAAATTAAACTCTGTATTTCCAGATAAATTCACATGTAGTTTTAAGAAATAATACAGAGACATTCTGTATACTTCATAGCAAATTTTCCCCAAACATAAGATCATGTATAACTATACTACAATATTACAACCATAATATTGACATTGGTACAGTCAAGATAAAAAGTAGTTTCATCACCAAAAAGATACCTCATAATTCCTTTTAATAGCAATACCCACCTCCTTCCACCATTCCTAACCCTTCATAATAATTAATCTATTTCCCATTTCTACAATTTGCCATCACAAATTTGTTATATAAATGGAATCAACATAACTTTCACAATGGGCTCTTTACACAGAGCATAATTCTCTCAAGATCGTTGTTGGATGTATTAATAGTTAACTGCTTTATTTCTAATATTCCACATATTCCATGCTACAGATGTACCACAAGTAATTTACCGATTCACTTGTTCCGAGACATCTGGGTTGCTTCAAGTTTGGGGCTATTTTCAATAAAGGTGTTATGAACATTTGTGTACAGGTTTTCATGTGAGAATGATTTTATTTCCCTGTGATAAATGTCCCAGAGATCAGTTGCTTTGCTGTGCTGTGTGATACTTGCACATATGGTATGATAGAAAACTTCAAACTGTTTTCCAGAGTGGATGTAACATTTTACATCTTTATTAACAATGTAAGATTGGCGCAGTTTCTATATGTATCACCAACATTCTGTGTCATTGCTATATTTTATTTTAGCCATTTTTAGAGGTGTGCAAAGACACCTCATTGTGGCTTTAATTTGCATTTCCAAAGTATCCTTTCATCTGCTTATTTGTAATCTGTATATCCTGTTTGATGGACTTCTCTTCTATCTTTATTTTCTGACTGGACGTTTAGTATTTTTATTTTTGAGTTTTGAGAGTCTTTATATATTCTAGATATGATTCCTTGGTCAGTTATTTGGTTTGCAAATATTTTCTCCCATTATGTAGCTTGTCTTTTCATCTTCTTGATGAGATCTTATTCAAGCAAACTGTTTTAACTTTGATAACATTCAACTTATAAATGTTAACTGTATGGGTAGTGCTTTTGTGTAAAGTCTAAGAATTATTTGCCTACTCCTAGGTCTTGAAGATTTTTCTCCTGCTTTTCCTTTTTTTCCCCAAAAGTTTTAGTTTTAATTTTACCTTTTACATTTAAGTATGTGGCCCATTATGAGTTAATTTATGTATAAGATGTGAGGTTTATTTTTAGGTCTTTGTTTATTTTTTACCTATTGATGTTCCAGTTGTTCTAGCAGAAGTCTATTTCTCTTCTACTGAATTACCATGTTCTTCTTTAAAAATTAGTGGGTCATATTTGTGAAAGTCTATTTTAAGGTTCTCTATTCTACTTAATTGATTTATTTGTCTATGCTTCTGCCAGTACCACACTGTGTTGAGTACTGTAGCTATATGCAGGTCTCAATTTGGAGGACTCCTCTCATTTTGTTCTTCTTTTTCAAGATGTTGTAGCTATTTTATGGCCCATGTCTTTTCATAGAGGTTTTAAAATTAGCATATCAGTATCTATAAAAAGCCTTGCTGGGATTTTACAGGAATTGCATGAAAACTGTAGCTCAATTTAGGAAGAATTGAGATCTTTACTATACTAAGTCTTCCAGTCCATGAACATTGGTAGTCTCTCCATTTATTTTGGTCTTCTTCATCATTTTGTAATCTTGCATTTTGTAATTTTGCAGATATTGATCGTGCGCCTTTTTTATTAGATGTATAATTATTTGGGGGGAGATATTGTAAATGGTGTTGTTTTAAATTTCTGTTTCCTTGTGTTCATTAACATATAAAAGCATAATTAATTTTTATGTGTTGATATTATGTATTGTGACTTGACACTTTGCTGGACTCACTTATTAGTTCTAAGAGGTTTGGGGTTTTTTTGTAGATTTCTTGAGGTTTTCTACATAGATAATTCTGTCATCTTCAAGTAGGAATAGTTTTAGTCCTGCCATTCTAATCTGTATGCCTTATATTTATTTTTCTTGCCATGTCTATGTCTTAGGAAAAAGCATTTAGTCTTTCACCATTAGACATGATGTTAGTTAGGCTCTTTGTAGAAGTCTTTTATCAAGTTGAGGTAGTTTCACTGTGTTACTAACTTGTAGTTTTTGTCACGGATGACTGTTGGTTGTTCTAAATGTTTTATCTATGTCAGTTGATATTATCACATGATTTTTCTTTTTTAGCTTATTGCTGTAGATTATAGTGATTGATTTTTGGATTTTTGGACTGCCTTATATACTTGGAATAAATTCCACTTGAACAGGTTGTGAATCTTTTTTTTTAATATTATACATTTTTGAATTTGTAGGAGAGAATTAATATTTTTTCCTCTCTCATGACAAGGTTATGTTATGGTTCATGGCTGAGACACCCATAATAAAAGGCAGATTAACAAGAGAAAAGCATACAAATTTATTTCATACAAATTTCATGTGACATAGGAGTCTTCAGAAGTAAAGACCCAAAGAAATAAGGAAATCTGTGTATTTTTATGTATAGTTGTGTAGAAGTATGATTGGAGGATAAAAGGGTATGATCTAATGGTAATAAACTGGGGGAACTTAGCAAGACCCATTTGTTCAGGTTTTCTTGGCATTCCTTTGTGACATTGCTTTTCACTGGGTACAGGCCAGGAAACCTGTCACATGAGGGTCTTCAGAAGAGAAAAGGTCATAGTGACGTTCCTAGGTTTTATGGCCTGCATTGGGAAAGAAAGCCAAGGGGAATACGAGAGGAGTCTTCGTGCTTCTGCTGTTTTCTCGAATGCTGTGGTGCAATAATTTGGGGTAATATGTTCTAAACCTCATTAGATTCAATTTGCTATTTCAGATATCCCTACACTTATGATGAAGTTATTTCCTGATAAACCCTTTGTAAGTTAAAAGCATTTTAATTCAACTTACAATATTTCAAAAAAAAAACCAAGTTATGATGGGTATATCAAGATGTAAATCTATTGTTAAGTGGAGAAGTATACTAAATGGGTATCACTTTTGCGCCATCCTAAAGTTAAAAAAATCGCAAGTCAAGGCACCATAAGTTAGGGACTGTCTGCATTTGCTGAGAATATTTGTGTCTAAGTTTATGAGATTCTACTCTTCTTTTACTGTACTATCTTTGCCTGGTTTGGGTATCAGGGTAATACTGGCCTCATAAAATAAATTGGGATGTGTCCCCTCTTCTCCTATTTTCTGAGGAGAGTGTAAAAAGTTTTTGTTAGTTCTTTGGATGTTTGGTAGAATTATACAGTGACATTATATGGGCCTGGCAATTTCTATAGTATTCTATGAGCTTTTAATTACGAATTAAATGTATTCAATGGTTATAGGACTACTCAGATTCTTCATTTTATCCTGGTTGAGTTTTGGTAGTTTTAGGTGTTTGAAAAATTATCTCATTTCTTCTAAGTCATTGAATTTATGAGCATAAACTTGTTCATAGTATTTTCTTTTATCCTTTTAATGGCTTCAGGATCTCTAATAATATCCTTTCTTTTATTTCTGATGTTGGTGATTTGTGGTACCTCTTATTTTTTCAGTCTTGCTAGAAGCTTATTTTTGTTGATTTTTTTTTTTTGAGGAATCAGCTTTCTATTTCATTGATTTTTCTATTATTTTTCTATTTTCAATTTTATAGATTTCTGCTTTTTAACTTTACATTTATTTTTTCTTCTTGTTTAGAATTTATTTTGCCCTTCTTTTTCTAGTTTCTTGAGTTAGGAATTTAGGTTATTGATTTGAGATGGTTTTACTTTTCTTCTGTAAGCATGTAGTACTATAAATTTATCTCAGCATTGCTTTAGCTGCATCCCACATATTTTGATATGTTGTATTTTCATGTTTTTTAGTTTTGTAGAGGGAACTAAAAGGAAGTAAGCTTTCCACAATTCACTCAATGTTAAAAAGTTGGTTATAGAAGATTGATGATATAGCATGCAAAGAAATCATGACGAAAGTTATACAAAGCAACACATTCAATAATACTATAAACAAATAAAGGTAAAATCCTAAAACAATTCATGTAACCCATAACAAGACAAGAAAATCGAGAAAATGTTTTATTTCCTTTGAGACTTCTTTTTTGACGCATGTGTTATAAGTATTTTGTTTAGTTACCAAGTGTTTGGTTACTTTATTTAATATAGTCACTCTTTTTAAAAAAATAATGTTTCCATGTTTCCATTCTTTTACTTTCCACCTCTTTATATTGTTGAAAATAAAACATGTTTCGTACAAATAGTATATAGTTGTGTTGTGTTTTTCTTAATGCATTTTGCAAATCTCTACCTTTCAACTGATTAACTGAGACCATTTACATGTAAGATTATTATTGGCATGTTAGGGCTTAACTCTGTGATTTTATTCTTTGATTTTTGTTTGTTTCCTATTTCTTGTTCTTATTTTTGATTTTCTTTTCTTGTTATGGATTACATTAACTGTTTTAGGATTTTAACTTTATTTGTTATCGTATTATTGAATGTGTTGCTTTGTATAATTTTCTTTGTGGTTTCTTTGTGTACTACATCATCATTCTTCTATAACCAACCTTTTAACATTGAGTGAATTGTAGAAAGCTTACTTCCTTTTAGTTCCCTCTACAATCCCTACTTTTAAATATTACTATGCTATGTATCATGTGGTGATATAATTTTGGTTTTAATCTTCACATATGACTTAGAAAATTCATGAAAAGAACAGATTCTTCTATTTACCCACATTTCTGCTTTTATAAATTGTTCTTTCTTTCTTACTGATGTTTCAAAATAGATTTTTAATACTTTTTTGTTTTCTGTTTAAAAAACTCCCTTAAGCCATTCTGTTAAAAACAAAACTTTTAATTTTTCTTCATCTGAGATTGCCTTTATTTATCCTTCTTTTATAAAATATAGTTCTACTGGATGTAGAATTCATAGTTGACAGTTGTTATTTATTTTTTTTGTTAGCCCTTGAAAAATATACCACTCCCTTCTGGTCTCCATGGTTTCAGATGAGAAATCCACCAGCATTAAAGATAGTGTTCCTCCGTAGGTAATGTGTCTTTTCTCTATAGTTGCTTTTAATAACTTTTCTTTGCAGTTCTCAGAAGTTTAATTATATTAGGTCTTGGCATGGTTTTATTTGATTTTATCTTATTTGGAGATCACTTTTCTTCTTAGATCTATGGGTTTACCTCTTCTACCAACTTTGGGAAAATTTTAGCTATTATTTCTTTAAATATTCTTTTAGCCTCACTCTCTTTCTCCACTTATTCTGGATGCAGACATTACAAATGTCAGATCTATCATTGTCCTTCCTTCTGGTCCCTGAGGGCTCTATTCACTCTTTATAAATATACGCATATATATGTAAGTATATACACACACACGTATATATATTATTTATATAAATATATGTATTTATATGTGTGTATTTTTCCGTTTTCTTGTGGATTTTTCCTCCATTTCATTGATTATATCTTTTGTCATCTCCACTTTACTATTTTTATTTCTATTATTGTATTTTTCAGTTCTATAATATCCATTTGGCTTTTTTTAATAACATTTTTCCTGAGATTTTCTAATTTTTCGTTTATTTCAAAAGAATTTCTGATTGCTGTATTCTTTGGCTTGTAGCTCCTTTCTCCATATCAAAGCCATAAGTAGCATATCATCTTCAAATTCTCTTTGCTTCCATCATGACATAGTCTTCCCTTTTTAACACTGATCCTCCTACCTCCCTCTTATGAGGACCCTTGTGATTATATTGAGCCTCCCAAATAATTCATCATACTCTGCATCTCAAGATTCTTAATCACATCTGCAAAGTTTCTTTTGGCATGTAAGATAACACATCCCAGAGATTAGGATGTGGATATCTCTAGGGGCACATTATACAGCCTGTCTTATCACCTTTCAGAATTCTCCTCTGGTTGTCTCTTGTGTTGTCTCCAAGGATTATAGTTGCACTTAGGGGTGAGGAGCAGGAATAGATGAGTATACACCATTTTGCTTTGACTGGCAGCATGATATTTTTGTCTCTAGCTTTGTTATATATTCAAACTATATAACTACTTCCTTATTGTGTTTTTTAATTCAAGTCATTGGTCAAAATATTGAACAATACAAGGCCAATCACAGAGTCTTACAGAACAGTTTGGAAATGTTTCACTCTATTTTGGTCCTCTTGGGGTATGTCTGGAAATTTATGAACCCATTTGTTTATACCATCACCAAGTTAATCTTTTTCCATATTTTCTCTAAAATAAAATAAAAATTTAATAAAGGAGAAATTTTGCAGGATGCGCTGCTGAAATCACGAGTATGGTATTTTCTTGATAAATAGACTAGTTAACCCTATGAAAAATAAATTCTATTAGTTTTTTATTACACTTTTTTCAGTAGGCTGTAAACATCATTGTTTATCTAAATCACTCCAAGTTCTCTGCTTCATAAGACATTATAGAATTATGACAGAAATAATCAGATCACTGTTCTGAAATTTCCCAAATCCATCTATTTTCCCCTTTTGAAATTTTGGATCAGTACTCTGATTGCACCTTTGAAACTTCTACACTTTGATCCTGAACATTATTAATGACAGTTCTAACATCAGATCTGCAGATTCTTGCTTCCTTTTGGCATGTCATCCTTCTCAGACTGAAGTGAGATGTTAATTTTAAAAAACCAATTCTCTTTATTAATTTTACTTCCTGTCTTGGTATTGAAATTTCCTCTTTAAAAGCTATGTTTATCCTGCCACTCTTCAATTTTCAAAATAATTCTTACTACCTGAACTTTTCATCTATTTATTTACTCAACTTGTGTGACACACTTGATAGGTGACAGGCACTGTGCTAGCCCTAGGGAATATAAAGATTAATCAACTGATAATCTGGTAAGCTTTCCTGTCATCTGTTCATTGTGCCGTTTTCCCTGGGCAATGATCTTGGCCCTCCTTTGTTCACAGTCTGTCTCTGAACATGGCTTGCAAAGCCTTTTCCTTTCTTTAGCTGTTTCTGCAAGCCTCAGCCCTCTGTCCTCTAACCTTTCTGACACTGTTCTTCTAAGTCCAGGCTGTGCTTCTGTTTTCATTCCTGGCTCTGTGCCCCTCCTTCTACCTCTTCTACATGTCTTTTTATATTCCAAGCTTTTGAGAAAGCTTCCTGCACAGTTAAATCAGTTCCTTTAGAAGTCCTTTCTTTTCCATTTGAACAGAGATTGTATAAACTGAAGTTCATTTTTTCTACCACACCCCTTGAGCAATGTTCCCTTTTAAGGCTCATACAAAGGACGAAACTGCTGTATTTTTCCTTTAAGTACTTTTGAAATCTACTTTAAAAAAAAAATCTTAGTTCCATGTCTGGCTTAAGCAAGTATTTATTTTCTTCAAAATGGCAATCTCCACAGTACTTACCTATTTCTCATCATCAATACTTTTCCTTTTTAATCAGAATGAAGTTTACAGAAGCAGCATCTTTATTTCTTCATTTGTTTTTTAAAAGAAAAAAAAAGTCTTAGGTCCTATTTCTTCAGCACAATGAGATTCCCAGATGGCTGAAACTAATGATTTTTAACCTAATAATTTTTCATTTTTTTCTGCTGTTTATAGTAAAAATCATGTTTAATGACAATCTCGATCATTTTCTCTAAATGCCTTTTCTAAACAAAGACATAAAATCTATTCTTCTACCATTTCCCTTCCCTACATATTATAAAATTGCTGCGAATACAAAGAGTCATGTCTTTTCTTCTGGCTCTACTTACTACAACCCAGCTGTCTGCAGAGCTACCCACGGGGTTTATTATTTTTGGCTTAAATGCAAACCTCTAATTATTAGTATAAGCATAAGTTCTCCTTGCTGACAGTTTAAGATAAAGTAAATTGGAAGTGACATAAAAGGGTGTGTGTGTGTGTGTGTGTGTGTGTGTGTGAATGTGTGTCACCAAGATTCTTTCTTGCATCCTGAAAAGTCCCCTCTGGATGACCAACACCAGCAACCATTGTGAGTAACTCCATGCTGTTAAAAAGTGGGCATTCCCATTGATTTGTAAAAGTGACAGATACAGCATGTGATTGTAAATTAGCAATGTGAAGCTAGTCCCAAGGGATCTCCAAGCAGGTTCCCCCTACCTCCCACTCCCCAGTAATTATCTGGCTGCTTCTCAAGTATTTAAACATTTCCTCTGACTTGCTGCAGTGATTCCTATGGGCTTTGTTTTATCTCTTTATTCTCTCATTCTCCTTAATTTACAGTAATTCAAACAAAAAATATATTAAACATAGGAAATTATCTTTGCCTAATTGCTCTTATCTTCACCTTTATTAGCTCTGAGTAATTATTTTCTTTTTGGACACTGTTCATATCATAGTGGTCCTCTGACTTTAGTGTGCATAAAAATCACCCGGGATGGGCCGGGCACGGTGGCTCACGCCTGTAATCCCAGCACTTTGGGAGGCTGAGGCGGGAGGATCACGAGGTCAGGAGATTGAGACCATCCTGGCTAACACGGTGAAACCCTGTCTCTACTTCAAAAAAAATTAGCTGGGTGTGGTGGCGGGCACCTGTAGTCCCAGCTACTCAGGAGGCTGAGGCAGGAGAACAGCGTGAACCCGGGAGCGGAGGTTGCAGTGAGCCAAGGCCACACCACTGCACTCCAGCCTGGGGGACAGAGCAAGACTCCTCTCAAAAATAAATAAATAAAAATAAAAATAAAAATCACCTGGGGTGCTTATTAAAAATGCAGATTTCTAAGCTTCCACCCAGTGATTCTGATTCAGCAGGTCTGGCAAGCAAAGCAGCTGGTGTTTCTGTGTATTTCATGTGATCCCCAGGTGACCATTATGCAAGTGATCTGTGAACTCATTTGAGAAGCATTAGATTCAAATCTTAATCTCTTTTCAAGCTTAAATGATGTGTTTCTATTTTTATCTAGTTTACATTTTTCTTTGAAAACATTTGTAATAGTGATGATTGTCATCTTTAGCTTTGTAACTGTGGTTCAAACCATGTTGAAGCTAGCTCTGCTGAGGCCTGAAACATTCCACAGTGTCATAAGGAGGACACAGCATGTGAGAGGCCCAGAGCAACACTAATCCTAGGCTCTGCGGTTCATCTTCTGCCATTTTATGTCTGTGGTGGGGTCTGTTTGGAATGCATCTCAGCCCACCCTTGATAACAGCAACATTTCACTCTTGAGAGGTTCCTCATTTAAATATTTTAGATTAAATTAGATATTACCTTTACATAGTCATATTTTTGAAAAACAGCTGGTCAATATAAAATATTTAAATACTATTAACTTTATAAGGCAACTAATGCTATAGCACCTTAATCAAAAGCAAAATGCCATTTGATGAAATGGCATGACTTCGAAATGCGTAGAGACAAACTTTGGCCCAGACTAAATGTCAGCAGTAAAATACTTGGTAACGAAATGAGCAAGACCAAAGGTCGGGCTTCCATAAAAATCCTATTCTAGCTCCAACTTCATTTTAAATCACTTCAGATTATGTATAGTAAGTTGACTGTACTTTCAAGTGAGATATCCTTCCTGTCAATTTCAAGCTGGGTATTGCCTGTGAGACACAAATGTTTCTGGACTGGGAAGCTACACTTAGTGTCATTTTCCTCTTTCTCTTCTTTTCAGTTCATAAAAGTCTCCCTTGGTGACTAGATCTCTTTTTAGGAGAAAGTTCTGCAAAATAGCCTGAGATATTTTATAGAATAAATGAGTGACATGTGGTCTCATATGTGCTGGTTTGCCCAGGGAAATTCCAATTTATACCATGCTGTAGATAAACTATAACTGTTAAATATTTTTAGCCCCCATTTTATTCTCCAGCATGCCCAAATTTGGAATATAAATCACATGGCCACTCTACTTATGATCAATACATGGAAGTCTTTTACAGTTTCAAGTACTTCTAGCCTGGCAATGAAATGCTTATTAATTCCAATGGAAAAAGCTAATGATTATATTGTTCAGTCATAGGGCCTGAATAAGGTCAGAATTGTCTCTACCATGTTATAAAAATAATCATATAAAATTTTCAGTGCAGCTTATTATGACAAATGATCAAGTTAGATCATGACATTCTTTTGCTTGGAATCATCTAGGTCAGTACTTCTCCTAACTGAACATGCATGAGAATCACTTGGAGTACTTATTAAAACACAAATGACTGGGTTCTACTTCCAGAAATGTTGGTCTAGGATAGGGCCTGCAAATTTCATATTTCTAATAATTTCTCAGCTGTTACTAACGATGCTGGTCCAGAGACCACACTTTGTGACCCAATGATCTGATGGCTTCCTGCTTCCCTCAGAGGAAATGCCAAAATCGTTTAATGGCCTAAAAACTCTAATGATCTGGCTGACAGCTACATATCTGACCTAAAACCTCTACCCTGCTTACTCCTTTGAAGCCACACTAGCCTTCTTGCTGCCTCAAAAGTAAGCAGGCCCTCTTCTAGCTGCTCCTTCTTCCCAGAGGGATAGCCCTCAAATATATGAATGGTGTACTTCCTCACCACCTTCGAGTCTTTACCCATACTGTCAACAAGGCTTCCTTTCACCACCCGCCTCCAAATTGAAACCTAAATCCCCAGATCTTTTATCCTGCTCAAATCTTCTTCCCCCTACCCCCACAGAAAATATTGGTTTATAATATTCTGACATCATTTACTGTCTGCAATCCCCCACCCCAATATAAGCTCTACAAAGGGATCTTTTCTGCTTTGTTTACTAATGTATTCCGAACACACTGATGAGAGCCTGGTATACAACAGGCATATTATACATGTTTATTAAATGAACAAATGCATCACTACTTTCAGTTCTACCTTTGTACATGAATAAGGCATGTGATCACTAAAAGACTACTATGGAATCATAAGACATTGTGTAAAGGTATGTAAATACATGTATATATTTTTAGGATTAGAATTGAATGTTCAGACTTTTGACTTGCAACTTTGTCATGTACAAACATTTACTCATCGAATTTGTAAAACCTATCATAATGTTGCATCTATGAAATGTTTGTGTTTCTCATTCAGCACTTAAATATTACATCCTTTATTTTAACGCATTCACTAGTGATTCACTTGCTCCTTGCTCTCCATGTACTTGGTCTTCTGCCCCCTCCCATTATGTTTTCAAAAGTCTAACTTTAACTGTTTCTATGGAAACTGTTAGAGATGTACTTCTGTAATGCACATGAAAAAGAGGGAATAGGAAAAAATTGATTCATAAGTGTCCTTTGCATTATGCACTGTTTCACAGCTCAGTTAGAACTAATTCTGTGAATACCACTCTTCTGAAGGTTAGAGTTAGCTAGAAGGTTAGAAAGATCATTCTTTCATCAGGGGAAATGATTCACAAGTTTGTAAATAAATATCACTCAATTCTTTTGTAAAATTATTTGTAATCACTGGTTTTCAAAAACCCATTTGTCTTTTGATTTGATTTAAAAAGCATTTCCTTTTTATCCCAAAGTCTCTGTCACCGCAAACACCCTCCTAATCCCATCCTCACTCCCAATGACCCTCAGCAAAAAAATTTATTATCATTTTATGTTTCTCTCCTGTTTGTACCTACAGGCACAGCAAAATTTTGGGCATGATTTTTTTTGAAGTTGATTCAGTTAATTTGGCAATCTATTTAAAGCATGTTATTTTTCTATCACTTCCATCAAAAATATGTCACGGGAGTTCCCTCTTCATGTCTCAGGGGAAAGAAAATATTCTTGGGAGAACCTGTATCCAATCAGAGAGAAAATAAGCTCAGCAATTATAGGCATATAGACTTCCTAGAAAAAAAGAGAGATTTTTCTTTAATAGTTTAGCTGCTGTCATCGATTATTTAAAGCCCAATGTAGATGTTGTTCTTTCTTTAAACTCTGCTAGTTAACTGATTTGGGATTAATGTGTTAGCACTGGCCATAAGCTACCTCACCCTGCATTCACAGTAAGCTGCTCCCTGCTCTGTAGAATAGAGTTCCCCTGGCTCTCAATTAACTACTCTGACCATCCTGCAGGAGAAGCACACTGATGAGTAGCGCCAAGTGGAGCAGTAAACACATTGATGGCTCTTTTTTATTTGACACAAGGTTTGGGGATCTCAGTGGGTATTTCTTTTTTCAAATTCACTTTGTAGCAGCTAGAACATTTTCTAAATGACTATTTCTCTTAGAGGAATATTAATACAAATATGACAATGCTGTCAATATTTTCGACTCCTAATCATTCAATGAGAAGAGCATACATTAAAAATAAGATAAACTATAATCGTGGAAATCCAAGAAATGTAGTGACCCATGGTATCCGTATGATTTTGTGGGATTTCATAATCTCATACCTGAAAAGACCTTTTCAAAATCTTTGAGCTGTTCTGGCTGCCTGTCTCCAAAACTTTTCTAACTGTTTCACCACTTTTTGTTGTCCTCAGCTTGGAAACTCTGTTGTTTTATCTTAGCCTTTCCATACAGGTGCCTTGCTACAATCTCAAATAGTAAACAAATTGAACTTTTGTGATATTTGCTAGATTTTCCATTCGTTATTAAAAGGAATTATTCTAAGACTTTCCAGTGCTCAGCACAGTGCCTGACACTATATACTGCACAAATAGGTTGTCAGTGAATGAATAAAAATTTTATTGTATCTTTTCTTTCTCTGAAATTTCTCATGACAATAGAAAAAATTGAGTATGACTTTTGGGAATAAACCAGAGTAAATAATTAGGTTACTTCAATATCAGTTATAGTATAATTCTGTGCAAATACTGACTTGTTGAAATAAGTAAAATTACTTATTTCAGTGATCTTTCCGATAAAAAGATTCTTCCAAAGAAATCATAAAGCAAATACATTATAGAAAATTAAATGAAGTCCCTTCTGTCTAGATGTTTTCTGTAACATCCAGAGAAATCATTCCATATTTTCTAGAATGACTTGGGATTCACTGGCTCTTCGTTGAAAGGTCTGTGCCTATCTGGGTGTTCAGTTCCTCAGAACTTTGCTTCTATGTCCGGTTTAATTGCCATCATTCTTCCATGAGCCTTTCATAGCCTAATTCTAGTCCTTGACTGTTTTGTTTAGAGATGGTGGTAGTGAGGAGATATTTACTACTACCAAATACATGGGTAATTTGTTAGCAATTAAATAGTATTTGCAGCAACCTGGATGGAGTTTGAGACCATTATCCTAAGTGAAGTAACTCAGGAATGGCAAACTAAACGGACCCTTGGGAGTCGGGGGATGGTTGGGAGGCGGGTTAGGGATAAAAGACTACACACTGGATACAGTGTACACTGCTTACGTGATGGCTTCACCAAAATCTCAGGAATCATCACTTGTGTATGTAACTAAACACCACCTTTTCCCCAAAAACTATTGAAATAATTTAAAAATTAAAAATAAATAAAAATAAAGCATCTTTGAAATTTTTAGGAAAAAAAGAGTGATGCTTCTCGTTCTTTTTTCCTCTCTCACCAATCAGGATGATATACCGTCCTCCAAACAAAAGATCGCTTTATGCCCATTTGATTATTTTTTGTTTTATGTCTCCATTTTTTAGACTAATAAAACAATTATAAAGTGGTTTTGTTCAGATGATTGGTTGTCTTTCATTCTTCCATCTTCAACTCAGGATTCTGAACATTTTCTTCTAAACATGCCTAGGATATATTTTAGGTTTTTTTGTTTGTTTGTTTTTGTTTTTTACCACCCAGTTTTCTGAAGTCCATGACATAGGACATTTAACATTTTAAGAAACCATGCATTTTCTAACAATAAGCCCCCCAAAGAGGCACTCGTAGGTAACTGAACTCTTTTGCTTTTATTGCCTTTAATACTTTTTCTCTTTTCCTCATTAAATCAATAAATGGCATAAATATCAAGGGTTAATTTTTAAGTGATATTGTATAAAAGACAAAAGATTTTGAGAAAATGAATTTAAAACCAGTATATATGGGTATTAATAAACTTTATAAAATCTCTGGATGGATATCTTATTTCAGTTTATATTTTAGAGCTCAGAATCCAAACCACCCCTATATAATAAACTGAAGAACTGAGCAGAAGTAGGTAGTAATCTCAGCACAACATGAGCAGAGAATCAGAGTGAATAGGAAACTGAGAGATACACTGAACTAGCACCTATATTATTCATACGAATAGATGGAGACCAAGAAAGACTAGCTTTAAATTCCTGTCACTAATTATTATCTGAGACAAAATTCCTCTAAACTATGCATTGATTAACTCCTGCTATTTTTCTTTTTTCTGATGTGGCTAACATTGGTTTTGTAACAGGCACTATTCTCAGCTATTTAAATGAACTTATTAATTGAGTCTTTACAGCATTCGATGTGATATAGGTGTGCCCATTTTAAAGAAAAGAAAACTGAGTCACAGGAACATAAAGAACTTGCTCCCAGTCACACAATTAATAAACGGCTGAGCCAAGACACAAACCTAGCCAGGCCCACTCTAGAGTATGCGATCTTAACCTCTACACTTCTCTTCATCATCATTAGTATACTTAGTAGTCTCCTATTGCTACTGTAACAGATTAGGTAGCTTAAACAACACCAATGTATCATCTTACAGCCTTAGAAATCACAAGTCCAAAATGGCTTTCACTGGCTAAAATCAAGGTGTTGGCAAGCCTGCATTCCTTCTGCAGACTCTAAGGCAAAACCTGTTTCCTTTCCTTTTCCAGCATCTGAAATCCAACCACATTCTTTGGTTTGTGGCTCCTTACTCCATCTTCAAAGCCAGCAGGGTAGTACTTTTAAAAGTCCGTTTCTGGCCAAGTGCGGTGGCTCACGCCTGTAATCCCAGCACTTTGGAAGGCCGAGGCAAGTGGATCACTTGAGGTCAGGAGTTCGTGACCAGCCTGGCCAACATGGTAAAACCCCATCTCTACTAAAAATACAAAAATTAGCTAGGCGTGGTGGTGTGCACCTGTAATCCTAGCTACTCGAGAGGCTGAAGCAGGAGAATCACTTGAACTAGGGAGGTGGAGGTTGCAGCAAGTCGAGATCGCACCATTGCACTCCAACCTGGGCAACAGAGTAAGATTCGGGCTCAAAAAAAAAAAAAAAAAAAAGTCAGTTTTTGTCCGCTTCCATAGTCACATTGCCTTCTGTTTTTAAATTCTGATCTTCCTTCCTCCTTTATAAGAGGAAGGACCCTTATAACCACATTGGGTCAGATAATCCAAGATCATCTCCTCTTCTAAAAATCTTTAGCTTAGTCCCACCTGTGAAATCCCTTGTACCATGTAAGATAACATATTCACAGGTTTGGGGGGATTAGGACAGGGACATTTTTTTAGAGGACATTATTCACCCTACCACAGTGAGTTGCAATTAATTTGAAACAAGAGTACCCAAATTACATATGGCAATTAGAAGTGACTATTGTGACTGTCGATCTCACTCAATCTGAATTATGAATCACTTCTTAAATAAAACTCAATCAACATTATCTCTCTTTTCTATAAGGAAACATCGTGATATTCTTAGATAACATGTAATGCACTTCATGGTTATGGCTGTTATTTTTAAGAAGACTATTCTTGCTTGCTTCTAGACACACAGAGACCCTAAGCCAAAAGCTACACAGCCAAAAGGCCTGGCTGTACATGGAGAGTCTCCAACATAACAATAATCTATTGCCAGATCTGACTTCATTGATGTGAATTCCAGTGCTAAACCTGCACACATCTCAAGATTATAGATGGCAGATGGATGGCACTAAAGATAGCTCTAGATACAGAGAAATTCTGTCTTTATCTCCTTATCATTTTCTTATGTCAGATGTAGAACATTTGAAAGATCAATTTGAGAAGTGGGGTAGTACACCAAAAACTCCCCTGGGGGGAAAAAAACACAAAATTTAAATCTAAGTCCAGCAATGAGATATTACTAGAAATTTCCTCATATGCAAATTAAATACAATAATTATTTTTCTTCTTATTTCTCTCTGTGGAGAATGGAATCATAACAGTTATGTATGTTGGAGGAGAAAGCAGGAAGTGGGAAAGAGTCATATTACGAGGTCTTGTTGGGAATAGCTCCTGCCTGTGGCTTCTGTACAGGCTCCTGCAAGTATTCGAAACAGGGGGAACAAGGCCACTCCGATATTACCAGTACTCTTTTTGACAGACATTTAAAATGTGCACTGCATAAAGAGTGTCTTTACATTTGTTTACACATCCACACACACACACATATGCAAGCACACACATATGCACTGATCTCTTTGTTGTGCTCTAGAAGAATATATCTGTTTCTTCACATAGTATTTTCAAAAGACTTTAAAAAATTTTGGGGGGAAACCAGTCAATCAGTTTAAATAATGGCCTATTTGAAATTTCCCTGATAGAGTATTCTAACATGCCCATTCAGAAAACTGTACACAACTGCAGTCAGAGCAAACAAAGACAATTTGCTCTTACAATGAAGTAGCTTAATGCTTTCCTTAAAGGTGTAACTTGATTAATTTGTTTTATGAGGCTAAGCAGGATGATCCAAGAAGAAAGGTGCCATGTAACTGCAGCACATTATTATTCATTATAATAAAGGCCATGGTAATAACAACTCAATGATAGAATATTAATAGACTTTATAGCAATGGCACAATGGAATTTCCAGAAGGCAGCAAGCAACTTTAAAGAAAATCGGATAGGGACCTCTCATGGCGAGAAACGAATCTTGTATATCCTAGGAAAAATGAAACGAAGATTGGCTATCTTTCATTCTCTTCCAGCTTTACATTTACATTGGCAGCAGAAGCTCACATCTGTGGAAGAACACCCATGCCCTTTCCCAATGGATTCAGGAAGAAGTTACTCCTATCAGCTTGTGTTTAATGTTATGAATCAGACTTGCTTGTCAGCATCATGATTCATGACGGTGAACAGAGAGTGTGTGGAGCCTGCATTTCTGTGGGTTGGGAATAGATAAGAGTATTTAGACAGCTTTCATATCCAGTCTCAGCCAGTCTTGCTGGATAAAAAAGAAACTTCAGAATATTCTCCAGATCTACTACAGACTCAGAGTGAGATCCAGGGAGATGAATCATTACTTGCTGAAGGCAAGTGTCAGGAATATATAATTGAAGACTCCATGAGCAACCTTGATGAAAAATTCAGTTCTTGTGTGTGAATTAAAAATGCACAAAATTCTAAACAAAAATTAGAGATCTCTGTTGGAGAGATATTCTATATGTCTGTCCTAATGGGCTAGTGAAAAACTATCTTAGGGAGAGAACATTTATGCACATGTATATAATCCTTGTCATTGAATGAGGTGACAATTTTTCTTTATTCAGCAACAAATGTCTTTACCCATGGTTTGAATTCCACTCTTAGTAACCACACCTGATGACATGGCCCTAAATTTACTCTCTTTGGCTACTCGACAATTATTAGGCACCTATGATGTGCAAGATATTATGAGCTAGGTTGTAGAGATACAAATTGTAAAGATAGCATAAGCACAAAAAATCCCTTAGATTAAAAAGTATATACTTCCCCCCACCAAAATGTTATAGTAAACATAGTGTGCAAAAAGCTTGAGAAACCAAGGAGGGCATTTCCGAGGAGGTCTGATGGTGAGAGAGGTTGCTTCTGAGGACTATCATTTGAATTTGGTTTTGTGGAACGATTAAGAACTTGACATTTGGACAAAAGGGGAAAGGAAGAAGAGGCATTTTTGGTTAGAAGAATCGTGCATACAAAATCATGGCGCGAAATAGAATGGGTTATATTAGACGAATAGCTAGTGCATCAGAGTGCTGGAATATAGGACTTATTGCTGAAATGGAGGAGGAAGGGTGGATGAAACTAAAAGAGGTGGTTGGTGAAACTTGCTAAGACGTGAAAATTTTAAATTGTTATGTATTTTTTTTATTTTTTATTATACTTAAGTTGAATCATGTGTTGGAAATACAATGCCAATGGAAAGCGGTTAGGAAGCAGATGACAAAAGAATTGAGAAGAATTGACTAAGTTCTCCAGAATGAATGAGGCAAATGAGAATGAGAGGCAAGGGAAGGAATGAAATTGGAAAATATGTTAGAAATGAAATTGAAAGTATTGAGTCACGTAGATAACAGACAAAGGAGTCTGGATTTTTCTCAAGTTACTCTGTAAACAAGACTGCTTTTAGGGAGGAAGGTAGTGGAGTGGCAGAGATATGGTAAAGAGATTGGCCTGAAGCACATTGAGAGAGTGCGTCCAGGTGGAGATGGGATCAGCTTGAGGTTGGGGGTAAGTTCTGGACTGACTGAGGATTTGGGAGTCAGCAACACAGTGATAACCATTCATGCCAAGGCTATAATAGACTACCCAGGATCACATATTGGCAGAGAAGGGAGTAGAATACAAAAAGCAAGTCCATGCTAATGAGAAATGTGTTAACTTTGCTCTGTTCCTCCACTGAGTCTGAAAAGAGGAAGGGCATGGATTTGACTCATCGACAATGCTGACTCCTCCAACTCTCTTGGGTTCCTTCATGTGTCTTCTACACTTATTATTTACACACACATATGAGTATGTCAGACTTTACTGAGGCATTCAAGGATACAACAAGTTCACAACATATGAAGAAAAGATTTTGAATCCATCATTGTTCAAGGGAAAAGCAGTCTAGAAGCTAAACTTTTCATGAAGTGTATTCTCAAGATGACACCCCCATTCTTAACTTTGCTCAACATTCTTTCCAAGAGAGTCTCCCCTAAATATGCTACATAGATTACAGCTGTCTTTTAAAATATAGAACTTACTTCCCAAAAGGTTTGGTCTTCTCTTAGGAATTCTTCCTCCTCTTCCAGCAAAACATTTCTGCACATCTGAGTTATTTAGTCTAAAATAATACACCCTGTGGGACTTAGATGAAATAATTCAGGGTGAAAATAAGCATTCCAAGTCTAGTCTTCTTCAATTCTCTTTATGAGTTTGGTGTGTACATATAGCTCTTTCATTTTTTGAGTGTCCAGTGATTAATTGTTGCTACCTTCCTATCTCTTAAATTACATATGTCAGAAAGTGCTATTTATTCTTCTAGTTTAACTAATATTTAAGAATTATGCCAGTTAAACAGATTGAAGAGAAATAGTCAAATGAAAAAAACAAGAAATGAAAGCTTCAACAGGCGTGTATTCAAGAGCGGAAAGTGCAGGAAGAAGAATGAATAAATTGAAGTTGAAAATAAGTTGCAGAATAAATCTTGTAGCCAGTCTAAGGGCTTGTTATCATAAATCCCAGAGGCATTTGGGTATATAATATAATATTATTATACTTAAGTTGAATCTGTTTCCCACCTCTGACTTCAGAAATGTGTTTGGCCCATGTTGTAATAGCCTGAGAAACTGAAGATAAAGAATGAAATTTTTGTTAATGCCTGAGTGTTCCCAGTATACCTTTTTCTCTAATATTCATATTGTACTTGTGAAAAACTGATGTTGATTAAATATACCTGGTCCACATGAGGTGCTTAAGATAGGTCAAGCTACACCGTGCTGGACCTAGAGGTGCAGTTAAGCTTCCTTCCAACAATTCCAACATGACCCTCCCTTGTTCTCAGAGATTATCATCAGTAACTATTCCTCTCATGGTACGGATATAATGACTTGCACCTGTGCCTATCCTGGTACATGTTTCTGATCTTGCCACATATCCCAGTGGTACTGACTTCCTTCTGTTTCTTTAGAACAGATTTTCCCAAGGGGAGTCCACACCGGGGCTTTTCCTCCATCCAAGCCTTTTGCTGGCATTTGTTAACCCAGTGAAAGCCAAATTATACAGGGGTGAGGAGCAATTGAAACAGACTGATGTGAAGATAGAAGTTGATGGCAATGGGAAAGGGAAGGATACATTCAGGGGAAGAAATTTTAGGATGAGAAAGATTTGAGAACGTTTGTAGTCTGAGATGAAATCATCAATGAAAGAAGAAAGTCACAAAGATACTAAAGAGTCAAGTTATAATTGATGGTTCAGGAACACAGGAGGCAGTAGGGTTTGGAATGTAGGACTTAAGAGGAACTATCCCAAATTGTTAGTTCCTCTGCCCTGAGAATGAAAGAAATAAAGTACAATAACATTTTTACGTCTGTCTATTACATGTCTCAGACTGAAAGAACAGCCATTTAAGATAGAGGCCTGCCTTACCCACCCACACCATCAGGGTCTGTTGGTCTCTTCCCTTGCTATGCAAAAGTGAAAACCTGGGCTCTTTAAAAACAGAACAAAGGAGAAGAGCTTTCCAACAAGAAGCCAATGCTTCAGTTGCTAAGACAGAACAGAGCAACAACTATAATACATTAATATACTGTATAGGTTGCTGATTTAGTAGTTTTGCAATTATTTTAAAAATATGGCCATTTTGCTTTTATACTAGCATGAAAAAGAGCTGAATCCAGAAGTCACTCAGAAATATGACTTCTTTATATAAGAAAGAAAAGGCTTGATAAAAAGAGAAGGGACCTAACCTACAATTGTGGTTGAATGAAAAGCCTAATTTTGTAGGATTATAGAACTAAAAGTATCCTGCTCTTATTTGGATCACTGCATAGCGGCTTCATGAATTTGAGAGTTGTAGAAATCAGGGGGAAAAAGAAGTGCTAGAATAATTTTGTACCAAATTAACCACCTTCAGAAATGCCTAATTGAAATTGATACCAGAATTGCCCAGGCTGGAGTGCAATGGCACAATCTCAGCTTACTGCAACCTCCGCCTCCCAGGTTCAAGCAATTCTCCTGCCTCAGCCTCCCAAGTAGCTGGGAATACAGGCCCTCACCACCACGCCCAGCTAATTTTTTGTATTTTTAGTAGAGACAGGGTCTCACCATGTTGGCCAGGCGGGTCTCGAACTCCTGACCTGGTGATCTGCCTGTCTCAGCCTCCCAAAGTGCTGGGATTAGAGGCGTGAGCCACCGCGCCTGGCCAATAGGGCCTTTATACTAAAACATTACAACCACTAATCGGTAAAATACGGATAGGGATCTGAGGATAGGAAGGGAGGAAAGAACTTTGGCTCTGACATTGAAACTTAATAAAGGTACTCATCATCCATGCCACCACAGCCCCACCTTAGAGCCTTGTTCAGACCCATGACTGATCCTGCTTTCATTCAATTTGTTATCAATATTTATTGAAGCCATGCTGTGTGCACATGTTGTGAGCAGAGCAGAAAACATCATCTTTACGTGTGCTTGCTCTGAAGGTAGAATACATGGGTTCAAATCCTGTGACTTTGGACAGTTTATTATATGCTTAGTGCATCGATCCTCTCATCTGTACAATGGAAACAATAATATCAAATATATTTCTGAGGAGTTTGTGAGAATTAGGTGAGTTCATGTATGTAAAAGTGCTTAGCACGGTGCCTTGTTCATAACAAAAACTGAGAACATATTATTTATGGACCATGGCATTTACAAAGTAGTTTAATCTACACCTCTGCAACCAGGAACTTACAATCAACACAGGGGAGGTGGGATGGCTAAGAAGTCCCAATAATAACTAAAATTTTAGGAGTTGTAGTTCCAATGGATGGAATATTTGTGCTAGAAAGGGAAAGGGGAAGACAAAGAAAAACATCATTTCTAGCTTGGATGATAAAGACCTCCAGGAAAGATACATTTTTAACTTAGTCTTTAAACTAAGGTATGTAAGCTTTTCCCTTCCCTTCATTCATGTAGCTTTCTTAGAATCTTTCTTGGCCATAAATCCCTTCAGTGGAATATGATGCCCTTTACTCAGTTAACTTAAATGTCACCCTAAATAGTTTGTAAATGGACAGGCAATATGAACCAATGGAGCTATCCATGAAGATTGGTGTAGAGCACTAAGGCAGGGCTATGTCCTCTGCTCTGATTGGTTCCACAGGCTCCTGGATGCAGCCTTTGCATCCTTCCAGACAAGGCTCTGTTAATTATTCTTCCAGTCACATCCTTGTAGACTAGGCTGATTTATTTGATGGTAGAAATGAGATGCTTTGGTGTGAGTCATACCAAGGTATGGGGGAAGGAAGAGCTGAACTGCCATATATAAACTTTCCAAATAAGCTCAAACGCTAGGTGACCAGGAGCTGGGCAGGAGCTGCATCTATCTATGGGAGAATGCATGTCATAGGGAGGCGCCATGCTGCTCCAGCTCACAAAACAGCCTGGGAGGGCTGAATCCACAGTGCTGCCTTCATCTAACATGATGCTCTGGCTCAGGGTGTATGTGACAGGAGCCCTGCTCCAATGATGTTTTCAGAAAATGAAATCTGTTTTGTGCTTGAGGATCGCGCTCCGATGTTATCACTCTGTCATTTCAACACATGGCTTTCAACCAAGGGGCACACCAGATTAGGGCCTGCTCCCAGGCCCATTACAGACTTTGTTTTCTGTTCAGTAATTCCTCTATATGGCTAAAAATACAGATATGGATAAATATATAGACATAAATTTAATATAAATTTCCAAACCTACACATCAGATAAGGTTATGGTATAATGATCATCCATGTACCCATTACCCATAACTTCAATTATAATCAATAGAGCAGTTTTTTTAAAGTCAATCAAAATACATTATCTTGTTAGGGAGTTTAAACCATAATCCCAAAAGATACATTCCTGAGCATCATAATCCTGAATGCTGAAATTCTGAAAGATCAAAATCCTAATGTCTAAAATCCAGAACATCACAATCACAGAATAGTTGCATCATGTTAGGCAGAAATATTACCTTGTTATTATTTGTATGCAAAGAAAATGGATTTCAATTGCATTCCAAATCATAATAACAGATTTGAAATTAGGTGTGATCAAGGCTTCTAAAAGCTAATTACAAGGTGTTACCAATAAAGTCTATTCTTTTTTTTTTTTTGATTCAGCACAACGCATCTGGAGGAAAATTCAGATGAGTAGATTGGCCATGCAATCCAACAATGA
The DNA here is from genome assembly GCF_000001405.40 of Homo sapiens. NCBI lineage: Eukaryota > Metazoa > Chordata > Mammalia > Primates > Hominidae > Homo > Homo sapiens. Next base: position 125,565,507 of record NC_000005.10, read on the forward strand.
AAAAAGCTTCAGTTTAAAAATAGGTCATTTGTCTGCATTGACATTTTTTCTACCTGATGACATTACAGGAGGTTTCAATGAACTAAAGTTGCATTTACCTGAAGCAGCTAGAGAAGTTACTGAGTGGTTCAAAAATAATGTGCACCGTAGAGTAGAAAGACACTTGCCCAACGATGTTGCTGTTTAACCACTTGTATTGTTTCTGTCAAATCTGTGATCTGCATATGAGTTCATGTGGAATGGATTTCCATGTACCCAAAACAACATAGAAACAAGGCACAAGAGACGAAAAAACTTAACAGGGGACATTCATATTCTTGTATATCTAATCACAGAAGACTATCAAAAAGAGCAGAGACACATAGGAAATGAATGTAAAGTCTTCTCTGAGGACAGCAATGTCCTAAAAGAAAAAAAGTAGCTATTCATCATGATGTAAGACTTCAAATTATAGTTAATGATCATGAAGGTCGACCAGCTCTTATGGACTATCTCCGTGCAATTGCCCACAACCTACCTCTGTAATACACTTTTTCATATGTCAGGTTTTCTTTTTAGTTTTTCATGTTTTGGTTTTTTGTTTGTTTTAGTTTTTTGTTCTTTTTCTTTTTGAAAGTTTTTTCCCATATTTTAAATTGTCACCATTATTATTATTATTTTTTTTTTACAATTTTTTCTTCTATGTGATCTTAGAATTATTTCCAATACTGGAGGTATAAGTTGTATACAGATTTTCACAGAGTTCTAACTCATTTTATGCACTTTTTGACTCTACAAAAGTGCATCATGAGGCTGGGCGTGGTGGCTCATGCCTGTAATCCCAGGACTTTGGGAGGCTGAGGAGGCCAGATCATGAGGTCAGGAAATTGAGACCATCCTGGCTAACACAGTGAAACCCCATCTCTACTAAAAATACAAAAAATTATCCAGGCGTGGTGGCAGGCGCCTGTAGTCCCAGCTACTCCAGAGGCTGAGGCAGGAGAATGGCATGAACCCGGGAGGCGGAGCTTGCAGTGAGCAGAGATCGCGCCACTGCACTCCAACCTGGGCAACAGAGCAAGACTCCGTCTCAAAAAAAAAAAAAAGTGCATCATCACAATGTTGATTTTGTGTGCAAGCACTGTGTGTGTATATAAAACACTGAAATTTCTTCAATAAATGAAGAGATATCCTTTTGTATATCTGTGTTTGTGAAAGATAAAATTTCTCAAGATCTCAGTTCTTTGGATGACTTGTGCAGTGGTGATGTGGTAGTGACCCATCTTGATTTTTTAAATTGAACTCATCAAAAGACTTATGTGGTCCATCAAAGCATTTCAGAGGACTGCACTTACAAAGCTGAGTGCACGCAGTTAATGACCGTAATGGTATGTGTTTATACACTTTACTGTTTGACTTATGTTTTTTCTTTTTTTGAGATGAAGTCTCGCTCTGTCACCTAGGCTGGAGTGCAGTGGCGCAATCTCGGCTCATTGCAACCTCCGCCTCCCAGGTTCAAGTGATTCTCCTGCCTCAGCCTCCCTAACAGCTGGGATTCCAGGCACCCACCACCATGCCCAGCTAATTTTTGTATTTTTAATAGAGACGGGGTTTCGCCATGTTGGCCAAGCTGGTCTCAAACTGCTGACCTCAAGTGATCCACCTTCCTCGGCCTCCCAAAGTGTTGGGATTATAGACGTGAGCCACCACGCTTGGCCTGACCTACTGCTTCATGAATATAGTTTGTCTGCTTATAACTGCTATACTCACATGACTTGTTAGTATACCTGAGTTTTTATGCTTACAAAAATGTGTTACTATTACCTATTTTATTTTGTAAAGTAGCCTCTGAAGTATCCTATCATGTTTCTATGTTTCCCCAAAAAAATACCCTTTTAAAAATGTAAATAAGCATTTTAAAACTAATCTTTTAAATTATTTTTTCTAGAATTATATTTTGGGGATTTTGATCTTTCAGCATGTCTATGTTCAGGATTATGGTGTTTGGGACTGTGTCTTTCTGGATTACGATTGGCTCTTGCCAAATATTTACTTTTAGCTATCAGAACTCTGTCACTGCTATCTTCCTCCCTAGACAGAGAACAGCTTGAAGGTCAGAGTGTGTTTCAGTCTCCTTTGGATCCTACCATGGCGTGGTATCTAGCTCCGTGATCAGCCAGTTGAAAGTTCTTAAAAATTACTGTTTATTGAATATGTAATTGATTTTTAAGTGCTATGTGTTAAAGCATCTATAGAAGAAATTTTATTCCTGTGATTATAAGTTATGAAAAACCATGCAAAACAGCAAGATACAATTTCAAATATGATCCTTTGAGAGAAAATTTGAAAGAACTATGAAACACAATCTGGGAAGTTTAGTGGACATACGAGTGCTGCAGCTGCAGCTCTTTCAGGCCACATCTTCTATCTCTATAGATGCACCTGCTTGGTCACCAGGCACTATGTTGGGTATAGAATACTAGCATTCAGGTGGTTCCAAGTGGCCAAATAGGAACAGCTCCAGTCTACAGCTCCCAGCGTGAGCGACGCAGAAGACAGATGATTTCTGCATTTCCAACTGAGGTACCCAGTTCATCTCACTGGGGACTGTTGGACAGTGGGTACAGGACAGTGGGTGCAGTGCACTGAGCATGAGCCGAAGCAGGGCAAGGCATCGCCTCACCCAGGAAGCACAAGTGGTCAGGGAATTCCCTTTTCTAGCCAAGGAAAGGGGTGACAGGTAGCACCTGGAAAATCAGGTCATTCCCACCCTAATACTACACTTTTCCAATGGTCTTAGCAAACGGCACACCAGGAGATTATATCCTGTGCCTGGTTCAGAGGGTCCTGAGCCCATGGAGCCTTGCTCACTGCTAGCACAGCAGTCTGAGATCAAACTGCAAGGCGGCAGCCAGGCTGGGGGAGGGGCGCCCGCCATTGCTGAGGCTTGAGTAGGTAAACAAAGCCATCTCACATGCAGTGACACATATAGGCTCAAAATAAAGGGATGGAGGAAGATCTACCAAGCAAATGGAAAACAAAAAAAGGCAGGGGTTGCAATCCTAGTCTCTGATAAAACAGACTTTAAACCAACAAAGACCAAAAGAGACAAAGAAGGCCATTACATAATGGTAAAGGGATCAATCAACAAGAAGAGCTAACTATCCTAAATATATATGCACCCAATACAGGAACACCCAGATTCATAAAACAAGTCCTTAGAGACCTACAAAGAGACTTACACTCCCACACAATAATAATGGGAGACTTTAACACCCCAATGTCAACATTAGACAGATCCACAAGACAAAGTTAACAAGGATATCCAGGAAGTGAACTCAGCTCTGCACCAAGCAGACCTAATACACATCTACAGAACTCTCCACCCCAAATCAACAGAATATACGTTCTTCTCAGCACCACACTGCACTTATTCCAAAATTGACCACATACTTGGAAGTAAAGCACTCCTCTGCAAATGTAAAAGAAGAGAAGTTATAACAAACTGTCTCTCAGATCACAGTGCAATCAAACTAGAACTCAGGATTAAGAAACTCACTCAAAACCGCTCAACTACATGGAAACTGAACAACCTGCTCCTGAATGACTACTGGGTACATAACGAAATGAAGGCAGAAATAAAGATGTTCTTTGAAACCAACGAGAACAAAGACACAACATACCAGAATCTCTGGGACACATTCAAAGCAGTGTGTAGAGGGAAATGTATAGCACTAAATGCCCACAAGAGAAAGCAGGAAAGATCTAAAATTGACACCCTAACATCACAATTAAAAGAACTAGAGAAGCAAGAGCAAACACATTCAAAAGCTAGCAGAAGGCAAGAAATAACTAAGATCAGAGCAGAACTGAAGGAAATAGAGACACAAAAAACCCTTCAAAAAATCAGTGAATCCAGGAGCTGGGTTTTTGAAAAGATCAACAAAATTGATAGACTGCTAGCAAGACTAATAAAGAAGAAAAGAGAAGAATCAAATAGACGTAATAATAAATGATAAAGGGGATCTCACCACTGATCCCACATAAATACAAACTACCATCAGAGAATACTATAAACACACCTATGCAAATAAACTAGAAAATCTAGAAGAAATGGATAAATTCCTGGACACATACACCCTCCCAAGACTTAACCAGGAAGAAGTTGAACCTCTAAATAGGCCAATAACAGGCTCTGAAATTGAGACAATAGTTAATAGCTTACCAACCAAAAAAAGTCCAGAACCAGATGGATTCACAGCCGAATTCTACCAGAGGTACGAGGAGGAGCTGGTACCATTCCTTCTGAAACTATTCCGATCAATAGAAAAAGAAGGACTCCTCCCTAACTCATTTTATGAGGCCAGCATCATCCTGATACCAAAGCCTGGCAGAGACACAACCAAAAAAGAGAATTTTAGACCAATATCCCTGATGAACATTGATGCAATAATCCTCAATAAAATACTGGCAAACCAAATCCAGCAACACATCAAAAAGCTTATCCACCAAGATCAAGTGGGCTTCATCCCTGGGATACAAGGCTGGTTCAACATACCCAAATCTATAAACGTAATCCAGCATATAAACAGAACCAATGACAAAAACCACATGATTATCTCAATAGATGCAGAAAAGGCCTTTGACAAAATTCAACAGCCCTTCATGCTAAAATACTCTCAATAAATTAGGTATTGATGGGACATATCTCAAAATAATAAGAGCTATTTATGACAAACCCACAGCTAATATCATACTGAATGGGCAAAAACTAGAAGCATTCCCTTTGAAAACTGGCACAAGACAGGGATGCCCTCTCTCATCACTCCTATTCAACATAGTGTTGGAAGTTCTGGCCAGGGCAATCAGGCAGGAGAAGGAAATAAAGGGTATTCAATTAGGAAAAGAGGAAGTCAAATTGTCCTTGTTTGCAGATGACATGATTGTATATCTAGAAAATCCCATCGTCTCAGCCCAAAATCTCCTTAAACTGATAAGCAACTTCAGCAAAGCCTCAGGATAGAAAATCAATGTGCAAAAATCACAAGCATTCTTATACACCAATAACAGACAAACAGCCAAATTTTGAGTGAATTCCCATTCACAATTGTTTCACAGAGAATAAAATACCTAGGAATCCAACTTACAAGGGATGTGAAGGACCTCTTCAAGGAGAACCACAAACCACTGCTCAATGAAATAAAAGACGGCACAAACAAATGGAAGAACATTCCACGCTCATGGATAGGAATAATCAATATCGTGAAAATGGCCATACTGCCCAAGGTAATTTATAGATTCAATGCCATCCCCATCAAGCTACCAATGACTTTCTTCACAGGATTGGAAAAAACTACTTTAAAGTTCATATGGAACCAAAAAAGAGCCTGCATTGCCAAGCCAATCCTAAGCCAAAAGAACAAAGCTGGAGGCATCACGCTGCCTGACTTCAAACTATACTACAAGGCTACAGTAACCAAAACAGCATGGTGCTGGTACCAAAACAGAGATATAGACCAATGGAACAGAACAGAACCCTCAGAAATAATACCACACATCTACAAACATCTGATCTTTGACAAACTTGACAAAAACAAGAAATGGGGAAAGGATTCCCTATTTAATAAATGGTGCTGGGAAAACTGGCTAGCCATATGTGGAAAGCTGAAACTGGACCCCTTCCTTACACCTTATACAAAAATTAATTCAAGATGGATTAAAGACTTAAATGTTAGACCTAAAACCATACAAACCCTAGAAGAAAACCCAGGCAATGCCATTCAGGACATAGGCATGGGGAAGGCCTTCGTGTCTAAAACACAAAAAGCAATGGCAACAAAAGCCAAAATTGACAAACGGGATCTAATTAAACTAAAGAGCTTTTGCACAACAAAAGAAACTACCAAGTCTTGGGACTGTGGTGGGGTCGGGGGAAGGGGGAGGGATAGCATTGGGAGATATACCTAATGCTAGATGACACGTTAGTGGGTGCAGCGCACCAGCATGGCACATGTATACATATGTAACTAACCTGCACAATGTGCACATGTACCCTAAAACTTAGAGTATAATAAAAAAAATAAATAAAAATAAATAAATAAATAAAAAATCATATAAATTGATGCCTCAATAAAGCTATTGTTTTAAAAAGCAAAACAAAAGAATAGAATCTAAGACTAAAGAGAGGCTGTAAAAAAAAAAAAAAAAAAAAAAAAAAAGAAACTACCATCAGAGTGAACAGGCAAGCTACAGAATGGGAGAAAATTTTTGCAATCTACTCATCTGACAAAGGGCTAATATCCAGAATCTACAATGAACTCAAACAAATTTACAAGAAAAAAACAACCCCATCAAAAAGTGGGCGAAGGATATGAATAGACACTTCTCAAAAGAAGACATTTATGCAGCCAAAAGACACATGAAAAAATGCTCATCATCACTGGCCCTCAGAGAAATGCAAATCAAAACCACAATGAGATACCATCTCACATCAGTTAGAATGGTGATCATTAAAAAGTCAGGAAACAACAGGTGCTGGAGAGGACATGGAGAAATAGGAACACTTTTACACTGTTGGTGGGACTGTAAACTAGTTCAACCATTGTGGAAGTCAGTGTGGCAATTCCTCAGGGATCTAGAACTAGAAATACCATTTGACCCAGCCATGCCATTACTGGGTATATACCCAAAGGATTATAAATCATGCTGCTATAAAGACACACGCACCCATATGTTTATTGCAGCACTATTCACAATAGCAAAGACCTGGAACCAACCGAAATGTCCAACAATGATAGACTGGATTCAGCAAATGTGGCACATATACACTGTGGAATATTATGCAGCCATAAAAAATGATGAGGTCATGTCCTTTGTAGGGACATGGATGAAGCTGGAAACCATCATTCTCAGCAAACTATCGCAAGGACAAAAAACCAACCACCGCATGTTCTCACTCATAGGTGGGAATTGAACAATGAGAACACTTGGAAACAGGAAGGGGAACATCACACCCCAGGGCCTGTTGTGGTGTGGGGGTAGGGGGGAGGGATAGCATTAGGAGATATACCTAATGTAAATGATGAGTTAATGCGTGCAGCACACAAACATGGCACATGTATACATATGTAACAAACCTGCACATTGTGCACATGTACCCTAAAACTTAAAGTATAATAAAAATAAAAGAATCCTAGCATTCATATCAATAAATGAAGAGATATCCTTTTGTATATCTGCATTTGGGAAAGATAAAGTTTCTCTAGAATTCTACAGAATACTAAAATTCTATACCCAAGATAGTGCCTGGGGACCTAGAGGGTGCTCAGTAGATATTACTGAATAAGGATTAAAACAAGGAGAAGCCCTGGGTTTTGGAGGCAGTCAACCTGGCATGGGAATCCTAGCCTGATACATGTTATCCATGTGACCTTAAATATTCTGTTTCTTGTTAGGCTATTTTCCCAGGACAATGATGCCTTCTTGCTCTATATTTACATAAATAAGTGACCTAGTGACCTTTCACTGGACAAGGAACATTTGTCTTATGGTGATTTTCTTTCTTTGCCATCACCTAGAATCAGGCAGCAATCTGGCTGGCTAAAAAGGGAAAGCACACATAGAGAGACACACGTATAAAAATTTTATCTCTGGCAGGCTCCACTGTGTTTGGCACCCAGTCATGCTTCCATTCTTGTTTGGCCATATAGGCTATGTAGGTGTTTCTATTTGTGGGTGTATGTTACACTGAAAACCCCTAACCATTCCGATCATGCTGCTCTCCTCATCTCTGTACCCAAGCAGCAGAATCCTAGAAGTGAGGAACTGCTTTTCCACATCCAAGCCCCAGGGTTCTCTGAGTAACTGTCAAATCTGCTTCTCCCAGCACTCAACCACCCTCTGCTCTCGCCCCTGCCCCTCTGTCACTTATCTTCTGTGTTAGTTAAGTCCACAGCTCTCACCCCCACAAGATTGAATGTAAGGGTCACTACCTATTCATCGACAAATCGCCTAGAATAAAGTGCATAGATGTAGCAGCACATCTGTGTCCTAAAAAGCCCAGTTCAGTGATTCACAATCCCTGCCCCACACTCCTACAGCAAGAGAATAATCTCTCTAGACATGCCACTCTTGCATTTGCACGCAAATGCGTAATTGCTTCCTATTGCCTCGCCTATCGAATTTATATTCTTCAACCTGATTATCCAGATATTCTGCCAAGACCCTTGACTCTCTTTTCTCATAGCTGAACTCACTGGTATTGCTCACTTCTCTCACAGATAATGTATAAGCAACAAAATCTAAGCCCATTCCCAGTTCTTCATCCAGAACATGCCTCTTTCTCCGGGCCATAGACATTTTATTCCCTCTCTCCTTTTCTCTGCCAGCATACTCTGCAGATCCTTTCAAACGCTCCTGCATAAAGGAGAAACCACTCACCTAGCTGCTCATTCTTTACTCACAAAGGCCTCAGGCCTCAAGCTCATCCTTTAACTTTTATTTCTCTTTTCAGCAAAGAGTGTGTTGGTACATTCACCTTCCCTCCCTAGGTTGACCAGTTTTTCTAACTGGACCCCAGACCTTTGATGGTTGTTGCTTTTTCAGCTTGCCAGCTGCACCTAGTACAGAGTTATTCATCAGGAATATGCCCAGGAAGTGTTATTGACTGATACGCAGCAATGAATTTTTTTTTTTTTTTATGATAGAGACTTCCCCCAAAAGGGGAATGATTTCCTTAGCTGCAAGTTGTGGTTGTGGTTGTTGTTGTTAACCATGCAGCACAATAATATATTCCTAAGTTTGTTTTCTTCAATGTTTTACACTACTAAGATTAATAAAAGAAATGCTTTTAGGCTGTTGTTTCAATTACAGTATACTAGAAAGTGCTAGAGGAAAACAGAAACAAAAATCTATGGCTATGGGGCACTTCTTGAAATAAAAATGTCTTGCCCTCTCTTTATTCTGGCAAAATAGGAAAAGAAAAATACTCTGTGCTGGCAAGGGGCAAGTTCAGGCATTTAATGGATCTTTTTGTCAGCTGTCATTTGTTTCTACCAAGTGCTACATACCCTTTACCGTAGATGAATACTCCTTATGTCTACAGAAAGACCCAGGGTGGCTCGGGGTGCGTTGTAGGCATTTCAAAGTCATTCTTCCTTTACATCTCTGCCTGTGTTCAAGTGCCTATTTTCAATTTGCAGTTGTGCTGGGAAAACGTTTTGATTCTTGATTTAGAATGTGCACTCCCAGAAGGTTCCAAGAGAGTTTCAGGCAGAGAGATAAAGCTTGTCTCTTTATGCTGCTTTCTAGCGTGTGCTCTGTGGCAATAATACACACCCCACACTGTGCTTATATCCCTGGTTTTATGAAAGTCAGTCCAATGCCTATTTGGTGAATCTTTTGACATGCAAGTACTGTTCCCTGAGGAAGAAAGCTAGTTGCAGCACTTTCTCTCTCCTCCTCTCTTTGTTTTCCATGTTATACATAATTCTTAGGAAAACCGTAGTGTGAAATGCACCGGAGAAACTAAAATCGCAATGAAAAAGTCAGCTGTAAACGGTATATCTGACATTGCTCACTACAGTAAAAAGACCCCATTTTATGAACATAATAAGGCTCAGGTTCTATGCTTTGAGCTAGGGTGAAACAAACACATAGGCATCAACCAGCTGAGTCCCAAATTACCTAGGCCAACTGAGGACCCACAGACTTTTTTCCCAGGTGATATGATGGCAAATAAATCAAGTTCAAGAAAGCTGAGTGAAAGTTCAAATACATTATATGCTAAGGCTGTTAAGCCAAGAACATACAATCAGACTCTGTCTGTAGCCAGGGAGTTTGAGCTCACCTCAAAAACAGCCTTTCATCTAATGAAATGTTAAAAAGACTTCCAAAAATTTTACCACTGTTGCCAAAATCTATCTTTCATCGCTTGAGCAAATTGCTGTAAACTTGTTGGAGAGGATTTTCTATATTTATGCAGAATGTTGTCATCTACATGTTGGTATTTGCTAGATTTTATTTCATAACATTTTTTTCTCCAATCAAACTAGCTGGATTGAATTTCAAAATTGAGCTCTCTTTTTAGTGGTGGTGGAGAGGGGGGAGGTTGTAGAGCATCAAATCAAAATCTAATGAAGTTTCTAATGATCAAATAAATAATCACTTGACATTTATTGCCATGTTTGGCAATCTGCAGAAATGGAATAGAGTAGATATGCCTACAGCCCCATTTCCCATAGATTTACATTATGCTACCACACAGAATTAAGCTGACATAAGCTCTTTAAGACTCACTAAAGCAGCAGATTTTACACAACTTGTTTAGATTTTTTTTTTCCTTCTCCATGATCCCATATTCCCTGAATAAATCTTTCTATCCATTTTCCATTCCTTGTTCTTTTGAGAGGCCTGCTGGAGCTTCCCCTTGATGTCATTTCAGGCTATAACCCTGCAGTTTGCGTTTATCTTAGCTGTAAAATGCAACAGTAATTTATATGCTCCCTTACTCCTGCTTCCTCCGAGGCACTGGCTGCCAGCTGTCTACCCAGCAGTTTAAAGAAAGAGCTGTAATGAGCGAGAGTGCAGCAGGAGAGGGGCGGCGCCACATCACATCAGAGGCTTTTATTTCTGCTTCCTCAGTGAGCACTGGATCCACATAAATGGCATTTTCTGGCGCTGACTGGCTGCAGCATAAAGTCCTTCCTCCCCTGCACCTCCACCTTCCCGCTCTCACCTCACACCAGCCTTATGGGGACAGGCTTCATCATCTCTTCCTTTTATTTCTGACTTAAGGAGAACAGAGCAAAAAGATGAGACAAAGCCTGGGGCAGCTGTGATGCTGCAGTGTAGGGTGTGAGATCCTAGTGCAAACCTTGCCCCTCAGCACCAAGAACATGCTCTTGGAGCTGTGAGACAAAGCTTCCCAAGAGCTTGATGCACTCAACATCCTTAGATTTTTAGCTGGGCTATTGAGATGTTTTTTTTTTTAATGTAATTCAGTTGAGGTTTAGTCTCTTTAAAAATAATCCAATAGTAGGGTTATTTGCCTTGAGTTTTGTAAAAAATAAAAATAAAAAAAATAGGACAAAGCCATTTTAGTTTAGTTCTGCCTCCAGAATCTGTTCCCCTGGCACTCTCTTCCTCTCCCATATTCTGTTTTTGGGGGTACATAAAATATGCCCCTTTTCATGCACAGGAACCCACACAAGTTCAGGGAATAAAATTCAGCATAAAGCAGCCACAAAGGAGTTTCCTTTATGCTACTAAAATTAGACAGCTCTCTTTTGCCAGTCCACTGAAAACAATCCCAATTTAACAAAAGGAAAGGAAAAGATTTTAAAGCCTGTCTATATGTTTAATATTAAGACTGGCACTAGGTAGAAGATAGAGCACACACTGGCAAAGGATCGGCTCCTTTTCTGTGATATTCCTGAATGTGTTGACTATTAACATCTCCAAGGAAGACCTTGTCACTTTAGGATTCTTATCTCTCACATTCCCTTTAGCTTTGTGTAATCTTGATTTTTGTCCAAAGCTGGTGTTTCTTGGCAGAGACTGGCAAAGCAAAAGCTAGGAGCCGTGTTGAAGGAGGCTGAGCTTCAGATCAGTGGATCAATCTGAAGGAAGGGTGTGAGCAACAGTTAACTCTTGCAAGTACTGGTCCTTCCTTAATTCAGTCGCAGCAGAGAGGTTTTAATATTTTTCTTTCTTTGGTCAAGTTCATGGCCACAATTATATTTTCTACTGAGAAATGATTTACTAGTCTGACAAAGACTTCAAATATCTTTTTTGTGACTCTTATTATTTATTCTTCTATAGCTGAAAAAATATCAGAAAGGTTCTTATGTTTAGAAGATGTAAATTTCCCTGAGGTTTCACAGCAAGGATGGAAATAATAGCTTCTTTCTAACATAATAGCATTGTGATGTTTCATTATAACTATAATTTGGGGTAAATTTACAAAAAAAAAAAAAAAACCACGAGAAAGCTAAACGGAATGTACTGTCTTTATCTATTAATCCTTCCATACTTTCTGCAAAAGATATTTTGAAGTCTCTCCAGTCTTTCTCTTCATTTCTCTTCAAATGGCATTAGATTTATGTAGAAGGAAAATAGATCAGAAAGACTCATGTATTTTTGGTGTTTTCTAAATGCACAACACACCGTGATTTTACTATTGAAGAATTGCAATGCAAATGTACTTACTGGTTCTAAGGCTTTTGATGCATAAAGATCCTGGAAGCTACTTCTACTACAAGAGATTATCTAAGAAATAATAAAAATACAATGGAAAGCCAAAAAGGGTGTCCTCTACCCTACTTACATATTAATCTGGAAATAGAGCAGCTTTCCAGACCCAAAGCAACATGAAATACAATGGCTGGGAAAAATGCAAGAGAGGGAGAAGACACCTTTCCTACCACCTTTAGGAAATATTTTGAGCATAAATCATCATACAAAACAATCATATCTCCTACTTTTTTGGTGTTAGTGGGGGTTGAGCCAAGTAAGAGGATAACAGTGATGGGGAACCATTGCTAATTTAAACTAAGGAAGCAGCTGAATCATTGAAATGTATGTATATGATGACATATTGCAAACAGCATTATAAGAACTTTGTGTTTTAAACTTGGAAGTGATGTTTGATCCTTCTAAGCCAGCATTTGTCTTTTAATAATATTTAAGCATTGATGATATATGTGAAATAGATCATCTTTATACAGAATTAGGCTTTTCAGCATGTAAAAACTTTAATCCACTTTTTTATATACTAGACTTCTATATACTCTATATTAAAGTATCCCAATTAAACAAAACCAAAACAAACAAAATCTTCAACTCCTTGTAAAGGTGTCAATCAGCACAATTACTGCTTTCTAGCAGGAGGACTTTGTGATAAGAGCAGAAAGAAAGATGCTACAGGATAAAAGAATAGAAATGATCTAAAAAAGATGTCAGGAGTAGACTCCACTAGAAGGTAACTAGAAAAATGGATGAATTAACCATTTCAGGAACATGTCTTTTCTCTTGGTTTTGAGCAGGATTCCTAGAGAAAATGACTAGATAAATCAAAGTAAATGGCACCAACTCTAGAAAATAATACACAAAGAATAGTGGCATAGAGGTTGGGCAGCAATCAAGATGACACATTTATTTTTTCTGAATTTAATGTAATTTTACTAATAGTGGTTTGAGGCTACCCTAAAAAGAAACTCTTCAGCAATGTATGACATGGTATGAGTCAAGGCTTTGCCCACTCCCAATTGGAAATTTGCCCTGTAGATTAACAACTCACTTTTAGCACATTCTCACCATATGTAGCAGTGAATTATCCATTGCGATTGCTGGCATAGTAAATGCTCTCATACAGACCCAAGTTTCATATCACTGGGGCTATTATCACACCCCTCTCCCCATATCACTAAGTACTAATCTGTCCTGACAATGTGACATTCATCACAAGCTTTTTCTAAAAATTCTATCATTTTGGTTCACATTTTTCTAACCTATGTATGCTTGGAATATTTACACACACACACATATATACACACAGCCTAACTTTGAATGTGTTCTTCTGTAGAATGGAAATTTCATTTTGCACCTGAGTTAACTGAACAGCAATATGAACCAAATGATTTTCCTTCCCACAGAAATGTAACAGGTAATAAAGCTGTCTTTGTAGTAAACTGAAAACTCACTATGTAAAAAGCACTAATTTGGTGACTATGTTAAACACACATTTATATAAAATAGTTCCGGCCCTGGAGGAGCTTGTAACTAGTGTGGAGGCAAAAAAGCTTATAAAACTTGGAAAATAGCCAGCCAAAGTTAGTAATAAGTACCAAGTAAGTAGAGTAGAGAATGAGGGCTCTCAAACTTCAGAGGAGGAAATCGTTTTGGATTGTCGTGGCCTGGGAAGCTTTTGTGCAGCTGGTAAATTATGAATGTAAAGTAGGAGAATGGAAAGGCCTAGGTAAATAAGAATTATGGGAAAGGCACGCCAGGCAGGAGGCAATGGGATCAGTAAAGAGTAGAGAATGCTACAGATGAAAGCAGAGACATGAGCATGAGACAACCGTCTGTTTGTTGAAGTGAATGAATGGGCAAATATTTATTAAAATCCTACAGGTATAAAGCACCGTCCTATTTGCTGAAGATACAAAGGCAATGAGGTCTTTGACATTCCAGGATCCCTAACAACAGAAGCCAGCTCTATTGGGCAGCATGATGTCATAGAACAGGGAGAGCATGGCCATCAGACAGCCCCAGGTTCCATTCTGGCTCTGTTATCATAGCTATTATTACAGTTCCCTGTGTTTCATAAAACAATAAATACAGAACCACATACATCATAGCAGGGGTCCCCAATCCCCAGGAACCAGGTTCCATCCTGGCTCTGTTATTTATTATGGGACATTGTATAAGCATTTGGAATCTCAAATTCTTCACGTACAATACTGGCATAATGATGTCTTATTTATTTATTTATTTATTTATTTATTTATTTATTTATTGAGACAGGGCCTGGCTCTGTCACCCAGGCTGCAGTACAGTGTAGCAATCTCAGCTCACTGCAACCTCTGCCTCCTGTGCTCAAGCCACCCTCCCACCTCAGCCTCTCGAGTAGCTGGGACTACAGGTACACACCAACATACCTGGCTCTTTTTTGTATTTTTTATACAGACAGGATTTTGCCAAGTTGCTCAGGCAGAACTCCTGACCTCAAGTGATCCGCCTACCTTGGCCTCCCAAAGTGCTGAGATTACAGGCGTGAGCCATTCTGTCTGGCCAACAATGCCTCTTCTATAAGTGTGTTATTACAGGAAATAAATGAGAAAATGTGTGTAAATAGAAAGACTCAGTAACTGGCATATGGTGGCCATCATATAAATCATATCTATTATTACAGCTCACTGTGTTTCACAAAACAATAAATACAGAACCACATACATCATAGCAGGGGTCCCCAATCCCCAGGAACCAGGATACACAGCAGGAGGTCAGTGGTGGGCAAGCGAGTGAAGCTTCATCTGTATTTACAGGCACTTCCCATCGCTCGCATTACCGCCTGGGCTCCACCTCCTGTCAGAGCACTGGTGGCATTAGATTCTCACAGGAGCTCAAACACTACTGTAAACTGTGCATGAGAGGGATCTAGTTTGCAGGTTACTTATGAGAATCTAATGCCTGATGATCTGTCACTATCTCCCATCAACCCCAGATGGGACTATCTAGTTGCATGAAAACAAGCTCAGGGTTTCTACTGATTCTACATTATGGTGAGTTGTATAATTATTTCATTATATATGACAATGTAATAATAAAAGAAATAAGGTACATAATAAATATAATGTGCTGGAATCGTCCCAAAACCATCCCTCCACCCCATCCGTGGAAATATTGACTTCCATAAAACAGGTTACTGGTGCCAAAAAGGTTGAGGATCGCTGCATCATAGGGACCAAACCAATTTAACACAAATTCATTGAGGACCTATGATGTCCCAGGCATCATGCTAGTTCAATTACAGGCTGAGAACATGGAGTACATCTTGAAGGCACAGAACAAGGAGGCAGTCTAGAAGAGTAGTTATGAGCATGGGTTTTGAAAACTTTTGACCTGGACTCCAGCTCTTCAAATTTCTAGATTGCAACCACAGACAATTTAACCTTTCTCAACCTCATTTTCCTCATCTTTAAAACAAGAATAATAATAACTACTTCTTTGAGATTTTGAGAGAAGTCTATGATAAAATATATAAAGAGCACATAGAAAGTGCTCAAAAAATGTTATCTGAAATTGAGAATGTCCCATGAACTCATGTTCACTCTCTGCTATATATACCCTCCTTCTCACCTCTCTTTTATGGGTTTGGCAGACTGATTTCCAGCTAGCTTTCCTCATTGGAAGGAATAAGGTCTGGGGAGATAGAAAGAATCATGTTAATAGTAATAAAATACAACAAGAACAGCTAATGTTATTGAGAGCATATTGTGTGCCAGAAACTGTTCTGAGTGCCTGCCATGTATAAATTCATAGTAATAGGTAAAGTATTTCAGTAAAATATTTATTTGTACAGATTGTCATTCTAATGAATTTTATGTCATTGAAAAAAAGTTTTAACCCAAAATAATACTGGCACAGAAAAAATTTTGACTGTCTGCCAAAAGGGCAGGGCAAGGAAAGAAGAAGCAGAATTCATCTGTTTTATTGGGCTATTTTGTTTCTACTGAATCCAGTTGTACTGTGGTGAAAGCAAGATAGCCACACTTGTGAGAGGAAGAGGAACTGTGTGACAATGTCAGCCAGCAGTTTATAGTAACAAACCAAATGAATACATAAACTGATGGAGATACCCAGTGTTCCAGTTTTCACACCTGGTCAGTCTCTGCATTGTAATTAACAAAATGAGAAAGGGCATGTTTAAGCAACTAGACTGTGGCACCCTTGAATATTAGAAGTTAGACGTGGTGTTCAATGTTAACCTGTTTCATAAAGTTGTCAGAAATAAAAAAGCTTCATTCAGTAAGCTGCATGACTGCTGCTCAAAACTGCATGCATTTTTAATTGAGTTTTTTGTTTTTTCTTTTTGCAAAATGAAAATAAGAAACATACTAGAGATAATATTTTATTGCATCAGTAAGTCTTTGTTTTTTTAAGAGTTTTCTAGATTACCATAACAATTTTGCTTAGAAATACTGCATAATAGAGCTTTGGACATTTGAAACTTTTTTTCAAAACCTTATACATTTGGACTTACAATCCACACTGATCCTATAACTAACGTCCAAACTGCAGGACGTAATTTTCTTTCTCTTAAAATAAGACTTATAAACCATCTGAAATAGCTCTGGACCTCAAATAATATTTAACAGGCAATCATATAAGAATTAAAAGAAAATGAATAGGAAATATATCATTAGTAGTTCTTTTATAAGTATAGAGAGCTTTCAAAGTGAATGGCCAATTTGTTTGGCAAAATGACAAGGTTGGGTGCTGGCCCAATCCTATTTCACAAAAGCCTATTTTGCAATAATTGCGGGATTCTGACAGTAATCCTAATTCAACACTTACCTCATTCTAGGGTTTCTTTTGGAAAATATATTGAGTGAATGATCTAAGTCTTAGAAGCCCCAACACATTCTGTGTTTAATCAGTCACTCTCAGCCACAAAGAAATGTGGCCTCTGTCTTCAGCAGGGAATATTTTCTTGGCCAGAACTAGACCTCAGGGTCTAACTTAGAGATAAATCCATAAAAATATCTATATAGAATTTCCCTGTTAGAGGAAAAAAGTGAAGAAAAGTGAGGTTTAAGATTGTATTTATTTTCCTTATAATTTGCTTCTGTATTTTCCAGGTCCTACCTTGCTTTTCTCCTTTTTCTGTTTTCCCAAATTTTCATGTTCAACATGACCAGTCTTTTCATTTTCATTAGTTTCTGCTTCATCATATGCTCCTTACAGTGTTGTTTTCTCCTTTCTGTTTCTAGATTCTCAGATCTATTTTGGGACCTAATATATGTGTGTATGTGTACATGCATCTATGTGCATATCTACAATTTTGAAATTAAGGTAACTTCAAAAGGTAGAAGTTGGAGAAGGTAACCACAGACAGGGAGGTCATGGTCATGATGTCTAAGAGCCATTGTCTGTTGACGAGGAACCAGAGACTAAGAGGGCACTCTCAGCCTTCAGTCATCTGTGGGCTAGGTGCAGAGCCAGAACCTGATCCTGGCTCTCTTGACTCCAAGAACTTGTCTGCTATGCAATGCTGTAGTCTTTTGAAAAATGTCAGAAGAAGCATTAATAGAAATACCAAGATTAATTTCTTATGCTGTACTTCTTCCAACACCAATTCACTCATAGCATGAATGTGTAAGAATAAACGAGTAAGTGAAGGTTGAAGCTTAAAAGATAAACAAAGGAAAGGAAGCAAACACTTTAGAAGAGTCAAATTATGTTACCCGAGCCTCTTAGGCTTAAGGTTCAAGAAGTGAAGTCAGGCAACACAGAGTTACCACTCGGTTTAGAATTCCTCTGAATTCCTTTAATCCCTTAGGCCAGTTAAAAGGAAATGATCTGACTGTTCTGCATCTGCTAGTGATTGAAGGCAAATGGGAAGCAGTGCGCAAGTTCCCGTTCAAGAAATATATAGTGAACACGGCTATTGTGAAGGTAAACACTGCAAATCGCAGCCAACCCAATCTGACTAATAAACGCATAGACACCTCCAACATATGGGGAACTGATGCTTGAGCAGACACAGAAGGAGTTACCAAAATCGTGCCAAACAGACAAAATGAAAATAATTTATTACATAATGTGTGTGTCAGTTCCTAAGTTATCCTCAATATTCAGTCTATTATAAAGAAGAGAGGGTTATATTTACAATGAAGCTCTCCTGAGAGCTTCCCTACCCTTTCCTCTGCATTGGTTCTCTGAACATTCTTCCAAGGACATCGATGTAATGACGTAATAGAAGTCTGATCATCTAGGGAAACTTTATAGGCATTTAAACCAACATTACTGGCATGTAGCATTGGTAAGATTCCCATATGGCTTGTAATGGGCTCTAAGTAAAAATAAAATTTGTGTTTACCAAGGGGTGCTATCCATAACAAAAGGAGGTAGTTAGGCCAAACTATTTGCACTTACCCTACTGGATCAATCCATAAATTACCACAAGATGGGTATTTATCCCTTCTCTGCATGCTCATGTTAGTAACACTTTGTCCTGCCCACTGTGAACTAGAAAGTCAGGCCCCTAAAGAGGAGCACGATCATGTGGTTTAGGCTGAAGTGGTGTTAGTTTTGTTCGAGCTGTCATTTTCGGATCCAAGGGTTGAATGGGAATCTTCATTCTAAGCCAAATGTGTCCTAAGCCAGAAATTTCTTGGCTCCACTTAAACTTAACCTCAAACTTTGGTTTGCCAGAGGAGAAAAAGAGCCAGGAATGGAGAGGAACAAATAGAGGGAGAGAGAGAGAGACCTTTGAGAAAAACCATTTTAATCTAAAGAAAATAAAGACACAGATTGCACTTTTTGCAACCCCCACATGCTAGGTAAAAACAAGAGATTAACTTAACATTCATTTTTGTACCTTCTCATTCACATTTCTCTTTTCAAACCAGCCAGTATTTTGCCCTCCTAGTGTTCAAAAGCAGAGCAACTCAAATTTTTACTCTGACAATCTGTTGGTATTGTTGGTAATTTTTCATCTATAATTAACTTTGAAAAAGTTTTCTGTTTGGGAAAAAAATTAGCTCACCTTCAACTTTGATTCTAGCAACCTCCAAAATTGGCTCACTTTATACAATATCATGGCTAGATTATATTTTAGATTTCTAAATAAATATACCAAAATCACTTTTTTTTTGGAAAAATGACTGTATTCTAATGTAAAGCCTGACACAGTATTTGAATATTAACCATTCCAAAATAGAATAAATGAATAAAGTAGATCATCTTCAAAATGAATAAAGTAGATCAACCTTAAGGAGAACACGGAATTCTTAAAGCATTCTGAAATATTATACATTTTTTCTAAACAATTTGAATAATTGTGTCAAGTAAGTGAAGAAAGAGTAATAATAAAGGATTTGTTACATTCATGTTCATGTCACATTCAAGAGCCTGTGAAATTGTTTTGCACGGGACTTTAAAATCCCAGACTATTTCTTGCTGTAACTCAAAAGCAAACACCTACATATTCACACTCTGGTCTTTTCCAAATACAATCAGAGCAGCTTTGAAAACTCTCTGGAAAGCAAAATATCTTTGGAAGAAAAAAATCCTCAATATAATTCTCACTATAGGACTTTGATCACTTGAGATGTCTGGGTCTAACAATAATAGTATATTGTTACTTAAGAAATAGAAGTTCCACTTAGAAAAATCTGACATAGAAGTTTGTCTTGATTTTAAGAGAAAGCGTAACAGAACAATCCTCTTCCTTATAGTTCAGGATCTCCAATGTGTAAGCAGTGAAAAGAATCTACGCATCCAAGAAGTATCCAGTCGCTGTGACCAAGTCTTACTTTCCTGTGAGTTTTAGGTTTCTCTTGGGGCTTCTCACCTTGCTCACCCCTAGGAAGTTTGCTCTTCTTTTAAGGCTTTAATAAAAGCTAACCCTTTCTTTCACTTCCCTTAGCATGATAGATATTTCTTTCATTTCCCTTAGCCTGATAGATTATTTCCAGTGTAATATATCAAATATGAAGTGTTAAAAACATTAACTTAATAGGTAGGAACAATGAATTCATAGTAAGAAGCATAAGAACCATCTTCACTGAAAGGATTTGGTCACAAGGGCCAAAGAAGCCAGGAAAGGTGGTTCTCGGGCTTCATACTTGGGGAGGTGCTACTGATATGGACAGGAGGCAAGGAAATACTGGGTAGAAGAGGGCAGTTCCCTGGCAAAGGCCACACGCTCAAACCCTGGATACCTGCAGCCCTACATGAGAACAGGCATTCCTGTTTTTGCACCCCCAAAGTTGCCTTTTGGCCCACCATGCCCTCTATCCTGCACGCATATAAACCCCAAACCCCAAGCTCCAGAAGCAGACCAGCAGGTGAGGAGATGAGGAAAGCAAGCAGACGGACAGTGGAACAACGTGGCAGAGAAAGAGGGAAGAGGAGGGACATTCAGATGCCTAGAGGAGTTCGGCTGGGGCCAGAGAGGAGTCCGGCCGCTGGGCAGCCCGGCTCCAGAAGAAGATCACCTTCCCTTCCAGCTCCCCATCCATCTTGCTGAAAGCCATTTCCACCACTCAATAAAACCTCGCATACATCCTTCAAGTCCGTGTGTGACCCGATTTTTCCTGGATGCTGAAAGAGAGCTCGGGATACAGAAAGCTGTCCCCTGGTCCTTTACCCTTGTGAAAAAGCAGAAGGTCCATTGAGCTGGTTAACACTCCAGCCGTCTGCGGGTGGCCAAGCTGAAAGAGCTTTGTAGCTTCATAACACTGGGGTTGCCAGCACCCATCTCTAGACAGACACTAACGCAGGGCCAGAACCCAAAGCCCTAACCCCGGCCTCTACATCTGCCCATCTGCATGCTCCCCTTCTCGTAAGGGGTTTGAGCAGTGGGGCAACCAAACAGGCAAGCCACATCCCTGTTGCACGTCCTGCGAGAGGAATCAGGGAACTCTTCTGTTTCAGCACTTACAGGGAAAGTACTTCACCTAAAATAGCAGTTAGTTAAATGGGCTATGTGACAAATGTCAACTATAGTCCATGCTGTGGTTCTGAAAACATTAAAATATTCCATTTTTGAGTCTAAAATGCTGTGGTCTGAATAAACATCCACTTTGGGGAAGTGGCCTCCCCAAATTTCTACACTGAAATCCTAACCCCCAACATGATGATATTGAGATGTAGGGCCTTTGAGAGTTGATTAGGCCATGAGGGCATAGCCTTCATAAACAGGATTAATGCCCTTATAAAAGAGACTCTAGAGAGATGCCCCACGTAGGGACATAGCAAGCAGACACTCTCTTTGAGGAATGAGCCCTCACCAGAACCCAACCATACTGGCATGCTGATCTTGGACTTCCCATACTCTAGAATGATGAGAAATAAACTTCTGTTGTCTATAATCTACCCCATTTATGGTGCTTTATTACAGCAGCCCAAAGAGACAAAGACATTAAATACCCTGTATTAGTCCATTTTCAAACTCCTATAAAAAACTGGCCAAGAATGGGTAATTTATAAAGGAAAGAGGTTTAATTGACTCACAGTTCAGCATGGCTGGGGAAGCCTGAGGAAACTTACAATCATGGTGGAAGGCAAAGGGGAAGCAAGGCACCATCTTCACAAGGCAGCAGGAAGGAGAAGTACCAAGCAAAGGGAGAAGAGCCCCTGATAAAACCATCAGATCTCCTGAGAACTCACTCACTATCAGGAGAACAGCATGTGGGAAACCACTCCCATGATTCAATTACCTCCACCTGGTCTCTCCCTTGTCACGTGCAGTTTATAGGGATTATGGGAATTACAATTCAGGATGAGATTTGGGTGAGGACACAAAGCCTAACCATATCACACTCCAACAAAAACAAAGTGCTACTGCTTAACACAAATGTGCTTGTCCTCCACTCCAGAGGAATAATCAAAATTCTCATCATTTAATGTATTTAGCATTCTTTCCAATAGACTCTAACCTGGGAGCTAAATTTTCATATAAATCATCTCCAAGATATCCTAAATAAGACACTGAGAGCAACAACAAAAAAAGAAAGGGTTGCAACATCACAGCAGTAAAGAAAACACTGACTGATTCTACAGTTTTTGTTTCTGTAATTGTTATGAGGTCATAGATGGTAATAAAAACTTCCTTCTTCCACTATCCTTTCTACACTATGTTTGCTTTCCTTCAGAATGATCTCAGCAGATTCAGGTTCTTTGCCTGGTGAGGTTGCTCAATACTTCATTAATAAGGAATCTGTCTCTGTGAATATTCTATACGCTTCTATAGAGTAAGCAATTCCTGCACCAATACCATACTCCTCTCTGCTACCATTACATAACAGCAATTCTATTTCTTTTGATAACTAAGAAATAATCCCAGTAAGCAGAGAGAAACTCTTTTTGCCGATTTATTCAGTGACATGAAGTAACTATAATGACCTTAGCTTCTAATTCAACAGGACTATTGTTATATCCTCTGGTGGAAACATTGAGACATTGGGTCCTAACACCTCTAAACCAGTAGAGTCTAGGGAAAAGGAAATGTGGTGCAAAAATTTGGGAAGCAAATCATTAACTGCAAGAATGAAGAAGCCACTCTCACTTCTGTCCCATTGTTGCCCGGATTTATGTTTTCTGGTCATGGGAGAAAAGTCACAAAATATTGGCCATTGGCTTGTTCTAGAACAAATTCTGTAAAGTGGATGCCAATCTCATAAGGTCTTCTAGTAGTTGCAAAAATTAAGGCATCGGTAGACATTTTACCTTTCCATGAGTCCAAATATTGTATAGATTGTGATAAGTAAAACATTTAATAATAAATTAATTTTAAAAATCCCAGAGGTGAGGTTATTGGCAGAAACATGGCAGACAAGGAAAGGGAATCTAAATACAGATATTTGTCTATTCCAGAAGAAGAATAATTAAGTATACTAAAATGATCACCATATGGTTTCCTGACTCATGTAAAGTATGGGACCATATCAGGTCTCTGGATTGGTCACAGTGCTAACAAACTGGTCCCCTGTGATTGACAGTCGATTAGCCTTGGCACAGTAAGTGGACATTGGCAAGCCAATGAAAAATTTTACTCCTTTATACTGTGACCATGTTGTTCATTATCCCTTTGAAAAAGCATTAAGGCGGCTTCCTTGCCAGAGAAGGCGGCACACTGACATCCATGTAGTAGATCATGTTGTCTACCTGAGAAAAGAAAATCTCCTTTACAGTGGAGCCTTGCCATGTTCATTCATACATGGAAAACACACATTTTTAACTTCTGAGAAGTTCAACAAGATAACTCTTACTCAACCCTCTTTGCTTCTAAACAAAACCCAAACTCCCACTCTGCTGGAAATCTTACTCTTTCCGCAATTACACAATTAACCGCTGTTGCTTCTGGTCTGAAGCAGACATTCTTTTGCCAAACAAAGTGAACAATGAGATGCACCATTTTGAATTATGACCACCTGGAGGATTAATCTTTCCAGTGTTCTTCAGCCCTCAACAGCTACAAAGGTCACAACACTGCACTTCTGGCTGATGTCAGCATGTAGCATAACATTTTGTAAAATCCGGGTTTAAATGGTGTATTAGTCCATTTTCATATGGCTATGAAGAAATACTTGAGACTGGGTAATTTATAAAGAAAAAGAGGTTTAGTGGACTCATAGTTCCACATGGTGGGGGAGGCCTTATAATCTTGGCAGAAGGTGAAGGTGGAGCAAAGGGACATCTTATATGGTGGCAGGCAAGACAGGATGTGCAGGGGAACTGCCCTTTATAAAACCATCGAATCTCATGAGACCATCACAAGAACAGCATGAGAAAAAGCCATCCCCATGATTCAATTACCTCCACCTCCACCAGGTCCCTCCCATGACACATGGGGATTGTGGGAGCTACAATTCAAGATGAGATTTGGGTGGGGACACAGCCAAACCACATCAAGTGGCATACCCTTCAGGCCATGGAAACTATCCATGAAGCCATGGGTGTTGACTGGAGCAGGGATGGCTTTATGACAGAGGTGTTCCCAGTGGAAGGCTCACACTGTTTATTCATGCTTCCAAACCATGTTTTATATATATAGATAGATAGATAGATAGATAGATAGATAGATAGATAGATAGATAGATAGATATAGATAGATAGATAGATAGATATACATACACACACATTATAGGTGATATACCACCTATAATGAATGATAAGATGTTGCCAGTCTTCTAACTTAGAGTTTCCTGGCAGGTTTAAAATGAACATCTCAGGTTACATGGTCAAATGTTGTTTCATGATCAGGCATTCAGTTGATGTGTGTCCAGGGCAAAACTAAGAGCTGTTTCTCAAAAGGAAAAGAGTTTTTAGGTAAAGGATCATGGCTTTGCTCTAAAATCCTAGGGTCTTCCTTGTAATTCTCTGATTGTGTCTTACCACCAGTTTTGACAGCTTCCTAATCCACTAGAAACACTCCCAGCAATTGAGTCCACTGGTTCATAAATGACAGTGCTCTCATTTTGTTTGCCTTGCAGGCAGGACCAGCAGGAGGCCTTTCTTAAACTCTATTCTCCTATCAAGTATAAGCTGTTCCCAAACATCAAAGAGGTCTACCAAGCATTCTTTGGTTTGTTTGCTTGAAAGGTAGGGGGTATAAGATACAGCAATGTAGTTTTCACTTTAAAGGATCTATTTTGACATACCATAGATTAATAGAGTCCAGAAATATCACCGAGTTATCAGAACCCTGTATTTTAAAGTAATTTCTTTTCTACTCTCTGACATTCATGTTATCTTTTGAGGCTTCTAGCATACTCACTACTCTCTCTCTGTTCTGTAAACATATCAGTATAGCTGTTGCAGCCTTGATGCAAGTTGATGAAGGTAAATAGTCTGTCAGGTAAAAGCAAACAGCTTCTAGTGCTCTTTGTTTATTGGCATAAAGAGGGGAAAAACATTTCTCAGCTCAGCAGCAGCATAACAGTTACTAGGGCCTGTACTAATTTGCCCACACATGTAATAACAGCTTCAATGAAGACATCACATAATGAAGCCCATGATAATCTCTGTCATTGTCCCAGACCCATGTGTCTTCTGCATAGATCAACCAAGTGAGCTAAGTGGGCTTGCGGTGGAAATCTTCACCCATTTATCTCTCAAGCAAATCACTTCCAACTCTCTATCCAGGACACTGATGCCATAGTCTCTCTACTTTTCAAAAACTTCAAACTAATAAAAGTCATGTTCCTTTTTTCCTCATCTGACCTCCTAAGCATTACTTGTCATACCCTTTTTTAAAAATTCCTCATCGGACCTCCTAAGCATTACTTGTCATACACATTTTTTAAATTTGCTGATATTCAGAAGAGAAATCTTACAAGCATTTTGATGTGCAAGCTGTCTCCTCCCAAGTTTGCAATTGGCCTCCTAGAGCATTCTGTGTGATCTGACTTTTGATATAGGTCTGGAGGCCACAAAGACTAGTGGAGGTGGGGCTTCCTCCTCAAAAGGTAATGACCCCAGGTAAAGTCAAATGAGGGGCTTCAAGCATAAAAGGCACAGTCTGAGCAAGGATGGGAGGGGTTGGAGGTATGGAGTAGTTGCTGCTCCTGACAAGGGGTCATCAGTGCAGTTTAGGGACTTATGACATTTTGAGTTACTCTCTTCACATGCTTTCATTCCATTTTTTCAGTTATGCCATATTCCCATTATTCAATCACAAGTAGCATTTTAGAAAGAAGAAGGGAAGAGCCAATTTATCACATTTTTTATTTCTATTATTAATGCAAGGGGTAACAAAAGTACAGTAAATATTGTCGGTGATGGAAAACTCAACGCTACTGAGTGGAAAATAACTACTCATTAGATAAGTTTTCCAAAAACATATATGTGGTGAAGAAAGCTTTTCTTTATTATTCTATTGTATTTACACAGCAAGTTTATAATTATATGTTACATTCACCAAATGGAGGTCAAATGGTCCTGCTGTCTATTCTCCCCTTGAATAATAACTTAATATGAAAACCCAAACCGTAAGAACTATTTTATAATGGTGGAAGAATAGAGAGTATAGATTCACTGGAAAATCAGGTTTAAAGATAAAATTTCAAATTAAATAACCATATTAAAATGACAGTAAGCGACTCCAGGGCATGCTTTGCTGGGCTATTAATATATGCCTTGAGCAGCTGAAGACACCCAAGGCGTTCATTAATAGACACTAAAACACACCCTGTCATGCTTTAATGCTAAATTAATTAAGCAATAACGTGCCCCGTATGAAGGTCTTTCCTGGTCCAGCAATTACTGAATGGAAGAAATAAAGGTATTGTCAGACACTGCTTGACCAAACAACTATTAGTTTGCATAAATGAACATAAATATGTTTTTATAAAGTACTATTGGTTTTTGTTTTGTTTTCATTTTGTTTTTTCTTGACCCAAAGGTAAGATAAAGTTAGGACAAAGAAGATTAATTTTTAATACTTTTAGGCCATACTTGTTTAAGGCATTCCATTTCAAGCTTATAAATATAAATGTATGCCTGATGAATTTGGTTTCACATATTTTTTATTTGAATATTAGTCTGATCACTGAGCCATAAAAGTAGGCACTCAACAAAAGCAGATTCAAAATACACATGTACTTTTTAAAGGAAGCAAGTGACTTTAATGTCACTTAGTGATGGTCAACTGACTTTCTCCATTGTACTTACAAATTCTCTCCATTAATTCTTGTTTTTATCAAATTTCTTTACTGCTGAATTTTTCTAAACTTAACTTCAGATGAGAAAAAGCTCTTAAAATATTTTAAATAATAATTGCCTTATAAATATCGATGCCACTCTTCCCAGGAAAAGAAGATAAGAAAATTACATTTTAGAAAATATATTCAGCATATGATACAGAATATATAATTCAGCTTTCTCCCCAATTTCAAACCAGGACTTTACATACTCACTTTAATAACAAAGTATTAACAAAGTTTACTTTGTTAAAGTAAATATTTTTAAACAAGATATATAAGTCGGAAACCTACAGAATAGATTATTTTATATTAGATGTTAAAATTTAAAAAACTTCATGACAAAAAACACTATGAACCAAGTTTAAAGACAAATCACACACTAGAAAATGTTATGTGCAATTCAACTGACATAGAGCTAGTATTCATAATACACAAACAATTTCTATAAATCAATATAAAGAATCCAATAGAAAAATGGAAATTATATGGAGAGGTAATTTATAGAAGAAGAAACCTGGATATGCCAATAACCATACAAAGAGTTGCTCACGCTCACTGGTTCTCACTACAAATTTAAATAAGGAAATACCATTTCATATTTACCCCACTGGCAAAACTGAAAGTGTCTGACTGCTGATGGGACTGTACAGCTGCCGCAGAGAGAAATTTGACAATTCCTATTGAATTAAATAAACATGTATAAACCACAGTACTCAGCAATTCCACTTCTAGATATATTCAATGTGGAAAATCCAACACAAGTCCACAATGAATCTTGTGTAAGGAGGATAATTTTAGTACATATTCGAAGTGGAAAATTGGAATGAACACAATTATTTATTAACGAAGGAAAGAATGAATAAACTACCAATGATTAATCAAGAGGAATATATTAAAGTAATTAAAATGTGTCAATATGAAAAAGTCCAAACTATAATACTAAATGAGTATTTCATCAAAGATTATGTACCAGGTGACAGTACATATAAAAATGGTAACTATAAATACTATATATTTTTATGGCTACCTATGTAGTGAAAGTATAGAATCCTTTTAAGATATTTTTTAAAAACTCTAAATTTAGGACAATAGTTGCTACTGGGGAGAAAAGAGCTTGAAATGGGAATGTAGAAATATACCAGAGACTTTACCATTTTATGATGCAAAAATGTCAAAATGATAACATGTCTTAAATTTGCAGGAGAGTACATAAGAATTTGCTAAATAGTTTGGGGTTAAGTAATTCAGAAATGAAAATTAAAAATTAATAGAGGTACTTAGAGTTTAAAGTAATAAATGCTGTATCAGATATCTTCAAAAGCGTTTATAAGAAAACATTTTATGATGTATTTTACATTATAGATATTTTAAATTTAATGAGGGAAAGTGCTGTTCTCTTGGATGACTAAGTAAGCAGGAATTTTGTGCAGTTATGATTAGAACCACTGGACCCAGCAAGAAAAGTATGCTTGATCAACAGATAATTGGGAGAAAGGCTCTGGATCCCATTTATCAATTCATTTAGCAATTACAAATTGAGCGTCTGCCATGTTCTTAGCAACAATCCAGGTGCTAAATATCTAAACAGACAAAAGTTCTTGCCATCATGAAACTCACATATGCATAGGTAGAGAAAGAAAACTGGCATAATAGATAAGCAAAATTTGAAGACAATGTGTGCATACAGAAGGAGGGCGAGTAGAACATGGCTCCAAGGGTAGCAATATGAGGGAGCGCGGGTGGAAGCATGTTGTGGTATTAAAGAGAGGGTGGCCAGGATAGTCTCATTGAGAAGCTGACTTCTTGGCAAAGACTTAACAAAGAGTTGAGGGGACAATCTATATAGGTATATGGAGGACCAATTAGGCAAAAAAATCAAGGCAAAGGCCCTGAGGCAGGAATATACATGATTTATTCAACAAAAAGCAGGAAGACAAATGTGGCTGAAGCAAAGAGAAATAGAGGAAGTAGATGGTATCAGAGAGGAAACTGGCCCAGAAAACACCACAGAGAAAGAGAAGAAATGTTGAAAGATATTTGTTTCCTTTGACATTTTCATCTGGGAAGGTGTATGCCCTTCTACCCATCTCAACACTCTTTCTAGGGTCTCTCAGTTCACACTTTGTTCTTTCTTTGATGGAGGTAGCAAAATAGGAGTGATGAAGAGGATGCTGTCAGACTCTAGAGAAGGAAAAGACACGACAAAAGATGACCATTGCCTTGGCTTGTACTTTTCTCTGCTTGCCTCTTCACTTTTAACTTCACAACCCTAGAAAACTGTTTCTCTTAACTTCACAGTTATAAATGTTTGGTAAAATTGGGCTGGATACATACAATTTCTGTTTACAGGTGTCTTTTCAAGCACATGTCACTTAAAGTGTTCATAAAAAGGAAACATTGGAATTTGAGTATTGGGAAAAATAATTGCTGCATCCTTTGATGAAACTAATTGGTTAGGGGACCTTCAGAGAAGTTTTTTTTTTTTTTTTTTTTTTTTTTTGGAAAATAAACAGCAATAAAATTTTATCCTATCTGATTCTCATTCTTTTCTACATAGATGTTAAGTTCCTTTTAGTTTCTGAAAAGGAAGATTGTAGTCCTGTCTGATGTGACTATTACATTGGTGCACAAGCTTTAACCTTCCAATTTAAACTTTAGTTATAACTACTTTCTACAGCATAGAAATGTCGAGTGCTGGGTTTTTGTTCACTATTGTAGAATGCTCATTGAAGAGGCACTTGGGTACATTTTGTTCAAAGTCACTGGGACTTCCATCAGTGCAAGATTTCGGCAGTGTCTACAAAATGAACATTTGGTCTGATGTAGCGTGCTGTGACCCACAGCTGCAACAACCAGCTGCGTCTGCTCAAACTTCAGCCATCAGCCAGCTCAGTCGTGTAACGGAATCTTAGTCACAGAATGCCTCCATAACAATGGCTTTCACAAGGTCATTTTAGAAAAAGAAACTATGCTTAGTATGAACAGTTGCAAAAATACAAGACTTCAAGGGACTTGAGTATAACAAAAATGAGATACAACTGGTGTTTTACATGGACTAAATGCAGAAAAAGCATGAAAAAAAAAAACCTTACTTTGCAGTTTAATCCAATACTATTTTTAATGCATAAATTGTAGACTAGCAAATGGAATCACTACTGACTCAAGGAACAAAGATTAGGAATATACAAAATACAGATATCCATACAAACTTGAATGGTTGAGATCTCAAAATTTCACAAGGTGGATTAGATTTGCCACCTAAGGAAACTTCTAAGGATATCAGAAACTAACACAAGATTTGGAAATATGTTGGAAGAGAAGGTTTAATTCACATGAGAAAATATGATTATAGTGTCACTAAACATTAAACATATATTATCATCTTTGTACTAATAGCATAAAGTATAGAATAACTGTGTTAAAAATTTGGAAAATGTCCCTGTGACTAATGAGTAATTCTAAAAAAGAACTGGATAGTGCAAATCATTCAACATCCAAGTAAAAAAGTACTTTGATTCTAAATTACTGGACTTTGTTTTTATAAAAAATATTACAGAAGTAGAGATATAATTTCTCACTGCAGTATCACACCAGACCACTCTGGATATAAATAGTCTGTTGGGAACTGACCAAAGCCACTTTGTTCATTTCCTTTTATCATGTTCTTTATGGCAGATAGCATATCCTTTCACAGAAAGAGATAGGTAAGTGCCGTAGGCCTTCCCCGCAGTTATTTTGATGTGAGGTATAGAGATACAAGGAAAACAAAAGTCAGACCAAATCTGGTATTCATAAAAACACATGGTTGGGTGCAATGGCTCACACGTATAGTCATAAGACCTTGGGAGGCCAAGGCTGGCCAATTGCTTGAGCCCAGTAGTTCAAGACCAGCCTGGGCAACAAGTCCCGCCCTTCCAGTTCAAACCGATGTAAATCTTACGTGTATTGGTTGATGTATTATGTCTCCCTAAAATGTATAAAAGCAAGCTGTACCGCAATCACCTTGGGCACATGTCCTCAGGACCTCCTGAGGCTATGTCACAGGCACTTCCTTAACCTTGGTGAAATAAACTTTCTAAATTGATTCAGACTTGTCTCCGATACTCTTTGGTTTACACCCATCTCACCAATATTTTATAATAATTGCATTTTAACAATTATTTCCTGTTATTCCAGGTTTGTATTATATATTTGACAGCTTGGTTAGTTGACAAATATTCTATAAAGTTTTCTTATATTTCATGGTGAGGTATGAATTTTAATAGCATTGTTTGGCAATCTTTGTGGCTATTTAATGTTTGTATTTAATTTCACTTTATGTGAAATTAGTATTACCGGTTGTATAGTTTTCTCTGTAAGAGAATTTTGAACAATACTACTTAAAAATAGTGTCTTTTTGTTAAGTATATTGCAGTTAATATTAAAGTCTTTTTTCTTAACTCAATCTGAAATTCTTACTTATAAGCAGGGTCTATTAGCTGATATATTTAGTCTTAATGCTTCATCAAGGACTCAGCATGGCATCTTCTTTAAGGGCACAGGCTTTTACTTGAGATAGATCTGGTTTCAAGCCCAAGCCCTACTGCATGCTAGCTCTGTGTAAATATTGAGCAAATTTGTTAATCTCTCTGAGCCTCAGCTTCTCACCCCCTCCCAATAACACCCACATTTAAATGAGAAAATAAAGTTTTTTTACACTTTAAATTTCTGGTGGTTCTCTCCTTCTTTGCGTCCCACCCTTCCTTTCTTTCTTTACTTCCTTCTTTCCTTTTTTATTCATTCTTTCTATATGTACTATGCTTGCTTTGCCTGTTTTATAAAAAGATTTAAAAATCACATTTGTGGGAAGTCTAACTTATTTTTTTTAAAGGAAAGATAAGCTAGAAAATTTCCATTTGTTTATGGAAAAATCAGAAAACAAAAACATCAACATTCTCAATATTTAGTTTTAGAAATGTTTATCTATGAGTCATTTCAGGCAGGGATAAAAGGACTGAATTCACCACAGCCTGGACCTCACTTACAGCTGGTAGCATTTGGTGTCAGCTGTTATAAGGATGACCAAGTTACTTCCAGGAATATTCTCCCTCCAGAATGCAAAGAGGCTCACCAAATAATGTGCTTCCTTCTTTGTGGTAGGAGATGAATAATGTAATAATTTGTCTCTTACTTTGGAGAGGACATCTCAACACGCCCCTGACCAACGGAACTCCCACATTTTTTACTGATGTGGTAGGCCCATGAGTCTTTATAACATTTCATTCACATTCTCTCAGCTCTCAAGCTAAAAAGGCTAGGTTCTTCAGTATGTTAGCCAATTACAATTTAGCTGGCCAGGTTATCCTAATATCATTGATGTAGTTAACCAGTGTATTTTGCAGGACATCCAGATGGTCCTGATCACTTTGGATTATATTATGGCAGAAGGCAGGGGAGTTTTCATAGCTCTGGAGTAAATGCATAATTGTACATTGTTGCCCCTTTTATGTGAATACACATTATAATCTCACTTTCTGATTAAAGTAGATAAAAGTATTCACCAAAGTAATATTTTAAACCATAGACCTGAGGTTATGTTAAGTGGCGCTGGAAAAAAAAACACATCTGGAAAAGCAATTGCAATTAAGGCTGCTACTTAACTGGGTTTGTGTTGGCCTCCTGCATCCTTCAGTATCCAATATGTTTCTTTAGTGGCCAAACCATTAACTTAAATGGAAACAAAATGGAGGCCACCACTCCAAATCTTTAGATCTATGCTATCCAATAAGATAACCACTCAGTACACCCAGTAGCTATTTTGATTTACATTTAAATAAATAACATATAAAAATTATTCAGTCATACTAGCCATATTTTTAGTGTTCAATAACTATATTCATTATTTTAGAATGTTGTTGGACTTTAGATCCTTAATGATAGCACACTATCGTCAGCCATTCCCTTACTCTGGAATGCAATATTGTTTATTTTTTATGTTTTAACTTTTTAAGAGATGGGATCTTGCTCTGTCACCTAGGCTGGAGTATATTGAAGCAATCATAGTTTGCTGCAGCCTCAAACTCCTGGCCTGAAGTCATCGTCTTGCCTTGGCCTCCCAAAGTGTTGGAATTATAGGTGTGAGCCACTGCGCTCAGCCCCATAATATTGTTTTAGATTTATTATTTTGACTGGGGGAAGAGAATGCAGTCTTAGAGGCTTCTATTTGCACTTTCCCAGTATGAAAGTTCATGTACTGAAGGCCAAGGATCCAATATGGGGGATGAACCAGTTATGAAGTATGTCAATCTCAACTGAATATTCAAAAATTAGGAATATGACCAATGGATGGGCCAGCCAACCCAGTGGATCCACTATCATCCAGATGTTGGTCAAGACTTTTTTTTATTGCTTGGCTCCCATATGTCTCCATTCTGCTGGAGAGCCATGATGACACTTTGCTTCATAAGGTTTCAGTGTTAACTTGGCTTCTATGCCCAACACTTGTAGAAACTTTTGGCTATGTCCCTTCTCAGTGTACAGTTACCTGAGTAAATGAATGCAGGTCTCACTATGAAAAGACTGAAGGGATCACTACAGTGTACACTGTAGTGTACACTGTATCGTGGGGTCCTTTCTCAGATGCTATGTCTGAAAATCAGCTTGATTCAGAAACCTGACAATGGATTATTATTAGGACAAGAGTTCCTAACCTCTGGGTCATCCACTCTTGCTGTTTCCAGATGGCTTAAAATGAGTAGTATTCAAGTTGGCTACCCGTATATTTTGCCTTTAGGAATGCATCTCCATAATTGCATCTCCATGGTTCTCCAGAAGTCAGGTCCCCTTGATTGTCATTCCAAACCTGCAACTCATTTGTATTGAGTTGTATTGGCTTCCTGCATACAAGCACTGCCATTTGGTCCTTATTGTTTGTATCCTATATGTTCTGTAATGGCCTTTCCTACTGTCATCCCTGGCTAACAGGAGAGAGACATCACTGAGTTTTTATTGATATTTGTGCTCCCCTGACCAGTGCATTTGCTATGACCTCTCCATGAAACATAATCACTTGATGAGACTTTCAGCTTTACATAATACAGTTGACCCTTGAACAACTCAGGGATTAGAGGCACCAACCACTGTGCAGTGAAAATTCTTGCATAATTTTGACTACCCATAATTTAACTACTAGAGCCTGCTGTGGACTGCAAGCCTTACCAATAACAGTCAGTTAACACATATTTTATGTATGTATTATGTACTGTATTCTTATAAGAAAGTAAGCTACAGAAAAGAAAATATTATTCAGAAAATCAAAAGGAATGGAAAAATATATTTACTATTCATTAAGTGAAAGTGGATCATCGTAAAGTTCTATATCCTCATGGTCTTCACATTGAGTAGGCTAAGGAAGAGGAGAAAGAAGAGAGGTTGGTCTTGCTCTCCCAGCAGTGGCAGAGGCAGAGGCAGAGGCAGAAAAAAAAATTGCATGTAAGTGGACCCACACAGTTCAAATCCATGTTGTTCAAGAATCTATTCTAGTATAATCACTTCCTTGAGTCTTTGAACTCCTTACCCCACTGCCTGCCAAGACAATTCTGGCATTTCAATGATGCAATGTAAGTCATCAATTTCCAATGCTTTTAGGAGCCATCTTGTTACTTAACTATCTCCTGGGGTCTTTCTAAGGATATTGTATCTTGTGTATCTCAGGATAGTGCTACTGTACAAACTCTCCCCTATGCAATTCTATAATCTGACCTCCTTAATCAAGGACCCTCAGAATTGAGTTGTTTCCTATACATGCTGGCCAGTTCCTGCAGCTCCTTTAGAATATCATCTCTTTTTTTTTTTTTTTCCCTTGGCTCACACGATCCTAGCTGGGTGATACAGTGACTTTACCCAAGTTATAAGCCCTAATGGCCAGTGGGTAGGGGTGCGACAGATCTGGAGGTTGGTATTGTCCTCAAGTAATGGGGAAAGTGCTAGGAAGTACTCTTCCCCAAAGAGAACTCCCTTGCCCAAGGAAATGACCTTCTTCTGCATTCAATGAAAAGTAAGAGATATGTCTCTAAAGGGTCATCTCTGTGCCTGAGTTCCCTGTGGATCTTCTTAAGTCTCAGTTTCAGTTGTCTTGCAATTCAACTTCTCCCTCTGCCCAATCCTGGTTCCCTTATGTTCTCATAAATGCTGCCTCCCAGGGAACTCTTCTGTAACCTCTCTGCATGCACATTTCTGTCTTAGGGTCTGTTTCCCAAGGAAGCTGAGCTAAGAAGATGTGTAACCTTTATTTGTAATCATTTCTGATTGTATACCCCTTTGATATAAACCCCACCTAATTGCAGGCAAAATGCTGAAATTCATTTGCCAGTAGTAACACCATAATGTCAGAGGCCAAATAAAAAAGATAAATCAATGATTGCGTGAAATGCTGCAAGTGAGAAGAGTTATGTAATGTATCCAAGAGGAATAATACTAGCAGAGTGTGTTTGTTTGCAGAAGATGGATGAGGGAGTTGTAGGGGGATATTAAAGAAAGGAATATGGGAAGAGAATTGGCATCAAAGAGGTTTTATGTGAAAGAACAATAGTTAAAGTGATGAGAATGCAATGGGAAGCCTGATTAGAGGAGTAGCGCCCGATTAGAAGTCACTCAGGTGGCAACATGTGAAAAGACTGTCAGTCAAGAAAGCTTATAGGTGTTGCACTGCAGTCTATTCAGCCTAGATGAGAATTGATAGAACACCTGGTGCTTTATACTCTTGGCTGAGCCACATCACACCTTATTAATGGTGTATCTATTCCCTTTCTTCCCTCAGCAAAACATTAAAAACTTGAGATGAAAGCATGCCGTTCTAAAACATATTTGGCTCAAAGAAAAAGATGCTTCCCAGGACTACAAAAGATCTTTCTTTAATGAAACTTTAATTAAACTTTGCTTTAATTTGGATCACAACGAAGAAAATAAGGACTTTTCATCTTGCCCCATGTGGAAAGTATCAGTGTCTCCTATGAATAAAATTTTTGGAATTTAAATGTCTTGCAATCTTTCAGGACCTTTAGTCCCATTGATAATTGACTATGACAACAAAATCAATTGTTTGCAACTAAATTTACAAACATATATTTTTAGGATGGATACATGTACCAGAAATACATTATTGTGTGCCCTCTAAGGTGTTATTAGTAACAATGGTAATTAGAGGGAACAAAAGCTGGGAAAATAAAATTGGGAGGAGGCTATAAGCCAGTTCTTTAGGGTTAATGAAACAATAGTTGACATCATGTTTTCCCTCCCCAAAGAAGCCACCAAATGGCAACACATAATTAGTATGAAATAACACTATTCAGAACAATTCTTAGGTGCTAAATACTTTGTTATCTACAAAGAACACATATTTGAAAAACGTCAACTTTTGAAAAGACTCAAATAGAGTGTTTGAATATGTGTCATGTTTAGAATCTGGTCTGTTTCATAGGGAATGTTCTTGCTGTCAATACCACTGTGTGTTACCTCTTCACTGGGAAGGAGTCCATATGTCTCAGATTTGCCCTTGACCACAGACATTTGCCAAGAAGAGACAAGAAATGTGTCCTCATTTGTACAGATGTACGGAGAAGAAAGCTCATCATTTTCAAAAAACAACTAAAATGCCTTCTCTGTACTGAACATTATGTGTGTGGATTACAGAGTGGAATAAGAGGGATGCAACCTGGCCTTAATAAGGGAGAGGTGTTCATGGCACACGTATACCTTTGTAACAAACCTGCACATTCTGCACATGCATCTCAGAACTTAAAGTAAAATAAAAAATAAAAATAAAGAAGTGAGAGGTGTTGTTCATGGGTACATTTTCCCCAAACACACCGGGCGGGACAAAAACTGGGATTTTGTTTTCAAGCCTAGGAAAGGAGCCTGCGAACAATGATTCTTGGGCCAAATCCAGCTCTCTGTTCTTGTAAATAAAGTTTTATGGGAGCATAGTCATGCTCATTTATTTACATATTGTCTATGACTGATTTCGTGCTACAAAGGCCAGATTGAGTAGTTGTCAGAGAGGCATTATGGCTCACAAAGCCTAAAATTAGTTATTGTTTGGCCTTTTACAAAACAAGTTTGAAAACCCCTGGTCTAGGTGAAGAAAAGCACATTTAGAAACAGATCCTACCTATCTGTCCTGTACCCAACATAGCAAAGCAATATAATAGCCAGAGGAGTCACTCAAAGGCCTAGGCACATGTAGCTTGTAATTTAGCTTAAATTTATGAAAGCTTCTGCTCAGAATAATTCCTTTAAATGCATGTCCCATTCATTTTGGTTTGTCACACACACACACACACACACGCACACACATTGGATGTATAATTACAACTTGCATTGCTATTAGTGCACAATCACAAAACTGTTACCATGCTATTAATTTTCCACACGTTCTATTAACTTCCTAATGGTAGCTGTGTTACTCATCTCTTATGCTGTAAGTACATTCATGTGTTGCTTAATGATGGTAATACGTTCTGAAAACTTGTTAGGCCATTTCATTATTGTGTAAATATCATAAAGTGTACTTGCACAAACCTAGATGGTGCAGCCTACTACACACATAGGCTGTACTCTAGGGTCTCCAACCCCCAGGCTTCAGAGCAGTACTGGTCCTTGGCCTGTTAGGAATGAGGCTGCACAGAGGGACGTGAGCCGTGGACAAGCGAGCATTACTGCCTGAGCTCTGCCTCCTGTCAGATCAGTGGCAGCATTAGATTCTCACAGGAGGGCAAACCCTATTGTGAACTGTGCATGCAAGGGATCCAGGTTGCACACTTTTTATGGGAATCTAATGCCTGATGATATGAGGTGGAACAGTTTTATCCCAAAACCATCCCCACCCCACCGCATGGGAAAACTATCTTCCATAAAACTTGTCCCTGGTGCCAGAAAGCTTGGGAACCGCTGCTACACAGCATGTTCCTGTACTGAATACTGTAGGCAATTATAACACGATGGTATCTGTATATCTAAACATAGAAAAGGTACAGTAAAAATATGGTATAAAAGATAAAAAATGGTACATCTCCATAGGCCCTTAACATGAATGAAGCTTGAAGGACTAGAAGTTGCTCTCAGTGAGTCACTGAGTGGGTGGTAAGTGAATGTGAAGGTCTGGGACTTCACTGTGCACTACCACAGACTTTATAAATACTGTATAGTACAATCCGGTTACACTAATTTTTAAAATTATTTCTTCAAAAACAAAGTAACCTTAGCTCACTATAACTTTCTTACTTTATAAACTCTTTAAATGTTTTAAAACTTTTTCTTACTTTATAAACTTTTTAATTTTTTAAAACTTTTTGACTTTTGACTCTGGTAATAACATTTAGCTTAAAATATATTGTACAGGTGTACAAAAATATTTTATTTCTTTAGAACTAAGCTTCTTTCTATCCTTATTTTTCTATCCTTCTATCTATAAGCTTTTCTCTACCCTTATTTTTTTCAGTTTTTAAACTTTTTTATTAAAAACTAAGACACCAACACACACATTAGTCTAGGCCTATAGAATCATCAATATCACTATCTTCCACCTCATCTTGTCCCACTAAAAAAAAGGTCTTCAGGGGCAATAACACACATGAGCTGTCCTCACATATGATGACAGTGCCTTCTTCTGCAATACCTTCTGAAGGAACTTCCTGAGGCTGTTTTACAGTTAACTTTACTTTTTGTAAGTAGAATGAATTTACTCTAAATAAAAAGTAAATATATAAACCACTAACATAGTCGTTTGTCATTATCATGCATTATGTGCTGTACATAATTGTATGTGCTATACTTCTATACAACTGGCAGTACAGTAAGCTTGTTTACACCAGCATCACCACTAACATGTGAGTAATGTGTTGCATTACGACATCCAACAGCTATGACATCACTAGGTGATAGGAATTTTTAAGCTTCATTATGGTCTTATAGGACCACCATAGTATACGTGGTCCATTGTTGACCAAAATGTTATGTGGTGCATGATTTGCTGCAGTTTGCTGAGCTTCAATATGGTGAGCATCTGGATGCCTTAGAGACAAAAGAAATTTCTAATATAAGAACACACGGTGAGGCAAGGTTAGAGGGCTTTCACTCAGAGTGCAGAAGCTACTCTGTATACACTAGACTGTGCTCCCAGAACATCCTAACCACAGTCTTCACTCGGAATGCTTTCCACCATTTCCCTGGTTGAAAGTAGGATCAATGTATTTCCAATCTACAGATCTGCAGCTGCTGGGTTTGGAAAAGAGAGGGCACTGAAATATCATACAGGCAGTCAAGAATGAGTGTTTCAGTGCTCATGGGGATACATTGCTAAATGGCCTAGAGTTGACAATGGAGTGAGAAGGAATCCCATAAAATGAAGGGTGAAGTCACAATGGCAAATTAATTTATTTGATCTATACTGCTTTTAATAGAATATTATTTTGAGCTATCAATCAGTAAAATGCAGAACGTGTGAACCTCAGAATTGAGTAGTGGGAATTACAGCAGGAAAATAAGAAACAAAAGAAGTGAGCTACATCTTAACAGATGTCCAAGGATTCCAAGGGTGATTAGGAGCAGCCCCTCCACTAAGTCTAAGCCCCTTCCACTCTCCTTTCTGAACTTAGAGCTCACCACAGACAGAAGGAAAAAAAAGGGGAAAAAATATGAAGTTGCTAATAGAAGCTCTGCAAAATATTCTAAAAATGAAGAATTGACTGAGTTTAAATGCATGTTTAAATAAGTTTGAATAAGCTTAAGCTTACCCTGAATTGACAAAATTATGTTTTCTATCATCAGCTAAAATGGCCTCAGGAACTAAATTAAGTTAGAGACATTTTAAAAGGCACATTTTTGCACATATATCTCTGTAACTTAGAAATGCATGCCAGCCCAGAGATAATATTCCAGCATTTTCTTCTGACTTTTCCCACTCTTGTCATTCTATGCAAATAGCTCCAACACATGTTGGACTTGAAGGAGGCTAAATTTGAGAGCAGAACTTTGAATGCTGCTTTGGAGAAGTGGAGGAAGGCTTATAAATCATGGTCACAGCTGCATTCCTCCTCAGCTGGGTAGGGTCCTGGGTTGCTGTAGTGTAAGTGACTCTTTACTGCATATAGACAGTAAATATCTTCAAAGATGCCTCAGCCTTATATTTTTCAAGCTGTTAAGACTCCAAAGCCTAGGACTAGAAAGGGAATCCAAAGTAACTTGTTAACTGTGTGCAATGTAATTTGCTGTTTTAGACAAAGAAAAGGTAGATATCTTTCCTCCCATACAATAGTTTTGTGCTTACTATCTGTGATGGCTAATATTAGGAGTCAGCTTGATAGGAGTGAGGGATACTTAAAATGTCTGGTAAAGCATCGTTTCTGGGTGTGTCTGTGAGGATATTGCCAGGAGAGTCTGACGTGCTGAGGTAGGAGGCAGAACTTGACTCCATAACCGGGGCTCAGACACCAGACCAAAGTGAGGACTAGCTAAGACAGGAATGGGGCAGAAGCAGCTTTCCAAAAGACACGCCCACCAGTGTGCCATGTCAGTTTACCATTGCCCAGGCAACCCCTGGGAGTTACCACCTTTTTCCATGTCAATGACCCGATGTCCTAGAAGTTATTACCTGTTTCCTAAAAGTTCTTCATAAACTGCCCCTTAATCTGCATACAATTAAAAGTAGGTATAAATATGACTGCAGAACTGCCCTGAGCTGCTGCTGTCAGCACACTGTCTATGGGATAGCCGTGCTCTGCAGGTGCAGTCCTGGAGCTGTAACACTGCCTGAGCTATAACACTGCTGGAGCTGTAACACTGCCACTTCAATGAAACTGTTTGCTTCTACCATTGCAACCTTGAATTCTTTCCTGGGTGAAGCAAAGAACCCTCTCACACTAAGCCCCAACTTGGGGCTTGCCTGCCCTGCATGAATGTGAGTCAGTGGACTGGGAGAGGAAGATCTGCTCTCAATGTGGCCAGGCACCATCCATCCAGCTGGAGGCTTGGCTTGAACAAAGCAGACAGAAGGGGGACATGTAGCTTGCTTGGCTTTCTTTCTTCCACTCTCTCTCCCTTCTAAAACAAGACACCTTCTTCTCCTCCTGTCCTCGAATGTCACAGTCCGGGTTCTCTGGCCTTTGGTCACTACTGTAGAAGCACTCATTATATCTTATTTTAACTGTTTATCTTCTCCTATCCCTCAACACCCTCAATAGAATATGAACTCCTTGAAGATGGTAGAAATAGGTTCTTATATTGCTGTAGTCCCAGTATTAATTCTGAACAAAGATAAACACATGACCCTTCGTGAATCCCCCAAAGTAAAGTCAATTTAGCCTATTTCTATCCCCCACCTCTGCCTGTGTAATTTTTCCAGGGGAATGGATATTCCAAAGATGGAATCTACTACTTCTTTAATCAATCTAGTGGCAGGAAAATATTGTTTTCTAATGGGGGAAAAATTGAATTTTCTTCTTTGGCGAGGAAGATAAGATGAGTTTGCTAAAAAGGGACATAGTTTAGAGAAAGAATAAGTGATTTTTCTTCATGGGATAGGACTTAGCATATCAAGTAATAGGAGGCAAACCTCAGAACATGCTATAGCTTCTGAACCTGCTAATATTTAGCAGAAACATAACTTAAGAATTCTCTCAGCCCCTGGCTGGCTAGGCTGGGATGAGGCATCTGGAGGACCTTAAATTGGTCTCCTTGGACTGAGAGTGGCCTTTTCTGTTCAGCGTGTTTGAAATATTATCAAATTCTATGTGAGTCACTACATGAAAAAGGAGAGGAAGTACTGAGAGATAAGGAAGTTCCCACGACTTTTAAGGCTGTTGCATGGGTTTGCATAGGCATCTGAGGCATTTGAGAAACTGAGCTCTGGGCTGGTGGTAAGAGTCAGGATTATGGACTCCAGCCTGGGCAGAGGCTATGGCCCCATGGAGCACACTTTTTCTCTGTACAGAAAGGAACTTCCTCTGTTAGTATGTGGCTCCCTTAGAGAGAGATCTTGCTGCAGTGTCTCCTGATGCCATCACAGCATGTTGGTGAATTTGCTTATAAAGTGTCCCATCACTCTTAGTATAACTTCATAGGCCCTTATAAACCAAGATCCCTGATCCACAATTGCAAGGGCCCTCTGCAGAAAAGAGCTAACCTAGCAGGCTTGGGTTGCTCAAATGCTCCACATTTCCAAGAAAGGCCTGGCCAGATGATCTCCTGGGAGATGATCTCCAAGCCCTTGGAATATTCTACCTTATAACCATGCTTTTGTATGCTTGAGGCTTTGGACCGAGAAGTATCAGTTTGATGAGATGGTTTATGTGACTTATGGTGAATACCTAGTCTTGCTCTGAAGGGCCACAGCCTGAGTAGCTGTGTGTCTATGTGACTAACCCCAAAGCTCAGGTGGGCTTCCCTGGTTGGCAACACTTTGTTTTGCTACATTTAAAGCTAACTTGACATAGCTGGAATTTTCTCCCAGGATCTTATTTCTTTCAGCTTTGGGGTTACAAATCCAGTTTCCTAGAGTTTCATTTTTATCCCTTACTTCAATGTTTAAAATCTTCCCTCCAAAGCCACCTAATCAGGCTGAGAGGTCTTGTCTTCCTTTGGTTCTGCCCAATCCCTTTTCATCAACCTTCTTTTCCTCAGGCCTTTCACCTGCTCAGGCATCGTGTGTGAGCCTGTAAGTCTCTTCTGATTAACTCGCCTCTGACCTATTAATGTGCTCAGTCATTCCTGCAGCAGTTCCATTGTCAAACCAGTGCTCCAAATGTATTATTTTTTTCTATTTCTGCCCTCAATGGAGTTCACTTATTTTCAACCCAGGGCCTTGATCTTGTTCTCAAGCTATTTGCTTTTCTGCCATCAAGAGGCAAACAAAAACTAACCACAACATTCTAAAAACCCAAATATATTTAAGAATAAAATTTATTTTTCTCCAAGACCATGGTTACTTTATACTCAAAAGAAAATTCAGTACATCTTCATTGCAATAATATTTGGGCCAAAACATACCGTTATTTTCATCAAGACACTTTTGTTTTAGAGAGCCCAAAATCCTTCTCAGTAGCTATATTAGTTTTCTTTTGCTGCTGTGACAGATTACCACAAATTTAGCAGTTTAAAGCAATACAGATTTACTTTCTTAAAAATTTTATTTTATTTATTTATTTTAGAGACTGGTCTTGCTCTGTAGCACAGGCTGGAGTGCAGTGGCACAATCCTGGTTCACTATAGCTTCGAACTCCTGGGCTCATGTGATCCTCCTGCCTCAGCCTCCCAAGTAGGTGGGACTATAGGTTGGCACCACCATGTCTGATATATTTATATATATATATATATATATATTTTTTTTTTTTTTTTTTTTGAGACAGAGTCTTGCTCTGTCACCCAGGCTGGAGTGCAGTGGTGCAATCTCAGCTCACTGTAACCTCTACCTCCCAGCTTCAAGTGATTCTCATGCCTCAGCCTCCCACGTAGCTGGGCTACACGCACGTGCCATATTTTCAGTAGAGAGGGTTTCACCATGTTGGCCAGGCTGGTCTCAAACTCCTGGCCTCAAGTGATCCTCCTCCCTCGGACTCCCAAAGTCCTGGGATTACAGGTATGAGTCACCATACTCAGCTGCAAAACAGATTTCCTATCTCACATTTCTGTAGGTCAGAAAAAGGTAGGTTGTCTTGACTGGTTTCTCTATTGTAGATTTCACAAGGCCAAAATCAAGTGGTCAGCCAACTAGGCTTTGGTTAGGAGAGTCTGGAGAAGAGTCGTATTGGGGTTGAGTCAGGCTGTTGTTGGCAGAACATTCATTGCAGTTGTAGAACTGATGTTCCTGTTTTTTTGCTGGCTGTTATTTAGGGGTTACCCTTTATGTCTAAAGGAGTTGTGTGCATGTCACTGCATCTCAGGAATTGTGTCATAAGTCCTTCTCACATGCTTGTAATCTAACTTGCCCCTTCTGCTGTGTGAATCCTTCTGACTCTAGTCAGAGAAGGTTCTCTGCTTTTAAGGGATCAATCATGTGATTGAGATTATTTCCACAAATAAAACCCAGGACAATCTCCCTATTTTAAAGTGCTTAATCTTAATTACATTTGCAATGTCCCTTTTGCCATAAAATGTAATATGTTCACAGATCTGGGAACTAAGGTGTGAACATATTTGAGGAGTCATTATTCTGCCTATCACAATAACTGTAGCTCAGCCTATGTAACTGGAAAAAATCTAATGAGTAGACTGAGCTTTAGAGACAGATGAATTTATGAGCTCAAAAATATCCACAGAACTCTGTGACTCCCCATCTTGATACCAGCTTGTTTGATTTGGCTTCATTACTCGGTCCTTCTGTATGGTGGGAAAGGTGATCACCACAAGCTATCAGCTTACATAGGTTCAGTTAAGAGGTATATGTGTTGAGTGTTTGGGAGATGAACATGAAAATCCTGTTTTCAGCTCGATTCCTAGGGGAATGTGATTTCCTATCGAAGGAAGTTGAAAGCATTCATCTAATCACCACAGGGCTAGCTAGAAACAACAGATCTGGATCCCTGATATTAGAGCTATAATTCTCCAAGAGGACAGGAGCTAGAAGAGTATAGAAAGTAGTACACATGTAGTGGGAAACAAAAAAGAACACAGATGTGTTATTGAAAGTGATCTATCTTGTTTACCTTCCACACAACCCAGGAAGAAAACGCTCATGGCAAGCAAATAGTCTCAGTTCTTACACTGATAGAACTGTGTGATCAAAGTAAACATATATATACATATATATATGTA
This sequence comes from Homo sapiens, assembly GCF_000001405.40. Lineage (NCBI taxonomy): Eukaryota > Metazoa > Chordata > Mammalia > Primates > Hominidae > Homo > Homo sapiens. Next base: position 125,610,203 of record NC_000005.10, read on the forward strand.
TATATATATGTTTAAGCATATATATATGAATACATATTTATGAATATATATATATATTTCAAGTTCAAAATTAGGTTTATTTGACGTTAGTCATGACATTCATTATATTTTGAACTCTTTAAAGACAGGTGTGTACAGTAAGATATATTTTGGCTACACGTAACAGAAAATATAGAAAGCAAAGGGTAAGTATGTGTATTACCTCACATAGCTAAATACATGGTTGTGGGGTAATTCTAAGGCTGGAAAAGCAAATACATTTCCAAAGACATCGATTCTATGTCTTCTTTAGCTCCCCAGAGTTTTGACTTCTTTTAGGCTTGTTCACTTAAAGGTCCTCAGATGGCTATTTCAGTTCCAGGTACCACATGCAGATAACAATGTCAAGACGAAGAAAAAGAAATAACCCCCTCATTTATCTCTTTTAGAAATGAGGACAATCTTTCCAGACTTTTTCATTGGCCAGAATCATCCCACGTGATCACGCCTTGAGCAATGAATTGTTGTGGCAAAGACAGCCACTGATCAGCTAGGACCAATAAAGACTGTCCCCTGTAGCTATTTCTCTAGACTCACATGAACACTCAAAATGGTGAACAAAAGCAGTTATCTGTCTGCAAGTAACATGGAGGAAATATCTACTGGGTAAATGTCCAGCTGTGTCTTTCACAGAGAGGGAAAATATTTATATGCTTATCGTATGGTTCATGAGTAATAAAAAATTCTAAAACATTGGATTAGAGACACAAAGCAGCAGTAAGAATCTATCAATGGTTATCTAGCATTTTTTAATGTTCTGAAAGAATTAATGTCTTTCTTTGCAATTAAATGACAAAGCCTTAGTTCTTTAAACAAATGCAAAAAACAAAACACAGATCAAAGAGGGCCTTGAAACAAGAAGTGAGCATGCCAGGAAAATGTGATGAAATAAAGAGTATGTAACATACAGAGGACGTGTACAGCAAAGATATTATTGCCTTATGTGTTTTACCAAAGAATTAATACCAGGTCCACCAGGAGAATAAACTGCATATTAATGTCAGAATGTAGGTGTGAGGGTCTCTATGAAAGAAATTACAGTAAAATATATGCATTGCTCTCATGGCAGAGAATAGTATGGAGAACAGTGAGTGTGCATATGTGTGTGTGTGTGTATCTTTTTCCATCATTGGTAAGTATACTTAAGAAAACACCTGACCATAAGTGCAAGAAGCACAGATATGGAATCTTTTTCATTCACTGTCTTAATCTAGAGCTTAGTACAGTACCTGGCCCTTAGTAACTGTGTGTGTGTGTGTGTGTATATGTGCGTGTGTGTGTATATGTGTAAGATAGGTAGATAGATAGGGAGGGAGGGAGAAAGAGAGAGAGAGGGAGGGGAGAGAGAGAGGGAGGGGAGAGAGAGAGGGAGGGGAGAGGGGGAGAGAGAGAGGGAGGGGAGAGGGGGAGAAAGAGAGGGAGGTAGGGGGAGAAAGAGAGGGAGGTAGGGGGAGAGAGAGAGAGAGAGAGATTGATTCTCTTGCCCAGAGTGGACAAAAACAGGAAAACAGGAAACATATTTCTGATGGGAATGTTGTAACTTGTCCATGTAACAAATCAGTAAGGTAGATATTTTCAAGACTAACATTAATTTTTTCCATAACTGATAAATGAGTTTTCTCATTGTACATAGTTTTGGAATAAAGTTTAAGCATTATCTTCATTACAATGCTATAATTCTTAGATTTGTATTTTTGCATATCTCCCTGACTGGATTTTTCAGAGTAAAATTTATTTTGATAAAGAACTAAAAGGCAATACCTTTAGTGTTACACTTGCTTCAGCAATTGTAGAACACCATTAGTTTCCATGTGTTACGCCTGAAAAATATTCAATAAAAGTTAAGGTTACAAAAACCATAAAGCATATCTAAGTTCCAACTAATACAAGAAAATCAATGAAATTCCAAGCATGTCTGTGGCTGCATCCTGAATTCATCTCAGATCCCAAGCGATACAATACAAATGAAACGGAACACTTCACCCCATTCTACAAATTCCCTCTGCAGACTTTATAGCAAGATGAGTTATGGACCAGCTGACTCAAGCTCAGAGCTTCGTACCGCTCTTGTTTTGTTACATGTGACAGGTTGGGTCTTTGAGAGTCCGGACTAAATTACGGTTTTCTCTAGGTTTGAAGCAGCAAGCATTTTACATAGATCAGTCCTTCTTCGGGGAACGGGGGCGGGGCAGACTGTGAATCTTTTCAGGACCAGTAGCATCCTATCCTACCAGACCCACGGCTGAGGCCACATGCCTGTTGACATGCTAGGCATGTTGCCCGCATCCATTCGATAAATGTTCTTTTGGCTCCCTTCCTCACAAGCTGAATGCCGGGAAGTGACAGGTGCAAGTGTAGACCAGGCTGGCGCAGTATCTGACTGTTTGAACGACTGGGACTTTCTGTCTGACAGGATTTACCCAGTCATGATGGATGGTGGCTAGAGAACAGGAAAGAGGAAGGGAAGCAGGAAAGGAAACTAACTGCATTACACCACGGGGATCTATAAAATGCTCACCTATGAAACAATATGAGGAGCTCAATATCTGACAAGAGTTGAGGGAATTAAGAGTTATTTGATTACAGGTGCTCAACTGGCATTCATTTTCCTCTTATTATCTGAGAACCCTCCCTTGAGAGAAAGCACTAACCTTCAAAAGGAGCAGATGAATGGCTCTATTAAAAGCACTGTAGTTTGTTCATGGCTCTGTAGCATCTGACCATTTTATGAACTCAGTGGAATTGTAAATAGGAAACAGAAGAGAGGAAATATCTTTCTGAAACAGTGTACAGATGACTTAATCTGTCTTCAGTGATTTGTAAGCCAAAAGAAGAATATTCACATGGAAAAAATGATGTAAAATCAAATCTGCTCCCACCCCTTAATCCCCCATCTTGAATATTTCTCTTAAAGGACAGATATTTCAATACTATATGATGTCAAATTGGGATGGTTTCTTATTTTTTTAAAAAAAGATGCCTAAGTTAGATATGGTTAAATAATTGGCTGTTGATATTTTATATATATCTAGCACATATATATATCTATGGTTCATTTTAATCTTAGTTAAAAAGAAATCCATAGATCTTTTTTAGTATCTACTTTCAGAAACAATTTCTGCGATAGTAGCTGCTATGAAGGGAAAATACCGCATCTGAGGAAGTCATAAATAAAAAAATTCACTGAAATCTAATGAAGTCCATATGACATCAACTTTTTCTCCTCTAGTATAAAGCAGGATGAGTAAAATTTATTTAAAACCACGTCTCCAAAATTAGGATTATCAGTACTGGTTATTTATTCTTTATTTAGAAAGAAGAGTAAATGTTTTATTGGTGTTATGGCTTGTTTAATAGCTTATTTCGGGTGTATCACTGAGGAATATATAATATTCATATCTCATCAACAGGAATAAGAACTTGGATATAAATTTGTAACATACAGAAGAGTGCTAAAAGATTCAAGAAATTCAGGAATAATAATTCATGTCAGATAGAAATAATTTCTTAAGATCATTTATTCTTTTTGCTCATTTATTATTTGTATCAAACCTGAGTTAAGAGTAAAAATTAATATTTTAAATCCTGCTAACAGAAGTCTGAAAGGAAAGCTTCTCTCTTTTATCAAAATACATCAACTGTACATAAAGCATAAAATGTCATCTTAGTACATTAACTATAAAACTTGTTATACATGTGTACATTTATACACACCAAAATTAATACACTGAAATGTGGCAATTTTTTGTTTCAAAAAAATTCAGCTTAAGACTATTTGATAATTTTACTTCTCCAAAAACAACTTTTGAAACATCCTGAGACTTCCTCAGAATATTCAATATTTTATTTAAAAATTCTGAAAACATCTAAAAGTCAAACTTAAATATTTTTGCTCAAAGAATGAGATATATCTGTAAAAATTAAGAGAATTCTTAGGTAGCTTACAAATAGGCTCTGAATACAATTTTGAAGCAGTGGCAATATCACTTCTTTTTTATTAAGTATATAATTTATGCTAATACATGAATTCCAAAAATAATTTCATCATTTAATAAAATCACACATTATGCAATAACTTTTAAATATTACTTGTCATACTTGTATGACACACCTGTATGAGTTTTCATGATGACAAACATATCATCAAAACATATACAGTCAACCCTTTATAATTCAACTACTGTGAGATCAGAAAATAAGTACATAATTATTTAATGCATTATGTCTCATAATCTTAAAACTGTAAATGTCGTATTGTTTTTCTGAGCTACTTAAAAATTGATGACCTACCCTGGAAATTTACTGTAAACCAACAGGTGGTATTAGTGGTAGCTATATCATGTATAATATATATATCACACAATATATAGTCTATATTATATATTCTAAAATATATAGTCTATATATATTCTATAATATATAGTCTATATTATATATTCTATAATATATGGTCTGTATTATATATTATATATATTATATATAATATAGTCTATATTATAATATATCATATTATATATATTATAGTCTACATTATATCATCTATAATATATATAATATTATAGTCTATGTAATATATCATACATAATATATAACATTATAGTCTATATTATAATATATAATATATAATATATAATATTATAGTCTATATTATAATATATTATGTATAATATATATCTTATAATCTATATTATATCATATATATTATAGTCTTACTATAATATATCTTATGTAATATATATAATATTATAGTCTATATTATAATATATCATATAATATACATAAAATTATAGTCTATATTATAATATATCATATAATATACATAAAATTATAGTCTATATTATAATATATCATATAATATACATAAAATTATAGTCTATATTATAATATATCATATATAATATATATATTCTAGTCTACATAATATATACTATAGTATATATAATATATATATTTTATATATATATTATATATAATATAGTATATATACCATAGTATATATAATATATATATTTTATATATATATTTTATATACATATTATATATAATATAGTATATATACCATATTATATATAATATATATATTTTATATATATATTTAATATATATAATATATATAATATGGTATATATACTATATTATATATAATATGGACTATAATAGTCCATATATTATATATAATATATAATATATTATATATTATATATATCATTTATACTATATATTCTATATAATATATATTTATAATATATATTATTTATAATATATAGTATAAATAATACATATTAAATATAATATAGTCTATAATATATAGTCTGTATTATAAAATATATATTATATATTATATATAATACATAATATGCATGATATACATGACATACATTATATATAATATATAGTATATTATATATACTATACATCATATGATGTATAGTATATATTATATTATATATATATTATAGTATATATTATATATAATTTAATATATATTCTATTATATAATGTGTAATAGAATATATATAATACTGGATATAATTTATTTATATTATATGAAATATTTATATATAATTGTAATATATAATTATAATTATTTATTATATCATATTATATATATTATATAATTATAATTACATATTATATAATATATAATTATATATAATATATAATTATACAATAATATATTAGAAGTATATAATACATAATATATTTTATATGATATATTATATAATTATATATATAATTACATATGATATATTATATTATATAATTACATATATTATATTATATAATTACATATGATATATTCTATTATATAATTACATATGATATATTCTATTATATAATTACATATGATATATTCTATTATATAATTACATATGATATATTCTATTATATAATTACATATGATATATTATATTATATAATATATATGATATATAATATATATTATATAATTAAATATGATATATAATATATATTATATAATTATTATGTATGATATATAATATCTTATATAATTATTACATGTTATATAATATATTATATAATTATTATATATGATATATAACATATATTATATAATTATTATATATGATATATAACATATATTTAATAATTATTATATATGATATATAATATATATTATATAATTATTACATATGATATATAATATATTATATTATATAATTATTATATATAACATATCATATATAATACATATAATATATTATATATTATATATTATATATTATATATACTATACATCATATATAATCTAATATAGACTATATTATAATATATAATATATAATATAGACTATAATATATAACATATATTATAATATAGACTATATTATAATATGTAACATATTATAATATAGACTATATTATAATATATAAGATATTATAATATGTTATATATAAGATAGTCTATTATATATTATATATTATAATATAGTCTTATTATATATTATATATTATAATATAGTCTATAATATGTTACATATTATAATATAGTCTATATTACAATATATGTTATATATTATAGTCTATATTATAGACTATATTATAATATATAACATATAAGATAGACTATAATATATATTATATATTATAATATAGTCTATATTATTATATTATATATTATATATAATATATTATAATATAGACTATATTATAATATATAATATGTAATATATATAATATAGACTATATTATAATATATATTATATATAATATATATACTATATATGATATGTATGTTATATAGGATATAGCTACCACTAACACCACCTGTTGGTTTACAGTAAATTTCCAGAGTAGGTCATCAACTTTTAAGTAGCTCAGAAAAATAATATGACATTTACAGTTTTGAGATTATGAATGGTAATGCCTAGGTTTTCTTCTAGGGTTTTTATGGTTTTAGGTCTAACGTTTAAGTCTTTAATCCATCTTGAATTGATTTTTGTATAAGGTGTAAGGAAGGGATCCAGTTTCAGCTTTCTACATATGGCTAGCCAGTTTTCCCAACACCATTTATTAAATAGGGAATCCTTTCCCCATTGCTTGTTTTTCTGAGGTTTGTCAAAGATCAGATAGTTGTAGATATGCGGCATTATTTCTGAGGGCTCTGTTCTGTTCCATTGATCTATATCTCTGTTTTGGTACCAGTACCATGCTGTTTTGGTGACTGTAGCCTTGTAGTATAGTTTGAAGTCAGGTAGTGTGATGCCTCCAGCTTTGTTCTTTTGGCTGAGGATTGACTTGGCGATGCGGGCTCTTTTTTGGTTCCATATGAACTTTAAAGTAGTTTTTTCCAATTCTGTGAAGAAAGTCATTGGTAGCTTAATGGGGATGGCATTGAATCTGTAAATTACCTTGGGCAGTATGGCCATTTTCACGATATTGATTCTTCCTACCCATGAGCATGGAATGTTCTTCCATTTGTTTGTATCCTCTTTTATTTCCTTGAGCAGTGGTTTGTAGTTCTCCTTGAAGAGGTTCTTCACATCCCTTGTAAGCTGGATTCCTAGGTATTTTATTCTCTTTGAAGCAATTGTGAATGGGAGTTCACTCATGATTTGGCTCTCTGTTTGTCTGTTGTTGGTGTATAAGAATGCTTGTGATTTTTGTACATTGATTTTGTATCCTGAGACTTTGCTGAAGTTGCTTATCAGCTTAAGATTTTGGGCTGAGACAATGGGTTTTTCTAGATGTACAATCATGTCGTCTGCAAACAGGGACAATTTGACTTCCTCTTTTCCTAATTGAATACCCTTTATTTCCTTCACCTGCCTAATTGCCCTGGCCAGAACTTCCAACACTATGTTGAATAGGAGTGTTGAGAGAGGGCATCCCTGTCTTGTGCCAGTTTTCAAAGGGAATGCTTCTAGTTTTTGCCCATTCAGTATGATATTGGCTGTGGGTTTGTCATAGATAGCTCTTATTATTTTGAAATACGTCCCAACAATACCTAATTTATTGAGAGTTTTTAGCATGAAGTGTTGTTGAATTTTGTCAAAGGCTTTTTCCGCATCTATAGGCATGGGCAAGGACTTCATGTCTAAAACACCAAAAGCAATGGCAACAAAAGACAAAATTGACAAATGGTATCTAATTAAACTAAAGAGCTTCTGCACAGCAAAAGAAACTACCGTCAGAGTGAACAGGCAACCTACAAAATGGGAGAAAATTTTTGCAACCTACTCATCTGACAAAGGGCTAATATCCAGAATCTACAATGAACTGAAACAAATTTACAAGAAAAAAACAAACAACCTCATCAAAAAGTGGGCAAAGGACATGAACAGACACTTCTCAAAAGAAGACATTTATGCAGCCAAAAAACACATGAAAAAATGCTCATCATCACTGGCCATCAGAGAAATGCAAATCAAAACCACAATGAGATACCATCTCACACCAGTTAGAATGGCAATCATTAAAAAGTCAGGAAACAACAGGTGCTGGAGAGCATGTGGAGAAATAGGAACACTTTTACACTGTTGGTGGGACTGTAAACTAGTTCAACCATTATGGAAGTCAGTGTGGCGATTCCTCAGGAATCTAGAACTGGAAATACCATTTGACCCAGCCATCCCATTACTGGGTATATACCCAAAGGACTATAAATCATGCTGCTATAAAGACACATGCACCCGTATGTTTATTGCGGCATTATTCACAATAGCAAAGACTTGGAACCAACCCAAATGTCCAAAAATGATAGACTGGATTAAGAAAATGTGGCACATATATACCATGGAATACTATGCAGCCATAAAAAATGATGAGTTCATGTCCTTTGTAGGGACATGGATGAAATTGGAAATCATCATTCTCAGTAAACTATCACAAGAACAAAAAACCAAACACCGCATATTCTCACTCATAGGTGGGAACTGAACAATGAGATCACATGGACACAGGAAGGGGAATATCACACTCTGGGGATTGTTGTGGGGTGGTCGGAGGTGGGAGGGATAGCATCAGGAGATATACCTAATGCTAGATGACGAGTTAGTTGGTGCAGTGCACCAGCATGGCACATGTATACATATGTAACTAACCTGCACAATGTGCACATGTACCCTAAAACTTAAAAGTATAAAATAAAAAACAAAAAAAATTTCTTAAAAAATGAATGAATTGATCTAAAAAAAAGATTATAAGACATACTGCATCAAATAGCCTATATACTATGATATTGCATTAAAAACCTATGTACTATATATATAATATATACTCTATATATATAATGTTTTTTAACTACAATTACTTCTAATAAAAGTTAACCAACATTTAGTGATTATCTACTACGTGCCAGGCACCAGAGAAGAGTTTTTCTCTCATTATCATATTGACTCCACACAATGTGACTATCATTATCTTCATTTTACAAGTAAGAAAACTGAGGCTTAAAGAACTTAAGGAACTTGCCCATAGGTCTCCCTCTTTGACAACCATAAAGGCCTTTGTCCTCACCTTACAACTAATGCTGCTTCATTCCTCATGCAAAACAAATGAACTTAATAATCTGTGACTGGTGTTTTGTTCTAAGAAAAGCCACACTAAGATATACACCTTTATTTGAGGGATACATTTTCAATTTCTTTATTGCAAATGGGATGTTTAAAGCTTGCACATTTTCTGTGGGGGAAAAAAATCTCTGCTGAGAAAAAGCCAAATTTTGTGGTTTAAGATTATTATTAAAAATCCTAGAGACACTTGCTCACTAAACCTGTTTCAAATGAGGAAAATGAGTGATCTGTGGTCATCACTGCCATTTAATTCTGACCTAGGAAACGTTACAAATGGGCCAGTAGACCCTTCTTAAAAGCAGTGACCTGTTTCAGGCAAAACTCTTAAATGTCCCCAACATCTAAAGAATCGGTGGCACAATAAGAGCTAGGTGACTTCCCATAAGCAGAGGGCTAAAACTAGGATAGAAATACCGGAATGTTACATAATATTGTTTTGAATGGCAAACAAAGTCTGGATATCCTGAAATGTCTTGCTTGTTGCTTCTTTAAAGAAAAGAAAATTCAACTTTGCTCCCAAATGACTTTTATAAACATCAAATAACTTGCCCTTTTTATCCACTTCCTAAGTGATGGTGCATGGATTCCAGCCCAGTTCTTCAGGATGACCACACACTTTGAATTAACCATATGATAATAGGAAAATGATATTTATTTAGTGTCTATTATGTGCTAAGCATTGCATTACATATTTTATGTACGTTATTGATATCTGTTTAAAAAACAAAACCTTAGGAAAGTTATCATAAATCACATTTTACAGAAAAGGAAGTTGAAGCTTAGAAGTTTAGAAAGTTAAGAAATTTTTCAGAGAAATTAAGAAAATTTTCAAGGTCACACAGCTAAAATAAGGAAGCCATATTATGGAGACATCACATAGGACAAAACAGACTACTATCTAGTTACCTGTAACTTTGGCTTTGCTCAACAACCCTCCAACCTTGGCACAATACTTACAGAATAAAAAACAAAATGAAAATTCATAGAAAATGAAAAACTAAAATAGCAGTACAATCTCAAAGCAATAAAACATTCAAGAGTATAGAAGTAAAAACCACAAATTAAGAATCATCAAAAGAATTTTTGAGAATGTCTCAATAAGAAAATTCAGGAAAATATAATACAAGATATCAAACAATTGATAACATTATGATTACTCTAATATGTCTCTTCAAACATCTCAGGCAAAACTTTGAAGACTTAAACTTGGAACTTAGTTTTAGCTACACTTAAGACTCTTGCACTGGGAGGAAAGAATGAGCTAGAGAATCAGTCAGGGTCATTACACAAACAGGCACATAGAGCAGATGTGCACAAAAATGTATGTATTCAGTTGTACTTTGCTTAAATATTTACTTGAAACATCTCAATTTAAGGATCAGTGAATAATTTACTTTCAGAATCAATACTATGGAAGAGACATTTACTGTTCACCAAATATCCATGTGCTCTCTAAGATTTCTAGTCATCTAGCAATTACATGACTCATGACCAGATTTAGCCAATAAGCTATGAGCAGAAAGGATGAGTGTCACTCCTAAGTCAAAGCATGGAAGAGTAGGTGTTAGTTTCTAACATATTCTCTCCTTCTCCCATAGCCACTGGTAGAGTTCCAGATGGCAGAATCTCTTCAATCAATCTGGGTTTCTCAGAGGAACCATATGGAACAGAGAACCTTCCACCAAGCTGCATTAAATATGTAGCGTGAGTGAGAAATAAATTTTTTAGTGTTAGGTGATTGACATTCTGGGGTGAATTTGTTATTGCAGCATAACTTAGTGTATTCTGACTCAGGCAAGAACTTTCACATTTACAGACCTCAGAGAATCAAGAGCCATCACTGCACTAGAAATATCTTCTGAATTATACTGATGCCCAATAAATTCCCAAACTGTCTGGCTAAAATTTTAATGGCTAAAATGTTTAAATGAACTGTATGCCAAAACTGAAGCTTTTCTTTATTGGCAGGTTCTGAATTACCAAAATCATCTAATAGGTACTTACTATTTGGGATCATAAAGACAGATTATATTAATTCTGCTTAAGACATGTTGAGTGAGATATAGGACTTCTCTGAAGAGACTCATTTATGCAACAAATCCTGATTGAATACCTATGTGGGAAGCACTCATCTCAGTATTATAAATACAATGGTGATCAAAACCAGACATAGCCTCTATCCTCAGCCTAATGGTTGAGATACATAAAATAAATTACACAAATAAGTCTAAAGTCAAAACTGATAAAGAAGGTGAAGGCTATAGTCAAATTAGTATGCATGGCATCATTAGAGTTCTCCTGAAGAACTGAATATTAAGCAGAAATAAGAAAATAGTAAAAGAGGTACTTCACTGGGGTAGAGAAGTTATTTAAGTCAGAGGACACATAACATGTAAAGGATTGAGTTGGGAAGAAGCATGTTTGAGAAACTGGAAGGAAAGGAAGCTGCAGCAGAAAGAACTAGAAGACAACTTACGGAAGACAAAAAGCAGGTAGAGGCCTGATCTTACAAATCCTTGTAAAACACTTAAGAATTTTATTCATTATCTTCAGGGCAATGGAAAAAAAACTGAAAAGCTTTAACTTGAAGGAGGACACTATCATCAGAAGTGTGTTTTTATATAATAAAAGATTACTGATTATGGATTGAAAGAGACAGGAGTAGACACAAAAAGGAGCAGTTGGGACAGGACTGTTTCTGCGGCTAAGAGGCAACATTCAGGTCATATTGAATGTTTTATTTACTGGTTGCTCTGCATTACCTACCTACCAGCAATGTATAATGGTTGCAGTTTCATCATATCCTTGCCAACACTTATTTTTTGTCTAATTAAAGCCATTCTAGTGTGCAAAAAAATATGTCTTCATAGTTTTGATTTGCATTTCCCTACTGATTAATTATGTTGAGTATCTCTTTATGTGCTTACTGGCCTTTTGTATATTTTCTTTGGTGAAATGCCTATTTAAATCTCTTTCCCATTTTTATATGAGGTTGTTTCCTTATTAAGTTATAAGGAATTTGAATTTATCCTGGGTACAAGTCCTTTATCAGATATATGATTTACAAATATTTTCTCCCAATTTATGGCATGGTCTTTTCATTTTCTTGATAGTCTCTGGAAGTGTAAAGATTTTTAATTTTGATGAAGTCAAATTTATAAATTTTACCATTCATTACATATACTTTTGGTATTATATTTAAGAAATCATCCCTTAGCCCAAGTTCATAAAAACTTACCCCTAAATTTTCTTCTAAGTGTTGACAGTTGTAGCTTTTACATTTTTGTCTATGATTCAATTTGAGTTAGGTCTTTTTGTTTGTCTGGTGTGTATGAGTGGTCCAAATTCATCTTTTACATGCAGATATCTAATTGTCCCAGCACTATTTGTTGAATGTTTGTTTTAAAAAGCCAAATAAACTCCAAGTCCAACTGATTGACACTATCTCACAGTTGGAGGCCGAGGTGGGTGGATCACGACGTCAGGAGATCGAAGCCATCCTGGCTAACACGGTGAAACCCCGTCTCTACTAAAAATACAAAAAATTAGCAGGGCGTGGTTGCGGGCACATGTAGTCTCAGCTACTCGGGAGGCTGAGGCAGGAGAATGGCGTGAACCCAGGAGGCGGAGCTTGCAGTGAGCTGAGATCATGCCACTGCACTCCAGCCTGGGTGATAGAGCAAGACTCCGTCTCAAAAAAAAAAAAAAAAAGTCGATGCAGCACCCAAAAAATCTAGTTATCTACTCTTCCCTGGCTGAATGTGAGGCTTAGTGCACAGTAAAGACACAAAAATTCTGGAATAAAGTGAAAGCCAAAACTCAAGGAATCACATTTAAAGAATTAAAGGAAAATACAACAAAGACAAGTTCTCAAATAGAAAATATCAATAAAGAGACAGAAATAAAAAAGACCCAAATGTCAATTCTACAGTTGTAGGTACAATAATTGAAATAAAAAATTTTCTTGAGGGGCTGGCTTAACAGAAGATTTAAGCTGGCAAAAAAATAATCAGAGAATTTTAAGATAGATAAATAGAAATTATCCATTCTGAAGAAGAAAAAGTAAAAAGAATGAAGAGAAATGGACAGAACCCGAGACCTGTGAATACCACTAAGCATACCAATATATGTATGACAGTAGCCTCAAAGAGAAGAAAGAGACAGATTAAATATTCAAAAAAAATTTTTATATTTGGTTTAAAACATTAATTTACACATCCAAAGCTTAATGAACCCCAGGGAAGATAAACATAAAAAGATGACACCTGGTAAAAACCTAGTCAAACTGTTAAAAGTCACAGATACAGATAATATCTTGAAAGCAACAAGAGAAAAATAAGTCAGCATACAAGGAAACCAAAATAGGATTAAAAACTGTCTTATCATTAGAAGCAATGGAGGCTAGCAGGCAGTAGAAAGACATATACAAAGTGTGTATAAGACCTGTCAACCCATCAATACCTAATTTATTGAGAGTTTTTAGCATGAAGGGCTGTTGAATTGTGTCAAAGGCCTTTTCTGCATCTATTGAGATAATCATGTGGTTTTTGTCTTTGGTTCTGTTTATATGCTGGATTACGTTTATTGATTTGTGTATGTTGAACCAGCCTTGCATTCCAGGGATGAAGCCCACTTGATCATGGTGGATAAGCTTTCTGATGTGCTGCTGGATTTGGTTTGCCAGTATTTTGTTGAGGATTTCTGCTTCGATGGTTCATCAGGGATATTGGTCTAAAATTCTCTTTTTTTGTTGTGTCTCTGCCAGGCTTTGGTATCAGGATGATGCTGGCCTCATAAAATGAGTTAGGGAGGATTCCGTCTTTTTCTATTGATTGGAACAGTTTCGGAAGAAATGGTACCAGCTCCTCCTTGCACCTCTGGTAGAATTTGGCTGTTAATCTGTATGGTCCTGAACTTTTGGTTGGTAGGCTATTAATTATTGCCTCAATTTCAGAGCCTGTTATTGGTCTATTCAGGGATTCAACTTCTTCCTGGTTTAATCTTGGGAGGGTGTAGAGCTGTTTATGACAAACCCACAGCCAATATCATACTGAATGGGCAAAAACTAGAAGCATTCCCTTTGAAAACTGGCACAAGACAGGGATGCCCTCTCTCAACACTCCTATTCAACATAGTGTTGGAAGTTCTGGCCAGGGCAATCAGGCAGGAGAAGGAAATGAAGGGTATTCAATTAGGAAAAGAGGAAGTCAAATTCTCCCTGTTTGCAGATGACATGATTGTATATCTAGAAAACCCCATTGTCTCAACCCAAAATCTCCTTAAGCTTAAGCAACTTCAGCAGTCTCGGGGTACAAAATCAATATGCAAAAATCACAAGCATTGTTATACACCAATAACAGACAAATAGAGAGCCAAATCATGAGCGAACTCCCATTCACAATTGCTTCAAAGAGAATAAAATACCTAGGAATCCAACTTACAAGGGATGTGAAGAACCTCTTCAAGGAGAACTACAAACCACTGCTCAATGAAAGAAAAGAGGAAACAAACAAGTGGAAGAACATTCCATGCTTGTGGATGGCAAGAATCAATATCATGAAAATGGCCATACTGCCCAAGGTAATTTATAGATTCAATGCCATCCCCATCAAGCTACCAATGACTTTCTTCACAGGATTGGAAAAAACTACTTTAAAGTTCATATGGAACCAAAAAAGAGCCTGCATCGCCAAGTCAGTCCTAAGCCAAAAGAACAAAGCTGGAGGCATCACATTACCTGACTTCAAACTATACTACAAGTCTACAGTAACCAAAACAGCATGGTACTGGTACCAAAACAGAAATATACACCAATGGAACAGAACAGAACCCTCAGAAATAATACCACACATCTACAACCATCTGATCTTTGACAAACCTGACAAAAAACAAGAAATGGGGAAAGGATTCCCTATTTAATAAATGGTGCTGGCAAAACTGGCTAGCCATAAGTAGAAAGCTGAAACTGGATCCCTTCCTTACACCTTATACAAAAATCAATTCAAGATGGATTAAAGACTTAAATCTTGGACCTAAAACCATAAAAACTCTAGAAGAAAACCTAGGCAATACCATTCAGGACATAGGCATGAGCAAGGGCTTCATGTCTAAAACACCAAAAGCAATGGCAACAAAAGCCAAAATTGACAAATGGGATCTAATTAAACTAAAGAGCTTCTGCACAGCAAAAGAAACTACCATCAGAGTGAACAGGCAACCTACAGAATGGGAGAAAATTTTTGCAATCTACTCATCTGACAAAGGGCTAATATCGAGAATCTACAAAGAACTCAAACAAATTTACAAGAAAAAAACAAACAACCCCATCAAAAAGTGGGCAAAGGATATGAACAGACACTTCTCAAAAGAAGACATTTATGCAGCCAAAAGACACATGAAAAAATGCTCATCATCACTGGCCATCAGAGAAATGCAAATCAAAACTACAATGAGATACCATCTCATACCAGTTAGAATAGTGATCATTAAAAAGTCAGGAAACAACGGGTGCTGGAGAGGATATGGAGAAATAGGAACACTTTTACACTGCTGGTGGGACAGTAAACTAGTTCAACTATTGTGGAAGACAGTGTGGCGATTCCCCAGAGATCTAGAACTAGAAATACCATTTGACCCAGCCATGCCATTACTGGGTATATACCCAAAGGATTATAAATCATGCTGCTATAAAGACACATGCACACGTATGTTTATTGCGGCACTATTCACAATAGCAAAGACTTGGAACCAACCCAAATATCCGTCAATGATAGACTGGATTAAGAAAATGTGGCACATATACACCATGGAATATCAAGCAGCCATAAAAAAGGACATGAGTTCATGTCCTTTGTAGGGACATGGATGAAGCTGGAAACCATCATTCTCAGTAAACTGTCACAAGGACAAAAAACCAAACACTGCATGTTCTCGCTCATAGGTGGGAATTGAACAATGAGAACCCTTGGACACGGGGCGTGGAACATCACACACCAGGGTCTGTCATGGGGTAAGGGGAGGGGGGAGGGATAGCATTAGGAGAAATACCTAATGTAAATGACGAGTTAATGGATGTAGTACACCAACATGGCACATGTATACATATGTAACAAACCTCCATGTTGTGCACATGTACCCTAGAACTTAAAGTATAATAAAAAATATATATATTTCTGAAAAAAAAAACAAAAAAACCTGTCAACCAAGATATCTCTATCGGCAAACTACACGTCAAAAATGAAGGTGAAACAGAGAAATTCCCAAAGAAAGAAAGACTGAGGTAATATGTTGCTTTCAGACCTGCTTTCCAGAAATACTAAAAAATTACTCCAGGCTGAAAGACAATGAGATCAGATGGTTACTTCAATCCACATAAGGAAACAGAGAGCAACTGAATATGTAATTATACAGGAAGGTAATTGTAAAATACTGCATAGATATACCTTTTTTTGTTTTCTTCTCTTAGTTATTTAAAAGTCAATAGCATTAAAAATTATAAATCTGTATTTTGGGGCTTATACTGTGTTAAATATAATATGTGTGACAATAATATCACAATGAAAGGAGAAGAAATAGAGCTATATTGGATCAAACTTTCTATGTTTTACTTGATTCAATTAGTTTTCATTGCAAGACATTATAAGAAATAAAGATGCGTATTATAATTCCTAGGAAAATTATTAAGATACACTTTGGATTCAAATACACAAATAAGTTGAACATAAAATGATGAAAACATTTATACTGTGCAAATAGTAAACATAGATAAATGAAATGGCCACATAAATATCAGAAAAAATAAACTTTAAGGCCAAAATATTACTAGAGACAAAGAGGGTCACTTTAAAGTAATGAAAATATTAATGAGGAAGTTATAACAATTATAAATATATGTACTTAAAATAGTGAACAGAATATACACACAAATACACTCATGAACTGAATGAATTTAAGAGAGAAATAGATAATGCAAAATAATAGTTGAATTCACCATTCCACGTTGATAATTGAGAGTACTGAAGAAAATCAGCAAGAAAACAGAAGACTTATATCAATCAATTTCACCTAACCGACATTTACAGAACACTACAAGGAGCAATAGCAGAATATACATTCTTTTTATGTGCACATGATTTAGTCTCAATCAATTTAAAAGGGTTGAAATACAAAATACTTTCTTTAACTTCAATAGAATTTTTTAAAGTATAAACCATATAAAGTATATTCTCAGGCCACAGTCGAATTAAATTAGAAATAAATAACAAAGTTATTTGGAAAATCTCTAATATTTGAAAATTGATCCACACACTTAACCCATGGATCCAAGAGGCAATCTCAATAGAATTTATAAAAATTGTAAACTGAATGAAAATACAACCTATCAAAATTTTTGGAATACTACTAAAACATTGATTAGAGGACAATTTATAGCATTGAATGTTTATGTTTGAAAAGAAAAGTATCTCAAACCAATAATCTAAACTTGCACCATAAGAATCCAAGAAAAGAATAGCAAACTAAACTCAAAGGTAGGAGGAGGAAGCATATAGAAGACTACTATTAGGTAAGCCTAGAAAAATTAGTTTGGACTTAGATCCTAATAGAAAATGCAAGCTTTGCTTTGAAAACCACAAAATTCCTCCTACTGTTTTTCACCATCTATTTGCTGGGAGTGCCTAGTTGACTATAAAATATTTTTATGTAGGCACTCATTTTCCCCAGCAGTAACCAGTATTAGCTATCAGAATTAACTACTTTAAAAGAGAGACGATTGGACTGACTTAACACTCGGTGAATTAGCGATGCCACAGGAAGACCAGGGTTATGATTCTGTACTCAGGGAGAAGAAAATATAATCCTAACACTATTTGGCTATGCCATGAGCAGAATTTACATTGATAGAGCAACATAAATACTGTTCTTTTTTAATTTTTACAGTATATAGCCAAAGCACATAAGACATAATTACAGTCACAGATTAAAATGCAAACATTTATCACTTTGATAATGTAGAAGATGGCAGATTATACATGGGACGAGAGGTAGAAGGGGGTAATATACTCATTTTACGGTGTGGAGAATGAAGAAATATCAGAATTTATTGAGCAAGAAGTAGAGTACATTACATGAAATTATAAATGTGATCATTAAAAAACTAAACAGAAAACGTAACATCTATCACAATAAGGTGGGTGGAGACTCAGAGTACTTTAAAGGAGTAAAATTATCCCATTTTATACTGGAGAGTTATTTTTTAAACTAAGAAATCCATGTTTGCATTTTATTTAAAATTATTGAGGTAACCCAAGGGACACACAAAAAAACAGAAGCAGTTAAGATAGATCATTTATGGGAAATAGACTAGAGATGGGAAGGAGCAGGACAGGAATTGTTATCTTTCACAGCCCTATTGTTTAATTTTACTTTTATCATGTGCAGCCTGTATTATTTAAATAAAATAACAAACAAAACCAACAAGTATAGATTCCACCAATGGTTCTGAAGCTCACCTCCTGGGTAAGGTATGTCTCACAGCTCAATAGGAGAAAAAAATCAAACACTGTGCAGCTGATTCGGGTAGATTAAACTGCATTACATGGGCTACACTTGTGTCATTATTCCTTAAGAGCTGTGAATCTATTTCTCCCTCTCTCTCATGTTATAGTTAAAGAAACTATAGCCCAGATCAAGCAATGCTAATAGTCACTGAGGACTAGAGCATCAGTCTCCTAACCCCCCAAATTGTCCTCATGCTATGTACAAATACACTTAAATCTCACAAATTCTTACTGTACATGTTAAGGAAAGGAACTCTCTTATTGGTGATCGCTTTGGTTTGGGTTTCCCAAAAAGCAGAGCCTGAGAAAAGTAATGTATTTGTGGGTGAGCGCTAAAGCAGGAGTAAGGGAAGGAGAAGAGCGCAGAAAAGTGGAAAAGCCGCCAATAACGTGTAACATTGGGATTGCCTGGGAGGGAATGAGGGCTCAGTTTCAGCAGTTCTTCCCAGGAAGTGAACTGACTTTCCGGGATTGTCAGCCCAGGGAAGAGGAGGCTGGAGCATTTGTACCAGCTGACCTCACCAGTGATTGAGGACTGTCATGAGGGCACTAAATTTCTCAAGCTTCCAGGCTGGGTTTACACACTCCTGCAACTATAGAAAAGTCTCTGGGTCAGAATCCAGAAGGTTAGATGGTGAATGCTTGGTAGAACTTTGTTGGGGCACTTAAAAATCCACTGTACCTCTTAGCTGAAATTGGAGGCTCAGAAAGGAATGTCACATGACATGGGGCAACAGAGGCAACTGCTAGGATCTCAGTAAATAAAGGCTCTTACTTTTGGTGTGATTTAGAATGATTTATAGCCAATTCTGCTACATCTCTATTCCAGCATATATTTTACAAAATAAATTGTCAGACATTTAGTCTGTTTTATATATGTAAGTACTTCATTACCATGAAGAAGTCATCAGTCTTCTGTCTACAGGTTATTTGAAATCCTCTTGAGATATTATTTTTCTATGTATATATATTGTAAACTGAATTTCCCTTGAATACTCATTACTGACGTATGACTATCCTGAAGACAAGCACAAAAATTTCACAAAGCCATATTTCTTTGACACTCTATTCTTCCCACAGGCTATGTTAGTCTAGTAATAAAGCAAATAATGATTTACTAAATGTTATTTATGCTGATTATACAGTTATTCACTAAGTGGCCTTTGACATACAATTCTCATATATTTTATATTCATTGCATAGAATGTCATATACACACACATCACATATTTTATGGGATAGTTTAATATGCTCACTTAAACAGATGTTTGCATGGAAGTTAAGCCTATTTGCAAATAGGCCATATAAAGATATATCATACTTTCAGGTAGTACCACATTTTTTAAATCTTTCAGAAATTTTTCATAATGTTTGGTAGTGAATGTGCTCTTCTTGGTTAAAAGTTAATTCCTAGTAAAGAATGCTTGTGATTTTTGTACATTGATTTTGTATCCTGAGACTTTGCTGAAGTTGCTTATCAGCTTAAGGAGATTTTGAGCTGAGACAATGGGGTTTTCTAGATATACAATCATGTCATCTGCAAACAGGGACAATTTGACTTCCTCTTTTCCTAATTTAATACCCTTTATTTCCTTCTCCTGCCTAATTGCCCTGGCCAGAACTTCCAACACTATGTTGAATAGGAGTGGTGAGAGAGGGCATCCCTGTCTTGTGCTAGTTTTCAAAGGGAATGCTTCCAGTTTTTGCCCATTCAGTATGATATTGGCTGTGGGTTTGTCATAGATAGCTCTTATTATTTTGAGATATGTCCCATCAATACCTAACTTATTGAGAGTTTTTAGCATGAAGGGTTGTTGAATTGTGTCAAAGGCCTTTTCTGCATCTATTGAGATAATCATGTGGTTTTTGTCTTTGGTTCTGTTTACATACTGGATTACATTTATTGATTTGCGTATATTGAACCAGCCTTGCATCCCAGGGATGAAGCCCACTTGATCATGGTGGATAAGCTTTTTGATGTGCTGCTGGATTCGGTTTGCCAGTATTTTATTGAGGATTTTTGCATCAATGTTCATCAAGGATATTGATCTAAAATTCTCTTTTTTGGTTGTGTCTCTGTCTGGCTTTGGTATCAGGATGATGCTGGCCTCATAAAATGAGTTAGGGAGGATTCCCTCTTTTTCTATTGATTGGAATAGTTTCAGAAGGAATGTTACCAGCTCCTCCTTGTACCTCTGGTGGAATTCGGCTGTGAATCCATCTGGTCCTGGACTCTTTTTGGTTGGTAAGCTATTGATTATTGACATAATTTCAGAGCCTGTTATTGGTCTATTCAGAGATTCAACTGCTTCCTGGTTTAGTCTTGGGAGGGTGTAGGTGTCAAGGAATTTATCCATTTCTTCTAGATTTTCTAGTTTATTTGCGTAGAGGTGTTTGTAGTATTCTCTGATGGTAGTTTGGATTTCTGTGGGATCGGTGGTGATATCCCCTTTATCATTTTTTATTGCATCTACTTGATTCTTCTCTCTTTTCTTCTTTGTTAGTCTTGCTAGCAGTCTATCAATTTTGTTGATCCTTTCAAAAAACCAGCTCCTGGATTCATTAATTTTTTGAAGGGTTTTTTGTGTCTCTATTTCCTTCAGTTCTGCTCTGATTTTAGTTATTTCTTGCCTTCTGCTAGCTTTTGAATGTGTTTGCTCTTTCTTTTCTAGTTCTTTTAATTGTGATGTTAGGGTGTCAATTTTGGATCTTTCCTGCTTTCTCTTGTGGGCATTTAGTGCTATACATTTCCCTCTACACACTGCTTTGAATGTGTCCCAGAGATTCTGGTATGTTGTGTCTTTGCTCTCGTTGGTTTCAAAGAACATCTTTATTTCTGCCTTCATTTCGTTATGTACCCAGTAGTTATTCAGGAGCAGGTTGTTCAGTTTCCATGTAGTTGAGCAGTTTTGAGTGAGTTTCTTAATCCTGAGCTCTAGTTTGATAGCACTGTGGTCTAAGAGACAGTTTGTTATAATGTCTGATCTTTTACATTTGCTGAGGAGAGCATATACACCATGGAATACTATGCAGCCATAAAAAATGATGAGTTCATATTCTTTGTAGGGACATGGATGAAATTGGAAATCATCATTCTCAGTAAACTATTGCAAGAACAAAAAACCAAACACCGCATATTCTCACTCATAGGTGGGAATTGAACAATGAGAACACATGGACACAGGAAGGGGAACATCACACTCTGGGGACTGTTGTGGGGTGGGGGGAGCGGGGAGGGATAGCTTTAGGAGATATACCTTATGCTAAATGACGAGTTAATGGGTGCAGCACACCAGCATGGCACACGTATACATATATAACTAACCTGCACATTGTGCACATGTACCCTAAAACTTAAAGTATAATAATAATAAAATAAAAAAAGAAAAGAAAGAAAAAGAAAAAGAAAAGAAAAAGAAAAGAAAAAAAATTCCTATTAAAAATAATATTATTTTGATGAATATTTCTATTTTAAAAGAAGACTGTTGAGTGAGACTCTGCCTAAAAAAAAAAAAAAAAAAAAAAAAAAGAAGACTGTTTCAGGTACTGGGGGCGAGAGGGAGGCTGGTAATTACCGCACTTTAGAAATTTAATTAACAAATAATGAAAGCCTGCTCTCATGTATATATGAAGACGCTGGTGCTGCCAGACCATCAGTCATCACAGGCTTTGTCAGGTTTTTTTTTTTCTTCTTCCTCACTAGTGCTGACAGACAGACCCACATTTATCCAAACTCAGTTTTCTTTCCTATGACCAATGGCAAAGCATTGTCAGATGAGTTGAACCCTAAGGTCCTTTCCAGGTCTAACATCCTACCCTTCCATCTTAGATTTATGAGGTGGTTGGCTAGAGTTAGAGGCATAATCTATCCTTACTGAATAGAGAAAAATTTGTAGACTAGACAGGAACCGCATCCACTGCCTCACTAGTATCATATCCCCAAACAGAGAATATTAATACAAGTTCTCAGTGGCTTTCCTAACTAAAATAACCTACCGTGTGCAAAAGAGAAAAAATGCAAAACTTATTGATAGATGATTTGTTCTGCCACAAAACCATCAGGACTCTTTATATTCAATATGATTTGGGTAAATATAAGTTTCAAGTAGAGCAATATCTATGCTCATTTATTCTTCTTTATTGTTTCCTCTAGTTTTGACTATTGAATTTTATTTTAGTTCTATATTTTAAAATTATAATTTATCTTTTTTTTAATGAGTGTAGTCTAAGTTGCCAAAGATCATGTGTGGACTGATATAAAAATTTTAAAAAGAAAAAGAAAGAAGGGAAAAAGAAAGAAGGGAAAAAGAAAGGAAGGGAAAGGGAGGGGAGGGGAGGGGAGGAGGGGGAAGAAAGAAAAAGAAAAAAATGAGCGGGAAGGAAGGAGAAAGAAAGGACACAATTCTTACTGCAAATTGCCCTAGTGCTTAGAGAAAATTACAATTTCCTATTAATGTCAGGAAAGATAAAGATAGGGGAAGAGATGGATAAAAACCCAGGGAAGATACATGCCAAGGACAGTTTTTAGAACTATGAAAATGTAACTCCTGCTCTTGTAGATGGAAATTGTATTCTTCATAAGAAAATATGTATAATAAACAAATTGCACTTTAACAAAACATCATTACTCTGTAAAGGCAATCACAGATTGACATGTATTACCAAAACTGACTTCAAAAATGATGACCTCAAAATTTAATTTCAGCTGTTAGAAGGGGAACAAAGAAGACATAAATAATAGACCGGTGGAGACTCTTCTTTTTCTTGGGAAATGGTTCCAAGGACACTACCATGTCCCTAACAACTCAGGAAGGTTTCCTACAACCTGAATTTTGGAAGATTATCTGTCATTTCAGGGAACACACTCCCCACAGTCTGTTCAGAAATCACTTCTCTGGTCACTTGCAACCAGAGCTGCTTGAAGCACAGTAAGAGAGCACTGGCCCACCCTCCCCAACTGCATCATGTCTGGGAGTGTGTGGCTGCAATTACAGGTGTCCACACAGCTGCATACTGTTTTAAAACTACTTTTCTATCTGCTGCCAGTGACTGTAAATTTAATCAGAGCACCTGCTGCCCTCTTACTTAGTTAATTCATAGTGATCTGCCTGAACTAAAGGAAATTTCAGAAAAGCCTCTGTTCTTCAATAACAAATTACCAGTCTCTACTTTGGCCTGAAGGGTCTTTGATTCATGTCATATTACACTTACACTAAGCACTGATGACAGTGGACACATTTAGTTTTTCTAAGTAGTGTTGGGGCTAGGGAACAGGAAATGACTACTAAGATTAAATAAAATGAGAAGATCAATTGTCTGCCTGAATATTGACAGCTGGGGAACTAGTCATCCTTGACCTCAGACATGAGGTATTTTTTTCACTGAGGGGTAAAAGCACTAGCTAATAATATTTTTGCCATAGTGATTGGCAGAGTGCAATAAAAATGTAATATCATTTACTTTTTGAAAATAATTTAAAGCGATACAATAGAACAAAGATAGCCTTTCAACAAATGGCTCTGGAACTACTGGACTGTCATATGCAAAAATAAATTAATTAATAAATCTAATGACAAATCTTATACCTCTCAAAAAAATTAACTTAAAATGGATCATACACTGAATGTAAAACACAAAACCATTAAACTCCTAGAAGATAGCACAGGAGAAAATCTAGATGACCTTGGGTTTGACAATGACTTTTTAGATGTAACACAAAAGGTACAATCCATGAATGAAAGAATCGATAACCTGAACTTTTAAAATTAAAATTTTAAATGTCTTCTCTGTGAAAGACACTCTCAAGAATATAAAAAAACAATCCATAGATGGTGAGAAAAGTACTTGCAGAAAATATAGGTGATAAGGGCCTGTTATCCAAAATGTACAAAGAACTCTTAAAATTCAACATAAACAGCCCAGTTGAATATCGGTCCAAAGACCTTAACAAACACCTCATCAAAGAAGATATACAAATGGCAAATAAACATATGAAAAAATGTGGCACATTGTATCTCATCAGGGAAATACAAATTAAAATGACGATGAGCAACCGCTACAAACCTATTAGAATAGCCAAAATCCAGAACAGTGACAACAACAAATGCTAATGAGGTCATGGAGCACCAGAAACTCTCATTTATTGCTGGTAGGAATGTAAAATAATACAACCACTTTGGAAGACAATTTGTAATCTTTCTACAAAACTGAACATATTCTTGCCATAAGATCCAGCAATTGTGCTCTTTTGTATTTCCCAAATGAGATGTCCACACAGAAACCTGTACATGGATATTTATAGCAGCTTTATTCATAATTGCCAAAATGTGAAAGCAACCAAGATAGCCTTCAGTAGGTGAATGGATAAACTGTTAGACAATGGAATATTATTCCGCACCAAGAAGAAATGAGCTACCAAGCCATGATAAGACATGAAAGCTTCAAAGAAATTCAATCTGTGTTACTAAGTGAAAGAAGCCAATCTGAAAAGATTATATATTGTATGATTCCAATTATATGACTATATGACATTCTAGAAAAGGTGAAATCATGGAGACAGTAAAAAGATCAGTGATTGCCAGGGGTTTGAGGAAAGGGAGAAATGAATAGGAAGAACAGTGAAAACATCTGTATGATACTATAGTGCTGAATACATGTAGTTACATATTTGTCCAAACCTACACAACACCAAAGATGAATGCCAATGTAAACTGTGGACTTTGGGTGGTAATAATATGTCAATGTAGATTCATCCATTCTAACAAATACACCACTCTGGTTGGGTATGTTAATAATAGAGGAGGCTATGCATATGCATAAGGTAGGTGGTATATGGAAAATTGCTATACTTGCCTTTTAATTTTGCTATGAACCTAAAACTGCTCCAAAAATAAAGTCTATTTAAAAATTTATAGTTTGTTGCTTCAAATCTCCTTTAGTTTCCAAATAACTATGATTATAACTTTTGTTTAGGCTTTATTTTAGGTTAGGACATACATGTGAAGGTTTGTTACATAGGTAAATTCATGTTACTGGGGTTTGTTGTATGTATTGTTTCATCACCCAGGTATTAAGGCTAGTACCCAATGGTTATTTTTTCCTCTGCTCTCCTTTCTCCCATCTTTCACCCTCAAGTAGATCCCAATATCTGTTGTTCCCGTCTTTGCATTCGTGAGTTCTCATCATTCAGCTCCCACTTATAAGAACATGAAGTACTTGGCTTTCAGTTCCTGTGTGAGTTTGCTAAGGATAATGGCCTCCACCTCCATCCATGTTCTTGCAAAAGACATTACCTCATTCTTTTTAATGACTGCATAGTAATTCCATGGGGTATATGTACTACAATTTCTTTATCCAATCTGTCATTGGTGGGTATTTAGGTTGATTCCATGTCTTTGCTATTGTGAATAGTGCTGCTGGAATAAACATTCGCATCAATGTGAATTTATGGTAGAATGATTTCTGTTCCTCGGTGTATATACCCAGTAATGGGACTTGCTGGGTTGAATGGTAGTTATGCTTTTAGCTCTTTGAGGAATCACCATACTGCTTGCCACAATGGTTCAACTAATTTACACTCACTCCAATAGTGTATAAGTCTTCCCTTTTGTCCACAACCTTGCCAGCATATGATTATAACTTTCATAAGCTAAATGCTTTTACTTTCATCCATCACACTATCTTATCTCAAGTAGCTTTGGAGACACTAGACAGTAGGACAAGAATAATAAAAACTTACAATAATTAAGTCTAGGTTATTTTCTTAATACTTGCCACCATTTCATTCCTACCAAAATATTTCCCAAATGATATGTCTTTGGTTCTAAATTTGGATTGTTCTCATATTAAAGGGTCACTCATGAATCCACTCTAGAACAATCATAGCCTTGCACAGGGTCAGTGGATTCTATATGCAGGGTGATTCCCAGAATCCTCCTCCTCTCTTTTAACATTGAATGACTGATTACAAACTTTATGAAAAGTTAGGTACCAAGTAAATGAAAAAATGAGGTCAGATCTATTCACAGATTTTTATCTTTTTAAAATTCAACTTTATTGAGATATAATCTGTATAAAACAAAATGTATCCATTTACATTGTACAATTTAAAGAGACTTGACACCGAAGTAAAATCTACCAAAACCTAAAAATAGAACATTCCTTCAGCCTCAAAAGTTTTTTTCTCTCATCCCAGCTAATTCCCCTTAATTTCCCAACTCCCAGCACCTGGTTCCAGGCAACCACTAACCATTTTTCTGTCACTATAGTTTCCTTTTCTCTTTTCTAGAATTTTATTGAAATGGAAACAATATATATCCTTTTGTATCTGGCTTCTTTTCCTCAGCCTGTTTTTGAGATTATCTTAAGTTGTTCCTTATATTATTAGTTTATTGTGTTTCTTCTCGATGTAGAGTAATATGCTATTGAATAAATATACATTATATTTATCCAGCCACTTGCTGATGGATATTTGGGTTGTTTCCTGTTTTTTGCTATTATGAGTAAAGCTGATATGAATATTTCTCTTCAGTAAATTCCCAGGAGTGAAAAGGTTGCCTTATGTATGTGTGTGTGTATGTATGTGTGTGTATGTGTTTTATTTTTACTTATTCATTAAGAAACTGGCCTTTTTCCAAAGTTATTTTTACCTCCAGCAGTGTATGACAGCTCTTGTTACTACATAAAGTCTCCAACATTTAGTCTTGTCATTTTAAAATGACTTTTAGGCATTCTAGTTAATTTATAGCACTGTTTCATTTTGGTTTTAATTTCTATTTGATTACCAATAAAGTTGAACGTATATCTGTGTGTTTCTTAACCATCCTTATATCTACTTTTGTGAATTATCTGCTCAAATCTGTTGCCCATTTTAAAATTTGATTATTTATCTTCTTATGATGTAATAGTTTTTAAAAATCTATTCTAAATTCAAGTACTTTGTTAGATACATATTTTGAGAACATATTCTCCTATTCTATGGCTTATCTATGTATTTCTTTAATAGCATATTATGAAAAACATTTAGAATTTTGTTGAAGTCCCACTTATCTACATTTTTTTATGATTTGTGCATCTTGCACAAACTGTAGGGCTCTCACATATAGAGCCCTAATTCTAAAGTTCCCTATGGATTAGTTCTCAAGTTTCTAACTCTGAGAATGGAGGGTAGGAGACACACATGAGTCTCTCTAGACCACAGGGAAAAGGCGGTGGTTTTATGCAGGTACGTAAGCACTTCCACAAGCTTTATTCTCTAGGAGCAGTGCAGATAGGAGGCTTAAAAAACATAGTCTCCTGTCTCTTCCTGGAAGGGACTTAAGACATACTCTTTCAGTGGCTACTTGGTAGCCTGGCTTCTAATTAACTTACATTGGGGAGCTAAGGGGGCAAACAAGTATTAGCTTACTGGCAGCCTGAGAAGCAGATCAGTACCTCTCAGGCCTTCAACATCCCCTCTGCCCAACCCCCACCTGGCTCACTTCAGTGATAATTCCAGGCCTGAAAGGAGATTGGCCATACTTCAAGTGCCCCAACTTTCACAGCTTTCACCTGAAGAACTGCATCCTAAACCTCCTAGCTCTGGAAGCAGAGGGGACTGGTATATGCATCTCTCTCTAGAACACAGGAAAAAAAGTGGTGCTTATACATGGGCACAAAGGAACAGCAGAGGAGGGGCTTTAAAATTGCAACTCCCTGTTTCTTCCCAAAAGAGGTATATGATAGACTCTTCCAGTGGCTACTTGGTGGCCAAGCTTCTAACTAACTTGCATCAGGGACTTAAAGGGGCAGACAAGTATTGGCCCACTGACAGCCTGAGAAGCAGATTGGTACTTGCCAGGCCTTCTCCTTGGCTCACCCTAGTGATAATTCCAGGTTTATTAATCCTCCTGAAAGAAATTTGTCCACACATCAACACCCCAACTTTTTACATGTTTACTGGAAGGACTGCCTGCCAAACCTCCTAGCTCTAGGAGTAGAGAAGACTAAGTATATGTGAGACTCTCTAGACCACAAAAAAAGTGACAGTTTCATGTGGGCAGGGGAGCACTTGCAGGGAATTTATCTCTCAGGAGCAGCACAGAGAAGGGGCTTTGAAAACACAGCTCTCAGTTTCTCCCTGGAAGGGGATTATACCATGTGTTGAGCACCCCAACTCTTATAGCTACCTACCAAAGGATTCCATACCAAATCTCTTAGCCCCAGAGCAGAATGGACTAGGCATATGTAAAACTCTCAGATCACAAAACAAAGAAGTGGTTTTAAACAGGTACGCAAATACCCCCTTGGAATAGTGCAGAGAGGAGACAGGAACAGGCATTTCCCATTTTCTCTCCAGAAGGGTCTTATAGCACACACTTCCAGTGGCTACTTGATAACCTGGCTTCTAACAAACTTGCATCAAGGAGCTAACAGTGTAAACAAACAATAGCTCTCCGGCAGCCTGAGCCAGAGCTTGGCACAAAATAAGCCTTTCTTCTGGCTCACCCCAGTGATAAATCCAAGTCTACTCGTTCTTACTGAAAGAGTTTTGATCATACACTGAGTGTGTTATAACTTTCACAGCTTACACTCAAGGGACTGTCACCGTAAAGACCTAGCTTTGGAATTGATGGGGCTTTGCATTTCTAATAGGCATAGACCACAGAAAACAAAGAGGCCCACTTTCAGCATCTATCTCCCCAAGATCAGAGGGTGCAGCCTGAATGTGAGTATAGGCATTTACCACAAATTCTTTCTCTGGCTTAGTGCAGAGAGAGTGGGAGATAGCACCTGTGCTCAGCCTCATTATGAAGATAGGAGAAACTGGAACACACATTCAACATACCAACACACCAGCTATAGCTAGACAGTCTGGCTTCTGCCTTACCGCTTTTGGGATACTGACAGTATGTGGCACATCCTAACCTTCAGGGGGCCACCAAAAACAGCAGTCTAGACAAATGCAAAGATTCAAGACGCACCTTAAAATCTCTGGCCGGACAGATTAGTGAGCTCTTTCTTCTACACGAGTCTAGTTTGACAAGACTGGAAGAGGTAGTTGTCATATCTAATATGGAAAGGCCAACACAGAGAGTCAGGAAAAATGAAGAAATGGGGATATATTCCAAATAAAAGAACAAGATAAATTTTCAAAAAACAACCCAAGTAAAGTGGAGATATATGGTTTACCTTACAGAGAACTCAACATAATAATCATGAAGATGCTCACCAGGGTCAAGAGAGCAAAGAAAGAACAAATTGAGAAATTTAACAAAGAAATGGGAAGTATAAATAATTACCAAACAGAGATTATATAGCTGAAAAATATGAAATAAACTAAATAATTCAATAGAGGGATTCATTAGCAGACTAGATCAAGCAGAAGAAAGGATTACTAAACTCAAAACAGCTAACTGGAAACCATACAGTCTGAAAAGCCAAAAGAAAAAAAGAATGAAAAGAAGTGAGAATAGTTTAAGAGACTTATGGAACACCATCAAGCATAACAACATACACATTATTGGTGTCTCGGAAGAAGGGAGAGACAGAGACAGACAACGTATTCAAAGAGATTGGCCTGGTGTGGTGGCTCATGCCTGTAATTTTAGCACTTTGGGAGGCTGAGGCGGGTGGATCACTTGAGGTCAGGAGTTCAAAACCATCCTGGCCAATACAGTGAAATCCCATCTCTACTAGAAATACAAAAATTAGCTGGGCATGGTGGTGCATGCTTGTAATCCCAGTTACTCAGGAGACTGAAGCAGGAGAATAGCTTGAACCCAGGAGACAGAGGTTGCAGTGAGCCAAGATTGTGACAATGCACTCTAGCCTGGGTGACAGAGAAAGACCGCATCTTAAAAAAAAAAAAAAAAAGAAAAGAGAAAAGAAATAATGGCAGAACGTTTTCCAAGTCTGAGGAAGACAATAGAAATACAAATCCAGGAAGCCCAAAGGACACCAAACAAGATGAATTTGAGGAGACTTACATTCAGACACATCACAGTCAAATCGTCAAAATTAAAGACAAAGAGTTTTGAAAGCAGCAAAGGAAAAGAAAATCATTACATACAAAAGAACCCCCATAAAATTATTACTGGAGTTGTCTGCAGAAACCTTGTAAACCAGAAGGGAATGAGATAATATATTCACAATTCTACAAGAAAATATTTTCAGCCAAGAATACTGTATCCAGCTACCCAGTCTTTCAAAAATAAAAGCATGATAAAAACTCATGCAGAGAAAGAAAAGGTGAGAGTTTGTCACTGCCAAGTCTGCCTTAGAAATGCTATAGGGAGACAGAGTGAGACTCCATCTCAAAAAAAAAAAAAAAGAAAAAAAAGAAAGAAATGCTATATGGGGGTTCTTCAAACTAAAAGAAGACATTAATCAGTAATGTGAAAGTATATGAAAATGTAAAACTCACTCATTGTCAAAACAAGACACACTAATACTATAATGGAGGTAGGTAAATCAATTATATCTGTAGTATAAAAGTAAAAGAGCAAAACTATGAAAAACAACTAAAGCTACAATAATTTATTAAGGGATACAATTTTTTTAAAAAATGTAAATTGTGACATTAAAACCATAAAACATGGGAGGAAGGGGAGTAAAATTGTAGTTTGTATATGTGATCAAAATTATATGTTACAGCATAAAATAGCCAGTTATACTTAAGATATTTTATGTAAGCCATGAGGTAACCAAAAAACAAATGCCTATAATAGATACATAAAAGATAAAAAGAAAAGATCTAACACATACCACTACAGAAAGCCATTAAACCACAAAGGAAGAAAACAATGGAAGAAGAAAGGAACAAAAAACAACCAGAAAACAATTAACCAAATGGCACTAGTAAGTACTTACCTAACAATAATTACTTGGAATGTGAATGGATTAAATTCTTAAATCAAAAGACATGGAGTGGCTGAATGGATTTTTTTTTTTTTAAAAAAGACCCAATTATATTCTTTTTATAAGAAACTAAATTCACTTAAAGGACACTCTAAGACAAAGTGAGGGGATGGAAAAAGATATTCTATGTAAATGGAAACCAAATGAGAGCAGGGGTAGCTATACCCATGTCAGACAAAATAGACATTAGGTCAAAAGCTTTAAAAGAGACAAAGAAGATAATTATTAACTTCGTCAAGAAGATATAGGCAGCAGATGGTGGATAGGAGACAGGGCCGCCAAGCAGCTCCCACTTGGACTGACAGAACAGCATGTGGAGACACACCACTCCTACAGGAACCACTGCAGATATGTACCAGGAAAACCAAATGAAAGAAGAATCCTTTGAAAGAAGTGGCAGGCCACTTCAAATTCTGTGAAACAGGTGAAAAACTCTGATCACAAAAGACATAAACCCTTGAGAGCTTTATGACCCTGCCTATTGCCTGTGAAACCCAAATACTTATCCTGGCCAACTTAAGGCAAGCTTATATTCACCTTCTATTATGGAGGCTGGTGCTGTCTTGAAAGCACCACCTCCTGGCTTGAGGCCAACCAATTCAGGACATTACAGCTACTCACGACAGAACAACCCAGCTCCAAGGAAGGCGAAAACAACAGCTAATTCCACTGTCTGCAACATCCTGGCTAACCAGTGGTCTTGAATCTGTCGACATGACAATTTCACTTTCAGCATTCGAGAAAACCAGCACACGAAATATATCTACAACTAAGGAATCTCAGAGAGTCTACTTCCCTCCCCTGCCACCTCCTCCAGAGCAGGTACTGGTCTCCATGGCTGGGAGACCTGAAGATGGATAACACCACAGAACTCTTCACAGACATTCCCCAGCACCAGCTCAGAGCTTGGTAGCCCCACTGAGTGACTAGACACAGAAGAGCAATAACAATCACTGCAGTCTGGCTCACAGGAAGCCCCATCCCTAGGGGAAGAGGGAGTGCACCACATCAAGGGATCACCCTATGGGACAAAAGAATCTGAACAACAGAGCTTGAGTTCCAGATTTTTCCACTAAAATAGTCTATCCAAATGAGAAGAAATCAGAAAAGCAATTCTGGTAATATGACAAAACAAGGTTCTATAACACCCCCAGAAGACATTAGCTCTCTAGCAATGGATCCAAACCAAGAAGAAACCTCTGAATTGCCAGAAAAGAAATTCAGAAGGTTGATTATTAAGCTACTCAAAGAAATACAAGAGAAAAGTGAAAAACAACTTGAAGAAATTTAAAAAAATAATACAGGATATGAATGAAAATGCTCCACAGAAATAGATTTCACAAAGAAAAGACAATCACAATTTCTGGAAATGAAAGACACACTTGCAGAAGAACAAAATGCACAAGAAAGGCTCAGTAATAGAATCAAACAAGTAGAATAAAGAAATTCAGAGACTGAAGACAAGCTTTTCTAATTAACACAATCAGACAAAGACAAAAAAATATTGTAAAAACTGAACAAAGCCTCCAAGAAATTTGAGATTATGTTAAATGCCTAAACCTAAGAAAAATTGGTGTTCCTGAGGAGGAAGAGAAATCTACAAGTTTGGAAAACATATTTGAGGGAATAATCTAGGAAAACATCCCCAGCCTCACTAGAGATCTAAATATCCAGATACAAGAAGCTCAGAGAACACCTGGGAAATACATCTCAAAAAAAAAAAAAAAATCATCACCCAGGCACACAGTAATCATGTTATCTAAAGTCAAAACAAAGGAAAGGATCTTAAGAGCTGTAAGGCAAAAGCATTGATAACCTATAAAGGAAAACCTATCAGATTAACGGATTTCTCAGCAGAAACCCTATAAGCCAGAAGGGATTGGGGTCCTATCTTTAACCTCCTCAAACAAAATAATTGTCAGCCAAGAATTTTGTATCCAGAAAATTAAGCTTCATATATGGAGAGAAAAAATCTTTTTCAGACAAACAAATGCTGAGATAATTGCCACTTCCAAGTCAGCACTACAAGAAATGATAAAAGAAGTTCAAAATATTGAAACAAAACCTTGAAATATGACAAAATAGAACCTTCTTGAAGCATAACTCTCACAGGGCCTATAAAAGGTATTCAGTAAACAAGTAGCATGATGAATAAAATAGTACCTCATATCTCAATACTAACATTGAATGTAAATGGCCTAAATGGTCCACTTAAAAGATACAGAATGGCAGAACGAATAAGAATTGACTAAGCAAGTACTTGCTGTCTTCAAGAGACTCACCTAACACATAAGGACTCACATGAACTCAAGGTAAAGGGGTGAAAAAAGATATTCCATACAAATAAACACCAAAAGCAAGCAGGAGTAGCTATTCTTATACCAGACAAAATGAACTTTAAAACAACATCAGATGAAAAAGACAAAGAGGGATATTATATAATGATAAAACGATCAGTCCAATAGGAAAAATATCACAATCCTAAATATATGTGTACCTAATGCGGGAGCTCCCAAATTTATAAAACTACTACTAGACATAAAAAATGAGATAGATGGCAACACAATAATAGTGGGGGACTTTAATACTCCATTGACAGCACTAGACAGGTCATCAAGACAGAAAGTCTAAAAAGAAACAACAAATTTAAACTATACCCTAGAACAAATGGACTTAATGTAAATTTTCATAACATTCTACCCAACAACTGCAGAATATACATTCTTTTCATCAGCACATGGAACATTCTCCAAAACAGACCATCTGATAGGCCACAAAACAAGTCTCAATAAATTTAAGAAAACTGAAGTTATATCAAACACCCTCTGAGACCACAGTGGAATAAAATTGAAAATTAACTCCAAAAGGAACACTACATTCAAAACTATACAAATACATATAAATTAAATAATCTGTTCCTGAATGACCATTGGGTCAACAATGAAATCAAGAAGGGAAATTAAAAATTCTTTGAACTGAACAACAATATTGATACAACTTATCAAAACCTCTGGGATACAGCAAAAACAGTACCAACAAGAAAGTTTATGGTATTAAATGCCTACATCAAAAAGTCTGAAAGAGAGCACAAATAGACAATCTAGGGTCACATCTCAAGGAACTAGAGAAGTAAGAACAAACTAAACCTAAACCCAACAGAAGAAAAGAAATAACAAAGATCGGAGCAAAACTAAATTAAATTGAACCAAAAATACCTACAAAAGATAAATGAAACAAAAAGCTGTTTCTTTGAAGAGATAAAAAAAAATTGATAGACAATTGGTGAGATTAACCAAGAAAACAATAGAGAAGATCCAAACAAGCTCACTTAGAAACAAAATGGCAGAGATACCACAGAAAGACAAAAGATCATTCAAGGCTACTATGAATGATCCATTACACACACATACATACTAGAAAATCTAGAGGGGATGAATAAATTTCTGGAAATACACAACCCTCCTAGATTAAATCAGGAGAAAATAGACACTCTGAACACATCAATAACAAGTAGCAAGACTGAAACAGTAATAAAATTATTGCCAGAAAAACGTCCAGGACCAGATGGATACACAGCCAAATTCTATCAGGTATTCTAAGAAGAATTGGTACCAATCTTACTAAATCCTCCCTAAATCATTATATGAAGCCAATAGCATCCTAATACCAAAACCAGGGAAGGACATAACAAAAAGAGAAAACTACAGACCAATATCCCTGATGACCATAGATGCAAAAATTCTCAACAAAATACTAGCTAACTGAATCCACAATATATCAAAAAGATAATGCACCATAATCAACTGGTTTATCATACCAAGGATGCAAGAATGGTTTAACATATGCAAGTTAACAGATGTGACACATTACATAGAGAATTAACAATGAAAATCAGATGATTATCTCAATAGACACAGAAAAAGCATTTGACAAAATCCAGCATCTCTTTATGATTAAAATTATCAACAAAATCAGCATAGAAGGGACATACCTCAAGGTAAGAAAAGCCATTTATGACAAACCCACAGCCAACATTGTGCTGAATGAGGAAAAGTTGAAAGCATTCCCTCTGAGTACTGGAACACAACAAGGATGCCCACTTTCATCACTTCTATTCAACATAGTACTGGAAGTCCTAGCCAGAGCAATAAGACAACAGAAAGAAATAAAGAGCATCCAAACTGGTAAAGAGGAAGTCAAACTGTCGCTGTTTGCCAATGATGTGATCATATACCTAGAAAACCCTAAAGCCTCATCCAAAAAGCTTCTGGATCTGATAAATGATCAGGATACAAAATCAATGTACAAAAATGAGTAGCACTGCTATACACCAACAACAATCAAGCAGAGGATCAAATCAAAAACGTAACCCCTTTTACCACAGCCACAAAAAACAAAAACAAAACAAAACAAAAACTTAGCAATATACCTAACCAAAGAGGTGAAAGATCTCTAACAAGGAAAACTACAAAATACTGCTGAAAGAAATCATAGACAACAAATACAAATAAATGGAATGCTCATGAATGGGTAGAATCAATACTGTGAAAATGACCATACTGCCAAAAGCAACCTATAGATTCAATGCAATTCCCATCAAAATACCACAATGTATTCTTCACAGAACAAGACCAAACAATCCTAAAATTCATATAGAACCAAAAAAGAGCTCACATAGCTAAAGTAAGACTAAGCAAAAAAAAAAAAAAAAAAAAAAAAAAAATTGGAGGCATAGCATTGCCCAATTTCAAACTGTAATACAAAGCTATAGTTACCAAAACAGCATGGTACTGGTATAAAAATAGGCAGATAGACCAATGGAACAGAATACAGAACCCAGAAATGAAGCCAAATATTTACAGCCAACTGATCTTGAACAAAGCAAACAAAAACAAAATGGGAAAAGAACACGCTACTCAACAAATAGTGGTAGGATAATTGGCAAGTCACATGCAGAAGAATGAAGCTGAATCCTCATCTCTCACCTTATATATAAAATCAACTCAAGACTGATGAAAGACTTAAATCTATGACCTGAAACCTTACAAATTATAAAAGATAACATCAGAAAAATTTTCCTTGAGTTTGCTTAGGCAAATACTTCATGACCAAGAACCCAAAAGTAAATACAACAAATACAAAGATAAATAGATGGGACTTAATTAAATGAAAATGCCTCTGCACAGCAAAAGAAATAGCAGAGTAAAAAGACAACACAAGAGTGGGAGAAAATCTTTGCAAACTATGCATCTGACTAAGGACTAATATCCAAAATCTACAAAGAATTCAAATGAATCAGCAAGAAAAAAAAAAAAAGCAATCCCGTCAAAAAATAGGCAAAGGACATGAATAGATAATTCTCAAAAGAAGATATACAAATGGCCAACAAACGTATGAAAAAAATGCTCAAAATCACTAATTATCAGGGAAATGCAAATCAAAACCACAATGAGATACCACCTTACTCCTACAGGAATGGCCATAATTTTAAAAATCAAAAAATGATAGATGTTGGTGAGGATGTAGTGAAAAGGGAACACTTTTACACTGTTGGTGGGAATGTAAACTTGTACAACCACTATGGAAAACAGTATGGAGATACCTTAAAGTACAAAAAGTAGAACTACTGTTTGATCCAGCAATCCCTCTATGGGTATCTATTCAGAGAAAAAAAAGTCATTATATGAAAAAGACACTTGCACATTGATGTTTATAGCAGCACAATTCACAACTGCGAAAAAATGGGGCCAACTTAAATGCCCATCAACCAATGAGTTGATAAAGAAAATGAAATGCTACTCAGCCTTAAAAAGGAATGAAATTATGGCATTCACAGCAACCTGGATGGAGTTGGAGACCATTATTCTAAGTGAAGAAACTCAGGAATGGAAAACCAAACATCATATGTTCTCACTTATAAGCATGAGGATGCAAAAGTGTAAGAATGACACAGTGGACTTTGGGGACTTGGGAAAAAGACTGGGAAGGGGGTGAGGGATAAAACACTATAGAATGGGTGCAGGGTACACTGCTTGGGTGATGGATGCACCAAAATCTCAGAAATCATCACTAAAGAACTTTCCCATACAACCAAACACTGCCTGTTTTCCCAACCTATTGATATTTTTGTTAAAACAAGAGAATACAGAAATTGTAAGTATATATGTACCGAACATTGGAGCACCTTATATATAAAGCATACGTTATATATAATGTACCTAAATATATAAAGCATACATTAAAATATCTAATACCTAAATATATAAAGCATACATTAAAATATCTGAAGAGAGACCTGGATGGCAACACATTAATAGGAGATTATTTCAATATTCCATTTTCAACACGAGATATTCAGACAGAAAAGCAAGGAGGAAACATTGGACTTGAACTACACTCTAGACCAAATGGACCCAACAGATATATAAGAACATTCCACCCAACAACAATAGGATAAACTTTCTTCTCAGGGCACACAGAATATTCTTCAAGGTAGATCATATGTTAAGCCACAAAACAAGTCTTAACAAATTTAAGACAACTGAAATCATAGCAAGTGTCTTTTCTCAACACAATGGTATTAAACCAGAAATCAATAACAGGAGGAATCATGGAAAATTAATAAATACACATAAATTAAGCAATATGCTCCTGAACAACTATTGAATCAAAAAGTTAAAGGAGGAATTAAAATATATATCATGAGACAGACAAAAGCGGAAACACAGAATACCAAAACTTATGGGATACAGCAGAAGCAGTTCTAAGAGGAAAGTTTATAACAATAAATATCTAATCAAAAAAGAATAAAGATCTCTGAAAAACAACCTAATGTTATACCTAAGGGAACTAAAACAAACAGAATGAACTAAGCTCAAAGTTAGCAAAAGGAAAAAAATAGAAAAGATCAGAGCAGAAAAAAATGAAATGGAGACTAGAAAAATTATAGGATTAACAAAGCTAAGAGTTGTTTTTTAAAAGATAAACAAAATTGACAAATCCTTAGCTAGAACAATTGAGAAAAAAGGGAAGACTCAAGTAAACTAGACATGAAGGACAGTCATTACAAATGATAACAGAAATACAAAAGATCATAAAAGACTACTATGAACAATTATACTCCAACACATTGGACAATCTAGAAGAAAGTGGATAAATGGATAACCTACCAAAACTGAATCACAAAGAAATTGAAAATCTGAACAGACCAATAATGAGTAAAAAGATTAAACCAGTAATTTGAAGTTTTCCATCAAAGAGAAGCCCGTGGCCAAATGGCTTTATGGCTGAGTTCTACCAAACATGTAAAGAATACCTACTACCAATCTTTCTTAAATTTGTCCAAAAATTGAAGGGAAGGGAATACTTACAAAGTCATTTTATGAGACTGGAAATGCCCCGACACCAAAGCCAGACCAAGACACTACAAAAACAGAAAACTACACATCAGTATCACCGATAAACATAGATGCAAACATTTTCAACAAAATACTAGCAATTCTGTTCAACATACTACTAGAAGTCTTAGCCAGAGAAAATAGGCAAGAGAAAGGAACAAAATGTATGTAAATAAGAAAAAAAATTGAAATTATCTTTGTTTGCTGACAATGTGATCTCACATATAGAAAACCCTAAAGATTTCACCAGTAAACATTTATAGCTGAAGAACAAATTCAGCAAAGTTTCAGGATACAAAATCAAATTACAAAAGTGAGTAGTCTTTCAGTACACCAACAAGGAAATTAAGAAAACAATTCTACTTATAGTATCATACAGGGCCGGGTGTAGTGGCTCATGCCTGTAATCCCAGCACTTTGGGAGGCCGAGGAGGGCAGATTGCAAGGTCAAGAGATTGAGACCATCCTGGCCAACATGGTGAAACCTCGTGTCTACTAAAAATACAAAAATTAGCTGGGCATAGTGGTGCGTGCCTGTAGTCCCAGCTACTCAGGAGGCTGAGGCAGAAGAATAGCTTGAACCCAGGAGGCGGGGTTGCAGTGAACCGATTTCATGCCACTGAACTCCAGCCTGGCGACAGAGCGAGACTCCATCTCAAAAAAAAAATCAAAAAAAAAATCATACAAAATATAAAATACTTGGGAATAAATTTAACTAAGAAAGTGAAAGATATGTCTACTGAAAAGTTATATAAAACATAAATGAAAGAAGACACAAATAAATGGAAATACATCTTGTGTTCATGGATTGGAAGGATTAACATTTTTTAAATGTCTATACTGTCCAAAGTGAGATACAGATTTAATGCAGTCCCTATCAAAATTTGCTTATTCTTCATAGAAATACCAAAAGCATTACTAAACTTCATATGGAACCCCAAAAGAAGACAAATAGCCAAAGCAACCTTGAGCAAAAAGAAACTTGAGCAAAAGAACAAGCTGAAAGCATCATACTACCAGATTTCAAAATATACTATTTTGTATAGTATAACAGCATGGTACTGTCATTAAAAGCAAATATATGAACTAATGGAATAGGATAGAGAGCCCAGAAATAAACCCACACAGCTATAGTCAATTGATTTTCAGTGAAAATGCCAAGAACTCACAATGGGGAAGGACAATCTATTTAACAAATGAGAGCTTGGAAAAGTGGATATCCACATGCCAAAGAGCGAAAATAGACACTTACCTTATCCTTTACACAAGTTTCAACTCGAAATGGATAAAAGACTTAAATGTAAAACCCGACACTGTAAAACTAACAAAAGAAAACAGAGGAAAAGCTGCATGGCATTGGTCTGCACAGTGATTTCTTGGATATGACCTCAAAATCACAGACACTAAAAACAAAAATAGACAATGGGATTGTATCAAACTACAAAGCTTCTGCAAAGCAAAGGAAGCAATAAATATAAACAGGCAACCTACAGGCTGAGAGAAAATACTTGTAAATTATATATTAGATAAGGGGCTAATATCCAAAATATACCAGAAACTCAAACTATTGAACAATAAAAATCAAATAACCCTATTTTAAAAATGGACAAAGAACTTGAATAGACATTTCTCAAAAAAAAAGACATACAAATGGGCAACAGATATATTTTTAAAATACTCAAATTCTGCAATCAGAGAAATGCAAATAAAAGTAACAAGGAGATATCACATCACAACTGTTAGATTGGGTATTATCAAAAGCATGAAAGATTACAAATGTTGGCGAGGAGAAAGGGAATCCTTGTACACTGCTGTGGTATTGTAAATTAGTTCAGCCATTTTGGAAAACATTATGGAGGTTCCTAAGAAACTAAAAATAGAATTACCAAATGATCCAGCAATCCCACTTCTATGTGTATACCTAGAGGAATTGAAGTCAGTATGTCAAAGAGATGTCTGCACTGTCATGTTTATTGCAGCATTATTCACAATAGTTAAGATATGGAAATAACCAAGATGTTCATCAGTGGATGAATAGAATTTTTAAAACTCGAATATGTATATACAAATGGAATAATATTCAACCATAAGAAAAAACCTGGAAATTCTGTCATTTGTGACAACATGCATGAAACTAGAGGACTGTTTTTGTTTTTTTTTTCTTTTTTTTGAGACAGAGTCTCGCTCTGTCACCCAGGCTGGAGTGCAGCGGCACGATCTCGGCTCACTGCAAGCTCCGCCTTCCGGGTTCACGCCCTTCTCCTGCCTCAGCCTCCCGAGTAGCTGGGACTACAGGCATCCGCCACCACGCCTGGCTAGTTTTTTTGTATTTTTAGTAGAGACGGGGTTTCGCCGTGTTAGCCAGGATGGTCTCGATCTCCTGACCTTGTGATCCGCCCGCCTCAGCCTCCCAAAGTGCTGGGATTATAGGCATGAGCCACCGCGACCGAAACTAGAGGACATTATGTTAAGAGAAATACTGCAGACACAGGAAGATAAATACTGAACAATCTCACTTATATGTGGAATCTATAAAAGTAAAACTCAGAAGTAGTGAGTAGAATGGTGCTTGCCAGAGGCTGGGAGTTCGAGGTGGATAGGGAAAGAGAAGATGACATTGGTAAGTGGGTACAAAGTTTCAGTTAGGTAGGAGAAATAAGTTCTGAAATTCTATTGCATACCATGATTACTATAGTTAATAATGATGTATTATATATTTCAAAATAGCTAAAAAGATTTTAAAGTTCTCACAAGGAAATAATAGTTGAGGTGATAGTATTATACTAATTATCCTGATTTGATCATTCCATAATGTAAACGGGTATTGAAAAGTAACATACAGCATATATATAACTGTCAATTTTTAAAAATGTAAAAAAATTAAAGTTGCTATAAACATTCAGAAAATTAACTGACCATATTGTTGTGGTGAATTTCTTATATAGTTGGGAATGCATTTGTATACCCAGTCTGATTATCTCTGCCTTTTACAATGTTTACACTCCTGTGATTTTGATGTATTTAGATGTTCAGACTCATGTGAATTTAATGTAATTAATATGCTTCTGTTTGAATTAACCATGTTGCTATATGTAAGGAATATTTTTCCTACTAGTTCTTTATTTTATTCCTTTTTTACATTTTGGAAGGTCTGTGTACTTCTTTTTTATTGTATCTATACTATTTGTCTGTACGATATATTTCCATGCTTCATCTACTAAGTGCTTGTCCTAGAGTTCATAACATGCATCATTAACTTAGCATGGTATACTTTCCGGTAATAGTATACTAATTCCAGTATCATCTAAGAATATTTTTCTTTCCTTTGTACTATGCAGAGTCATGCAATTAGCATATGCAGATGTAAGTCAAGAACATTTTGCTCACAGAGATTTAGAATCTCTCAAAATAGTCATTGTATCCATCAGTATAAATTAGCCTTTGTCTCAAAAAGTTAAGAAAGGGAATAAAAATATGATGAAAGGGTACATTAGTTAAGACTACATAATGACTATCACATACCTCATTTATATTGAAAATAATTATTTACATTTCTGATCAATAACTTATTTTTTAGTTTATGTATATTAAATCTGACCAAAATATGATGGAAAATACAGGATAAATTAAATATAAACCCAGCTTCCAAATAATTTATATTCTTTTATGAGCAGGAAAACATGACTTTTAGAAGGCTATATTGTACTGTAGTATTTATAATAATGTACTCAGAGACAGGTGCAAACGCTGTGGTAATTCAAGTCAAAAAGGACAACTAGGAGATAAGTTTAGAAGGAACCATTGAGTTGCTCTTAGGGAAACCACTAATAATTTTAATTACGTAAGTGGTATGATTAGAGTTTTGTTTAAAATCTAAAACTGATAAATGCATCAGATGACTTGGAGAGATAAATTAGGGAACTTCAGTAGTCCACAGGAGAGTCAATGAAAAGTCGAACTGAGATGGCAAAGAAAACAGGACAAAACATGTAGGTAATCAAACAACTGCTGTGGTGAGAAAAATAAGAACAAAAATGGCTGTGTGATGCTAGTATCTCAATATAAATTAAAGTAATAAGAAAGAATAAAATTTTCCTATATGGTGACAGTGGGAACTATGGAAATGATGAGTTTAAAGTGTCACTGAGGCATTCATATGAACATTGCTTAGGAGTCAGGTGAACATACAAGACTGAATTTGGGGGAAAATCGGGATTTTCTATATAATTTTACCTAGAGATTTGTACCGGCATGCCAAATGAAGCTGTTGGATGGGTGAGATATTTAATAGAGAGAATGTAGCAAGAGAGCAAAAGTGGACCAAGACAAAATTCAGAAATAGTGACTTTAGGATACAGGAACAGAAAGAGCAGCTTAAGAAGAAAACATGTAAGAATTCGTAAAGATATGAGATGATATCTCAGGTAGTGATTTTAAGGGAATCAAAGAAAAATTGAGGTGAAAGAATGAAAGGTCACCAGCAGTAATTGACATTGGAAGAATGAGAATTAAGACAAATCCTTGATTTAGAGACTTTAGAGGTCATTTGTGACATATGAGAGAGAAACTTCAGTTAGACTATTTGACAAAGTCAAATTTCACAACATTAGAAAAATGAAACCATCTATAAACATAGAATGATCTTTTTAGTAAGTAAAAAAAAAAAAACAAAAAGACTGTCAACATAGTCTGAATATATAATTAGACAAAGAAAAAGAGATTGATAAGTGAAAAGAAGGAGAGGGTTAATTGAGAGCCAAGGTGTCCAAAGAACAGAATAGAACCAGAAGAGGGAGTTTCAGAAAGGAAGCATATCATTTATTCTGAATAGGAGGGGAGAAAATAAGGAAGAATAAAGACAAAAGACCATTAAGTGTGAAGAGAGTGAAAACTCAAGGAGTTCTAGTCTGTTGTTCCTTGTCTATTCTGTGAAGCAGGAATGTGAAGAGTAGGCATGAAAGAAATGACTTCAGAGTGGGAAAGAGTGGCTTTCACAGCAGTGAGGACAGGAACCAGAAAGTGTCAAGAGGCAATGAGAACACCTGAGGTTAGACAGCATAAAAATCAAAGGAATTCCAT
Organism: Homo sapiens; assembly: GCF_000001405.40. NCBI lineage: Eukaryota > Metazoa > Chordata > Mammalia > Primates > Hominidae > Homo > Homo sapiens. The sequence continues at coordinate 125,654,707 of NC_000005.10, forward strand.
TGGGAGTTAAAGATTGTTTAGATATTTTCTGCATATTTGTCTACCTGTTTGAAGTTTTGCCAAATATAATGCTAATTCATGCCATGAAAATAAAGATTCTTGAAAATTCTTTATGAGAGAAATCTGGATGCCAAAGTGCTCATTTTGCTAAAATACTTTCAAAATTTGCTGTCTTATCCAAAATGTTTAAATCCCTACCTCATTCAAAGTAGACATTTTCTTGTATTTTAAATATCATTTTCCTTCATGCAAATGAGATAATTTTGAATATAAAAATAAATTGCTACAATGAAAAAGTTGAATTTATGTAGATAGGATTTTTTGTTTGTAAGAAAATCTTAATTTCAAGGATTATACAAAATCTGTGTTCTATAAAAATCTTAAAATTTACCTTCTAGTAAAATGTATATTTTATAAGAAATAAAAAATATGCACTAAGCCTCCTGAAAAAATGCTTACCAGAAATAGTTAACCTGCTGAACCTGTGAATAAACATTTCTTTGGTAGCACATGGTAGTATTCACACAATTGGATTCCAAAATATGTTTTTCCAATGTTATTTAAAAACATTCAGTTTGTGTAATGAACAACAATAGTGCCAGTAATCAAAGAAATCAGGATTGTCAACAGTGAGAAAAAATGTCTCCTAGCAACCAAGTTTCAATTACTCTTTGTTTGCTAACAAGCACTCAGATATTTCATGCTGGTAGCTTTATTCCAGAGAGTAATGCATTATCAAAGACCATGAGAGAGAGCTCCTGTTTTAACTGGCTTTCATTTCCAATCAAACATCTTGCAATTAATTTTATTAGTGTTTTAGACCTAATTTACTCTGAATAAGCCATAACTATGATTTGTTATTGTCATGTTCTAAAGGAATTGTAATATGGAATAATTATTTGTTTAAATAATGGAATCATGGGCATACAGATGATACTCCCACAAAGTAAAAATTTATTATCATTAATAATAAGATTAAACAAAATCATATCCCAGAATTGATCCCAGGAGGACCCTTTAGCTATTTTAGTTGAACTAGAAATAATACTGCTAATTAAGATATACCACTGACTGTCATAGCAGTAGTCACAAAGACCATTTACTGGTGCCTAATAAAAACTCTCTATTGCCAATAAGGATACATGTAAAAGTACACTCTTAGTTGAAATCTATCCAAATTATGAATATTATATATCAAAGTTTGGGAACATTCTCATTCAAAGCATATATACTAATTACTTTATACCATTTAAATTGGGTTAATGACTGTTAAAACTACACTATTTGAGCTGAACTTCTTCTGCATGTAGTGGGTGAAGCCTATACCTCTTACTTGTTTTTTATATGAAGATAATCCAGAGGATTGAATTTACCAGGAGCTCAGCGTTTGAGTAGAACCAACCTGGCAGTTGTTGATACAACAATTATTTCTCTCACTATTGGATTTTAGCAATCCATCTCATCTGGACCTACTAAAGAGAAGAGGTGCATGGAAAATAGCCAAAAAAAGATACTCAATAATATTGCAGCATTATTTTTATGTAATCACACACACATACATACACACATACATACAATTACAAGTCAGCATGATAAATAGCTGAAGTCCATACCAAAGTAGCCGAAGCTACAATTGTGTAGCCACTCAAAACATGTTTTCAAACTGTTCATTTGGACATAGATTTCTGTTTAATAGATATTTCATTTTTTACTTAATGATATTGGCATTATGTAGAAACTGACATTCTGTGTTCCAGATTAGATTCCGTAGAAATTTAGAGGTACTCAAATTGGCATTTATAAATATTCTTGGGTAATCTATTATTTGTATTATTCTTAGCTAAAGGTGAAAGATGGGTGATCTCATTTAAATTTACTTCAATTGAATAAAATTATCAAACTAAGTGGAATAATTTCTTTTAAGATTTCTTCACTTTCTTATAATTACCTAATTAACATATATACAACCTTTAAGACTTTTTTCTTTGATGCCTTCTGTAGCTAAAATGTCAAAATCTCTACTTTGTATGTAGAATTGTGAATATAAGTATATTTATCCACATTTTAACAATGTCTGTGGTTTTTGGCTCTTTCATATTACTTCCCAAACAGGAGGAATAAATCGCAGATCTTATGATGGTATTCAAGCCTACTTTTAGCATTAAGTTGCATATTCTACCTTTCCAAGACAGACTTATTGCTTATAAGTTATATAAGCACAGAAATAAGTGGGATTAAATATAGAAAATGATGAAATTGTCTAAGTACTAGTAATCCTCTTTGTTTTTAAAAAATATTATGAAATATAATAGTACAATATAAAATATATGCTTTAAAACAGACATTTTCTCAATAACAATTTTTTTTTATCTTCAAGAAAGAAGAGTTAATTGGAAAACAAAGATTTCAGTAAAGTGCTATTTTCAGAAGAAATAATTTTACCACGTTTGTCGAAATGCTGTTTTTACACAGTATACTAGAAAAAGATTAGCTACAGTCTGCTTTTGAGCAATGAGTTAGATTCTGAGCATGGAAATGCATCAGTTTTTAGAGGCAATTCCATAGCCACCATTTTTACAGTTTTAATATGAAGTTTTGCATGACAAATATAAAGTGATCTGCCTCCCCATCCTCGAGATAGTAAACAAAGGTGAAAAGAATTAAAAAAAAAAAAACCCACTAACAACACAGGGAAACAATACTCAAAGAACAAGACTCAAGAGACTTATCTTCTAAACTCAGTAGAACTGGATCTCTGCCAAATTATGTAAGTTCTTTGAGTCTTATTTTTCACATCAGTAAAGTGCGTATTCTGAATTAAAAGATATTCTTTGAAAACTAATCTATTTCCTCAAAAACATGGAAATATTCACGTGAGCATTCCGTGAGGGATGAGGGGCAACACTGTGACAGTGAATTCTGTCTATCCCATTGGCAGAACTGGGATTTTTATAAATGTTTCAGCAGGGAGACAGAAATGCCATCAGTGTCAATCTCTTCTTTCCACTGGGAATTCTGGCAAATCTGGACGTCAATGATATAGGTACTTTGCTGGTCTGAATTTTTTTTTATAACTCATTTATCTATGAAAAAAAGGCAAATTAACACATTCCAGGACAAACGAAAACAGAGAAGTTGGTACTAACAGACATATATTACAGGGAATGTCTGTAAGCTTTTTAAGGCTGAGATTAAGTGACCCTGACAGATAATTTGAATTAACATAAGAGTTTCTAGTTGCACATGCTTATACATACATGTGTGCATAGGCCAGAGGATAAAATGCATCGCTGCTGGCCAACAACTCATATAGTGGAGGCTTGAGCACACCATGCTTATTCCCAGAGTTCCAATGCTCTGCTTTTGAACCATTACCATGCCTTTCAGCAGCACTGTCAACAGAGCTCAGAGAAGGTCTTGAACTCCAGAGAATGAATGAGATATGCCAAATGAAGCATAATTACTTTATTGACGTCATTCAGCTTTCAACTCACATTTAATGAGAAAGCTTCTACTGCTTGAAACAGTGGGCCATTTGTAGCACATTATGCAAATGATAAGACTAATCTTTTGCATTATACATAAGAGCTGCTTATTGTGCATTAACTAATTTATCTGACTAGGAAGGGGCTATGAATGCTGATTTTTATTAAGCTCTTCATTAAGTGAAAATGTAGGCATGGCAAGTGCATATATTAGTATGTGCCTGTCTTGCATGGATGAATAAATACATATACACATCTAGTTACCAAGTGACATTCTTTTGGTGGCAAAAATCATCAACTTTAACTTTTTTTTAGTCACATCAGTAAGATGAGAAAGTGAAAATTAAACACTCAATGGAAAAGACTCTTGTATCATTAAAAAATCACCACTTTTTTTTATCATAGTCCTAAAAGTGTTTTTTAAAAGAACAGAATGTGTAGCCTAAAGTCAATAGTTTAAATCTTAAGTATCCTTGAGTATCCAGTGACTATTTTTATGATCATAAAAAGCCGACAATGAATAATTGAACACCAAGTCAAATTAATAACCTCAGTTTTTATATATGCTTAATTTGAGTAGAATAAAAGAAAAAAAGAGCAAAATAGTATTCTATTAAATATACAATAATCAATTTGGTCTAAATCTAGGCAGGAATGTCTAGATGAACACGTGAATAATGTAATCCTCACTTAATTAGCACATTTCATTAAGGCACACATTTAAAACAAACCCAGCCTCTACATAGACAGGCACATCTCAGCAAGTTGTGTAAAATTTGACCAACTTTCACAAGAGAAGAAATACCAAAAATATCACACTTTATTTGCTTGATGAAATTGATATAAATCTATCTTAGCCAATGTATATTGGGAACTCTCTATATGCAAATTGTTATGAGTATTTTAAGCTTATTACTTAAAAAAAATTTTAACAATCCTGTTAACAGCTCCCCAATAGGAGATGAGTAAGTGATTATTTCTATAACTGGTTTTCAAGGTGAAAAGGCTAAAGGAAATGAAATTAGCCTCTATCTTTGAAGATACTATATAGTAGCAATGACTAGGCAACAGACTGGGGAGGGGCAGAGATGCCGAATGCACCTCTGACTTCAAATTTGAGTTCTTAGTTTTAGTTCATTAAAATTAATGACCAATCACTGCATGTCATGCATGAGGAACAGCTCATTCCTTTATCAGTCAGGTAAACTGAAACACACACTACATGACACAAAACCAGCCCTGGGATTTGGCCATGAGCCCAACTTAACTGCAGAATGTTTATAAAATTATTAAAATTTATGGGTTGATAGCACTCTCAAGCAATTTATTATAGCTGTAAACCATTTTTAACTTTTGAAAACACAATAAAGTTGATTTAATAATCCCCCTAATCTTATACACAACTTCCTCCAGAATTTTCTTCAATTATGCCTCATAAATTACAATTTATTGTATATTAGAGAAACACTAAAAAACAAATACTTCATGAGAATTTCATCAGATTCATTTATTCTGAAACATTTGCCAGAGAGCATAACAAATTCACATGTGACCCCTGTACTCTAAAGAGCTGAAGTTCAAACCAAAGCCACAGTGGAGAGTTCCTTTGCCAAGGATAATAACTAAAATCTTCCCTTGACTTGAGCCAGGACCTCAGCTTTAATGAATGCCGGGTCAAGAAGTCATGAAGAAAGAGGGGGGCAGTTCTAGGGAAATTCTGTCTATTCAAAAAACAGCTTGAATTGCAAAGCACAGATAGTCACCGTCACCTCTTTGTAGGACTTTGTTAGAGAACAAGCAACTGAAAAGAGAGATCACAAAGAGGCAGTAATTTTAAGCACACATTGTGTTTTCCTCAGGAGCAGCAGGACATCAGTATAAGCCCATTTACTGAGATTTAACAACTTTTAAGTGAAAATTTCATACTTTTAAAAATAGAATTTACGTTTAGGATCCAGAACCCTGCTTGAAGTATAATCCCCAATTGCGTATAGTCTGCCTTAAGGCAGAATTATTTCCTGGACCCAGTAGGTCTTGTGACTTACAGAACTTTATTTTCATAATTAAAACAGAAGGTTTTGAAAGTATGAGGAATTCATCAAATGTAACAAAAAGAAAATATATTTATAATAGATATGCTTCCTGGTTCAATGGGGAAAGAAGGATGGACATAATCATTTCCTGAGGAAAGTCTATGTGCAGTCAGAGGAAATATTGTACCAACATTCCTTAAATATTTCAGGTTTGTGCCTTCATGCTCACTTTAGGAGGCTGGAGGCTGAAAGCCCTAGTCAAGTAAATTTACCATTGACTTTAATATGCTAAAATTGCAACTGGTGATTTCCTGGTCTTGCGGATACCAGACTTTAGAGTGAAGCTGGCTCTGGGAGAACCTTTCAGGAGCAGGGAATTACTTCCAAAATGAGAGTTGTTTTTACTTGGGATATCCACAGGATCTGTCTTCTTAACATGAACAAGATCCCCTCATGGGACTCAAGAGCAATCAGAAAACAGGAGATGATGCTATCATGGACTTAGTCATACCAAAGGAGCTTTAACAGTCCTAAGACCATAGTGGGCCTAGTGGTGTCAGTTTAAAGTCAGAACCCCATAGAAAACTTACCTGGGCTCTTGTTTCTTTCTTTTCTCCTTGTTTACTCTGCCCCTAGTGCCTGGTGCTCTAAATGCTTGACTATGATACATGCTGTTCAAAGAACAGGTCTATGTGCTCTCCTTTCCTTGTTCATGTGGTTGGGTGTCTATACCTGTACCAATGATTCTCCTACCATCTTGGCCACCATAGCATCAAGTAGACACCCAGCCTAAGTTGGGTCAATGAAATTCCTCTCCCTGAAATACTGAGATAATTAAATGTATAAAGCTGAGGTAAAATCCTGAAGACCAAGGATTGAGGGCACTATTTTGTGGTGACCATGATGACTATGAGCAGAAGAGACTGGTCTACAGAGGAAAAAGCATAGAAAGCATTATAGAGAGAAGGAGGAATAAGTGAATATGAGACCATAGGGAGAGCTAGAGAAAATATCTGTCCTCTCTTTTCCCTATGATTTATCAGTTCCTGTGACGTCTACATGTATTTCTAACTCTTGGATCCTTTATATTCTCCTGTTCTATAAAGCCCATTTTAATTTGATCTAGTATGCCTACACTTCAGTAAATAACCCATCTTATATTCAAGAAATAAAAAATAAAATTACAAAGTATTTTGAACTAAATTAAAAGTTGATTCTTTTTGTTTTTGAATTTTTTTATAATTTCTACTTTTATTTTAGATACAGGAGGTACATGTGTGAGTATGTTACATGGGTATATTGCATAATGCTGAGGTTTGAGCTATGGAACCCATTACCCAGGTAGTCAGCATAGTACCCAATAGGTAATTTTTCAACCCATTCCCCCCTTTCTCCCTCCCTGTTCTCATAGTCTGCAGGGTCTATTGTTTGCATCTTTATGTCTATGTATACTCAAAGTTTAGCTCCCACTTATAAGGGAGACCATGTAGTATTTGGTTTTCTGTTCCTGCATTAATTTGCTTAGGATTATGGCCTCCAGTTGGATCCATGTTATTGCAAAGGATATGACTTTTTTATGGCTGCATAGTATTCCATGGGATATATACACCAGAATTTCTTTATCCAACCCACCACTGATGGGCACCCAGGTTGATTCCATGTCTTTGCTTTTGTGGATAGTGCTGCAAGAAATATACAAGTGCGTTTGTCTTTTCAGTAGAATAATATTTTTTCCTTTGGGAATATACCCAGTAATGGGATCGATTGGTTGAATGGTAGTTTTAAGTTCTTTGAGAAATCTCCAAACTGCTTTCCAGTGGCTGAAGTAATTTACATTTTCACCAACAGTGTATAAGCATTCCTTTTTCTCTGTAGCCTTGCAAACATCTGTTATTTTTTGAATTTTTAATAATAGCTATTCTGACTGGTGTGTGGTGTTAGATTGTATCTCACTGTGGTTTTGGCCTTTGATTATTAGCGATGCTGAGTATTTTTTCATATGTTCATTGGTTGTACATCTTCTTTTGAGAAGTATGTTTGTTCATGTCACTTGCCCAGATTTTAATGAGGTTGTTTTTTGCTTAAGTTCCTTATAGATTCTGGATATTAAACCTTTGTTGGATGATAGTTTGCAAATATTTTCTCCCATTCAGTAGATTGTCTGTTTACTCTGTTGATAGTGTCTTGTGCTGTGCAGAAGCTCTTTAGTTTAATTAGGTCCTATTTGTTAATTTTTGTTTTTATTGCAATTGCTTTTGGTATCTTTGTCATGAAATCTATGCCAGGTCCTATGTCCAGAATGGCATTTCCTAGGTTATCTTTCAAAGTTTTTATAGCTATAGGTTTTACAAGTCTTTAATCCATCTTGAGTTGATTTTTTATAAGGTATAAAGAATGGGTCCAGTTTCAATTTTCTGCATATGGCTAGCCAGCTATCCCAGCACCATTTATTGAATAAGGGGAGTTCTTTGCCTATCGCTTTTGTCAGCTTTGTCAAAGATCAGATGGTTGTAGGTGTGCAACTTTATTTCTGGATTCCCTCTTCTGTTCCATTGGTCTATGTGCCTGTGTTTGTACCATTACCATGCCATTTGGTTACTGTAGTCTTAAAGTATTGTTTGAAGTCAGGTAATGTGATGCCTCTAGCTTTGTTCTTTTTGCTTAGGATTGTTTTGACTATTTGGGCTTTTTTGATTCCATGTGAATTTAGAATAGTTTTTTTCAAATTCTGTGTAAAATTATCTTTCATTTTCATTTTCTGATTACCTTAGATTACATAACCCATTCCTTCAACCCTTCTCTATATGTTGTCAGCATCTTTGTGTCCTTTTATCCACCCATCCATAAAAGAGCCAACACAGAATATCTGTTTTCAAAGCCTGTACCAGGCTGATGCGTTAATGCTGCCAGAGTAAAACTACATCTGTGGTGACTACTCTCAGTATGTCCTGTAAAATTGCCCAGCAACTTGGTTTTGTTTGTAACAACTAATTCTGCTTGTTGGGAGGACATGCCCAAAGGCAAGGCAAGGGGGCAGCCTCTACAACTCTTCTAGGTGGGAGACAGTGGGTATCATCATGATATCCCTCAATGGCAGCATATCCTGCTTGTAAAGGAGGGTTTTTTTTGATGCGCTGCCATCTATAAACCAATCTGGGGCTCCCTTTATGTGAGTGGAAGTAAGGTGGTGAAACATGGTGAGAGAACTTTCAATGAGATCAGTGTGAGTGTTGGTCGGAGTTCAAAATTGGTGTTGAAGGTAAAAGAGTGATGGGATTATGATGGGAGTATCTATGAGGAGAGATAGAGTGTTGAAGGAGAGTTGAATGCAGGGCTTGCGTGCAAGAGGATGAGGTGGAGGTGAGTGCCTTATGGCTGAGCATATCTTGTAGACTGTGAGAGGAAAATACCTGAAGGGGTTCATAGAATGTGAGTTTTTGTGCCTCAGGGATAATTAGAGAGGTTGTGGCCAAAACTTTTAAGCAAAGGGGCCAGGTTTTGTAAATGGGATCTAGTTGGTTTGAAAAACATGCCACTGGTTGGAGGGAATCTCCCATGGGTTAGGCTAGTAGTCCAAGGGCCTGATTATAAGAAGTGTGTAAATATACATAAAAAGGTCTTAGGGGATTTGGAAGGCCTAAAGTGGGGGCCTGTAATAAAGCATGTTTTCGGTGAGAGAAAGCATGATAAACATCTGGGGTGGGATTGAGTGGTTGGTCAATATTTCCTTGTGTGTGTTTATAAAGGAGTTTACTGATAATAGAAAAATTTGCTATCCATAATCAGAAATATCCCACTTATCCAAGGAAAGAAAGTAAGTCCCTTTTTGTTTTAGGAATTGGGATTTGTTGAATGCCTTGCTTTCATGCAAGTGGAATTTCTTGAGTATTTCGAGTTATGATTAATCCTAGGTATAAAGCTTTTGGAGGTTAATTGGGCTTTTTTTTTTTTTTTTTTTTTTTTGGATAACTGGCACCCACATTCAGTGAAAAATTTTAAAAGCCTGGTGGTATGTTGAATACAATGTTTTAGAGTGGGGCTGCAAAGCAGTCAGTCATTCACATATTGAAGCAAAATGCTAGGTTGTAGAGGTAGATGGAAAAGGTCCAACTGAAGTGCATGACCAAAATATTGAGGGCTGTCTCTGAACCCCTCGGGGAGGACAGTCCAGGTAAGTTGTTGGGAATAGCTTGTGCCAGGGTTGGTCCAAGTGAACCCAAAAGGTTTTGAGAGGAGGGATGTAGAGAGATAGTAAAAAAGGCACCTTTGAGGTCTAATACAGAGAAACAGCTAGTGTTGGAAAGAATTCATGATAGGAGGATGTAGGGGTTTTGGACAACAGGATAAACAGGAACCATAGCAGAGTTGATTTGTCGTAAATTCTGAACCAGTCTATAGGAGCCATCTGATTTTTTAATTGGGAGAATAGGAGTATTGTGGGGAGAATGGGTGGGGATTAAAATATTGGCAGCTGGAAGTTGGGAGATGGGCTTGAGTCTCCATAATCCATTAGAGTTGAGGGGAAATCATGGGACCACTATATAGTACTTAGGATCCTTCAGTGAAATTTGAATCTGAATGGCAGGTAGCTATTATGGGGGAGTCGGTGTTCCATACTACGGGATTTATATGGATGAGGAATTTGGAATTTAAGCCTGTTTGATGTGGAGTGTCTGAGGAGAGGCTCTGTTCTCAACATAATAAATACGGGGTTTCTTGTGTGCCTTTCATACTAATGACAGAAACAGATGAATGTTCTAATAGGCCCTGATATTCAGTTAATACCAGTAGGCTCACCCCAGTATCCAAAAGAAAGGAAATAATCTTACTGGATACCGTCCCAATTACCCTGGGTTCCATCACTAGATATGTGGGCAAAGGATCCCAGGCACCCTCAGTCTTCCATTGTCAGTGACAGCAGTGAAGAGATTTCCTCCTGTGATGGTCAGGGGCCTTCATTATGAGCAGCACCCAAACAGGGAAGGTGTCCCCATTGGGGGCAGTCTATTTTCCAGTGTCCCCAAAGACCACAAGTTGGGCATGGTTTGGTGGGGGCCCAGGGGTTAAGACAAGCCTTTGCCCAGTGTCCAGGGTTGCCACATTGGAAACAGACTCCCGGAGAGGTAGAGGAGTTTCCTTTTGGGTTATTGAGAGGCTTTTGTGTAACTGACTTTTGGACAGCAGAGGCAAGCATCTGGTATTTTAAATGGAGATATTTGTCTTTTTGAATCTTTTGTTCATCTTTGTTGTTAAAGACACAGAACGCTACATTTAGGAGTTCCTGCCAAGATGTCTGGAGACCCTCCTCTAATTTTTATAATTTTTTTCTGGATGTCTGGGTCACATTGAGAAATTAGAGGTGAACAAAAGTTTGACCTTCACTAGATTCTGGGTCCAAATTGGTATATTTTAGCATAGCTTCAGTGAGGCATGATAAGAAAAGGGCAGGATTTTCCTGGGGCTTTTATGTAATTTCTCTTTCATAATTAGCTGCCTTATGGACATTTTTGTCCATGCCCGCAAGGAGACAGGTAATCACGTGGTCTCTTCACCTGATGCTACTGTCTCCCTGTTGGTAAATCCAAACTGAGTCTCTATGGGGGACTGCATCATTGGCCACTGAATTTTGTATAGGGGCTTGATTGTGGAATTCATCTGCATGTGTTTCAGCTGAACCCCAGATGCGTTATTTTTCATCAGGAGTGAGGGTGGAGGTTAGAATTATATAAGTATCATGCCAAGTTAAATTAACAGATTGGGTTATGTGGAGGAATTCTCTGTGATAATGAGAGGGATTCTCAAAGAAAGATCCCAGACGCTGTTTGTTCTGTGACAAATCAGACATAGAGAAAGAGACATGAATGTGAGCAACACCTTCAACCCCAGCTACTTCCCAGAGGGAGAATGGCAGACGTGGTCTGACTGGCTGGAGTAGTTTTTAAATGGGTAATGGGTGAAGGAGGAGGGGTGGGGTTTAGGGTTAAAGGCTTGGGGGCAGGAGTGGCCAATGGGGCAGAGGGTTTGGATGGGTGAGGAGCAGATACAGGGGTTTGAGAATACGGAGGGGGTTCACCTTCAAGGTCAAAACAGGTTTCAGAGGAAGGAGAGATCCAGGGAGGGTTTCCATTAAGAAGAAGGATTTCATGAGGGGTACAAACTTGACATAGGGAGGGTTGGCATTTAAGGTAGAAGAAAGCCTGAATATAGGGAACTTCTTGCCATTTGCCATTCTTGGTTATAAAGTTGGCAAGGTCCTTGAGAATTTGAAAGTCAAAGGTGCCAGTTTTGAGCCATCAGCTGTCATTATCTAATTTGTATTAGGGCCAGGCTGTGTTGCAATAAAAAACTAAATGCTTTGACTTTGGGCTCCCCCAAAAGCCAAGTTTGGTGAGGTTGTAAAGAAGACAGCCCAGTGGAGAATATGTGGGAATGTGGAATTGTTTGGCACCCATGTGGATGGGTAAGAGGCAGCCAAGGGTATCTGGTTTTGTTCTAGGCATCCCCAGAAAGAAGACCCAGAATCTTCTTTCTGAAGAGGATGGTTAAGCTGAGAAGAAACTGGGTATCCCCAGGATTTCTAGCTTAGCCCCACTGGTCCTCCGAGGATCAGTACAGCAGACCAGACTTTCTCAGGTACCATTAGAAAGCCAGGGGAAAGCAAATCTTACCAGCATGCTGGATTAGGGTCCAGTGTTGGATGTTCTTGTTGGAATCAGCAAAGGGCCTCCCGAACTGGAGCTATGCAAGGAAGAGAGAGAAAGAGAGAGAGGAGGGAGGAAGAGGGAACAAGAGATAGAGAGTGAAATACCTATTGTGGGTGGTTGCTGGTGGATTCCTGAGACCTGAGGGTTTTGAGAGCCCACTGCAGAGTAGCCCCAGCTCAAGCCTCACAGTTCGCTTCAGATTAGTGATTCATGCAAATCACTCAAAAAGTGAAATGACAGAAAAGATGGGGCGGGTGGCCAGAGACTCAGGATCCAGGAGTTAGCCTGGGATGAGCTGCCACTGCCCACCACTTCCTGGGTTGCAAGAGATCCTCTACCTTCCACACCTGTCCTGGGTTTTGGCACCAAATGCAAGAGATGAAGAAAGAAGAAACAAACACAAAAAGCAGCTCAACAGTCAAAGACAGGCTTACTTTGGAGAATAAACCTGAGAGGAGCTTCTGGCCAATTTTGATCAGGAGCATTCTCTCTTACAGACTAAGGGTATTTAAAGGTTTAGGGAAGAAGAGCTTATCACAGGTTCAGGATGTTTCTGTGTGGAGGAGCATTTTATTGTATTGTGGGGTTGGAATGTCTCTGGTTGGAGGGGAGGTTATCTCGGGGCTGCCATGACTTTGGTTGGAGGGGTATTTATCGCAGGGTTGGAATGTTTCTGGTTGGAGGTGTTATTTGTGGTTTATGGTCATGCTGACATTAACCATTAGGCTGATGTTTTTTGGATTGCATTTAGGCAGTTTTTAATCAAGGGGAACTTAAAATGAGGGTGTTTGTTCAAGATGGTGAAGCTCCTGCTGTCAATGTCAATAGCTTGAAATTGGCCATTGTTAGAGTATTGACACTACAAAAATGAGCAAATGTTACAGATCAGAGCTTATTTTCCTCTCAAAGCGCGGGTTTTAATTCTTTACAAGCACACTGCCTTCCTCCAGTGACATCTAGAGAAGATGGTCAGGAGAGGTGAAAATTGTGGAGGGAAAATGAATGAGACAGTAACTTTGTATTTTATCTTTGTGATTAGAGAATGACTCCCTGCAAAGAAAGGGAGGATGCTTAGTAAACACCTGGTTTGTACATATAAGATAGGAAAATTTGTTTTGAACTGAAAGCTGTAGTCCAAGTATATATTGTTGCTAGATTACATAGTGCATGCTTCATTTGTACAATCTCTTAATTGATTTTACATCAACAAATGGGAGGCATATGACACTACAAATATTTTAATTATGTAACTACAGATATTTTACTTATATAACTACATCTTGATCTGTAGCAAGCACATGCAGTAATTAGATCCAGTTAGATTTTTTCTTTCCCAACTTATTGCCTGAGGTAAATGGCTCTTTGTTAATTTCGAGCCTTTAATATAAATAGCAACACTTTTAAAAAGTTTTTGAGTGTCTGGGTCTGCAGAAATTTTAAAAAGTACATTGATTCTATTATTGAAAAAGATTTTAATAATCACAAGATCTATTTGCGTACATTGGAAAGGAATCAAAATTTTAAAAATGGGTATTAAATATGTCACTCCATCAGTTACTAACAGTGATAAAAGTATCCTACCTATTTATATTTTCTGATCCTCATTTTCCTCATTTGTAAAACGGGGTTATGGTACCTTCCTTTTATGATTGTTGTAGGGATTAAATGAAATGACCTCCAATAAAAGTACTATATAGTGTCTGGCACTTAATAAATGATTGCAATTTTTATATTTTGCTGTCAGGATATAAACAGGTAATCATAATATTTACTGTGGGAACTCTTGGCAGATTTCGTTCCAGAAGTGCATGCCATATTTATTCCATAAGATTCATTATGTTGTTTTCCCTGTGTAATTCCTTTGCATGTCTTATGCATGTAGGCAGTATATTCAGATACAAGACCCTGGCATAACTACGGGGTTATTTGCACTTTAAGGCTTTCTGAAAGAAACCTGTCCCATGAGGTTCATTTCCTCAAACACTGTAAAACTGCAAAGGAAGCAGCTCTTCCTCTCACAGTTCTCAAGTCCTGAAGCAGTATTGCCTTTTATCTTCAGCTGCTTACAAGTCCTCAGAACTCTTGGGGGATAATTGCAATGTAATGCTTTACAGCTGCTTGCTAGGTAATTTACTCAGCTGCCACCACCTGAGGAGATTAGCAGGGATTTCCCCTCCTGACACTGGGCCCCTGGAATTTACAGTCTTTTCCCTTTGTCTTCTGTGGTGGTATCAGTCATCTCCCTCAGGGTTCACTAGGGAGTCAGCCATTTTAAAGTACACAAGTCATTTGCCTGCTGGAGGAAATACCAGGGAACCAATCCTAAGCAGGCTCAGGTAGCTTTCAGGGCATAGTCTCTCTTGGATTAGCCAACCCAGCTAAACCTGAAGTATTACCAGGCTCCTTTGTGTCCATGGGGCCTTAAAGCAAGGCTCTTAACCTTTTCATGTGCCATGGACCCATTTGGAAGTGTTATGGGCTGAAATGTATTTCCAATAAAAGATAAGTTGAAGTCCTAACACCACCACCCCCTTACATTAGAACGTGATCTTATGTGGAAATAAACTCTTCACAGAGGTAAGCAAGTTAAGACAAGGTCATTAGGGTGTGCCCTAATCCAGTATAACTAGCATTCTTATTTAAAAGGAGGAAATTTGAATGTCAAATGAACATGAAGGCGGAGATCTGAGTGATGTACCTGCAAGCCAAGGAATGCTAAAGATTGCCAGCAGAACAGTATAAACGGGGAAAGAGGCATGGAACAGATTCTCCCTAAAAGCCCTCAGAAGAAACCAACCCTGCCAACACCTTAATCTCAGACTTCTAGTCCCCAGAACTATGGGACAATGAATTTCCCTTCCTTAAGCCATCCAGTTTATAATACTTTGTTAGGACAGCCCTAGATAACTAACACAGGAAATCTGTGAAGCCTCTGGATCCCTTCTCAAAATAATTATTTTTAAATGCATAAAATAATGTGCATAAGATAACAAGGGAAGTCAAATATATTAAACTATTATCATTTTTTTCAAAAACGACATTTTGATTCAGTCATATATGTACTCCTATATTAGTATATTAAATAACAAGATCTAGTGGTGGGTCAAAGAATGTATTAGTCTGTTCTCATGCTGCTAATAAAGACATACCCCAGACTGGGTAATTTATAAAGGAAAGAGGTTTCATGGACTTACAGTTCCACATGGCTGGGGAGGCCTCACAAACATGGCAGAAGATGAAGGAAGGAAGAGCAAAGGGACTCCTTACATGGTGGGAGGCAAGCCAGTAATTTCAGGGGAACTCTCCTTTATAAAACCATCAGATCTCATGAAACTTATTCACTACCACGAGAACAGTGTGGGGGAAACCACCTCATGATTCAAGTATCTCCACCTGGCCCTACCCTTGACATATGGGGACTATTACAAATCAAGTTGAGATTTGGGTGGGGTCACACAGCCAAACCTTATAAAATAAGTACTGTAATTTCAAAATATGGATGAGTATAAAGGACATTTTGAGATCTGCAGCAACTTCAGTGTCATATGGAAATATCCATGACTTCTATTCGTCATGGGTACTGCTATTATTACTATTGCTGTTGCCAATACTCATAATTGAAGGAAATTATAAGTTCCAGTTAGAGATAGTGGAAATTAGGGTGTAACTTATTTCTCATGCAAATTCTTTGACCATCTAAGTTCCCTCCACAGGCATCTTGGGGGTCCATAGAGTCTAGGCTAAGAAACTCAGCTTTCAAGTCTTCAGTTCACGGAATCTTCCCTATTAAAACCTCTGATCACTTTGTTTATTCATACATACTCATTTATAACTTGATCTCCAGTCCCAGACTGCATCTTTCAGTATATTTTAGTGGTAAGATTCTTTTCTCTTTGATTTCCAGTTGATTCCTCAACACTGCCAAGAGGTTATTTTCCTGGGCCTGACATTGACCTGGAAATTGGTTTTGGAGATTACTAGAATTTAATATTTCCTTTGTTGTGGATTTAGAGCTTCCCACTGAAATTTCCCAAACTAAGCCTCTGCTTCTCCTCTTTGTTTCCCCTTCTTACCTGGAATGTATGAAGTTCAGTTATTACTGGCACATATTAGGCTTAGAAATATTCATGTTCACTCATTACACCCACTTGTAAAAATCTGTTCTCAGTTCTTCCCATACCCACATCCTTTCATGTAAACTCAATCCACTGCTCTCATCAGTATGAAATGAATCTCCTATGACTTTGGCAAACCCCTACTCCAGCAAGAACTATATATGAAGTCTCCAAGCTGAAGCAGATCTTGGTTTCACTATCAAGGTCTCTGGGAACACCTTGACTAGGTCCTTGACATATGTCTACCCAGTAATACAACTTCGTTGCTTTCACTTCCTGGGTATGTTCCACTTCTTTATCAGCCTTCATCCAAGATTTTTGATGTTCTCCTCTGAGCACCCTCCTACAGCCTGCATGTGGCCTTGCTGGCTTAACACATTGACTTGCCTTTAAATTTCACTGTTGAATCCTCTGATTCTCGACTGTCTCTCCAACGTAACACTCAGATACTATATGGTAATTTATTTAAGATAATGTCTTTGGCTGTATCTCAGGATTTGCTGAATTACTAATTTCAGGATACTTTTGTTTCTATATCCATTGTCTCAGATTCTATTTATACCTTCCAGTTACACCTCAGGCTCTTTGAGCCGAGGTACTGCCTAAGTAATTCATGTACGACATGTACATAATAAAAACCTCACCTTTGTATTCTACCCACACTCATATCACTAATGGATGTAGTCAATTCTTGAAAAACTTACCTATACATAGTCTTAGTCTGTTTTATGGTACAACAGCAGAATACCTGAGACTGGGTACTTTATAAAGAACAGAAATTTATTTCTCACAGTTCTAGAACTGGAAGTCCAAGACCAAGGCACCAGCGTCAGCTGAGGGCCATCTTGTTGATCCTCACTTGGCAGAAGAGCAAGATAGCATGCTAACCAAACACTGCCTGAAGCCGCTTTTAAAAGGGCCTTAATCTTCCTAATAAGGGAGCAACCCTCATGGCCTAATAACCTCTTAAATGCCATCTCATTGGCAACACCTGAGTTTTGAATGGGGCACATTCAATCTATAGTGCATGTAATATATACATTTAAAGAAAAGCAATTTGATGTCAGCATTTGCAAACACTGTATGTGAGATTTACTGTTCATTTTGATTTATATTGTCTCCGGTGCCATCCAGAATCCTTAAGTAATTTTTAGTCATTCCCTAAAGAGTATGTTTTAAGTTTCCTGGTTTTGAACTTTTTATATTTGTTCCTGCCCGTATTCCTTTCATGAGAATCAAGAGAATATAATTTTGATCTGTCATCTGTGTCACAGTAGGGGCTCTCTTACTTAAGTGTGCCCAATATACTAGATCCGTGGCTGCACTGGAACCTTTCATTTTCTTTCTACCAGGCTTCAGCAGTCTTCTTTTCATTTTCATTTTCTGATTACCTTAGATTACATAATCCCTTCCTTCAATCCTTCTCTATATATTGTCAACAGCTTTGTTTTTGTCCTTTTATCCACATATCCATAAAAGAGCCAACACAGAATATCTGTTTTCAAAGCCTGTACCAGCCTGATGCATTAATGCTGCTAGAGTAAAACTACAACTGTGGTGACTACTCTCAAGTTGTCCTATAAAATTGCCCAGCAATTTGGTTTTTTTCTATTACTTTGGCAGCTCTTTATCTTCTTTGTAGCAACTTTAAAAAATAGTCCAATTTCCTAAAATCTTAGAAATTCTAACTTCTCATGTCCTGAGAACACTATTTCAAAAAGAAATCAGAAACATCAGCTGAAAACCTGACATCAAACCTATAAATTTATTTGCCTCTGCATCAGGACTGTCCTATTTAACTTTTGTAAACAATGAGATAAATGAATATCCCATTCATTATTCAAAGATAATCCACATATCTGTGTTTTGGAAGACATTTCTCTCTTAACTCCTCAGAATTCTTGCTTCACTGACACATGCATGTGGAGCACACACCAGAATCCTATGCATATCCCACTGCCATTGCTATTCCCACATAAGTCAATAAAATCTCACTGCAAGCAACTAGGATTCTCTGCCTGATGACTTTATCTGGTTGCAAGAACATGCTCAGCCTGCCTGTGAAATAGGTAGGCAATGGACAATTCTGGGGAGTTGTTCTTAATCAAACAATAGCCCTTATCCAATGACTACATCAATTAGTGCATAAATACCCCATGCTTCTCACCCTTAGGGTGAGATAACTTTGAGGCATGTTCTACACTGGACCCTACAAACTGCAATGTAATTGAGTCTCACTTGCCCACAGTGACAACATGCTTGTATTAGTCCATTTTCATACTGCTATAAAGAACTGCCTGAGACTGGGTAATTTGTAAAGGAAAGAGGTTTAATTTATTCACAGTTCAGCATGGCTGGGAAGGCCTCAGGAAATTTACAATCATGGCAGAAAGGGAAGGGGAAGCAAGACACCTTCTTAACAAGGTGGCAGGAAGGAGAAGTGCTGAGCAAAGCAGGGAAGAGCCCCTTATAAAACCATCAGATCTCGTGAGTACTCACTCTCACTATCACAAGAACAGCATGGGGGAAACCGCTCCTATTATTCAACTACCTCCACTTGCTCTCTCCCTTGACACGTGGGGATTATGAGGATTAAAATTCAAGATGAGATTTGGGTGAGGACACAAAGCCTAACCATATCAATGGTTAATATCACTCTGACTGGCTTTCTTTCCTACCTTGTCTCACTTTTCTATTCCCCTAGTGGTGGGTTCCCATATAAACTACTTTCACTCAACTCCTTGGCTCAGGTTCTGTCTCTGGGGGAACCCAACCTAAGAGAGTTGGTTCTAGAAATTCATCCCTAGATAGCCGTTCTGGAATTGGATTAACTGCAAGCCAAATCATTGCTAGTAATAAATGATATTGTGAGACATCTTGCCATTCTATAGCATCATAAGCTCTAAGATTCTCACCTGTGGCTGTGTGGGATAGATTATAAAGGGATGGGGGTACACTGATTTATGCAGTAGCTCTAGGTTCTGCTCCCTGGCAATATGGAATTAGTTGGTTATTACTGATGGAAGAAAATAACAGACACAGATCAGCCAACTAAAAACTGGGGTAACAGTATAAAAACTTAACAGTTATTGTGGCAGTGTTTAAAGAGGCCCTCATCCACTATAGCTGGAGGGAAGGTTCTGCTGAGATGAAGAGGAACCAGATTTGATTGAGAGTTCCAAAATTTAAAAACATGCTGGTATCACAGCCTGGATAATTTCTGTGTAAAGTTAGGACCCTAATAAGAAAAGACTGAGACCCTAAGACTCTAGTTGGAGACATCTAATTGCAGGACATGGGAACTCCAGGTTTCCCCAAACCCTCTGTACTGGTAAAAGTGGTCCCTGTTTCTCTTGATAAAAGAGAGCTGTTGCTCATTGCCTAGAGATTTTGCGAAGTTTTCACCTAAATCAAGATCACCTTCTTAAAATCTATCCCCATCTTTTATCTTTACTTTTAGAGCAATAAGAACAGTCATGCCTTGACATTGTTCAAGCAATGTCGCAAATACAGATTGAACATCCCTTATCCAAAATGCTTGGGACCAGAAGTGTTTTGTATTTCAGCTTTTTTGCAGATTTTTGAATATGTGCAGATAACAATGGTTGAGCATCTCTAATCTGAAAATCTGAAATCCAAAATACTCCAATGAGCATTTCTTTTGAGTGTCAGGTAGGTGCTCAAATAGTTTTGGACTTTGAAGCATTTAGGATTTAGGATTTTTGTATTAGGATTTTTGTATTAGGATTTAGGATTTTGTATACTCAATGAAAGCAATTACTTACCAAGAGATAGCTATAGTACCTACATAACATGTAAGGGCAGAACCAGCCAAAAGTGCCTGAGGAGAATCTTGAGGGGTCTGGGGCAGGGAAGGTGGAATACAGGACTGGATGGGATAGCTTATTGACATAGCAACACTATTTTGATCTAAAAATATAACAAATGTTATTGGAGTTAGTCCTAATATAATGCTGGAAGACTCCTTGAAGGTTAAAATCATGATAGCCTACAGGAGATGAGCAAATCTACAAGAATTGCTAGAACTTCTTGACATAGTATTAAGAAAGAGCCTAAAATGCTGAGAGAGCTGGGCATATAAGATTGGGTTTACTACATAAATTCAATGACCTGTCAAGTGACTGCAATCCACTGCCAGGCTGAGAAGACACTACCTTCAGTAAAGTGATAAACAATTCACTGGTAAATAGGCACCAGATTGGTTGAGAAGCTCAGTGGTAACTGGCTAGTTGACAGTAGGAGATTCTGTTATGAAAGGAGCTTCCCTAATGTCCATATGAAAGGGTGCTGGAATGGCAGAGGCCAACTGATGGTATTTAATCAGTAGAGGTAAGTTGTACACAATTACCATAATAGGCAGCAAGGCCAAAATGGCAACTAAAAGACTTTTAGAAACCTGCAAGAGATCCACAGCAGTGGGTAACAAACCATCATGTTTCTAGAGTGGAGAGAAATGAGCATCAACAAGAGTGTGGCTTGACTTAGGTGTCCTGAAAACACCAAGAAAGGGTGAGAAGAAGGCTGACAGTGGCTATAATGGAAAAATCACATTAAGCCAGTTCTCAAACCCAGAGCCCATTGACTGGATGGGAAACCAGGTACTGTTAAGGAAGAAGCCTAGAATGTAATTGCAAGCATGTATAGTGCCTGTACCACCATCCTTCTAAATAGGGACTGTGGGCATTTGCTAGAACAAACATACATTGGTAAAAAGGGAAATATCAGTATCTTTTGAGGGCTATTAGATACAGAGTCTGAGCTAATACTGGTATTAAAACTCCAGATCCATTCAGGACATAGGCGTGGGCAAGGACTTCATGTCCAAAACACCAAAAGCAATGGCAACAAAAGCCAAAATTGACAAATGGGATCTAATTAAACTAAAGAGCTTCTGCACAGCAAAAGAAACTACCATCAGAGTGAACAGGCAACCTACAAAATGGGAGAAAATTTTCGCAACCTGCTCATCTGGCAAAGGGCTAATATCCAGAATCTACAATGAACTCAAACAAATTTACAAGAAAAAAACAAACAACCCCATCAACAAGTGGGCGAAGGACATGAACAGACACTTCTCAAAAGAAGACATTTATGCAGCCAAAAAACACATGAAAAAATGCTCATCATCACTGGCCATCAGAGAAATGCAAATCAAAACCACAATGAGATACCATCTCACGCCAGTTAGAATGGCGATCATTAAAAAGTCAGGAAACAACAGGTGCTGGAGAGGATGTGGAGAAATAGGAAGACTTTTACACTGTTGGTGGGACTGTAAACTAGTTCAACCATTGTGGAAGTCAGTGTGGCGATTCCTCAGGGATCTAGAACTAGAAATACCATTTGACCCAGCCATCCCATTACTGGGTATATACCCAAATGACTATAAATCATGCTGCTATAAAGACACATGCACCCGTATGTTTATTGCGGCATTATTCACAATAGCAAAGACTTGGAACCAACCCAAATGTCCAACAATGATAGACTGGATTAAGAAAATGTGGCACATATACACCATGGAATACTATGCAGCCATAAAAAATGATGAGTTCATGTCCTTTGTAGGGACATGGATGAAATTGGAAATCATCATTCTCAGTAAACTATCGCAAGAACAAAAAACCAAACACCGCATATTCTCACTCATAGGTGGGAATTGAACAATGAGATCACATGGACACAGGAAGGGGAATATCACACTCTGGGGACTGTGTTGGGGTGGGGGGGGGTAGGGATAGCATTGGGAGATATACCTAATGCTAGATGACGAGTTAGTGGGTGCAGCGCACCAGCATGGCACATGTATACATATGTAACTAACCTGCACAATGTGCACATGTACCCTAAAACTTAAAGTATAATAAAAAAAAAAAAAAAGAAAAAAAAAAAACAAAAAACTCCAGATCTTCTCATGGCATTCCTGTTAGTATAGAGTCCTAGCCCAGCTTCATCTCACATTGAGTCCAGTGGGTCTGCAGACCTACCCTGGGTGCATAACTTTTACAGGTGTATCCAGAAGCTTATAGAACCCTCACATTGATTTCTTAAGCTATAAATTGAGAGACATTTTGAAACTGCTCCCCACTTCCACACAGCCAAGATTGTAAATCAGAGAAGTGATACTGCATTTGAGGAGAATACTAGAAATTAATGCCACCTACAAACAAATTTTATAGGAGTAGATGTCTCCAGGCTATCCCAGTTGGGTTCACTGGTATAACCTCTCCAAAAACCATAAAGAAGATGGTAGATAATGGTGCATTATAATAAAATTATTAATGAGGTAGTCTCACTTGTAACTGCTGTTCAGATGCAGTATTTTGTACCCTGACACATGTTTTGTGGCTTTTCAATTCCCTTCCAAAAGAATCCCATTCACCTGGGATAGACAATAATACATATATTCAGGCCAGGTGCAGGGGCTCACATCTATAATCTCAGCACTTTCAGAGGCTGAGGTGAGTGGAATGCTTGAACCCAGAAGTTGGAGACCAGCCTGGGTAACATGGTGAGACCCCGTCTCTACCAAAACTACAAAAAATTAGCTGGGGGTGTTGGTGCACACCTGTGGTCCCAGCTACTCAGGAGGCTGAGGTAGGAGAATCACCTGAGCCTGGGAAGTCGTGGCTGCAGTGAGCTGTGATCACACCACAGGACTCCAACCTGGGCAACAGAAGAGACCCTTTCTATATGTACATGTTCTTGCCATAGAATCAGAGCTCTTGGCCATCTTGACATTCCACAAAACACTATGCTGGCCTACTATTTTAATATCATGGAAACCAGATCTGATGATCAGGAGTATCAAGTACACACGGTCCCTGAAGAAATTGAAGGAGAAAAGCCTTACCAGAATTTACAGTCCTGTTATGTATAAAGTTTTGAGAAATCTGTTAGTGTGAGGCATGCTGTGATACCTCCTCCAGAGTAAAGGTTAAGTCACTATAACTTGCACCTCCTACTAGTCTATGCTAAGAGGCAGAGACCTTGTTAGGTTTTTTGGCTTTTGAAATTAGGACCTATACTTGAAGGTACTACTCAAATCCATTTATCAGGTGACTCAGAAGGCTTCCACTTTGAATGAGGTCAAGACTAAGTGAGGGATTAGCAGCAGGTTCAGGCTGTACTATGTGTCCCTATTGGTTGGTCCACAGAACCTAGCAGATCCACTAATGCTAGAGATAACTGTGGTAGATAAGAATAGTGTGTGATGTTCCTGAAAAGCCCTGATATGAGAACCCTGATATAAAAATCATAGTGCAGACACCTAGGGTTCAAAAACAAGGCCATGTTGCCCAAAACAGAGAAATCTTGACCATCCTAAAACAGCTACTGGCATGTTCTCTTCCCCTGGTAGAGACTATGGTCTCAGCCACAGCATTCTAGGGGAGGCAAAAATATTTTTTCTCTACTCATCTCAAATTTTTCAGCCAAGGCCCTGTAAATTACTGTCAAAAGACAGGTTAACAGGAGAAAAGCATATAAATTTAATTTAGTAATTTTTACAGTGCTTGGGAGTCTCACAAGAAAAATGACAACACTAACAAGCAGTTAGGGCTAAAAGCTTATGTACCAGTTTGGATAATGTGTAGTAAATTGTGAACATATGACATTACAAAGGGGTTTGTGATAGGAGAAAGTATAGAAAGATAAGTTTAAGCTAACCCAGTTTAACAAGCTTCATTTGTACAGATTTCTCTTGGCTTCAACTACTCATGTCTGGTGATAAGAATGTCTTCCTTCTGGTATACAAAGAATACCTTTCACATGGGGTTTATTTTCTGCTTTCAGAAAGACAAAAAGAAGCTCAGATTACCCTTCTTTCATCTGCTGCTTTTTAAGTGCCTTTAACTTAAAATAATCCTATGCCAAACTGGCATATTTTAGGGTTGCATATTCTGTTACCCTACAGGTTCAATGTCAGAAATACCAAACCAAGAGGGTGAGTGGGTGCAACAGCAACCCAACATATATGATGGAAATTGGTACCAGACAGGTCCAGAGGGGCACAGGTAAGGTACATGAACAGTTAGCTGATACCTCCATGACATCTACCCCTGTTGTATAAATACCTCTACCTCAACTCATATTATGGCCTAATAAGGGAATAGGTCTGGTTTACACATTGATCAGCTAGATTTGTTTATGCAGCCTGAAACTGTACAGTCGCCACAAACCCAGAGCAGTTCCTCAAGAAAGACGAGGGGAAGTCTTCACAATGGACAGAGCTTTGAGCAATATACCTGTTCACTAACTTGGTGTGGAGTGGAAATGGTCTGTGGTAAATATATACCCAGATTCATACGCAATGGCAAATGACTTGGTTAGGGTCCTACAAAGAATGAGATTTAAAAGTTAAAGACAAGAATTGCTCTGGGTGTGTGGCAACAGTACAGTTTCAGGCTGCATAAACAAATCTAGCTGATCAATGTGTAAACCAGACCTAATCCCTTATTAGGCCATAATACGAGTTGAGGTAGAGGTATTTACACAACAGGGTAGATGTCATGGGGGTATGGGCTAACTGTTCATGTTAAAGACAAGGAGTATGGGAAAGAAGCATGCAGGAGGATCCATAAGAGTGGGAGCTAAATTTGTTGATACTTGTGTGTCATGTCAATTCCCACCAGAGATCCAAAAGAAGGCTCTGTACTACAGATGACTCATCCAGTAGATACCAGCTAGCCTCTGACTTTGGTCACTCCAGTATTTGCATAAGGAAGCCTTGGCAGGGAAGGGGGTATGCCCATCTCCAGAATCATGGGCCCCTCTGACTGATGCTGATCTAGCTGCTGCCACTGCTGAATATCCTGCATATTTACAGTGGAGACCAACACTGAGCCCTGCTTATGGGTGGATCTTGAGGCAGAACAACTAGCCACTTAGTGGCAAGTTGTTTGATACAAACAAACACCCTCCACCAGGAAGAGGCAAAGAAATAATATGTGTTCTAGGTATAGATTTTTCTTCTTAACCCACAGTGCTTCAGCCAGCAGCTGTATTCAAGAGCTCACAGAGTATATTAAGTGTATTAGTCAGGGTTCTCTAGAGCGACAGAACTTACATATATATATATATAATATATATATATGGAGTTTATTAAGTATTAACTTAAATGATCATACATTAAGTATTAACTTAAATGATCATGAGGTCCCACAATAGGTTGTCTGCAAGCCTGAGGAGCAAGGAGAGCCAGTCTGAGACTCAAAACTGAAGAACCTGGGATCCAACGTTCCAGGGCAGGAAGCATCCAGCATGGGAGAAATGGGTAGGATGGGAAACTAGGCCCGTCTCTCCTTTTCACGTTTTGCTGCCTGCTTTATGTTCACTGGCAGCTGATTACATGGTGCCCACCCAATTAAGGATGGGTCTGCCTCTCCCAGCCCACTGACTCAAATGTTAATCTCCTTTGACAACACCCTCACAGACACACCCAAGACCAATACTTTGTATCCTTCAATCCAATCAAGTTGACACGCAGTATGAACCATCACACAGAGTATCTCATTTAACAACATAGGATCCCGTCTAAAATTAACTTGGACCTCCCAGATTATAAACAGTAAGGAAGGGATCAGGTCTATCATGGACACCATTGTGCCCCCTGTGCCTTTCAGAATTCTGGGCCCTATGTAGGTACTAAATCGATATTTGTTAAAAGAAAAAGGAAGAAATTTTGAAAACAAACATATTAAGTGTATTTAGAATTGTATTTCATGCCCTTCTCTATGAACATTGCCTCTAGTGACAAACCCACCAAATCTATTAGATACTGTTTTTCAAGAATAAAAAAGATGAGGCCAAGCACAGTGGCTCACGCCTGTAATCCCATCACTTTGGGAGGATGAGGTGGG
This sequence comes from Homo sapiens, assembly GCF_000001405.40. Classification (NCBI taxonomy): domain Eukaryota; kingdom Metazoa; phylum Chordata; class Mammalia; order Primates; family Hominidae; genus Homo; species Homo sapiens. The sequence continues at coordinate 125,680,925 of NC_000005.10, forward strand.
TGAATCACGAGGTCAGGAGTTCGAGACTCTCCTGGCCAACATAGTGAAACCCTGTCTCTACTAAAAATACAAAAAAATTAGCCAGGCATGGTGGCAGGTGCCTGTAATCCCAGCTACTCAAGAGGCTGAGGCAGGAGAATCACTTGAACCCGGGAGGCGGAGGTTGCAGTGAGCCGAGATCACGCCACTGCACTCCAGCCTGGGCGACGGTACAAGACTCCATCTCAAAAAAAAAAAAAAAAAGATAATTTTAGTGAATTTACTAAAATAATAATATACAAGTTATGTAATAAGGTTTTAATACAAATGGAGAAAGAAAAATATGGCTGTGAAATCATTTATTTCTAAAGAGAAAAACGAAAATGGCCTTTAATTTTACTGTCTTGATTATACTGTTCTCAGCCAGATAATTCACAGAAGTATGATCTGATTCTAAGTTTGAGCAAGAAGTCAAGCTTAGTTATGTCATAATGGATCATATTGTGAGGTCTATTAGTTTTTAATTTTTAAAAAAGTCATCAAGGAGACTTTGGATAAAAATAGCTCACAGGAATTGTATTCCATTGAAGAGAAATGATGTGTAACCTGAAATCATTTTGCTACATATAGATACTCAAAAAGTTCATGAGACACGGAACATTATAAACTATCTTTAATCAGAAAAAAATTTCAGTTATGGCAATTTTTAAAGATAATGCTTGCCAATGGCCCTCAAAGAAATTTATGAAAATCTGGTCATATAAATTTATTAAAGCAATATAATCTCCATTCTTTAAAAATCTATAATAAAATGAGTTAGCTTTAGTGACATGGCTGTAACAAGCATTTTTCGTGTACATCTGACAATCTTTAGTGGCCATATTTTTTACTCACCTCCACAGATCCGTATATTTGCATGTTGTGGTTTCATAGCTGGAAATGCAATCATACGCAGACAAAAGGGCAACAGAAATACTGACTTGTCAATTGGTAAACTGATTAAATTGTAATTTGGCATGGATATCTCTAAAAGCACAGCTTTATGAATATAGACAAGTGTGTAAATTATAATATATAAAAAGTATACTAAAAGCATTGCCAGAGATATGAGTACAACTAGATACGGTTATAAACCTGCCAGCTGGTTAGTGCCCTAATTTCTCTAAATCTGTAAGTTCCTGCCTACCCATGTTCTCTTCCTTCTTATCTAGCTTGGACCCCACAGACCATCAGTTCTTAGCTTCCTGTTCCTTGGTTGCACCCATCTAACAAAATAGCAACGTGGATGAATCCTTCTGGCTATATTCTCTGTTCCTATGCCAAGGTTGCTGAACGTTGCTGGGAAAAAGATCGCAAGATCAGGAAGACTGCTGATTACAGTTTCATGGCCTTTAACATGAAATAAGGCCTTAAGGCTACCTGATTTCCTCTACTGTTTCAGCACACAGATCTCTTTCTCTCCTTATAGTTACTATGTTAAGTAATCTCTATTTTCCTTAAGTATATATACATACTCCTTCATCCTTACTCTGAGCAGGAAGATTTGTCTCCTACTTCACAGAGAAATTAGAAAATGTGGTAAAAGTGGTGAAGGCAAGAGGGAAAATGAACAGGATAGTTGCTCAGCTTTCTTTGCCCACTCTGGAAAGCCAGATTCTTATTTATAATCTCCTTTTATTTCTACCCATCTAATCAGTGGAAGAAATTCTCCCCACCTATTCGCTGACAACAGGAGTATGGATTAGTGCTATTTAGCAATGCGTTCTTTGGCCCAGCCATTATATTTTTGGAAATAATCCAAGAAATATTTGAAGAAAAAAAGATCAAAATATAAGTATAGCTGTTCTGTTGGATTTTTTAATAGAAAAAAATTGAAAGCTTTCTACATGTTCATAAATAAGGAATTGGCAATTAGATAGGCAGAATAAGTTCTAGTGTTCTGTACTACTATAGGATGACTAGAGTTAACAACAGTATGTCACACAGTTTCAGATAGCTAAAGGAGGATATGAAATGTTCCCAACACAAAGAAAAGATAAATGTTTGAGATGATGGATATGCTAATTACCCTGATCTGATCACTACACATTATTTATCAAAACATCCCTATGTACCCCATAAACATGTACAATTGTCGTATTTCAATTAAAAAATAAAATTTAAAAATGGAATTCATTAAATATATTCTACAATGGAATACTATGAAGACATTAAGGGCTTGAAATTGTTTTACATTATTAACATAGAAATATATCTATTCATGATATACTGTTTAAAGCTGAAAAATCTGCTTATATAACAATGTCTATATTATAATTCCATTTTCTTAGTATACATTTGTTTACAGATTCATTTTTTAAAGTTTGAAAGACTAAACAATTTTCAAAAGCAGCCATCTTGGGGTATGATTGAAATTACAGGGGTACATTCAGATTCTAATTTATATATTTTGCTATTTAAAATTTCTAAAGAAGGCAGAATTATATTTATGATGAGAAAAATAAAAATATTTTCAATTTTAAAAGTCTAAGGATAAAACTATTCCAAAGCTATGCTGGCCTCCCTCAGCAACATTAGCTTACAAATATGCTTTTTCTTTGTAAATTCACTGTCAGTTATTTACTCTTTCCAGTTAGCATCTAGACATACTCCAGTCTTCTCAGGTTATCCCTCCACCATACACTATATCTAACAGGTGCCTTTCACCTCACCCTGCCTTCACAGCCTGACAGTCTTGAATTACTTGTTTCTATGTCCTGACTGTTCTTTCATTTAACAGCCCACAGTGAGCAGCTTCAGTCTCCAGCACTCTGCAGACTTCACTTTCCCCAAAGTCAGCAAAGACCACTTTGTGAATGAATACAATAGATAAATTTCTGTTCTCTTATTTAACCTTCTTGTGGTGTTTGCCACTGTTAAGTGTTCCCTCCTTGAATTTCTCTTTTCTATTAAATTCCACAACACCACATTCTTTCAATTTTTCTCTGCTAATATCACTGCTCTGTATCATAAACTTTCAAGGATTCTTTTCATCTGCCTGCTCCTTAAATAAACTCCATTTTCAACCTACCTGCTTTTATTTTTGAGAAGATCAAAGTAGGAGGAGGATATGTTCTAGAGTTGGGAAAAACCTAGGTTTGAATCTTGGCTCTGTCACATGCTTTCAGTGAACACATGGAAAGCAACCTAATCCCTCAGGCCCTTGTTTTCCCTTTACTAAGGCAGAAAAGAGTTTTTGTATAAGGTGGTTGTTGGTATTAAATACTCACAACTATGAATGTCACATAATAAATAGTTAATAACTAGTAGTTATTATTACTCTGATTTTATAATCTCTCTTGAGAAATTTCTACTCTTCAACTATGACATATAAACTAATGACCACTCTCTCTTTTATCTCCAGCCCCAATTCTTTCCTGAACTTCTAATCCAAAGATACTATTCAACATTTCTACTAGATATCTTGTGGTTATCAAAATTAATGTCTAAATTTAATCTCAGTGACTTGTCTGCCACTCCTCTCAAAAATGTTTCTCCTTCAGAATGGATGGTGTCACTGCACTCATTTGTCCCCAAATCAAAACCTGGTAGTCACCTTTAGCATTCCTTTTTCATCTCTTTAGATACCTATTTACTAAATTGTAGTTTTCCCCCAAAGTATTTGTAGAACATATCTACTTTTGCCTTTTCGTACCGTCATTATCACCTGTTTTTTGACATAATTATCTTATACCTTGGTCACAGAAAATGGCTCTTAGTTCATCTCCCTCCTTCCACGTTTGTATTTTTCTTTCTTCTCCTTTATTCTATCACCCATTTATATACTGCAGCTAATAATCATTCTTATTTATGCAAAATCTTTCCACAGCTCTCCTACATTTTACCCTCATCTGTTACCATCACCATCATTACAGCCTCCTCACTACCACTCCCAATCTGTGCTTCAACCACATTAAGCATCATGAAATTTCTCGGAGGAGTTGTATATTTCAGGCCTGTACCATACTATTCCCTCTCCTCAATCTACTCCCGGGACTTTTTCCATGGCCAAGTTGTACTTGCCCTTCAGATGTTACCTTCTGAGGTAATATTCTTCCCCCACATGTCCATTTCTCCTCTAAAGAAATCTTCTCAAACAATTACATAATGGAATCATCTAAGATGCTTGTTAATTATCCATATTCCAGGGACTCACTTCTAATTCAATGTTGTAAAGGGATCACATGTGTTTATCTTTTCTTCTCCCACAAAACCCAATAAAAGGGAAATGTAATAATAAATGGCATTATTACATTATTGCCCCACAAAGAAAAAGGACAATAGAGAAGAAAAAGGAAGATAAATTTATTTCAACCAAGTTTTGAAAGATGGGAAGCAAATAGTGGAGCGGTAACTAGCTTAGCACAGTGGAAGAACTTAAAATTTTAGTGACAGAAGAAGGGGAAAATCAACATAAATGAACCAATTTGTTTTGAAGAACCGCCTGAGAAGCTCAGCACTTTGAACATTAGGCTGAGCTGAAAGTAAAGAGTATTTGCAAAGCTATATACAAAGCAATGAATAACCCAGCCTTTCCACCACTCCATTTACACCTGATAGATGACCAAATCTTTCTCTTCACTGTATATGCTTCTTCTGGATAAGATATTTCCTTTGAAGGAATTGAAAACAAGAGGTTCAAGATTCAGGAACACAATGTACCTTTCCAAGAGGCTTTGAAATGTGGCTAAAAATACATATTAAATAAATGCATACATATTATTTTAGAGAGAGGATTCTGAGAAGATAATGGAGTAGGAAGCAAAAGGAATCTGTCTCCCCACCTAGGTAATAATTTCACTGGAAGAATCTACCTGATGTAACTATTTTTGAAAATCTGGAGCCTATTGAAGCTTTACAACTTTCAAGGAAAGACTCAGATAGTAAATTACAGTTACTTTTGCTCAATTTTAGGTCTTAGCTCAACAGTAACTACCCATCTTCAACCCTCCAGACCTGTGGCAGGGCAACTGTGTATGCATTCTTGGAGTATCTTACACACAGCTTTGGTATCCAGAGTGAGCAATAAGGACCCTGTTCTTCACATACTATAAGTCTATGTTTTGATGACTGAGTGCTGCTTCTGATCACAGAGGTGCTGCACTTCCAGTTTCCCCATTGTTGCAAGCCCCTCCCCCTCAGATTGAAGCAAGTTCCACAGGATTTAAAGGGCTGGCACTATTTTACCCCCATCTCTTCATTTAACTCTGTTCCCCTTTTGGGAAGCAGACTTTAAAGATTAAGACATTATAAAACATCTGTGTGTATATAGGGAAAATTAGAAAGTCACTGTACATGGACAAAGAAAAGCAGAGGCTCAGAAAAGACCTGAGAAGACCTTAAGTTTACACTTCAGGCTGATCTTTGATATAAAAACAGCCTACAACAATTAAAGCAAAAGAAAAACAAAAACCAGCACACTCTGGTGAAGAGGGAAGAATCTGATTACTAGAGTTACCACATTATTAGTGCAGAGTTTTGGTTACCAACAACAAACAAAATCACAAGGCATACAAATAAATGGGAAAAATGTGGTTCATTCAAATAAAAATCAAACAAACAGAAACTTTCCCTAAAAAAGACCAAAGGGCAGACCTACTAGACAATCTTTTTAAAAAACTGTCTAAAAGATGTTCAAAGAGCTAAATGAAGATTTGGAGAAAGTAATGACAATGATGGATGAATAAAATGGAAATATCAACAAAGAAAAATATTCTGTAATAGAAAGGTACAATAACTAAAATGAAAAAGTCACTAGAGGGATTCAAAGCAGAAATGAACAAGTGGAGGGCAAAATCATTGAACCTGAAGATGGAACTATTGAAATCATTTATACTGAGGAGCAGGGAGCAAAAAGATTCAAGAAAAATTAATAGAGCTTAAGACACCTGAGCAGACCAATATGCTCATTATGGGAGCCTCACAAGGAACAAAGAGAGAGAAATGGGAAAATATATTATTTGAAGAAATAATGATCAAAACCTTCCCAGGTTTGATGAAAGACATGAATGTAAACATCTAAAATCTTAGGAAACTCCAAGGAGGATGGACTCAAAGAGATCCACACCAACATATGTTATAAGCAAAGTGTCAAAAACCAAAGACAGAGAGAATCTTGAAAGCAGCAAGAAAGAAACAAGTCATCACACACAAACAAGAGCACCTCAGTGAGATTATTAGCAGATTTCTCATGATAAATTTTTGAAGCCAGGAGGCAGTGGGCTTGTGTAGTGAAGAGTTGAAAGAGAAAAACTTTTCAACCAACAATTCTATATCATGCAAAATCGTCCTTCAAAAGTGAGGGAAAAATCAAGGCATTCCCAGATAAACAAAAGTTGAGTGAGGAAGTTTATTATCACTACATTTTCTATGCAACATAAGCTAAAGGGAGTTCTGAAAATTTAAATAAAAGGATATTTTACTGTAACTTAAAGCCGTATGAAGAAATAAAGATCTCAGTTAAGGTAAAAATACCTGGGCAATTTAAAAAGCTAGTGTTATTTGTAACAATGATTTGTAACTCCAACTTCTTTTCTATATAATTTAAGAGATAACGCATTAATAATTATTAGTGTATGCTTTTGAACACACATGTATAAAGATTTAATTTTGTGACATTAGAATTGAAGGTAAGGAGCTGGAGCTATAAAAATACAGAGATTTTGTATGTTATTCAAGATAAGCTTGTATAAATCCAAATTAGAAGACTGTAACTGTACAATGTTAAAAGGTAATTCCCCTGGTAAGCACAAAGAAAACAGTTACAGAATATATACAAAAGGAAATGAGGAGGAAATTAATATGTTTCACTACAAAAAATCAACTAAACATAAAAGAAGACAATAATTCAGAAAATGAGGGACCAAAAGAAGTTATAAAGCATATAGAAAAGAGATAGCAAAAGGACATAATTGTTTATCCTTTTTAGTTCAGTCATTCCTCATTATCTGTGACAGGTTAGTTCCAGCACCCTTGGCAGATATCAAAATCCTCAAATGCTCAAGTCCCTTATATAAAATGGCACAGTATTTGCTTATAATCTATGCACATCCTCCTGTATATTTTAGTCTCTGGAGTACTCATAGTACTTAATACAATGCCTATATATTAATACAATTGCATGGATTCAATATAGTATTTGGTCCAACAGCAACTTCTAGTTTGGCTTTTTGGAAAATTTTTGGATTTTTTTCTGAATATTTTTTATTTACAGTTGGTTGAATTCATGTATGTGGAACACATGGATATGAAAGACTCACTGTAATTACTATAAATGTAAATGCATCAAACTTTCCAATCAAGACAGAGATTGGGAAAATGGATTTAAAAACATGACCCACTATAGTCTGTCTACAAGAGACTCTCATTAGATCTAAAGGCACAAATACATTTAAGGTGACTAGATGAAAGAATATGTCTGACGTGAATAGTAATCAAAAGAGGGGAGGGATGGCTATACTAACATTAGACAAAATAGACTATAAATCAAAAAAGGTCACGAGACAAGAACATTATATATTAATAAAAGTTTCAATACATCAAGAAGATATAACAATTATAAACATTTATGCATCTAATGACTATCAAAATATATAAAATAAAAACTGACAGTTTAAGAGAGAAATAGTTCTACAATAATAGTTGGAGCTTCAATATCCCCTTCTCAGCAATGGATAGAACAACCAGACATAAGATAACTAAGAAAACAGATATCTAAACAATGCAATAAACCACTAAATCTAAAAGACATATGCATATTATATTATAAAACCCTTGACCAGTTTCTATCACTGTGTTCTGAGAATATCTGAGTCAAGGCGTGTATCAGCTGCCTGCCTTTATCTCTTTCTAATCAGGGTATTGGAATATTTTTTTTCTGAGAAATAATTGAAAGGTCTCATTTTCTTTCTGATACTTGAGTTACCACACATAAATAAGGCTTGCTGCTTGATCACATTGGGAAGTTCACCAGTCAATAATTCCATCTGTAGCCCCAAAGTCTTCCATTTCTTTCTGGAGTATAAATAGAACGTCAAGGATCTACAGACAATATAAGTAAGACTTCAACAGAACATGGAAAACACAGTAAGCAGGAGCAGGGAACACAGAGAACACAGAGACAATGCAGGTAAGAGGAGAAAACTTTAAGAAAAAAACCCTGTAATTAACATTCTTAGAGAGATAGAAGAAAAATTCATTTATAAAACAATAACACCAAAAAATATAAAATACAAAGGAATGTGAGTCTTATTTTCAATGTTATCACAGAAGCTAGAAGGTAGTAGAACTGTGCTTTCCAAACAATGAGAAAAAGTATTTTTTCATCCTAGAATTCTATGCCAAATCAAACTTTCAATCAAGTGTGAGGTCAGAATAAAGATGCATTTGTACAAACAAGGAATTCTTTCTCAGGAAGTAGTGAAAAATGTGCTTCAGTAAAATAAGTTTATAAACCAAGAAAGAGAAAATCCAGCCAACCAATTGTCAGAGGATGGTACAGGGATGTCTGAAAAAACACTCCATTCAACGACCCTATGTGCAGAATGGAGCAAAAAGAACAAAGTGCTGTGGGTGACAGCACCCCATGATAAATGAGATTGCTAATTTTTCTGAGAATTTGAAAAGTTATTTCCAGTATTTGATGTATTTGAAAGAGAATTTTAAAGTGCGAGTGAGAACATGGAAGCTAAGCAAATTGAAGGAAAACGCGAATTATTAATTACATAAAAATTGTCATTGTACAAAAAGAAAACCTACACATAATACACCACTTGGCTCAATATTTATGTAAGTATAAAATGTAAACAGTTATTTACTTAACTACAATTTCTTATATATTAACATTAGAAGTTGAGGAGAACAAATGAGACTGTGGTGGTATAAAAGAGATTAAATTTAACCCTTTAGCAGCAAATCAACAGACACTATCTAAGCCTGATAAATTAAGAAATAGTAGTATATAGTATTTATTTAAGAATCTGGAGGCAAAATAAAAAATAAAAACAACAAAAGGAGATGAAATTAACTAGTCCCAAGCACTAACAATGAAGGTTAGGGGAGGATGAGGCAGAGAATTGCTGTTATCCAACAGGGTAACATAGGTAAGATTTGATATTTTAGGTATATATATATATTTTTTTAAATTAAAGATAAAAATTAACACATTATGGGGGTGGGTGTGAAAGCGATACACTTATTTCAATCATATATATGATCAAAATATATACTTTTGATATGTACCTATAAGGCATGTGTGTGTGTGTGTGTGTGTGTGTGTACATATATATATATATATATATATATAATTTTTTTAGCAATGGTGTTTCACTCGTCACCCAGACTGGAGTGCAGCAGTATAATCATAGCTCACTGTATCATCAAATTCCTAGGCTCAAGGGATCCTCCTGCCTCAGTCTCCTGAGAAGGTAGGACTACTAGCATGTGCCACCACACCTGGCTGATTTTTGTATATTTTTGTAGAAATACGATTTTGCTATGTTGCCCAGGTTGGTCTCAAACCTCCAGCCTGAAGCGATCCTCCTGTCTCAGCCTCCCAAAGTGCCAGGATTATAGGTGTGAGCCGCTGTATCCTTCCTAGATTATATATTTTGAGGGCAGGAACTATGAATTTTCCTCTCTGTTGATATGGTTTGACTGTGTTCCCATCGAAATCTCATTTTGAATTGTAGTTCCCATAATCCCCAATGTGTCATGGGAGGGACCCAGTGTAAAATAATTGAATCATGGGGCAGGTTTTTCTCATGCTGTTCTCATGAAAGTGAATAAGTCTCATGAGATCTGACAGTTTCATAAATGGCAGTTCCCCTGCACACGCCCTCTTCCCTGCCACCATGTAAGATGTGCCTTTCCTCCTCCTTCACCTTCTGCCATGTTGGTGAGGACTCCCCAGCCACGCGGAACTGTGAGTTAATTAAACCTCTTTCTTTTATAAAGTATCCAGTGATGAGATTTGGCTGTGGCCCCACCCAAATCTTAACTTGAATTGTAACTCCCACAATTCCGATGTGTTGTGGGAGGGACCTAGTGAGAGGTGGTTGGATTATGGGGGTGGGTCTTTCCCATGCTGTTCTCATGGTGGTGAGTGGGTCTCATGAGATCTGATGGTTTTAAAAGTGGGTGTTTCCCTGTACAAGCTCTCTTCTCTTGTCTGCTGCCAAGTGAGGCATGCTTTTCACCTTCTGCCATGATTGTGAGGCCTCCCTAGCCACACGGAACTGTAAGTCCATTAAACCTCTTTCTTTCATAAATGGCTCACTAAGGTATGTCTTTATCAGCAGCATGAAAACGAACTAATACTGTAAATTGGTGCCGGTACAGTAGGGCACTGCTGAAAAGATACCCGAAAATGTGGAAATGACTTTGGAACTGGGTATCAGGCAGGAGATAGAACAGTTTGGAGGGCTCAGAAGGAGACAGGAAAATGAGGGAAAGTTTGGAACTTCCTAGAGACCTGTTGAATAGCTTTGAACAAAATGCTGATAATGATATGGACAATGAAATCCAGGCTGAGATGGTCTCAGACAGAGATGAGGAACTTTTTGGGAACTAAAACAAAGGTGACTCTTGTTATGTTTCAGCAAAGAGACTGGCAGCATTTTGCCCCTGCCCTAGAGATTTGTAACTTTGAACTTGAGAGAGATGATTTAGGGTATCTGGTGGAAGAAATTTCTAAGCAGCAAAGCATTAAAGAGGTAACTTGGATGCTGTTAAAAGAATTCAGTTTTAAAAGGGAAACAGAACATAAAAGTTTGGAAAATTTGCAGCAGACCATGCAATAGAAAAGTAAATCCCATTTTCTGAGAAATTCAAGCCAGCTGCAGAAATTCGCATAAGTAATGAGGAGCCAAAAGTTAATTACCAAGACAATGGGTAAATTGTCTCCAGGGCACATCAGAGACCTTTGCAGCAGCCCCTACCATCAAAGGCCCAGAGGTTTAGGAGGAAAAAGTGGTTTTGTGGGCCAGGCCCAGGGTCCCCATGCTGTGTGCAGCCTAGGGACTTGGTGCCCTGTGTCCCAGCTGCTCCAGCTATTGCTGAAAGGGACCAACGTAGAGCTTAGGTCATCGCTTCAGAGGGTGCAAGCCTCAAGTATTGGCAACTTCCACGTGTTGTTGAGCCTGCCAGTGCACAGAAGTCAAGAATTGGGATTTGGGAACCTCCACCTATATTTCAGAGGATGTATGGAAATGCCTGGATGTTCTAGGCAGAAGTTTGCTACAGGGGTGGGGCTCTCATGGAGAGCCTCTGCTGGTCAGTGCAGAAGGAAAATGTGGAGGCAGAGCCCCCATGCAGCGTCCCCACTGGGGCACTGCCTAGTGGAACTGTGAGAAGAGGGCCACCATCCTCCAAACCCCAGAATGATAGACCCATCAACAGCTTGCACTGTGCACTTGGAAGGGCCACAGACACTCAACGTCAGCCCATGAAAGCAGCCGGGAGGGAGGCTATACCCTGCAAAGCCACAGGGGTGGAGCTGCCCTAGACCATGGGAAGCCACCTCTTGCATTAGTGTGAGCTGGATGTGAGATATGGAGTCAAAGGAGATCATTTTGGAGCTTAAAGATTTGACTTCCCTGCTGGATTTCAGACTTGCATGGGGCCTGTTAGTCCCTCTGTTTTGGCCAATTTCTCCCTTTGGAATGGCTATCTAGAAAGTAACTAACTTGCTTTTGATTTTACAGGCTCATAGGCAGAAGGGACTTGCCTTGTCTCAGATGAGACTTTGGACTGTGGACTTTTGAGTTAATGCTGAAATGAGTTAAGACTTTCAGGGACTGTTGGGAAGGCATGATTGGTTTTGAAATGTGAGGACATGAGATTTGGGAGGGGCCAGGGATGGAATGATGTGGTTTGGCTGAATCCTCACCGAAATCTCATCTTGAATTATAACTCCCACAATTCCCATGTGTTGTGGGAGACACCTGGTGGGAGGTAGTTGGATCATGGGGCAGGCCCTTCCTGTGTTGTTCCCATGGTGGTGAGTGGGTCTCATGAGATTTGATGGTTTTAAAAATGGGAGTTTCCCTGCACTCTTCTCTTGTCTGTAAATGGAACTGTAATGGAGCTTCTCTTGTCTGTAATGGAACTGTAAATCCATTAAACCTCTTTCTTTCATAAATTGCCCAGTCTCAGGTATATCTTTATCAGCAGCATGAAAATGGACTAATACACCCAGTCTCACATATGTCCTTAAACCAGCATGAGAATGGACTAATATATGTATTCTTCAGAGCCTATATAAGCAGTGTCTAATCGTCTTGGCTCAGGCTGCTATGATAAAATGCCACAAACCAGGTAGTTTAAAGAACAGAAATTTATTTTCTCATAGTTTTGGAGGCTGCAAATCTAAAATTAGAATGCCAGCATAGTTGGGTCCTGGTGAAGGCTCCGTTTTTGGCTTGCCAATTGCTGCCTTCTCACTGAGTTGTCACATGGTAGAGAGAGAGAGAGCACATACAAGAGATTGCTCTCTGGTGTCTCATTTTATAAGGGCACTAATCCCAATATTAGGGCCCCACACTCACAAGTTCACCTAACCCTAATACCTCCTCAATGTTCCATTTCCAAATAACATTACATTGGGGGTTAGGGCTTTAACATATGAATGAGGGACACAAATATGCAGTCCATAACACTACAAAACAATAGGAGTTCTATAAATGGATGCTGAAATATAAAAATGCTGAAGTTCCTTCACTCAAGCATTGGCTTCCAAACTAGATGTTGAGTAATTCCTATTACCCTGGCTTGGGTCCTAATTTTGTGTCTGAATCTCCAGATTTTCTAATCATTTTTTGAGCTAATTGATATTCAGCTCAAAATCCTCATGTAGCTCCAATAGTTAGTTTCTATTGCAACCCAGTACTCTGACTGATATATCTTATAAAGTACCAGTCAAATCAGAAAATGCCAATAAAACTTGCTGCTATTCAGTAGTCATTACATCTCAGGAGATTTACCGAAGTTCAAATAACCAAATGGATATGACAGTTACTTACTTTCCAACATTTTCCTTCATCTCATCCCATCCCTCCACTGGGCATATATTTGGCTTCCAAAGCTCCACATGCCCATATTCTTTCCTCCTTCACAGATGAATTAAAAATGCTCATTTCTCCACAAAGCTATTTCTGAACGTTTCTCTTTTTCTTTGAACTTTCATAACTCTTTAACTAACATTTATATAGAACATTTCCCATGCTACTTTGTGGGGCAATTATTCATGCACATAATTCCTGAGGATAGGAATTATAAAGTATGTACATGAATTTTAAAAATATAGCTATGGGACACTTCATAAATGTGAAAATAAAGTGATTGTGTTTTTTTAAATTAACCTGCACATGAAAATCATCAGATTTACTGTAAATCACAAAAGCCATCCCTAAAAAACATTGCAAAATTCCAATACACAGATTGTATCATCAGTTCTTCAGTACACAGGTTGTATCACCAGTTCTTTCAGGCCGGATGATAGAGTAAAAAGGGAATAAAGGGCTTAAAAGTGAATATGTGGGTTCAAATTTTAATTCATCACCTACTCAAGACTACCACTGAGTATTAGCTTTTATCTCTGAAAATTAGATCATATATAGGGTTATCATCATTTTGTTGGAAAGTGTAAAAAAAAGAAGTGTAGCTTGTCTAGAAGACAGTAGAGAAAGAGTAAATGTTAGCTAATTCCCTTCAATATTTTCGAAAGTATAATAATATTTACAAAAGGCCAATTTGATCAAATAAAAAGCACCAAGTTATAGCATTATGGTGGGACTTAGATATTATTTAGCCCAAGGATGTATTAGTCAGAACTCCTTGCTTTGTTTCAATAGAACCAGATGAAGAAAATGTGTAAAAAGAAAAAAAAAGTAGAATCCATTTACTCATTTAACAGATATTCACAAAGCACCTCTGTAGGCCAGGGACTGTGTGAGACTTCGGAATACCACAGTAGTAAGACAAACATGTTCTTTGTGTTAAGGTAAGTTATAGCCCAACTCTCAAAGTAAATCAAAGTCAGGGTACAGGCAGGCCTCAGCAATTGCTTAGAATTAGATTTGAAAGACATTTTGGTCCTTGATGGCATGTCCTATTTTTCATCTCTTCTTGTGTATTTTTTCATTCTTAAGTCTGCAGATCAAATTTTCCATTTTCCAAAACACACCATACTACTTATAATTCTGCAGTTTATAAACTACTATCTACAGATTCCCTCTCTCAATCTCCCCTTGTAGCAGAATCTGGTTGGCTAAGCTGGAGTCAGGAATGTTTTGCTCCAATCACCCATGAAAATGGGAAGCAGAGTTATGGTACACAATTTAGAATAGACTCAGTCCTGTGGATTTTGGATTGAAAAAGAAAGGAGTTCTTTGTGGTATGAGCAGGTACAACCACATAACTTTTATGCAAAGTATTTGAACTTCAAAATAGTAATTAACTTTCTGAAGGTCATGCAATTTGGCAATGGTGAAGCCCAGGAGGAAACTCACATCGTTTAAATCCTAATTCAGTCCTCTTTCAACTTTGTTAGCATTGGAACAAGAAGTACCATCTCTGTTGGACATTTTCAGCTACCAATTAACACTAGCCTAACTTGATAGTAGGTGCTGAATGAGATACTAAATAATTGTAAAACATAGTACACATTCAGATGTAACTAATGTTTGTCAGGCACTGTGGTTTGATTCCTTCACATACATTTTATCTAGGAGCTTCCAATATGTTTGGTGGTATTCAGGGCCACACTATGTAAATGCAAGGGATAATGTAATTAAAAGTGAATATTTATAGTGCTTACTTTACTCTTGGAAGAAAATTATAAAAGGAATCACCAGGAACCAGAATAACTGCAATAAGCTTTAAGGAAAAGGTAAAATTTGACCTGGGTATTGAAGAGTGGCTAAGTTTAGTGCAGTGATAGAGGAGAATGAGGGGGTTATAGGCAGGGAATATTTCTGAGCAATGGTGCAGAGGTGAGAATGGGTGTATTTGGGGGGCTATGGTGAAGGGAAATTTGAAGGATTATAACTGAACAAAGCAGAAACATTCTGGTGAAAATTTTTGACTTAAGAATTCCAGAATTTAAAATTATAAAATAGGTAACACACACACACACACACACACACACAAGTACACACAAGCATGCACACACACTCACTTGTTTTATAATTTTTGGTGTTTAGCTAGTTGAATGCAGTGTGCTCTTGCCAGCTCCTTGTGGTTTTCCAAAGTTTTGTACGTATTAAAAACTCCAAGTTTCTAAAAGCTCCAAGATGTTATTGGAAACATGTGGCAATATAAATGGCTGGAACTGCAAAGTGTGCAGCCTTTTCAACCTATGTATGGGCTAAAAATAGAGTAAACTGATTTTCAGACAAAACAATACTACTTACCATGAAAGTAAGGAGGAGTAAGCGTATCTTTATATACCAGCTGTGTAAATTATAGCTAAGACAGAACTTCAGTCTTGGACAAGAGGGAAAAAAATCAATATTAATCGACTCATACTTGTAATGGAAGGATGTGGTCATATAAAGTATTACTGGCTAGCACAGGATCACAGTCTGAGTTTGAAGACAGATGCTATATGTTTGCTATGGAAACAATAGACCGTAACATTGTATTTGATATGGAAAAATCAATCACAGTGTTAGCAGCTAGAAACTGCTCTACTTTGAGGTGAGAATACAAAGTACCTCAAGCAATTGTTAAACAGAAGAGGTTTCATGATTATTTAATAACTGGAAAGACCAAACCAATTAAAATATCATCTGTCAATACTTTTTCTAGGATTTGTTTTTAGGAATAATAAATATTATCTCAAATCTATTATCTTGACCTAGATGACGACAATAGAGAAGTAAAAACCATCAGGACCAAATTTACATTTTCCAGCAGGAAGTGGTTTCAGATTTTATTTGGAGCTGGAAAAGGCCAAAGTTCCTTCAGGCATTTTTCTGGAATCTATCAGATAAAACTTCAGGCTTACAAAGGTTTGGCAGTGTGGATCTGAATCATCAAATAACAACCAGAGTGTACAAAGCCTGCAGGCTTCAGGAATCTGTTATGAATTCATCTCTGGCTGCGACCACACACATGTGGTGAAATGGTACTCTACTGGAAGGATTCAGACATTTAATTCCCAATAGCTCATGCAGAAGCCATTGAGTATATTCAGTGCAGCTGGAAAATAGGCAGCCTTAGCCAGGAAAAGTGAGAGCTGAAGCTGGAAAGAGAGGTTGAGGCATTGAATACCTTCCTAAGGAGTCTACACTTAAAATCTAACAAGGCAAAGAAGAATTCCCTCAGATTTTAAAATAAAGAAATTGTTCAAGCAAAAGTATATTTTAGAAAAATAGCCATGGTGACAATATGGACGATAAATATAGGGAGAAGAATCTGGAAACAGGAACCGTGTAGGAGTCTACAGCAATTTGCAAAATGTTTGATTTTAAGCAAGGACAGTTATTTTTGAAGAGAAGAAGGCAAAATTGGGGGTAGAAGGGAGTAGATAGAAAGGATTAATGTAGGCTAAAGAGGAAGGAATTGAAAATATTATAACATGGAAGTTTTTCCTTGTGAGTCTCATTAGCTATTAAGATCTCCAAAGGATTTGGGAAGACACAATAATGAGAACCATTGCCAACAAATCTTATATTTTAGAGATTCAACATTAACTCTAACAATGTACGATGATGAGCATTGAGGGGAGAAAGTATTAGGTTTATTTGACTTTTGCTTTAAATCCACGCTCGCCTTTTTACTGGCCTTTAAATCTGGAAATATTGCTTGACATGACTGAGCTTCATTCCTTTAGCAACTTTAAAAATTGGAAAATAATATCTGACATTGTGATTGTGAAAACAAAGTGATATAATTAGTCACATGACCACCTTGTATTAAAGTAGATGTTAAGTAAATAGAACTAATATTAGTATTTTTAAAACTTCTAATTATAAAAAATAAATAATATATTGAATGAAACTTTGTAAAAAACTATGTGATTTAAAAATTCTCTAAACATCAATAATTTATCTTAAAGAGAATGATTTTCACACTTAAGAAAACATGATTTTTTCTGTGTATGCTGTATAAATATCCAAAAAGTATATAAAGTAAATAAATTCACAGCAGCTATTTTCAGAGTACAGTTAGAAAACAGAACTGTCTTCTTGTGTATGAAATTATTGACAATATGTAATATGAGGTCCAGTTGTTTAATCCCGCATAAGTGACTTCTATTGTCCAGATGCCAATGGAATCTTATGGAAACAGCTAGGCCCTCAAATTCAGGAATGTTCAGAAATCTCAGATAGTTTCAGATGTTATCTCCCTTGTTTCATGTTTACGGCCATTTGCAGAAAAATGAAACAAAAAAAGAAAAGACATTTTCTCTATTCGTATACCTCCCTTACTTTTATGTCTATGACCAAGAAACTTTTTGGCATTAGGAAGCAGGCTTTCTAATATTATTTATTGTTAAAAGAAGAGCTGTCAGTTCCCAAAGACAGCATAAGAAAACATATTTATCAACTATTCTTCATGCATTCTTTTTCTTCTCCTTTTCCTGATTCTGATTTTTCTCCTAACTCAACTTGGCTGAGAAGAAGTACACTATACTCCATAAAATAATTTGAGCTCTGCAGAAGATGTGAGAGGTATATAGGTTTATAACTACTTCCTTATTCTCCCCTCTAGCAAACATTTATAGACCTTAAACCTTACACTTGAAATCAGAGCTCGTTCTAAAATAAATACCACTTGTCAGTTTTTTCTGGTAATATCTCTACTTCAACATTTTTATAAATACAGATCAGTTGAAACTATTTCTTACCCTAGAATATAATAGGGGATTTCTGTGAGCACTTTAATGCTTTCTCTGCTAAATCTAATACATCTAATTGTATAGCATATGCAAAAATTAGTTTGGTAAACTTCAACCCTCCCAAACTCATCTAGAGTTGTGCTAGCATATACTACAGAGTAATTAATTACAGTGTATTGCCTATGCATAGTACTATGTCTTATGCATAGCATTACGTAGACACTTCAAAAATATTTTAATTATTAAAAGGAGAGTGAAGTATAAGGTAGTTACATAATCTTAAGCAAATTGCTTACTATTCTTGCCTAAATTTTCTTGTCTATAAAACAGGGGTAATAATAACACCTATCCTAATGGTAATTCTGAAATTAAATGAGATGATGCATATAAAGTGCTTAGAATAGCATGTAAGTGCTTTCTAAATATTAAATAAATAGTAAGTGCTTAATAAATATTAACTTTAACTATTATCTAGATCACTACTCTCTGATAGAAAGATAATGTAACCCACATATATAATGTAAAATTTTCTAGTAGCTATATAAAAAATGTTAAAAAGAAAAGAAATCAGATAATTTTGGTAATATATTAACCTAATACATTAAAAATATTACATCAATATGTGATTAACATAAAAATTGTTAATGAGATATGTTACATTCTCTTTTTCATACTACACTTACACAATTTTGTGTATATTTTACACTTAAAGTACATCCCAATTCAAACTGGCCACATTTCAAGTGATCAATTACTACATGTGGCTTATGACTTCTACTTTAGACAGGACCAATCTAGATGCTTATTAAATTTAGACATGAGGGACATGTAACTCTAAGAGAGCCATTTCTTTATAAATGGTTGCACAAACCTCAAAAAGAAGAAGAAAAGGAAAAAGAAGACAAACAAGCTTTAGGGAATGTATTAGTATCAGGGTCCTGGTATTTTCTTATTAAGTGACCTTAGTAAATACTGTGTTTCGAGTAAGTAAATAACACAAATATTGTTTGAATTTAGAAAAAGTAATTATCACTGCACTTTTTAGAAAAGTATGAAGTCTGCCATTATTTTAGAAAAAGTACATTCTTAAACTGGTAAACATAAATGGAATTCTGGAGTTAGCTTGGTTCTTAGGGAGTTAAAAAGACCCACATGGTGTTCAAAACGTTCTTAAAATATTTTTAAGAAAATGTGCTTTTGTTCTCACTGTGCTAAAGTACAAAAGCTCTCCTGAGGCACACCCTGGGCTTACCAGCTCAAGGCACTCTCTTAGGCAGTTAAAAAAAGAAAACCCCTACCTTCTCCTTGCTACATGAGCTGATTTCACAAGCCCTTTACACGCTTTATTTACTATTCATTTTCATCTTTGAGAGAGAAACTTGAAATATTTAATCACAGGATATTATTCTTTTAAAATGCTTGTTAAGCCAAGGATTTGGTAACTGGCAGAAAAAAAAGTGGCTACAACAGTCAGTTTAATTATTATCCCTGAAATTGCATTTTAAAATATTTTAATAATTAAAGAAGTTTTTGGAAAACCAAGCAAAGAACTAAGAGAATAAAGAGGCTCAAAAAATCCAAAGTAAGCCTGTCCGGTTGCATGTGTGTACACACACTTAATTCTTACATAAAGCCCAACAACATTAATCATGTCTGTAAAATGATAACCACAACGACAGCTCTCGCTCTGCAGTCAGCCATACAAGGAAGCAGTTTCCAGCTATAACCCTCTACCATGAGCAAATAACTGACGAGCAGCGGTCCTTTTGTCAGATCCTGACAACTGAATCAATAAAAAGACACAGCAAAAGTTCAATCAGAACAGACACCACTAATACGACTGGCCTTTGGGGACCCACAGAAGCGTGGAACTGCTTTTCCATGTTAATTTCTCTTCACTATCCCTTGGGGTTATCACCTTCTCTGGCCCCTGTTAATTAAAAACTGCCTCCTACTAAAGTTCCTTGGCAGGCATTTCCCTCGTGTCAGCCTATTCTGCTGACTGCTAAGAGAGGAAGAAATGAAGGAGGGGAGTGTTATGAAGCTGAGAATGTCACGATGCCAAAATCCTGCTCCTGTTCTCCCAGAAGACTGTGTGTATAATCAAATTTTTTATAGACTCATTTATAATAGTGGACTAACAAAAAAATCTAAGAACAATTAAAGATAATACTATATCAAAGTCAAACATTAGTTGATAGCTATGTAGGCAAATCAGTAAGAGGTAGACAGTCTTGTCATACTATATTTTGGTTTAGCCTTATTTTGGAATTTGTTGAATTTAAGGAATTTTAATTACACATATATGTTTCTATTTGGTTACTGAAGATAACACTCACATTTTTGCACTCTTTCTCTTCCCATAACAGAGACAAACTTACTCCTACCTCTTTGCCAATTCCCAATTAACATCAAGATTGACCTTAAGGACCAGGTTACTTTTTATCTGTGTAAAAGCCTATAAGAAGAAATTTTTAGATTTAAAAAATGTCAGCTAGGTCCTTTTAACTATGTCAATGACAAACATGAATTATCTATAAGGCTAGGTGGTCACATTATTCCAAATTGAATATCTGATTAAACATGCTTTTATTTTATACTAAAAATATAGTAATACATTTACACAATACAGAACTCCATACAGTAAAAAATAAAAGTCTCCTGGTACATCAAGATTCTCCCAATCCTCTTGCCATCATTAATTATTACCAGCTTTTAGATTTTTGTTTACATTTATAAGCACACACATATAAATATATAATATTGTCTCATTACTTTTTTTAAAGTTTAAAAAAAGTAAAAATATTTTAATAACTGAAGAGGATTCCAGAATATGAATGAGTTGAAATTAATACAAATCATTCCCAAAGAAGAAATATTTAGTTCTGTCTAAACTTTTGCTCAAAAAATTTTGCTATGGTGACCAGCATTTCACAAATGCCTTTAAAACGTGTTTTAAAAATGATTTATGTACGTGGTAAACATTCAAATAGATTTTCAGTGTGGACAATCCCTGTCTCTCTCAACAGGGAAAGTCATTCTCAGCAGTTTCTTCTGAATTTTTCAAGGGAGGCTGTGCTTTCAAGTGTGTATTTGAATAAATGCATTATATATATATGTATATAAATGTATAAACACATATACACACATACACACATATACACATACATTTTTTGATGCACAAGTGATACCATACACACTGTTCTACAAACTTGCTTCGTTTTATTTATATGGGGAAAAATTGTTACAAATCAGCCCATATGGATTTCCTGTATTCATATTTATGTAACTTTGAAGGGGTAATATATTCATTGCTCAAATACATATAAGAAAAATTATAAAATGTTTTTGTGTGTAATATATAAGAATGTATTATGTTTTTATTTCTTTTAATAATTTTTAATATTTTTATGTTTTTTATTTTTTATTTTTAAATTTTTTAGTCATTACTTATATAACACAACCATAACATATATCTTTTTTATTATTATACTTTTGTTATCATACTTTTTTATTATTATACTTTTTATTATTACACCAAGGTTATGGCTGGAAACTGCTTCCTTGCATGGCTGACTGCAGAGCAAGAGCTGTTGTTGTGGTTATCATTTAACAGACATGATGAATGTTGTTGGGCTTTATGTAAGAATTATTATATTTTATATTTATACTTTTATTATTATACTTTATTATTATATATTATACTTTAATATAATACTTTTATTATTATACTTTAAGTTCTAGGGTACAGGTGAACAACATGCAGGTTTGTTACACAGGTATACATATGTCATGTTGCTTTGCTGCACCCAACATACATCTTTTTTTTTTACTACTTGCCTTTTTGACTTAATATGTTCTGGAACTATGCATATATAGACTGATTTTATTCTGTTGAATTGCTAAGTAGTATTTCCTAATATGTATTCACTAAAATTCACAATAATTCACTGAATGAACATGTGATTTTCCTTTTATTTTTCATATTACAAAGAATAATTCAATAAAATATTTATAGATATATATAATATATATATTATATATATATATCTTTACATAAAATACCAAGTATTTTTTCCAGTTACTTCCAAATCCAAATTTGGAAGGCAGACATTGACATATATTAAAATTTAAAAAATACTGCACAACTATTATTCAGAAAGGCCTTAACAATTCTCCTCACACTAGCAATGTAAAGGTCACCCATTTCTTCATACTTTCTCCAACAATGGATATTATTATTCATTTAAATATTCTGCTTGTTGTAATTTGCAGGACTTCACTTAGTACCTGGGCTATTTAATCTGTTATATAATCTCAGCTGTATAATCCCTTGCAGATTTATAAACATCTGTTTTTCTATTAATATCTAGAATAAATCTCATTCTCCACCTCCTACCCAATAACACAAGATATAATAAGCCAACACTTCACAATCTTCCTCCAGTATTACTTGCAACCCATCACTATTCCAGAATTATCTTGGATTTTTATTCCAAATTGTTATGGTCTTTATTACTTATAAATATTTTCTATGCTTTTAAATTCACCATTGTTCTTTGACTTATCTTCCCTAAATTATTAGTATTATTTTGTTGAAGTATTATTGATAATATTTTCAGAAAGAGGTTATGACTGGTAAGTTTACTGAGTTTCTAGATGTTCAAAAGATGCTTTAATCTCACAATTGAGTTTTTTTTTATATTAGAGATAGAGTATAGATTAAAATACCTTTCTTGGAGTGACACTAGCAAGATTGTAGACTTGGAAGCTCCAAGCTCTCACTGCCATCATTGAAACATCAAGTAAATAACTATAGATGGACTACAGTAGCTCTATGGGAGCTTAGGAAACTAGTCAAGGATCTACAAAACCTAAGTGAACACCCAATCAGGAAAAAGCTACAGTCAAAATGGTAGAACATTTTATGATGGTTTTAGTCATGCTTACTCCATTCCTTCCCTGGAGCAGCATGGCCTGTCAGAAGGAACTTGTTTTTAACATTCTGGCCTTTTGTGGGTTGCCTGAGGGACTGATTTCTGTATCATCTGACTCACAGCTGAGATAAAATGTTGGGCATAGTTTGCACTGAAGCCAGAGAATACTGTAGCAGGTGCTGTGGCATAGGAAAACTGCAGGAAGACTGCAGACCTACAGATGCCTGAAGGCAAGAGATTATAGGCAGAATAATATGATAGAATATATAAGGCTTCAAGAAGTAGGGTGAGACTTTTTGAAAAATTAAGAGATGTAAAGACAGCCCTGTAAAAGGGACAATTGAGAAAAAGTACACACATGGCATCAGAAAATTTGCATGCCCAGAAAAGGCTTGAGAAGACTTTAAGTCTCCATGTTAGACTAATTAATTAAGATCTTCCTCCCTTTCCATAGAACCAGTCTGCAAAAACTGGGTGAGTCCCTCTCAACACCCACAAAGCCCCAATTTTAAACAAAAGATCACAGGAATACCAGGAAACATGGAAACATGGCCCATTAAAGGAAACAAAATAAATCTATAAATACAACCCTAACGAAACACAGGACTCTAACTTGACAAATTATTTAAAATGATTGTCCTAAATATACTCATCGAACTAAAAGAGAACATAGACAACTAAGCAAAATTAGAAAAACAATTTATAAATGAAATAGGAAGATCAACAAAGAGAGAAATTATGAAAAAGATCCAAACAGGCAATTTGAAACTAAAAAATACAATAACTGAATTTAAAATTGTACTTAGAAGGATTCAACTTTGGGCTTAATTAGGCAGAAGAATCAATGGACTTGAGGAAAAATTATTTGAAATTATCAAGTCCAAGGAGCAAAATAACAATAATAAAGAATATAAACAGAGCCTGAGCGACTTATGGAACACTGTCAAGCAGACCAATAGATATATTACAAGAATTCCAGAGAGAGAAGACAGAAAGATAGAGGCAGAGAGTTTATTTGATAAAATAATGGCTGAAACCCTCCAAAATTTGAGAAAAATAATCATTATACAAAAAAAAAAGCTCGTCAAATCCCAAGTAGGATAAACTGAAAGAGACTTACAACAACACACATTATAATCAAACTTTCAAAACTCAAGCACAAAGAGAATCTTGGAAGAAACAAGAAAAAAGAAATTCATCACATAGAAGGAAGCTTTTATATGATTTTCAGTGGATTTTTTAGCAGAAACATTACCAGTCAGAAGGCAGTGGAATTACATATTTAATGTGCTAAAAGAAAAAATGTTGGCAACTAAGAACACTATAGCTGACAAACTTGTTCTTCAGAAATGAAGAAGAATGTAAGGCATTCCTAGATAAACAAAATTTGCGGGAGTTTGTTACTACTAGACCTTCCCTGCAAGAAATGTTGAAGGGAATTCTTCAAGTTGAAATGATGCTAGACAATAACTGGAACCCATATGAAAATATAAATTTTTCTGGTGAAAATAGATATTTGGGAAAATATAGAAATGTGGATTATTATAATTTGGGTTCATAGTCTATTTTTAATTCTTTTATAGAATTTAAAAGAGAAAATCATTTTAAAAAACTACAGTGTTAATGAGTACATAATATGTAAAGATGTAATTTGTGACATCAAAATATAAAGGGAGCAGAGCTGTAAAGAAATAGTAGAGTTTCGGATTGAAATCAAAGTTTAAAACAGTTATAACTTTAAGCTGTTTTATGTAATCCCCATGATAAACACAAAGAAAACATCTGTAGAATATACACAAAAGAAAATGAGAATGGAGTCACATTTTGTCAGCATTAAAAAATCAACTAAACAAAAAGGAAAGCTGTAAGGGAGGAAATGAGGGACAAACAAAGTCAAAAAGCAAGAAAAACAATGATCAAAATGGTGGTAGTCTTTGTCTCTATCAGTAAATATGTTAAATAAGAATGGAGTAAACTCCTCAATCAGAAAATGTAGATTGGCTGAATGAATGATAAAACAGAATTTCCCTATGTGCTATCTACAAGAGACTCATTTTAGATCTAAGATATACATAGATTGAAATTGAAAGCCTTGAAAAAGATATTTCTGTGCAAATAGTAACCAAAATAGAACATGGGATGGCTACCTTAATGTCAAACAAAATATGTTTTAGCTCAAAAACTATTACAGGAGACGAAGAAGGACATTGTATAATGATAAAAGGGTCAATTTTCGAAGAAGATGTAACATTTATAAACACAGATACACTAAACATAAGAACTTCTAAATATATGCAGCAAACATTCACTGAATTGATGGGAGAAATAGAAAGATCTATAATAATAGTAGGAGACTTCAACACCTCACTTTCAATAATGAATAGTACAACCAGACAGATGATCAATAAAGGAATAGAGGACTTAACACTAGAAAATAATCGGATCTAACTGACATATACTGAATACTCCACCCATCAACAGCAGAATATGCATTTTTCTCAAACGTGTATTTTGCTGTTGATGGATGGAGTGTTAGAACATTTTCCAGAATAGACTATATGTTGTGCTACAAAACAAGTGTTAATAAATGTAAAAAGATTGCAATTATACATTTTTTTCTGATCACAATGAAATGAAACTAGAAATCAGTAGCAATTACAAATTAAAAGATCCACAAATATGTGGAAATTATACAACCCATTCTTAGACAACCAATCAGTTAAAAAAAATCATAAGGGAAATCATAAAATGTCTGGAGACCAGCGAAAATAAAATCACAACATGGGATTATGGGAAGCAGTTAAACTTTGCTAAGTGGAAAATTTATAGTTTACTTAACATATTTTAACAAGTGAAAGCAATAAATGACCTAACTTTACACCTTAAGAAACTAGAAAATTAGACTCAAAACTCAAATCTAAAATGAAGAAATAAGTCCAAAGCTAGTAGAAGGAAAAAATAATAAAAATTAGGGTACAGAAAAACAAAAATAATATATTTCTTGAACTTATTCTATAGTATTTCCCATTATTTTCTATATATGGTATTGTATAAGAATCATCTGATGCCATGTTAAATCCCTTTTCTTTGAAAATAAACTTTATTTTCTTTCCTCACTTTTCTGAAAGAATCTAGGATATCTTGATGTTTCTCTTCTATTCTGTTGATTTTCTTCAAATACCTTGGTTGCATATTCATATATGTAAAAAAAGTTAAAGGCTGAATTGTATATATGGTGGATATGGATTTTCTTGGCAGCTGTTTGTGTTATTTACCCAGTATGCCTCTGTTGTGACCAGGATGTCTATCCCAAAGTGCTTTCAAAGTGGTGCGGCCTACTGATTACTTGAATTTAAAGTTTGGGGGTCTAAAACAAGCAGATATTTTTTCTCCTCACTAGCTGCCAAAAGAGGAATACATTTCCTCTGGCAGTGAGGAAATCTAGTTCATTTTTGTTTTCAAAAGAATTGTCTTTTTTTCCCCCATTCAGGTCTGCATTGGTGGTCTCAGTTACCTCAAAATCTGCTTTGCTTTTCTTGCAGGCGATAACACTAATACTAGGTACCCTCCCCACCCAGGGAAGTCATATCCTACAGAGTGTGGCTCTCAAATTTCAGCTTGAATTCAAATGCTCAATGCGGAATTGGATATGTAGATTGCTGTACTACTCCTGTAGTTTACTTCTGAGGATGTTTTAAGCTATATGTTCTTTAATATTCTTATTTGTTTAATAAACCTGTTTCACCAGTAGCATTGGAAAATAATTTCTAGTATTAAAGATAATTTATTGCTTTATTATGTGTCATTTTAAGGGTGTTGGGGTAATAATGGAAGTAAGTACATGGGCTAAGTTTAAAATCCTGGTCAAGTCTGGTAAACTTGCTGTTTAGGAACTTACTATGCATTGAGAGAGAAAAGCTAGTGGATTCAATCTCATGTATAGCTGCAAACATGATTTGTCTGGCCAAATGCCTTACAAATCTAAATGAAGCAGAATACTTTATGTGATATGGGCATATAACTATGATCTAGCTAACATACCAAAAATGTTTTCTTCATCACTAGCAAAAATTTCCAAAAATATCTGTAAACTATAATTTTCTAAGATACTGGTAGAAACATATCTTTGTGCAAATTAATAATATATTGGTACTGACAATATAAATGTGAATGTCTCAAAATTTATAGTCATACTTCAGATATGCAGAAAATAAATTTTATTTTGCTATAATTCGATTTGCATATAAGGCTCAAGTACTCATCTGTAGAGGGAAGGCAGAGGTGTTTTTGTGTACTGGAGTGTGGGGAGACTATTAATCTTACTCATTAAAAGCAATGTGCTCATTTCTGATTAGCCACTTAACTATTTTGGTAAGTATTTCACCTTTTAAGATTTCTACTCATTCTTATTTTTTTCTTCTAGCAGGTATTTCTGTGCAGGGGGAATTCATTTATTCATTCCTTTATTCAGTCAATTAGTATTAATTGAAAGTTGTTATATGTCAGACACTAAAGGTATACATGTGAAGGAGACCCACAATGCTTTGCCCTCACAGACTTGCATTCTAGATAGAAGATACACACACACACACACACACACACACACGCACACACACACAAAACGGGTACATAAATACAAAATAGAATTTTAGAAAATAATCAACACTATGAAGAAAATAAAACAGGGTAAAGGGATAGAGAGGATGGTAAAGGAGACTATTTTAGAAAGAATGTTTTGGGAAAAATCTCTAAGAAGAAAATTTTTAAGCAGAGAGTTGAATGAAGTGAGAGTATATAGCTGTGAAAATCTGAGGGAAGAGCATTTTCAGCAACAGAAACAACCTGCAAAGACCCCAGTAGAAATGACCTTCTCATGCTTGAGGAAGAACAAAAAAGTAGTGTGGCTATAGTAGGCTTAGAGTAGTAGCGGATGGGGTTGGAGGGATTAGTAGTGACCAAATCACATCGAGCTGAAAGTTACACCAAGTTGTTAGGGATAACTATCTGATTTCAGGCTGAAGTGTCCTACTTGGCCTCCAGAGTGGCAGCTTGTCTCTCTGCCCTCAACTACTCTCCCTCTGGATTACCTCAGCACAGAATACACACTGTGACAGGCTCAGCATCAGCTCCTACCAACACTGCTGATAATCTGAGATTTGCTTCTGTCTACCATGTCTTCATAGTCCCTGCTCTGGGAAATCTACCTTCAGATCTTGGGAATCAACTGGGGATTTCTTCCTCCCTTCACTCTGGTAGCCATAGATAGTTTTCCTTTATTTACTCTAAATCTTGCTGAAACAAAGAAAGACTTGTAGTCATCTCAAGCCCTCTTGGTCTAGGAACATTTGCCCTTTCCTGAAGCCTCCATAGTACTGCTGAGTCCTCTCACCATTATGGGTAGAAAGCAGACCTTAAGCCCTTTCTGCCTTAGAGACTCAAACGCCATATAGTTAACCCCCTTTCCCGAAATCATCACCTTTCCCACTGCCTGCCAGGATTTCCACTGCAAAGAGAGGCAGAGTTGGGCTCTGTCAAAGGCTCTCAGCCTTGCCTGATCCTGATGGCCCCCCTTTCACTCTTCCTCTTAGCATCTCATCTAATTCTTACTTCATTCTGTGAGGGGAGAAAGTGCTTTCATTCCTCCTGTCTTTCTCCTTTACTACTTTATGTTTAGTTTTTATAAACTACGTTCTTACTTCACCAGACTTTGGTTCTTGAGATCAAAGATGATTTTTATGTTTTATTTTGGAATCCAGAAAGTTTTTCTCAAGTTCCTGGCTCTTGGACTAAAAAGTGTGCATTTCATCCCTTTCTTTCTTTGTTTGATTGGGTTTTTTTTTTTAACACTGCTGTAATAAAAAAAAAAAAAACCTCTCAATTCAAAGCTGGGCAAGAGCAATGATTGATTTGTTTTCAACTGTGCCAGTTCTTATTCTGAGGACAATGTGTAGAGAAAGCTGTCACTGATCCATGACTATCACTGATCCGTGACTGTTAGGGGAAGGTATGGGGGAAAAAATCACATAGCTTAAACATTAGCCATCTACATATAGAAACTTTCCAGTGAATGTTTCCCCTTCAATAAACAGATGGATGGATGGACAGATAGATGGATGGATAGATATATGGATGGATAGATAGATAGATAAGATAGAAACACAGCCAGTCAGATGATATTAGAAATGGAAAAGGGAAGAGGATGGGGATACAACTCACATTTTTAAAGCATTTATACACACAAGGATACTAGTGGATAATTATCATTATCTTTATGTCTCAGTTGAAAATTGAGGCTCAAAGATGTTAAACAGCTCGCCAAAGGTCACACAGGAAATAGATGATAAAATTAAGACCAAAGCCTTTGTCATTGTCGTATCACAGTATGTATCAAATTAAACAATGTATATTCAAGATAATGTGGTAGATAAGTAGACAGCTAAATATAAGCCTTTTGGGTACTGAGAGAATTTTTAAAGAAAATATAAGTACTTCTTAAAATAAAATGTGTTGATAGGAAGATATCTGTGAATAATAATAATATTTGCCTGTTGACATTAGCTGAAATTGGATGTTTGGTTCCAACATACATAAATTGTTATCATCATCAGACTTTTGTATACTTCAATAGGCTAGCTTCTCACCTTTAATGTAGAGAGCTTTTCTGTAGCGTTTCCACCAGCCCTAGACCTGATATCCAAATAATGCTTTATTGGATACCAATGGAGATTCGGGATGTCTTAGCGGTTAACCACATTACACTGGGATCGGGGTCAAGAAAGCAGAATGGGGTTCAGTGTCATCCCCAAGATTAGAAGAGGCAAATCCTTGAGGCAGAGAACAGGTTGACCAAATACAAAGTCCAAATCCAAAGGGCAGGAGCAATGCTAAAAATACAATTTGGGTTTGAGGCAGAAGATAGGCAGAAACTAGATTAAAAGTCAGTTTTACTACTCCAAAGTATGGGCTCTGGGTACCATGACTATAGGTACTAATTTTCCAAAGTTACTTGCCTGTTGTCCCAGCGTGATAATTAATTGTTCTGCTTTCTTTCTCAAAAGTGTCCTGGTTTACGGGAACTGTAGTGGCTCCTGGATTGGAGGCAATTCTATAATCACCATATCCCTTCATGACCAGAAGCCATGTAGGAGCATTTGCAAATATTCTAATTGCTTGGGGTTACAAGTTGAGTAGAAAGTCCAGGGATGACTTATAGTGCCTGGCTATGTTGGACTCTCAGATAGTACTAAAATAGTAGTGAAAGCAGCAACAATGACACAGTAACTATAACACAATTATTCGCATTTGTAATATGGAAATTAGGCTGTCTCATACTTAGCTTCTATTTAGTATCTCTCTTATTTATTACATTTGTGTGCATAGCTGTTTGTACTACTATAATAAATGATTTTTGAGGTCAGTGACTCTGGCTTGTTCACCACAGAATCTTTCAATTTTTAGCATAAATCTTTGCACATTGTAGGTATTCAATAACAGTAATAAAATAACATCTTAACTATTCAGGCTAAAGAAAGTCCTCAGAGCTATACCGATTTTTAGATCAAACAGCTAGTGCTTGCTCTGTTTCTTTTTACCCATACACAATGTCATAGAGAAATAATAAGTTGTCCATAGCTACTGTTTGGGAGATTGCCATCATTGACTCTATTTTATAGATGAGGAATCTGAGGGTCAGAGATTTTATATAATTTTGCTTATGATAACCCAGGAATGTACTCACAGATCTGAGCTTTGAGCTCCAAATATTCTGTTGCAAAGTTAAACCTTTATCTAATGCACTGCCAATACATGTTGGAATATCTATGTAAATGATTTTTTTAAATCTGTCTGGGGAAATCTGATGATGAATTTCATACTTTTTCAATCTACTAGTACTGTAGTATTCATAGTCTCCCTTTGCATAAAATTTATGCTAGACTCTCTTCTTTAAAGCATTGTGTCTTCCAAAAACATCTTAGAATTAGTACAACAATAAACAATACATTCATGATCCTGTGATACTTTACAAGTTAAAAACAAACACATTTTATCGATTTAACAATTTTGCACCAATATATTACAAAACTCTCTCTGGATATTTTTAGGATAACAATCTTTGAAAGTTCTTATAAATAGATTGCTGAATTCTTATGGATTCATTGCTGTTCATGTGCTGTTAAAACCTTATGGACCGAAGAGTTTATTATTTTCTTGTACTGAAATCTACTTACTTAGCGAACCAATCACGTAACAACAACAATAACGAAGTAACAAAACCATACTTTAGCTCATTAATAAAGAATATCTTAAAGGCTTAGTGTTACAGATAATTATGGTAATATTTAATTCTAAAACATACAAGCATATAAAATAAAAATTATAACCTTGCATAGATGTAGCCATCATTGAATATGGGTTTTATTTAATCAGTATAATTTTACCCTCACTTTTTGGTCAGGAAATAAATATCTAAATAAATACTCAGGAGGTTAAAGGCCATACAAATTTCAAAAATATGTCGTTTCCAGTGCCTTCCATCTGAAAATCAGTATCTCACAATAAGTAACCTTATTACATTACCAAATCCTAGAGGCTTTGTACTGTGTTTGTAGACCTATGTTTGTGTCCTGGGTATGTAGCATGGGTCATTCAATGATTCTTGTCGATTAACTCAATGATCCATGTTTTTTAAAACATATATTTGACTAGATTTAAATAATATTGGATCAGACAGCCAATTCAGTGTATCTTAACAAGTGTCCAGTCAATTTAGTAAAATTAAGCAATTGGTAAAATGCCAGTCAATTCAAATAGTTGTTTATCTGGTATAGATAGGCTTTCAACTCTACCCTATTTCTGGATCCCTGATAGACACAACCAAACTTAAGCTTAATTATTAATCCAGTTGAAATGCTTCTCAGGAAGCCTACCTGTCTAGAAAACTCATTTTCAAATACATCTTGGGTAAAATTGTATTTAATACTTCTAGACCAGCTGACATTAAAAATTCAACATCCCAATTTTATTAATGAAATCATAACAAAACGTATCTTTGTTTAAAATATGAATTTCCAGTCTCTTAAATGTTTAATAAAAATCTGAAAATCAAAGATTAAAAGGAAATACTTTCAGAAACAACATACCAGAAAGACCAGGTCAAACCTTTGATGTTATACTTTGTTTCACCCCAAGAACAGTAAATTATTTTTGACATGAACAAATGTATAAAATACTATTTTTATCAGAAAACCTTAACCTGTAGGAAAGTGAAACATATTGTTTAACCTTCACGTGTTTAGAATTTCCACAATACCAAATAGAAATGTGTTGTCTTTGCTAAAGTTTCATATTTTTCGGCAGAATGGGAAAGCAAAATTCATTTGTCCTGCTATGACAACCAGCTTCTTTGTCTAATTTTCGTTTGTTTCTTTGGCAGCTAAAACACCTTGAAATTACCTTCTCCAGCATGGAAGAATGATTTTTTTTCCCTACCTCTAGCTGTCAGAGTGATTAGAATTTTAATTAGCAAAGTAGAGCGCAGAGAGGAAAATGACTAAAAAAAAAAAAGGCACAAAAGATTCTCAATTGGAGGAGAAACAAAGGGGCAACTGAAGCTGCCTAACAGCTTGATTGTCACTCCCGTGATTCCCCTCCATCCTGGATTCCCAGTGACTTAGCACGCTGCTATCCCTTAGCCCCACACCAGCATGGGATGGCAAGGATGCTGTGGAACATTATTCGTAGTTGTCACTCAAAGTAAAGTGAGGCTCCTAAAGTACCCGAGCTCTGAGCAGCTCTATTTCAATGTCACTATCAGTCTTTTTAATCTACTCTCAGTGACCTACTGTGTATCACAAGTCCAACCACAAAAGGCAGAATCCACTAAGTATTCATACAAATAAACAGTCTTAGGTGAGCAATAACAGCCTCAAGTTTCAAAGACACTCCTTCATATGCAGTGTGAGACATAACAGATAACTTTAATCAAGGAGACGTTCAAGAAATTTAAAAAATGTATTAGTTGTTAAATGTTTCATTGACTGTCTACGAGTCAGAATATTTCTAAAAAATCTAAGACAAACCAAAGTAGTCTAATTTAATTGCAATAGTTTTATCTCTATCCTTTGTCTAGTATCTATCTTACTGCAATAGTACTGCGTGTGTGTTTGTGTACGCATGTATGAGGAACAGATATTTATCTCTCTCAAAACTGTTTTAAAATTAGCTATGGAAAGCCACAGAATATCAGAGTCCCTTGACTTCAAGAGTTACCTGACTTAGGTTTGATCCTGGCTCTGTCTATGCTGGCTGGATGACCTTACAAACCTTCTTAAATTCTCTAAGCTCCAGTTTATCATCTGTTAAAAGTGGAGAACATAAAATACATGCCATGGAGATATCATAGGGAATGCGTCATTGAGACAATGAATATAGAATTATAACAATAATAATAAATATACACAAATAACTAAAAGTAGATTATAAGTAAAGTGATAATTGCTTTGTAAGAACAAAGGGATATACATTTAAACTGAACTGTGAAATATAGGAGAGATATTGATGGGCCAAAATAGGAGCTGGTAATTTCAGAAAGGAGTACAATTACAAAAGGGCAAGAATAACTTGAGGATGGTGAGTAATCTAAGAAATGTAGTGATCATGAGAACCAATGGTGAAAAGAGAAATTTGGTACAGTAGGCTGGCATGGGAATATGATGTAATCTGAATTTTATGCCAGAGTTACTGGGACTCCAGCCTGTGTGCAATAGAGTATTTTAGAGGAAGGGCATGACATGAATGATCCTATGTCCCATAAATATTATCTGATATCACTGTGTACTATGGATGAAGGCAGAAAAAAACAGTTCATAATCAAAGTGAGAGGAAATTGAACTCTGATGGTAGTAACTGGCACATACAGAAAATAATAATGGAAGAACTATTACTAGAAAAGTGGGACTTGACATCACATCAGGCAATAGAGCAAGAGAGAAGAAGAATCAATGATAAGTATAACATTTCAAGCCTAGGGGGGTTGGAAAATGTCATGCTATTTGTACACATAGATGTTACTGCAGTTTTCAAAACAGAAAAAAAGTTTCAAGGGAATGATCAAAGCCTGAGTTCACAATTGCAGAATGGAGTAATATCAGAATCATGTGACAAATATTGTTCCAACCAAGCTGCTGCCAGATGGGATATAGGTTCCCCTATGAAATTTAATTACTTCATTCTTACCACTTAAATCCCATTTATTGGATTCATTTTTAACTGATTACTAAGGACCACAGAAGACATTGGGAGAATCCAACTTAATTTTTAAGTTCCATAATGTGTAATATTTCCTTATTTTTAAAATAAATCTAAGGTACTAGTATTCCTTTTACTAAACCTATAATTTAATATAGTAGAATTAGTTTATATATTGTCAGTGTCATTAATTTGGAATTCATACACTTAGGATGTAGCAAAATGCTATGTATTTCTTCTCTACCACAGAAAATTGAATAAAAATAGATGCATTACAGGCAAATACCAATTTATAACCACCTAGCCAAAATTGTTCTATTTTCTAACCATTATGAGTAACAAGTGATTCAAATTCCATTTTCCATGCAATTTCTATATCAGTTGAAATATGGGCTAAAGAGCTAAAACCAGAAGGCTTTCAACAAATGGATCATTGTCCAAGCTCTAGTAAATGTGCTACTGGTGTAACAAATTGGTTTGCTGCCCTTTTGTCTGGTAACATAACGCATGACATATTTGTAATTTATGGAAATCAATCCATAGAGAATTTTAGTTTCATGTAATTATAGATCACTGCAAGATCTAAATAAAGGTGAAGAAAAGGTCTTTGGGAAAGTAATGGTACGCTATTGATAAAAAACAAAAAGCAGAGTTCAAAGCACT
This sequence comes from Homo sapiens, assembly GCF_000001405.40. Taxonomy (NCBI): domain Eukaryota; kingdom Metazoa; phylum Chordata; class Mammalia; order Primates; family Hominidae; genus Homo; species Homo sapiens. The sequence continues at coordinate 125,715,632 of NC_000005.10, forward strand.
GATCCATGCAATGCATCTTTAAATACTGGTAAGAGACCAATAATTATAGTTAAAGTCAGTTACCAGCTGTGTTTCACTGCACACATTTAAGGCACCATTGAAACTGCAACCCTATACTCAAGAATATAGGGGAAAAAATCACTAGACCAAATCTATCACCTAGTTAGAAATTGTAATAGTGCTTGTCAATTTCCATCTTCTTTTCTTAAGTGTTATTTATATCAGGTAGTTACCAACCCAATCAGATTATCTCTTTTTAGCAGTCAGTTCAGCCTCTACCTGACTGAACAGTGTGAGCCAGCTCTGCTTTTAGCAGATCTCAGTTCAAAGCCTTACTGTGTCACATAATAAAAGTGTCACACTGGGAAAGCTACTCAAAACTTCTGTGCACACATTAGGATTTTGAGGTGCTTTGAGGATTAAATGTGGTAATAAGTTTCAAGTGCTTTGAATGGTGCCCAATACATACTAAGCTCTCCATAAATGTTAGCATGTTTGTTAAATCATTATTATTATTTTAGAGGGAGGATTAAAGAGGAAATTTATCTGTCACGTCTCTCTCTCTCCTCTTTCCTGTCTCCCATTTGATAAAGATTACCCCAATAGGAGTTAATTCCCCTGCACTTTTGTGTTTGTTACCTAATTCCTTGGGTAGCATATGGAAAAGTCAGCTTTTTTGACCTGTTTTTGCTAAAATAGCCATGTTACACTTTCTTCTAGTTCCTAAGAAATGCCAGGCTCCAATACATGGATTGCTCCTTATGTGTAGAAAACGCCATCTCTTTGCTTGCTTACTCTTATTCATACTCCGTGTCCCAGCCTAGACATTCCCTCTCCCAGGAAACTTTCTCTGATGCATTTATCAGATAATCAAACACTCTTCTACCTGCTCCCAGAGCATGGGCTCTTTCCTCTTAGCACCCTCCATTCCTCAGTGTAAATTGCCTGTTGCCTGTCCTGTAGGCTCCCAGTTGATTCCTGTAAGAGCAGGGACTGTGCTTATTTTGCTTATTGCTATATCCCTAACATCTACTACAATGCATCACACACAAATATCAATAGATATTTGCAGAATGACTGTATGCAGGACTGTTGTGGTTATTAAATACTATTAAAATGCCTGCCATAACTTAACATAAATTAGGTATTCAACTCTCCACTCTCAATACCAGCACTTAGTACATGCTTAAGTATGTAGTATCCTTATTTTCTAATACTCATTCTCAATCACTTTTTTTTCCTGACACCAATTTGGCATCTATTTGTGCAACGTATTTCCACATGTAATTATTTTACCTACTAATCTTAACTTAGCTCTTTTTCCCTCCTACTCAATAAAGAATATAAAAATACAAACAAGAGAGCAGGGAGGGAAGGAAGGAGAGAGATAGAGAAGGAAGGAAAGAAAGAAAAAGTAGTCCAAGAAAGTATTACCCAATAAATAACCAACATTCTAACCTAGAGTTTAAGATGAACAATTCCCAAGAAAACTATCATGGACATTTAAGTTTAAAGATACCATGGCAATTAGAATTTCTTCCAAGGAAATCAGAACTCCACATTTCTTCCAAGGTTATCTCTTAGACACAGCACACTCAAGGTGGATAGTTGCAGACTGTTTAATAAAGGAACTATTAACAAAGATGTAGGCAAGTTTGGGAGAAACCAAAGAACTGTGCAGATTCCTGAGGCCAGCAAGAGTGGTGAGTCATTTAGCTCTCTTCAGCATGAATGGGGAAGAAGAGGGAATAGTTAAACAAGCCAGCAATAAAGAGCTATACAGAGAGACCTACATGATGAAAAGCATGACCTTTGGTAAAGGAATGCTGACAACTTCCAGTGACCCCACAAGGAGGAATCTGGAAGAATAAATACCCCAGCTATATTCTCATCCTTCAGCCAATTCAACCAATAGTCCCACTGGCCAACTTGTAGCCAGAGTGTAAGGCAGCCTATGGATGCAATCTTTCTAGTTCAGCCTTCTAAAGCAAAAAAAATGAGGAGGAAAAATGGTGGTGAGTAAATCAGGGTTGCAACCAGAAGATATGCACAGCTTATACATTTTAGCTTATACATTTTAGCTATTCTTTAGTTTGCCAAAATGTAGAGTATTCCCTTCCCCCGCTGCTGTCCAAACTCAGTGTAGATCATGGGCATGAGAATTTAATATCACATAATGCCCAAAGTATTTCTCTTAAGAATAGACTTTCCCTCATGAAACATCTACCTTGATTTCACAGCATTGTCTCTTAAGAACTGATCTCAGTTTTCTAGGAACATTCGACACTTGATGATGTTGCCATTTTCAGTGATAGGAAAATGATGTTTGCCAATAAATATAATTGCAGAAGAAAGGTATATGTGCCATTTGTTCCTCATGTTGCCAATAACAGAAAGAGAAGTTTCTCAACACCTGGCAGAGAAACTGAATCCATACTAATGGCTAGATGAATTGGGGCAGTGGTTTAAAGACATAAGCCAGGCTGGGGAGTGAGTTAGACAAAACCTAACTCAATAGCAAATAATAGTGACTGGAAGGGATTCCACACCAGCATGTTGCCCCAGAAATGGATAAACATAGAATTAAAAGTCCTTAAACAGGTTTTTGCACTTTTCCTCACAGCTCTAATAAAAAGTGGTTACAGGTGCCTGGGCAGGTAGATGGCACTTTTTAAACAAGACAAATATTTTAAATTACTGGCAAAAAAAAAAAAAAAAGACAAAAAGTTTTAAGACCAAGTGATATCAGCCTTATTCTCTTCTATCCCCAGTTGCCTACCATGTTGCTTTCTAAGTCACAGTTCTTAGCATGGTAAATAGATGTGGATTCCAACACGTCCTCCAATTAGGAAGAATAGTGTGCTGATAAGCCCATGTGAAAAATACATAAAAATACCACTGGTTGCTTTCCAAAAAAAGACATAACATTTTTATAATTTTTATTATAGCTGAGGAGGACGTGTGGAGAACTAGAATTTATGCATTTTATGACAATATATAGGCCGGGTTTTGAGCCCTGGCTGCATATTAGAATCACCAACAGACCCTTTAAAAATATCCATGTCCTGGCTCAACCTCCAGCTATTCTGATGTGAATGGTCTGATACAGGATAAGCCACTAGTATTTTTTAAAAGCTTTGTAGATGATTTTAATGACATTCAGGGTTGCAAACCACTATATATAGAAATGGGATTTTATCAAGTTTATTAGACTGTTCTTTAGGTATGTATTTAAAAGGCAAAGAAGAAGACAGAGCTATTCAGTAATCAAGAGTCATGTCAAGATTTGAAAAGATTTTTTTGAAGACAGGAAGAAAGTTTCACAATTATTTGATGAAGGCAATAGACGATGTTTAAAAGCACAAACTTTTATGACAATTTTGAGTTTCAACTCTGCCATTTCCTGGTTTTACAGTTTGAGAAATCATTCTCTCTATAAAAATAAATATAATATCTACCTTGTGGAATATCTGCGAGGTTGTGTGTGTGTTAAATGGAGTGATATATGTAAATCACTCACCATATAGCCATTGTTCACTAACTGACTGATTTCTTTTTCAGGTGCAACCATCCTCCAAGCCCAGTTCCTTTCCAGGTATGCCTGCGTAATCCTGATAACTACCTACAAACAAACAAATAAATCCTAATAATAATAATAATAAAAGCAAAGGAGCTTATCAAAATTTGTGATCAGAACAGAAAACTAAGGCAGAAATCCAGCTATCATCATCATGATGTACTCAATTATTCAGAAGCAAGTTTAGCTGTTAGCTTCCATATTTCTAAAATATACCACTTTGGTCTAGACTGGACTGTATGTAGAGAAAAATATAGAAATTTTATTTCAAAAGACATTAAGACATTTTATTCCAACCGTGAAATTCTAAAATGAGGCCACCCTGAAAAAAAATCCAAAAGAAACATAAACCTTATAACATATTGAAAGATTATCTCTGACCTAATTTTCACAATTTGAGAAGTGGTTTAAAAAACCCCAAAGAGCAGCTTTTTCCAAAGAAAAACACTTGTGTTATAACCTTCCTTCCACAAACTAAATCCAGAAAGGCCGTGTCAAACTATTAAAACTCTCAGCCACATGGAGATGGTTGACTAGACCTTGAGCCCTGCACATTGTACAAATAGTTTTAGTTAAGTCAATAAAAGATCTCCTAGGCCAAGGTCTTTTAAAAGTTATAACCGGAGTGGGAGGTACACTACCCATTTCTCCAGCCTCTAAAAATATTTCCTTGTAGAACAGTCTCTCTGTAAGACAGATCTGTTTGCTCCAGTTTCTCCCTGCTCTATGCCTCACGTGGGAGTACTTGCAAATAGAGCGCCTGGAGGGATCAACACAGTTTTTTAAAGCAAACATAACACAAGTGCTATTCATGGGTTACACACTCCATAGCTGTAATACGAAACGTGTAGAAGCAGCCCCTAATGGCATTCAAATCATGTACTAACAGTTCTCAAGTGTCAGGTGTTTTTCATTTTCTAGCTAGGGGTAGAGATATTCACGTGCTGATTTCCTACACTGAACAGCTTTGTAACCCCCGCAGAGTGAAGGCGCACTGTGTTTCTGAGTCTCTATTATGTCAGATGAATGCCACAGTTAGAGGCCAGAAAGGACATGTGATCCTAGTTTAGATTCTTTTTTTTTTTCAGCCATCTCTCAGCATTTCAGTGGTGTGGATTTTATGTGTACACATGAAACTGAAAACGCATAGAGCATGTATCAATGTTAAATTTCACATGAAAGACTGAGGACACATACTTTCCTATCTGGGCATAATTTAATACGTCTGTAGACACTTTGATCTTATTGAAGGTTTGTATTTTCAAAATGGCCTCTTGCAGTGCCCCAGATGGCTGCCTGTCAAACCCAAGCATCAAGCTAACTATAAATACTGTGGGTTCTCACTGGAACAATGAGGTTTGCATTATACATGCTAAGGGAATTAAGATACATTTTATTTATTTAAATCTTTTTTTACTTTAAATATGACTTGGTCATAGAATAATATAATATTAAAACCTATTTTAGAAACACCAAAAGGTACATTTATTACATATGGTGTATCAATAATTTCAGATTAGCATTAAAGAGTGTATTTGAAACTATGTTTTGGACTGGACATTCACCATTATACTACCTAAATATTTGGGATTCAGTAAAATCTAAAACATTTGTACCAAACCCTTTTTTCATTACATTCTCAGTTTTGTATCCCAAGGCTATTCAGTCCATTTGTTCCAAATTCATTTCTATTAACCTCATTAAGATAGTGCTTTGGAAACAAAACTCTTGATACGCAAGATGGTCTCTTTAAAGCCATTTATCTTAATTTCTGAGGTGACTGGAACTTTAGGTTAAAAAAAGAGTTTCCTTCAGTGTTGAATTTTAAACATCTCCTTTAAGGGGAAATGAACAAAATTATTTGTTGTCTGAATACAACATATGGGCATATATTTACTACCTCATATTCAGTTAAACACATACGAAAGAAGGCATTTCATAGCGTTTGAAAAATTGCTGAGTCAATTATGTGAAAAGTAGCTATGTAAAGATACTCTGCCCATCCCTAATTTTGGTTAAAAATTATGTACTCAAATGATCGTGAGAACACACTTTCCAGGATAAATGAAAAGCTTTCCTGGTGTTTTGTTTTGTTTTTTATAACCAATGTCTATTTTGCAATCCTTGTCTTCTAGTCCTAAGCAAGCTGGGTCCCTAAGAAGGCTGGAGATACATGTACTAAATAATCAACCACTCTGTTGGCAAATGATAGCTACATCATACCTGCATCTTGTAAATAGCTTTAATCACAAGGTAGTAAAAACGTGAACCAGAGGAAAAAGTAATAAGTAATCTTGTACACCTGTCTGCATGTAACTAAAATCTACATTCTGTGAAAGTAGGAATAGTGATTTGGTAAGGACTGGGATAGAATTCACCTGACATTTTAATAATGACATGGCTGCCAGCACAAGGAGTCGTGGTGAGTCCTCTTCACTGCCCCATCCCCATCCCAGAATCACCCACTCGCGGGCCTCAGGAATGGAGAATATCCACAGTGTGGTAGAATCTCCCAGCACTGCTCCTTTCTGGCTTTGAAATCTTGAGTAAGTTAATTAACCTCCCAAAACTGTCTCTTCACATCTAAGGATAACTAAGGTATATACCTAAATTTGCCTACTGGTTATAAGGAATTGACACAGTGTATGCAATGTGTCTATCACCAAAGAATTGAAAAAATAAATAAATTATTATTTTGATTTAAATAAGTTTGCCTTCTGACAGTTATGCTATGAACTATCCCAGAATAGATGACACAAGAGATAGACTCACCCTAAAGATATATTTGAGTGTATCTTTATTAAAAGCAGTGATGTCTTAACCACAAGAGAGATTGATCCAAGTGAACTGTTCAAAGGGGATGAATTTTATTCAGCAGAAATCCTTCATGAGAAGACTGGGCTAGAAAAGTAGTAACAGAGCCACACAATTTGTTCTCTTGAAGGAGAGGGAAGGGAGATTTGGTGGAGCTATTGAGTCTTCAGATCATTACAGAGTTCTAGTCAAGATTTGCTTGCGCGATGAGTACTAATATGTACATTACCGTTTATCCATGTACAGTCATGCACCACAAACAACATTTTGGTCAACGACAGGCCACATATCCCATGGTGCTCCCGTAAGATCCTAATGGAGCTGAAAAATGGCTATCACCTAGTGACATCTTGATGATCCTGACCCTGTATAGGCCCAGGCTAATGTGTATGTGTGTGTCTTCATTTTTAGCAAAAAAGTTTAAAAAGTAAAAAATAAAACATTCTAAAAATAGAAAAAGCCTATAGAATAAAAATATTAAAAATATTTTTGTGCAGCTGTATAATGTGCTTGTGTTTTAAGCTAAGTACTATTACAAAAGAGTCAAAATTTTTTTTTAAATTCAAAATTATAAAGTAAAAAAGTAGAGTAAGCTAAGGTTAATTTATTATTGAATAAAGAAAAATATTTTAATAAACTTAGTGCAGACTGGCTGTTCTGTACAGTGTTTATAAAGTCTATAGCAGTGCACAGGAAAGTCCTAGGCCTTCACATTCACTCACCACTCACTGACTCACCCAGAGCAACTCCCAGTCTGGCAAGCTTCATTCATGCTAAATGCCTATACAGGGGTATCATTTTTTATTTTTTATATCATATTTTTTCTGTAAGTTTTTTATGTTTAGATTTGTTTAGATAACGCAAATACCATTGTGTTACAACTACCTACAGTATTCAGTACAGTAACATACTGTATAGGTTTGTAGCCTAGGAGCAATAGGCTATATACCATATAGCCAATGTGTGTCATAGGCTGTACCATCTAGGTTTATGTAAGTGTGCCCTATGATGTTCACACAATAACAAAATTGCCTAATGATGCATTTCTCAGAAAATATCCCCATCAATAAGTGACCCACGACTGAACTTAGAACATAGGAGAGGAGTAACATGACTCCTGTCAAAAAGTTAACAGAATGTGTGGAAAATTAATACCATGGTGATAGTTTCAAGCAGCATAGTGAATATTTATCATTATTTTAGGTAATCTGGATTATGAACTCATCTGCTCAGTTCAAAGCTTGAGTAGTTTCACTTTTTATGAAACTCAGCAGTGGCTGCTCCTCATTATAGAACCTGAAAAGATTAGACATTCAATTTCCCAGCATCCTTTGCAGTACTGGCAGGTGACTTATCATCTGCAAATCAGAGACATACACTTGGACTTGGATTTGGAAGCTTGTACAGGGGCACCTTCTCTTTGGCAGTGGTGGCTGCAGCAGTGTCAGGATGATGGGGTCCTTGGAGGGTGAGAAGTACTATGAGGTGATTAGTGAAGCATCTAGCTCTGTCCCAGGGCAATGGCTAACTCTCCAAACCACTTCTGTGGTGTTCAGGTAATTATTTCCATATATTCATCCTCCATGCTGGCTCTTCAGTCTCACCAAGGTTTCAATGAGCTTCATAATAGCCTTTAGGGAAATATGTTTTATATGTAAAAGTTGGATCCTCTTGCTTGTCATAAGGAACCTGATTGATACATAGGTCTTATGTCCCATAACTTAGAATGCCCATGTCAAATTCCTGAAGGCACTGTTTAAATTGTCTTTATTTTTTTTTATTTTCCAAGTAGTCATACTATCTGGCATACTCTAGTTGTTCAATGCATATTGAAGAAATGATTTATTTTGATTTATTTCCGTTTCCCTTTTCACAAGAGGGAGAAGATATAGAGTGCAAACTTCATACTTTCTATTTATCCTCTAAATGGGTCTGTAATTGTTTCAGGTGTATATCATAGAACTAAATATAATTACCTTAAAATAGGCCTTTTTGTTCCCTGAAATTATATTTTGCAACATATGTTGGTTCCTTTGGAGAAAACTACTGATATGACTATGTCTGAAAAAGAAATCTCTCTCATGTTCTCTAATTCCCAGGGTGGAAAAATTTGAGCCACTATTGCATATTATCTAATGACAAATCTGTACCATTTTTTCTTTTTTTAGGTTAGGTAGAAAAGAGCTACAAATGGTGCCAAGGGAAAAGCAACCCATGGTATAAAAAGCCAATAAAATGGCATTTTTGGCTTAAGAGTTCAGATGCTAACTTTCAATTTAAAATCATTAATGATTTAAAATATGTCACACTAACCTCTGTCCAGAGATAAAATTCTTAGATAATAACTGCCAATTTGGGAACATACCATGCAAGCACTTGACATATATTATCTCAATTTTGCAGTAGTACTGCAAACGGGAATTATTAACATTTTACTATTGAAGAAATAGAATTTCAGGGAAGCAGAGGAACTTACTTGAGGTTGTGTTGTTAGAAGGTTACTGAGCCAGGATTTGTAAATCAATCTATCTTAATCCATTCTCCTCTACTACCCTGCCTCTCTAGATTAGTAGAGGTAAACCTGGCTTTTCAATAAAGCCTTTCATTTTATAGATGGGGAAATAAACCTGAGAGGGTGAGGACCACATTCCTCTCCTAGAACAGCCCCATATGCATGGAAGAGAAAATAATGAATGGTTTGCTAGAAGATGAATTTTTTTTTTATTTTAGTGTTCAAATTAATTATATATATTTACAGCTGCTATTCCTATTTAGTTGTTTCTCAAGCACTTAGCACAATCTTCATAGTTCCTGATAAGAAAATGATTGAGTACTATAATATACTATAGCACAAATATCTAGGACTTTATAGTTATTAGACTAAACAAATTGTAAAGTAGTAAATATTAGAATTATAAACAAAGTAAAATGAACTATTGGGCAAACGTGGCAGAAGAGGCCTTGGTATTTTGAATCAACTAAAGAGAAAAAGTAAACAAAAGGAAGTTCTGTATTTTATTTAATGATTTTGGGTGATGTTAACAAAAATGAAGTTAAGGACTGGGAAGTAACAACTTGCCCTAATTTATAGATCAAGGTAATTTGCTCTATATCAGGACTTAATTTAATTATATCAAAAAAGACTTATTTATATCTAAAAGGTTATTTATATCTACCATATAACCTCACTAGCGAAGATCTGAATTAATCAGGAATCTTCTAGTCACTATCCCCCCAAATATATATATATGAGACAATATGTGGTTCTTTTCTCGATTGGTGACTTCAGAGCTTCCTATGTATGAGTGTGAAGGCTCCAGGACAAGTAAAGTAACTATTCAGGTTATTCTTCCTGGTACCAGGAAATCCTCCAAAACTGTCTGTAGTTGTCTGTAAGGGTGGAAGTTGACAAGACTGTCAGCTCTTGAAAGACAGCTTTTCTGCCTTTTAACTAAAAGAAAAATAAGACGTAATTTCTTCTTTACCAGCCATCCCATTCCACTACAATTATAAGGCTGATTAAACACTGAAGCTGGCTACAAATTGTGGGGAATCACCATCCCAGCAGACATTTTAAAATGTAACAGAAACCCATTCATTTTCAATGGCTAACTATTAGTATTTCTGGAAGTGGCAGATTGGACCAGGTGACCTCTCGGACAGACTTTGTTGTCCCATAATGTCATGGAATTAAATGGCCAGAAGCTTGGAGGAATATAAAATAAGTCCAACTCCAATCTTTTGGATGACATTAGTGAGAGCAGGTGTGTCTGTATTAATCGGCATGTGGCAAAAATGCTCATGCCTTCTAATGAGATGACAGTGGCTGTGTTGTGCAAACTGTCATGACTGAAGCATTCCTGCGTGGCACTGAAGCTCTTGGGCACTTGTCCAATCTCCATGTGTCCATCTCCAGCAGCGGCTGAGAAGGAGGACGGTAACTTTGGAGATGAAATTCATGTGCATAAAATAGCTCTAAGACTATTACTTCCAATCACTGAAACATTAGTTCTGTGAAACATACTTCAGAACAAAATTCCAGTCCACAATGGAATAAGATTAAAACATAAGGAGTAGTTTCTGTAGTCACATAAGGGCTCCACTGTAATAGCCAAGAGAGAAAGAAATTAATGTTCTTGCCGTCATGTCCCTGTGGTGTTCTGTGACTTGCAAAGCTTGAGCTGAGGGTTTTAAAATATTGCATATTAAATCTTGCTGAACATTAAAAATAAAGTAATGAAAACAGAATGTTGTATTTTGTATCTTCAATTTCCTTTCACAGAATACTGTCTTATTTTAGAGAGAAAGGGCAGAATAATCCCATAATGAAGCTATTTATTACATCATTCTATTTTCATAACATCCTTTTTCTCATTGCCTTTTATATAAATGAGAACTAAATAAAATGCTAGTTAAAATGTACATTTTGCTTTAATATATAAAGAGACAAAACTATTCAATTCAATGAAGCAGGATGAAGCATTAACCTTTGAAGAGCAAGGGTTCATTGACTGAGGATTGATGGAGTGATTCTGTATTTTATCAGATCACTTAAGCCAAAATGGAGTGTAAGTTAATTGGCTATTTGAAAGCATTGCAAAGACAGTTTCATGGTTTAAAAAGCACACATTTCCATTACCATCAGTTGGATCAAGGTAAAGTTATTTTACATTGTTTTTACATACTTTTATAGCATAGTAAGGGAAATACATTATGTAAAGATAGATGTTTACAACATTGCTGCTTTGTGAAAAATTTACAACTCAGGATACACATTAAAATATCTAGTTCTAATGAATCATGTGGATGAAATAACACTGTTGTAGTTTAATTATAGGGAAATACAATTAAAGATGCTAAGATTGCATATGTGTATACAAAAATATTAGAAAAACATAAAGGAATAATCCTTTGACATATGTAAATTAAAGGCAAATTTATTTTTTATTAATTTTTAAAATTTACTAAATAAGTAATATCAATTTAGTAAAAATCAATGTTATAGCACAAAAGAGCTTACAGTAAGAGGTAATTCTCTTTCTTACACTTGTCCCCTTGGTATTCAGTCCACCTACCTGTAATCAGCTAGTGTTACTAGTTGTTTTTATCTATACAAATATATATAGTATGTGCATGTACAAACATATGTATGTGTATTTTCTCCAGTTAGAGAATAATCTACAACTGTTTACACTTTATTTACTTTACTGAACATATCTAAAATATTGTTTGAGAGCAGCACAGATATGCATGCATGCACACATAGAATCATAGGACATATAAAGACAGATATGTAGAAAGATAAATAAATATATCTCCTTTTTAATAGCTGCATAATATCTCCTCTGTGAGTACCCTGATATTTAGCTAGTCTTCTTTTCAATGTATCATCCTTACAAAAGGCACTGCATTTGTTTGTTTTCAATGTATCATCCTTACAAAAGGCACTGCAGTAAATCCATATAACTGTGTCAGATCCACATGTAGAAATAAGCTCTCATGATAAAATCTTAGATGTAGAATTGCAGACTCAAGAGGTTATGAATATTATTTATTTATTATTTTATTTATTTATTTATTTATTTATTTGAGACAGAACTCTATTGCTCATGTGGCAGTGCAGTAGCACGATCATGGCTCACTGCATCCTGAACCTCCTGAGCTGAAGCAGTCCTCTCACCTCAGCCCTTGAGTAGCTAGAACCACAGGCATACACCACCATGCCCAGCAAATTTTTTGTGGTTTTTGTAGAGACAGGGTTTCGCCATGTTGCCCAGACTGGTCTCAAACTCCTGGGCTCAAGCAATCCACCCACCTTGGCCTACCAAATTGCTGGGATTACAGGTGTGAGCCACTGTGCCCAGTTATATTGTTTATTTTTGTAAAAATTGAAAAGGAAAATTTCCTTTCTGATGGAAAAATATTTGATAAACACTAACAATTTACTACCTAGTTTGTCCCAGTTTATACCCCTTCCAGAAGTAAATGAAACAGCCTGTTTGTCCCAGGCTCCCCAACCCTGTGCAGCTATTATGCATTTATTCAGGGAATATAGAGTGCTTGCTCTGTGCCAGTTCCTGGTTAGGTGCTGTAGCTATTGAGGGAACAAGAGAGACAATGTTCCTAACAGCATGTGTGTACATTCTTCCTATTATGTATTAGAAAGGTCAAATAATTAAATGAATAAAATATTTTTAGGTAATTTTAGGTAGTAAAGAGTGTTATCAAAATAAAGCAGAGCAAAGGGATGGAGAGTGGTGGAGTGAGAGAGGGGTAAACCCAGAGAGGGTGGTCAAGGAAGGCCTTTCTGAGATGGCGACACTCAAGCATAGACTGAATAAGGAGACATAAAGGTCTGAGAATGGACCATCTTGGTATAGGGAAAATAAGCAGAAGATTCTTGATATTCTTTGGTGGATGTGTCCAAGGAAGAGCAAGAAGACAAGCCTGTCTAGAGCAGAGAATACAAGGGGTTGGGGGTGGAAAGGGAGGGTTTCCCAGACACAGCGAGAGTCAATCAGATAGATCTTTGTAGGACATTGGAGGGTTTAAGTCTTCCTCAAAGTGAGACAAGACCCTCATTAAATGCTGTGATTTGAACGTGTTCCCCCAAAAGTTTATGTGCTGGAAACTTAATCTCCTGTGCAACAGTGTTGAAAGGTGGGACCTAATAAGAGGTGATTGGGTCATGAGGGCAGACCCCTCATAAATGGATTAATGTCATTATTGAAAAGGTGGTTTAGTTTTCATGAGGTTGAGTTGTTATAAAGCAAGCCCAGCCCCTGGTGCCTTTCTCTCTGTCTCATGCACTCATTTCTGCCTTCTGCCTCTCCCGGTGGAATGACCCTCACCAGTTGCCAGAACCATGCTCTTGAACTTCCCAGCCTCCAGCACTGTGAAAAATGTTTTTCATTATAAATGATACCAAGTCTCAGGTATTCTGTTTCAGCAACAGAAAACAAACTAAGACATAAAGTTGGTACCAAGAAATGGAGTTGATGTTATAACAAATACCTAAAAATGTGGAAGCTTGAGACTGGGTAATGGGCAGCGGCTGGAAGAATTAGGAGAATCAGGCAAGAAAAAGCCTATATTGTGAATAGAACATTAAGGGTGATTATGGTGGGGGCTTAGAAGAAGAGAAGAGCTGTAGGAAAAGTCCAGAACTTCTTAGACTACATAAGCAGTCATGATCAGAACATTGGTAGAAACACAAACAGTAAAGGTACTACTAATGAAGACTTAGATGGAACTGAGGATCAGCATATTGGAAATGGGGGTAAAGGCCATCCTTGTTGTACAGTTGCATAGAACTTGGCTGTACTATGTCCATGCCCTTGGGTTTTACAGAAGGCAGAAATTAAAAGTGATAAACAACCACCATTTGTTGAATAGGGTGTCCTTTCCCCACTTTATGATTTTGTTTGCTTTGTCAAAGATCAGTTGGCTATAAGTATTTGGCTTAATTTCTGGGTTCTCTGTTCTCTTCCATTGGTCTAGGTGCCTATTTTTATACCAGTACCATGCTGTTTTGGTGACTATGGCCTTATAGTATAGTTTGAAGTTGGGTAATGTGATGCCTCCAGGTTTGTTATTTTTGCTTAGTCTTGCTTTAGCTTTCCAGGGTGTTTTTTTTTTTTTTTTTTTTTTTTTGGTTCCATATGAATTTTAGGATTTTTTTTCTAATTTTGTGAAGAACGATGGTGGTATGTGGATGGAAATTGCATTGAATTTGTAGATTGTTTTTGGAAGTATGTACAATATTGTGGAAGAATGAAACTGGATCCTTGTCTCTCATACAAAAATCAACTCGCCAGGCAGGGCCAAGATGGCCGACTAGAAGCAGTGGAGGGTTGGAGGCTTCCACCAAGAACCAAAACAGCAGGCGAATCCTGCACTGGCAACTGAGGTATCCAGGTTCTACCATCAGGACTGACTAGGTGCTTGGTGTGACCCTCAGAGAGCAAGGAAAAGCAGGGTGGTGTGTTGGCCCACCTGAGAGCCACACTGTGCAAGGAATACCCCACACCCCAGCCAAAGGAGGCAGTGAGTGAGCATGCTACCAAGCCTGGGGAACCATGCTTTTTACATGGAACTGTGCAACCCACAGATCAGAAGATCCCACTTGTGAGCCCATGCCACTAGGGCAAACCACAGAGCCAAGCAGATTCTCAACAGCCACACGGTTGGACTCTGCCTAAGACCAACTGAGTTCCTGGGGAGAGAGGTGGCTGTCTTTGCTGCTGCTGCCTGCTGTCTAAGCCTTCTGAGCTCCCTGTGGAAAGTGTAGCAGCCATCACTGTGGCTATTTAAGACAACTGAACTTCCCGAGGGAGGGGTGGCCATCATCACTGCAGCTGCCTGCTGTCTAAACTGCCTGAGTTCCCTGGATGAGGGGTAGCAACCATCACTTCAGCTGCCTAAGAAAACTGAGCTCCCTGGAGGAGGGACAACTTCCAGTATTGTGGCTGCTAACTACCTAAGACACTGAACTCCCGGTGGGAAAGGGTGGCAGCCAGCACTGTAGCTCAAGGCCACGTTTTTCCCCTGCAGGAGCCAGGGAGACTGGACGGCTTGGTCCCAAGAAGTATTCCCCACAGTGCAGCACACCAACTATGGTAGATAGTGGCCAGACTGCCTCTTTAGGCTGGAACCTGACCCATCCCTCCTTACTGGGTGGGGCCTCCCTGCAAGAACTTCAGCAACTCCACACAGGGGCTTAGGGACAGAACACTGATCTCCCTGGGCCTAAGCCTCTAGGATGAGGAAGGGTTGTAGTCTCCATGGACCAGTAGGCTTAGTTTTCCCCCTGCTAGCCCTGAGGAATCTGGGAAGCCCAGACAAGTGGCTTTACCCCCAGCACAGCACACCCCCTCCACCAAGGGACAGCCAAATTGCTTGGTTAAATGGGTCCTGGTTCCCATGCTCCCAACTGGGTGAGACCCGGCAACAGAAGTTATCAGACACCCTATACAGGAGTGTTCCTGCTGGCATCAGGTCAGTGCTCCCCAAGGTCAGAGATCCCAGAGGAAGGAGCCGGGCACCCATCTTTGTTGTCCTCCAGCCTCCTCGGGTGACATCTCCAGATGCGGGAGTGCCCCAGATGAATAGGGCCTGAAGTGAACCCGCAGCAAACTGCAGCAGCCCTACAGAAGAGAAACCTGACTACTGAAAAAAATAATAATAATTAAAAAAACAGAAAGCAACAACAGCATCAACAAAAAGGTCCCCACAAAAACCTCATCTAAGGGTCAGCAGCCTCAAAGATCAAAAATAGACAAACTCATGAAGATGAGAAAGAATTTTTTAAAAATGCTGAAAATGCAAAAGGCCAGAGTGCCTCTTCTCCCTCAAATGATAGTGACACCTCTCTAGCAAGGGCAAAGAACTGGACAGAGGATGAAATGAACAAATTAACAGAAGTAGGCTTCAGAAAGTGGGTAATAAAAAACTTCACTGAGGTAAAGGAGCATGTTCTAACCCAACGCAAAGAATCTAAGAACCATGATAAAAGGTTACAGCAGCTGGTAACTAGAATAATAAGTTTAGAGAGGAGCATAAATGACCTGATGGAGCTAAAAAAACACAGCACAAGAAATTTGTGATGCATACACAGTATCAATAGCAGAAAAAAATCAAGCAGAAGAAAGAATATCAGAACTTGAAGACTATCTCACTGAAATAAGGCAGGCAGACAAGATTAGAAGAAGAAAAAAAAAAAGAATAAAAAGGAATGAACAAAACCTCCGAGAACTATGGGACCATGTAAAAAGACTGAACCTACAACTGATATGAGTACCTGAAAGAGACTGGGAGAATGGAACCAAGCTGGAAAACACACTTCAGGATATAATACGGGAGAACTTCCCCAACCTGGCAAGACAGGCCAACTTTAAAATTCAGGAAACACAGAGAACCCCACTAAGATACTCCACGAGAGAATCAATCTGAAGACATATAATCATGAGATTCTCCAAGGTTGAAATCAAGGAAAAAATGTTAAGAGAAGCTAGAGAGAAAGGCTAGGTTACCTACAAAGGGAAGCCCATCACCATTAACAGTGACAGTTTCTGTCAGCAGAAACCCTACAAGCCAGAGGAGAGTGGGGGCCAATATTAAACCTTCTTAAAGAAAAGAATTTTCAACCCAGATTTTCACATCCAGCCAAACTAAGCTTCATAAAGGAAGAAGAAATAAAATCCTTTTCAAACAAGCAAATGCTGAGGGACTTTGTCACCACTAGGCTGGCCTTGCAAGAGCTTCTGAAGGCAGGACTAAATATGGAAAGGAAAAACTGGTACCAGCCACTGCAAAAACACACTGAAATACAAAGACCAATGACAGAAACTGCATCAAATAGTGTGCAAAATAACCAGCCAACATCATGATGACAGGATCAAATTCACACATAACAATATTAACCTTAAATGTAAATGGACTAAATGCCCGAATTAAGACACAGACTGGCAAATTGGATAAATAAAGACCCATTGGTGTGCTGTATTCAAGAGACCCATCTCATGTTCAAAGACACACATGGCCTCAAAATAAAGGTATGGAAGAAAATTTACCAAGCAAATAGAAAGCAGAAAAAAAGCAGGGGTTGAAATCCTAGTTTCTGACAAAACAGACTTTAAACCAACAATGATCAAAAAAGACAAAGAAGGTCATTATGTAAGGGTAAAAGCATTACTCCACCAAGAAGAGCTAACTATCCTAAATGTATATACATCCAATATAAGAGCACCTAGATTCATGTAGCAAGTTCTCAGAGACCTACAAAGAGACTTAGACTCCCACACAATAATAATGGGAGACTTTAACACCCAAATGTCAAATATTAGACAGATCATCGAGACAAACATTAACAAGGATATTAAGGACTTGAACTCAGCTCTGGATCAAGTGGACCTGACAGATATCTACAGAACTCTCCACCCTAAAACAACAGAATATACACTCTGCTCAAGTATCTCATGGTACTCACTCTAAATTCATTACATAATTGGAAGAAAAGTACTCCTCAGCAAATGCAAAATAATTGAAATTATAATAGTCTCTCAGACTACAGTGCAATCAAATTAGAACTCAGGATTAAGAAACTCACTCAAAACCACACAACTACATGGAAATTGAACAACCTGCTCCTGAATGAATGCTAAGTAAAAAAAATGGCATTAAGGCAGAAATCAAGCAGTTCTGTGAAACCAATGAGAACATAGACACAATGTACCAGAACCTCTGGGACACAGCTAAGGCAGGGTTAAAAGGAAATTTATAGCACTAAATGCTCACATCAGAAAGGTACAAAGATCTCAGATTGACACCCTAACATCACAATTAAAAGAGCTAGAGAAGTAAGAGCAAACAAATCCAAAGGCTAGAAGATGACAAGAAATAACTAAGATCAGAGCAGAACTGAATGAGTTAGAGCCTTGAAACGTCCTTCAAAAATTCAGCGAATCTAGGAGCTGGTTTTTTGAAAAAACTAACAAAATAGATAGACTAATAAAGCTAGATTAATAAAGAAGAAAAGAGAGAAGAATCAAATACACACAATAAAAAATGATAAAGGGTACATCACTACTGATCCCACAGAAATACAAACTACCATCAGAGAATACTATAAACACCTCAATGCAAATAAACTAGAAAATCTAGAGGAAACTGATAAATTCCTGGACACATACACCCTTGTAAGTTTAAAAAAGTAAGAAGTCAAATCCTTGAGTAGACCAAAAACAAGTTCTAAAATTGAGGCATTAATTAATAGACTACCAATCAAAAAAAAAAGCACAGGACCACAAAGATTCACATCCAAATTCTACCAGAGGTACAAAGAGGAGCTGGTACAATTCCTTCTAAAACTATTCCAAATAATTGAAATGGAGGGACTCCTCCCTAAATCATTCTATGAAGCCAGCACCATCCTGATACCAAAACCTGGCAGAGAAACCACAAAAAAAGAACACACTTCAGGCCAATATCCCTGATGAACATTGATGCAAAAATTATCAATAAAATATACTAGCAAACTGAATCCAGCAGCACATCAAAAAGCTTATCCACCACGATCAAGTTGGCTTCATCCCTGGGAGGCAAGGCTGGTTCAACATACTCAATAAATGTAATCTATCACATCAACAGAACAAATGACAAAAACCACATAACTATCATAATAGCTGCAGAAAAGGCCTTCGATAAAAATCAACATTTCTTCATGTTAAAAACTCTCAATAAAGTAGGTGCTGATGGAACATATCACAAAGTAATAAGAACTACTTATGACAAACCCATAGGCAATATCATAGTGAATGGGCAAAAGCTGGAAGCATTCCCATTGAAAATGGGCACAAGACAACGTTGCCGTCTCTCACCACTCCTACCCAACATAGTATTGGAAGTTCTGGCCATGGCAATCTGGCAAGATAAAGAAATAAAGGTATTCAAACAGGAAGAGAGGAAGTCAAATTGTCTCTGTTTGGAGATGACATGATTCTATATTCAGAAAACCCCATCATCTCAGTCCCAAAACTCCTTTAGCTGATAAGCAACTTCAGCAATCTCTCAGGATATAAAAACAATGTGCAAAAATCACAAGCATTCCTACACACCAACAATAGACAGGCAGACAGCCAAATCATAAATGAACTCCCATTCACAATTAGTACAAAGAGAATAAAATACCTAAGAATAGAGCTAACAAGGGATGTGAAGGACCTCTTCAAGGAGAACTACAAACCACTGCTCAAGGAAATAAGGACACAACCAAATGGAAAAACATTCCATGTTCATGGATAGGAAGAATCAATATAGTGAAAATGGCCATACCGCCCAAAGTAATTTATAGATTCAATGCTATTCCCATCAAATTACCATTGACATTCTTCACAGAATCAGAAAAGAACTACTTTAAACTTTACATGGAACCAAAAAAGAGCTCAGATAGCCAAGACAATCCTAAGCAAAAAGAACAGAGCTGGAGGCATCATGCTGCCTGACTTCAAACTATACTTCAAGTCTACAGTAATCAAAACAGCATGGTACTGACACCAAAACAGACATATAGACCAATGGAACAGAACAGAGACCTCACAAAAAACACCACACATCTAGAACCATCTGATCTTTGACAAACCTGACAAAAACAAGCAATGGGGAAAGGATTCCCTATTTTACAAATAGTGCTGGGAAAACTGGCTAACCATATGCAGAGAACTCAAACTGGACCTGTTCCTTATCCCTTATAAAAAAATTAACTCAAGAGGGATTAAAGGCTTAAATGTAAAACCAAAACTATAAAAACCCTAGAAGAAAACCTAGGCAATACCACTCAGGACATAGGCATGGGCAAAGATTTTATGATGAAAACACTAAAAGCAACTACAACAAAAGCTAAAATTGACAAATGGGATCTAATTAAACTAAAAAGCTTCTGCACAACAAAAGAAACTATCATCAGAGTGAACAGGCAACCTACAGAATGGGAGAAAATTTTTACAATCTACCCATCTGCCAAAGGTCTAATATCCAGAATCTACAAGAAACTTAAACAAATTTACAAGAATAAAACAACCCCATTAAAAAGTGTGCAAAGGATATGAACAGACACTTCTCAAAAGAAGATATTTATGTGGCCAACAACATATGAAAAAAGCGTAAAACCTCTGATTATTAGAGAAATGCAAATCAAAACCAAAATGAGATACCATCTCATGCCAATCAGAATGGTGATTATTAAAAAATCAAGAAACAATAGATGCTGGCAAGGTTGTGGAGAAATAGGAAGGCTTTTATGCTGTTTGTGGGAATGTAAATTAGTTCAGCCATTGTGGAAGACAGTGTGGCAATTCCTCAAGGATCTAGAATCAGAAATACCATTTGACCCAGAATCCCATTACTGAGTATATACCCAAAGGAATATAAATCATTCTATTATGAAGATACATGCGTACATATGTTTATTTCAGCACTATTCACAATAGCAAAGACTTGGAACCAACCCAAATGCCCATTCATGATAGACTGGATAAAGAAAATGTGATACATATACACCATGGAATACTATGTAACCATAAAAAGGAATGAGATCATGTCCTTTGCAGGGACATGGATGAAGCTGGAAGCCATCATCCTCAGCAAACTAACACAGGAACAGAAAATCAAGTACCACATGTTCTCACTAATAAGTGGGAACTGAACAATGAGAACACATGGACACATGGAAGGGAACAACACATGCCAGGGCCAGACAGCAGGCTGGAGGGATGGAGAGCCTCAGGACAAATAGCTACTGCATGTGGGGCTTAATACCTAGGAGATGGGTTGATAGGTGCAGCAAACCACCATGTCACACATTTAGCTACGTAACAGACCTGAATGTTCTGCATATGTATTCTGTAACCTAAAATAAAATAAAATTATAAAAAAATAGCAACTCATGGTGGATCAATGACTTAAATTTAAGACCTGAAACCATAAGGATTATAGTAGATAACATTGGAAAACCCTTTCTAGACATTGGCTTAGGCAAAGGCTTCATGACCAGAACCAAAAAGCAAATGCAACAAAGCAAAGATAAATAGATGGAACTTAATTAAACTAAAAATCATCTGCACAGTGAAAGAAATAATCAACAGAGTAAACAGACAATCCACAAAGGGGAAGAAAATCACCAAAATCTATACATCTGACAAATGACTAATATCCAGAATCTACAGGGAACTCAAACAAATCAGCAAGAAAAAAAAATCTCATCAAAAAGTGGGCTAAGGAAAGGACATGAATTGACAGTTCTCAAAAGAAGATATACAAATGGCCAACAAACATATTTTAAAAAGCTCTCTATCACTAATTATCAAGGAAATGCAAATCAAAACCACAGTGTGATACCACCTTATTCCTGCAAGAATTGCCACGATAAAAAAAAAATAGATGTTGGTGTGGATGTGGTGAAAAGGGAGCACTGTTGGTGGAAATGTAAGCTAGCACAACCACCATGAAAACAGTATGGAGATTCCTCAAAGAACTAAAAGTATGAAGGGCTGTTGAATTTTGTTGAAGGCATTTTCTGCATCAATTGAGATAATCATGTGGTTTTTGTCTTTGGTTCTATTTATATGATGGATTACGTTTATTGATTTGCATACACTAAACCAGCCTTTCATCCCAGGGATGAAGCCCACTTGATCGTGGTGGATAAGCTTTTTGATGTGCTGCTGGATTCGGTTTGCCAGTATTTTATTGAGGATTTCTGCATCCATGTTCATCAGGGATATTGGTCTAAAATTCTGTTTTTTTGTTGTGTCTCTGCCAGGCGTTGGTATCAGGATGATGCTGGCCTCATAAAATGAGTTAGGGAGGATTCCCTCTTTTTCTATTGATTGGAATAGTTTCAGAAGGAATGGTACCAGCTCCTCCTTGTACCTCTGGTAGAATTCGGCTGTGAATCCGTCTGGTCCTGGTCCTGGACTTTTTTTGGTTGGTAAGCTATTAATTATTGCCTCAATTTCAGAGCCTGTTATTGGTCTATTTAGGGATTCATCTTCTTCTTGGTTAAGTCTTGGGAGGGTGTATGTATCTAGGAATTTATCCATTTCTTCTAGATTTTCTAGTTTATCTGCATAGAGTTGTTCGTAGTATTCTCTGATGGTAGTTTGTATTTCTGTGGGATTGGTGGTGATATCTCTTTTATCATTTTTTAAAGTGTCTATTTGATTCTTCTCTCTTTTCTTCTTTATTAGTCTTGCTGGCGGTCTATCAATTTTGTTGATCTTTTCAAAAAACCAGCTCCTGGATTCATTGATTTTTTGAAGTTTTTTTATGTTTCTATCTCCTTCAGTTCTGCTCTGATCTTAGTTATTTCTTGCATTCTGCTAGCTTTTGAATGTGTTTACTCTTGCTTCTCTAGTTCTTTTTATTGTGATGTTAGGGTGTCAATTTTAGATCTTTCCTGCTTTCTCTTGTGGGCATTTAGTGCTATAAATTTCCATCTACACACTGCTTTAAATGTGTCCCAGAGATTCTGGTACGTTATGTCTTTGTTCTCATTGGTTTCAAAGAACATTTTTATTTCTGCCTTCATTTTGTTATGTACCCAGTAGTCATTCAGGAGTAGGTTGTTTGGTTTCCATGTAGTTGAGTGGTTTTGAGTGCGTTTCTTAAACCTGAGTTGTAGTTTGATCACACTGTGGTCTGAGAGACAGTTTGTTATAATTTCTGTTCTTTTACATTTGCTGAGGAGTGCTTTATTTCCAACTATGTGGTCAATTTTAGAATGAGTGTGATGTGGTTTTGAGAAGAATGTATACTTTGCTGATTTGGGGTGAAGAGTTCTTTAGATGTCTATTAGGTCTGCTTGGTGCAGAGCTGAGTTCAATTCCTGGATATCCTTGTTAACTTTCTGTCTCGTTGATCTGTCTAATATTGACAGTGGGGTGTTAAAGTCTCCCAATATTATTGTGCGGGAGTCTAAGTCTCTTTGTAGGTCTCTTCGGACTTGCTTTATGAATCTGGGTGTTCCTGTGTTGGGTACATATATATTTAGGGTAGTTAGCTCTTCTTGTTGAATTGATCCCTTTACCATTATGTAATGGCCTTTTTTGTCTCTTTTGAACTTTGTTGGTTTAAAGTCTGTTTTACCAGAGGCTAGGATTGCAGCCTTGCTTTTTTTGTTTTCCATTTGCTTGGTAGATCTTCCTCCATCCCTTTATTTTGAGCCTATGTGTGTCTCTGCATGTTAGATGGGTCTCCTGAATACAGCACACTGATAGGACTTGACTGTTTGTCCAATTTGCCAGTCTGTGTCTTTTAATTGGAGCATTTAGCCCATTTACATTTAAGGTTAATATCATTATGTGTGAATTTCATGCTGTCATTATGATGTTAGCTCGTTATTTTGCTCGTTAATTGATGCAGTTTCTTCCTAGCATCAACAGTCTTTACAATTTGGCATGTTTTTGCAGTGGCTGGTACCGGTTGTTCATTTCCATGTTTAGTGCTTCTTTCAGGAGTTCTTGTAAGGCAGGCCTGGTGATGACAAAATCTCTCAGCATTTGCTCGTCTGTAAAGGATTTTATTTCTCCTTCACTTATGAAGCTTAGTTTGGCTGGATATGAAATTCTGGTTTGAAAATTATTTTCTTTGAGAATGTTGAATATTGGCCCCCACTCTCTTCTGGCTTGTAGAGTTTCTGCCGAGAGATCCAGAAACTCTCTTATTAGTTAGTCTGATGGGCTTCCCTTTGTGGGTAACCCGACCTTTCTCTCTGGCTGCCCTTAACATTATTTCCTTCATTTCAACTTTGGTGAATCTGACAATTATGTATCTTGGTGTTGCTCTTCTCGAGGAGTATCTTTGTGTCATTCTCTGTATTTCCTGAATTTGAATGTTGGCCTGCCTTGCTAGGTTGGGGAAGTTCTCCTGGATAATACCCTGAAGAGTGTTTTCAAACTTGGTTCCATTCTCCCCATCACTTTCAGGCAGACCAATCGACATAGACTTGGTCTTTTCACATAGTCCCATATTTCTTGGAGGCTTTGTTCTTTTTAGTCTTTTTTCTCTAAACTTCTCTTCTCGCTTCATTTCATTCATTTGATCTTCAATCACTGATACCCTTTCTTCCAGTTGATCGAATTGGCTACTGAAGCTTGTGCATGCATCACATAGTTCTCGTGCCATGGTTTTCAGCTCCATCAGGTCATTTAAGGTCTTCTCTATGCTGTTTATTCTAGTTAGCCATTTGTCCAATCCTTTTTCAAGGTTTTTAGCTTCTTTGCGATGGGTTTGAACATCCTCCTTTAGCTTGGAGAAGTTTGTTATTACCAATCGTCTGAAGCCTTCTTCTCTCAACTCGTCAAAGTCATTCTCCAGCCAGCTTCGTTCCATCGCTGGCGAGGAGCTGCATTCCTTTGGAAGAGAAAAGGCGCTCTGAATTTTAGAATTTTCAGCTTTTCTGCTCTGGTTTCTCCCCATCTTTGTGGTTTTATCTACCTTTGGTCTTTGATGATAGTGACATACAGATGGGGTTTTGGTGTGGAAGTCTTTTCTGTTTGTTAGTTTTCCTTCTAACAGGTCCTTCAGCTGCAGGTCTGTTGGAGTTTGCTGGAGGTCCACTCCAGACCCTCTTTGCCTGGGTATCACCAGCAGAGGCTGCAGAATAGCAAATATTGCAGAATGGCAAATGTTGCTGCCTGATCCTTCCTCTGGAAGCTTCATCTCAGAGGGGCACCCGGCTGTATGAGGTGTCAGTCGGCCCCTACTGGGAGGTGCCTCTTAGGCTACTTGGGGGTCAGGGACCCACTTGAGGAGGCAGTCTGTCAGTTCTCAGATCTCAACCTCCATGCTGGGAGAACAACTACTCTCTTCAAAGTTGTCAGACAGGGACATTTAAGTCTGCAGAAGTTTCTGCTGTCTTTTGTTCAGCTATGCCCTGCTCCCAGAGGTGGATTCTACAGAGGCAGGCAGGCCTCCTTGAGCCGCGGTGGGCTCCACCCAGTTGAGCTTTTCAGCCGCTTTGTTTGCCTACTCAAGTAAAACAGCCCTTCATGCTAAAAACTCTCAATAAACTAGGTATTGATGGGACATATCTCAAAATAATAAGAGCTATTTATGACAAACCCACAGCCAATATCATACTGAATGGGCAAAAACTGGAAGCATTCCCTTTGAAAACTGGCACAAGACAGGGATGCCCTCTCTCAACACTCCTATTCAACATAGTGTTGGAAGTTCTGGTCAGGGCTATCAGGCAGGAGAAAGAAATAAAGCATATTTAAGTCGGAAGAGAGGAAGTCAAATTGTCCCTGTTTGCAGATGACATGGTTGTATATTTACAAAACCCCATCATCTCCGCCCAAAATCTGCTTAAGCTGATAAGCAACTTCAGCAAAGTCTCAGGATACAAAATCTATGTGCAAAAATCACAAACATTCCTATACACCAATAACAGACAAACAGAAAGTCAAATAATGAGTGAACTCCCATTCACAATTGCTTCAAAGAGAATAAAATACCTAGGAATCCAACTTACAAGGGATGTGAAGGATCTCTTCAAGGAGAACTACAAACCACTGCTCAATGAAATAAAAGAGGACACAAACAAATGGAAGAACATTCCATGTTCATGGATAGGAAGAATCAATATCATAAAAATGGCCATACTGCCCAAGGTAATTTATAGATTCAATGCCATCCCCATCAAGCTACCAATGACTTTCTTCACAGAATTGGAAAAAACTACTTTTAAAGTTCATATGGAACCAAAAAAGACATTGCCAAGCCAATCCTAAGCAAAAAGAACAAAGCAGGAGGCATCACGCTACCTGACTTCAAACTATACTACAAGGCTACAGTAACCATAACAGCATGGTACTGGTAGCAAAACAGAGATATAGACCAATGGAACAGAACAGAGTCCTCAGAAATAATATCACACATCTACAGCCATCTGATCTTTGACAAACCTGACAAAAACAAGAAATGGGGAAACAAGTCCCTATTTAATAAGTGGTGCTGGGAAAACTGGATAGCCATATGTAGAAAGCTGAAACTGGATCCCTTCCTTACACCTTATATGAAAATTAATTCAAGATGGATTAAAGACTTAAATGTTAGACCTAAACCCATAAAAACCCTAGAAGAAAACCTAGGCAATACTATTCAGGACATAGGTATGGGCAAGGACTTCATGATTAAAACACCAAAAGCAATGGCAACAGAAGCCAAAATTGACAAATGGGATCTAATTAAACTAAAGAGCTTCTGCACAGCAAAAGAAAGTACCATTGGAGTGAACAGGCAACCTACAGAATAGGAGAAAATTTTTACAATCTACCCATCTGGCAAAGGGCTAATATCCAGAATCTACAAGAACTTAAACAAATTTACAAGAAAAAATCAAACAACCCCATCAAAATTGGGTGAAGGATATGAACAGACACTTGTCAAAAGAAGACATTTATGTAGCCAACAGACACATGAAAAACTGCTAATCTTCACTGGCCATCAGAGAAATACAAATCAAAACCACAATGAGATACCATCTCACACCAGTTAGAATGGCGATCCCTAAAAAGTCAGGAAACAACAGGTGCTGGAGAGGATGTGGAGAAATAGGAACACTTTTACACTGTTGGTGGGACTGTAAACTAGTTCACCCATTGTGGAAGAGAGTGTGACAATTCCTCAAAGATCTAGAACTAGAAATACCATTTGATCCAGTCATCCTATCACTGGGTATATACCGAAAGGATTATAAATCATACTGCTTTAAAGACACATGCACAGGTATGTTTATTGTGGCACTATTCACAACAGCAAAGACTTGGAACCCACCCAAATGTCCATCAATGATAGACTGGATTAAGAAAATGTGGCACATATGCACCATGGAATACTATGCAGCCATTAAAAAGGATGAGTTCATGTCCTTTGTAGGGACATGGATGAAGCTGGAAACCATCATTCTGAGCAAACTATCGCAAGGACAGAAAACCAAACACTGCATGTTCTCACTCCTAGGTGGGAATTGAACAATGAGAACACTTGGACACAGGGTGGTGAACATCACACACTGGGCCCTGTCACAGGGTGGGGGGAGGAGGGAGGGATAGCATTAGGAGATATACCTAATGTAAATGATGAGTTAATGGGTGCATCACACCAACATGTCACATGTATACATATGTAACAAACCTGCACGTTGTGCACATGTACCCTAGAACTTAAAGTATAATAATAATTAAAAAAAAGAACTAAAAGTAAATCTGCTGTTTGATCCAGAAATTCCACTCCTGGGTATCTACCCAGAGGAAAATAATACATTATATGGAAAAGATACTTGCACATGCATGTTTAGAGCAGCACAATTTGCAATTGCAAAAATATGGAACCAGCTCACATGCTTATCAATCAATGAGTAGATAAAGAAAACATGGTATGCATATACCATACTACTCAGCCATAAAAAAGAATCAAATAATAGCATTCACCGCAACCTGGATGGAATTGGGGACCATTATTCTAAGTGAAGTAACTCAGGAATGGAGAACCAAACATTGTATGTTCTCACTCATAAGTGGGAGCTAATCTATGAGGATGCAAAGGCATAAGAGTGATACAATGGACTCTGGGGACTTGGGGGAAGGATGGGAGGAGCGTGATGGATAAAAGACTACACATTGGGTACAGTGTACACTACTCAGGTGATAGGTGGACCAAAATCTCATAAATCACCCCTAAAGAACTTATTCATGTAACCAAACACAACCTCTTTCTCAAAAACCTATGGAAATAAAAAAAAAAAAAGTGATGAACTAGGATATCTGGCCTAAGAAATATCTAAGCAACAAAGCATTCAGACATGGCATGGCAATTTTAATTGCATACTGTGAAATGTGACAGCAAACAGATGATTTAAAGATGAAATTTATAATTAAAAGGGAAGCAGAATGGCAAGATTTGGAAAATTCATAGACTGGACAGATAAAGAGTAAAAAAGCATGTTCAGGAGAAAGTATTGAGGGTGTAGCAAAGTGACCATTTGCTAAACAGATTTTCATGGATAGAAGGGAGCCAGATGTTATTCATCAAAACAATGGGAGAAAGACCCCAAAGACACTTCAGAGACTTTTAAGGCTGCCCCTTCCATCACAGGCCCAGAGTTTTCAGAGGGCAGAGTGGTTTCAGGTGACAGGCCCAGGGCACTCTCCACAGGCTTGCTGCCCAGATCTCTCATGGGTCTGTAGTCTCTGCATCCCAGCACAGTGCTCTTTGGCCATACTAGCTGTGGCTCAAGCAACCACAACTGTGGCTCAAGCTGCAACTCTGAAAAATGCAAGAGGCAAATCTTAGGGCCATTCATGTGGTATTAAGGTCTGCAGGCAGACAGAATGTAAAAGCTGTAGGGGCATTGCTTTCCCTACCTGAATGTCAAAGGGTATAGAAGGCAGCCTGGTAACCCAGGCAGAGACTGATTACAGGGGCAGAGCCACCTCAGAGATTCCCCAATAGTGCAATGCTGAATGAAACTGGGGAAGCAGGACTGCCATCAAGACCCCAGGACTGTAAAGCTACCACTGTAGCTCTACTGAGAGAGGTGAAGCATGGTCTGAGCTTAGCAAAGCCATGGGGACGGGGCTGCCAGAGCCCGTAGTGGTCCAACCCCTGCACCAGTGAGCTTAGGACAGGGAGCCAAGGAGATTATTCTCCAGCTTTAAGACAATATTATTTTCTCTGTTGAGTTTTGGACTTATTTGGGGTGTGTTAATCCTTTCTTCTTGCCTACGTCTCCCATTTGTAATAGGAATGTCTGTCCAATGCCCGTCCCCTGGTGTATCTTGAAAATAGATAACTTGTTTAATCTGACATGCTTACAGCAAGAAGAAATTCGCCTCAAGGTGAATCATGCCATGAGTCTTACCCACATCTGATTTAGATGAAACTTTAAACTTTGGACTTTTGAGTTGCTACTGAAATGAGTTAAGACTTTTGAGACAATTGGGATGGAATAACTGTATTTTGTATTGTGAGAAGGACATAAATTTGAGGAGTCAAGGTCAGAATGCTATGGCTTAAATATGGTCCTCCAAAGTTCATATGTCAGTTAATCCTCAATCCAACTTAATCCTCAATCCAACTTAATCCTCAATGCAACAGTGTTGGGAGGTGAAGCCCACCAAGATGGTTGGGTCATGAGAGAACTCTCCAGAATCGATTAATGTCATAATAGTGGAAGTGGATTAGTTATTTTCAGTGTGTGCTATAAAGTGAGTCCAGCCTCTGGTGCTTTACTTTCTGTCTCGTGTGCTTGCCTCTGCTTTTGACCTCTCACCATAGATGACCCCTGCCAGATGCAACAGCCATGCTGTTGAACTTCCCAGCCTCCAGAACTGTGAGAAATAAATTTCTTTTCTTTATAAATTACCCAGTCTCAGGTATTTTATTATAGACAATTAACTAGGACATCAGACATTTTAATTTTTGCAAATTTGACAAGTGAAAAACAAGTTACTTTGTTATTTCTTTATTTAATTATGAATAAAAGTGAACTTTTTTTCATACACTTAAAATAAATGTATTTTTATTTTATTTTTAGAGACAGGGTTTCACCATGTTGCCCAGGCTGGTCTCAAACTTCTGAGCTCAAGAGATTTGCTCACCTTGGCCTCCCAAAGTGCTAGGTGTGAGCCATTATGCCCAGTCAAAATAAATTTTTTTTTCCTGTCAATTACCTTTTTGTGCCCCCTGTCAATTTTTAAATAAATTACTGGTTCTTATTCTTATGCTGAAGAAACTAGCATTTTCAATGTCATATGTCATACAAAATTATTATTCCAATTTATCACTTGATTATTTATTTTATTAAAGTTTTTTAGTGCAAAAGTTTTCCGTTTGTTAGGTATTCAAATTTACTAACTTTTCCTTTATGATTTCTAAGTTTTGTGACTTCTACACTCTGATTCAAAAATTATGCCGTATGTGTTCTTCTATGGTTAATTTTTATATTTAAATCTTTACTAGTCTGGAATTTAATTTACTGAAGATAAGAAATAATTTTCAGACTTCATTATTTCATCCAATATGTTTTAAGAACCTACATTTAAAAAATACCTTTTTCTCAATGATTGGTTGGAGAAATATGACTCCTAAAAAATAGACATTATGCTGGTTATTGACTTGAAAGATACTCTTTTTGTCATATTTTAAAATTATCTAGGTATTTCTGTTTTATTAAGATATTCTTTTTAAATTAAGAAACTTTTATTTTTGACCAATTTTTTGTGTCTATGGAGAGAATCATATATGTTTCTCTTCTTCCCATTAATAAGGTGATTGATTAATATCAGCTACTAGTAGAAGCTTCCACTAGATGGAATATTCAGCCATGGCATCAACCCTATTTCACTGAGGAATATTAATGTGCTGCTAAGTTCTATCTGTTTATATTTTACGTATTGTAACATTTTTACCCAAATCTAAGACAAGTTTAGTGTGGAATTCTCTTTAATCTATTTTTTAATTTAATAATAATATTGTATTTTATTAAAAGGCTTTATTTCATAAATAAATGAAGCTTGATTTCTCCCTCAGTGATCCAGAACTAATAGTTTTGGAGTTTTCTGCATATTAAAGGTTTTATAGAATTTACCTGGAAACCATGTGAATTAGCTTCCACTAGATCAGCAGTTCTCACACTTTGGTATACCTCAACATCACTCAAAAGGCTTGGTAAATGGAGTTTCTTTTTCAGGAAATTGAAGGTAGCACCCAAGAATTTGCAGTTTTAACAAGCTGATGCTATTAGTCTTAGGACCACATATTAAGAACTATTGCCCTAGAATTTGTTGCAGTAACAACACAAAAGTACCAAAAACAGAGTTTTATTTCTTCATCACAATTCATACTGGCTATGTGTCAGCCAACAATCCCTGGAAGTCTTCTATGGGTCTTCTCATCCTTGGATCCAGACTGCCAAATTTTCATATTATGGGAAAAGAAGAAAGGCAATATTACGCTATAGCTCTTAAAGTTTTGACCAAAAATGGTGTATTTCACTTCTGTTTTGATTTTATGGACTCAAGCAAGTCACATTGTCAACCCTTATGTCAATGGGATTGGAGAAGGAGAGATAGAATTGAGGACAATAATTCAAACTACCATAAAAGCCATATGAGAGGTTAACTCTTTGAGAGTTTTTATGTAATGTGATTGATAGGTTTGAGATTTTCATGTCTTCTATTACTGCAAAAATAATCCATTTAATCTTCTATATCAGTTTTGTTTGCACAAAATAGAAAAATTTTTTTCATTTATTGAATCAGTTAAAATTAAGTTGCATTTTAGATGCAAAAGAATGCAAGATAGAGCATTGCAGATTAAAAGATTATTAACATACTCAAAGAAGGTGTTTTCTTTTTTTATTATTTTCTTAGTTTAATTTCAAAGGAATGTAGTCTGAAGTTCATGTAGTGACTCTACAATTATTCGATGGACCAGACTTAATTCCAGCACATAATTCTGCCATTCCTTGGTGTGGCTCTTGTCATCACAGGCTAATATAGTGACTAAAGTTTCAGTTTCTGATCTGCATACCAGGCAGCAAGATGAAAAAAGAACAGTTGTGGAACAGACACCCACCAGCTGCTTTTGAGAATAGCTTTAATAGCAGCAACATGACATTTCTGATGCCAGTTGTAAGGAAGGCTGGACAATAAAACTTTGTGGGTAGCTATGTATCTAGCTAAAAGTTTGGGATTCTATTACTAAGGAAGGAAATAAAATATACTGGGCATAGCAAATATTGATCTCTCTTACATACTTCCAATTTCCCAAGTATCAGAAGTTATTTTCTACTCCCATCTACTTTCATTTGCAATTTTTTCTTTCTTTTAAGTTATTAATTCTTGCGAAGCACTAACTTTGGAGCTATTCATTAATTACACTCTTGTTCTATTTTCTTTTCTTTTTTTAAGACTGAGTCTCTGTCTGTCGCCCAGGCTCGAGTGCAGTGGCATGATCTCAGCTCATTGCAACCTTTGCCTCCCGGGTTCAAGCGATTCTCCTGCCTCAGCCTCCCGAGTAGCTGGGACTACAGGCGTGCACAGCCACACCCGGCTAATTTTTATGTTTTTAGTAGAGACGAGGTTTTGCCATGTTGGCCAGGCTGGTCTCCAAGTCCTGGGCTCAAGTGATCCACCCTCCTCAGACTCCCAAAGTGTTGGGATTAGAGGCATGAGCCACTGAGCCTGGCCTTGTTCTGTTTTCTAATTTATTTACTTCTGACTTTATTAATATTATTTTCTTCCTATGTTTCTTATTTTTAACTAGTTGAGAGTTTTTTCCTATTTTTGTGTTAAGTACCTAATTCTTTGTCATTCTTTTAAATTTAATAATACAAGAATTTGAGTTTATAAAATTTTTCTCTGATCACTGAATTAACTGTATGCCTGATAAAGATATGTAAAGATTTAATAATCATTATTTCCCAGATAAGAATTCTTAGATGCTTTCCCCCTTTAACCAGAAAAGTTTTTAAATTAATTTAAAAATTTTTATTAATTAAAAACAAAGGTGTATGAGTTTTTAAAATGTGATTATTGTTTTATTTATGACCTAATATATCATCTTTTTTAAAAATGTTACAGAAGTTGACAAGTTACAAGTTGAATAACTTTATCTCTTGGGGGGGCAATATTATAAGCATATCAATTGGAACCGACTTCTAACTTACGTTATTTGTACCTTATATATCCCTACTTATACATGTATCTTGCATATTCCTACTTATACATGTATCTTGTGTATCCCTACTTATTTATGATGTGATTAGTTGCTTTCAATTACTTTGTGTTTTTATTACTTTATTTATGAATTATACTAGTTCAATATTCTTCTCCATTTTATGTCTCATCATATTTCCTTTTAATCTTTCTGTCATTTATTTGTTCCAGATGGCATGTTTTCTTTTTCTTTTTGCTTCCAGAAGGCATGTTTTCTTTAGTTTGTTTTATTTCACGTAGAAGCATTTGTCTCCAGTACTAAGCTAGGCAATGACATAATTCTGGCTGTATTCTGCCTTTTGAATCCCATATTTTTGCCCTTCCTTCTCCTGCAATATCTTTGCTGGGAACCCAATCATTTTTTAATGAGGAAAGTTTTTTCTGGTATAGCTATTTTCAACATCAGGGTGTTGAATAGGGCTTGAGTGACTGAGCTGCGCAAGAAGCTAACTTGAATAGCAGGCAGATTGTTTGTAGCCTTCAAAAATTTTAGGACAACATTGTGCCCAAGGTTACAAACTTCTTTCACTGAGGAGAGAGCTATAGAACTCACAATAAGGCTGCTTTTAATACAAAAGTGTGCATTGAGTTTGCATGTGTATACGTTTGGGCATCTTGATTGAGCCATTACTTATCCTGCTAATGGATCAAGATCAGTAGCTTTGGGGCTGCTTTTCATCACTTTCTGTTTCTTCCAGCACCTGTAGTGGTTCTTTGCTCTATGGCACTTGTGTGCTACTTTTCTCAGCCCCAGTTTCCTGATCATTCTGTCTTGTCCACCAGGGCTTAGGAAGCCTCCGAATTCTATTCCTTATATCTAAATATTATTATTCTAAGCATAGATTTGTAGGTTTGTCTTCATAGGATGTGTTTCTAAATTTGGAAAACTATTCCTTCTGTGGAAAATCTATAGAGAGCTATCCACTCAGTGCTGTCTATATCTAGTTCAATTACTAATGCATTTTCTTCCTATATTGTTTTATGGGGTTATAGGTGATTCCTACTTTCCTTAGAGATTGATTTACTGATTACATTTTGTTTCTCAATATCTTATAATTGAGATTGGCTTCAGAGGGAAGGGTGACTGAATTACAGATAACTTTACCAGTTATCTTAGACTGGAAGCCCTGAATATTCTTTTCCTAACTGGGAACTACTACACTGAGAGTAAAAATGGAGGATTCATGTTTCCCTGACAGTGGGCATATTATTCACATATAGATAGATAGATAGATAGATAGATAGATAGATAGATAGATAGATAGATAGACAGATCATATAGTAAATTTTAAAAAGGGATGTGGCATGTTTGAGTTTGAAGACAAATCTTGGTCTAATTTGGCAACAAAATAGCAAATAGTTCAACAAGGAGAATAAACTTTTCTTCATGCAAGGAATTTCAGTACAGTTGAAAATATGGGATATATTATGTACTATACTTGAATACCTCTAAATATCATTAGCAACTCAGCTATTCATATATAAAATCTCTTGTGGTCAAAATTTCACAGGTACTTAGTGCTTCAAATAAATTCAATTAAGGATAAGCAAATGCCTTTAACTACATTTCCATTTCATTTAAATATATCTGATTCCTTAGACAAGTCACCTGATTTTGTTTTTACAGTGATATTATTTTTATGATTTGTGATAGCAGGTCTTGCCAGAGGTGAAAATAAATAACCATTTTTATCTGAGTATAGACAGACAATATACAAGCTTTGCCCCATTATCATGATTGAGAATTAAAGATTTAAAAGCCATGACTACGTTACAGTTTATATCCCTATGTTTCTGAACTTAATATGACCTACATAGATGGATATATATGATAACACATAATTAAGATTAACAACATCATTACAAGAAAAGCTAATAGAAGTGCTGGCTATTTTATCTTTAGCAACTGTTTTCCAATTTTACATGAAAAAAGATCTTGCTTTGACTAAATTATTAACGTTGTGATAATCTGTCATTAGAATCAATAACTGCTTTATTATGCATAGTGCATATAGTGCTAAAATGGACCCTCTCTCAAATAAATTTAGTGCCTTGTCACAATCCAGTATGATTTTACAATATTGCTAATGTGCACAAAGCATTCAAATATAAAATATCGGCATGTCGGAGATTTATGACAAATGTGAGGAGAAGATGAATCTAGGTTAAGCTTTCATGTCACTTGACTGAGGTCAAGAAAATCAATACTATTCATAATGTATCTTTCACCCACAGTCATAAATGAAAAACCTTCTGTACCTAGAGAGACTTCTTATTTATCTTTTAGTCTCAGTGGTGGAAATATTCTAAAATGGGTGTTAGAAGAAAAAATAAAATTAATTGGCAATAAGGAGAATGAATCATATTTTTGGAATGTGCAGTGACTCAAGATCAGGTAACTGAATATGTTTCCCTATTTTGATCTTTGCTTTTTCTCTGCAGATGTGTCTAACATTTGTGAATTCTAAGAATTACTATGGTGTAGGTAATAGTCACAATTCTCCACTTTAGCTCTTATGAATTTTATAACATTGTGAAATGGCCAGTAACTGCATTTCAATTTATTTCATTAACTTACTATTTCCTATTTCTTTTGATGCAACATGGTTTTTAATCATTAGAATCAATAACTGCTTACAGTGATATTAGTCATATACTGACCACAATATATGTGGTTGATTTCTCTAATCCTTTTCATCTCTAACAATTAATTGTAGACCCAATGTTGGTATCCTATTTCCCTTGCTAGTGAGTGGTTTAGGCATGAACAAGTCACCAGTGCTGACCAATGATATTCAATGGGAATACTTTAAGGGGCTTCTGGAAAAGGACCCTTCCTTCTTAAAAATAAAACTCAGAAGAAATGACATCATTTTATTCAGTGATTTAGGAACTGCTGCGGTCATCTATGCAGGCTTGAGGGAAGTCAGCCTAGTTGAGATGCAGAGCTGAGAAATGAAAAATCTGATTCCTTCAAAAAATTGTCTTCACAGAAGCCTGGAGATTACCTTACCTTTGAATAACTTTTATTTAAGATAAATACCCTTATTTCAAGCCAGCTTAAAATGCAGTTCTATGTTGCAGCCAAAAATTATCCTAACTGATGCTATCCATCATCAGTAGAAATTAATTGAAGATCAATCATTTTTCATATTTTCATATTCTTCTTTGATGTGAAGAGACCACAGTATGCAACTGCCTTATCAGTAAAGATTAAAATGGCTAATGAGCCTGATCACAAATAACTGAATCTATTTTAGCTCAGATGAATGACAGTAGTCCTGATGTATGGATTCTACCTATAGTTAACTGTTTCTATTAAGCCTGTTTTTAATCTCTGAAAGGTTTGCACATATTGAGATAATTTTAAATAATTATTTCTATGAATTGATTTGTTCTTGGCAATAATAGTTCTATTTAAGTATGTGCTTTTAACAAAAATTTACTAAGTGCAGAGTGTGTGAGAAAGGTGGATACATAGAATTGTGGCAAGTACAGTGAGAGAGATTTTGCGCAAAATATTCTGGAAACATGAAATACATACTACCTAATCTGCCCTGGAGGAATTGGAAATACCAGAGAAGGTTTTCTGGAAGAAGCGATGACTGAGCTGAATGTTGAACAATTATTAGAGCTAGCCAAATACAATAAAAAGGTAATGTAAGGATATACTCAAAAGGAACAATAAAAATAGCAAGGCATATATGTTAGAATTGAGTCCAGGGAGTGGGACAAGAAGTGACAATAGAAGAGCCTGAAGGTAACAGCACAATATAATAGTGGCTAAGAACAAGGACTTTGGTGTCACAGGGTTCTGAAGGGTTCTGAATTTCAACCACTCATTGAATTAATAATTACCAAGTTCCAATTATGTCTCTGGCTCTGTGTAGACATTAGTGATATGACAGCAATCTTTGTTTTCATGTTGCATACATTCTAGAGGACAAGAGTGACAAAAAAAGTAAAACAGATGTGTAAAAAAGTAAGTTGTAATGTGAGTTATGAAGAAAAGAAAGGGCTGTGATATAAATGTACCATAAATACCTATTTTAGATAGGGTGGTGAGCGTGGACCTCTCTGAGAAAGTGACAGGCTGAATGTAATTGTTGACAAGGACCCAGCTTTGAAAGGTGTGAGGAAAAAAGCTTTGCAGCCTCCTCCCCCAAAGAATACCCACCCAGTCATAACCACTTGTCTCATCACAAAACTATTAAATAAAATCATATTCTAATTATTTATAATTGTTTTCTTGCTGTTTAAAATAACTGTATCACCCAATATGCACTCCTAAACACTATAGTTTAATTTTGTCCATTTCTTCTTAATTATGTAACTTTGAACTTTCCTTTAATGTGTAGTCTCACTGTGAATTCATTGGTTTTTTTCTTACAATTTAGCTATTGGAGAATCTTGGCCATTAAAGTTATCCACCAAATGAGAAAAAGAAATAATCTTCATCTGTCTCCTTTAAGATAACTCTTTGTACATACCACTCATTTGCTTTTATGTCCTTTTAGAACATTTTAAAATAATATATTTAGAGGGTCTAATCCTAATTTCCATAAGGAGAGACCTCCTCTCAGCACACTCCATTTTTAGGGGTGAAATGACTTATTCATTCATTCATTGGTGAATTGGGGGATAAAAACCTGGCATGGTGGGCTAAGCTTCCCTCTTTTCTCTTGACAATAATTTGTCAGAGCATGTGTATATTTTTGCTTTTTCTGGCAATGGGCTGTGGGTGTGGAGTGGGGGTGCCCGGGGTGCGTACCCCATTTTGCACAGCTGATCAATTCTGATGGGCAGTGCTCTTAATCCTAGGTGACTAACTTGAAGCCACCTCCTCTATTTGAGCCTCTCCCCTTGATATAAGTATTTTGACTTAGTGTGGTGATCTTTTGCGTCATTCATTTTTTGAATTGTTCAAAGTCTAGAGGTGTATAGTGTTACTCTGAGAGCCCAACAAATATGTGTTCACTTTATTTCATGGTTCACGTTATAAACATTGTTTAATAAGCACATTGCTCACAAATTTACTTGAAATACAGACTTTGTAATTTGAGTCATTCAATATTTAAAATATATTGGGGTAGTATATTATTTTTTAAAGTAATCGGCTGGGCGCGGTGGCTCACGCCTGTAATCCCAGCACTTTGGGAGGCCGAGGCGGGTGGATCACGAGGTCAGGAGATCGAGACCATCCTGGCTAACACAGTGAAACCCCGCCTCTACTAAAAATACAAAAAATTATCCGGGCGTGGTGGCGGGCGCCTGTAGTCCCAGCTACTCGGGAGGCTGAGGCAGGAGAATGGCGTGAACCCAGGAGGCAGAGCTTGCAGTGAGCCGAGATGGGGCCACTGCACTCTAGCCTGGGCAACAGAGTAAGACTCCATCTCAAAAAATAAATAAATAAATAAATAAATAAATAAATAAATAAACAAATAAATAAATAAAGTAATCCTTTTGTGAAATTATTTATGTTAACGCATAAGCATATTTCATACCTTTGGTTTCCTTTTATGAGATTTACTTCCTGAAATCTCCACAGAGATTTTTATGAATACAAACTCAGATATTGAGAAATGAACTTTAAATGATGACATTGAATTCAGGAAACCAGCGTTGAATATGCGGTTTGAGTAAGAATTCCACAGGATGATGGAAATTTGAACTATAGAAACACTATGTGGATAGGATACACCATTTGGATCAGGTATCTCCAGTACCCTACCCTTCTAATTATGTGAAGAACTCCTCTATGAGGTAGCTATCACAGTTCAATGTTGCATTGTAGTAAATGGAAACATGTGGTCATTGTTATTTCTATTGTGTTTCCAATGTTACAGTCATACAATGAGACTTTAATCAAAATGTTTCATGCATACCAAAATGTGCTGAACTTTAACCAGAAAAATCTCTATAAATCTTATCAAATGAATTGTATATTTAGCTTCATAAAAGGCTATTTCCTGCATTTTTCTTTTCTTATAGAGTTTTTAGAAATTTATGTGGAGTTGTATTTCTACAAACTCTTGTATTTAATTATATGAAAATAAAAAGATAAAAGTTTTTTAAACTGAAGATTATATATAATCTATCATGTCACCCCTTATATAACTGTGATAAAGATTGTAACTCATAAATTTACAGGTAAGAAAAATTATTTTTGTTTTAACTGCATTTATTGAAAAATCTATGTTTCATAGTTACAATGTAGTCCTCTTGCTGACAATTACAATTTAGAAAGTTCAAGTCTAACTCCATAGATCATTACTTCTGCCAAAAGTGCTTTGGTAAATCTTTGTTCTTTTGACCTGAATATCTACAGTTAATCTTTGGAAGTCTTTAGCAGCCTTATAGGTTAAAAGCATAATATCTCATCTTCAGTTATAGATCTTCTATTCAGCAAAACTTGTGGTGGTTTTCTGTTTTTGTTTTCATTTTGAGACAGAGTCTTGCTCTGTCACCCAGGCTGGAGTGCAGTGGCGTGACCTCAGCTCACTGCAACCTCTGCCTCCCAGGTTCAAGCAATTCTCCTGCTTCAGCCTCCCGAGTAGCTGGGATTACAGACACCCACCACAATGCCTGACCAATTTCTGTATTTTTAGTAGAGATGGGGTTTCACCATGTTGGCCAGGCTGATCTCGGACTCCTGACCTCAAGTGATCCACATACCTCTGCCTCCCAAAATGCTGGGGTTACAGGCGTGAGCCACTGTACCTGGCCCAAACTTGTGTTTTCAGTGAAAAAAGGGGGCCTTCTCTTTGTCAGTATCATAGTTAACATCTCAATAATTAGAGAGGTAATAGTATAAATGGTATATCTTAGTCTGCGACAAAAAGTCCCTATGGATTTCTTCTTTGTGGTTATTACTAGACAGAATGAGAAACAGGCAAATGTAAACGTATTTGTGATTGTTCAGTGAAAAGAGCATTAGAAAGGTGAGTTTAAGAAGCTGTATTCATTGCAATTCTATTTTTAGATAATATGTCAATACCTAACAGAAATATTATCATGTCAACCAGCTTTAAAACTGTCCCTAGATTAGACAAAACAAATAGTTTGCGTGGCAACTAGATTGCCAAGTGTAATTGATTTGGATTCTTAGGCTGCTGGGGGTAATTTTTTAGCCAGTTGAATTAGATGCATTTTTACCTCAGTGCAAAAATAGAAACTGATTAATTCTTTTGAAATATCATCTGGAAAACAATAAAGATAAAAGGTAAATACATACGTATATATTCATATATATAATACATATATGTATGTATAATATATTATATGTAATATATAATATATTATACACATATAATACATATATGTATAATAAATGCATACATATATATGAGATTGGATTTCGAAAGAAATAATTATGGATATTGTTTTTATGTATTTCTGATGTCAACATGATGTTGCATGTCAATCTTTTCCTTCCACTAATAAGAATAAATTTTTCAATAAACAAATTCATGATTATACTGATATTGTAAATAATCCTCTCTCAATAACTGGGGAACAAGTAAACAGAAAATCAGTAAAAGTAGAGAAGGCACACAATTAATCAACTTGACCTCATTGACATTTACAATAAACTCTATCCAATGACAACAGAATACACATTCTATTCAAATGCAGCATAACATTTACCAGGATAGATAATACTGTGGAACTGAAAGCAAGTCCTAATAAATTTAAAAGGAATAAAGTAATACAATCTATGTTCTTTAACTTCAATGGAATTAAATTAAAAATCAATAGCATAAAGATCTCTGGAAAATTCCCAAGTATTTGAAAATAAATTATAGGTTGAGCATCCCTAATTTGAAAATTCAATATCTGAATTGCTCAAAAATCTGAAATTTTTTTAATGCCAATGTGACACCACAAGTAGGAAATTTCACACCTGACCTCATGTGACAAGTCACTGTCAACAGTTTGTTTCATGCACAAAGTTATTGAAAATACTGTATAAAATTACACTCAGGTTGTGTGTATAAGGTATATATGAAACATAAATTAATTTTGAGTTTAGACTAGGGTCCTATTCCTAAGATACCTCATTATGTATAAGCAAATACAGTCATGTGCTGCCCAATGGTATGTTGGTCAATGATGGATCACATATACAACAATGGACGGATGAAACTACAATATTGTATTTTTACTGTACCTTAGCTATGGATACACAAATCCCACTGTGTTGCAATTGCCTACAGTACTCAGTATAGTAACATGACATATAGGTTTGTAGCCTAGGAACAATAGGCTATACCATATAGCCTAGGTATGTAGTAGGCTATGCCGTCTCAGTTTGTGTAAGTACATTCTGCGATTTTTGCACAACAATGAAATCACACTTAATGACTCATTCCTCAGACTGTATCTTCATCATTGAGCAACTCATGACTATATTCCAAAATTTTAAAAAATCTGAAATCTGAAACACTTCTGGCCTCAAGCATTTTTGGATAAGAAATACTCAACTGTAACACATTCATTAATAATCCAAGGGTAAAAGAAGAAATCAAAACATAAATTAAAAATTTTTTGGAACTGCATTAATATAAATGAATAATATAAATTAATATAAATAAATAACAAATGAATATAAATGAATAAAAACAGAAAATGTCGGGCTGGGCGTGGTGGCTCATGCCTGTAACCCCAGCACTTTGGGAGGCCAAGGCAGGCGGATCACGAGGTCAAGAGATGGAGACCATCCTGGCCAACATGGTGAAACCCCATCTCTACTAAAAATACAAAAATTAGCTGGGTGTGGTGGCAGGCGCCGTAGTCCCAGCTACTCGGGAGGCTGAGGCAGGTATGAACCTGGGAGGCGGAGGTTGCAGTGAGCCGAGATTGTGCCATTGCACTCCAGCCTGGGCAACAAGAGGGAAACTCCCTCTCAAAAAAAAAAAAAAAAAAAAAAGTCAAAATTTGTAGGATGCTACTTTTTTTCTAAGGGAGGAGTTTAAGCTGTATAGTTCATCCTGAAGCAGCAGTTAGGGGGAAATTTACAGCCCTAAATGTTCATGTTACCAAAAACACTTTTCACATCAATAACCCCAATTTTCATCTTAAGAAACAAAAAGACTAAATTAATCCCAACATAAGCAGAATAAAGAAAATTATAAAGATTAGGGTAGGAATCAATGAAATAGAAAACAGCAAACAATAACGTCAAACCAGAAGCTGGTTAATTGAGAAAATCAACACAATTGATAAATTACTTGCCAGATTGGTCAAGGGGCAGGAAAAAGGAGAGAAGACACTACTTACCAATATCCAGAAAGAGAGACATGATATATCCTGTAACTATTTAAAAACTATTAATTATTTAATTTAAGTTTTCTTACTTTTCTTTCTATTCTCCAAGCCTCTATATCTGTTCTCATATTTTATCTCCTTTGAGCTGTTTGCAAATTATTTTTCATTTCTGACATTTTAATTTTCATGTTAAAAATCTAATTTCAATGAACTCAGATTTTTTTTTCATTGTCTTTCCATTTTTCTCCTTGAGTTCTTGTTTCTGTGCATTGATCGTTTGTTTCATATAGAAAAATGTCTGTTTTTCTGTCTCCTCTGCACTTCCTCATTTATAGTTTGCTTCCTGCAAATATAGCTTCGAGGGTGCTTCTTCCTTCAGAACCTCTCCTCTGCTTCTCAAGATTGTGTGACCAATCTAGTTGAAAAAAAAGTTCCACCGTCACCATCAGCCTACAAAAACATTTCCACTGATTTAAATAAATGAAGGTTGTTTTTGCACCATAAAGGGCCAATTACTTTCAACACTTCAGCTTGTGGCTTTGTCTAAATTCTACAGCCGGGGGCATCCTACTTCAACATGACCGCTAACCTGTATTTGACTTTCATTGTATTTAGTAATTTTTTCTCATATCTTATGATTTGAGGTTACTTGGATCTTATAACTTTACTGAAAATGGAGTTCAGTTTTGTTTTTCCTTCTCCTTGTTACTTTTGGGTAATTTTCAAGAAAACTACTATTTCAAAATTGGATATTTATTATATTTTAAATTATGATAAAAAAACTTTATAGAGCACACCAATCTTATTAGAAAGGCATAGTTTGTTTATTTTGAAAGAATTAATCTGGTTTAATCA
Source organism: Homo sapiens (assembly GCF_000001405.40). NCBI lineage: Eukaryota > Metazoa > Chordata > Mammalia > Primates > Hominidae > Homo > Homo sapiens. Next base: position 125,758,424 of record NC_000005.10, read on the forward strand.
CTAAGAATTTAGAGATATAAAAACCTTAAAAGCTAATTGGCATTTCAAAAAATTTTTGGTGACACATTGATATATCACATTAGTAAATACAATTAATATAAATAGTTCTGAGAGATAATTTTATTGTCATATCATTTATTTCAAATGTAATATTAAAGTGACATATTTACCATCCCATCAGAAAATCAACATATGGAAAAATACCTACAATACTGAATCTATTTTATTGTAAAATTAGACTGTCTTGACTCTAAACACAATCTAAAGAGAAGAAAAATAAAAAGAGTACTAATTAGAGAAATGTGAAATCTCACACATCAAGCTGCAGTCTAGAAAACAAATAAATATTTTATAACTAAAATATTTACCAGTTATAAGTTTGTTTTGCCATTCCCTGCTTGGGAATATTGGGGTAAATCCATGGGTTTCTGGCTTGGTGAAAGAAAGCAGAGAATGAATATCAGCCTTTAGAATTTTCTTTTATTTTTTCACTTCCATCTCAGCTAAAATCATCAAACCAAGCACATACACCTGTGAGCTCCAGGAAATCCATTATCACACTTCTTTTAATCATTTTAATGCACTGTCAGTCTTTTCTGTTTCAGTTCTAATTCAAAAAGTGCTTTAAACTTCAAGTAGTTTCCAAGATTATTTTTGAAATAAAGGAAATCTTTTTTTCATAAAATGTCAAAAGTTTTGTGGTGAAGAATAAGTTTCTAAAGTTGTACAAATATAATTTAGGAATATTAGAAAGTCATGTCAATGTACAATTATTATAATATAGCCCCTCTGGCAGCATGCTCAAGCAGACTTTCTGTATAAATCCTTAAGACTAATTTTTAAAATATTTTAGTTTTGAATAAATAATGCAGGCACAAGACACAAAATTCAAAAGAAAAAAAAGAGAACTAGTTCAACTCAGCCTCCCAGCCATTTTGGTTTCCTACTAGAAGACAACTCGCCATCTCCAAAGTCTCACAGAGCTTCCAGAGGTGAGCTATGTGTAGAAACCACACACACACTGGCATGCACATGCGCACACACACACACACACACACACAGTCACACACTTCTATTTAAAGACAGCAGTATTATTTTGGCTATATACCCATACCCAGTAAAGAGATTGCTGGGTTGAATGGTAGTTCTAAGTTCTTTGAAAAATATCCAAACTGCTTTCCACAATGACTGAACTAATTTACACTCCAACCAACAGTCTGTAAGCATTTCTCTGCAGCCTCACCAACATCTGTTTTTTTGTTTTGTTTCATTTTTTGTATGTTTTTTTATTTTTATTAATAGCCATTCTGACTGGTTTTAACTTTTCTCTGATAATTAGTAATGATTAGCATTTATTTGTATGTTTGTTGGCTACTTGTATGTCTTCTTTTGAGAAGTATCTGTTCATGTATTTTGCCCAATTTTTATGGGGTTATTTGCTTTTTGTTTGTTCTGTTACTTAATTCCTTACAGATTTTGGTTATTAGACCTTTGTCAGGTGCAGAATTTGTGAATATTTTCTTCTCTTGTGAAGATGGTCTGCATTCTCTGTTGATAGTTCTTTTTGCTGTATAGAAGTCCTTTAGTTTAATTAGGTCTCACTTGTCGGTTTTTGGTTTTCTTGCAATTGCCAAAAATTTTTTGCCAAGGCCAATGATTTCCAAGGTTTTCTTCTGGCATTTTTATAGTTTGAGGTCTTACATTCAAATTTTTAATCAATTTTGAATTAATGTCTGTATAGATAAAAGGTAGGTGTCGAGTTTTATTCTTCTGCATACGGTTAACCAGCTATTCCAGCACTCTTTATTGAATAGGGAGTCCTTTCCCTGTTGCTTATTTTGTCAATTTTGTTAGAGATTAAATGGTTGTAGGTGTGCAGCTTTATTTTTTGGCTGTTATATTCCATTGTTCTATGTGTCTGTTTTTGTACCAGTACCAAGCTGTTTTGATTATTGTAGCCTTATAGTATAGTTTGAAGTCAGGTAACGTAATGCTTATGGCTTTATTCTTTTTGTTCAGAATTGCCTTGGATATTTGGGCTCTTTTTTGGTTCTATATGACTATTAGTATAGTTTTTTTTTCAAATTCTGGGGAAAATATCATTAGTAGTTTGATAGGAATAGCGTTAAATCTGTAGATTGCTTCGGACATGATATGGTTTGACTGTGTCCCCACCCAAATCTCATCTTATATTCCCACATGTTGTGGGAGGGACCTGGTGGGAGGTAATTGACTCATGGGGTCAAGTCTTTCCCATGCTGTGCTCATGATAGTGAGTAAGTCTCGTGAGATCTGATGTTTTTAAAAAGAGGAGTTCTGCACAGGTCTCTTTATCTTTGCCTGCTGCCATTCATGTAAGATGTGGCTTGCTCCTCCTCACCTTCCACCATGATTGTGAGGCTTCCCCAGCCACGTGGAACTGTAAGTCCAATTAAATCTCTTTCTTTTGTAAATTGCCCAGTCTCATGTATGTCTTTATCAGCAGTGCAAATATCGAATCATACAGTAAATTGGTACCAGTAGAGTTGGGCACTGTTGAAAAGATACCTGAAAATGTGGAAGTGACTTTGGAAATGGAAAACAGACAGAGATCGGAACAGTTTGGAGGGCTCAGAAGCAGACAGGAAAATGTGGGAAAGTTTGGAACTTCCTAGAGATTTGTTGAATGGCTTTGACAAAATGCTGATAGTAATATGAACAATAAGTTCCAGATTGAGGTGGTCTCAGATGGAGATGAGAAACTTGTTGGGAACTGGAGTAAAGGTGACTCTTGTTATGTTTCAGCAAAGAGGCTGGAGGCATTTTGCCCCTGCCCTAGAGATTTGTGGAACTTTAAACTTGAGAGAGATGATTTTGGGTATCTGGCAGGAGCTATTTCTAGGCAGCAAAGCATTCAAGAGGTGACTTGGGTGCTGTTAAAAGCATTCCGTTTTATAAGAGAAGCAGAGCATTAAAATTTGGGAAATGTGCAGACTGACAATGCGATAGAAAAGAAAATTCCATTTTCTGAGGAGAAATACAAGCTGGCTGCAGAAATTTGCACAAGTAACTAGGAGCCAAAGGTTACTCCACAAGACAATGGGGAAAATGTCTCCAGAGTATGTCAGAGGTCTTCACGGCAGCCCCTCCCATCACAGGCCCAGAGGCCTAGGAAAAAAGTGGTTTCATGGGCCAGGCCCAGGGTCCCTGTGCTGTGTGCAGTCTAGGGACTTGGTGCCCTGTGTCCCAACTGCTCTAGCCATGGCTGAAAGGGGCCAATGTAGAGTTCAGGCTGTGGCATCAGAGGGTGCAAGCCTCAAGCCTTGGCAGCTTCCACATGGTATTGAGCCTGCCAGTGCAGAGAAGTCAAGAACTGGGTTTTATGAACCTCCACCTAGATTCCAGAGGATGTATGGAAATGGCTGAATGTCCAGGCAAATGTTGGCTGCAGGGACAGAGCTCTTATGGAGAACTTCTGCCAGGGCAGTGCAGAAGGGAATTGCGGGGTCAGAGACTCCACACAGAATCCCTACTGAGCCCCACCTAGCTGAGCTGTGAGAAGAGGGCCACCATCCTCCAGACCCCAGAATGGTAGGTCCACTGACAGCTTGCATTGTGCACCTGGAAAACTGCAGACACTCAACACCAGCCCATGAAGGCAGCCGGCAGGGAAGCTGTACCCTGCAAAGCCACAGGAGCAGAGTTGCCCAAGACTATGGGAACCTACCTCTTACATCAGTGTGACCTGGATGTGAGACATGGAGTCAAAGGAGATCATTTTAGAGCTTTGAGATTTGACCACCCTGCTGGATTTTGGACTTGCATGGTGCCTGTAGTCTCTTTGTTTTGGCCAATTTCTCCCATTTGGGATGGCTGTATTTACCCTACGTCTGTACCCCCACTGTATCTAGGAAGTAACTCACCTGCTTTTGATTTTACAGGCTCATAAGTCGAAAGGATTTGCCTTATCTTGGATAAGACTTTGGACTGTGGACTTCTGAGTTAATGCTGAAATGAGTTAAGACTTTGGGGGACTGCTGGTAAGGCATAACTGATTTTGAAATGTGAGGATGAAGACATGAGATTTGGGAGGGACCAGGGGTGGAATGATATGGTTTGGCTGTGTCCCCACCCAAATCTCATCTTGAATTCCCATGTGTTGTGGGAGGGACCTGCTGGGAGGTAATTGAATGATGCAGGCAAGTCTTCCCGTGCTGTTCTTGTGATAGTGAATAAATATCATGAGAGCTGACGGTTTTAAAAAGAGGAGTTCCTCTGAACATGCTCTCTCTCTTTGCCTGCTGCCATCCATGTAAGCTGTAGCTTGCTCCTCCTTGCCTTCCACCATGATCGTGAAGCTTCCCCAGCCACGTGGAACTGTAAGTCCAATTAAATCTTTCTTTTGTAAATTGCCCAGTCTCTGGTATATCGTAATCATCAGCATGAAAATGGACTAATACAGGACAGTACGGCCATTTTAACAACCTTGGTTCTTCTAATCCATAAGCACGAGAAAACAGATCATTCTACCAAAAAGACACATGCACTCATAGGTTCATCCCAGCACTATTCATAATGGCAAAGTCATGAAATCAACATAGTTACCCATCAAAAGTGGATTGGATAAAGAAAATGTGGTATACATACACCGTGGAATAAAAAGAAATAAAACCATGCCCTCTGCAGCAACATAGATGCAGCTGCAGGCCATTATCCTAAGTGAATTAATGCAGGAACAGAAAACCAAATACCACATATTCTCAAGCATAAGTGTTAGCTAAACATTGAATATTCATGGATGTAAAGATGGCAACAATAGACACTATTAGACAAGGAAAAGAAGGAGTGGGGAAAGGTTTGAAAAAACAAACTATTGAGTACTATGCTGGCACCTGGGTGACAACATTATTTGTACCTCAAACCTAAGCATCATGCAATATAGTCAGGTAACAAACCTGCACATGTGCCCCCTGAATCTAAACCAAAAGTTGAAAATAAAATAAAATTAAATTAAAATAAACACAAACAGTGGCAATCTATACCTTCTGTGTCTTACCATTTTTATTTCTCAATATACTTTGACAATTACTCCAGAACAAATGGAGGTGCCTTATTCTGCCAAACAATTGCAATGTATTGTAGCCAACCGCCAGAGAGAAACTGAGGCTGTTGGTACATGTCATAAGAAATTGAATCTGCCAGCAACCACATGAGCATGGAAATGATTGCCCACCTAGTCAAGCCTCAAGTGACACTGCAACATTGCAGAGGAGGCAGCTGAAACTGTGAGGTAATAAATCTTTGTGCTTCAAGCAAGTTTGTAGGAATATTGTTATGCAGCAAGAGATAACTTATACAATTATTAATTTATAGTTTGATTTCGCTGTGATTAACAGATGCTGCTTGCATTGTCTACTTATGGAAATTTACTAATGTTTTATTTGTGCCTTGGTAAATGCACAGAACAAAATTGCCATCTTTTTAATGTTCTATGGACATTTGAAAAGAATTCTTTTAGGATGCAAAGTTCCAAAGTACCAATTAGATCTACTATGTTTATTATATTATTCAGGTTTTCTTTATATTTACATATCTTTTTGTCATTTTAGTTTATTGGATTGCAGGGGGTAAATTAAATTCTGCTACTTGTTATGGATTTCTATTCCTTGTTGGTTTTGATTTATAAAGTTTCATGAATTTTTATTAGACATACAGATATTTGTAATGGAAAAGCTTTACTTTGTCTTACTTTTATCATTATAAAGTTTCCTTTTTCCACTTTAATGTTATTTGCTCTCACTTTTCAAATTTATTGTCTGTTTTGAATGCTATCCCTGCCTTTTTACATTAAATATTTCTAGAATGTCTTTGCATATATTTTTATTTTTGTGTTTCTGAGTTACTTTCCTTGAGATGAGTAACTTATGTGTGTGCATTTGTATGTATACATATCTGTATATTTTATGTGTGTATATATGTGTGTGTGTGTGTGTGTGTGTCTGTGTGTGTGTTTCAACCAACATTTCTTTTCATAGAGCCATTTAGGTCATTTATACTGAATTGGTATAAAAAGCAGGCTTGATCTGTCAACATATTGTATTATATTCCTCCCTCTTTATTGTATTCAAAAACGGTCTATTGCTATGTGACTTTCATCATATATGGTTTCTTTGAATATGTTTGTTCTTTAAAGGTCAAACTTAGAATCAATATTTTCTAATAATTCTTTGTTTTTGTTATTTTATATTTTTATTTTTATTGACATATACTAGTACATTTTTATGGGGCGCACAGTGATTTTTGATACATAAAATGCATAATGATTGAATCAGAGTAATTAGCATATCCATCACCTCAAATATTTATAATTTGTGTTGGGAACATTCAAAATGCTGTCTTCTAGCTGTCTTAAAGTATGTAATAAATTATTATTAACTATGGTCACTCTACAGTGCTATGAAAACCTAGAAGTTATTTCTCCTGTCCTGCTGCAATTTTGTCTCCTTCTACCAATCCCTCCCTCACTACCCTTTCTCCATCCCTTTCTCTCTCTACCCTTTCCAGTCTCTAGTAACCATTATTCTACTCTATCCTTTCATGAGACAAACTTTTTTATGTTCTGCACATGAGTGAGAACATGCAGATAGAGATATTTATCTTGCTATTCCTGGCTTATTTCACATAACGTAATGTCCTCCAGGCTCTTTCATTTGTTGTGAATAACAGTAGTTCATTCCTTTTTTATGACTGAAGAATATTCCACTGTGTATATATATCACATGATTTTAATCCATTCATCTGTCAATAAACAGTTAAGTTGACTGAATATCTTGGCTATTGTGAATAGTACTGCAATAAACATGAGAGTACAGATATCTCCTCGATACACAGATCTCCTTTCCTTTGGGTGTATACCCAGTAGTGGGATTGCTAGAACATGTGGTAGTTCTATTTGTATTTTGAGGAACCTCTGTACTGTTCTCTGTATGGCTGTGCTAGTTTACATTCCCACCAACAGTGCATAAGAGTTCACCTTTCTCTGCATCCTCACCAGCATTTATTTCTTTTGTCTTTTAGATAATATTCATTCTAACTAGGGTGAGATTATATCTAATTGTGGTTTTGATGTGCACTTTCCTGCTTATTATTGATGTAAAGTATTTTTTCCATATATTTGTTGGCCATTTGTATGTTTCTTTTGTAAAGTGTCTAGTCAGATCATTTGTCCATTTTAAAAAATTGGGTTGTTTTCTTGCTGTTGAGTTCCTTATGTATTCTGGCTACTAATCCTTTGTCAGATGAGTAGTTTGAAAAATTTTTCCCCAATTCTGTAGGTTGTCTTTTCCCTCTGTTGTTTACTTTGCTGTACAAAAGCTTTTTAGTTTGATACAATCCCATTTGCCTATTTTTGCTTTTTTTCTTATGCTTTAGAGGTGTTAGTGATAAGGTCTTTTTCTGGACCAATGTTCTTAAGCGTATCCGCTCTGTTTTCTTCTAGTAGTTTCATAGTTTCTGGTCTTATGTTAAAATATTTCATCTATTTTGTGTCAATATTTGTATAAAGTGAAAGATAGGAGACTAGTTTCATTCTTCTACATATGGATATCCAGTTTTCCAAGCACAATTTATTGAAGAGACTGTCCTTTACTCACTGAATGATCTTCGCACCTTTGTTGAAAATCAGTTGGCTATAAATAGGTGGATTTAATTTTGTATTTTCTATACTGTTCCACTGGTCTATGTGTGTGTATCTGTTATTAAGGAAGCACCATGATGTTTTGGTTACCATAGCTTCAGAGTATATTTTGAAATCTGGTAGTGTGATGCCCCACCTTTGTTCTTTTTGCTTAGGATTACTTTGGCTATTTGGGATCTTTTGTGGTTTTATAATAATTTTAGGATTTTTTTTCTATTTCTGTGAAGATGGTCATTGCTAATTTGATAGCGATTGCATAGAATCTGTAGATTGCTTTGGGCAGTATGGTCATTTTAGCAACATTGTTTCTTCTAGTCCATGAACATTATATCTTTCCATGTTTTGTATATGTGTCTTTAATTTGTTTCATCAGTGTTTTATAGCTTTCCATGTAAAGATATGTCAGTTCCTTCACTAAATTTATTCTTAGGTATTATGTGTAGCTATTGTAAATGAGATTGCTTTCTTGATTTCTTTTGCAGCTATTTGTTGTTAGTTCTTAGAAATGCTACAGATATTTGTATGTTGATTTTGTGCCCTGCAAATTTACTAAATTCATTTATCTCTTCTAAGAGATTTTTTTTGGTGGAATCTTTAGTTTTCTCTACAGAAAGGATCTTGTCATCTGCAAAGAGGGATCAATTGATTTCCTCCTTTCCAATTTGAATGTCCTTTATTTCCTTCTCTTACCTAATTGTTCTGGTTAGGACTTCTAGCACTATGTTAAATAAGGAATGGTCAGAGTTGTTTTCCTTGATTGTTTACCAGATCTTAGAGGAAAGACTCAGACTTTCAGCTTTTCCTCATTTAATATGACGTCAGCTATGGGTTTGTCATATGTTACCTTTATTGTGTTGAGGTACATCCCTTCTATACCTAATTTGTTGAGAGTTTTCTTTCACAAAGGAATATTAAATTTTATCAAATAATTTTTTGTGTTTCTATTGAGATGATCACATGGTTTTTGTCCTTCATAATATTGATGTGATGTATCATGTTTATTGATTTGTGTATTCTACACCATCCTTGCATGCTTGGCATATATCCCACTAGATCATAGTGTATGGTCTTTTGGATGCGCTGTTGGTTTCAATTTGCTAGTGTTTGGTTGAGGAGTTTTGCATCTATGTTTATCATAAATGTTGGCCTGTAGTTTTCTTTTTTGGTTGTGTCCTTATCTGGTTTTGATATCAGCATTATGCTGGCAATGTAGAATGAGCTGGGAAGATTACCCCGTCTTTCACTTTTTTTTTTTTTTTTGAATATTTAGAAGTATTAGTATTAGTTCTTTTTTGGTTGTGTCCTTATCTGGTTTGGTAGAAATCAGCAGCAAAGACATCTGGCCCTGGGCATTTCTTTGTTAGGAGACTTTTTATTACAGATTCCTTACTATTATTCATCTGTTCAGGTTTTCTGTATTGTCTTAGTATAATCTTGGTAGTTTGTATGCATCCAAAAATTTATCCATTTTCTCTAGGTTTTCTAATTTCTATAACTATAGTTCCTCATAATAGTCTCTAACAGTCCTTTGTATTTCTGTGGTTTCTATTGTGATTTCTTAAGTTTCTGATTTTGTTTGAGTCTTCTTTTTTCCTTAATCTAGCTAATATTTTCTTTTTTGATTTTGTTTATCTTTTCAACAAATTAAGGTTTTATTTTGTTGATTCTTTGTATTTCTTAATTTCAATTTTATTTATTTCTGCTCTGATCTTCACTATTTATTTCTACTAATTTTAAGTTTGGTTTGTTCTTGTTTTTCTAGTTCCTTAAATTGCGTTATTATTTTATTTGAAATCTTTCTGCTTTTATGATGTCAGCATTTATTGCTATAAACTTGTTTTAATACTGCTTTTGCTGTTCCCTGTTGGTTTTGGTATGTTGTGTCTCTGTTTTTATTTGTTAAAAGGAATTTTTAACATTTCCTCCTTAGTTTCTTTCTTGACCCATAGATTATTCAGGAGAATTTTGTTTAATTTCCATGTATTTGTACAATTTCAAATGTTCCTCTTAGTATTAAATTCCAGTTTTATTCCATTGAGTCATGAAAGATACTTGATATAATTTCAATTTGTTAAAATTTTTGAGACTTGTTTTCTTACTTAAAATATAGTCAATCCTGGAGAATGCTCCATGTGCTAATGATAAGAATGTGTATCTATAGGTTTTGGTTGAAATGTTCTGTAAATGTTAGGTCCATTTGGTCTATGGTACAGTTCTAATTTGATGTCTGTTGATTTTCTGTCTAAGTAATCTGTTCAATGCTGAGAGTGGGATGTCAAAGTCACCAATTATTATTACACTGGAGTCTATGTCTTTCTTTGGATCTAATAATATTTGCTCTATGTATCTGGACGCTCCACAGTTGGGTGCATAAATTTTTATAACTGTTATATTCTCTTGCTTAATTGATCCCTTTATTATTAATTAATAAAATTAATTAATGGGTTTTTTTGTCTCTTTTTACAGTTTTTACTTAAAGTCTATTTTATCTAAGTATACCTAGTCCTGCTTGCTTATGGTTTTGGCTTGTACAACATTTCTTTTTCCTTTTCTTCACTCTCAGTCTATATGTGTATTTACATGTGAATTGAATTTCTTGTAGGCAGCATATAGTTGAGTTTCTTAAAAATCCATTTGTCCAGTCTGTATTTTTTAACTGGGAAATTTCATCTGTTTACATTCAAAGTTATTATTGATAGGTGAGGACTTACTGTTTTTATTTTATTAATTGTTTTCTGGCTGTTTTGCATGTCATTTGTTCTTTTTTTCTTCTCTTATTTTTTATCTTTGCAGTTTGGTGATTTTTTTGTAGAGATAAGATTTTGTTTTTTTCTGTTCCTGCTTTGTGTATGTGTTCTACTAATGAGTCATAATTTTGTGAGTTTTCAGGATGGTAGTTATCTTTGTTTCCAGATGTAAAACTCCCATAAGCATTTCTTGTAGTGCTGCTGTAATGGTGATGAATTTCCTCAGTTTTTGCTCATCTGGGAAACAATTTATTTCTCCTTTTTTTCTGAAGGGTAGCTTTACCAGGTATAGCATTTTTCATAGAAGTATTTTTCTTTCAGCACTTTGAATATATCATCTCATTCTTTCCTGGCCTGTAAGATTTCTGCTAAGAAATCTGTTAGTCTAATATGGATTTCCTTATATATGACTTGATACACTTTTCATGCTGTTTTTAAAATTCTGTGTTTTTGACTTTTGACAATTTCACTGTAATGTGCCTTGGAGAGGATCTGTTTGGGTGTTATTTGAGAATCTTTGAAATTCCTAGATCTGGATGTTCATCTCTTTCCAAAGACTTGGGAAGTTTTCAGCTCTTTTTCATTAAATATGCTTTCCACACTTTTGGTCTTCCATTCTTCTTCTGCTACCTTCATAATGTGGATATCTGTTCACTTAATTGTGTCCCATAAGTCCTGTAAACTTTCTCCATACTTTTATCTTCTTTTTGCTGCCTGGGTTATTTCAGAAAAACTTGTCTTCAAGTTCAGAAATTTGTTCCTGTGCTTGGTCTAGTCTGTTGTTGAATCTCTTGGTGGTATTTTTAAAATTTTATTCATTACATTCTTTAGGTCTAAGATTTCTGTTTTTTGTTTTTTAAATGATATCTGTCTCTTTGTTGAATGCCTTATTCAGATCATAAACTTTTTTCCTGATTTCATTGTATTCTCTAGCTGAATTCCATTTTGCTGAGCTTTCATAAGATTATTATTTTGAATTCCTTTTCTGGCCTTTCATATTTTTCTGGGATTTTTTTTTTTTTGGTCTGTTACTGAAGATTTATTGTATTCCTTTGTAAATGTATTTTTTTTTGCTTTTTTTATATTTATTGTGTCACTATATTGATATCTGCACATTTGGTGGAACAACTGTCTCCTCCAATTGCATGGAGTAGGTTTTACAGGAAAAGACTAATTCCTGTTGTTGGGTTCTGTGGTATCAGTTAGATATGATGTGTTGGCTTTGATTCTGGGTGGACACAGTAGTGGATTCTCTGTTTATTTCTTCCATTATAATCAGTGTTAGTGATGTTAGCAAGTGCCTCAGTGGCCTATGCTGTGGGAGTTAGTGGTAGTAGTGGTGTAGTTTTGCCAGAGTTGGGCTTCCTAGGTTCTGTCTCAGGACAGGGGCAAGTATGTGCCCATAGTAGGTCAGCTAGCTTGGGACTGGCTTGCTGGGATAGGGGCTGCTGGGCTGTTACTCCAGTAGACTCATGGGACATTGCTTCCCAGCCAGCTCAGGAGATAGTCTACCTGGGGTGGGTCTACCAGGCCATTTCTCCAGCTAGGGATACAGGCACACAGTGGTTCAGCTGGTCCAGTTTGGCTTCTCCACTATGCAGGACCACAGTTATAGTCATACCTCATCCCACGCTCTGAGCAACCAGGGTTTTATCATCGTAGCTAAGCCCACATGAATCCATGTGGGCTTGATGGTCTTGGTGGAATGATGGCAGAGCTCCAGGGCTGGGGAGGTGGTGACTACTGGCCCCCAGGGCAGGTCACACTTCAGTAGTGGCTCTGGTTTCAAGATGGCTTCATACTGCAGCAGATTGGGTCATGGGCAGGATTAGGAGTATATAACTCTTAGTCCAGAGCAATGCAGCCATATGAATTCCAGGCAGCTCCCAAGACTTGGCTCAGGGCTTGTGAGAATTGTAGGATTACCCTGTAATAAGAACTGCCAGTGTCTGCAGTGGCAATGAGAACTGGTGGGGATCTTTTGCTTACCTTTTCTTTACAAGGGGTAAAGACTTGACTCTCCTGACTGACCAGATCTTGGGTGGGGAAATAGGGCAGCAGAGACAGGGTGCTTAATTCCCCTCTCTATGTTGCTATCTTGGGCTTCTGAGCACCACAGGGACCTAGGTACCTCCTTGCTGCATTCCAGCACTCTCTCTCTAACACTCCACTTGAATTTTCATTGTTTATTCTTTGCCTTGATCTTTTCTTGTCAGGGGAATGAATGCCAGGTGTCTCTAGTCAGGCATCTTTCCGACATCATTCTCTTGCTCTAATTTCTGATATCCATCCCTAGCCTAATCAAATATAATTCCTTTTTTGGTGGGGAAAAAAGGATTACATAGTTCAAGTAGATTCTAAAATTCTTTTTTACAATAGAAACCACTGATGATAATATAAACCCAGGAACATATAAACATAAATATAAGTGCTTTTGATGACATGTAGATATTTCCATCCATGAAACACAGATCATTGTCATTCCAGAAAACAAATCATCTGCTCTAAATAGCTTTTTCTTCAGTGTACAGTGAACATATGTGTTCCTTTTTGACTTTTCTGAATTTAGTCACTTTATTTCCACGCCTTTTCTAATCTTCTATGCAAATTTAAATTGTTCCAAATTTTCAAAGTCAAGGTCATATCTCTTTATCTCTGGAAACTTTTTCATTACTGCTCTAGATAGGGCTCAAAGTAGTCTTGATTTCTTAATCTATATTGGTATATGTAGCATGAGGTTAGAAAAGTTGCATAGTTACTGACTTCGAAGAGTTCATATCAAGTAGACTATCTTAAATAATTTTCATTCCACTGAAAGTATTCCATTTGGAAAACCCTCTCAAATTAAAGGCAATTAAAACATCTTAACAATGATAGTTTTCTTAGCACAGCTAAAAGCATTGTTTTTGCTACATGTTACATTAGAGAAAAATATTGGGGAAAAACTCTTAAATTCTTTGAAATAAAAAAATCTATATTTCTCGTGCTATTTTGAACAAAGGCAATGATATTCATATTCATTATTCTTATTATGCTGAACATAATTTAAAGTTTTTATGTGTTCACTGAAGCTCTGTTGTGATGGGGTTTTTACCTACTGAATTCAGAATACAGAAGTAGCTGGCCCTTTTCTCACTTCTCTCAAAAGCTGGTTGAGTGGGTAGAAGGTGAGGGAGACAGAGGCAGGACCTATATACATAACAGATGATTGAAAGAAAAGGGGCAATGTCACTGGTGAAATCTTCCTTTTTAAAATTTTCTCCAGGAAGTAGACAGCAAGAAAGCAGTGATGAATATGATAGTTCAATTCTTTCATGCACTAGATGACCATATATCTAAGTTTGCCCTAAACATTTTCAGCTTATGTTTGTCGTCCCAGGATAATTATTAGCAGTATTCTATTTTGTTCTCGAAAGTGTCCTTATTTAGACAGTAAACTATATAGTCATCCCATTGATGTAGGGGTATGTTAAGCTGATTAACAAGACTAGATAGATTTTGACATTTATTCAGTTTACTGCCTAAAGATTTTAAATAGCTTTTCAAAGAAATAGTTTCTCAATCAAAATGAGAAATTGTAAAGATTAAATATGTATTCCAAACCCTACCAGTCATTTAATAAAGCAGCAAACAAAAGTCATGAAAATGCCAGCCCAATTATATACAAGTTCAATTTTATCTTAATGGTAAAATGCTAGTCCCACACAATCCACAGTGACATCCCAGATAAGAGGTGGTTGATGACTGAAGGTAAGTGTTACATAGGAAAGTTCAAGTCATAGGATCTATTTATTTACATTAATTCTGGCCATAATCAAAAATATTTGAGAGTGCTCACATTTGATCACTGTTAGAAAAAAAAGGCTCCTGTCAACACTGCTGTCACAATGGAACCAACATTTCATTTTTTTAATTTCAGACTGACAACCAAGTTCATGTTCTACAGATTAAAACTCAAGTCTTGAAATTAAGGTCTTCATTGTTTTATTTAACTTTAGAATCCAGTAGAAACCGTCTTCTCATCAGGATGCCTTATAGGATTTCCTCCAATGCCATTATATTTGTCAGCTTTCACTAGGTTTTGCTGCATAAGGAAGAACCTCAAAATCTTATTGGCTTAAAACAACACATGTTTATTTTTTGCTTAAGTTTCATATAAACCGAAATTTGATGGTGGCTATGCTCCAGGCCAGAGGTCAGGCATGTGATGCACCTGTTCTTTTCACAGAAGAGCCAGAGGTCAAACTAACTACAAAATCACATGTAAAACATTTTCTCAGGCAGGAGATATTATATTTGTGATTTTCCATTAGCCAAAATAAGTCACACAGACAAACCTACGTCAGTGAGGCAGAAAAATATAACCCTACCTAGCACAAGAGGAAGAAAGAGGAATATTTCCCAGTAATCATAAATATGTCACGGCTATCCTCAATCATTATTTCAGTACTTTTAAATGACATCCCAGTTCCCTGGAATGGTTTCCCTCTAATCCTTTTACAGCCGAACTCTCTCACCTTTCAAAGTTAAACTCAAATCAAACGACTCTATAAGGCCTTCTCTAATGGTTCCTCTCCACCATGTTTTCACTTTGTCTGCTCTACTGTGCATTTGTATTTATCACTTGTTTTGACACAAACTATAGCTGGTATCATAATGTATTCGTTTGTTTCATGTCCTTATGCCTTGTTTGAAGGGCAAGGACCATAACCTCTTCTAGTTAATATAGGTACTATGCAAATATAAAAAACACCATAAATACTTGTTGAATGAATTATTCAATAATGTTTTGCCCACTTTCTTGGGTAAAAGTTCTGAAGAATAAAAGACTATGTATTGAAGATATATTTATGCTACTATTTTAATATTGATGTCAGTTATTTATCCAGCAAATTCTTATTTAAACATGTATTTGTAGCATATACAATTCTCATATGAAGATGCTGCTGCTGACTCAACAGGATTACTCTATGAACACTGAGATATTTACAGTTTGGTTTAATAGAAAAACCACAGGAGTTGAGGCTTGTCTATTAAATACAGGTTTGCCATTGGAAAAGTAACTTCTCTGAGTCTTATATATAAAATATGAGTAATGCCTAATTAGAAAAATGCTATGCAATACGTAATGTATCTAGGAACCTTACCCATAATAGATGCTCAAAACATAGTAGCTATCATTTCCAATACTGATAGTGATTTTTATGAACCATTGTGCATTCTCCATTTGATGATTTGTAAAATACCAATTGAGGTTAGTTTTACTCTACAGCTCTGAAATAGAATCAGCTCATTCGCCACCAAATAAAACTTGGGGTGACAGCCTCAAATGACAGGGCTCAAACCAACCAAGAAAGTTTCTGTTTACAGAAAAGCCTAGAAAAGTCATTTGTAAAAGTGATCTGGGGAGGTAAGAATCAGGGTGAGTAATAATAGCTTAGATAAGAACAAGAATTCACAGAATTGTATGTAGAAACGTGAAAATTATTATCAAACCTTTTAAAGTAAATATTTCATATACGTACAAAGATGCAACATAAAACATATATCCTCTTGAGGAATTTTAGGCCACGAAAAGAAGAAATAATTTATTTCCAAACTGAGAGATCAAAAAGCCTAATCTAGAAGTAACTGTGGACAATATAAAGAAAGCAAGTACACACTCATACACTCTTTGAGCTGTGTGCTTCAGTTACGGTTGTCCACTGGGACCAATCTCTTCCTCTGGAAGGTTAAGTGTCCCTGAAACTGACATCAGAACATTTTTAAATTAACAAGTACGTTGTTCTCATCTACAAATGGCAATTTGCCATGTTCAACTTATATTTAGATCTGTAAGTCCACATGTAATTTGTCTCACTTTGTGAGTATAAATAATCACGATATAAATGGAGAAGAAATGTAAATCAATTGATTAACAATGTTATCACGATTTTAAAAATTCTTCTTTTCTATCCTTGCCTTATCTCTGCATTTCCTTTGTCTTGCCTTCTCTGGTAATGCTGGAAAAGTTTGAAAGTAGTTTAAAAACGTGCTCTGTGTGTGAGTGTGTGTGTGTGTGTGTGATGGTATTTACAGGCTATCAGAGACTCTTGGACAAAAATTTATTCCCCTCAATAAAGGCTAAGACAGTGTTCATCTGCAAAACATTTACTTTAAGTCTCTTTTCCTTTATAAATCATGCTCATATGCTTTTTATATTTTATAAAAGACCAGAACTCCCTGTCTCTAAGTTAGTAAAATAGTTTTGATTTAATGTCACCATGATCTCACAATTTCTGCCTTCAGCTAAGAAGTCAAAGTAAGATGACTTTTTAAAAAGGTTTCAAAATTTAAGTTATTGCCTACATTTTCATCTATAGTAAGTTAATACAACCATCCAGCAACTTTAGAAAAGTACCATGACCCAAAATGCTTATATAAAATATTGAACAGTCTTCAATATGTATGTTCCTCAATGTGTAAGACTTTTGTAGTCATCAAATTCGGAAGAGCGTTACCATGACAGAATTGTGGCTGTTCTTCATTTCATTATTAATGAGACATTCACATCAAAACCAATTAATTAAAACTCATCAATTCTGAGTGTAAGAGAAAAAATAAAAGCAAAAATAACATGATTAAAAGTTTATAACAGGTTTATACAATAACAAGTATAACAGAAGTATTTACCATCCTTTAGTGAGTAAAACTTTTCCTAGCTTCTTAAAGATATCTGTGTAGGCATATTGGTGAATATTTCTAAATTATATACACAAAAATAAGATTTAAACAAAGCTACAAGTCATTGTAGGAAAGTTGGAAATAGCCTCATTTCTCCAGCATAATGGTAGGAGCCAATGTGGTTTGTTACCCTGTTGCTCCTAGGAATATACCTAAGAAAAACTATTCCTTTCATGTTGCTTTTATTCCTTTTGAAAGCTTCTTTATTATTCAGTCTATATTAATGAGCTTGAAGAAAACAAGAAGAAAGGCTAGGCTAAGTTTTGATGTTGGGTAGGTTAGGTGTATTAAATGCATTTTTGACGTAATAAAAAATTTAACTTACAATGGAGTTATAAGATATAATCCCATTATAAGTCAAGCGGCATCTGTATTCTCTTACAGTTCTGCAGATCAGAAGTCCAAAATGGGTCTTAAAAAGCAAAAATCAGGAAGTCAGCAGCTGGTTTCTGTAGATGGCTTCAAGGGAGAACCTGTTCCTTGCCTTTTCCACTTACAGAGACTAATTTGCATTCTTTGGCTCCTGGCTTTATCACTGCCATCTGTGCTTCCTTAGTCACCTTGCCTCCTCCTTTTCCAGAGCATTTCTGCTTCAATCTTGTATGAATAGTTGTGATTACATTCAGAGCTTCTGAAGAGATGGGACAAACTAAAGTGTTTTCTTTTTCTATTCTCACATACTAAACACAGAATATTTCACCTCCAGTCACCAAAATGTGTGGGAATTTCTCCCCAGCAGAAATTAATCAGTTCTCCAGCAGACACCAACTGGGTGTCCTACAATTTAATTCAATTCTGATACTCTACCTGGAGGTAGTATCAGGTCCTATAGGTTAAGGGCTCAATCCCACAAGGCTATTCTTCTCTTGAGATGCCAATTGCAAGCCCTAGGTTGTGACGTGTGCTTCTGACCAATCTGCTATAAACCAGGCTTCCCATGATCCCCGCCTCTTCGGGTTTGATTAATTTGCGAACACAGCTCACAGAACTCAAGGAAACACTTTACTTATGTTTACCCATTTATTATAAGGGAAGTGATGGATAAAAGGGGCATGGAGCATTTATGCTTTCTCTAGGCATGCCACCCTGAAGGAACCTCCACATGTTCAGCTATCCCAAAGCTCCTCAACTGACATCCTTTTGGGTTCCTATGGAGGCTTAATTGCATAGGCATGGTTAATTACATCATTGACAACTGGTGATCAACTCAACCCATCTCCCCTCCCCAGGGGTCAGGAGATAGATAGAGCTGAAAGTCCCAAACTGTAGTCAGCCTTTGGTCATTCTGGTGGCCTGCCTATATCCTGAAGCTATCCAGGGGCTGCCAGACACCAGTCATCTCATTAGCAAACAAAAGACACTCATCACTTCAGAGATTCCAGGAATTGTAGGAGCTATGTGCCAGGAACTGGAACAGAGATTCTCTCTCTGTTTCCTATTATATCGCAATATCACAGGGCCTATTCAGATAATCCAGGAAAATCTCCCCATCTCAAGATCCTTAACCACATATATGAAGTCCCTTTGCCATATAAGGTAACATATTCACAGGTTTCACGGATTACAACGTGGGCATATTTAGTGGTCATTGTTCTGCCTACCACACTAAGTATTATTTTAGTTGCTTATAAAGAGCTAAGAGCAAGATGACCCCTGCCCTCAATTAATTTTCATTCTAATATTTTTACTTTTAAACAGTTACCTCTTGAGGTCACTCAGGCAAAAAGAGTGCCAAGAGTGGGTGAGGATGAGCCTGGGAGAAAAAGTAAGGAAGTCAAACAAACCCCAGAAGCATGCAAAGGAGGCAAAGGCAGACTGGTGTGAGGATCTGCGTCAGTAATCAGGACCCTAAAATAGCAAGGAGCCTAAGGCACGAGCAGGAAAAGGAGACAGAAGTTCAGGCACAAGATACCAGGAAAAAGGCCGTGAAAGAGAAGGTACTGCTGTATCAGGCAGCCAATCTTCTCATTCCTTTCCCACTGGGACTGATGTAAATCCTAAGGAACAATGGAGGCAACTATTGGGTCAACATAGTTGAAATAGAGATCGCAAAAACAGAAATTAAAAAAAAAAAAACAAAAAACCCTACATTGATTCATGCATAGATAACTCCTAGAATACCCAAGGTCTATCAACTTTCCTTTTGAAAATTCTTTAAGTTGATTCATATTGATCTCATTCTGCTTGACTCAATGATAACACAAGTCTATTACTTTCCATACACCAGCAGGAAGTACTACTCACTTGATTTAAAAGTCTCTAAATAAGAATCTGTTTATAACTTGATAAAAATGTATAATCCCCTTGGCTCCTCTATCTTTTTGCCTTCTGAGAACTTTTGATCCTTGCATTACGTCTCATTGATTCCTCTTTGACATGAATTCTTAGTATTTTACGAATATTCCATCTTGGCTTTCCATATATGAATACACATAGGCCACATTGCTTCTCAGAAGAGATATTTACTCTCTTTATGTGAGCATTTAGCATCTGTCTAGTAATGAGAGTACAATCTTTATGTATGGGCCATAAAAACTTCAAACTGATGAAAAGTATCTGTCTGTTTAAAACATACATTTTGCTGCCTTCTCCCGAATCCCAAAACATGTACCTAAATAGTTTTGTGGACAACAACATTCTACATCCATATAAGCAAACTTGTAGAATTTGGTACATTATTTTATCCATTCTTTATTGTAATATAATGTTGTGACTCCATCAGAATTAGCCAATATAGAGCCATTCTTCAAGTTAATAGATTATTCTCATTATTCAGCACAGCTATCAATTACCACTGAATACCATAATAAGTGAATTTCTTCTAATCCTGCTCTTGGGAGAGTATGAACATTTGAGGTCACCAGAGAACAAGAGCAAAAGATAAGATTCAGGGGGGAGGAAAACGTGAGCATAGGTGTATGTGAATATACCTCTATGTATGTTTATAAAAGTCAAGTCTGGAGGAATTCACTTCTAGCATAAAAGAAACTGATTTCAAGTTATAAAATATAAAGTATCCCCTAAAGAAAATGATTACTAAATAACCTCAGAAAATACATCCAAAGTACCACCTTCTTGCTTTCCAGTTACACTTTGGTTATTTCACCCTATATCAACACCCTCAAAACACAGGCAAAGTTAAAAAGCTAGGGCACTGGAAAGGAACAATTTCTCTCCCCTCCTTTCCTTTTTTCTCCTGCACCACCATCAGCTGAATAATACATATAACCTTCCTTTTTTATCAAAAGCAACAGCTGGCAAATTGTTAAACTGTTTGGAAAATTCTGACAAAGTAATGTTAGTTTAAGACAATGCTATCTGACATAAACTTGTCGCATTAGACAGATTAAAAAGACTAATGGAACTATAAGAAAAGAAATAAAAAAGGTCATTGTGCCACAGTAAGATCTTGCCCTGGGCTTGGTCTATAGACAATAGATCTGAAATTGCAGCTGACTGATGCCATTTAAAAGGGAAAGAAGAATCCAACTAAAGGGACCTCTACTAACGCCTCACCCGACCTGTCATTCTTTGGAACACCAGCATGTATAGTTGTAAAAGACGGAATGTAATTATTCTCTATTTTCTCTAGTCACAATTTGAAATGTCAATTTGCATAGCTTGCAAAGCAAACATAGTTTAAAGCATATTTTTCATTGTATTTTTATTATTTCCCCTTTGAATCTTCCCCATCAGTAATATACCAGACTGCCTTTTTCCCCTTATATGAGTGTTTGTGTGTATGTAATAGATGATAACCAGAAAACATTAATGAATATCATTGGTGTTTTTATACACATAAGGAAAAAAGGTTTGTGAGATTTTCTTCATGCATAATATAAACATACTGACTTTACACTAAAATGTAAACATATCAGAATTTAATGAATTTATAAATCAATAGTTTTCAGGTAACCAGGAATTTCATAAAAAAATAATTCCTTTGAAAACACAGATAATTTTTTTATTTACCCAGATAAAATGGACATATTCCTTTGAATAAAATCAAGCAGAAACTGCAAAAAAGCACCCAGTAAAATTAATATCAAACTGTAAATATCAAACTCTCAAATCTATGTTTACAGTAAATAAACCTAAATTGCTATTGTTAAGTGGTCATTTGACGAAATGCTCATGCAAAAGTTATTTTTTGCCATCCTCCAGAGCCTCTGTTTGTCTCTCTTTCTCCCTGACCCTCCCTTAAGCTATTTGAGTGCACACACACACACACACACACACACACACACACACTACTTCTTCTCAAACACTTCCTGATTTAAATGTGTTTAATTTTGTATTTAAACTGAGTCAATTCCATTTTATCTGCTTTCCCTGCCCCTTTATCCTTCCTACTTGGAGTTGATCTAAGATTTTAAGGGCTTGGAATTATTATTATTTTAAGAGAAGAGATTCAGTTCATCCTAGTTTCCCTCCCCTCTGACAACATACTTCATCCCACCTGAGCCTCTGTGATAAGCCAGAAATAATGACAGGTGTCCACAGTCCTGTCTGACTCTACAGTAGATAGTGTCACTATCCATCCTCTTTGTCCTACTCCAAGCAACTTGCAATCCACTGTTCCTCTCAGTACTTTCACATTCCTTCTGGGGGATTTGGGGATACAGAACTGTCTCCGACACCTTCTCTAGTTCTTTGGGCTTTATGAGGCTGGTTTGGGCCCCTGTTGAATCCGTTTTTCACTCTCAACTGCCTGCGGTTGAAAATAATGGTATTCAAAACTATTTTATAGTTCTAAACTTACAAGCTATGTACTAATTGTAGGGAAAAAACTTGGTATGCTCAAAATTATGTGTGTATATGCATGCACATATATGTATGCAGAATTTTGATTGAGTTACAGAAATAATATGTTCATATTAACAACTAAAGAGTACTGAGGGTTCTACAATAAAATTAGTCTCTCATACATTACTGAAAAATTCTTTCCCATAGATCCAATTATGTATAGTTTTTAGATTATTTTCCATATTTTTCTTTATTATTAAAAAATGTAAAATAAATGTGCACATATTTTTGAAAGATGTAGAAAGAGGACATACTCTTGTATTACTATATTATACTCAAATAATAAAAAATTGGTTCTTTAAATTAATATCACATACATCCTCAAAATCAGTATGGATCTGCTTATGATTTTTAAATGACTGTAACTGTTCCAGCCTTTCTCCCTTTCTGCAAGTGACAATTTGTTTCTTTCAGTAATCTTCAGTTCTTCTATTTCTCTCCTATTTCATATGCTATCCATCACTAAATCTTTGGCGTTCAACCTTCTCAATGTGAAGAGATTCCATCTACCTCTCCCCGCTGTCACCCTTGTTCAAGCTGCCATTGCAATAGTCTCCTACTGGTTCCTCCTGCCTCCATCTTTGTACTGCAGTAGTCGTTATTCCACACACAGACACACACACACACACACACACACACACACACACACAAAAAAAAACCCATAGTGATATTTTCAAAATATCACCAGCTGTAAATTTATTTATAAACTTGAATATATCAAATTATTTAAAATGGCAAAACTAAACTATGGTACTTATAGGTACATCCTTGCAAGCTAAAACCATGGAAAACGCTAAAAAGTAATGACTATACAGTTTAAGATAATGGTTACTTTTGGGCAATGGGATGGACATATTGGGGGAGGCTTTACGGTGGTTAACAAAGTTCCACTTCTAAATCTGGGTGGTGGTTTCAAGGATATTTCCCTTGCAGTTTATGACATGTATATTTGTCTGTGTGCTTATCTGTTTCAGTGTTGAGGGTTTTTTTAATTAACAGACTTTATTTTTTAGAGCAGTTTTAGGTTTATAGAAAATTAAAAGTACAGAGAGTTCTACATAGCCCCTCTCTTACAAGACAAAGTTTCTCCTGTTATTAACAACTTGCCTCAGTGTCCTATATTTGAAGCAATATTGATACATTATTATTAACAGAAGTTAATAGTTTACATTAGGGTTCACTCTGTGTTGTAGATTGTTACAGGTTTTCACAAGTCATAATGTCACCTATCCACCATTACGGGTCATATATCATGCTCTAAAAATCCCCTGTGCTTCATCTTTTCATCACCCACCCTTTGCCCACAAAATCCTGGCAACTATTGCTTTGTTTTTACTTTCTCTAAAACTTTGCTTTTTAAAAAATGTCAGAAAGTTAGGATCATACATATGTAGGCTTTTCAAATTGGCTTCTTTCACTTACCAATATGCTATCCAGTTTCCTCCATGTCTTTTTGTGGCTTGATACCTCATTCTTTGAATTGCTGAATAGTAATCCATTGTATAGATGCACCATTTTTTCCATTCAGGTTTTCAAAATTTTATTGTTAATTGACATAGAATAATTCTACGTACTATGGAGTACATAATGAGGTTTCAACACATATAATGTATAGTGATCAGATCAGGGTAATTGGCATGTCCATTATTTCAAACATTTATCATTTCTTTGTTTTGGGAACACTCAGTATCTTCTTACCTATTTGAAACTATATATTATTATTAGCAATAGTCATCCTACAGTGACATAGAACAGAACTTATTTCTACTAACTATAATTTTGTATAGTTACTAGATTAATAAATCTCTCCCATTAATCTTTTGAAAAGCATATTTATAATTGCCCAAATTATAAATTGGCAATTATAAATAAAGCTGCTATAAACATTAGCATACAGGTTTTTTGAAGACATAAGTTTTCAACTTATTTGATTAAGTACTAAAAAAGTGACTGAATGGTAAGACCATTTTGTTTTGTAAAAAACCATGAAAAACTTTCAAAGTGACTGTACCATTTTGGATTTCCAGCAGAAATAAACGAGAGTTCCTGTTACTCTATATCCTCATCAGCACTTGGTATTGTCAGCTTTTTTTGTTTGTTTGTTTGTTTTAAACTTCAGCCATTCTAATAGGTATGCAGTAGTAACTTGTTATTTTAATTTGCAATTTCCTAATGACTATGATGTTGAGCATCTTTTCACATGCTTACTAGTTTTCTGTGTATCTTTTTTAGTGAGGTGTTTGCTCAGAGTTTTGCCCATTTTTAATAGAGTTGTTTGTTTTTATATTGTTGAGTTTTTTAAAGACTTATTTGTGTATTTTGCATACAAGTCCTTTATCTGACATGTATTTTACAAATATTTTCTCCCACTCTGTGCTTTGTCTTTTCATTCTCCTAGCAGTGTCTGTCACAGAGCAAAAGCTTTTTATTTTAATGAAGTCCAACTTACCAATGTTTTATTTCATGGAAAACACTTTTGGTATTGTATCTAAGAAGTCATCATCAATCGTCAACATAAGGTCACATAGATTTTCTCCTATGGAATGTTCCGTAAGTTTTACAGTTTCGCATTTTACATTTAGGTCTATGGTCCACTTGAGTTTATTTTTGTGAAAGAAGTAAATTCAGCATCTACGTACATTTTTTTTTTTTTGCATGTGAATGTCCAGTTGTTCCTGAACTATCTGTTGAAGATTATCCTTTTTCTTCTAATGGATGAGCAAGAAAAGTGGTTTCTTGAGATGGAATCTACTCCTGGTTAAAATGCTGTGAACATCATTGAAATGACAGCAAAGATTTCAGGAGAGTACATAAACCTAATTGACAAAACAGGGGTAGGGTTAGAGCGGATTGATTCCAATTTTGGAAGATGTTCTACTGTTGATAAAATGCTATCAAAAAGCAACACACGCTACAGAGGAATCTTTCATAAAAGGAAGAGTCAATCAATGGGACAAACTTCATTGTTGTCTTCTTTTCAGAAATTGTCACAGTCACTCTAGCCTTCAGCAACCATCACCCTGATCAGTCAGCAGCCATCCATATCAAGGCAAGAGCCCCCACCAGCAAAAAGGTTACGACTTGCTGAAGGTTCAGATGATTGGTGGCATGTTTTAGCAATAAAGTATTTTGAAATTACACTATGCACATTGTTTTTTAGACATAATGCTATTACACACTTAATATAGTACAGTTTATTGTAAACATAATTTTTTATGCACTGGGAAACCAAAAATTTTGTATGACTTGCTTTGTTGTGATAGTCACTTTATTGTAGTGATCTGTAACTGTACCTGCAATATCTCCAAGGTATATCTGTATGTAAACTCAGTGCTATAAATTTGCCTCTAAGAAATGCTGTTACTGCATTTCACAAATTCTGTTAAGGTGTATCTAATACTTATTTAGTTAAGAATATTTTTAGTTTCTCTTTAGACTATTTCTTAGATCCATGTGATTTTAGAAGTGTGCTGTTTAATCTCCAAATACTTTGAGATTTTCCAGCCTTTTTTGTTATTCATTTCTAGTTTAATTCCATTGTGATCTGAGAACATACTTTATATGATTCTTATTCTTTTATGTTTGTTGAGGTATATTTTATAAACCAGAGTTTGTTCCTTGGTGTGTATTCCATGTGAGCTTAGGAAAAATTTGTATTTTGATGTTGCTGGTTGAAGTATTCGGTAAATGTTAATTAGATTCAGTTGATTAATGATGCTCTTCAGGGTAACTATATTCTTACTTGTTTTCTGCCTGTTGGATCTGTTCATTAATGATAGAGGTGTGTTGAAATCTTCAATTATAAGAGTGGATTTGCCTTTTTCTGCTTGCAGTTTAATCATTTTTTGCCTCACATATTTTGATAATCTGTTATTAGGCACATATACAATAAAACTATTCTGGCTTATTGGAGTACTGATTACTTTTCATTATTTAATGACCCATTTTATCCTTTATAATTTCCTTTCTTCTGACGTCTGCTTTGTCTGAAATTAATTCACCTATTCCAATCTTCTTTTGGTTAGTGTTAGGATGGTGTGTATTTACTCTATATCTTCATATATAGAAGGAGTTTCTTGTATACACTATGTGGTTGGGTCTTGGTTTGTTTTTTGTTTTCTCCATTCAGTCTTTTATTTGGTGTTGGACAATTCACATTAAAGTGATTATTGATATAGTTGGGTAAATATCTACCATTTTTTAACTATTTTTTATTTATACACTGGTTCTTTCTTTTTGTATTCTTTTTCTGCTCTCTCTGGTTTTAATTATTTTATATGATTCTGTTTTCTCCCTTCTCTATTATGTCCATAATACCTCTTTTAAAATTGTTCATGATTGTTTCTAATTGTTCTAGACTTTGCAATATACATTTGCAACTAATGAAAGACCACTTTCAAACAACACTGTACTGTTTCACAAGTAATGCAGGTACCTTAACAAAGTATTCTCAATTCCTCCTCCCACCTTTTATAGCATTGTTGTCACTCATTCTACTTATCCATAAACTATAACCACCCAATATATTGTTTTGTTATTATTTTGAATAGTTACCCATTACATTGATTAATAAAAATAAACAAATTGTGGTATTTTACCTTTATTTATTCTTTCTCTACTACTCTTCCTTTCCTTATGTAGGTCTGAGTTTCTGACCTATATTGTTTTCTTCTCTCCGAAGTACTTCTTTTAATTTTTTTTGCAAGGCAGGTGTACTGATGACAAGTTACCTTGGTTTTTGATTTTTTCAGAAAGTATTTGTCCTTCACTTTTGAAGGATATTTACTACATACAGAACTCTGTTTTTTTTTTTTCTTTCAGATTGTTAAATATTTCACTCTACTCTTTTCTTACTTGCCTGCTTGCTGAGGAGACACTCAATGCAATTCTTGTTCTTTTATAGGTAAAATCTCCCTTTCTCTTTCTCTCTCTCTCTCTTTCTCTCTCTCTCTACCTGTCTCTACCCAGCCCCTCTGTCTTCTTTTAAGAGTTTCTGTTTGTCTTTTATGCCTGCAATTTGAATATGATGCGTCAAGATGCATATGTTTTAGTATTCACCTTGATTTATGTCTCGGAGCTTCCTGGATCCACGATTTGGTGTTTGTCATCAATTCTGGAAAATTCCAAGTCATATTACTCAAATATTTCTTCTGTTTCTCTTTTTCCTGTTATTCCCACTATACATATGTTATACCTTTTGTAATTATCTCTCAGTTCTTGAATATTCTGTTCCATTTTATCATTCTTTTTTATTTTTGGTGTCTAGCATTTCATTTTGTATCTTTCTTAGAGTTTCATCTATCTATTCACATGGTCCAATTGTTCTTCTATGTTGTTTACTTCTTCCATTAGAGCCCTTAGCATATTAATCATAGTTATTTTTACTTCTCCATCTGATAATCCCAAAATCTCTATCCTATATGAGTCTAGTTCTGTTGCTTGCTTTGTCCCTTCGAACTGTGTTTTCACTTGTATTTTTTATGCCTTGTAGATTTTTCTGAAAGCTGAACATAATACATTAGGTTATAGAAAGCAAATAGGGTTTTAGCATTAAGTTTTATGTTTATATGTCTAGGAGTTACAAGATGTTTACAATTGTCTGTGGCTGTTGGGTATGAGGTTTCAAATTCCTCTATCATCCTTGTTTGTGTCTCTCTTGTTTTGGGTTTGACACTCCTCCTTAAATAGGGTCTGAGCACTTCGTAGTTCTTTCAACCATAATCCTCTGTTATGATACAGCAGCCCTGTGATGTGGCATAAGATTGAAGGAGTAGTGTATCCTACGATCAGATATCAGTCTTTTAATGAGACTGTGCCCCTAGGCTGTGACCTCCCCAAGTGCTTCTGAGTCCCCTCATCCCCTCCCACCACCACTTAGGTGAGTCAGGGAGACTACTAGGGGCTAGAGTTGGGTATTTCCTTCCTCCTTGCTATTCAAGCTCTGGTGAAGTAGTTTCCTTTAAAGTAAAGAATAGAATGCTATGGATGTATTTAGAATGGTTATACTTCTCCTCCCCCTGAAGAGAATGTGAAGGTGTTTACTCTGGTCTTCACTGGGAGAACCTATCAGAGCTCTTGCAGGTAAAACTCACAAAAGTGTGAGGGCTTTTTTAAGACTGGGCACCCTGGAGTTTTTCACTCTCATGCCAATCCTCACTTAGTGTCTAGCCATTCATCAATTACAGTTTAAGTTTTCTTACCACTTCCAGTGGCTCCAGTGGTTTCTGCTTCCAGCGTGCTATGGTTCTTTGTATTTGCATGTCTGTCTCTTTCCAGTTTCAGGGCACTGTTGTGTGCTCAATTATGTGATGGATTTAAGAAAGCATGTATAATGTTTAATATTTTCTGCTTTTTTCTTGTTGTTAGTATGGGAGTGACAACTTTCAGGGTGTTTAAGTTTTAATAAAAAGTGTAATTGATTTGAAAAGAGAGACTAGGAAAACACACACACACGTTGGTCTGGTCATGTCATTTGTTTGTTCAAAACCTTCCAATAATTTCTCTTTGCACTCAAAATAAACCCCAAGATCTTTTTTGTTACACAGAAGTACCTAACTCATGCGGCTCCCTGCTACCCCTCTGATCATATCTCTTACCTATCTTGCCCCTACTCAACATACTCCAGCCTTGCAGGCCTCTTTGCTCTGCCTTGAACGTATCAAGAACATGCCTAAGGACCTTTGCATTTTCTCTTCCTCTGCCTAGAAAGCTCTTCTCAGATATAAATAGGTTATTCCTTTACTCCATTGTTACCTTTCCCAGTATCCATACACAGCCACGCCACATAAAATACCATCATTTATTGCATCATTTCCTGTTTGTTTTATTCATCTTATTGAAATCACCCTTGCAAAAATTATAACAGTGAGAAAATTATGACAGTAATAGAAATCTGATCTAACCAACCTCCATCTTGCCTTTAACCTCCAAACTGTCCTTAATCATTCCTAGGCTTATGCTAAGCTAACTGTGGGAGACATTTAGTTTATAGTTTAAATGATAACAGCCCTTACCCTAAACTAACCTGCCTTTGTAAAGATAATGAAAGGCCAGCAGGATAGGAGGATGAGAGGAGCCTGAATTCTGTGAATGTACCAGTCATGACATAATATGTAACAGGTACCAGTCATTATTCCAGAGTTCGCAAGATTTGCAACTTTAATTACTCCTGCAGATGATATCACTATTGTAGAACCTAAAATTTGTCTTCTGAGATGTCTTTTCAGGTTTTTGCATTTCTGATGACTGCATTTCCACCTGAAGCCATGAAACGGTCTCATGGCCCTACTCAGAAATGGACTTAGCACACAAAAGAACCATTTTCTATACTCTTATGATTGTATTCCCAACCAATCCATGGCATCCATTCCCTGGCCCACCAAACTATCTTTGAAAAACCCTACCCTCATAATTTTTGGAGAGATTGATTTGGGTAATAACTCG
This sequence comes from Homo sapiens, assembly GCF_000001405.40. NCBI lineage: Eukaryota > Metazoa > Chordata > Mammalia > Primates > Hominidae > Homo > Homo sapiens. The sequence continues at coordinate 125,787,818 of NC_000005.10, forward strand.
GTCTCCCATGTGGCGTGGCCAGCCTCGTATCAATTAAACTGTTTCTTTATTGCAATGCCATGGTCTTAGTGAATTGGTTTTGTCTGTGGAATGGACAGGAAGAACCATTGGGTGGTTACCTTATTAGCACTTATTGATATCTAAAATATGTACTTCTTTTTTTTATTGGTTTAGTGTCTATCTTCTCTCAATGAAATCAAACTCCATCAGAGCTGGAAATTAATTTGTTTTGAGCCTAGTACCTAATAAGAACTCAAAAAATATTTGTAAGTAAGTAAATTAATAAATCAGAAGTATTTGCTATCATACACTATAATGTATTTAATCCTTCCTTTATTAAGAGACATTAAGGTTATATCGAATTTTTCACCGATATAATAAATATAGAAATTCATGTTTGAATGGGTACTCAATATTATTCACCGATTCACAGTTCAGTTGTGTAAGGAAGAAAAGCTAAGTTGGACAAAAGTTTCACTAATAAAACAATCACTTCTAAGAGTAGTCCTCTCTCCAGTTTTCCTCTCTGCGGTACTGTGTAGTACTGGTGTCTGTCTCCCACCACCACATCTTTATTGTCTGTCGCCTGTTCATTATTATCAATAGATGTTGTACTTGAATTTGTTCGTTTTGGAATAATATGCAATATTAATGCAAATTGATTTTAACATGTTACCATACATTTCACGAGAGGAAATTTGTTTCATGCAGTGAGATTAAAGAAATGCGAAAATCACAAAAATGATTACAATAGCAAAATGGCATAGTTAAACCGCTTGTCATGGACAGAAGAGAAGACTGACAACTATGATGTTGTGATATATATTTCTACTTATTTTATCATTAAAGGACTTTTGGTCTTTTGGAATAAATAAGATTCTTTTAATAATTTTGTTGCTAAAGTCATAAATCGGGGATTTAATATCATGCTACCATAAAGTGTTTTTGGAAATACTGCATCCAAAATGCCAAGATTTAATCCATCCATAACTTGTGAAGAAATAGCCCACAGAAGCAATTATAATCTAATTTTATCACATACCAAGTACATTTATTTTTATAATATTTGTATGAATTTCTGAAAAAAATTTCCTCATTATATAACATTTCACCACTTTTAATAAAATTCAGTACCCATTTAAAATGGATTCAGTTAAAGTGGATATTTATTAACTAGTTCTTCTCAGATAACTGTGATCCTCTGGGATTAATCCAGAGGTGGGCTTTTAGGAAGCCGAGTTCCTATCTAGTACATAGTATCAATTGTCCCTCCTGGTATTTTATAGTTAAGCTGAATTACTATTATCTGACTGCACTGACCACTAATAAATAAACAGTAATGTTTATAGTATAAATTAATAAAAGTGTAATCACTGAACTCAATGGGAACATTTTAAGTTTTGACAGATATTAACAAATATCTCACCAAAACATCTTTACAAAATTACACTTTTATCAACAATTTATGAGACTATCTTTTCCTTCTTTTTTGCCAATATATTGTAAATTTTTGAATCTTTTGTTAATGTCTTAGACAAAAAAGGGTATCTTATTTTGATTTGTATTTTCCTAATCACCAGTGAGGTTGAAAATATTTTCATATCTTTTTTATTCTTGTAAATCACCTCTTATAACCTTTGCTCTTTTTTCCAAATGAGTTATCATTTCAAAATAGATGTATATGTATTTTTTAAAACTTAACCTTTGCCTCATGTAGACAATGCAAAGATGTCCTACTTATCTATCATTACTTTTTTAATTTCTCTGATGTTAATTTTTTCACCCTGTAGGAGATTTAAATTTCTCTGTAGTCAAATGTATCAGTATTTTTAACTATTGGAGTTAGATATAAAATTTCATCCTATATACACACATAAACACATACACATTTTAGGTCAAGATTACAAACATTAAGATTATTAAATTGCTGCCTTATATTTTCTTCTATAATCTTTATAAATTTATTTGCTTATTTCATTCCTAAAATAATCTGAAGTTTGTCTGAGAGAGTGTGTGTGGTCAGGGGTGGGTGTCTGTACATAGGATGAAATGTATGTCTAAACTATTTTTCTCCTACTTCATTTTCAATTGTCCCAATACCATTTGTTTAAGCAGTATATCATTTTCATTGATTGGAAATTCCATCTTTATTGCAAACAAAATTGCTACATATTTATGGCACTGATTTCTGGGGTCTTATGTTTCAATGAAATATTTCTGTACCAGTATCACATTTGCTATAGATTATATGTTTGTGTCTCTCCAAAATTTATATGTTGAAACCTAATCTCCAATGTGATGGTGTTTTGTGGTGAGGCCATTGGGAGGTGATTAGGTCATGAGGATGGAACCGTCATGAATGGTATTAAAGTTCTTAAAAAGAGGCCCCAGAGAGCTCCCTTCTCCTTCAGCCATGTGAGGACACAGTGGCCAGACAATGTCTATGAATTAGAAAGTGGACCCTCATCACACACCAAATCTGCCAGCACCTTGATCTTGTACTTCTTAGTCTCTAGAACTGTGAGAAATAAATTTTTGTTTCTTATGAGCCCTATAGTTTATGGTATTTTGTTACAGCAATCTGAATGGATTAAGACAATACTTTTTAAGCAGGGGAGTTTTGTAGTTTATTTTATATCTGGTATATCAAGACCCGCCAAATATTTTCTTCCTTTTTTTCTTCTTTAATTGATTATTCTTCTTCTTTAATTGATTATTCTTTATGTTTTTCTTTTCAGATGCCAACTTTCATAATATCCCATTGGGATTTTCATTGGGTGTTATTAAATTTATAACTTAAAATTTAGATAACTGGCATCTTTACAATATATTTTCCTAATTAAAAATATCATATGTATTCTGGGGTAAGCAGGTATATGCCAATCTAAAACCCCCAAATCTATATCAAAGTCCAAGGGAGCTGAGAGACAAAAGAAAGAGGTTGACAAATCCAGTTTCTCAGAAAGAAAATAGTTAATAGGGACTTACAAACAGAATCAATATCTTAAGCTGCTGCAAGACAGTCGATCCCCACAACCATCTTCTAGAAAGCATTCTTTAAATAGCAAGTGTTTAAGTTAAAATACGTGTATCTGATCATGTCTCAGACTTCTTGCCGAAACTGGTGACCACTGCGGATGTTAGAGAAGTATCTTTATGAGGGGTTACTTATGATACAGGACTTGTTTTAAGACCTTGCTGCAGGAATGCCTTGGTGTGCAGGAACCAAACATCAATCATCGTGCCAGTTTTGCTTCAAAAGGGCATCACTCTTGCCATGCAACAGGCTATTTTCATACATTCCACGCCTCAAAACTGGCCCTTACATTCTCATGCTCCCGCCTCTTTCATGATAGTACCTGGGCCTAGAGGGAGAGTTCTTGATATCGTACAGCTTTAGCAACAACCTATTGGCTCCATTGGAAACAAATGCTGCAGCAATGCTAAAGACAAAAACAGGACAGTAAACAACATATGAGTGTAATACCTAATAGGAGAAGCAGCTTCTGGCAACAGGTGCCCCAGGACCCAAACCAGCTATGAAGCTATTCATTCAAAGTGGGCATTCAATCTGAAAGACTGGATTTTGGGGTTTTCATATCAGTCACTGTCAGTCTGATTTATCAGGAATACAAACACAACATTCAATTTTTATGATCACACAAGTCCCCCATTGGGCATTAATGGGTATGTCTGAAGATATGCAATTTTGGAGGACAGGCTTTCTCATGAGAGTAACTTCCATGTTTAAAAAAGATGTTCCCATGTGGCTATCATTCAAGGCTTTATTTGTATAAACTGTTAGAGCTTCCACATGCCAAATAACATATTTGATGCCCAACTGAAAAATAAAAATAGAGGCCATACGATTACACCAATGGAAAACAGATTAGGCCCAGTGGGACTTCAAATGAAAGAGATTTTTAGGCTTTGTAAGAATAGCAACTATTTGGCCTTATGCCCATGTATAAACAAAGAATATCTTCCTGACCATCCAGGGAGTAACCAAGGCCATAACTTGGTGCCACATATCCAAGAAGTTTTGTTTGAGGCCAACCAATATGTTTCTGGATGCATTGCTCATTCTGTACCATGCCAGTCAGTACTTGGTAATATTTTCCCATATAAACATCAGTCTCTTGATATCCATTTCATATTCCTTGTGCTATTTGGCCAAGTATATTTAGAATGATTCTTTTGTTCCCAACATGGTGGTGGGTGGGGGGACAACTTTACTAAGCTGGCCAAAAGACGGAGTTAGCCAAATAAACCCATCCTATAATTGGGTCCTGACATCACAGTAATGGGTCGTTTTGTCCTTTCAATTGGGTTGTTGCCAGTTGGAGAGCAAGTTAAATAGTTTCACTGAAAGAAAAATGCTTCCCATGTCCCTTTTCAGAAAGGGTATTATTAATGGGCCATTGAGCTATTTTATCTCTGGTCATATTTGTAATACCATCACGTAATTTTGAGAAGCAGTGACATATTCCTGATATTCTATCCAACCTCATCCTTGGAAGGGAGATATCCACCACAGCAAGCTAGAAACACCAGTGAATGGCATGAGGCCACATATCTGACAGATGATTGACAAGACTAGCCATCAGCATAGTCTTGGACCCATTATAGGAAAAGGTTTGCTTCATAGGTGTTGGCTGATGATAATAGCCACAGAAAATAACTAAGGACAAAAAGCAAGAAACTTAAGTATTTCCAAGGGAAGATCTCCTCCATCTGTTAGGAATATACTAGTTGTTTATTAAGGGTAGTTATCAAAGAAGTAGCTCTTGGCTTTTGCAACATACCATATATGTTGCCCAGGGGATGACCTGTCAGCAGTGGTTGTCAAAGTAATTTGGTCAAGAGTACACCATATTAGAGAACCCACCACCATGCCACAGGGTATATATATTTCTGCTGACCATTTAAAGTGGATGATCGTGGGTCTATTATTCAGTAGGCTCAATAAGGTCTATTATCCATAGGCTCAATAGCTCCTACTATCCAGCATGTTCTCCACTCTCTGGAAGGAAATAGCCTATACAGCCTGGGGGTATTTGTCATCCCAAGCCCCAGAGGAGTGTCCCCTTCCCTGGTAGTATGTTCACTGGTGTCTTCATGTGCAAAACATGTTGGTTGTCAACCAGGTCTGGGGGAAGAACAGTTGCCTCAGTCACCCGTAGAGAACAGTGATAGGCTGGGGGGCGGGGGAAGCAGTTGTCCCAACAGGTCATATGGGGCAGGTGCCCCCTCCTTTGGCTAAATTTTAAAAGTAAAGGCTGCGGATAACATATACATCTACCTGGGCAGGAAGGTTTCCCCAGTAAGGTCCACATTTGTGCTTTCAACAGACCATTTTTCCTTCAATTACCCCTGCTGCTTAGGGGTTATGTGGTAAATGAAAGTGCCATGCTATACTGTGTTCCCTTGCCCAGTCATGCATATCACATCTAGCAAAAGGGGTCCCTTGGTCACTGTCAGTGTGCTGGGGATATCAATACATAGTACTGAAAGCCTCTAAACCTTTAGTAGTACTGGCTTGATTAGCTTACAAGAAAAACCTTGTATCACTCCCAATAGCAGTGTTTGCACAGTTTAACACATATTTCTTTCCTTGGAGGTCCTATGTAATCTACTTTCCAATTGGTTACAGGGTGGATAGCCCTACAAATGTTTCCTGCTTGTTATGGTATATGCCATGGATACAATCAAGAACATGGTAAACAGTTTGTAACAGCTGCTAGGGGGTCACTATATTTTAAGGCCACTCCTGCCCCTCCTTGGCTATCTCTCAGCCTACTCTTGCATTTCTATGATCACTTTTGTTATGTACCCAGGTCACTACATTAGCAGCCTGAGTCAGCATAATGCTTCTGATTTTTGTTAGAATGTCAGCTTCATATCTCTTGGATTTGAGTCTTTTTTTTTTTTTCCTGCAGCCAAATGAAATACAATTAAATCAACTGCAGGTGTTGCAGCTTCTCCCATATATCTTGCCACATGTTCATGCTCCATCCAGGCTTGCGCATAATCATCCCATCCACTTTTCTTGTTACATTTGGGCTAACTACATAGTTAGAACTTTGAATATAGCTAAGCTACCAGTGCAAAGAACCAGGTGCCAGGGCTCATGTGTGATTACTAACCAAGCAGCTCTCAACTCTGCCCACTGACTACTCTGATGCGTATCTGTATCAAGCCAGATTTTATCAGTTTGTGGTTGTATAGCAATAGCAGTCCAAGTAACGTGGCTTCCTCTACTGGAGCCATCCATATACCAAGCATTGTCCAGATGGGTAACAATTTTTTCTTACTATATCAGGCATTAGAGTAGGAGGAGCTAAAGGGGAGTCCTTTGTTTGCTCAAATGTAACAGGGCCTAATGCAGAATGAGAGTCTGAGCTTAAGGAACTCGTTGCCAAAACTCTTCACTGTTGCAAATAGGCATGCCATTTATTCAAGATTGGTGTTTGGGCTACAGTGGAGGTTAATTGTTTAAACAGTCCTTCTGTCTATCCCTTGATTGGTAGACCTGTTCTCACAATCACAGGAAAGGTCTTTGTCAATGGCTCCACTTGCTGTAAAGCACTATATACTACTGGCACTTAATGTTCAATGGGAGAGCATTTGGTTTTGGCTCCTTTCCATAATTGTGACCAAAATCCTAAAGGAACTGACCTACCATTCTGTGGTTACCATAGGCCCAGCTCACACCTCAGGAGTAGCAGTCACATCCAAAGTCCTAGCTATTCCCTCTAAAGTGGCACCTAAGGCTTATGCCTGCCATACTAGCACTTTAGCTTGTTCAAAGCTTCTTGCTGAGGTGTGCCACAAGCTCAATATTTCCCTTTTATCATAAGTCTATATAATGGTCTCAAACACTAGGCTAAATGTGAGATGAATGCTTTCCAATAACCCAAAAATGCCACAAATGTTTGGATTTCTTTTACTGCTTTTAGAGTTGGAAATTGCTGGACTTTGTCAATTAATATACCTCATGTAAAATGAGTCTTACCCAACCACGCAACCCCTAAAAATTTCAGTCTGGGCCCTGGATCTTCCAAGGGTTGATTGGTTACCCTTGTTCCTACAAAAGAGTACACAATGCTGTAAGATTTTCCTGTAACACATTAAAATTTTCTAAGGTTAACATAATGTCATCAATATAATGAAACTAAGAAAGAGAAGACAGGAATGAGAACAAAGAAAATTATCTAGCCATCATTCCATGATAAATAGTAGGCCTGTGAAGATATCCCTGGGAAAACACTTGAAAGCTCTACTGCAGACCTTACCAGGTAAAAGCAAATTAATCTTGTGATTGTTCAGAGAAAGAAATGCTGAAAAATGCATTAGCCAAATCTAAGAGAGCATAAAGTCTCCAGCACAGACACTGTGTGTTTGACTAACTAAGTAATATTAGGAACTACAGCACATATGGCCAGGGTTACCTTATTCAGTTCCATTAATTCACAGTCATCTACCAGGTACTTTCTGGTTTGCACCTGGTTTGTGTACAGGCCAGACGAGGCTGTTAAACAGGCTTTGAGCTGCAAGGATAATATGCACCTTTGCCAATTCCTCAATAGTTGCACTTATTTCAGCATGCCCCACCTCCCCCCCAACACACACCCAGTCAATTTGCATTGTTTGACATTGACAACCTGCCTAGGGACAGGGAGTTGTACAGGTAACCATTTTGCCTCTCCACTGAGAGTAGCCTTTACTACATGCACCTTCAATCTGAATTAACCCACTGAAGTTTGCAAAGTCTTTCATAATAGAATATCCATGACTATAGTGTTTTCTGGAATAGAGGAAATAAACACCATATATAGGGCAAGAGAAGCCTTTTCAATAACTAAATGTATTAAAGTTCTTTTTACTTAGATCATTTCCCCTCACCCCCATAACCATCAATGGTAGACCACTGACTAGGGTGTCCTTGTGGATTTCCATGTATTAAAGTACATTCTGCCCCAGTATCTACTAAGGCAATAGTCTTCTCTGTATGTAGGGGTACAAGTAAATGGTGAGCTCAGTATGGGGCTTCTGATTGCCCCTCTGTTGCTGGCATGTGGGTTTGACCTTGGCCTCACTCCTAATCGCTGGGCCAGATGGGGGCCACCCCTGAAAGGCCAGGGCCTTAGAACTAGGAGTGGAGTTGTCTTTCCCTTCTACCAGAAGGGCAAAAGGGAAAGAACAAAACTACTGTTCATGCTGTAGTTCCCTCCATAAAGCTGCTAATATAACATTAGATTGTCTATTTCTCCTCAGAGTGTTGTTCCTGCTTCCAATAAATCATACTACATTTGCTTACATGAGACCTTTATTGGTGCCTTTCCCCTTTTTTCTCCTTCTTTCTGTGGAGTTTTCTTCTTACCATACGTTAGCCTTTGTCAGATTACTAGGAATACTCTGTCTCTGACTTTCTTGGTTTCTCCCAAATCTATGATGGCTTCTCCCACATCATTTACATCTTGCTCCACTATAAGATTCAACAAAGACAGCAAATGGCCATGCCATTCTCTTGGTGCACCCTGTAGCAATTAGTTTTTAATACTGGCAGTAACAACTTCCTTATCAGATCCTGCAAAAACCTGAGCATAGATAGCTTGTCTCATTCTTAATCCTTTGAGAGGCCCCTGGGCCTTTTTGATTAACTGCCAAGAGGTTGTCCCTCCTGGTAAACCTCCTTCATTAGGCAAGCCTCTCTCACAGCTACAATGATCCAGTCCATAAGTTTATAATTCCCTTGCATTATGAAGGTGTTGCCACAGAGCTGAGCAGGTGGTGATTTTACTCATTATTTTTCTGCTTAATTCTTGGCTAAGGAAACATCATCACCTCCTGTGTCCCACAGTCAGACCATCCAAGCTGTCAGGGGTTCCCTGAGTAGTTGTTTAAAGGTCTTTTCATTCTCCAAGAGAGTCTCCTATATCACTTGTTCCCCTTTTGCTGCAGTTGTTGAGCTTTTGCTTTCCTCTGCATTAGAGAGTGAGCTTGCCAATGATTCTTGTCCCCCTTCTATGTCATCAGTCTTCCTCTCCAAAACATTCTCAGGGATTCCAAGTTTTCATGTTTCAATCTGGCTCAGGTATGATAGCTCTGAATTTTGGTCATTTCCATTTATTTTCTCCTAGGTGGGCAAATCTACATGCTAACATTTCAATTTTTGTCTCCTGGTCTTCAATTTTGTCCACTAAGTTGGATGCAAGGAGAGAAGTGGAAATGCACATGCCTTTCTAGCGGCAATTCTTCCTTTAGCTGTTTAATTTTTGTTTCTGCTACTAGGTAGGCCTCTGTTACCAAATGAATGGCCTACAGAAGTGGCCAACCCACTGCAGTGGCTACCAGCCACCCTTCCTTACTGCAGTGTGATATGTAGCTTTGAAGTAATAACTGCTCTTCGCCAACCAGCATTTTCAGGGTACTAATGTGGAGGTCCCCAAGTGTCTAACAGACATGCCACACCACCCCACAGAGACATGGCTAGCCATACTGATATTTTCCCTACAGATTCTTTAGTCAATTTACTTATTTCTTGGTTTCTCAGTTCCTGGCTAGCTTGCAAAGAATTCAGGGTGAGCAAGTATATGAAAGCCTACCTCAAAAGGCCAAAGGAGATGAGATGTCAAAGAAGGAGCCTGACAGATCCAGTTTCTCAGACAGAAAATATTTAGTAGGGAATTACAAATGAAGTGATATCTGGGGTGGCCACAAGATGGTGGATTCCTTCACATGCCCTCCAGAAAAGATCCTTTATATAGCAAGCTTTTGGGGTAAAACATGTGCAGCTGGTCACATCTGAGACTTTCTTGCTAAAACTCATGACCACTAGGGAGGTTAGATAAGCATCTTTATGAGGGATTATCTATGTTACAAGCATCGTTTTAGGGCCTTGCTGCAGAACACCTTGATATGTAGAGGTCAAACATTGGTTATCTTGATGGTTTTGCTTCAGGATGGTGTCACTCTTGCCAGGCAACAGGCTGATTTTTATTTTGTTTTATTTTATTTTTATTTTTATTTTATTTATTTTTGTCTTGAGACGGAGTCACGTTCTGTCGCCCAGGCTGGAGTGCAGTGGTGCGATCTCGGCTCACTGCAAGCTCCGCCTCCCGGGTTCACACCATTCTACTGCCTCAGCCTCCCGAGTAGCTGGGACTACAGTCGCCCGCCACCACGCCTGGTTAATTTTTTGTATTTTTAGTAGAGACGGGGTTTCACCATGTTAACCAGGATGATCTCGATCTCCTGACCTCGTGATCTGCCCGCCTTGGCCTCCCAAAGTGCTGGGATTACAGGCGTGAGCCACTGCGCCTGGCCCTGATTTTTTAAAGTATTAATTTTCACTTACCCAGGTCTTCTTTTACGTTTTTCTCTTTCTAATATTCAATGGAAATGTGTTCAGTGTTATGCAATTAGTTGTGATGTTTTCCACAGACTTCGAGAGTATCTCTTTCAGATAAAATTCTTCAGAAGTTAATGAAATTTTTTCTATATTTAGTTAGTAGGAGTCAGTGAAACCATAGATATTACTTACATTTTGTTTTGTTTTAAATAGAATAAAGGAGCTGAAGTCATGTCATTTATTTATTAACTGTTTTTCCCACCAGACTATAAGCTCCATAAGAAGAATAATACTCTGTAATTTTTTTTGCAATTCAGCACCAAGGACAGAGCCTCTCACTACCTGATGAAAAATGAATGAAACATTTAGGGATTTACCCAATGCTTCATAAGCCAGAATATGATTTTCTGTTTCAGTGGAAAATCTTGGATCTTTTCCACCAATGATGTCCACTGAGTTTTAATTCTGACACTTCCTCTCAGTGTCAAGGTGATTTGGAGTGAGTTATTAACCTTTTTGAGTCTCCTCAAGAAAAATTGTAGGGAATGATACATAAACCATCATTTTGTGTAATTCTCACAATGGCTTTATGTATCATCTCCACAGATCTGACTCCAAACAGGATATATTTAAGTCTTAAAATCTTGAGGAAACAAATCACAAAAAAATGTTTTAGAGGTTTGGCTCTTATTTCTGAGGGATGAGATTTATCAGAGCTCTCCAGGTCAACATTAAACTTAAGTTGGTATGTAAGAGTTTGAAGCTTCTGAGAAGCAGATACTAAGAGGTGTGCATTAGGAGAAATGCCTGTGAAGGGGAAGCAAATAGGAGTAGCCATCAAGAGTGGGTTCAATGCAGGCTTAAGGAATAACAGCTGGAGGGATAGGGTCAGAAGAGCCCCAGATAGCAAAGCAGTTCTGAGGTAATCTTGATCAGGTCAATGGGAGTCTCTAAGCAAAATCTGCCTGGTAAATAGTGTTAAGTAAGAATGGTCTGCAAGTACCCTCACTGGGAACAGCCCAGGGAACACTGGCTTCAGTGCAGTGGTGGATCTAGAGAGGAAGCAGCTGGGGCTGCCAATCTGCTCCTCAAAGTAGTTGTCTTGAAGGAGATTTGAGTAGCATATTTCCATGGCTGCCACAATATATATACACATAGTACTTGATGACTCAGAAAAAAAATTGCTCAATCAAGCAAATTTCCTTCCTCGCCATTACTTTGTCATCCTGAGGTACGTTCTGAAGAGAAACAACATCCATGGGAATATCTTATTTTATAGATAAGGTAGAAAAACCAGGAGAATAAAAATACCACTTCTACTTTTAGCTTGTTATCATCTTTCAGGAGGTAAGGAGAAATCACCCTGGCCTTCTCCCATCCCTCACATGACCCTTTTGCTCCCTCCTCTAGTTCCTCTCCTTGCCCTGCAAATCCCAAGGGTCAGGTTCTGGCCTGCTGCTTTTCTCTTTCCCTGCCTCTCATGAATGAAGTCTCATTACATCCACAATTGTGCCATGCAATCCTTACATATTTCTTTTCTACAGCTCCAGTCCTAAGTTACAAACCCAACTACCTCATGGAGACCCTGACTTAGATATTTCAATACAACTTTAACTGGCCATGTAAAAAAGTCTTAAAAAGCTCATTTTCCTCTTCCATTTGGCTCCTCCTTTGACTTCCTTATTGTTGCCAGTTATGTTTTTTTCCCAAAGAAGCCATGCTTGAAAGGTTTAAGTCCTCCCCTCCCTGCATTGAGGATTATAAGGGTTTGTCAATCCCTTTTCATAAAAAAGCCTTTAAACATTCCCTTCATTTCTGCTGACAGTACTGTAGTCAAAGTCCTTGTCATCTTAATATCAACGTTATTATAATAGAATCCTGTCATTAATCTCACTGCCTGAAATAAGAACAAATAAAAGTGTCATAGCATCAGCCAGGGTCAGTGTTCTAGACAGGGTTAAAAAAACAAATGGAAGGCCCAGAGTCTAGGCAACATTTAGGGACCTAGGAGCTACCTGTCAGGCAGAAGGGAATTCAGTTTTCATGTTTGTAATAACATCCTCCTAATAGTGATAGGGAAGGGGAGCAATGGAGAGAAGCAGCTTAAACCTTTTATGGGAAAGGAGTTTTGGCTTTTTTAATCTGTGACAACTTTTATACAAAGTAGTTTTGTTATTATTATTTTGTGACCATGGCTTTAAAATATAGCATAGAATTTTAAAATTACCTCAGGGGGTTCAGCTTGAAATGAAGCCTAAATTTTTATGGATGAAATGTGGTCTCTTTCTTCCATTTAATGGAAACAAAACAAAAATCAAACCATGAATTCCAAGAGTTGACAGAGAACTGTTAAAAATATTTGAACCCACCTTCTAGGTCACACACAGGTGAGAACACTGGAACCTTTCATGTTATTTGGGAACTTCATAAAGCAATGTTTCGCACTGCCAGCAGCCAGTATGCGCCAGCCAGGCTAGAATCACAGTCTTAGGGCTGCAGCCAAAAGTAACGGGTTCCAGAGTTAAATCAAAGGGAAACAAAGAGATCCCCTCCCAGTTATTTTCTTTTCCTGTCCTCTGAGACTGCCTTTGCTTCTCTGTTAGAAGCAAATATAAGCCAGGCACAATGCACACATGCCTTTCCACACAGCACAAGGAAGGAGATCAGAATGCCTCTGAGGGACAAATGTATAATCAGGAGAAGAGAGTGTAAACCATCCATTTGGTATCTGCCTGCCATCTATATCACACATTCTCCTTTCCTGAGAACAATGTCTGCCTTCTTAGCGATTTGTTGTATAAAGCATACCTTCCACCCAAACACTGTCATGTGGACCTTATGCCAGAAAAATTGAGCAGTGGAAATGAATGCCTCCAAAAAGATTGCCTGTCTCGGTATTGACAATTTTCCCTTCATTCTTCCTTCTAAAATTGTGAATCAAAGTCAATACACATCAATTTTTGTTGAACATTTAGACGTTAGCTGTTCTAGAAATGCAAATAGTAAAGTGCAGACAAAACATAATGTCACCATACATTTTCATGTCTAACTGTACAAGGCTGCTTAATTCTAGCTCCCCCAGAGAAATGCAATGTATGCCTTTAATTTCTTTTTGTATTTTTTTTTTTTTTTGTAATTTAGAAACACTTTAAAAAAAACACAGGACTGTGCTTTGGAAAGTTTTGCCTTAAGCCCTTTATTTACTATGACACTTTGCCTACTGCTGTGACCAGGATCAGAACATGTGTTCATTACAAAACTCACCTCTACCACAGAATTCCTAACCACCTTTAGCCATACTTATCACTCCTTTAAGTAATAATATCATGCATTCTTTTTTCTCATAAATTCAACCATATGTTTTCTGCTTTCTAAACCACGGCTTTTAAATAGTCATCTTGGCTGGGCATGGTGGCTCAAGCCTGTAATCCCAGCACTTTGGGAGGCCAAGGCAGGGGGATTGCTTGAGGTCAGGAGTTTGAAATCAACCCGGCCAATATAGTGAGACCCTGTCTCTACAAAAAGAAAATAAATAAATAGTAAAATAGATACCTCAGTGATTTTTGTTTTCACTTTTTTTGTGTGTGGGGTGAATATTTTGTGGTCTGTCCCTCTTTAAGTAAAGGTTTTTAGAAAGATGTTTCCTTTCTTTTGAGTAACTTCTGATGTGGAGTAATGGGCCCCATTTACAGTAAATATAATCTTCTGTCAGCACATTAGAGAAAACACGAACAAACTCTTTTTCTGATACAAAGCAAGTAAAAAATGCTTAATGATAATTACAGTGACATACTCTTAGTTACAATGAAAATAGATAAATCAACTCTATTTTCAGGTAGGTTTTCTATAAAATAAATAGCATTTTACTCAGGAATTCTTTTTATTTTTCTTTTATTGTACAAGACAAAAGTTTTGACTAATAATTAAATTTTAAAATATCTTAAGATGTTTTTGTCTTGTATCTGAAAGAACAGTAAAAACGAATTTTAAATGCAAATGTATATACAAAATTATGTATTTTAAATGAAAAATGATAAATGGTCTGATTTTATTACCCTTGAAACCAAATGTATCACTTGAAAGCAGTTGAGAAATATTCGACCAAATTAAATGGGCTGCTATACTTTGAGCTGGTGTTAATTTTACCTCATTTATATTAATGTAAAGTAAATTATCAAAGTAGAAGTGAAAGCGTAGCAGCATTTGTTAGTAAATTCCACTTAATTCTCTGGCAGTGTTATAGACATATTATTAATTACACTGTGTGCTAGACGCAGCACTAAATCACTTATTGAAAAATCTTCTCCTTAATGTAGCCCTTAATTTTGACCACCATCAAAAGAATGCTTCATCTCAAAAAGCTATCAAAATATTGATCTGAAACTCTAAGTCTAATTGGCTATTTCACAATTATATTGTCAAGAAAAAAAATGGTTGGCAACGTTTGTCATTTCTGGACAATTATTCTCATAAGAACAAAGAATATAAAGCTGCAGATCAATTACCTGTTGGAGGTCCTGAGTTTTGAGTGATTACCTGTTTTATCAACAATTTATTTTCCTCTCAGTAACGGTGTAAAGTTAATTCTTATGCCATACACATGTGATTGTAATTGATACAGAACTTATGATGTTAATCATAAATCAATTTTTATACTCACCCTCTAAAATACATAGTAAAGTAGAAAACATCATTTGTAATATATCTTCACTTATATTACAAGTGTAATATACATTGCCATGTGTATTAAGTGTAGGCACACTGCCATGTTTTATTATCAAATTTGGTGTATTAAAATAAGCTGTGATTTGGGAAAGCCACTATGCTTTTGTTTTTTCTGTCATTCTATAAAGGCAGAAGTTTTGTTTTAAAATAAATTCATAGTTTTTTTGAAAGTTCAAATTAACTTAATTAAAATGAACACTTAATTATAAGTGTTCAGTTTCAAATAAATATTAAGACTTTTCCTTATATATAATTTTCTTATAAAGAAATAGAGATTACGTCTGAACAGAGTAGTACCTGAGATGAAAAAACCAAGCCAAAGTACTTATATGGCAAATTTATAAATTCAACCAATTTAGATTAGCTGATAAAGGCACAGGTAGGATAAGGTATATAGAGCACATAATTGAATTATTGGAGCTAGGTGATCAATTTCTAGCCTTGGGCTAAGAGGGGTCTATCTTCAGCTGATGGGGAGAGATTTGTGAAGAGCATTTTGCTTTCTTTTCTCATGTGTATACTGGGATTTACTGCCCTTGGGGCACATCACTACTCCCCTTTCCCTCAGCGCATTAACATGTAAGTTTATCACCTCACAAATAACTTGCTTCTCTGAGTATATTGGGAGACAGAATAATGCAACCTTTTTCCACTGCCTGTGAATTTTCTAATTGGAGAAGTAATTTCCTGCTCCTGGTTCTTCACTTGTATAACAAAAATCTGAGAGTAATGTTTATCTTGGGCATGTCCTCTTAACGAGTGCAAGGACAATCCCTTAGCCAAGATTTACTTGACTCAGAAAAGGTCTTGAGACAATTGCTGATTCTCTGGTTTGCTGTTTGGGAGGATGTTACACATAGGTTTGGCTACCTAATACATATGGGAGAGAAATATATTCCTATTTGGTTTCAGATATATAGTTACAGTAAATATAATCTTCTGTTAGCATGTGAGAAAAAAATGAACAAACCCTATTTTTCTGAAATAAAGCAAGTAAAAAAATGCTTAATGATAAATACAGTGATATCGTCTTACTTACAATGGAAATGGTGTGAATCGGTGAGTCAACTTTTTATTTCCAGGTAGATTTTCTAGAAAATAAATGGCATCTTCGTCAGGACTTCTTTTTTTTTTTTTTCCTTTTATGATATGTATCTTGAACCAAGCAGGAATTTATTTCTGTCTCATGAAAATGAAATCTGATGTTCGTGATCCTGGGTATCTATGGGAACCCCATGATATCATCATGCACCTTGGTGCCCTCCAGCTCACTTCCAAGCCACCATGGGAGTACCGCCCTTACCGACATAGTTCAGAATGGCTGCTCCAGCTCCAGCTTCTACACCTGCACTCCAGGAAGCAGGAGAAAGGAAAAGGTGGAGAAATGTGTAAGTTCCTCTCTTTCAGATATCTTAGAAGTCCCACAGGACAGCTCTTATTGTTTCCCGTTGTCCAGAACTGAGTCTCATGGCCATATCTAGCTGAAAGATGGGCTAGGAAATGTAGTTTTAAAATGGTATGGTAATGCACTGAGCAAAACATTTAAGTTCTCGGCAGGGGTGGTGGGGTGGAAATAAATAAAGACAAAAAGTTCACTGTGCCACAATACCCATTTTTCCTGTATTTTTTTAAATCCCAACAGGATGGGAAAAAGAAAATAGGTGAGACTGAAATTTAACATTGCTTCCTAGACAGCACATTAGAACTTAATGTTTGCCACTAAATAGCTATGTGGTTATAAGGCATGTATCAGTCAGACAGTTTATTCCTTCCTAGGTACTACTTGCTTTGCAAATCAGGAATTGAGACTGAAAGCTCCTTGAGGACAGGGACTGGACCATGCTGACTTCAATTCTCAGTGCTTACCCATTATAAATGCAAACAATCCATACTGAAATTAAATGAGTAAATGAAATAGTTAAGATAATTTCAGATCCAAATAATGGAAAGTAAAAATATCATACTTACTAAATACATACATGGACATTAGAGAACTAAGATTGAGATGTAACATACCATTTAGTAACTAGGGATGTTATGCAAGTCCTTTGAATTCTCTAAGTCTGAATGTCCTTCTTTCTAGAATGGAGGTAATAAGCCAATCTATGGCAACATGGAATTGTGCAATTTATCCAATTGTACTTAATGGTTCCAAACTTAGTGAATTGCCTCACCATTCTTCTAGTTGCCTTGGTCAGGAACCTAGGTGCCATGATTGCCTGCTTTTTCTTTGTTCAACTCTCCCACATGTAATGAATTATTAAATCCTCTGGAGTCTTATCTTCTATTTCCTGACTGTGTCCAAATAGTTTCACCCATGTTGCTACTACCCCAATCTGAGACACCATCATATCATCATACCTGACTTGAATTACAGCAAGAGCTTGTTCACTGCTCTTATTTCCTGCAGTCTTGTTTCTCCCCAGCACATTTTCCATGTAGCAGTCAGAGTGATCTTTCTGAAACATAAACATAGTAATGACAGTACTCTAAATAAAGTAAGTTCCCTTAGGATCAAGTTTAAATACCCTAGGATGATCATGAACCCCTTTATTACCTGGCCTTGTGTAGCTTCTACTTTTGCTACTGTTCTTTCCTGCCTCACACCCTCTTGTCCATTCATAACTAACTTCTTATAAGCTTTTCAACATGTAATGCTCTTCTTAAAGACTTTGCATATACTGTTTTTCTTATTTGAAACAACATACCTTCTCTTTCTACCTCTCCCAACTTTTTCTCTATCTGGCAAACTCCTCTTCTTCATTCACTTATTTACTAATGATTTCCCTTAAGAAACTCTTTCTGAATTTCACCTCACTCCCAGACTCAGTGACGCACCCCTGTCTTCTGTTCCTGTCATACCATGTGCTTTCCTTATTGTGAATTTTATTAGTCTATTTTTTAGTTAGTTGATTAATACAACAGTCGGAACTGACTGTTAATTCCATTGATACAATAATCATGTCTATCTTCTGCATTTATCATAGCACCTGCCTGACACATAGTTTGAAATTCCATGAAGAGTATGAATTTCAGTTACTATATATGAAACATAGGCACTAAAGGACAGCAAGAGTAAAATATATAAAGATCTTTACAATTATAATGAGAAGGTTTATATTAAACCTTACTTCTTTTAGTTTATTTATAAATATTTTTCTCTGAACTGAACTCCTTTGCTCTGAACTGAGATCTCTGTCGCTTAAGCTTTAATGCCCAGATATCACAAGTCTTGGATCTTTTCCTACTTTTAAAAATCTATAGATATGTGGTATGTTCTGGTCACTTGGAGCTTGCAGAACAGAACCGAAAAGCTTACCTCTTAGCCTTCTATTTATAAAGAAAAGGCTTATCTCTGGAGAACTCTATCAATGCAACTCACAATTGTTGCTGAAGCTTCTAACCATTTGTCTCCAGAGAGTACACTGACTTTCTTGATATGTGGATTTCTATGAATTATGTGACTCACTTCTGAAATGCCCTTTTAGTTTTCTCATTTGCTCTTCCTTTCATGGGAAATAAAGGAGAAAATGTGCCAGACGGTGATCAATGAAGTTTTTATCATGTCTGATGATAATATCTATCCAATAAAAAATGATTTTTGTGGCAACTAAACTTAATATAATTTTACTCTACCTGATATTTCTGTCTTCAATCACTATATTATTTAGATAGAAATAACCTCCCAGGGATGAGCCTTCTAGCAGTTTTTGTTTATAACTTGACCTTCTGTTAAAGAGTTTTTTAAAAAATAAATCCTTTTCTCCTTAAACATTTTAAAGATATTTTAAACAAATTTAAATATTAGTTTCTTGAGTGTAGTTATGTGTTATTTATTACACAAGAACTGAACTTTCTTAGACAGGGTCATCTTCCCATGGAAAGAGCTTCAGATAATTGAGGATGAAAATAATTCTAAGAAAGAGAGCACAGATTTTTAAAATTTACAACTCAGATGAAAGTATATAACAGAAAGTACAAATGTATAGAAATACAGTCACCTAGATATAGCAGGGGAAACATCAACATTTATAAAAAATGTGAAAATGTTGTCATATTCAAAAAGACATCTATATTTAACCTGAGTAGTGTTTGAAATACATGGAGCCAAAAAGATGAATTTCTATTTTTTTCCCCTTAACTTTATCTTTTCTCTTCTACTCTGAAGTGGATGTGTCTCTTGAGAAAACTCTTTTTTGCTCTTATTTTTTCCCTTTTATTTTGTTCTTTTATTACTTTGAATATCATATGTGTAACTTGATATAAATATTTGCATATAAGACATTTAAGTGTAAATATCTTAAATATAATAGTTATATCCAGGCATGACAGTTTAAACATGATGACCAAGGTGTAAATGTGTTTTTTCCATCTCTCATACACACACACACACACACACACACACACACACACAGGCACAAACACATAAATACACAGTTAGGCACATAGATAATATTCATTCCTATAGTAGGATATAGGAATTTATAAACATGAAAAATATAAACTTCATACATTCATAGATATACATATAATAGTTTCCTACTAGAAAACTATCAGTGTCTAATATGTTTTAAAATATTTGTGTGAAAAATTTGTAACAAAATGGGGAACTGAGAAGACTTATCTCCCATTTATATAACTCCTCACCTAAAACCTAATAAAAAGTCTTTCAATATAATTAAAACATAATGGAGTTGACTATAAGAAAAAATATCCACTGATGAGCTAGAAATGATAAGAAATTCTGAGAGCTAGAAATCAGATGCAGTCTGATTGACATATGGGCTCAGAAGACTGGTAGAGCAGTGGAAGCTATCTAGGATCACAGGTAATGAAGAAAATGAGTAGAAATGGCCAATTAGGCAAATATTTGACAACTGACAGAGCATCCATGGTCAGAGCTATTGGATTGGTCTTCCCTTTTTCTGTGCTAGTGGAGCAGTGGAGTGGACAACAATATTAGCTATCACAGGCTGGATATGACAGTGAGGAAATCTTGACATTGAGCATTTCCCTAGGGAGCTACTGAACCTCCCCCTCCCCCCGCCCCCCAGGATACGACAAAAGACCAAAGCTAAGGAGAAAACAATGGCACAAACAACCAAATACTTTTCCAGAAAAATAAACAAAGGCTAGATCCTGTCCTCAGAAACTACATCCACAGAGAATAATATAGGAGTTCTAAAAATATGAGACTTTCAGCTCCCAAAACAAGAACAACCAAATTTTTAGGCAAAAAGTCTAAAAAATTACTGCAAAAGAAAGACACCAAGTTAAACTAGCAAAGAAATTCCTGGTTGAGGGGACAATTAACAGAACATATAAACCTATATGCTAAAAGCAAGAGAACCAATCATAAATCTTATAAATTAAAATTTTCACTGCAATATTTTTGAAAATTGTATGCTATTCAATAGCATAATAGAAAAAGTAGAAGGGTGAAATAGAAACCCAAAACACTAAGAGAAGGGATTTTTCCAAAACATGGAAAAAAAAGCAAAGGGATAGAGAATGCGAGAAGGAAAATGTCAGCAGACATTTAACATTAATTAGTTAGCAATACAGAGTCTACCTAATAGAGATTCCAGAAAGAGAAAGCAAACAAATGAAATAAATAAAATAAAATAGGAAAAAAATCATGGTCAAATAAAGCGACGAAATTGGCAGGCTTATTATAAAATTCATTTGGAAATACAGGACCCAGAGAAATCTTTAAAAAGAAGAGCAAAGTTTGTGTGTTCACATGTCCTGATTTCAAAACTTATTGCAAAGCTACACTAATCAAGACAGTGTGGTACTGGCATATGGTTAGCCATATAGATCGATAGAATAAAATTGAAATTCCAGAAATAAACCCTAACATTTATAATCACTGATTTTTCAACTAGACTGCCAAGACAATTCAAAGGGAGAAAAAGTCTTTTCAGTAAGTGATATTGGGTATCTACATGCAAAAGAATGACTTTCTACTCCTACCTCACATCACACACAAAAATTAATTCAATGTGGATTATAAACCTGAAAGTAAGATTTAAAACTATAGGACTGGCAAAACCACAACAAAAATCAATCAGCCAAATGTAAAAATGAGGAAAGGACTTGAATAAATATTTCTCCAAACAAGAAACTAATGATCAACAAGCACATGAAAGTCAAAACCATGATGAAATGTCACTTCATACTCACTAGGCCATCATTTAAAACAAAAAATAACAAGTATTGGCAAGGATGTGCAGAAATTGGAACCCTCAGGCACTGCTAGTGGGAATGTAAAAATGGTACAGCCACTATGAGAAACAGTTTGACTTTCTCAGAAAGTTAAACATAACATTGCCACATGATCCAGTAATTCCACTACTAGATATACTCCAAACTCTAAATTTTTAATGAAAAAGATGGATATATCCCTATGTGGTTAATATACAATTAGTAACTTTTTTCTCATTTGCTGTTAACTGTATTCCTAACATATTTCTGCATATGAAAATAATATAAAATTGAGGATAACATGGAATACAAATTATGATAGCAATTGAGAATTCAGCAAATGTGAAGGAAGCTAGAAGTTAACTAGAGGAATATCCAATGGACTTGAATGCATGATAAGAATACCCTTGGCAAAATTGAAATAGCACAGAATTATTCTACCTTCTACATAACTTAAAGCAAAATGCATAATACTTACATATAACACTATAAATGTATCATATTCATTCTCTTTTTTTTCTCTTTTTTGAGACAGCATTTCGCTCTTTCACCCAGGCTGAAGTGAAGGGGCATGATCTAGGCTAACTGCAACCTCCGCCCCATGGGTTCAAACGATTCTCCTGCCTCAGCCTCCCAAGTAGCTGGGATTACAGAAGCCCACCACGCCGGCTAATTTTTGTATTTTTAGCAGAGGAGGGGTTTTTGCCATGTTGGCCAAGCTGGTCTCGAACTCCTGACCTCAGGTGATCCACCTGCCTTGGCCTCCTGAAGTGGTAGGATTACAGGCATGAGCCACCGCACCTGGCCCATATTCGTTTTCAACTTAAAAAAAAAAAAAAAGAAAAACAGAAAAAAAACATGTTAAAAAAAGTATGCAATGTTCATATCATTTACAAGCAGAATTTAATGTAAGAAGACTTGATCTTAAAAGTGATAATGAAATTTTCAAAAAGTGCACATAGTATACAGAGGAGAAATTCGAGTGGATAGTATTTTAATTCTCTCATATTTCATAGCAAGAAAGTCCATAAATACTGTCAATAAATCAAGCATTAGCATATGGCTTAATATAAAGCAAGCCAATAGAAGAAAATAAAAGTCAGAAGTTGAAGAATGAGGGAAATACAGGAAGTCGTGTAAGTTAATTTTTTAATTATTTCCAAAGGAGAGGTAATGTATATTTTCTAGGGCAGATAAATCAAGAAATAGAGGCATATATAGACACTATACAAAGCAAATAATGGTAAGCACAAAGAACTAAAGAGAAGCTGTTGTATTAACATTTGCCTCAAGGGAATAGATGTGAGCCATAGAAAGATTACTATTTTTCATTTTCTTTTGTTTTCTTGAAAAATGTTTTCCATGTACATTTTATAGAATTTGCAAAAACCAATGAAGTACATATTTTGGAGAAAGAAAAATTCCAGCTCTGCTTTGCATGACTAGAGTCCAATTACTGGAATGCCATCCATTTTGCCATATATAGGTAGCAAAGTAAATGAAAGCACATGGAGGTTATACCTAGGTAGCCAACTTTTTCCATAATTGCCCACAGCTCATTATTCAGTAACATTACTTGTGATGCTCATGAATATTCTGCAATAGGCTTTATTTTAATCTTTTTCCTGTGTACATCATATTTCTATATTTTTTAAAAAATCACATGGTAATTCAGGGAGACATGGTTGAAAATATTTTACGATATATTTTCTTGACCTCATGCACTTTAAGTCACATCTTTTGTTTGAAGAGGAACTTTGTGGCCTTTCTATCCCTTCCTTTCTGTGGACTACTGAGGCTTATTCCTGATTTTTTATGTATTTGGTTCTACAAGAAAACTGAAAAGCAAAACAGAAATTCACAGACTTCTGGAAGTCTCGGAAGTCCAGCATCCAAATGTAATAGTTAGAAAAAAAAAAAAAAAGGGTGCTCAGACTTTCAGACTTACAAAAAACAAGAGGCAGACAAAAATATACATAAAAAGATTGCTAAGAACAAGCATGCCAAAAAAGAAAAAATAGGTTAGCAGAGTTAGATACTGCTATCTTCACAGATAAAAGTAAAGCCAAGAGGGGTTCAATTAGACAGAAAATTTAATGCAAGTACTGATATAAAGTGATTAAACAATGGGCCAAAAATGAGCCTAACTTATAAAGTAACATAGAGAATTAAAGAAGGAAAATAAGCCCAAAGGAGCAATAAATATTAACATAGACATGAGGACTAAAATTCACAAATGGAAGTTAATACTATTATGAAGGGTAAACAATTGTGTGTATTTGGGGGCAAGGAGCCAATAGTTATGAAAAGATTTATGTCCTCATGCCAAGGGCTGGTTTGGGTAGAATTCTGACAAAGGGTACTAATGCAAGTCAAGGAATTATTGGTAACATTAAACACAATCCAATATTGTTTATCCAATCTACATCCTACATACATTAATGGTTTTAATTCCACATGTACAATCTTAATCTTGACTGTGAAAAGATTAAATTTCTTAAAATGAAAATTTCTTAATCATAATATTCCATGTAATTCCTTTATATTTAAAATATGTTTAGGATGTATATTATAGGTCATTATACATAATATGTATTATAGATACATGTATATATAATATGTAATAGTATATATTATATGTAATATATATAAGACTACAGAACACTAAAGAGTTTAAATATTTAAGCATTACTGAACAATGTAGAAAATATCCTATTTTTAAGTATTTCTGCCTCCAGAGTTAGTACAATCAGTTCTTTGAATTTGTGGTCCAAGAGTGAAATTGAGCTCTTTGATAATTAATTCTCTGACAGTTTATACTGAAAGAGAAAGATCATAATGATGAAGACTAATATAAATGTTGACATTTAACAAAATGTTGTAAAAGAAAATTTTATTGTACTACAGTGACTACTTACCAATTGATTTCTTAATAACCCAAAAGAATAAATGGACCTAGCAAAAGTCCCTAAATTACTCTTAGAGAATAGCTTCCATGGGTATATCTTGCTTTTAAGGAGGATTTGAAACTGTTCTACTGCTATTTTTGGCTTCCCATGGATCATGAAAAATAATGAATTCAAGTTTCTCAAGCCCTTTATCCTTGGGTCAAAGGAAATTGAACAGGCTTGTGAGGTTACTATCACTTGTTCATTGTTGAGATTAAAATATATTCAGAATATGAACGAAGTTTAGCTCAGATAATGGAAAAAATAAGTATATCTATAGAGTTTGTAATTTTAAAAATATTTTAAAATCATATAAATTTGCAACATTTTATTTCAATATGTTACTTTTACATTTAACATGTAAATCTAATTGCACAGCATTTTATTTTTATGTTTATAAATGTAATAATGTCAGATTGATTGCTTAGGTGTGTTGACCTATGAAATTCTCTTGGCATATAACGGGATTCATTAACGATAATCTTTAAGTCTGTAATAAATAATCAGTTTCTGGAGTTATTTTTTAAAGACACACTGATAAAGCCTAAAAGATAATTATTTTGCATGTATCTTGCCCTGGAACAAGATGTACAATTAAAATGACCACCAAACAGCAATAACATCTTTATGAAGATGGTTTGATAAGAAATTTAGGTCAAGGATGCTAGCTAAAAGACTATTTCATTTGCTTTAACAGGCATCCTTTCAGACATTCCTTGCTACAAAAAGACAATAGATTAAAGAGAAAGAAGGGAACAGAGATTCTTTGTAAATATTGGCACTTAACTCTGTGAAGCAGATGACTACTGACCCTCAGTACTCTGTAATTTCTTTGTTCAACATTCTGCCTCTTATACCCCTGTCAGGTTGTAAAATCAAAAGGTTCTCCAGGGTTGCTCTGAACATAAGTGTCCATGCTCTTTTGTACATACTGAATACTGTGTCAGTATTTTTTTTTATAACATATCAATTTTTAGTGTGTCCTTTTTCCTGTTTACAAAAAGTGCTGCAATATAGGTTGGGGGCTGGATATCTGTGCTATCATTTTCAAACTTTGTGAAATATTAAGAGCCCTATTTTATTATCCTAATTTTTTAGTATGCCATATTCAAGACAGATGTGGCATTTTAAAATATGTCTTTAAGGAAACCAACACATTTAATGTTTTGGGAGGTTGAGTGTTACGGCATTATCCAAAATCATTTTTAAAATAATCATGTACTTGTCATATGATTTTGTTTCTTCGGGATGACCTAAGGATTGGAGAAATTTATTCCTCTCATTTGTGCTTGGTACTGATGCTTGGTTTCAGATGTTATAAAATCAGTGTTGAATGTGAGTAAGTTATTCATAATACAGCTTCTAATGAGGTGTAGACATGACTTGAATAATAAATATCCCAGTCTTTTAATAAGGCTCATCTTATGCTCATAATAAAACCCTACACTGTTTCCATAATCCAGTGGAATTTCACCAAAGTTAAATTAAGACACACAAAAGCACATTCTTAAAGTACGATTTATAATCCTTAGGAAATGACTGTAATTGATTTACAACAAACCAGCTGTACTGAGAACTCAGCAGCCCCAGGTGACTGTAGCGGTTTTGCTTGAGTAAACCTGCGCACACAACAGGCTAGTCTGGAATTTTTTGTCAGATTGTAAAATCCAAAGATAAAACACATGGTTAATGGAGAACGTTTAGCCAAAACTACTGGAGAATATTTTTGCTTAGGTAAACACTTATTTAAATACATTTACAAAAATGTCATGCACATTTAAAAATCATAATGTATAGAAGCTACTTTATGTTTCTAAAAAGGAAGATTTTTTTAATGCCTTTTTCTTTTGTGGATTCTGCCTACTTCAAGCTTTCTTCTTTTTATAAAATTCTGGCATATGCAATGTACTGTATCTGAAAATGATAGAGTGTGCCTTTCTGGTACAGTCTTGTCAATTACATGTGCCTTGTTTCATTAACTGCAGCTAATTATTAGCCATAGTGTTCTAGGCTATGAATTTAAATTGAGTAAAATGAGTGGTCATTTTTTATGATTTCTTTCTAGTCATCTCAGATTCATCAGACTATTTTTATTACGTGTGAAAATATTAAAAGTATAATAATCCAAATCTTTCACTGCCTTATTCAGTAACCAAATAAGTGTTCATATTAAAGGTGACAGAGATAGATGGCATTAACTCTGTTTTTTTGCTTGACAGCTCTTGCCCACAACATATGTTCAGTGCTATCAGGGTTATTACAGAGAACACAAACTAATCAGGTGGACAGATTCACAAACAGTGTCTAGAACACATGGTGGCCTCCCAGTGTTAACAAGAAATGTCTGAATCGCTTGTAAACATCATCAAATAATGTGAAGATTTGTCATTTTGATTGCTGGTTCTTAAGACTGTGGTTAAAATAATCTTGTTGACTATGGACCTGCTAGATTGGAAGGTGAGATGCTGTGACCTGACCTTATTTGCTGTTGTGTCACGGAAAAGAGAAAAAATTATGGGCTCTGTAATAGTTCTGATATTGATTCAACAATCCATATGTTTTACCTTTAAAAATAATTTGGGATTAATGTTTGCTCTTGAGGCTGAATTTATTAAAAGGGATTAATATACAAAACCTTTTTGTTCAAAAGTTTATTAAGAGTTACCCACTTATTAATTTCTTTCTCCATTAAGGAATTCTAATTCTAGGGTAATTTGATGATCTAATGTTACAAAGATTAAAATGTACTTGAAAACTACCACTAGCTTCCCATGCAGTAGCACCTCTATGTGCATATGGGTACATGAGTTCTCATGTTTTTATCTTTAATCTACTATGTATTGTGTGTGTGTGTATATATATATATGTATATATTTGTGTATATTTACATATACATATGTCACTGCAAAATTTCTCCTTGACACCTAACAAAGATATCACTTTTTACTTGCAAAGAAAATCAGAATGGAAAAATAATACCTAAATGGTGAGCCAGATGAAGTAATTATTTTGGGATTATAAGGAGAATGTTGCTGGGAAAAGAGCTTGAAATTGTGAAATTTCTAAATAAAGAGGCCTTTCAACAAACTGGAGCAGTCTGCAAGGGCACTATCTAAACATAAAGCCTACTGATCTCAGCATTTATTCCATTGACTTCTGGCAGGTTTTAAAGGGAGGGGGGAGATTTTGCTATAAAGTTTATATTTTTAGGTGTATAGCTTTTTTTCTAATTCTTTTTATCTCCACTGAGTCTTCTTCCCTCAATCTATTTATCATACTCACGGTCAGAGGTAATCTTTACTATAGCATGAAAATATCCTAAAAATTAGAATTATATGAATTTGAAGTAAAAATATATACCATCTTATTAGTGAATTAGCTTGTCCAAAGCTTAAATACTTGGTAGTTCTTTCCAGATAAAATAGAATATTGTACAAGAGTGTAGGCTTTAGAGACACAGAGGTTGTTTTGGAATGTTGATTATGACACTTCATAGAGTTGTGAATTTGGGTTACTCATTTAACTTTTTTGAGCTTCAATTTTCTCATCAAAAAGTATAGATGGTAATATCTATTAAATGGAGTTGTTAAGAAGATTACAACAAAAACCTATTTTGGCAAAGCATTTACTAGAATGGCTGACCCATAGGAAGTCTTAGTCAGCTGCATCTGTTATAATTATGTGACAATATCCTTTGTTACTTCCATTTTGAATTTTCAGGCTAGCCTCTAGGTTCTAATCTTGGGGAAAACTGTTCCTATTAGTTATCTTAATTTCTATCAATTAGATTAAGTTTCTCTCCTATTTATCAACTCATTATAAGAAACAATGACTTCTTCTACCTAGAACAGTGCCTCTCTTTTGCTACAGTTTGAAACTGCATATTATCAATCAGCTGAAAAGGGAGCTACTTCAACCTCCTACCATCCTCCAGGCTTCCCCCACCCTGTGCTGCTATTCCTAATTTCTCTCTTTTGTTCATTAAGTGTTCAAATCCTGCTGTTGACTCTACCTCTTCAATAAATATATTCTTCCTATAGTCATCAGTGATCTCTGATTTGCAAAGCCCAATGAATTACTTTTCAGTCATTTTCAACATTCAAAAAGTTGACCATCCACACCTGGAAGTTCTCCTACTATGAGTTTCTAATAGCATTACTCTCTCTGGTTCTCCTCCTATCTCTCCAGATACTTGTTATTAAAGTCCATGAGATCATTTTTCCTTTTCCTGATTCTGCATTGTAATTATTTTATCTTTAGTTTTCTTCTCTTTTATTCAATCAAGAAAAGCATATTGGTTGGTCTGACACACAATACGATAATTTTCAATCTATATCTCCAGCTCAGCATCGTACTCAAGGTGTCAGCCCATACAACCGCTACCTAGTAAACACTACTTAGAAAACATTTCAAACATAACTTGTCCAGAACAATATAACATGACCCCTCTACAACTCACTAACTTTACTTTCTACTCTGGTAACTTATACCACCATATTCTGTCTTAGCCACCCTGGGCTGCTATACCAGAATGCCAATCTAGGTGGCTAATCAACAACAAACATTTATTTCTCACTCTTCTGGAGGTTGGAAGTGTGAACTCAGAGTGCCGGCATGATTAAGTTCTAGTGAGTACCCTCTTCCAGTGGCTTTGCCCTCATAGGTGGAAATGGGGGGTGTAGGTGTTTCGGGTTTGTTTTACTAATGGCACTAATCCCATTCATGAGGGCTCCATAATCATGACCTAATTACCTCCCAGAAGCCCTGCTTCCTAATACCTTACATTGCAGGTTAGGATTTTAACATATAAATTTTGGAGAAACACAAACATTCAGTTCATAACATATTTCCAGTTTTCCAAGATGTCTAAAGGTCATTTTATATTTCCCACTTTCCGATATTCCACTTAAACATTATGTCAATTCTACCTTCATAATATCTTACAATTTATTTTCCTTCTGTACTATCGCTGCCTTTGCCTTACATTAGACCCTCTTCTTTTTTACCTGGATTTCTTATGAATTTTCCCTTCTCCTAGTCTTCTTTCCCTCTATCCCAAATCCATTAGCCATACTGCCACAAAAAATCATTTTAATGAAGTATAAATTGATTGCATCATTCTCTTAAATCATTCCAAGTTTTCGTATTACCTTCAGGATAAGTACCACCATAGAATACATCTTTCCTGTTATTTTTCTCCCCCCCCCACGTTCCTATACAAATGCTCCTTGACCTAAGATGTTGATATGGTTTGGATGTGTGTCCCCTCCAAATCTCATGTTGAAATGTGATTCCCAATGTTGGAGGTGGGGCCTAGTGAGAGGTATTGGATAATAGGGGCAGATCCCTCATGAATGGATTGGTGCTGTCCTTATGGTAATGAATTCTCACTCTATAAGTTCACATGAGATCTGGTTGTTTAAAAGAGCCCAACACTTCCTCTCTTCTCTCTATTGCTCCCTCTCTCATCATGTGACACACAGGTTTCTCTCACCTTCGGCCATGATTGTAAGCTTCCTGAGGCCCACACCAGAAACAGATGCCAGCACTATGCTTCTTGTATAGCCTGCATAACAGTGAGCCAAGATAAACCTCTTTTCTTTATACATCATCCAGCCTCAAATTATTTTGTTATAGCAAAGCAAATGGACTAACACAGGTGGGGTTATGTCCTGATAAACCCTTGTTAAGTTGAAAATATTATAATTCAAAAATGCATTTAACGTACCTAACCTTTGGAACTTTGTAGCTTAGCCCAGCCTACCTTAAAACTGCTCAGAACATTTAGAATAGTTCACAGTTGGGCAAAATCATCTCACACAATGCTTATTTTATAAAAGGATTGTATATCTCCTGGTTGTTACCTTCAAGATCATGTCCCTGTCTGGGACCTGTGGCTCGCTGTCACTCCCCAGCATCCAGAAAGACTACAGTACTGCATATCACTAGCCCAGGAAAAGATCAAAATTCAAAATATGGTTTCTACTGAATGTGCATTGCTTTTGCACAATT
The DNA here is from genome assembly GCF_000001405.40 of Homo sapiens. Taxonomy (NCBI): domain Eukaryota; kingdom Metazoa; phylum Chordata; class Mammalia; order Primates; family Hominidae; genus Homo; species Homo sapiens. The sequence goes on from NC_000005.10 coordinate 125,818,064, forward strand.
GTAAAAATTAAAAGATCATGTCTAACCTTTGTAAGATGGGGACTGTCTGTGTATATTTTGTGCTATCAGCATGATGCAATATTTGTGTACCCCTGAAGATTCTGTACACATTCACATCTTGGCTCTGCCCATACTTTTCCAATTTGCCTAAAATATCGTTCACATTCTTCTTCAATCACATTGTTCTGGTTCTTCAACATTTATCTCAGCTTTCACCTACTGACTTCATCTCCTGCCTGAGATAGGTGTCCTTTTCCTGTGCTTCTCTTTGTCTGTATGCATTGCTATCATAACTCTTACCATTCTGTACTTCAACTGTTCATTGATTTGTCTTACTGGACAATGAGATTCTCTAAGACGAGAACATGAGGCACACTTTATCTGCTACACAAATCCCCTCACCTGATACACATCTGGCACTCTATAAATATTCATTAAAGCAATAGCTAAATAGCCAGTGCCGTTCACGTTTTGTGATCTCTACCATCATCTTCCCTCGGTTCCTTCCCTGAATCATCTTCTTGATGTGTGTATGCTAGGTTCTTTTCTCTCCATCTTTGCTTTTCCTATTTCCCCATTTCACACTTTACTTTTCAGGTTTTCTAAACAGGTTATTACCTCAACATAGCCATTATAGAACTCTCTCACTCTTCTTTCTCTGAGTTCTGATTTTCACTTATATTTTTCAGTGAACCCAAAGTTCACTAATTATAGGTTCTTAGCTCTTCAAAGCATTAGTACCTCAGTAGCAAAACAAGTTCTACCTGGAGATTTCATTCATCTCAAAGTTCATCACATCTCCCTCAAGAAGTTACTAATTTAAATACACTATCACATGTTAAATTGGTTTGATGTATTGGGAAATGATAGCACTGGTTTATTTTAAAACATGCAATATAACTGAGGCCTAACATTCATATTTTATAACATCAATTTCTTTCCCTTCCAGAGGTTATATCTGAATCAACAGTAATGCTTTAGAAAGAAGAGTGCTGTAATGGTAGCCAGACCATTTAAAAATATTCCCTATACTCACAAGCAAGAGCAATCTAAGTGAAAATATACCACAAAATTAACAGTTATGAATTTAATGTAAACATTTAAAAGAATGGGATATCATAGAAATCTCTTTCTAATTATCAATAGGACTATTTTTGTGTTTTTATGTTCAAAAAAAAGGACATTGCTTTAAGGCATTGATAAAAGAATAACATTTTTAAACCAAGTGATTTCAAAGCCTTGTCTAAATTACAATCTCAAAATGTCACCCATCTTTCTTATTTCTTTGGAGTCAAACTTAATTACAGGGCCTTTAAATTGATCAGACCTGATATACCAGGAGGATTTCCCAATATATTTTAGCCAAGTAGAGATACACCAATGATGTGTTGAGCTGAATAATTTTAACCATCCTATCTTTTTCTGCATAAAATTGAGTTTCAGATCATGCCTTCAACTGAGATTATAATTAATAACAACTTTTCCCTTGAAATGCTGAAATAGCATGCATTTTGCTTAGATGAATATGTTCTAGAAGCCAAGTGCCAATACAAAAAAGAGTACACAATTTGTTCTTTATGTGAGGCCACATTAATAACTGAGATTTACAGCTAATCAGTGCAAATTGTTATTATTTCCAAAATTATAAGCCTAGCTGCCTATACAATTCTACATATTTACAGTGACTTTAAAAGGATGTGTCTGATTTTAAAGCTCTGGCCTTTAAACAAAAAGGTCTTTTTCATTATGCCAAACAGAGAGGTGATGCTGTTGAATAAATTTATGCTGTTCTTTTACGTGTGCGTGTGTGTGTGTGTGTGTGTATGTGTGTGTGTAGATACATACACTTATATATAACATGGAGGACTGCAATAAAAATGACTATACAATTGGGAGAAAGGTAAAATGTTACACAAATACTGTGTATATTCCTTGTCTATCCAAGGTTTCCTTCAAAATTTAGACATTGTTTGTATCTTGTATATACCCTAAATTGCCCAATTTCACTAAATCATTTGGACTTTTTATAATTAACAGGAATATGCTACATGAGAAGCGTAACTTAAATTTTCTAATATTGTCCAAGCTGTAAACTGCTTTTAGAGGTATAATCTCTATCATTTAGCCCCATTATGTACTTTATGAAGGTATTACCTGTATTTTATACTCTTAAAAAACAGTGAATTAAAGCATTTTTTGCCACTCGTATAGTGAAATAAGATTCTGTAACATAAGCCTAATCAAACTTAACTTAGTCCTTTTGTGATTTCCATAAAATTAAAAGATGATAATTTGACACATTAAAAAGCTGAGTGGTTTATATAGCCATAAGAAATTTGATACACATTGTAGCTTCAACATCTATTCTCCTGGAGGAGCTTGCTATAGCAGCATGACACACAAATACTTATTTTTAAAATATATCTTAATCCCTAAACTAAAAAGTGGGTAAAGAATATATATATATATATATATATATATATATATATATATGCAATTAATAGAGAAATATAACTGGCCAATTAGCATTAGAAAAATGTCCAACTTCAAAAAATAAACAAAGAAATAAAAATTTAAATAAAAGATAAAAGTGTCGGTGAGGTTTTGCTGTGTTGGACTGATAGAACTTAAATCGATAAGAAACTCAATACACGGTAATTTGACAATAATTTAAAGAAACTGATAAAAACATATACTCCTTTTAATACAGATATTCAACTTACCAGAATTTATCCTAAGAAAACAATTATAGATGTATGTAAAGACTTAGGTTCAAATATATCTTTAGCGTTGTTGTTAATGATGGCAAAAAAAGAAATAGAAACGATCTGAGTCCAAAGATAGAAAAATAGCCAATTTACTGTTTAATAGTACAGCATTACAGACATTAAAAATAATATTGTAAGAGAATAAATTATGCCATTGAAAAATAGATATATTTAGTTAAGGGGGAAAATAAGAGCAAGAAGAAGATTGCAATTATATGTATAATATAATCCCAGTTTAGAGGCAATATAAGTTTTGTAGCTAAGACCCACTCTAGTTTGAAGCCAGATGAATGAATTCCAGTTTGGGCTGCACCGTTGACTAGCTGTGTAACCTTTAGGATGCTATTTTAACCTTTCTGAAATTCAGTTTCCTTATCTATAAAATGGCATTAAGAAACTTTCAAATTTGCAGGGCCTTTGTAAGATTTCAAAGGAATAATTCATATATGGCTGTTAGTACAATGCATGAATAAAGTGGGTATTCAGTATATGTTAATTTTATAATTCTTATTATATAATATGTATATTTTGTGTCATATTTTATGTTTATATTACATCTGTATAATATGCATATTTTATATTAAATGTATGTTTATGACCAAACATTCACTGAAACTGTTAAAATGACAGTTTCTTAGAGGTAGGATTCTGAATGGTTATTTCATATACACCTGGATTTTTCTTCAGTGAATACATATAACTTCTGTAACAGGGAAAAAATAAAATTATATAGGAAAGATTAAGCTAGAAGCTCCAGCAGCAATATCCAAACACTGAAAGTTCAGGGTCTTATTTCTTGTTTCTGCAGTCTCCACGGGTTAGGTGGCTCTCCAGAGAGGTGCCTGCCAAACAGTGATGTGAGTCTGTCTGCATCATAAAGCAGCAGTACCTAGAACATGAGATTTCTAGACCTCTATAGCAGCAGCAGTGAGCTAGAGGGCTCTCTGGGGACTTTGCACTGCTTCTGCCCAGAGGTAATACATGTTCCTTCCACTCCCAATCCATTAGCCACACCAGTCACTTGGCCCTTCCCATGTGCAAGGGGGTTGCAGCAGGGGCGGTGGGGGGACACATGGATATGTGATGAAGATTAAATGTCTCTCCCACAAAAAAGCGAAATCTAAAAGAAAACTAAATTAATAGATTTTACTCAAATCAGACATTATTTCATGACTTCACTTGGCAATTTTGATTTCATGAATCTTTCAAAGAGAGTACAGGTTACAAAAGCTCTTTAACTTTTTCCCTAGACAGACCTTCCACAGCAGCTGCAGTTGAAGACCAGAATTAAACAGGCACACAGGAGAGACTATTCTAGGACCTGCCTCTCACCAACGTGCAGTATGACTCCAAAATACGAGTCAGTACACATCTTATTGTGGCATAAATCTAAATGTCATAGAATACTTATTTTTGCAGCTTTTTCATGGAATGCTTGGTAAAATAAAGACAAATAAACATATTCACAGAATGAATTATAATTCCATGTCAGCTTAGCTCTTTTCAGCTTTGGTGAAAAGCATAGATGTAGCAGAAGTGGGGTGAAATTTATACTTTTTAGTAATTGATGCTTATAACTACTGTCTGAGATAAGTACGGTTGTACTCAGTCTAAAGGCATGAGACTTATCCAAGTTAGTAAGTAATCAAACTGGGTTTTGAACAGACCTAGGTGCTCAACAATTTTGTACGCAACCTTCCTGCAATCAAGTTGGGGGTAAGAAGGAACAGCAATACTATTGTTTCATTTTAACTAAAACAGAGAACTGGGAGCCCTTCTCAACTACTCTGGGAAAAACTGGGCCATGTTACTGCAGTCAGTCTCTCAGTCAGAAGAACCCAAGAAAATTGCCTTGTGGGAGTAACTACAAAGGAAAATGAAACAATGCCTGCTACTCCAGTTTATTTTTAACAAAATGAATTCATTTTCATAAACGGTAGCATTATGTGTAGCACTATATGATTAGAGGAGACTGAACTTGTAGCCAGACTGTTCCGAGATTGAATCCTCACTTCACTACCAGGTAACTTACATAAATCACTTAACATTTCTAAAGCTCATTGTCCTTATTAGAAAGTGTGAACAAAAATAATTTGAAATCTATGTCATAGGGTGTTGGTGTCATACATTTTATCATCAGATAAATTTAAAAATAAATGAAAACTGAAAATACCACCTTGGATCTTTGGAGGGACTCTGCAACATTGGTGACACCAGTGTTCCTGGCCTGATCCTCCATAGGATGGGATTGTTGAAAATTGAATAAAGTTGATGGTAATTGCTACATTTATTTCTATTTTCTGGACTTCTGTTTCTAGAGCTCACGGATCTATCCTAGACCCTAGAAGAGACTACTGTGCACTGGCACATAGACACTTTGACTGCAACGATGGATAGGAAGTTTTACTGATGAGAAGGAACATTCGGACATAGACAGGTTAAGTAATTTTCCCAATTGCAACATATTTCAGAGTTGACAAAAGTCTAATCATGCTTCTCTCCTTGGACTCCCTAAGTAGGTCAAAGATATCATCATCCTACAAGTTTCTGAGCTAGAAATGTCCCTGCCATCATCCTTCAACTCCTTCCATCACCAAATGTTATCTGAAGCAAAAGTCGGATCATGCCACCGAAAATCCTCATATGTATCTGAATGCTTATTGGAGGAAGTATAGACAAATGGGCAGATAATTCATTCATCACACTCTTCTCACTGCAGCCTCAGAGATGCAAGGTCTACAGGTACAACAACTTTGCAGAGGCTAGAAAAAGAGGATCATCTCAGCAAAGGGCAGCGGCAGTATACCCTGCCCACATGAATGTTAACAAACCACGTTGTGAGTCTCTCATTTCATTGGTTTTCCATTACTCTATTGCTTAGTCATAAGGCCCACTCATCCTTTGGCAGCAGTTTACAGAGTTCTCTTTCCTCCAGCATCTCCTGGGAAGTGATGTGAGCCACACTCTGCAGGTCAGAGTCAGAGGTGATCAGAGCTCAAGGTCACACAGCCAGTCAGTAGTGAGTGGCAGAGTTAGAAGTACAGCCAGCTTGGGCTGTATCTCCAGGACTCTTTTCTCTGTGTCGACCATGTTAAAGTAACCCTTTGTGGCTAGTCATTCAAGATCATTGAAAGCGCCAAGCACTAAGAAAACATTAAAAGAAAATACAATGTTTCTTACATTTCTCTCTTGCAAGGAAGGAAGATTCATCAATATTTATTCTAAATCAGGATCGAGGATAAAAGAGTTTAGCAAAAAAGAGAATATAGAAAAGAGAATCCCCCAAAATATGTTTACAGCCCTTTAGGATTCATCTATAAAGGACATTATATATTGCCTTATTTAAGCTACCCTTCAACTTGGTGCAAGCATAATACTATCAATCCCACTATATAAAGGAAGAAAGCAAAGCTCTCAGAGATGAAGTGACCAATTCAGGGTACACAACCAAGCTAGGATTTGAATACGGATGTGTAGAAAAGCTACAGGTGGAAAATAGGAAGGCCTGGATAAGAGTAGAGGGGTCTAGAGACCAGGTGCAGCAGTGGGGTCTGCTTAGCTCTGTGGGTGTGGAGGGGCTGTTGGTGCATGGTCCACTCGCTGTTTCTTCCCCCGTGATTCTGTGTGACTTCTTTAGCTCTGTGTTGCTGGTATGGAACTCCAGACTGGAGCTCACGTTCTCTGCACTCAGCTGCCAGAGGCAGCAGTGTGCTTAAAGTGATGAAGACCATTGACTGGTTTCTTTGTGCTTTAGTGAGTTCCATATTTTTTTTTGTATGAGGTCAGTATCTCCTTTGTGTCATGTTATTACATTCAGTGGAATCCATATTCATTAATATTTGAAAAAGTCAGAGACCTCAATTAGGCAAGGAAACCCTGGGTCCAGCTGACAAATGAGATTGACCCTTATTGATTCTTTTCCTTTTCCTATGTTTCTAAACATGTCTACATTCACAGTTCCTTTTCTTCATCTTTCTATTAGAAGAGAGAGAGGTAAGAAATGGGAGCTCTCAGGAAAGATAAGAACATCAGCCGTCTAGGGCAACAGGTTGATGAGGGACAGAGGGCAGAGAGGAAACTAGGGCTTCTATCAAAGCTCACAGACATGCCCCCACCAACCTGGGTGTGGTAGAGAGCTCCAGGATAAAAATCCCAAACATTGTGATGCTGGGGCTACAGGCTGGCTTACTCCAAGAGAAGAGGCCTGCAACACTTACTCATAGCCACCTTTCCATCTGATGTGTCTTTGGGTCAAGCCTGTCCCTTGCTTTAGGGCTGAAATGCTGAACTTGTAAAAACCTCCTATCAGATATGACTTAGTCTGTCCTCAGGGAACAGGATCCTATGGAAAGGAGCATATATAACCCTGAAGACTCGAGATCCTATGTCCTTGTCATTCAGCAGAGGACTACTGACTGAAATATCAATTTAAGACCATATGCAGAAAAACTATCATTACTTGAGTTTTTCAGAAAGGGATTAGTAGAAATTATTTATATCCACTTTCAAAAGGAAAGAATAGAGATCTTTAAATCAACATAGGAAGTCACATTATTCATTTATAATGAATGTCTGCTGCTTGCTTAGAAAGAGGAGACTAAGAAATGGGTTCCACTCTCTAATTTTTTTTTTTGCTTTCAGCATCAGTGCAGACAGAGCAAGAAGAACAAAGTAGTAGCTTTAAAAGATAAGGTTCTGCTATTCAATGCCAGCCTCCCAGCATTAACCTTAATCTCTCTTATTTCATGAGATCCCAGGTCCACAATTGCTGAGGATGTCAGTTTCTAGAGGAAAACAGAGCCCTGAGAGGAAAGGCCCAAAGGAAGAATATCAGAATTTAGGAAACTTCTCCAATTAATGCTCTGCCCCTCCATGGGAATTAAATAACAATAGAGCTGGGCAGTGGGTCTTTCCTACTAAATGTTGATGTGAGATATAGTGGAAAGGATACTGGCTAAGTTTGGAAAGAAAATTTCCAGGTCAACCCTTTGAACAAAGTGTTAATTTCCCTAAGTTTTAGACTCCTCCTTTGAGAGGGCATCCTGCCCACAAATCTCATTGAGTTGTGTTGATCACATGGGATAATGTATATCAAGGCCCTTTTTAAATGACATAGCACTGTACCTATGTGAGCCTAACTATTAATGTCATTGACCGTTGGACCTTAAATTCCTGGAGCTCTCAGGGCCTAAACTTAAATCTATTCCCAATGAAGCATATTACAAACCTCCTACAAAGTACCTTTGCTCCTACCTTCACCTGATGCAATACAAGCTACTTTTTCTATTTAAAATAGCTTGTTTGCAAAGGGCTAAGGTAGCATAAGACCACCTTTCTCTTTGCAAAAGGTAATTAATCTCTTCTGTTATCCCAGATAACCCACTTTCTAGCTTGTCCCATGGAATTCCAGTGTCCCAATGCAGTCTGGGTTTGACATGAGAAGGAAAACCCAGAGGGAAGGGGATGTGAACACCAGATGTGGGGTGAGGGATCACAAGAGTTTCATAAATTCCAGGATATTCAGGTATGTGACCCTTGCCAGGCCCACCAGGCCCTCCTGTCCCCATTCTCCTTCTGGATCCACTTTGTGCCTCCTGACCCCTACTGGTGCAACATTTTTACTATCTATGCCCTTTCTTTTCTTTGTTGTTTTGTTGGTAGTTTTCTGGAGCATATACAGCAAAATTTGTGCTCTGTAGGGTATAATAGAGCAACCACAGAAGCAGACATTCTGTTCTTCTATGAGGAGGCAGGAAAAGATGCTGTGCTTTCTCCATCACCTTTGGGATTGCTGAGCATCACTCACTCGGCCTTCCTTCCTCTGGCCTCCACCCTCCCACTGGACCCTCCCATTTTCTCATTTCCCTTTGTTTTACCCTCACCACTAGGTATCTTTCTTCCCCCAGAGTCTGGTACAAAACTGGATCCCATAGTGTCCACATAGCATCTTTTACCGCACCACTATCTTTTCTTTTCCACCCCCAGAGCACACTCAGATACTGGACCCTATTCCCCAGTCACACCCTGCTTTGTCTTTGGGCCTTACCTCCTCACCTGACTCCACACTCTCTTAGGATTACAACCTCTCTCATCAAAGTTGACACCTGACTCTCTCCCCTCAATCATGGTTTCTAGTGTTTCACTGGACTGTCTCCTCACAACCATAGTTTCATATGAGGGACTCAGCAAGGTTCAAGACAGAAAAAGACCCGGACGGGGGCCTCCTGCACAGTTTCAAGAGGAACCTAATGAAGGGTCTCAGGGCTGACTTCCAGGAGGAGATAATAAGTAAATTCTGTGAGACATTCACAAGATGATTTCTCAAGGTTCCCAAGGAATAACCTAAACAAGAGGGTTACTGAAAACACCCAACCCAAAACAGTTACTTGGGGAAGAACATGGGGCAGACCAACTAGATGAGGGTCCCAGTGGCCATGCACCCTTCATGGACTGCTGCCCACTCTACATTGTGCCATCTGGGAAGGCCCACATCCACCCAGCCACCGTAAATATCTTCATCTGATCAATAATATCACAAGAATGCTTCTCTGGAGCTTTCCTTTCTTAATTTGTGTCCTCAACAGTTTCTAGAAGCTCACAGAGTGTACTTTTGGATACACCGGATATGGTGTCCACTGTGTGAGGTCCTTGAATCCAAAACATTGTTTGAGGTGAGCCAGGCCTCTTCCCCATCCCACTTTCCCTGGCTCATTTATTCATATTTCAAGAGCTGATACAATAAATGAGGCAGTGATGATTCTTGAGGTAAACCCTCAAGCAGTCTAGGGAGAAGAGGTTGTATCAGAGTCAGGGTTTTACAGAGAAAGAGAACCAAAAGGATGTATCGATATAGATACAGAGATAGGTAGGTAGGTAGGTAGATAGATAGATATATAGGATAGATAGATAGATAGATAGATAGATAAATAGATATACAGATAGATTCATAGATACATAGACAAATGAAAAGGCTTATAATAAGAAACTGGTTCTTACCACTGTGGAGTCTAACAAGTCCTAAAGTCTGCTGTCAGCAAGCTGGAGACCAGGAGAGCTGATTATGTAAGTTTCAGTCTAAGTCTGAAGGTCTGAGAACCAGGAGAGATGATGGTGTAGTTGCAGTCTGAAAACTAGCTATCTCAAGACCCAGGAAGATCTGATGTTTTGGTGCAAGCCTGAAAGCAGAAGGAAAACAATGTCCCAGCTTAAAGGCAGTCAGGTAGGAGGAACCTAACAACTTATACCTCACTCCCAGATCTGTGCTTATCTTCAAAGACACACAGGTGTGTGGTGAGGTAGTCCAACACGATGTGTGCACATGAGAGGGTGGCTACAAAAAGATCTGCCCAAAATGTCTGCACACTACCGGAAGGATTTCTTACTCTAGCTTGGCTTCTAGCCCTGGTTCCCCTTCCCCTTCCCTAACTCTTTCCCACATAGGAAATAAAGAAGGCCCTCAAAAGCAGGAAATTCTATTAGCTAAATGATGATGGGCAGATGAGGACCTATTCCAAGAGAAAATTTTCTAGTGCTTTTTTGCCACACTCAAGGCCCAAGTGTAGGGGCAGAAGGATCAACTCCAGGAGGCATTATTCACATTTTCTAGAGTTGTATTTGAGGAGGAGCCATAAATAACAGAATGCAACAGGGATGTGGCTCCCTGGTAATCCTTGGTGATTATCCATCACCAAGTCCTACACCCCTGCACTCAATGTTGGGGTAAACAAAGTGCATGGCTGAGCTGGCACCTTGGTATGGAGTGGGCACAGTGTCACCAAAGGGCAGCTGTTGATGCCCAAAATTCCAAGAGCCAGCTCCCATCTAAAGGGCTTGGATTCCTGGAGGCAGCCCCATGGAGGGAATCAACATGGAGCATTGAATCCAAATCTTCAAGTTTAGTGCAAGGCCCTGGCTAGTTGAAGGGTTCCGCCTTTTGAGTCCTCTCATCTGGAAATGTCATTAGCTGTGCAAGCTGCAGCCTAAGTTACCCTTTCAACTTGTTGGGGTCTCAAGGACATGTTTGGGTTCATTTAGAGAGGCCAGTGGCAGTTAAGAGACGCAGAATTTGCTCCCTCTCACCTCTTCTGAGAGCCCTGGCAAAGGGGTCAATGATTATCATGTCATTTTTAGAGGGCTGGGCCAGGCTTCAGTGTGAGGGAGTTTAGGCTGACAATGACAAAAGGGTAATTTCTGAAACAATCCCTGATCTACCTGCTCACTCTGTATTATGCAATTTACCTTCAGGACACAATATCCAAGTTATTAATTTCTATACCTATTCCCTGCCAGAAGAGACACTCAGAGGCTGGAAAGGTCACTTTGCCCACCTCTCCTCCTGGAAATTCTAGGCTTCTGGTCTCAGAGTTTGTTAAAGGTATTATATTTGCATGGACCAATACAAAAGTTAAGTATCTTTAATATATGTTTATCTGGATTTTTGTGTGGGAGGGGAATGTAGCCACATGTTCCTGAGAGGGAGGGGATGGAGTGTGGGGTGGGAGGGGTGTTACTGTGTTGAAAGTGAGGGATTCACCCAAGGATAGCAGTCTCTGCCGTCTTGAGAAAAGATAAGTGGTGATGTGTGTGCTAATGTCAGAGCCTGGGTTAGAAGTACCCCAGGAGGCAACAGGACTTTTGATGAGTGGGCCAATGTGTTTGCTGAGGAAGTGAAACTTCGTGCACCACAGACTTGAGCTCTGCAGCAAAGTATGACAGCACCCTACCTCGCAGAGAGGCAGTGGAGCCACCTGCCTTTGAATGGATCATGTCGCCTCATACAGTGACCATCTCATTTGCAACCTGGATGGACTAAAGGCCAAAGGATATTTCTAAGTATCTGACAGTGTTTACATTGCCAAACAGAGAAATGAGTCTCAATTAGTGGTTCATATTTAGTAACTTGGCATCATATTAAATGGGAACTTAGAGGCAGATTCCATTGAATTTTTAAAAATTAAATAATTTGGTATATCTTATACCTCAGTTGTAGGCAAATTTATAATTTTTTATTTATTATCCCATTTAAACTTTACAACTCTTTGAAATGAATATTGCTTTCCCCTTTTTCAGAAGGAGAAACTGAGGCACAAAGAGGCTCATATATATTTGGTGGCCTAGCATAGAAAGAATCATGATTGGAAAAGCCCCTTGTAATGTGGAGAAGGATTTGGAGGAAAGTGACAGAAGATACAATTTAAAAATATCATTTCAGGTCAAGCTCAACTACAAGCCATATCATCAGGAGGGGCTCTGAATTTTAAAGTCTAGAGTCTCACCCTTTGATCTCAATCTCTACTCCTTTCAATACATGCCCACCAAATGCCAGTTCTCCAGAAACTCTGGTCCTGTCCACGAGCAACTCATCTGCATTCTTCCTTTGCCGTGTTAGACTTCACAGTCCAGCACTTAAATAATATCTAACACACCCTTGTCCCTTTCTATTTTCATCTTTTCTGTCTGACAAAATCCCAGCTCTCTGCTTCTTCCAGACCTACCTTCTGATATGTGACTAAGACCTACTGAAATAAATCACACAATCAAGTATATTGTACCACCATAATTTTAAAATCTATAACTAACAGTCAATTCCAACACTGTATGGTAATCATTCATTCATTCATTCAATCATTCATTTCATATAAACAGTAAATATTTTCCACGTGTTTTTTGAATGCATAAATGAACAAAATAGATAAATCTCCCTGTTTGTTGGGTCTTATGTCATTATTTCTCATTCTTAACAAAACTACTTCAAATGTTTCTCACTTTAACAAACTTCTGTTTCCCCAATCCCCTCAGAAGATGGACTGGAACCCACTTCACAGAGAAGCCAGAAGTCAGCAGGATGCAACTTTTCTTCCTCAATACTCTGTGTGTGTGTGACTTTTGGTTCATATTCATCTTCTCCAAGAATAGGGATCATATCCATTATCACACACTTCTCATGAGCAACTTGTGCTTAGCATCTAGCTTGTATTTAAGATCCATTTGAAGAAATGAAATCATGCAGGATTTCCTCCAGATTTTTCCAGTAAAACACAGTAATCTTACTGGTAAACAACTGAGCTTTTACATAAAAAATTCTAAATATAGCTTTCTAATGTGACATTTATGACTTTTTTCGCTGTCAAGAAAAGAAATCAAAGCTATGGGAGCATCATCCAAAGTTGTCCTGCTCATAAGAATTTGAAAAAGCAAAGCCATCCACTAATTACATGAAAAATATCCTCCTCTGGGAGAAAGCAGATTGGAATACTGGCAAGACTTTTATGTTAAATGGGGATGTCACATAATATCACTGTTTTTTAATGTTGGAAATCATGTTATTAGATATCTCATTTTACATTTTGATAGAATCATTAATGTTCATATTATACAATAGCTCCTGGTATAAAAGTCATGGATATGGGGAAGAAGTACTTGGAAAACTTCCTGTTAGTTACCTCCAAAAACACATGCTATGGAAGAAGACCGTTTTTAGCTAAGAACTGTATTACAAGTTAGAGTATGAAAGGTGCATTGAAATCAGTGCTGATGAAACAGTTGTGTGATAACAAAGTCAGGGGTTACTCAATGGATAATAAAGAATTGTGTCTGATCATCGATTCTGATATGGTTTGGATCTGTGTTCCCACCAAATCTCATGTGGAATTATAAGCTCCCATGTTGAAGGTAGGGCATGGTGGGAGGTGATTGCATCATGATGAAACTTTTCTTCCTCAAACTTTTAAAACATGTGCATCCTACTTCTCCTTTTCTCCTTTTCCTTGCTATACTGACAGAGGGTTAGCACCATCCCTTTGGTGCCTGTTTTGGTGATAGTGAATGGGTTATCATGAGATCTGGTTGTTTAAAAATGTGTGGCACCTCGCCCCTCTCTCTGCCTACTGCTCCGGCCATGTAAGATGTGCCTGCTTCCCCTTTGCTTTATGCCAAGATTGTAAGTTTCCTGAGGCCTCCCCAGCCGTGTTTCCTGTACAGACTGTGGAACTACAAGCCAATTAAAATTCTTTTCTTTATAAATTACCCAGTGTCAGGTATTTCTTTATAGCAACGCAAGAACAGACTATTACAAGTCCTTACTCTTGTTTTATTTGTTTTACTCAACAATGTATGCCTTCTAATGTACATTTTAGTACTGAACACATTGGTGAGATTAAGAAGAGGATAAAACCAAAACCATTTAATATATGCTTTTTAGGGATTATGCAAAACAAAAACCAACAACAAAGACTGTACATCCATCCTGAAGTATGGAAGCAGCCAATCAATCAGAATGGTACTCACAAAAATTGTTTGAAATGAGTAGTAAATAATGAAAACATTCTTTCATGATCATGGTCATTCTGGTAAGTATCATTTCCACAATTTCAGTTGGCTTAATCCAGTGACGTACCTTGGCAATGTATTAATATCTTAAATACCTTTAAGTTATAAATTCAAGTTGAAAATAACAAAACTTTTAATTTGATATGTAATATAATGAGGTTTCCTAAGATTATTGAGCTATGATGTAAACGCTTCAATCACCTAGGTTTTGACTGCCAATATTAGTAATATTACCTACTTATTAGTGAAAGAAACCAATGATAGTTTGAGTCAATATACACAAACTACATTCAGCATATGAAGAAGTATGGCCCTAAGTTGTCTATAACCAAGGAGTAAACTGAAGATCCATTTGCTGCCATTTCAGAAGTCACTAACATTCAAGCTTCCATTTTTATTTTTTTAATGTGCTATGAATGTTGACTTAGTATCTTTTGTGAGAAATCATTCCATAATTTCAGATTAATGTTTGATCTAAAAATATGCAGAACTGCCTTACAAAGTCAGGATACACTTGCTAACATTCTCAATAGTATATGAAATGAATTATAATTTCCTACCTTAAAAGAAATAAGAAAAAATAACATCTGGATTTGGGACTGACTCAAACTATACATCACCAACGAGAAATAGATACCTCAATGAAAATTTGCAAAGAATTGTATCCTTCTTAATAACTGATCACTTTTACAATTGTATTTTATTTTATTAAATTACAACAAACCTTTTTCTCTGAACTTTATGTAAAACTGAGTCTCTTTGTAGCTAAAAGCCCAAATTTTCAGGGAAAGAAAAATGCAGATAGTTTGGCTAAAGCACTACCATGTTTCTTTGAGCTCCTTGAAAAGCGTTATTTTTAGCAGAATGTAGTTAAATGCCCTCTCCACCCCATTACCCTGGTGGATAACTTTCCAGATTCAATGTTTTTACTCAATTCCCCAAGCTAGAGTCTACAAATTCTCCTAGACTCTTCTTAAAACTTCCATTCACCTCTTGACAAACTGAAGACAGTAATCAGAATCTGATTAATGTTTCCTCTTGGGGGAAAAAAATAAGGAGAACATGCTGACCCAAACCAGCAGACTGTTCCTTTTAAAAAGACACAAAAGTTTAGAAACAAAAAACAGAATCTCTATTTTCAGTCTATGAAGCAATTCCTCTCTGTTAATTAGCTCAAAGAATGTCAAATTGAATCCCTTAAATATGTGTTGGCAATGTGAATTATTTTAATTATAAAAAGGAATACTACCAAACAAACCACGTTTAATTCAGTAAACAACCATCCACAGGAAATAGGTTTTATCAAATCAAGTAATCCTCACATTATTTAACAACCCAAAAGGCACTGCTTGGACATTTCATTATTAATGACCTTAATAGCTCAAAGGACACTTCAGGCTGCTGCTGGAATAATGTTTTGTGGCTGAGGCTTTCATTTTTTCCTGACAAGAGAGCTAATTTGACTGTTTATATGTCAGTGCCACAGCAGTGCTGATCTCATCATATTACCTTTATTTTCAGTTCTCGCCCAATGGTCCCAGGGATATTTTACAACAAAAGAAATTTTCAACAGAAACATCTTGTGATGACCCTGACTGCACAGATGTCTTAGTCTGTTTTGGTTGCTATAATAAAATACTACAGACTGGGTAATTTGTAAAGAACAGCAACTTATTTTCTCACTGTTCTGGAGGCTGCCAAGTTCAAGATCAAGGTGCCAGCAGGTTCAGTTGTCTGGTGAGGGCTGCATCCTCTGGAGGGGAAGAACACTGTGTCCTCACATAATAGAAGGTGGAAGGGCAAGAGGGACAATTTTCTTCTGTCAAGCCTTTTTATAAGGGCACATAATCCCATTGATGAGGGGAGGACCTCTCATGACTTAATTACCTCTTAAAGACTTCACCCCTTAATGCCATCACATTGGCAATTAAGTATTAACACCTGAATTTTGAAGGAGAAACATTCAAACCACAGCAAGAGACAAAGACACAGACATACAAACATCAAATAACCAACTAATCGGGATAACCAAAAACTTCCATTTTTGAAAGAATAAGTTACCATTAGAAATGAACAGTGAAACAGGTTTCTGTAATCGAATATACTCAACTCTCTTCTCTAGGAAGAAGAGAATACCTATTTCTTTAAAAATAAAAGATAGGAAGAAAGGGAGAGAGGGAAGGGCAGGAGAAAAGAAGGGAAGGAAGAAAGAGAGAAATATTAACTGAACTTCATTTTTCTTATTTGGCTTTCTTCTAAGAGTCCAAACAAATGGAAAGCATTTCTGTTCAAAATGAGATTGCTTTTGTTCCTAACACTGATCAAGATTTTTGCTCTTTCTTCTTCTTTCTTTTTTTCCATCTCTTTTCAGGACGCCAACTCTGGGGCACCTCCCAGCTTTTGCTTGCTATGCTCAGACAACAACCTACACAAATCCACAGTTAGGCCAGCAGGCTGGACAGAGACTAAACTCCTACTCCAGCCACATGGTGGGATTTCTCAGTGCAGCCCCAGCCCAGCCTATCCAGGGCCTCTCAGGGTTACATTCTCTCAGATCGACAAAATTTGTTTCTAGGACTTTTATTGTTTTAATTCTCAACCGTCTCTTCTCTCAGCTTCCACACACAGTCACCTTGACGCATTGCTATTCTTTTCTAAACCCACCCTCGGAAGAAAGTGACAATAGAGTTTCCCAAGTTCCATGGGTAGAAGATTGGACAGAAGAAAAGGGAGCAGCCAGGACACTGCGGTAGATCCAGTTTAGCCTTTAAGGTCTGTGCAGCGTTCACACACAAAGGAAATGCGAGTCTCTTGCTACTTGCAGATGTTGCTCCCCTCGGGCACTTTGACCAAAAAAGAAAAAAAAAAAAATGGAAGAGATAAATAAGCGAAGAAGAACCTTTGTGGAGGGGAGGAAGTGAGGAAAGCCCTTTACATTTGTGTTCTCCACATACTCCATGGCAATTAATTCGGTTTCGTCCCAGGAAAAAGCTCTCAGTATAGCAAGCAACATGAAGCTTTGGGTGTTTTCTTTGTTCAAGGTTAACTTTTTGCAAGTCTGATTTCCCCCTGCTCACACAACTCTGCCACAGAGCTCTGGTAGGTAAAGCATTCCTGAGCAAAATAAAATGAAATAAAATAAAGCCTCTACTGTCTGCTCCCAAGCTTGTCTTATTGGCATTTTAAGGCAATATTCAACTCTCCTATAGACGTAATTTTCCATCAGTTATTCTGCCCCAGAGTAGAACACAAAGTGCAGAGAGAAGGAAAGAGACAGAGGCTGCCTGGAATCACCTCTATACTAATAATATCTATCAAGGTTCACTTGGGAGCGTCCCTTCCTCCTTAGGCTGCAAGGACTTTTTTTTTTCCTCCTTCTGCAAACCTGACATGCAGCCAAAAACTCCCAGTGAGGAGATATATTCATTTAACTGTGCAAAGGTCAGACAAAAATGTGGTAAGGGCATTTTATTTTTCAACGCATATTAATCTCGATTTTGCTCCCCTTCAGAGACTCTTAAAAAGCCGTGGGAGTCAGCTCAGCACCTCAATGCAGATTTCTGGCAAGCACCATTCAAGGATCTGTGGGCTGCAATGACACGGGTGGTCAAGGGCGGAATTACACAGCTCAGACCCGAGCCAGCTTCTTTGCTTTGACTGTTTTCCTCTTGCTGCGTCTCTTTGGTCTTCGGAAGGAAATCTGTTAGGTGGTTAATTTTAAGTGAAGGGCTACCTCTAGCATTAGCATGCCCAATACAAATGCTTCCAATAACAATTCTACAATTTGCCTCTGTGAAGCAATAAAAATTAATGAACACAAGAATGATGGGTGAATGTCCAGGAAGAATTTACTTTTGTTCTTTGTCAATTAATTAAAACGCACCCACACACACTTTGTTTATTTATTTTTTTATTTTTTTATTTTTTTTTTTACAGCCATGCTCTCTTCTTTTCTGGGAAAAGAGAACAAGGATGTATCATAATCTTTTTACCACATCTGGCTGTTGCATTTTCCTCTATTTTTCCAGCTCACCTAAGATTCAGCTTACGATATAGCTTCTAAACATATTATTTATTACTACCTCAATCATAGCCAAAACTTATATGTGTTTACCAAACAAATCCTATTACTATGTCTTACCTAGGTTTTGCTTATATTATGTAAAGGGTCCTTTCATTTAAAATCAGTTATTTCCTTTATTAAGAGCAGCAGGGAATTTGGTTGCACACTGCAGTGGTTAAATTGCCAAACCTGATTCAATCCAAAGAATCATCTCCGAACACTCCCAGTTGAGAATAAGCCTTGGGCAGAACTCCAATTTGTTGCAAAAAACTTTAGCATATAAAACGGTTATGAAAATATGACAACAGAAGATCCATTTCAGTACTGCTACAAAACAGTATGTTTCTGGTGTATTTTTGACCAAACATCCTCCCATGCCCCCATTTACTTCAATCAAGTACACCACCTCAGTGCTGGAGAGTGTAATAGGAACACTCTCATATTAAGATGCACACACATTTATGTGGCCATGAACATTCAAGATGTATTTGTAGAAGAATTCTGCTTCTATAAATTACATTCTCATAGAGAAAATGATAATCACTTTTAGTGCTTTGAGGTTATGCTATTTTCACATCAGATGTGAAGCTGCTTTTTGAAATCTTAGATAAAACTTTTAGATTAACAGCTACTGTGCACAGTTTAGCCCTAAGGCAAAGAAGGATGGAAAGATTAGGATTTCTTTCTTATTTAAATCTTACTGTTAAATCACATGGAGCCAGCTGAGTTCTTGGGGGGAAAAAGTCAGAAAATAGTAGAGTGAGAAAAGTAAGCACTTTAAATTGATAACTCTTCATACATTTCCCTAAACCTGCTTTTTATTAGACATTAAAAGTAGTTGGAATACATTTAATAAGTTGTTTTCGCTCTACTACTTGGAACACATTGAAGTCTTTCAAATGGTGGTTGAATCAAACATTCTGAAATGTTTTCCAGGGTGTATAATATAAAAAAAAATGCTTCTGAAATAAGATAAGGAATGTTTAACTATTATATATCACTTTATATAAATTATAGCTGATTATCAGCTATAATAATAAACATATATTGAGAAATTAGTTTTCTAAATTCTTGTCTTGTAAGAAGTAATGTAGAAAGGAAAAAATACCTAAGAGAGACTAATCTTTCCTAGTTAAAATCAATGGTTCACCGCATTACATAGAAAGCTTCCTTCCGTGTTCCCCAATCTACAGAAACAGAGAGCACTAAGTATAAGAGCTAGATTTGAGGTAAACAGTGAATTCCTTTTCAGATGACTCCCTTTATTGTTATTATATTTAAAAACATAAAGGGAGATGATGCTTGCCATCTTAGGTTATATTATATCTTTAAAAATGTTTATTTATTAATGCCTTTTAAAATTGAATTGTGAGACTTGATTCATGGTTTTCAGAAATAAGATATTTGTTTATGTGCATATAAGAAAAACTAAACATATTAAGAAATCTCCATGCATTGAAACAACTGGCTTATTTAATCTTGAGTTATTGCTGTTGGCTAAATATAATACCAGGTTGTTTTTCCTTAATTTTTAATATTGAATGAACTTGTTCAATAACTAAAATAGTAGGTGTATTTTGAACTATGCATCTGGAAATTTTTTATATTCATTCTCTATCCTCACGGAAGAGACCAGAAGCAATTTTAGTGTCCATAATTTTTGATGTAGCACAAAGGTTTTCCCCAATATTTCGCAGCAGAGCACTAAGATGCTTGACCTGCCTGAATCTGTCTCACTTGGCTAGAGATGGCCTGTCAAATCCATCAAATACTGATTGGAATAGATTACTGAGTTGATGGAGCACTGGGATTAGGCCCATCCTTCTGCAAGAGACTCCGTAATCATGATGAGAGGTTATTGTTGCCAAGGAACTCAAAAGAGACAAACCACACTGCATGCAAGGATCAACTAGAGCTTTTTGTAATGCAACAGACATTGAAAAATGATACAATTCATGACATGCGCCCCTAAGCCCAGTGAACATCAAAAAAAAATATGTTTAGCAGTCATAAAAGTACAACTGCAACATTTTAACAAAAGTAATAAATTTGGAAGGTTTCCAAGCCTTCCAAATAAATTTAATCTTTCCTTGAAGCTTAATGTTTCTATTTAATTGAAATGTAATGTTTTATTTTTTGCTCTTATAAACAGAACATGATATCTCTTAAAGGCAAATTATAAATTATATTATTCTATTCATAAAAATAAATAAATGGGAATAGGTATATAATTATTGTTCAAACATTGTAAACATGGGCTTTGAGAAGCTAATATTATTGGGATTTTACTAGGTTAAAAGCCAATGACAAAAGCTTTTCATTAAAGTAGGCTCACTGAATGTATTAATATAAGGATGTACAATTCAGCTTGCTTAAATTGTACCAGCACTAAAATGTATGACATGGAGGGTTAAAAATATATTTCCACTGGACTATCATTACTGTGGCATTTTTCTTTTTCTTTGACCCCTAGAAAACTGACTTTTCCTATGTACTACATTGCTGTTTTCCTTTAATTCATCAATGAAATGGAACCACTTTTTAAATACATAAATTCAGTCAAACAGTAAGGTATATGTGCCTTAACTGAAAGAAGATGTAAAATATGACACATTCATATAGAGACCTAAACTCTGAAATATGGAGAGCATTGCTAGTGACAACATCTTCTTGAGCAATGTATTCTGATGACAGAAAAGCCAAAATGTTTTTTTCAATATAGCCAGAACCATAGCGTATAGTAATAAAGAGGAATCCTGGTAGGAATAGCATTATATAACTGCATTTAATTTTAATAAAGATCCTAATCTTCCTAGTCACTCAAGGTATTTCCACATTTCTAGTACAGTAGAAATTTGAGGGATTTAGGCATTATAAAAATGAAATACTTTTTTCTTACAAGCACCCCTGGTCAATAATTTTTAAGAATTTTGATATCAAAGATGGTATAAAGCATGATAAACAACACCTGGTTTGAAGTCTGTTAGACATGCCCCAGCAGCTTTACATATAATGTTTTGAAAATAGATCTTCCCAAAGTTTCTTGAGGTAGACAGTATTATGTTTATTTCATAAACAAGAAAACTAAGGCTCAGAACACTTGTCCACCATCACACCCCAAGTCAGTTTGGTTGAATTGTATTGGATGAAAGGAGCCAGATTATAATAGTTATAATGTGTCTCCTCTATGCTCTCAGAGGCAGTGTTTTTACATGTAACTAGGTGTGACTGTTCAATAGCCATTATTGAAAAAACAGAGAGTGAAATTATATGTAATTACTTACTATCCTATTCCTGTCTCAATTTGTATATATCATATGGTGACTGACATCGTGTCAATTGCCCCCTAAAAATCTAAAACTTAAATTGTGCTCTTCAAAAGGGCTGTGCTGTGTTTTGTTCTTTTTTTAAATCCTATCATTTAACAGAATGCCTGATTACAGGAGAAAAGAGCTATATGAATAAATAAATGAATCACTGCATCAAAAAATTAGTTGCTTAATCTTAGAAGGCTGAAATGAAGAAATTATATAAAAATCCAATCCAAAATTGTTTCCAGAGCTGTTAAGAAAAATTAACCACAGACCAGTGACCACAATATTTGTTAGCTTGCTGGGTTTATCCTTCTCTACTTTATTATTTCCAGGTTGAGGTCATCTCTATTTTAATTTCATATCATCACTAAACAAACAGTGTTCATGTAACTGAATTTTGTTTCTAGAGTGTATTTGAATTACATAAAAAATAACAGTCACTTTGGGGCCCTTCATGGATTCCAGGATTCACTTATTTACTCACTCCACACATACACTTACTGAACACTTTCTAAGAAATAAGTGCTAAGGATAGAAATATGAATAAAATACAGTCCCTACTAATTATAAGTATACAGTTTAACCATTGGAAAAGGCTGCAAAAGACCATTATGCAATGTTTTAGGTGCTACAGAAGTGAGCTCAAAATGCTAAGGAAGAATGGGAAAGGGAATCATCAGAGAAGAGGTGTGAACTCAGTCGTGTTAGAAGACAAGATTTTCAAAAAAAAAAAAAAAAACAAAAAGGGTAGGGCATTGTAGGAAAAAGGTTAATGACAAATAGGACTTTCCTCACATAGGTGGCCATAGGTGGCTGGGTGGATGTGTGGACACATCCCAATACAGACGGCACATCACTGTCTGAGGTTTCTTTGAACTAGCCCATGCATACTGGTGGGCTTGATGCCTGTCTGCTCCTTCCACTTCTTGCCTTGCTTTCCTCTAGATTTCAGAGTTTTCATTTCCCTTGGGCCAGCTTCTGACTCCTCTTGGTCAAATCTTACTACTGACATCTCTGTGATTTTCCTGTAACCATGCCTCCTTGATTATGGATAAAAATTTGTCCTATTACAATACAAGCCAGAATCTGCTGGACATTGTCTTTGGCTCAAGTCTGTGTAATGGGCAGAAGATCTCAGTTGACTTTGGACAAGTCACTTTTCTTTCTAAGCCTTGGTTTTCTTAACAAAATGCAACATTTTTGATACAGACAGGGAAATGTTGGGTAGAGGAGGGCGGTTCTCTGGCAAAGGCCCCACCCCCAAGCCTGGAGACCCACAGCCCTAAGTGGGAACAGGCATTTCTGTTTTTGCACCAAAAACATTGCCTTTTGGCCCCTCACACCTCCCTATCCTATACCCATATAACTCCCAAACCCCAGGGTGCAGAGGCAGACAAACAGATGAGGAGAGGAGGAGAAAACACAAGAAGACAAGCAGACACCAGCAGAATGGCATGGCAGAGAAAGAGAGAAGGGAAGGAACATCTGAATGCCAAGAGGAGTTTGGCAGGGGACGGTCAGAGGGGAGTTCAGCCACTGGACAGCCAAACTCCAGGGGAAGATCATCTTCCCACTCAATCTGTCTTCCAGCTCCCCATCCATCCTGCTGAGAGCCACCCCCACCACTCAATAAAACCCCACATTCCAGCCCCAGTCAGGGGCTTATAATAGATAAAACTCCCATCTCCCTGGGACAGAGCACCTGGGGGAAGGGGCGGCTGTGGGCACAGCTTCAGCAGGCAGAAATTCCTGCCTGCTGGCTCTGAAGAGAGCAGTGGATCTCCCAACGCAGGCTCGAGCTCTGCTAAGGGACAGACTGCCTCCTCAAGTGGGTCCCTGACCCCCGTGCCTCAGGTCTGGGAGACACCTCCCAGCAGGGGTCGACAGACACCTCATACAGGAGAGCTCTGGCTGGCATCTAGCAGGTGCCCCTCTGGGACGAAGCTTCCAGAGAAAGAAGCCGGCAGCAATCTTTGCTGTTTTGCAGCCTCTGCTGGTGATACCCTGGCAAACAGGGTCTAGAGTGGACCTCCAGCAAACTCTAGCAGGCCTGCAGAAGAGGGGACTGACTGTTAGAAGGAAAACTAACAAACAGAAAGTAATAGCATCAACATCAACAAAAAGGACACCCACACGGCTGGGCGCGTTGGCTCATGCCAGTAATCCCAGCACTTTGGGAGGCCGAGGTGGGCAGATCACAAGGTCAGGAGATCAAGACCATCCTGGCTAACATGGTGAAACCCCGTCTCTACTAAAAATATAAAAACAAAATTAGCCGGAGGGGAGGTGGTGGGCACATCTAGTCCCAGCTACTTCGGAGGCTGAGGCGGGAGAATGGCGTGAACCCAGGAGGCGGAGCTTGCAGTGAGCCAAGATCGCGCCATTGCACTCCAGCCTGGGCAACAGAGTGAGACTCCATCTCAAAAAAAAAAAAAAGGATGCCTATGCAAAAACCCCATCCAAAGGTCTCCAACATCAAAGATCAAAAGTAGATAAATCCACAAAGATGAGGAAAAACCAGCACAAAATCCTGAACATTCCAAAAACCAGAACGCCTCTTCTCGTCCAAAGGATCACAACTCCTCACCAGCAAAGGAACAAAACGGGACAAAGGATGAGTGATGAATTGACAGAAGTGACAGAAGCAGTCTTCAGAAGGTAGGTAATAACAAATTCCTCTGAGCTAAAGGAGCATGTTCTAACCCAATGCAAGGAAGCTAAGAACCTTGATAAAAGGTTACAGTAGCTGCTAACTAGAATAACTAGAGAAGAACATAAATGACCTGATGGAGCTGAAAAATACAGCATGAGAACTTCGTGAAGCATACACAAGTATCAATAGCCGAATTGATCAAACAGAAGAAAGGATATCAGAGACTGAAGATCAACCTAATGAAATAAAGAATGAAGACAAGATTAGAGAAAAAAACAATGAAAAGGAATGAACAAAGCCTCCAAGAAATATGGGACTATGTGAAAAGACCAAACCTACATTTGATTGTACCTGAAAGTGATGGGGAGAATGGAACCAAATTGGAAAACATACTTCAAGATATTATCCAGGAGAACTTCCCCAACCTCACAAGACAGGCCAACATTCAAATTCAGGAAATACAGAGAACACCACAAAGATACTCCTTGAGAAGAGCAACCCCAAGACACATAATCGAAAGATTCACCGAAGTTGAAATAAAGGGAAAAATGTTAAGGGCAGCCAGAGACAAAGATCGGGTTACCTACAAAGGGAAGCCCATCAGACTAACAGCAGATCTCTCTGCAGAAACCCTACAAGGCAGAAGAGAGCAGGGGCTAATATTTAACATACTTAAAGAAAAGAATTTTCAACCCAAAATTTCATACCCAGCCAAACTAAGCTTCATAAGTCAAGGAGAAATAAAATCCTTTATTGACAAGCCAATGATGAGGGATTTTATCACCACCAGGCCTGCCTTAAAAGAGCTCCTGAGGAAGTACTAAATACAGAAAGAAAAAACCGGTACCAGCCACTGCAAAAACACACCAAAATGTAAAGACCATCAACACTATGGAGAAACTGCAACAACTACTGGGTAAAATAACCAGCTAGTATCATAATGGCAGGATCAAATTCACACATACCAATATTAACCTTAAATATAACCAGGCTAAATGTCCCAATCAAAAAGTATATCAAAAATTTTATCCACCATGATCAAGGTGACTTTATCCCTGGGATGCAAGGCTGGTTCAACATATGCAAATCAATAAATATAATCCATCACATAAACAGAACCAATGACAAAAACCTTATGATATCCTCAATAGATGCAGAAAAGGCCTTCGATAAAATTCAACACCACTTCATTCTAAAAACACTGAATAAACTAGATATTGATGGGACGTATCTCAAAATAATAAGAGCTATTTACGACAAATCCATAGCCAATATCATACTGAATGGACAAAAGCTGGAAGCATTCCCTTTGAAAACAGGCACAAGACAAGGATGCCCTCTCTCACCACTCCTATTCAACATAGTACTGGAAGTTCTGGCCAGAGCAATCAGGCAAGAGAAAGAAATAAAGGGTATTCAAATAAGAAGAGAGAAAGTCAAATTGTCTCTGTTTGCAGATGACATGATTGTGTATTTAGAAAACCTCATTATCTCAGCCCCCAAAATTTTAAAGCTGATAAGCAACTTCAGCAAAGTCTCAGGATACTAAATCAATGTGCAAAAATCACAAACATTCCTATATACCAATAATAAACAAAGAGCAAAATCATGAGTGAACTCCCATTCACAATTGCTACAAACAGAATAAAATACCTAGGAATACAACTTACAAGGGATGTGAAGGACCTCTTCAGGGAGAACTACAAACCACTCCTCAAGGAAATAAGAGAAGACACAAACAAATGGAAAAACATTCCATGTTCATGGATAGGAAGAAGCAATATTGTGAAAATGGCCATGCTGCCCAAAGTAATATATAGATTCAATGCTATTCTCATCAAGCTACCATTGATTTTCTTCATAGAATTAGAAAAAAACTACTTTAAATTTCATATGTAATCAAAAAGAGTCCGTATAGCCAAGACAATCCCAAGCAAAAAGAACAAAGCTGGTGGCATCGTGCTAGCTAACTTCAAACTATACTACAAGGTTACAGTAACCAAAACAGCATGGTACTGGTACCAAAACAGATATATAGACCAATGGAACAAAACAGAGTCCTCAGAAATAATGCCACACATCTACAATCATCTAATCTTTGACAAACCTGAGAAAAACAAGCAATGAGGAAAAGATTCCCTATTTAATAAATGCTGTTGGGAAAACTAGCTAGCCATATGCAGAAAACTGAAACTGGAGCACTTCCTTACACCTTATACAAAAATTAACTTAAGATGGATTAAAGACTTAAATGTAAGACCTAAAACTGTAAATACCCTAGAAGAAAACCTAGGCAATACCATTCAGGAAATAGGCATGGGCAAAGACTTCATGACTAAAACAGCAACACCAATTGCAACAAAAGCCAAAATTGACAAATGGGATCTAATTAAACTAAAGAGCTTCTGCACAGCAAAAGAAACTATCATCAGAGTGAACTGGCAACCTACAGAAAGGGAGAAAATGTTTGCAATCTATCCATCTGACAAAGGGCTAATATCCAGAATCTACAAGGAACTTAAACACATTTACAAGAAAAAAACAAGCAACTCCATTGAAAAGTGGGCAAAGGATATGAACAGACACTTCTCAAAAGAAGACATTTATGCATCCAACAAATACTTGAAAAAAACCTCATCATCACTGGTCATTAGAGAAACGCAAATCAAAACCACAATGAGATACCATTTCACACCAGTTAGAATGGTGATCATTAAAAAGTCAGGAAACAACAGAGGCTGGAGAGGATGTAGAGAAATAGGAACACTTATACACTGTTGGTGGGAGTGTAAATTAGTTCAACCATTGTGGAAGACAGTGTCGCAATTCCTCAAGGATCTAGAACCAGAAATACCATTTGACCCATCAATCCCATTACTGGGTATATACCCAAAGGATTATAAATCATTCTACTATAAAGACACATGCACACGTATGTTTATTGCAGCACTATTCACGATAGCAAAGACTTGGAACCAACCCAAATGCCCATCAATGATAGACTGGATAAAGACAATGTGGCACATATACATCATGGAATACTATGCAGCCATAAAAAAGAATAAGTTCATGTCCTTTGCAGGGACATGGATGAAGCTGGAAACCATCATTCTCAGCAAACTAACACAGGAACAGAAAACCAAACACTGCATGTTCTCACTGATAAGCGGGAGTTAAACCATGAGAACATATGGGCACAGGGAGGGGAACATCACACATAGGAGCTTGTCAGGGGTTTGGGCAAGGAAAGGGATAGCATTAGGAGAAATACCTAATGTAGATGATGGGTTGTTGGGTGCAGCAAACTGCCCTGGCAAATGTATACCAATGTAACAAACCTGCACCTTCTGCATATGTATCCCAGAATTGAAAGTACATTAAAAAATAATAATAATGCAAAAAAAAACCCCACTTTTATCCTTTAAGTCTATGTGTGACCCAATTCTTTCAGGATGCCGGGAAAGAGCTCAAGATACAGAAAGCTGTCACACTGACCCTCTGCCCTTGTGAAAAGGCAGAGGGTCAATTGAGCTTGTTAAAACTTAAGCCATCTGTGGACAGCAAGGCTAAAACAGCATTGTAAAACTGGGGCTGCAGGCATCCACCCCTAGACAATACTGCAAGGCCAGAGCCCAAAGCACTAACCCCAGCCTGTCAGGGGTTTGAGCAGTGGTGGCCACCCAACGGGTGAGCCACACCCCTGTCACATGTCCTGCAAGGGGGACCAGTGAACTCTCCCATTTAATTTTCAATGAGGCTTATCCTGAACACTACATTAAATGAGGCAAACTGCCCTTTCCCCCTACCTCCATACAAACATTCCCAATTCCCTCATCCTTGTCCTATATATAAAAAAAATTTCTCTAGCACTTATCTGATAATACTCAATTTATTTAGATATTATCGTGTGGTAAAGAATTTAACGTTGCCCAAAGAAAGCTCTGGCCATTGCCTTCAGCCACTGAGAGGTAATCTCTAAACCCTTTGGAGTATTCTGTTTGATAAAAGTGTCTTTGTTTACCTGGGAGATTGGGATATGCCCTAAGTCTAACAGTGGGATTTATGGTAGGAGCTTTGAATCACACAGAGTAAGCCCAACCTCCACAGGGACTGGAGACTGAGGTGGGTAGTTGACCATGTATATGGGATGGGGCTTCAGTAAATACTGAACACTAAGTCTCAAGCTTCCTTGGTTGACAATACTCTGTGCTTGTTATTACACATTGCTGCCTGGAGGAGTTATCTCTGTTCACGACTCCACCAAGAGAAGAAATAGAAGCTCCACATTTACAATGCTCCTGGACTCTGCCTTGTGCATATTTTCTTGATTTATTTTATCTGTATCTTTTCACTGTAATAAACTATAAATGATTATAACAATAAACTGTGCATGAGTATAACAGCTTCTAGTGAGTTCTGTGAATCCTTCTAGTGAATTATCAACAAATGTTACTCAACAAATGTAACTACTCAGAAAGGCCATCTAGGATTTGGCCTAAAGAAGGGAGATGGTTTGGACTTTTCATAGTTCTGAATTGTCTTTCTTTGTGCAGGGATTTAGCTAAGCAGGTCTATAGAATTTGAAAAGAGGAAATGTGAACTTAAAGCCCAAATCAAAGATGAAACTATTCACTTGCCTTGGTCTATTGATTTCGTATATTCATAGAAAGCAGATCTTTTAAAGCTGCTAATCTCATTCTTATTACATCAATAGTGTAAAGGCCGAGAGAGCACCAGGAATGTATAGAGGCCCATTCTACTACATCTAAGTTACTCTACCTAATAAAATGTCATAATGTATGTGTTTATATGTGACTCCTGACCTCACCACTACTAAGTCAATTAATCTGTTTCAGCTACATTAAAACAATTTCCAGACATCTATGCTTTAATTTATAATTCTAATCCGTTATTTCAATACTGTATGGAGATAGAAATAGTCTAATTTGCTTATCACTGCCATGTATATATGATTTGGTTCAGAACTAAGCACAGTTGCATCTCTCTGGCCTAAGAAATGCCTATTCTGCCTCTTGCTTTCCATTTATTTGATAATAATACCAATTTATACCTTGTCACTGAGGCTAAAATAATAAATACATACACAATTTTTGAAAGTCAACCTTTTACCTCATCATTCCTATCCAGTCAAAATTCTTTTGATTTTACTTTCTAATATTCTTGCTGTTTGTCTGCTCCATGTTCAATTCACATTGCCACTGTTTTGTGGATATCTTTTGGTTCACATTTGCCTGGATTATCACCATGGAATTACACAATTATGACACGGATGTTCTGAGTCTGGATGCAGCTAATTGGGCATCTGAGAAGCTTTCATGTTACCACTCAGATATGGAAGTTTGGATATGAAACATTTTGGGTCTTCTCAGTAAGCACAATTTGCCAACAAGCAGAAATCTAGAGAGCCGATGGCTAGCAACATAGATGGTGTGCAGCATTCTGGGAGAAGTATAGCACTTACAGTCACAGCAGACCACTGAAATAACCAGTTGTCTCCATACTCCTGAGCCCAGTTGAAAGGCAACAAGCTGGAGAGAGGCAATGAACCAGAAAATGAAGAAGGGACAAGTAAACATAGCAGACTGGGAAGTCATTCATTTCTCCCACATGCTAAGATCTGCAACCCGTTTTACCTGACAATAAACTCAATGAGGCTTTAAAGATGGGCTGGGGCATGAATTGCCAGATAATTCTCTGTTAAGGATAGGTTTTAGTAATGAAAAAAAAAAAAAAAAAAATATATATATATATATATATATATATTTGCATTATATATACAGGCTTGTCATTGTCATATATATATATTACATTGTCATATATATCATTGTCATATATATGACAATGACAAACCTATATATATAGAATACAACGTTGGGTATCAAAAGATGGAGCCTTGCAAAAAGCCCAGGGCTAGTTAAATGTATTAGAGTAAAAATCCCGACTTTGTTTAGAGGCTGTTCTCTAGTTTTCCTGTCAAGAAGGAACTATTGGACAAGAATGAAAAGTAAAGACTACATAGAATTTAGTGAGAGATTTACATAAAATGGAAGTGTCTTCTAGAAATAAGACTTGATGTCAGTGATTGGGATTTATCCATATAAAGACATGAGGGTCATTTTCCCTACCCATAAAAGAGAGGGAGTGACTCTGGGTAGCCCTGGGTGATCAGCAGCCTAGAAAACCTTAGTAGTCATGCTAAGGCAGAATGGTGGCCACCTGAAAGCGGTCTCTGAGGGTGTGCAGGGAGTGAAGGAGAAAGTTTGCCAAGATCACAGTTCACATCATGATGGGATCTGGATGTTTCAGCTCTGTCTTCCTGTCTGCCGTGTGGCCACCTCTTCTCTAGAACCTTTTTGCTTCCTTGATCACTACCCAGAAAAAAAATCACATGTCATCTCTGAACTCTAGTCACCAAGTCTGACTGGCATTTATGTTCATCTCAATGTTCAGATGGGGCCTGACTAAACACCTGAGTGCAAGACTCCCTTCTCAAGAACATCTTTCACCTCTTCATTGTATATTCCACCCCTAACTCTCCAGCTCCTCATGGTCCAGGGCATCTATTTCAGATAGAGGGGAAGGAAACCCTGCTCTGAGTTGTAACATGTTTTTTATAGCTTCGAGTTCCCATGGGCCCTGTGATTTTAAAACCTAAAACCCTTACTCCTCTTTTCAGTTATAACTACCTTTCCCTAAGGCATGAATGTGGCAAGTTCTGGCTGCAGACCAAGTGAGAAACAGGTCAAGTTTACAGGAAATGCCACTAGTTACTGTTTCCAAAGTGTTATCTCATCGCAATGTAATGGATTCTTCCATGGATTCACATGGAAATTAAAGGGCCTCTCCTATTATCATAACACAAGAAAACTGGAGAAACCTAGTTGCCAAAGAGAACAAATAATATGCTCAGATTAGAGAAATAAAGGCCTATATCATCACATACCAAATTGTTTCATTCATTCATTTATTCATTCAACAGACACCTATCGAGCACCTGAATACCTACTATGTACCAGGTCATAGGCTCTGGGAATACAGCATGTAGAAATAAACAAAATAATCCCTACCCTGATAGAGTGTACATTCTAGTAGGAAGAGAGAGACAAAAATTAACCTAGAGCAGTGGTTTGTAGTTCTCCTTGAAGAGGTCCTTCATATCCCTTGTAAATTGTATTCCTAGGTGTTTTATTCTTTTTGTAGCAATTAGGAATGGGAGTTCACTCATGATTTGGCTCTGTGTTTGTCTATTATCGGTGTATAGGAATACTTGTGATTTTTGCACATTGTATCCTGAGACTTTGCTGAAGTTGCTTATCAGCTTAAGGAGACTTTGGGTTGAGACGATGGGGTTTTCTAAATATACAATCATGTCATCTGTAAGTAGAGATGATTTGACTTCCTCTCTTCCTATTTGAATTCCCTTTATTGCTTTCTCTTGCCTGATTGCTCTGGCCAGAACTCCCAATATTATGTTGAATAGGAGTAGTGAGAGAGCGCATCCTTGTCTTGTGCCGGTTTTCAAAGGGAATGCTTCCAGCTTTTGCCTATTCAGTATAATATTGGCTGTGGGTTTGTCATAAATAGCTTTTATTATTTTAAGATACAGTTTATTGAGAGTTTTTAGCATAAAGGGGTGTTGAATTTTGTTGAAGGCCTTTTCTGCATCTATTGAGATAATCATATGGTTTTTGTCATTGGTTCTGTTTATGTGATGGATTACATTTATTGATTTGCATATGTTGAACCAGCTTTGCATCCCAGGGATGAAGCACACTTGATTGTGGTGGATAAGCTTTTT
Source organism: Homo sapiens (assembly GCF_000001405.40). Taxonomy (NCBI): domain Eukaryota; kingdom Metazoa; phylum Chordata; class Mammalia; order Primates; family Hominidae; genus Homo; species Homo sapiens. Next base: position 125,850,009 of record NC_000005.10, read on the forward strand.
GATGTACTCCTGTATTTGGTTTGCCTGTATTTTACTGAGGATTTTCACATCCATGTTCATCAAGCACATTGGCCTGAAATTTTCTTGTTTTGTTGTGTCTCTGCCAGGTTTTGGTATCAGGATGATGCTGGCCTCCTAAAATGAGTTAGTGTGGAGTCTGTCTTTCTGTTGTTTGCAATAGTTTCAGAAGAAATGGCACCAGCACCTCTTTGTACCTCTGGTAGAATTCGGCTGTGAGTTCATCTGGTCCTGGGCTTTTTTTGGTTGGTAGGCTATAAATTACTGCCTCCATAGGACACAAAAAAATGGAAAAACATTCCATACTCATGGATAGGAAGTATCAATATCGTGAAAATGGCCATACTGTCCAAAAAATTTATAGATTCAATGCTATTCTCATCCAACTAGCATTGACTTTATTCATAGAATTAGAAAAAAAAATACTTTAAATTTCATATGGAATAAAAAAGAGCCTGTATAGCCAAGACAATCTTAAGTAAAAAGAACAAAGCTGGAGGCATCTTGCTACCTGATTTCAAACTATACTACAAGGCTACAGGAACCAAAACAGCATGGTAGTTGTACTGAAACAGATATATAGACCAATGGAACAAAACAGAGTCCTCAGAAATAACGCCACACATCTATAACCATCAGATCTTTGACAAACCTGAGAAAAACAAGCAACAGGGAAGGGATTCCCTATTTAATACATGCTGTTGGGAAAACTAGCTAGCCAAATGCAGAAAACTGAAACTGGACCACTTCCTTACACCTTATACAAAAATTAACTCAAGATAGAGTAAAGACTTAAATGTAAGACCTAAAGCCATAAATACCCTAGAAGAAAACCTAGGCAATAACATTCAGGAGATAGGCATGGGCAAAGAATTCATGACTAAAACACCAAAAGCAATGCCAACAAAAGCCAAAATTGACAAATGGGATCTAATTAAACTGAAGAGCTTCTGCATAGCAAAAGAAACTATCATCGGAGTGAACTGGCAACCTACAGAAAAGGGAGAAAATGTTTGCAATCTATCCATCTGACAAAGGGCTAATATCCAAAATCTACAAAGAACTTAAACAAATTTACATAAAAATACAATCAATCCCATTGAAAATAGGTGAAGAATATGAACAGCCACTTCTCAAAAGAAGACATTTATCCAGCCAACAAACATATAAAAAAAGCTAATCATCACTGGTCATTAGAGAATGCAAATCAAAACCACAATGAGATACCATCTCACACCAGTTAGAATGGTGATCATTAAAAAGTCAGGAAACAATAGATGCTAGAGAAGATGTGGAGTAATAGGAACACTTTTACAGTGTTGCTGGCAGTGTAAATTAGTGCAACCATTGTGGAAGACAGGGTGGCGATTCCTCAAGGATCTAGGACCAGAAATACCATTTGACCCAGCAATCCCATTACTGGGTATATACCCAAAGGATTATAAATCATTCTACTATAAAGACACATGCACACATATGTTTATTGCAGCACTATTCACAATAGCAAAGACTTGGAACCAACCCAAATGCCCATCAGTGATAGAATGGATAAAGAAAATGTGGCACATATACACCATGGAATACTATGCAGCGACATAGATGAAGCTGGAAACCATCATTCTCAGAAAACTAACACAGGAACAGAAAACCAAACAACTCATGTTCTCACTCATAAGTGGGAGTTGAACAATGAGAACATACGGACACAGCGAGGGGAACATCACACTTACAGGCCTGTCGGTGGGTGCGGGGCTAAGGGAGGGATAGCATTAGGAGAAATACCTAATGTAGATAATGGGTTGATGGGTGCAGTAAACCACCATGGCACATGTACACCTATGTAACAAACCTACACATTCCGCACATGTATCCCAGTACTTAAATTATATTAAAAAAATTAAGCTAGATAAGTAAAAGAAATATAGTATGATAATATTAAATGTTATGAAGAAAAGTAAAGCAGGGAAGGGGAGTGAAAAATTTATGAAGTATTACAGTTTTAAACAGCCAGAAAAAGGCCTCACTTAAAATAGAGATGATCAAATAAAGACATGAAAGAAGTGAGGGAGAATGTAATGTGGATTATCTTTATAACAGTGATGAGGATTATGTGTCACAATTATTGATCTTTTACTATTCAATTATGCATTGTGCTAAAATGTTTATACTTTTTATTTCATTTACTATTGATAACATCTTCATGGCCCAAATACCATTATTAATTTCATTTACAGATGAGAAAAAATCAAGAATAATTTCTAACTTCACATAGCTACTTAATTCCAGAGCTTAAATCTGAACACCATACTACCTGACATAAAGCCTCTGAACCTGACTGGTATGCTCTGTATGTAAATAGTAATTATGCCCCAAAGAGTCTAGAAAGATGTTTAGTCAATTCTGACAGGCCCCTATATTACTCACTAACTTGCCTGAACTCATATGGTGGTGTTAAATATGACTTTGTTGCTCTGTCGGTTCACCTTTTAGTTTTAAAAAGTTCACCTAAGATCACCATCCCCAAATTCTTTTAAGTTTGGCCTCCTTCTGTTTTTCTATTCTTAACATACCCTGGCCAGGGCTTTAGTTTTAACCTGCTACCACCTATTGTTTAACGGCCAGAAGGCTTCATATCCCCCTTAAAAAGAACGACAAGAAAATTGTTTGCCCAATGTTCTCTCTCTGTCTTTTTTTTTTTTTTTAGTGGAGCATTGTTTTTCTGTGTACAGTAATCCCTGTTTCAATCTCAAAGAATCAGATTCGTCTATATAGAGTAGGCAGCTAGCAATTTGACAGCAAACCTGAAAGAAGCAATGTTGCCTAGTAAGAATCAATTCTTAAAGAGTAAGTATTTTGACTACACTACAAACAAATACCTAACATATACATTTATAGTTCAGTCGAATGGGCTCACAGTAGGGGTAATCAGATTGTAGTACCCATCTTACAATGCTGTTCTAACCAAGCCCACCCTTGTCTGAGACCACTATATATTTTATTTTCATATGTATTATCTTCGAGCCTCAGATTCAGTGAATATGATGTAACCAGTATATTAAAAGGCCAGAACTCAGCAGGGCACAAATTTGGACCTGTTTTATTTTTCTCCAATCACTGCTTTTTAAGTTCTATTTCCTTTCATATACAAACAGCCCAGAGATACACCAGCAATTGTATTTTTCCTAAGGAGATATCTAACCAAAGAATTATCAGTTTTTCCTGTTTGTAGTCACCCTGATTTGCTGAGTGACTCTCTTGAAATTTAAAATTTTCTTCTTTGATTTAGGAGTTTTGCTACCTATGTTAGGTCTTTAAAACATATGGAGATTATTTAGCATATATTGTTCTAAATTTAGGGGTTTTAACCACAATCCTGAGACAATAGTAAAAATTTCATTCAAAACTCCATAACAGAAATATTCAAAATTGTTTCAGTTTCAGTTAGTGGCAGAGTAGCTGATATCAGAAAACCCTCCTACTAATAATTATTTAAAATGCTAGACAAAATATTATAAAACTACTATTTGAAAGTTCTGGAGACTAGGTAGTAAGTAGAGAGGTTAGAACACTTGAACAGAGAGAACTATACAAGATGAGGTCCATATTTATCTGTTTGGATTCCTTCCCCTTGATGGGGCTCCCCAAATTTGCTGAGCGGGGTGACAGAGCTTAATCAGGACAGAGTAGTTTTATTAGGATAAGTAGTCAGAAGTTGGAGTTGAATTACTTTGTAACATTAGGAAATAGAGGGGAAAATTCTATAAAGGAATGAATACACAAGGGAAAGGACCCAAAATCTGGCTACAAACTCTGCTAAAATACTTGGCGGACTCTTCAACTACATAGTCCTGAAAAGATATTCTGAGAAGTCCAGGGAAAATAATAGCTGAAAGTATAAAGGAGCTGATTAGTGATCTCATAAGGTACCTGCCACTAGGATGCAGAGCTGGGAATGCAATCATTCAGAGTTATAGAGGCTTGATAAACACCTTGAGTAATACATTGAAATCCTATTAAGACTACAACTTAGGAGTGAAGATCATGCCCCCGAACTAAGGGATATGTGCTAGTATTAAGGGCAAAATTGAAATGGATTCATCCAACCAAAGCTCATAACCAAGCCTCCCTTTGATCAAGTGATCTACCAGTAATTTAACTGCCTCCCCAAACAGAAAGCAACACTCTTCAGAAAAAGACAAAAGAAAAATGACAGGCCTCTATAATGTATTGTCTACAATGTCTATTAGTCAACTATCACTAGACATGCAAACAGACAGGACAGAATGTTAAAATAACTATGACACATGCTAAAGAAAGCATGGGAAAATGTAGACATAATGAGTAAAGAAGTTAGAAATTTCAGGTGTGATAAGAGAATTCAATGGAAATCTTTGAAATGAAAAAATATAACTTTTGATCTGACATTTAAGTCTTTAATCCATCTTGAATTAATTTTTGTATAAGGTGTAAGGAAGAGATCCAGTTTCAGCTTTCTACATATGGCTAGCCAGTTTTCCCAGCACCGTTTATTAAATAGGGAATCCTTTCCCCGTTGCTTGTTTTTTGTCAGGTTTGTCAAAGAACAGATAGTTGTAGATATGTGGCATTATTTCTGAGGGCTCTGTTCTGTTCCATTGGTCTATATCTCTGTTTTGGTACCAGTACCATGCTGTTTTGGTTACTGTAGCCTTGTAGTATAGTTTGAAGTCAGGTAGCGTGATGCCTCCAGCTTTCTTCTTTTGGCTTAAGATTGACTTGGCAATGCAGTCCCTTTTTTGGTTCCATATGAACTTTAAAGTAGTTTTTTCCAGTTCTGTGAAGAAAGTCATTGGTAGCTTGATGGGGATGGCATTGAATCTATAAATTACCTGGGGCAGTATGGCCATTTTCACAATATTGATTCTTCCTACCCATGAGCATGGAATGTTCTTCCATTTGTTTGGATCTTCTTTTATTTCATTGAGCAGTGGTTTGTAGTTCTCCTTGAAGAGGTCCTTCACATCCCTTGTAAGTTGGATTCCTAGGTATTTTGTTCTCTTTGAAGCAATTGTGAATGGGAGTTCACTCATGATTTGGCTCTCTGTTTGTCTGTTATTGGTGTATAAGAATGCTTGTGATTTTTGCACATTGATTTTGTATCCTGAGGCTTTGTTGAAGTTGCCTATCAGCTTAAGGAGATTTTGGGTTGAGACACTGGAGTTTTCTAGATATACAATCATGTCATCTGCAAACAGGGAGAATTTGACTTCCTCTTTTCCTAATTGAATACCCTTTATTTCTTTCTCCTGCCTGATTGCCCTGACCAGAACTTCTAACACTACGTTGAATAGGAGTGTTGAGAGAGGGCATCCCTATCTTGTGCCAGTTTTCAACGGGAATGCTTCCAGTTTTTGCCCATTCAGTATGATACTGGCTGTGGGTTTGTCATAGATACCTCTGATTATTTTGAGATACGTCTTATCAATACCTAAATTATTGAGAGTTTTTAGCATGAAGGTTTTTGAATTTTGTCAAAGGGCTTTTCTGCATCTATTCAGATAATCCCTAGAAGATAAACCCTAGAAGAAAACCTAGGCAATACCATTCAGGACATAGGCATGGGCAAGGACTTCATGTCTAAAACACCAAAAGCAATGGCAACAAAAGCCAGAATTGACAAATGGGATCTAATTAAACTAAAGAGCTTCTGCACAGCAAAAGAAACTATCATCAGAGTCAACAGGGAACCTACAGAATGGGAGAGAATTTTTGCAATCTACTCATCTGACAAAGGGCTAATATCCAGAATCTACAATGAACTGAAACAAATCTACAAGAAAAAAACAAACAACCCCATTAAAAAGTGGGCAAAGGATATGAACAGACACTTCTCAAAAGAAGACATTTATGCAGCCAACAGACACATGAAAAGATGTTCATCATCACTGGCCATCAGAGACATGCAAATCAAAACCACAGTGAGATAACATCTCACACCAGTTAGAATGGTGATCATTAAAAAGTCAGGAAACAACAGGTGCTGGAGAGGATGTGGAGAAATAGGAACACTTTTACACTGTTGGTGGGACTGTTAACTAGTCCAACTATTGTGGAAGTCAGTGTGGTGATTCCTCAGGGATCTAGAACTAGAAATACCATTTGACCCAGCCATCCCATTAGTGGGTATATACCCAAAGGATTATAAATCATGCTGCTATAAAGACACATGCACACGTACGTTTATTGTGGCACTATTCACAATAGCAAAGACTTGGAACCAACCCAAATGTCCAACAATGATAGACTGGATTAAGAAAATGTGGCACATATACACCATGGAATATTATGCAGCCATAAAAAATGATGAGTTCATGTCCTTTGTAGGGACATGGATGAAGCTGGAAACCATCATTCTCAGCAAACTATCGCAGGGACAAAAGACTAAACACTGCATGTTCTCACTCATAGGTGGGAATTGGACAATGAAAACACATGGACACAGGAAGGGGAACATCACACACCGCGGCCTGTTGTGGGGTGGGGGGAGAGGGGAGGGATAGCATTAGGAGATATACCTAATATTAAATGACGAGTTAATGGGTGCAGCACACAAACATGGCACATGTATACATATGTAACTAACCTGCACATTGTGCACATGTACCCTAAAACTTAAAGTATAATTAAATATATATATATATAACTTTTGAAATTTATTAGATGAAATCAATAACAAATGGGACACAAAAATGAAAAGGAACCAATGAACATAAGGCAGACTGTAGAAATTATACAAACTAAAGCCCAAAGAAGACGAAAGGATTGAAAAGAAACAAACCGGCCCCAAAGACTTGGGCATAGTATCTAGTTGTCTATCACATGTGTAACTGAAGTCTCAGAATGAAAGTAAACAGAAATGAAGCAGAAAAATATATTTGAGGAAACATTGGCTAATATTTGTTTTCGTATGTGATCAAAACAACAACTCACAAATTTGGGGGAGCTTAGTTAACCCCCCAACATAAAACCACAAAGAAATTCAGAACTAAGCTCTTCAAAGTCTAACTGCTGAAACAAAAGAAAAAGAGAAAAATGTAAGAGCCCTGAAAAAGAGAAACATAATACTCAAGGAAAATATGATGACTGACATCAGCAGAAACAATGGTAGTCAGAGAACAATGGAATACATCTTCAAAGTGCTAAAAAAAAAATAAACTGTCAGCCAGAATTCTATGTCCAACGAAACTCTCTTTGACAAAAGGAAAGCAAAGTCATTTATCAAATAACATAAAGCTAACTCGTAGGTAGACATGTTATAAAATATGCTAAAGATAGTTTTTTATGATGAAGGGAAAGAACATCAATGGGAATTTAACAAGGAATAAAAAGCACAGGAAATGGTAAATATTTAAAGGACTACTTTTTTCTTATGTTTTTAAGGATAATCGGCTGTTAAACAAAAATAATATATTGTAGCTTTCATATCATATGTATAAGAAAAGTGCATAAGTATATGACAATAACTCAAAGACAGATGAAAGTAAGTAGAACTATTCTATGGTAATAATCTTACATTATATATGAAGTGGTAAAATATTAATTCAAAGTAGACTGTGAAAAATTAAAGATAAATTATAACCACTACAGCAATCATAAAAGAGAATACAAAGAGGTATAGCTTTAAAAAGCCTTTAGAAATGAGAGAATGAAATACTAAAATATACGTGTGTAGTTAGATAGATAGATGGATAGATATCCAAAAGGAGAAAGAACAAAAGAAATAATGAAACAAGGAACAAAAGCACAAATAGAAAATTAACAGTCAGGTGAATAATTAAGCCCATGATATAAATTGTGAATTTATTTACTTATGTTTATTTATGTGACTAGAATAAACATTTCAAATAAAAGACAGAATTGTTTAAAAAATCATCAATATCCAACTAAATGTAGTTTCCAAATGATGCACTTTAAATATAAGCATGTAAATAGATTGAAAGAAATGTGTGAGAAAAATATACCATGCCAACAGTAAGCATAAGTAAACTTGTGAGCATTTATTAGTGTCACAAAAGTATATTTCAGGGCAAAGTACTACCACCAACAAACAGGATTATTTTATAATATTAACTGGTCAATTCATCAAGAAGATAATAAAAATACTAAATGATATTCACCTAATAACAGAACTTCAAAAATACATGAACCTGACAGAATCAAAAGGAGAAACAGACAAACCCCCAATCATTGTATGAGATTTTTATACCCTTCTATCAATGACTGACAGAACAAGTAGGAAAAAATAAGTTAGGATATCAAAGATTTGAACAACTCTATCAATAAACTTGAACTAAATAACATTTATGGAACGTTGACACAAAAATTGTATAATTCACAGTTTGATGCTATCCCTCCCCTCTCTCCCCAACCCCCCACCAGGCCTCTATGTGTGATGTTCCCCTCGCTGTGTCCATATATTCTCATTGTTCAACTCCCACTTATGAGTGAGAAAATGAGTGAGAACTTATGAGTGAGAACACTAATAAATGCTCACAAGTTTACTTATGCTTACTGTTGGCATGATATATTTTTCTCACACATTTCTTTCAATCTATTTATGTGCTTATATTTAAAGTGCATCATTTGGAAACTGCATTTAGTTGGATATTGATTTTCTGTTACTGTGTCAGTTTTCTGAGAATGATGGTTTCTAGCTTCATCCATGTCACTGCAAAAGATATGAACTCATCCTTTTTATGACTGCATAGTATTCCATGGTGTATATGTGCCACATTTTCTTTATCTAGTCTATCATTGATGGGCATTTGGGGTGGTTCCAAGTCTTTGCTATTGTGAACAGTGCTGCAATAAACATACATGTGCATGTGTCTTTATAGTAGAATTACTTATAATACTTTGGGTATATACTCAGTAATGGGACTGTTGGGTCAAATGGTATTTCTGGTTCTAGATCCTTGAGGAATCGCCACACTGTCTTCCACAATGGTTGAACTAATTTGCACTCTCACCAACCATTGTGGTTGGTGTATAATAATATCCAATGGTGATTTTAATTTGGTTTTCTCTGATGACTAACTACTTAAGCATCTTTTCTTGTGTGAATTGGTCATTTGTATACTCTCTTTTGTAAAAGGTCTGCTCAAATCTTTTGCCCATTTTTAATTAAGCTTTTGGTCTCATTAGTGAATCGTACAAGTTTATTTTATATAAAATTTATTTGTAAAAATGTATGTATAGCTAATAATTTTTCCTTTACATATCTTGTCTTTTCATTTTTTAATAGTTTTCTTCAAATAAAAAAAGTTTTAAATTTTAATAAGGTGTAATTTATCTTTTTTTTTTTTTTTTTGAGCTCATGCTTGTTGGTTTGCATGTAGAAAATCTTTGTTACTCCAAGATTCCAAAAAAATCTCTTACATTTTCTTCTTTATCTAATACATTTATATCTTGTTCTATTCAAGTTGGTTGTATTTGGTGTGAGGTAAGTGTTAATGTTATCTATTTTTATTTGGGGTAGCATAAAAATATACAGCTGTTTTAGCACTATTTGTTATGAAGAATATAATTTTTCTATTGAAATGCCTTTAAATCCTTGTCAAAAATTAACTGGTCATATCTGTACCATTCTATTTCTAGATTCTCTATTTTGTTTCACTGATACATATGGCTATGCTTTCACCAATGCTAGACTATCTTGACTACTATAGCATTATATAATAATAATGTTTAAATCAGGTAGCGTAAATCTTTCTACTTTGTTATTTAAAGCCCTTTGATTATCCTAGGTCATTTGCATTCCCATACAAATCTTACAATTAGCTTATCAAATTCTACCTAAAAACATTCTACTGAGATTTTGATTGGCGATCGCATTTAATCTATAGGCTAATTTGGGGAGAATTGGCATCTTAACAATATTACCTTTACAGTTCATTAAATTGCAAATCTCTCCATTTTTAACCACTTCTTGAATTCTTCTAATTTTCTATAGCTTTTAAGAAAAATCTCATACATCTTTTGTTAAATTGATTTATAGTTTATATAATTTCTTTGTTATTGTGAATAGAAGTTAACAAATTTTTATTTCCTATTTCTTCACTTACAGTATGTAAAAATGCAATGGATTTTTGTATCCTGTGATATTGCTCATTGTTTTTGTATCCCGTGACATTGCTAATTTCACATATTAGTTCATATAGTTGTTTCGTAGATAACAGGTTCTTTACTTAGCACCAAGTCACCTTTAAATAAAAATAGTTTTCCTCCTTCTTTTCTGTATTTTAATGATTTTATTACTAACCTTATTACAATGATTATGATCACTAGTATAATACTGAATTGTAGTGGTAAAAATAAGCATCCTTGTCTTATTATTCCCCGTCTTTGAAGGAAAGCATTCAACATTTCTCCATTAAGTGTAATGCTAGCAATAGGTTTTAGTAGATGTCTTTTCTTTATTTCTAGTTTGCATAGTTTTTTGTTTGTTTTTATCATATATGGATATTGAATTCTGCCAAATATTTCATGCATTTTCCTCATACAGTATATAAAACTCTTCATATAAATATTTTAACAATTTGTCAATTTCTATTAAAAATTCTGTTGAATTTTTGTGATTTAATTGATAGATCTGTTACCAAAAATCCAGGGGTTCACTTTAGTTCCTGTTGCTCACCACAGTGAAAGCCAATCACTGAGACAACAAGCATTGCTAGAGAGGAAGGCTTTTTATTCAGGTGATGTCAGCTAAGGAAACAGGAGATCTCTCAACTGATTAAAATTGGGGATTCATATAGTGGGGAAGGAATGTAGCTACATGCAAAAAACATGTAGCTACATGCAGAAAAACAGGATTTAGGGAGGGGTAAAGATGCAATCATAAAATCATGATGGATTAGGGCTCTGACATCTCACTGTCTGGATTCAGTGATCTGATGAGTTTCAGTTCCTTGCCTAAGAGTCTGTTTCCTGAGGCGGGAACTCAGATAAGACAAATGTACATTTCAAGTTTTAAGAACAGAGAAGGTCAATTTCTATGTTTATTAAAAAAAAAAAAACCATAAGCACTAGTTCTATGGGACAATTGGGCTGTTTTCAGATCAATTTGTAGAGAACTGACTTTTTTTTTTTTTTTTTTTTTGAGACGGAGTCTCGCTCTGTCGCCCAGGCTGGAGTGCAGTGGAGCGATCTTGGCTCACTGCAAGCTCCGCCTCCTGGGTTCACACCATTTTCCTGCCTCTGCCTCCCAAGTAGCTGGGACTATAGGGGCCCACCACCACGCCCAGCTAATTTTTTGTATTTTTTTAGTAGAGACGAGGTTTCACTGTCTTAGCCGGGATGGTCTCGATCTCCTGACCTTGTGATCCACCCGCCTTGGCCTCCCAAAGTGCTGGGATTACAGGTGTGAGCCACCACGCCCGGCCGAGAACTGACATTTTAAAGATATTATCTTCCATTTTGCGAAGGTTGCAGTGAGCCGACCGCGCTCCAGCCTGGGCAACAGGGCGAGACTCCGCCTCAAACAAACAAACAAAAAATTGTCTTCCATTTTATAAATATGTTACATCTTTCCATTATGCAGGGAGAGTCTTTCTTCATTCCTTTCTTCAATTTATACAATGTATACATTTGTTAAAACTTCTCAAATGGTCTAATTAAAATAGTTAATTTTATTATATATACATGTTATATTTACTTGTTTTTGTAAATACTCCTTTTATTTCTGGTTAGGAACTGGAGGCTCAGAGAGAATGATTAACTCAATACCTAACTCAAAAGATTTTTAGAAGTATCTAACACAAACTAAAATAATAATTTCAGACATCTAGTTCCAATTAATAAGAGCATACTTTCCACTAGTGTCTCTTAATTATTTCTGAATGTGATATTTAGTGGTATAATAAGCAAGGTGTCAGGAGAGCATTAGATATTCCAGAAATAAACACAAACACATGGGGGTAATGACATCTCAGGAATTTGTACAAGATTTTTAAAAATCACTTTCCAAATTTGTATTTCCTTTATTGCAATTAAAAAAATGCTTTTAGAAATACATTAATCGACACTTAATGCAGTTAGTAACCTATTCATATATTTTTAAAGTAGCATCTTAATTTTATAATACTAAGGGTATATGATAGGAATGATGGTAAAATAACCAATTTGATAACTAAACTCTGATATATGTGTGCAAACATATATTGCAGAATATTATCTCTTAGGGAGATCTGTAAATATTTATTGAATAAAATACATCTGATAGAAGTGGCAAATTAATTTTCTCTTATCATAAATTTTATGTAGCATCAGGAGTTATGAACTAAGTAGTAGGAGTAAGAATGCTGCATCTAAAATATTGCATCTGACTATGCTTCCTACAGTGTATATAGACCAGATTCATTCATTATTGAAGCAAAGTCGATACAGCTTTCCATTTACATATGTGATTGAAATATAACATATTTGAAGAACAAAGATGTTCATATAAGATATTTGAAAAATTATTCAAAGCAATAGGATCTTATATCAGTCATTTCTACCTTATCATCAATGTGAATCAGTAAATTCATTCTACAGTTACTTCTAATGAAACAAGTGGCTTTGCACTTTACCATTTCACAGTTCACTTTTCTAACCAATGTGTCATGGAGAGGATAAATAGATCATAATCCTTTTCCATGTTATCCTGTACGCTCCTTGGAATTAGCTTATTGAACACTTCTTTTCAAGTCATTTGTCTACCCTCTCAGGCCATGATTTCTGTCATCTTTTTCTGAATTTGGCAGACCTCTTGATGCCAAGCTCAGCTAGTTATCTGCATCAGATTGTTGAAGTTTTTTATTAAAAACCCACATAGAAAAGACAAAGCAAGTAACCATCAGTCATTCTGACAACAGCAACTCCAAATATGGTCTTCAGTTTTTTTTAATGGTGAACACTTTCTGTCAATAACAAAGTTTATTCCATGGGAGTTACACAGGGAGTTTTCACCCAGAACAATTTTAGTAATTATTTCAGTTTTCTCAATGTAATTCCGTTGCTCTGTGGATCAGCAAGGCTCACTTCAATTATACAGTTCTTAAGGTCATCAGATACAATTTTGGTTTTTGAGTCCTTGCAACTAGTATCTTCCTGATATGTTAAATGTTAAACATAGTTTGTGCTTTACATTACACCAATCTTAGAATATAAATTTTTTTTTTAGTCTTGGCTTCTCTTATGCTGACTTTTCTTAAGTTGCTTTTCCTTCTCTACTGCCACAGTACTGATCAGAGACCCAAAGGGCAGCGAACGTATTTTAACCTAATTCCAGATATCCCAACCACCATAAAAACTGTATCCAAAGAAATAAAATGTATTTGAAGAAAACAACATTTAAAATCCTCTCTTGAAATTGTGGCATAGCACTTATGTTGAAACAGGATTTTTTTTTCTTTTCTTAATCTCACTTTAAAATGTTATCCTTTTTGAATTTGATTTATGTAGCTGCTGGATGAAGGAGCTCTTTTAAATAATTGCCAAGAGAACAAAATAGGAATCAAAGTGTCAAATTCCCTAACATTATTTTGTAGGTAGCCTTAAATACTTCTTTAATGCCTGTGAGAAATCAAATATTGGTAATCTGTCTCTGTCCATTTCTCCCTTCACAGATAGCTAATGACATGCATTATACTTCCCTGACTGTGTGTACCTTTCATTTTACGCAAAGCCTTTAATCCTTCTCTTTTTAGATAAAATGCCGTAACCATAGTGTAGTAGGTTAAGATTGATTGACAAGTGCATATAATTATGGCTTCAATAGTGGAGTATGTTTTACAGTAGAAAAAAAAAATGCACAACCTTGAAAATAAAGAAGTTGTGCCTTTTCTCTGGGATAAAAGAATCATATCAAATTGGTTCATTTCTTTGCTGGAATGAAATAAAAGATTTCCTGTAACAAAGAACACCACCCAAAAGGCTACAGGAGGATGTCTTTCTTGACCAGATAATGCTTTGCCAATAAGAAAATCAAAAGAGATAAAGGTGGAATTTTAGGAGCTTCTCCCCTTTTACTTCATTTCCCATTCATAGTTCACACATAGTTGGAAACAAAAAGAGCTAATAGTAGAGAAATACAACATTCAAAGACATAAATTTACTAAATGTATAAAAATTAATGTTCATTAATTAAAACCAAGGATTATACTAGGTTAAACTAGCTTCCTCTACTTTACTTCCAGCCTCATATTATAACAAAACCTGCAATAAATTCATGTCATATTTCTGTAGTCTTAGTATTGTTTCAATCTAAGTACAAAAATATTTATAGATTTAAGACTTTGTGTTAAAATGAGACTGAATGCACCAGTTGGGAACCTTAGATCTGGGCAGTCAGTGGGAAGACAGAGGCTTCACCTATCCCATGATGGGTATGCTAATGGTCTATAGACTTGTGGGCATGGGTGGTTATTTGCTCACCCACTTATTGAAGCATTATTTGAACACCCACTATGGGCCAGATATCATTCGAGGTTCTGGGAATACACCAGTGAATCAAACGGTCCCTGCTGTGTAGAATTTACATTCTAGTGAAAAAGACTTCTAAGACACTAATACATGCATAATATGCCAATTGGTGATAAGGGCTTTGCTATGGAGAAAATGAAAACCAGTATAAAGAGGACTGGTATTGTGAAGTGTGTGCTGTACTATATAAAGTGGCCAGGGAAGAAGTCTATAAAAAGATGACATTTGAGCAGATACCTAAGGACAGCAAGAGAGTATAATGTGGCTATTCAAGAGCTAAACATTCAAATCGGAGAAAATGCAAAGGCCCTGAAGCTAAGTATATTGGATGTGCAAAGAAGGAAGATAGGGGCAATAAAATAGAAGATAAATGCAAAGGAGTGATAAACATGATGTGCTGTGGGATTTGTTGAGTGAGCAGAGAAGTGATAATATAAGGAAATATGACCCTAAAAAGGTGATAAGATGGATGAATTCTAGACTCGGTGGGTTAAATATGTTCAGAATCGGGATAGAGAGGCACAGTAGCTTTAGAGTAGGAGCTGGGGATCAGAAAATAGAACAGTTGAAATTGTGGGTGGGGTACAATTAATGGTAATGAAAATGTCTAGGGTATGACCATGAAAACGGGTGACTGAGGAAGGTCAGATGACAAGAGTTTAAGAAAAGGAGGTTATGAAATTAAAGTGCTGAAATACTGAATGAATCACCTATAAACTATTGAAATTACCAAGGATTATAATAGGATTAGTATTGAAAAGAATGACAGGATTAGTTTCTTAAACCTTCAGGGAATAAGGAATTGACCCCATAGGCTTATAGACGACCAGGAAGGGTAGAGGGTAGTGTGATCTGATAGTGTAAGTTTCAAAGTGAGGGAGCTGAAGAAAGAAGGGAAAACAATAGTCTGAATAGCATAGAGGAGGGAAGAGAGCACTTAGCCTAAATGAAAGCATATGAAGTTTCAGGAGTTCCTGAAAGAAAGACATACTACTTGAGAGAACTGCAGAGGAAGCAGTGTTGTCAGAGGAGAGCATTGTGTTAAAAAGTTTCACTCAGATAAAGAAGGTGATTATAACACTCAATGTTTGTGCTTCTGGAAGACTTCTTGGATGGCAGCCCATGAGTTTAAGAAGGCATTGACACAGGGTTTAGGAATTTGGGAACGAATGAAACAGGAGTCTGATTAAGCGATAGACAGATGATGGCATGAGGAATGACATCACAATGAGAGGTGGGCTTCTTACCGAGATTAAAATTAAAGGGGATGTGGAGCAGGGTAGACAGTCCAAATAGTCATCTTGGCAAATTGAAATAGAGAGGCTGGGCATGTGGGAGAAGGTTGGGTACCATTATGAGGAACATCACAGTTCTGGATGACCTCTTAATTCCTCTTATGGCAAAGGAGAAGATGCATGAGGGTCCTTTGCTAGGCTAAAAATGCCCTAAAACAAGAAGAAAGATGTTTTATTTCATGCTTATGTCAGCATGCAGTTTAGGACCTTACATATCATGTACACAATAGATGTCTTATGAATTGGAAAGATTCAAATCATAGTATGAATTACCAAAAAAGAAATTTCAGGCTCTGACTTTGTTAAAGTAAGACCTCCTAATGCTAGGCTGTTTAGAAGACAAAATAGTCTCTTCCTTCTATGCAGTGGGTTCTCACGGATGCAGAAAAGCTTGCTTATGTCAAGATACCTCCAATGTTGGCATTTCGCAATGCTCCCAGACAAAGAACTGAGAGAATTTGGGAATAAAAAAGTCTGGTGGTCTTGCAAAATATTTTTCTGACCTATTAATCTTTCATTGTTGCTTTTTAATTCAAAGGCATATGCAAATTATATGCATATTTAAAGTGATACTCTTCTTAAAATGAGAGGCTATCAAGCCCCACGTTCTCAGTGCTTGTCCTTCCAGTTGCTCTAGATCAAGCTTGTCCAACCCACAGCCTGCAGGCCACATGTGGCCCAGGATGGCATTAAATGTGGCCCAACACAAATTTGTAAACTTTCTTAAAACATTACAAGGTATTTTTTTACAATTTTTATTTTTTAGCTCATCAGCTATCCTCAGTGTATTTTATGTATGGCCCAAGACAATTCTTCTTCCAATGTGGCCCAAGGAAGCCAAAAGATTGGACACCCCTGCTCTAGATTGTCTCCTCAAGACACAGTTTGAAAACCATAGTTCTGGCCCATAAAGAAACGAATTTATGTAATGTTTCTGTTTCCTCATGTAGGGAAAAAGAAACTTTTCCTCTACTTATATATTCAGTGGCTGAAGCCTGTGAATTAAACTGACAAAAGACAAATCAACAGGAGTAAACGCATACAGCTTTTGTTGATGTTAATATTTTTACATGTGTAGGGGCTTCACAGAAAAGAAGTCAAAACCCAGAGAAGTAGTTATACTCAGAAGCTTATATAACATTTAAACAAAGGCTGATAAATGTGGAGAAATGACTAGACAAAAGAAAAGGTGGTTGGGCTTCTAGGAACAATAAATTTTGGAAAGGTAAATACATGGAAAACTGATGGAAGGTACAGGTTATTTTAGTAAGGTTTGCTTGTGCAAACTCATTTTGATGCCAACTTTATGTCTTATTTATGGCCACAAAATTCAACTAGAGAGGGGATTTATAATAGTCTTCAACTTTGAGAAGTTTCTTCTTTTAATCAGATAAGGAACACTCTAACTGTATCTGTTGATTCTTAATTGCCTTCACCTCAAAATAATTCTCATGTTTAAAGCAGCATTTTGGGAGGTAGCGTATTCTGATCCTCTTCACTTACAAGGCAATACCTTCATTTTGCAAAAGTCTTTTTCCAATTCATAGTAAAATCTTGACTTCCTGAACCACAGTGGTTCTGGGGCTATCCTAGAGCTTAGTGGATTAAATTAAATTTGCTTATCACAAGACTACTCTTTAACTCTTTGTATTCCGCTAATAGAACCTCATGTGTCTTCTTTTTGCTGGGCTAAGCACTTCTGTTTCTTGGATAATGTAATTTTAGGTGGCACATTATTTTGAAGCCCTGAATGTGGTCCACGAAAAGAAGGATGTTTTAAGCACATGAGCACTGTTATCTTGGATAGCATGTTTTTACCCATAGCCACATCCTGCCCTAAAAATTCTTTAAAGAATTGGAGTGCCTTTTATTCAATAAAGAAACAGAAGAGGACAGCCGTGGAGAGATGATCAATAAACATAATTTGCAACCACTAATACTCTATAGATAAACTTATCAAAATACTTAGCTGTCATTTCAGAAATTGGAAAACAATATCCAAAAGCAATTGGACACTGATGGGTTATTTTGAGAGGAACAGAAGTGTAATCCAAAATCCCAGACAATTGGCCAATGAGGTCAAGACTTGGCAAAACATTTCCAGAAGAGACAGCAGGAAGCTGGAGGTAAATGGGAAGTCAGAGTGAAGGAAGCTATGGCATGGAATATTTGTGTGGAGAGAAAGCTTGGGTAGTAGGGAAGAGAGAAAGGAAATATTTAAAGACAAGAGAAAATAAATGCTAAATCTGGCTACAAGAAATGTATCAGCCATAATAGCAGTGGAAGGAAAGATAACTGAGCACTAAATTTTTTTTATTATTATTAGCTGCCAGTGGATGATGTTGATGAATAAAATGACTGCTAGAACAATGTGGCACCACCGCCTTGATTCAGGCTAATGAGTCAGCACTTATACCCACAATTTGCTTTTGTAACAGGGCTACAAATGTCAATATAGTGAATAAGACAAATGTTGCCTTAGTATTATTAGGAAAATAGTTTTGATCTTTCAGATTCCTTGGAAGGGTGTTGGGGACTCCTAAGAGTCTACAGATTTCACTTAAAGAAGTGCTGCATATTTTATTTTATGATTTTTGTGACAATCACCTTTTAAATCTTCATTCAAAGGTAAGATTTCTCCCACTCCCCCAACTATGGCCTGACACAGGGAAAATGGCAAGGCAAGGAGCTATGTTTTTTTCTGTCTACTTCACTATCTATCCCACTGAATAATAAATGTTTCTGATCCCTCTGCATTTGGGAAGCTGGTTTAGTGCTTGCTGAGCCTGTCACAGGTTTAAGGCTTTCCTAGATGATTTCAAGGATTCTTCAAGGACACCACTTCTTGTGTCTAGATATTGTTCCCCTCAAGTTTCCTTGATGAGTTAGATGTGTCTCTGTTCTCGCAGGTCACTTCCTCCTTCTGTAAGCTCTAACATTGCAGTTAGCTTCACTTTATCTCTAGCCAGGATATTTATCCCAGAAATTGGTTAAGTTCCATTCTATTCCCTATCCTAAAAGATTTGTCCTCATTTCTGAAAATTTTCATAAATATTGGCATCCAACTGAAAGAGTTCTGAGTTACATAGTATAATTGTCCATCAAAACAAATATCCGTAATACCAACCAATTATAAACTAAGAACAACATTATGCTGAGAAAGAGATATTGCATGTAATTGCTGTAAACAAACATTCTTAGAGTTCCCTCACAGTAACTGTTTTTATATGCAACCTCCAACCTGACCTACAATATTGTCAATTATCACGACCGTCTTTACAATCAATATGACTCACTATGATGGAACTAAAAACAAAGTAATTAATACTTTTTGTTAGAGTGGCCAAAATAAAATAGTTCATCATCTATGTTTCTCTATATTATAATAAAACCAGACTATTTACATTTACATATATATAACACATATACACATATTATTTCATACAATTATATTTATATATAATAAATATATAGTATTTCACATAATTACATAATCTATGGTCAAAATCCAAAAGGTTTAGCCTATTTTTCATAGCATTTTCTCAGGAAAATAGATCATTTATATATTAAACTTGTACCAGAATCAGAAATATTTCAGCAAGATAATACAAAGATAGTAATTATATACTTAAAATGTATCCACTAATAATGTACAGTCATTGAAATTTAGCAACAATGTAGGAAATCCTTATCTTTTGTATTATTTCAATAAAATCTCAGTAAAGTTTTCTAAGTAATTTTACTTTAATTGATATAAATAACTCTTCTAATAAATTTAATTTAAATGCCTATTTAAGACTTAATTTAAAGTGCTGCTCTCTAAACTGTGTAGTCTGACCAGACAAATGTTCTTAATGCCAGAGATGATTTGTACTTTGAAATCCTCAGGGAAAAAAATAGATAAAAAGAAAAATGGATCAGCACATCCTTAGTAGCTAAACCATTATTTACTTACTAGGTTTAGTACATGAGAGGGATATTGTCAGACTGCTCACTTCTGCGATAAAATGAAATCACGTCAGCATTTTTCACACCCAACAAAAGAAATATGTAATATATACAGAACTGTACTTCCTTTTAAGGAAAAAAAAATCACCTTCTCAGCTCAATAGCCTACCTTAATCTGGTGATTAAATTCCAAGGATGGGTGATCTTGAGCTGTCATAAAAATACAAAGTGTATCCATATATTGGATTTTATTAATCTCCTGATTTTGACTGCCTTGGTTTTATTCTTCAAATAAGCTAGAAAAGTCCATTTATGTTTACATTCTAAAGCATAATTATTATTATTAAAAAGTCGCAGTAACTTATGAGCTGTAAAACTAGTAAATTATATCCAGTCTGTAAGTAGAACTAATTATAAAGCTGTTGCTTGATTAAAGTGTTTATACTAAAGAGTATTAAAGGGATTAGTCCAAAGCTTTACATCCAGCAGCACGGAATTAATATGCAGGATTTAAACACTCAAATTAATTCAGGTGCAGCAAACAATTATATGAAATAGGAACACTCGACCCAGCTAATGACCACACTAGTCCACCAAGCTAATTTATAATCATGTACTTATTGACCTCTCTGCATGTTCACAAAGGACTGTTCTCATGCTAATTCCTGCCTGCAAGCCACTGTCATAGCCCTATGTCTAGTCATCACAGTGATTAGTACCAGATGGGAACAACAGACTCTGCTTCCCTAATATCATTGCTAGTTTTGTTGCAATGAGATCTCATCTTGCAAGGAGTTACATGTAAATGATAAACTATATATCACCAGCACCATTAAGAAGAAGCATTTAGCAAGAGCTTACTATGAAATTTTCTAGTGTCTTCACCAAACAATCTAGTTATGCTCCAAACCTGACTTTTGTGTTTATCAGCTAATTGGAATAAATGTGGGGAAAGAGAGAGAGATTAGGTCAAAATAATAAATAGTAAAGTATTTAAAAATAAATAATAAATTAGTCCAGTTTAATATTTCTGCATCTGACAATCAAGCTAGTCAAACCACACCCCAGTCCATGCTTACCTTTCTTCAGGATTTCTTTTTAGATCAATGAACCCAGTCTGGGTCCCCTGAAATGTATTCATTAAAAATTTTCATCAAACATTTCTTAAGCTCCTACCTTGTACATCATGAAACGTTTTTTTTAAAAATGTATAATGCAACACTTGCTCCAATGAACCAAGAAGCATGCACTTTGCAGGAAAGAGAAGGTAATTTTACTATTAGTTATGCATAAATTTGAAAGAGTATTGGCATAGTAGAGGCACAAATAATTATGTGAGTTCATATACAGGAAGATGATACCACAAGTAGGGCAAGTGTGCTATATAAACCATTAGACCTCGAGCCCAAAGACATGGGTTAGAATTAGTCTGCTTGTCTTACTAGATGTGTGACTTTAGACAATCTCTTTAATGTACCTGTGCCACATTGTTGAAAATTTTTATTTTATACATACTTAACAGCATTGTTGAATTGGGATGAAATCTAATTTCTCATATCCACATAAAAGAACATCTTTGCTGTTACTAGCTATCTTACCAAAGACATGGCTGGTAAGGTGACCCACTGAGACCAAATACGATTTGTCTGATTTCTTAAATTCATTCATTCATTCATTCTTTAACTGATAGCTGTTTTGGCCGAAAACTCTTCTGTCCTGAGAGAGGGTAACACAGCAAGCAAGAATGATACATTTATCTTCCCTTGAGGGAGATTTTTCACTAGGCTGTCTTTATCTTTAAGGAAGGGTAAAAACATATTGTAAAAACCCAGAGGCCGTTTCTGATGAGCCATAACCAATCTGTATAATGGACAGTATGAAACTAACAGTGCATGGGCTTTGAGGATGCACCCCCATAGGAAAAGTTGGAGTATATCTGGAAATATACCAAGCGGAAGCAATATAAACAAATGATTCTCAGTCTGAGGGTCAGATGCCTGCCTCTGAAAGTGTGTTTTAGATAGTTTGTGACTACTGCAATACCGAGACCCCAGCAATTGCCCAGGAGTGCTAATGAAACAGGATATTTCCCTGATCCCTTTGTGGGTGGGAACAGGAGTGCATGGGAACTGGAACTAGCCGGCCGCTTTGATGCCAACAGGAGCGAACTCCACTCACTCAAACTTGCTGTGTTCCACCCCTTGCAGGAGGGTGAGTGCAGGTGAGGAGGTGCAGGAGCCAGGTTGTGAGCTTTTTCTTTCTTTTTTTTTTTTTATTATACTTTAAGTTTTAGGGTACATGTGCACAACGTGCAGGTTTGTTACATATGTATACATGTGCCATGTTGGTGTGCTGCACCCAATAACTCATCATTTAACATTAGGTATATCTCCTAATGCTATCCCTCCCCCCTCTCCCCACCCAACAGGCCCCAATGTGTGGTGTTCCCCTTCCTGTGTCCATGTGTTCTCATTGTCCAATTCCCACCTATGAGTGAGAACATGCAGTGTTTAGTCTTTTGTCCCTGCGATAGTTTGCTGAGAATGATGGTTTCCAGCTTCATCCATGTCCCTACAAAGGACATGAACTCATCATTTTTTATGGCTGCAGAGTATTCCATGGTGTATATGTGCCACATTTTCTTAATCCAGTCTATCATTGTTGGACATTTGGGTTGGTTCCAAGTCTTTGCTATTGTGAATAGTGCCACAATAAACGTACGTGTGCATGTGTCTTTATAGCAGCATGATTTATAATCCTTTGGGTATACACCCAGTAATGGGATGGCTGGGTCAAATGGTATTTCTAGTTCTAGATCCCTGAGGAATCACCACACTGACTTCCACAATGGTTGAAGTAGCTTACAGTCCCACCAACAGTGTAAAAGTGTTCCTATTTCTCCACATCCTCTCCAGCACCTGTGGTTTCCTGACTTTTTAATGATCACCATTCTAACTGGTGTGAGATGGTATCCCATTGTGGTTTTGATTTGCATTTCTCTGATGGCCAGTGATGATGAGCATTTTTTCATGTGTCTTTTGGCTGCATAAATGTCTTCTTTTGAGAAGTGTCTGTTCATATCCTTCGCCCACTTTTTGATGGGGTTGTTTGTTTTTTTCTTGTAAATTTGTTTCAGTTCATTGTAGATTCTGGATATTAGCCCTTTGTCAGATGAGTAGATTGCAAAAATTTTCTCCCATTCTCTAGGTTGCCTGTTCACTCTGATGGTAGTTTCTTTTGCTGTGCAGAAGCTCTTTAGTTTAATTAGATCCCATTTGTCAATTCTGGCTTTTGTTGCCATTGCTTTTGGTATTTTGTGCACAAGCAAGAGCGAACTCTGTATCGGCCCTACCCCAGCATCTAAGGGAGGGTGCTTGTGACCCCTGGAGCCCCAGAGGAAGTGTTGCAGTACTCTTTTAGCTCTGCTGTCTGTGGATGGCTTAAGTGTTATCAGCTCATTAGAGGGTCAGTGTGACAGCGTTTTGCACCCGCACTCATGGCACCTGAGGTCTTGTCCAGTGTCCAGGAGGAATGAAGTCACACACATAAATTGAAGATGGTAAATGCAGGGAATTTTATTGCTGATGAAAGTGGCTCTTAGCAGAAAGGAGAGCTGAAAAGGGGATGGAGTGGGAAGACAAATTTCCCCTGAAGTCCAGCTGTCCCAGCTAGACTCTTCTCTGAAGCTACACTGTCAAGCTGTCCCTCTGAAGTCAAGCCACTTCTTTCTGATATCCAGCTATAGTTTCTGAAGTCTGGCTGCTTCTCCTCTCTCTGCCAGCTGAGCCTGGGATTTTATGGGCACAAGATGGGGGGTGGGGCGGGCCATGGTTAGTTTTGGAAAAGGCAACACTTGAGTGGGAAAACAGCAATGTCAGTTCTCACCTTGGGCCATGGTATTGGGCTTTTCAGCTTAAGGTTGTGGCCCTCACTGAGGACCCACCTTCTTCTGCCCAGAATTTCCCTGCTCCTGTCCCGATCACTACTGGACCATAAAAGTGACTCCAGCTCCCCAAGAGACCACTCCCTATAACAAGAGTAAGACGGAAGCAAATTGAAAATTATATGAATGAGGCTTAGGCTTTAGGACTTCTTACCTGGCCAGGCCTCTCCAGGAAGTTAAGGCATCTGATCTAAAGTCATACTTCATACATAATGTGTTTAATAATCATATTGCTGAATGAGTGAATAAGTTTGTCTTGGGTCATTTTTACCTCATCCCCACTTTGCCTAACTTCTCAACAGACTGGAGGCAAAGTATATTTAGGAAGCAATAGATTCAGTAAACTTCTCTTTAATGTTTGAATATTGTACTTTGAAAATTATTTCAGAAGATGTTGAGAAATCCTCCATATCTGATAAGGAAGTTTTGCTTCTATATTTTATTAGCAAATAAAGGGCTTATTATTTTAACTTTTTGAGGCTATGGTTGTCCTCAGATCCACAGGAACTGAGTAATTTGGCCTCTAGCCTAATGGCTAAAGGTTATCTGAGTCAATCCTACAAATAGGCCACACCAGAGTCACATAAAAACTAAACTGTATGGTATATAACCTGCTGTTGTGTAGATTACTCAATTTTAAAGTAATATGGTAACAAAAATTTGCATTTTAATATACAAGAGATTTGGAGGAGCAAGAGACAAAGATGATGGATTAGTACTGACAGTAAAGATGGGGAAAGGGGTTCTCAGATCATAAAACTGTATGCTTCTCAAAGTAGAAAGTTTTCTGATTCTCAGAAATCCTAAAACTTGGCATGAAGTCTTGGCCATAAGAAGCTACTAAATAATTACTTGTTTCTAATAAAGCTGATAAAAATGATCAGTTGGAGAAGAGATAATACAATTTCAGGAGCTGTTTGAATGGAACAAGGGCCTGAGGTCAGAGATGTACTCTTGGAAGAAACCTGCATGGGAGTGAGGAAGCAGAATAGGGCTGGGAGAAAGGAAGGCGAAGCTGTGGTTTCAAGGAAAGTCTAACTTCAGCTTATTTCTATGGGGAGCTTTGGAGTATAAATTTAGCACTGAGATTGTTCCACTAGAGGAATGGGTTGGGCTTTTATCTACCATATCAGTCAAGCATTATCCAGGGCCTACTCTTGGAGAAGGAGGCATGCAGAACCCCTCAGTCGTCTCCAGGTGGCTCTGTCAGTTGAGAATACTTGTAGAAGAGGTATATGGGTGTGAGCCATCATCAGCCAACACTCACAGCAGCTGAGGCATGGGTGTCCCAGCCTAGTAAAGAGTCCCAACGGCAACTACTACAAAAGTAGACCAGATATTCCAGGTCCTCGCTTGGAAGGCATGAGAGAAAAAGAAATAAAATTGCTGGACCATGGGAGAAAAATTTACTCCATGAGAATAATTTAAAAATATAGAAAAAATAAAGTTTTTCTTAAAAATAAAGATTTCTTAACTACATTTGCTAACTCTGTGGCAGGCACTAGGCTACAAAATTTATGTGTGTGTGTGTGCATACATATATATATGTGTGTGTGTGCACACATATATATATGTATGTATGCATGTATCTGTATATATAGTTTTCTCTAACCCTAACAAAAATTCAGTGGAGATATCATTGTCTTTACGGATGAAGAAACAGACTCAGAAAAATCACGTATCTATTAAGTAGTAGTTATGACAGTCAAATTTGGGTCTATCTGACTCCACAATCCATTCCCTTGGAACATTAAGCCATTTTAACAGACTGTTTTATAAATATTAATTATTATATCAATAAAATTCTGGTATGTTCTCTGAGTTGACGTGAAACATTTTCTTTCTAAATGTATTTCTTCTTGCTTAAAGAAGAAAGGAACCCACAAAGGACTCCATGATTGAGTTTAATATAATGTCCACTGAAATCATAAGGTGTTTTTAGGATGTAAAAACATAGTTGTTACCATAAAACATAGTTGTTCCCTGGAAAAGAGAGAACTGTCAAATTAATGAGGGGGTTAGACTCTATCAGAAGCTTTCCTCTAAATGTGCACTGTAGACCTCTAGGGTCCTTATATATTCCTCAAAAAAAAAAGTATTCTTATGTGAAATAATTCTGGGAAAACTACATATTTGATCTGCCTCCTGGAGAGCCACAAAGCACATTACCATACTAAAGGCTCCAAGTAATCCTGAATCAAGAATTCTGCTGAACTTTTTAACCTTTGCAAAATGATTTATCCACACAATTCTTTTTTGAAAATTTTATAAAACATTTATGAGCATTTCCCAAGATACTAGAAGTCTGTGGACTTTGTTTTAGGGAGCATTGGTTACTGTGTATGAATGAATCTAAAGGTACTCTTCCTTTTGAAGAGGAAAATATAATAAAATCTATGAGGAGACTAGAATCTGGAAGTGTTAGCAGAAAGAACAAAGGGATTTGGCAGTAACCCTTTTCCATTCTAAGGGGGGCACAGGACAGAGGGAAAGACAATGAAAATTGATAAAAAGCTCAGCACTATGCACAATGACATGTCTATAATTTAGGAAGAATCTGTGCCATATACATATTAGGTGTAAATCAAACACGGATTTCACAAATGTTCCAATGCGGAAAATCAGGAGAAAGTATATTTGAATTATGCAGGAATAGAATCATGGCAGACAAATTTAATTATCATGAAATTAAAAGATAGAACAGGGTCAAAATATATAACAGGGTCAAAATCTTTGACCAAATTATAACTCCACCACTCCTAAAATGTCACAGTCTCTCCATTCTGTTTCTTTCCATGCATGTGAAACAGGACTTATTCTACTATTAGGGAATGTTTGCCAAACTTCTTACATAAGTGATTTTAAAAGAAATAAATGTTGTTTATAAATATTAAGTATCTTATGTAAAGAAAAATGTTGTGAACAATTTTTGGGATTACTAGAAAATCGCACTTTTTCTCCTAATGACTTTTCTTCTTTATGCTAATGAGCACAGGTGGGCAATCTTCAATGAACTATGAGATTAAGTTTGGATAAGTAACAAGCCAGCTCAAACTACATGGAATTTTTAAGGTGAAAATGTAATCAATTTGTGTATTGATTTAACTTTCTCCCCACTGCGGAGTGAATTCTCTGAGCATTTGTGTCTCCGTTAGTCAGTGTGTTTTGGGTTGAATGCTCTTAGCTGAGCAGGATTCTGCCTGAAAACATCTCTTTGAGTCAGGCATACTCTAACAAAAGATTAAACCTGTAAATGAGATAAGCAAGGTCATATATCAAGTAGATATACATCTGAGTGAAAATTAATGAACTTGAAGGTGGAAGTGCAGGATAGAACATTTGAATGAGACAAGTAGCAAACGACTTCCATATTCTTATGAAACTAGTCAAATGTGTACCTGCCCTTTAGAAATATACACAGTGACTCCAGATTAGCCAGATGAAGGAAAAAGGTATCTCTTCCAAAATAGTCCCAGAACCACAATTCAGTAATTATGAGAAATTTGTTTCCAAAGCTCAACTCAAACAACAATTCTGCGTGCAACAATACTGATTTCTTTAGGTTGGGCACCTTATCTTTTTTGTTTTGTTTGTTTCTATCAGATGTTTCTCTAGCCATGGATTGTAACTATGGCATCATTCTGACTGATATATGAGGGCATATATATGAGCATGTTTGAGAGTTAGGCAATAGAGACTTGAATTGACTTTCATAATCTCTAAGAGATTTAGAAATTATTGTGAAAGACTCGTGGATTTATAGAAATTTGGTCAGTACAGGAATGCAGAGCTTCTAATTAGGGAACTGAAGACCACAGTTCATTACATACCACATCCTAACAAAGGAATTAATGACGACCATGTTAGTTTTATTTCTTTTGTGTGTTACCTCACCAATTTTTAGATTATGTTGGCCATTGCTTTTGATAATTTTTATACTTATAAAATTTTGTACTATTGGAATATATGTTATGTTTATTATGTAGTTATTTCTGGTTGCCTTTCTAGTTATGTAGAACAATATTATGGGGATAAATATATTGTTTCACATTAATTTTATTCTCATTTTAAAATGTGCATGTTTATGTATATGTGTATATAGATAGATAGACAGATAGATAGATAGATAGATAGATAGATAGATAGATATATGTTACGTAACATCATGTAGTTGAGTCACAGCCGAACTATCTAAAATGAGGTATATAGATACTTAAAAGTTGATAAAATGAACTGAAGAAATGAAAGTATATGGACCACTTTAAGCAAAGAAAATGTCACTCGAAAAGGCTCCAGAAGAAAAGGAAGGCAGCAAACTTTTACTTCTATGTTTCAGTCAACCCTGAGGTGATGCTCCGGCTTTTGCGCTGATAGCCCAGAACGCCGAATCTCAACATTTTCTTACATGCAGATCTTGCTGTTGGAAATAATGTGCTTCTGGGGAGACCTCTCTTAAAGGGCTGTTAGGTAAAATCAAAACTATACATGATAGATTATGGCTGATAAAATGAATATTGCATAGTGTTTTATTTCAGATATCTGTTAACATTTTCTATAAGGTTTTTAAAAAATATCTACACTAAAAAAATGAAGCCTTCCTAAGTTAGTTTAGATTTCAGAAAATTTTATTTAACCAGTAAATACACAGGACAGATGCATTTATGAAGCTTAGCTAAAAATGATGCAATTGCATGAGTTAATATATCAGTGAAATGACTATCTAATGTGTAAGCAAATTACAGAATTAACTTGTATTTACATCATACAAATTCTGACTTTGTATATGCATTGCTTTGATGTGTTAAAACATGGCAGAACATACAGCATTGGTGATAAAATGAAAACAAGTACTGCTCTCTTTCACTTGTCATTGAATACAGACTTTTGAAATGAAAGCTCTAATAGCATGAAATATCTCCAAGAAAAGGAGAAAGAAGAATAATGAGAGATAAAGAAAATAATGAGAGAAGGAAGAAAATAAATAATAAAAAAGAGAATTTAAAGAAAGGAGATAAAACAGGGCATAGATTTATTCTCATTCAGAGATAGTATCCAAGAATCACTCATTAATGTTTTTTAAACACTTACTCCAAGTTCCAGCAGAAAAGCATCCTGTGTACAGATAAGTGGCTTTGTGTAGGCTAAGAACACTGTCTTCATTGACCCATTGCCCAGCTTCAGGCTATTGGAGGTATCAGAAAAAAGAAGCACCCCCTAGGAAGTCAGACCAGTCAATCCCAATAATAAATAGAGTAATAAGAGCCAAAGCCCTATTTCTCCATGTGCTGGGATACCAGTTTTGCTCAGACTACCTTCACATGGATCAGGAAAATGTGAATTCTTTAGTCACTTAACATGATCATCGTGTTGAACTCTCATCCTCTGGATAGAAGAAAAGCATTTTCATCTAAGTTTATAATTTAAACGTCATAATGTTAAATAACCCTTATCTAATATAACAATCTATTTCTCTAACTAATTTTAGTTTGTTTAGGTTAAAAATAATCTTTTATGTTTTCATCACCCTCACATTTCCTTTCTCAGTACTGTGTGGCTCCGCAGAAGTGGGTGTGTCTTACTGCACCTTCATGGCATTGACAATGAGGAGATACTTTTGCACGCAGTATTCTTGTACTGTCTTGAAGTTCCTATGATCTCTGTGAAAATGATCCTTGTCTACCTAGTTGCTGCTTGTCCTGCAGGCATTTAAACCTGGTGTCGTTCCTAAAGGGCTTTCCTTTCCCTCCCTTTCTCTAATCCCAACCTCCTCCCTTCCTTCTCTTTCCTCCTTTCCCCTCCATCTCCTCTCCTCTTCCTCCTTCTCCTCCTCCTTCTCCTGTCTTCCTGTCTCTCAGGCCAAGTGGTGCTCTTAGTTTGTCTTGGTATCACCTTGGCTCTTACAACTGCAATGTCTTTCACTGAGCTCATGGTTTATGAATTCACTCCCAGCTATGCTGTCAGATCCTCTCTCCTCTCACCAGCAGTCTCCAAAGTCAGGCCATTAACTTCCAGGTTAGCTACAACCCCTTACCAGCTTAATAGGAACTCCTGAGTCCTCGCTGTGATGCGGAGGATCCAAGGACTACTCAAAACATTAAACTTTGGCTCTCCTTCTGCCATACCATTCTATGCCACAGACTACATTTGATGGGGTCACTATCTTAATTGGTAAAGGTAAGAGATAGTTTGGGACACAGTTCCCTCTATATTCCCACACATGAATTAGACAAAAGCCTCATTCTCCAGGCATCCCTCTATCAACATTTATATCTCAGATGAGGGAGACTGGTACACATGCACTTTTATCTTCTGTCTTTGTTACCCAATATTCCCCAGGTATCCCAGCATCAAAACATGGGATCTATGCCACCTTCTTCCAGTCTGGTGGGGATCTACATAACATAAAACTTATGGTTGGCCTGGCATGGGTACTTATATGTTAGTGGAGGAGACATAAAGGTCTAAAGAGAAAAATGTAATTCTCTGAAAAGTCTGGCTCACTAGACTATTATTATCTTGCTATAAATTGTACTTTGAATATCTGAAGCAAATTATTCTCTTTCTGCCCTCCACCTGTAACAATCCTAACTCAACAGTTGCATCTACCTCCTTACTGCAATACTGCATGATAACTCTGATTGACAGGGAGAACATCATGTGCACAAGAACAAAATGCAAAGCAAATTTTATTAATGTGTTTCAAACTATTCTCCCTGTTGAGTCTTCTATTCCTCTGGCAGAGCAAGGAGAAAAAAAATGGTGGAAAGAAACCCCCTTGCAACCCTCCCCATCTGTTCTCTTTTCTGGTGCCCTCTCTCTGTTTCTCCAAGCATCTCCTCACAGCTTCTTAGAGTGAGAAGCAGCTACCCTGTTGTGAAGTGATCGCTGGATACCAACCATAATACAATGGTGACAGAGGTGATCTTGGTGGAAATATCTCCACACAGCAGTTCTGACCTTGGTTCATTTTGTGTGCTCTTAGATTTTTGGCCTGATCTTGATTTGAAATGGGAGTTTAGAAACAGGAGAATAAAGGCAAAAAACCATCAGCTGAAACCACCACACTCAGCTACCTATGGTGATTCACAAAAAATGCCCCCTAGGAGGGAGACAATGACCTCCAGTGCTATTGATCCTTGTTTCTATTCTGAGGATACATCTGTGGACAAACAGCCTCCTAATAAACTATTGTCAAAAGTTACTTATGACAATTTTTGGCCACATACTCTTCTCTAGCTGTCCATGCTTCACAGGTTTTCTTACTTCACTGCTATTAGTTAACTAGAAAGTGAGAGTGTGATGGATGAGAGAGAGAAAAATGTTCTCTTGGTCATCAGATAATTCCAGAATGATCACTTTTTAGAATTTCTGTCTTGAAATCACCCTGAATCTATGAAGAGGTCTCCTTTTGGCAATTTGTGCTACATAAATATTCAAGGGTCTATTAGTTGTGAATGGAACAGAGATGAACAAATCAAGGTCTCTTGCTTTAAGGAACATGTAACCTGTGGAATTAGACTGCCAGGTACAGAATTATCTAAACACAAAGCAATGCCATGCAAGAGGTACACAAAAACATCATGAGAGCAGAAAAGAAAATGAGATTAATTTCACCTGGAGAAGTTGGTATAGGTTTCATGAAGAAAATCACCTCCAGCTGAGCTTTGAAGGAATGAACAACTTTAATAAGCAGCAAGAATGGAAAGGACATTAGATAGAAATATGTGAACAAATCTATACTTGGATATTTTGAGGTCACAATGTTTTAATGACACTGGGAATAACTCAGTGCAGTGAGCTGTGGGAGGCAGAGGAGTCCAGGCAAATAGCTTGGGTCAGATCACACTGCATATCTGACAATTTGGATTTTATTCTGCAAGCCACTGGGAGCATAGGAGGGTTTTGAGGAGGATAATGGCTTGATCTCAAAGCAGGGATATAAATACAGGTCAATGCAACTTGTAGAAAATTAGAAAAATAACAGATATTATGATGAAGACTTAATGAAATATATTCTCTTTCTCTTTGCATGTGGATTACAATTAAAATTTATATCTTTTCTCACTGAGTTGGAAGTGGTTTCTTTAAAAATAAGTAAACAATTCTCAGAGGATATCATTGATGCTTTTTATAGCACAGTCTTAGAAATAAGTATGTTTAATTTCTAATCTATTCTTGAAATGTCACCTAACAAAAAAAAAAGCTACACACAAGAGTGTTTTATGGTAAGAGTTTTCAGTACTAAAAACTTGTTTGGAGTTTTGGAAGAAGGCTAAGGGATCCGGCTTATCAAGTGTGTCTTCCCTGAACTTACCATTCTTATGGAAATTCATCAGTGAAGTATGGGAGTTATCAATGGGTGGTTAGGGTAAACTGATAGATGAAAATTGAGACACTTGACCAAATACTAGACCCAACAGAATGCGGATATTTCATTAAAATAAAATGTTTCCATTGCCACATCATACATAGCCAGCTGGCAAAAGCTGATTCATGATTCTTTTCTATGTAAAAATCAGAACATGCACACCTGAGTAAACACACAAAGTTGGAAGTGGTAAAGGCAGCTCAGGATGGGATCTAGAGATAGTGTAGCTAAGGGCTTTAAGGTATGCAACTCCCCCACTCAAAAGGGATTGAGTAGGATCAGTTCATGGCAGAAACTCACTGGTGTCTCTGTGTGAATTTCTCACACTAGAGTGGTTCTCTCTCAAATTTTCTGTGAACTAATAGCCATTCTTTTCCCTGACATTAGCTAATTTACTTCTTATTTGATATACCATTCCTTTTTAGAGCTGTACTGATTGCTAATGATGGAACAGGAAAGAGACTTGCAAACTCATGCATATGGGAAATATTAAGTGCAGATAGGAAATATTAAGTTGGGAAATCCATTATCCTAGAATCAATTATTTTGCCTATCATTAGAATGTTCATTGAAGTAAACAACATGTTCTAAAGTAAATGTGGTACAAATTACTACCTCCAGGATTAAATTAGACAATAATATTTATTTGGGGTCAGACTTGGACTTGAATCTTGGGAAGTTTTAAATTTAATTCAAACAAGTTAATTTTGACTGCTAAATTGGGATACAAGCATTTTTAATGACCTTTTAAAATTATTTTGTGCAGTTTGGTTGGAAATGCAGCTGAAGAATATTTTAAAATAAAAGAATATTTTAAAATAAAATAAAATATTTTTTCCCTAAGACAAACTTTATGGCTTACAAGAACAATAACAACTGTGCTCATTAAATTGTGTGGCTTATGAACAAGAGACAGTCCAAAGTAAGAAAATAAGTCTCCATATGCAATACAATACAATAAACCTAGAAATATAAGTCATTCTTGAAATATATTATTTTAGACTTACAATTTAAGTAAGATGAGGAAAATAAAAGGAAAAAGAAAGTAGCCTAATTAAATATTCTCTCCATTCTCTTTCTATGCCTCCTCTTCAGATTTTCTTGTCTCCTCAATTAATTCTCCATCTTCACTGGGTATTAAGGACATCTTTTATTGATACGGTTTTAAACCGCTGTTAGGCCCTATATTTTTATATTTGTTATACTGGTTTTGATAACTGTAATTCTGGTTAATACTTTTTGAAGGAGAAACACTTATTGGTGTAATGACATTTTAACTACCATGATGATTTAAGCTCCATAGCCAGCACGGGTCTTGGGCTGCACTCACTACCAGGGGCTGTTTGGAACTTCCCTGCTGAGCAATATTAGACAAATCCTGACTTGCTGATCTAGATAAGCTTCCAAGAATGTTTTCTCTGTAGTCAGAAGTCATATTAAACTTGGAGAGGGAAGTGCTGTTTCTTTTACGTCACTTATTACACAATGAAATTATTCTTTAATAATATGTGCCTCTTTCCAATATAATTCAAGCTCCATGATAGCTTACCTGTCTTGTCTGCCTTTTTATCCCCTGTATCTAAAAGAGTATCCACCACAGTATATGCTCATTAATATTTGTTGAATGAAAGAATGAATGAATGAACAAGAAGCAGGACAAATATGGTATTTCTGGATATTTTCAATCAATATAGGAGAATGGAAATAGCGAAATACAATTATGTTTTAGGTGAATTATTCATTCAATTTATCAATTCTCTGTGACAGTATCTTATTTTTTATTTTGATGATTATAATTTTCCAGTGGTTGTAATCACTTTTTTTTTATTTCTACCTCTTCTGGAATTTTTTGTCTATTTTGCTTTATGTTTTTATTGCTTTTTAATAGTGTTACTATTCCATTTTACCTTCAATTATTCTAAGTTAACATATTTTAACTCTTGGCCTAATTATTATCAATAGCTTTATCTGGAGTGAATGTATACCCCAATTGTATCTTCTTTTCTTAGCATTACATGATTTAATAGGTGTTGGGATTTTGATTTTCAGATTCATTTTGAGAGGGAAGTTGTGTTTTGTTGCTCTTTTTTTGGTTTTTATTGTTGTGTCTTGGGTGATTTTTTTCAGTGCTTTTAAATTTATTGAGGCTTGTTTTATGGCATAGCATATGGTCTAGAGAATGCTTCACTTTAGACAATACATATTGTGCTATTGTTGGAATGGATCATTACATGGATGTCAAATAGGTCAAATTAGTTATGGTGTTATTCAAGCCTTCTGCAGCTTTGCTGATTTTTCTGTCTAGTTGCTCTTTCCGTTACTGAGAATGGGTATTGAAATCTCTATTAATGTTGAATACTCTATTTCTCCTTTCTATTCCATCACTTTTTGCTTTATGAATGGTGGGCTCTGTTGCTAGGTGTATATTATTTATAATTGTTATATCTTCCTCATAAATTGACTCTTTTGTCATTATGAAATGACTTTATTTCAAATAGTATTTCTCATCTCAAAGCCCATTTTGTCTGATATTATAATAATATCATCAATCTAGCTCCTTTATTGTTACTGTTTGCATGGTGTATTTTTTCATCCTTTTATTTTCAATCTATTTAAATCTAAATTGATTATTGATGTGACTGGATTTATTTTTGTCATTTTGTCATTTGTTTTCCATATGTCTCATCTTTTTTATTTATTTGTTCCTCCTTTCTTTTGTGTTAAATAGGTATTTTTTCAGTGTGTTATTTTAATTCCTTTGTTGGTTTTCCGGATATATATTTATTTTCTTAGTATTTGCTCTAGGAATTACAATATGCATTTCAACTTATCATAATCTACTTCAAACTAACAGTAATTTAATTATTGTTTTATTTAATCATCATTTAAATCAGTTAAGAGAAGAGAACAGAAAATATATAAGCATACTTTCTTTTATATTGACCTCCATAATGACCTTCACAGGTACTCTTTATTTCTTTAGGTAGATTTAAGTTACCATCTGGTATCATTTTCTTTCGGCCTAAAGAACTCCCTTTAATATTTCTTGTAGGGTAGGCCTGTTAGCAACAAATTTGCCCAGTCTTTATTTCACCTTTACCATTTGAACTTTTGTATTTGGAGATAATTATAGGTTCGCATACAGGATATTACAGAGATACTCACAATGAGAACATCTTGTACAATATCACAGCCAGGCTATTGATAAGGATGCATCAAAATACAGCACATTCCCATTACCACAAGGATGCCTCATGGTACACTTTTATGGCCACACACACTTACCTCCCACTTCTTCCTCCATTATCCCTGGTAACCCACTAGTCTGTACTCCATTACTATAATTTTGTTATTTCAAGAATATCACATAAGGCCGGGTGCAGTGGCTCACACCTGTAATCCCACAGGCCCACAGGCCTCCAACTTTGGGAGTCTGAGGTGGGTGGATCACCTGCCTCCTGAGGTCAGGTGTTTGAGATCACTCTGACTAACATGGCGAAACCCTGTCTCTACTAAAAATATAAAAATTAGCCGGGCGTGGTGGCAGGCACCTGTAATCCCAGCTACTCAGGAGGCTGAGGCAGGAGAATTGCTCGAACTCGGGAGGTAGAAGTTACAGTGAGCTGAGATAGTGGCACTGCACTCCAGCCTGGGCGACAGAACAAGACTCCATCTCGAAAAAGAAAAAAAAAGAATATTATATAAATGTAATGGTATAGCTTTAAGATTGCTTTTTTCATTTAGCATAATTCCCTGAAAATTCACCCAAGTAGTTGCATGTATCAGCAGTATGTCCCTTTTTACGGCTGGGTAGTATTCCAAGGTACGTATGTACCATAGTTTAACCATTCACCAGAAGAAGGACATCTAGATTGTTTTCACTTTTTGACTATTGTGAATGAAACTTCTATAAACATTTATATACAGGTTTTTGTATGAACATAAGTTGTCCTTTCTCTTGAATAATCCTGGAGTAAAATTGCTGGGTCTGACACTTGGATGTTTAGTTTTTTTGGGATTTGTGTCTTTCACTTTTAATTGTGTATAGTTTACTATTTCAAAGGAATGTTACAATTCTTTAAAGTAAATACATATTAGGACACTATAATTTAACAAGCTTTATTATTTTAATATTCTGCCAAAAGCACATTATTAATTGATGCCCTAATTTGGGTTAAATAAATCACTATTCAGTTTTATCTTGTGTTTTTCAACCAGGATTTTACTCGATGATATAAGCTTTAGCTGCTACTCCATAGCATAAGCTATCCATATTTCTATATAGGGTGGTCTTAGCTATAGTGTGTACAAGATTAATAACACTGACTATGTTTTATACTGAAACTATTTGTAAATTACTACTCAGAAATCTCTGCTGAATACTCAACAGTTCCCATTTCTCAAGTCCATAAAGGGCAGCAGATAAATTCAAAAAGTTATTTCAGTGAATATTTATGAACTTCTCATATTTTGCTAGAAATAGTGCTTCAGCTAACATAGGCATTCCTTAGCATCCACCAATTAAAATGTAACTACAGAAAAAGGAAAATAATTGATCCATTTTCCATTTATTTGACTACCAAAACTTACGGCTTTAATTTTCTAGGGCAGCTACAACTTCATAACACTAAAGAAATGAGCTAATACTAACTAATGGCAGTTGTCCACTTTATTTTTTTCTTCTCCACCACTTTCAGCCATTGCATCTATCTTTGGATCAACCCAGCTTCTACTGGTGCCACAATCACATTATATTGAAATTCACATTATGTTCTTCACACTATAAATTCCTTTAGTGCAGGGACTGTGTCTTCTTCATATTTGTCCCTGAGTGGGGACCCTCAAGGACCAGCACAATAACTGGCACATAGTAAGCACTCAATAAATATTACAGTACTCACATGTTTAGTTTCTTAGGAAATGACCAATTGTTTTCCAAAATGTCCGTACTATTTTACACTGCCGCCACCAATGTATGAGTAATCCAGTTTCTCTACATGCTCAACAGGATTTGGTATTGCCACTCTTCTTTATTTTAACCATTCTGATAGGAGCATAGACATATTTCATTGTGGTATTAATTTGCTTGTTAATAGCTAAGGGTGTTGGACATTTTTTCATGTGCTTATTAGTCATTTATATAGCCTATTTGATGGCATATTTGTTCATATATTTTGCTCATTTTCTAACCACATTTTTGGCTTCTTACTATAGAGTTTGGAATAGTATTTATATATTCTAGATAATATGCATTTTTGAATCTGCAAATATGTTCTCCCAATCTATAGTTTTTTTAATCCTCTTAATAAAATCATTCATAGAGCAACAGCTTCTAATGTTGATGAAGCACAACTGACCAATTTTTCTTCCTATGGATCATATTTTTGTGTCAAGTCTAAGAATACTTTGCCAAGCTCCAGGTCCCAAAGACTTTCTCCTATTTTGTTTCCAAAATTTTATAGTTTTAGATTTAATGTTTGTGTAAGATGTGAGGTTTAGGTTAATGTTCTTTGTTTTGTTTTGTTGCCTTGTTTTTTTAGGTCTATGGACGTCCATTTGCTCCAGCACCATTTGTTGAAAGATTATCTTTCCTCCATTGAATTGTTTTTATACCTTCATGCCATGTTTCCTGTCAGAAATCAGTTGGACATATTTATTGGGTTCTCCATTCGTTCTGTTCCATTGATCTTGGTGTCTAGCCCTCTGTCAATAACACACAGTCTTGAGTACTGTCTTAATTACTGATTCTTCTGACTTTATTCTTCTTTTTCAAAATTGTTTTAGCCATTCTGGTTGCTTTGCTTTTTCATATAAAATTTAGAATATCCTTGTTTATAATAACCAAAAATTTTTCTGAAATTATGGTACACATGTATATCAATTTGGGGAAAAAAGACATATTTACAATGTTTGGTCTTCCAATCCATGGACACCATATATCTCTCCATTTACTTAGATTTTTGATTTCTCTCATCAGTGTTTTACAGTTTTCAGCATACAAGTCCAGCACATGTTTTGTTAGATTTATTCTAATTATTTCATTTTTGAGTGATTATAAATTATACTTTTAATTTTGACTTCCAAATATTTTGAAGAGATCTTTGCGGTTACTAAGACAGTATTGTTTCTTAGAAAACTCATCCTATTGTGACCCTAGGAAATGTCATTTTTACCAGGAGAATTTTGACTCTATCTGAGTTTAACATTTTTTATTTCCTAAGAGCTTTAAATCAGAACTGAGGCAGGAGATTCAGTATAGACTGATCATTTAAATGAAGACTCAGGGGCTATGGGGAAGTTGTGTACACATCAAAGCATTAGATGTGTGATAGACTGTCCATTAAGAGAAGAAAGAGAAATAATAAGGAGGAGGAGGAAGATGAGGAGGAGGAGAAGGGGAAAGAAGGAGGGGGATGAGAAAAGGAGGACATAAGAGTGAAATGCTCTGAATAACTGCTAGCTTTACAATTGCTAGTTCTAGTTATGTACTTAAGTTCTAGTCAATGAATTTTCCCAGTGTCCTTCTTGCAAATTTCTTTCTTTTTCTCTTCTTTCTTCCTCATTCCCTCCATTCACCCCTCCCCACCCCTCCCTCTCTTTCTTTCTTATTTATTTGCTTAAACTAGCTTGAAGTGGTTCTTGAAACCTACACCACCAAAAAAATTAATAACAGGTGGCAAAACATAGGAATTCATGTATTCAACAAATATTCATTATGAGCTTCTTAAGTGTCAGATTTTAAGATGCCAAGATTAATAAATTATGGCTTTTCTCCTTGAAAGCCCATGCTCTAATGGAGAGATCCTGTTACTAACTTCAGAATCCAAAAATGGTGTATTAGTCGATGAGGACTGCCAAAGCAAAGTAGTACAGACTGAGTAATTTAAACGACAGAAATTTATTTTCTCACAGTTCTGAACGCTACTAGTTCAAGAACAAGATGTCTGCAGGGTTGTTTTCCTGTGAGGGCTGCTATCCTTGGCTTGTAGATGGCTGTCTTCTTTCTGTGTCTTTGCAATGGTTTCCCTTCTGTGTGTGTGTCTGTGTCCCCATTTTCTCTTCTTATAACCACATCACCAGTATTGGAGTAGTACATACTTTAGTCACCTTATTTAACCTTAATTACCTCTTTAAAGATCTTATCTCTAAATACAGTTGCATTCTGAGATACTGGATGTTAGGACTTCAACATATAAATTTGTGGAGGAAACAATTTATCCCATAACAAGTGGTAATGTTCTTCTATGTCATGTTGACTGAAACCAGACACATATACAATATAAATGTCCTCAAAAAGAATTCATCCATTTCTCCTTTTAATACTGTTTTTAAATTATTTGTGGTGTTTTCGTCTTTATCATTAGATTCTTTCTTGTATTATGAGAAAATATAGGCAAATCATCTTATAGGTGTTTAAAATCTTATCCTTTCAAACTATCAGTAATTTTGCAAATAATAGTAAATGATTTATACTCCTTTCTTATGAATAATAGCATTTTCACACCAGTGATTGCAAATTTGATACAAACTTTTATATTTAAAAACATTAATAGACTTTTCTTTTTATTTTTTAGTCAGGGTCTCACTCTGTCACCCGGGCTACAGTGCAGTGCTGCAACCATGTTCACTGCAGCCTTGACCTCCTGGCCTCAAGCAATCCTCCCACCTCAGCCTCCTGAGTAGCTGGGACTCCAGGCACATGCCACCATGCTATTCCTTTTTTGGTAGAGATGGGGTCTTACTATGTTGTCCAGGCTGGTCTCAAACTCCTGAGCTGAAGCAATCTTCTCACCTCAACCTCCCAAAGTGCTGGGATTACAGGAGTGAGCCACCATTTCCAGCCAATAGACTGTTTTTTCAGTAGTTCCAGGTTCTCAGAAAACTTAAGCAGAAAGTACACGGAGTTCCCATACAACCCCTCTCCACCCTCCCTCCTAGTTTCCTCTGTTACTAGCATCTTGAATTAGAGTGGTATATTTGTTAACATTTATGCCCCAACATTGACACATATTTATTAACCTTATTTCATAGCTTATATTAGTATTTACTCTTTGCACTGCACAGTGTATGGGTTTTGACAAATGTATAAAGACATGTATCCACCGACACTAAGATACAAAATGTTTTTAAGGAAAATATTCTAACAGAGTTTATGCAAAACATTTTATTCTACTTTTTTTCTGGTGTTATTCACATGAAGGTGCCATTAAGCACTTGATCACTACATTGATTTGAGGATCTAAAGAAAAGAACTGTGCAATCCACACTTATCATACTCTGATATATGGTTGTCATAGTAATATATGTAAATAATTAATCTTTTCATGTAAAATATCGCAAGATCATTTTAAATATTTCCTTGCAATAAAACATTACTCACTGAAATCAGTTATAGTGTTCATGAAAATAAAGTCATCTAAAGTATTAAGAAGAATCATGTGTATTCAGTGGGGAGGAAGTGGTGAGTGATTTGTTGGGTTGGACCCATGGAGATAAGGTGATAAGTTTGGTTTTGACATCTTAAATGAAGTGTAGACATCTAGTAGATATCTGGTAGTTAGATAAATTTCTTCTGACTCTTAGGAGAGAGATCTTTGGTAATGCAACAGATTATAGCCTGAAGCCATAGAATCATCCATGGGTGGCAGAAATGAGAGCCAAAAATAGGTCTTGGGAAATCAACTGGTAGTCTTAAGAAAAGGAACCAATGATAAGATAGAATGGAAAAATGCTTCTAAATGTAGAAAGTCAAGAAGAGTTAATATCCCATAAGCCAAAAAGGAATTGGCCATCAGCCTGGAAAAGGAAAGCATGTGCTTTTTGTCTGTAGATATATTTGTTAGAGTAATAAAAACAGAATTCACAGCAATGTTCAGGCTACCTCCACTTTGCAAGGAACTGAGAATTCAGTATGCCATACAGAGCTAGTGCAGAAATTTCCTCTTCTTTTTTGAAATAAATAACAATATAAAGTAAAATAATTGAATAACAAATTTTAATATATAGCCAAACTTTCTAAATTTTATATGCCAAGATTGAAGCAGAAATTCAAAATCAGAGAGAAGAATGAATACTAAATACAAGCAGCCTACAGGGATATTGGAAATCAAGATATAAAGTAGAGGCTGGTGTTTTAATGCCTGCTGGAGAATGTGAGATAAGGCTCATGCATAATGAGGTTATTATTATGAACAGAGCTTTCTGCATGAAACCAGTACCACCCATCATAAAAACAGGACAAGTAAAACTTACTGGAGAGCAAGTTTTTTAAAAGTGACTCGTAATTATAATCCCAAACCTGCAATGTAGACAAATGAGAGCTCCACATACAAACTATCATATAATTCCTGACACCCAAATGAGACATTACTATGAAAATAGTTCTTGCTTCTCAAAAGTGTATAAATTCCCAGGACAGGCAAAGGCAAATCTACCCTCTAAAGATACTTCCATACTCAGTGACTCACAATGAAAACATTCTTCACTGAAGAAGAGTATCCTCTAAAATCTATAAAACACGGAAGGACATGAACCACTGTAGTGAACAGTCAGGAGATAATACATAATAAAACTATTTTTAAAGAGTAAGCCTGAAGTAACATCTTAATCTGTTTCAAGAATCTGGGCAGTGGAGAGAAGAAAAGAGAGGACATAAACTAGAGGGCAATATGGATACATAAATGAGAAATATTTGATTATGTTGATGTGCTGATAAGAAGAAAGGACTTTCAGAAAGGTGAAATTAACATCATTTCAAAAGTGAGGAACAGCCAGTGTTAAAGCACCTCTGATGAGATATTTAAAGTATAAGTGGAGAAATTTGCTTTAAACAATAGGAGAAAAATTCTTTTGCAAATAAAATAAAATGTAGGCAAATGAGTATAAGTTTGTAGAAAAGAGCAACAAGAATTAGAAAAGTTTTTAATTTCATAACATTAGCTCAATTCATATAAGAATGGTGAGATTCAGATATTGTTAGTAATCTGAGCGAGAGTAAAATATTACCAGGCATGCAAAGAAGCATGAAAATGCAACCCATAATAAGAAAATCAATCAATAGAAAGAGACCCAGAAATGACAGAGATACAGAATTAGAAACAAGATATTTTAAATAACTATTATAAACATATTCTTTGTTTAAGAAGGTAAAGAAAAGCATGTGCATGTCAAGAAGAAACATGGAAGACACCTTAATATGTGAGATGTACACTGGACAGGATTCATAGATTAATCATTGCAAAAGAAAAGATTCCTGATCTTAAAGATATAGTAATAGAAGCCATTCAAAATAAAATACAGAGAGAGAAAACTGGAAAAAATGAACAGATTATAACAATCTTTGAGATAATACCAAAGGGGCTGATACATGTGCAACTGGAAAACATAATGGCTGAAATGTTTTCAAATTTGGTGAAATAATAAACTGATGTGTCTGAAAAGCCAAAACAAACACCAAGCACAACAACATGAAAAAAAATGATGCCAAAGTACATTACAATCAAATTGCTTAAAACCAGGAGTAAAGAGCAAATTTGGAATGCACCTATGGGAAGGAAAGGAAAAAGGGGTAGACCTACGATATACGTAAAAACAAAGACAAGAATGACAACACACTTCTATGTAGAAATAATGCAAGCAGGAAGACAGTGAATTTACCTAAATTACTTAACAGGAAAATACAATCAACCTGGAGTACTATACCACGTGAAAATATTATTCAAAGTCATGAAAAAAGAATTAATATTTCAGGCATTTAAAAGATAAATAAAGGCCGGTGGCTTTTTCCCTGCCTGTAATCCCAGCACTTTGGGAGACCAAAGGAGGAGGATCATGAGGTCAGGAGTTCGAGACCAGCCTGACCAACGTGGTGAAACCCCATCTTCACTAAAAATACAAAAAGTAGGCGGGCATGGTGGCAGGCGCCTGTAATCCCATCTACTCAGGAGGTTGAGGCAGGAAAATTGCTTGAACCTGGGAGGCAGAGGTTGCAGTGAGCCAAGATTGCACCACTGCACTCCAGCCTGGGCAACAGAGCGAGACTCCAGCTTACAAAAAAAAAAAAAAAAAAAAAAAAAAACATAAATTGTTAGCAGCATACCTATATAATAAGGAATGTTAAAGAAAGTTTGTCAGGCAGAAGGAAAGTACTACCAGATGAAAATCTGAATCTGCACAAAGGTATGAAGAGCATCAGAAATGTAACTATGTGGGTAATTACAAAATGCTTGTTTTCTTATTGTGCAAACCTCTTTAAAAATGTTTGACTATTTAAAGCAAAAATAATAGCAGTGTATTATATTGTTGAATTTATAGCATATGTGGAAGTAATATGTATGATAGCAGTTGCACACAGGGCAGGAGAAATGAAATAGAAACACAGTATTGTTAGGTTTCTATATTATTCATGAATTGGTATAATATTCCTTGAGTTCACACTGTGATTAAAGATATATTATATAAACCCTACAGCAATCACATACATACAAATGTATAGCTAATGAGCCAATAGAAAGATAAAATGAAATCTGAAAAAATAATTTGTTCAAAGGAGAGGAAAATAAGAGAGAAGAAATGAGCAAAGAACAAATGAGTGAAAAAGAAAACAAACAGCAAGATGGTAAATTTAAAGCCAGCCAAATCAATAATCACATTAATTGTAAATGACATAAACTCCTCAATTAAAAAGTAGAAGTCATCAGTTTTCATAAAAAAGCAATATCCATCCTTATGTTACCTATACAAAATCCATGTTAATACAAAGGTACAAATAGGCAAAAAGTAAAACAATACAAATGAATAACATGAACAATGGTGGTTATCAGCCAGAATTTGGTGAATCTCAAAATTTTACATATCACTGTACAGAACCATACAGCTAAGAATATGCAAGATTAGCCTTCTAAAGTAGACGTGCAAAACAACCAGTCAAAATTAGAAGAAGCAATCAGGGTGTTCTGAAAACACTTTACATTTTGAAAAATGAGATAAACTCTACACCATATATAGAACCAAAAATACGCTAGAAGCAACAGCATTAGTTATACGAGGATAAAAACATATGTTCATTCTCTCAGTAAGAGAAAATAAAAAACGTCAGTAGAAACTAAAACACATTCAAGAAAATGATTATTTAAATAGAGAAAAACTAAAACATAACACAAATTTGAGCAATTATGTATAAGAAAGCAGACAACCCAATTAATTGGATATTAAGGATTGCTTTTTCCAGTGGGTGACCAGAATGTTGGAACTGTAGATGACATAATATAATACTAGCACATTTCTAATTTCATCAGTGGTGAACACTTTCATTGTAATACTTTAAGTTCCACAAACTGGTTTTAAAGCTTTAGGCTGCTTGTGGTAATCAATAGGAGAGGGATGTAAATTTAATCTGTGAAAGTTGTTCATATGAATTGAGTCATTCTTACCATACCTAACTAATACAGAGTCAAGAAGCCAGGGGGAAAATCACTCAGAGCACATAGCATTGTTCCAAGAATGTAATTCTCTGCCAGCTTGGCTGCCGAAACCACATGCTATAACCTGAAACCAGTTTAATCTAAGGCTTCT
This sequence comes from Homo sapiens, assembly GCF_000001405.40. Lineage (NCBI taxonomy): Eukaryota > Metazoa > Chordata > Mammalia > Primates > Hominidae > Homo > Homo sapiens. The sequence goes on from NC_000005.10 coordinate 125,894,659, forward strand.
GAAACACCCTGTTCCAACACTTAGGCCAGTTTTGCTCACTACTGTCACTTATCATTCAAACCTTGCCAATTCTCAAAACTTTACTTGTGTCAATGAACTTTCTCAAAGAGCAGTACATTTGAAATGTACATAACATTCCTCCTTTTTATAAAACCTCCAATCTTCTCTTTGTTCTTTGAACATACTGAAGGCTATCCAGCCTGTGCATATGCCCCAAATTGCAATTCTTTCTTCCCAAATAAACATTAAATGTAGAGCTTTGTATCTTCATATTTTATTTGGCCTCAACACATTAAAGAGCAACATATATTTTTAACCTTGATAATGTTAGAAGGATTAAAGTGGAGAGACAACATTGAGAGGAAAAAAAAAGAGTGCTAATAGTAGGAGATAAAGCAATAGGATTTTAGATATAAAGTTATTATGATAGATGTAAACAATACAAAAATTGACTACATATAAAAATAACTGAGAGAATAGAAAAGTAAAATATTCATTTGAAATAACAAGAAGTCAATAAACACTATCATTGATCAATCAATAATGTATCTATAAACATATATAAAAAGAACTGAAAACGGAAACAGCAAGCAAAAGTGTCTTATGAGGATGGAGTGAAGGAAAAGGGTGGAAGGGATGGACACTATTCATTTATCTATGTAAGCCTTTCTGTATTATTTGATTGTTCAAAAATGACTAAATATTACCTTTATTTAATTTGCCTAACAAGGTAAGCAATATATTTCCCAACATATGCACTTCATATCATTGCCACAGTTGTCTTTCATGGTTTCCATATTTTCATGTAAAGAAATCATACCTTTTTAAGACAACCATATATAATAACATACTCCCACATATAATCAGTTATAAAATAACATAGATTCTTTCCTCATGATAATTGTTATTATGAGTACTGCATTTCAAATAAATGACTACAGTATAGGCAGGAAAAAGTTGTTTGTAGATTTAAAGTCCTCTCCACTGTGACTTCAGTGATTTTTCAACTTTGTCTTCCATTGCACTCCTACATGAACCATTTGTCACTGCATACTGATGCCATATGCAACTGTCCGTCATCCACACATACATTCAAATTAATATTGAGTACCTGTGATATACTATTCACTGGAACTGAAGGGTTATAAGACTGTGTAAAGCAGGCCAGGCACAGTGGCTCCTGCCTGTAATCCCAGCACATTGGAGACAGAAGCAAGAGAATCCCTTGAGGTCAGGAGTTCAAGACCAGACTAGGCAACATAGCAAGACCCCCATTTCTACAAATAAAATAGAATAAAAATTTAGCCAGGTGTGGTGGTGTATGCTTGTAGTCATGGCTACTCTGGAAACTGAGGCAGGAGGATCACTTGAGTCCAAAAATTCAAGGCTGCAGTGAGCTACGATCGTGCCACTACACTCCAGTCTGGGCAACAGTGCAAGACCCTGTCCCTTAAAAAATTGTAAAATGCAGTCAGAGACACAGAAAAAAGACTTTATGTTCAAGAAGACCAATTCATCCAAGGTCTTCTTGAATCCCAAATTGACCAGTGTCATCATAGGAAATCAGAAAGCTAAGTTGAAACAAAAATGGATGCTAAGAGCATTGCAGCTTGTCATACTCCCCGCAACAACGTCATGTGCTACACAATACAGAATCTTTCATCAGCGAATGTATAAAGCCACTTAATGTGGGCCTTTAGGGAGTCTTCTGAAAAGAATAAAAACTGAAAATGTTAAAGCCACGAACTTCAAGCGTGCACTAAGTACTAAATAGCAGAGCTCTTATCTGAAATTTCTTTCTCCAGAAAACCCAGCCCAGTGATAAACTCCTATCACTTCATAATATTTACTTATACTGCTCATTCACTTATACTGCTACTCATTTAGTCATATTGTTCTATGGGAGTACATGTGACTCTCTTGTTATTTCACCTTTCGCCTATATATGTGTGTATCTGGATTCAGTACATGAATAGGATTGTGTGTTACACTTCCTTGTGCCCACAAAGCCTCCACAGTAGGTTTCTAACTAGACTGAAAGATGAGTAGCTATTGATGGAGGGATAAAATTAATATTAATGACAACAAATTGTTGAAAGTGAATAATTCAATAATCTATTAATGACTTAAGTAAAACCACAGTGCAAGTTACTAATTGAGGCTATTAAATTTACTGATCAGTTACTTGATGCCATATAGGCACTGTCACCAAAGAATTTATATAAAGCTACCCTTTACATGAATTCATACTAATAATAAAATTTTAAAACAGAACCTAGTAGATGTTTCTGCTAATCATGTAAGATCTGTTTATCGTTTTGACAAGTTACTGTGTCTATAATTAAGATTTGAAAATTATAAAGCCTAAGAACAGTTATAATTTTCAACAGTGTGATGCACCTTGTGTTATCAGACCATTATCCTCCCTGCTTTATGAGCCTGATATTTAAAAGATGAATGTTAACACTTTATACTTGAGGCAGATGTTAATATTATCCTTCATTCCTGGCCAGTCTTTTTATGAAAGTAAGTGCCATGAGCCTCAGGGCACATGTTGCATCTAATTACAATATAGGAATCTCTGCATCAGAGATTTAAACATGAAATACCCACATTTATTATGTTGTTTGCACTGCTAAACCAGGAAAAGTTATGACTAAATAATCTCTACCCTTAGGAGCTGTGAATGCAAACTGGGCAATATTTGGCATGTCAAATATAGAGAACACACAACACTATGACCAGTACAAAAGACTGAGAAAAATGCACATGTCCTTAATGCACAGAGCTGGAGGTGCATCTCAGAGAGAAAATTACTGCTTGTTATAGAGGCAAAGATGTTGGAAGATAACACCACTCTGATTCTCAAATCACCCTAAAAGAATATAATAGTGTTTCATGCTGTTTTAACAGTAATTCAATCAAAGAGCAAGATTGCAACTTAAAGGATTATTATATTAACACACAACCTTGTTACAAAAATGGGAAAAAATATTCTAGTCTAAATATGTCCAGAACAGCCAAGCCTTTAAGAAGGGGGCTTACAATCTGCTTTAAAGATTAGTTTAAATTCAACTCTCAGTTACTATACATTTTGAACTTCACTGAATCTGTAGGGAATATAAAAGTAGGAAAAAGTATCATGTCCTGAAGGAACTTGGAATCACGTTGAGGAAATACAAGTAGTACTCAAGAAATAACCAGAATACAACCTAAAGGAAATTAAATGTGATATATAGTATTGCTGTAAGTCTATAGGAAACCCAAAATAAGAGAAAGTCAATGTACAGTGAATTCACGAAAGCAAGTCTCAGGGATCAGGTAAATTTTCATCTGGGTTTTGAGACATATGTTAATCATATGTCCTCTGCATGGCATAGTGTGTGGCTTTACTTGGATTTTGTGACATCCAAGTGGAGGAAAAAAGCAAAGACAGGAAATGAATTTCCCTACAAATAGAAAACAGAAAGACAACAAAAATCCACATAAATTGAGCCCACTGTGAGAAGGCCAGAAAAGACAGAAAAGCATGCATATGGTCTTTGAAGGGTGCACAGGCCAGGTAAAACTTGGGTGGCAGAATGAAATGATAAAATTGAATTCCAAGAAGAATAATCCAACAAGAATGCCCAGGATAAAATGAAATCTACAGAAACTTTTGGGAAGTATGAGGTCATTTCAATAATCTTGGTATCTGGGGATAAGAAAGCAGATCAGTTCTCTGGCAAATGGAAAGGAGAGGAAACAGCAAATTGTGGAGAATTCTACAGCACAACAATCTCCCCACCTTGGTGGTCAGTTTCTACCTACAGAAAACAGTCTTGAAGATCTTGTAACCAATCCCCAATGACTATGTGGCATTCAGAAAATTCTCCCTCCACAGGTTACATTAGGGAGCTGAGCTTGCTGGCCTCAGGAACATCATGGTGCAAACACTCTGTTTCCAACAGTAGAAAAAAATTAAGGTCACCCATTGTGCCAATTCAGAGAAGAGCTTGACAGAAGCAAGGAGCAGGATGCAGCGGAATATAAATATTCTGTTACTATGATGAAGAGCTTTCAGTTGAAAATGAAAGCAGTAGACCTGCTGTGTTCTGTTTAGTCACCCAAGAAAGGCTTATTTATATTTCTTTACACCGTTCACCCAGGTTAACCAAATTGACAGGCTTTTCAAAACTTCAGGCTACTATTACTTTCACCATCATTTCTCCTTTGTTATTATTAATATGATTAGTTTCATTTTTGGAATTGGATGGGAATAACAAAAATAACCTAACTGTTAAAGTCCCCAAGCCATATTTGACTACAGTTATAAAGTTGGTTCTCACTCAGTAACTTAGGAAATTAAAAACACTAAATCTAGGATTTTCTCCACTGGGACCTAATCCAGTCCAATTTAGAAGTTGAGGATTTATAAAGGCTTTTCGGAAAGAAATGGGAAAACGTCAGCTGCAATTTCTTGCTAGACTTGAACTGAATCTATTAACCTTGCCCAGAGAATATAATGTTACAGTTATCTCATTTACAATGTTATTGTATATGATTTATGGCCACAGTATCAAGCCTCAAACTAGGTTTTGTAGTTTTAAGTTAAATTTACATGTCTGTAATACAAATGATTTTTTTTTCTTGTTCAGATGAAAAGATATTAAAAAGTGATTGATAATATTTCAGTTGGATGGAAATATACAGCATGACTTAGTCTACTGAAGGGAAAAAAACATTAGTTAGACAGTTATTATGAATATGTACGTTCACACCACTTCATGCTTCCTATCTTTTAATGTATGCCTGGTTATCAACTGCTAGACGTCTTTTGAATTATTTTTAGAGTACAATGGGTAACAAATCTATATAAAAATGAGATTCAAAAGAACAACCAAAAGGACAAGGAAAAAATGGATCTTCTATGCAGTTCAGCTAAGATCAATCCCGATGGCTAAAACTCTCTTAGGTACCACCATTTTAGCGTGTGTCCTTTATCTAACACTATATAATGGTCTTTAAATAGTCGCACGAAAACCTCTCTGACATTGTCACCATTATTGAAACCCAAGAGAATTTGTGTCACTATAAACTATAAGAGTTTGACGTTTGATTTGGGGGGTACGTGTTTTATTGGAAATGGTTGTTGTAATGCAACTTGAAAGATATGACCCACAGCTGAAAAGTCAGTACCAGATATAGACCAAGGATTTAGCAACACCCTCACTAGCAAAGTAACAACATCCAGAGTCCTGCAAATCTGAATTAAAATAAAACATCCTATTTGGAGTCCTCTGACTAGGTCATATGGTATACACAAATATTTTTAAATTATATAATATCAAATAAATTTCATAATTTGAGTACAGTCATAAATAAAATCCCTGCTGCCCAAGCTCTATTTATTGAGAATATATTCACATTTATTGCTGCAGAGTGAAGTGTATGTACATCAACTCAAATTAATTTCAGTCAGAATCACTATATAACTAATTTTGTGTGTTTGAACTCTGTCTGTTCACATTTGGGAGATCTTTTGAAAATCTATTATAGTTGTGCTTTTTAAAGAGTTTTTTCTTGTGTATCAGTTAAAATTATATTGAGTTTCTAATAATAGAGAACTAAAATAAGAGTCTTGAATGAGAAAGGAATTTATTTTTTCTCATAAACCTGCTGTCTGAGACAGGTACAGCAGTTCTATACATATCATTAGGAAATCTGGTACCTTTTATCTTTCTGTTCCACCATCCTTAGTATGTGGCTTTCATCCCCAGAGTGACATTATCACAGTCATCTTGTCATTCTCAGGGTCATTTCAGAGTCACCTCATTTTCATAAGATAGCTGCTGGAGTCCAGCCATCACACCCACATTTCAGTTAGGAAGAAGGATTAAGTAAGTGGGTTCAGAGGCGTGTATCATCTGAATGGGCCCATTTCAAAGAATTTTCACTGAAACTCCACCTGAATATTTCTGCTTGTATCTTATCAATGCCTACAAAAGAAACTGGAAAATAGTTTGTTTACGAGAAACCATGCTAGTGGCAATACTCCTGGGGAGTTAAAATATTACATGTTTAATTGCTTTGTTAGTTGTTACATACAGATTTATGAATATTATATTTCTCACAGACTGGTCTTTATCTTATTCAATGCTTGTAGTTTTAAAGTACACATTATCTAATATTAATATTATATTAGTCATTCTACCTTCGTTTTGTATGCATATTTCTGGTGTATCTTTACACAATCCTGTATTTTTAACTTTTGTAAGTAACTGGTTCAAGTGTTTCATGTAAACACATGAAATTGGGTTTTAATTCTTAACTCAATGTAACATTAACTGTTTTTTAATGAAATAATGCAGTGTGCTTACATTTACTGTAAGGACTGCAATACATTGTTTCATTGTTCCCACCTTATATTTATTTTTATTATTTTTTTCCTTTTCTCTTTCCCTAATTTTGCTGGTATAGTCATGAAGTTATTTATTATATTTTCCTCTTATTAATTTGGATATTCAATTGTGCCTTTTCATTCAATTCACTGGTACTTTCTCTTTCCTTGCTCTCATAATATATTCTATAAATTTAACTACTTTCTTTTCATTACTTTAATTGCTACCTTCTATGGCAGACTGCTAGCTACAGTTGCCTGCCCACTCTATATCCATCTACTTTTCTCCCTTAACTGAGAGACCTGATTTTATTTCAAAACTCCCAGCCTCCCTCATAGCTAGGCATAGGGAATGAGATGCAAGGAGAGATTCTTGAGGGATTCTGGGAGTGCTTTTCAAAGCTTTTCAAAGACAGATGGTTCAGCTGGGAGTAATCTTCTCTGACTTTCTTCATTTTCACTTCTTCCTCCTTAAAATACAGATGAGATAGCTGAGCTCTGGAAACTGTCCTGGACCATGAGGTGACCTTGTAAATGTTCACATGCTAAGAATGGCAAAACAGAAGGTATCTAATAAGTGTTCACATGCTAAGGATGGCAGAACAACATGATGGAGGAGACACGGGTCCTGATGATGTTGTGTGATTTGCACTAGGGCCTGGGACTGCTCTGCATGTCTATGTCACAAAGAAAGGAAAAAACTAGTTTATTTAATTAAGTGGGGGTATTTTTTGCTTGTGGAAAAGGTGCTTTTTAACAAGTTAGTACAATTACTTATTACACACTTTTTTATTTTCCTGCTCCCATAGTCAGATTCATATAACTCAATTAGTACCCTAACTATGATATCGATTTTTTTTTTCACAACATGCTTTGTTTCTTCTCTTGGTCCTCTCTCACTCAAATATCACACTATTCCAATAGTTTCATCATTTATCCCTTCTATTTTCATCCTTCTCCACCTCCCTGCATGTGATTTTGGGAACACATTCATTTCCACTAACCTCCACTCCAGGATGTGTTGGATAATTCAGAAATCATTAGAAGTTGTTTTCTTTCAAGACTATTTCCTTAACTTATATATCATTCAGTTATGAGCAGCTCATGCTTCTTATCCATTTAAATTGTTTAACTGTTTTCCTCTCTTCTTCTTAACATTTGGTCTCACTTCTAAGTTTTTGTTTGGTTAAATCCTTTTATTTATTGCTTTTTCTCAGATGGGACGAGAGGGTAATGTGTCTTGAAATCTTGCATCTTCACAGACAATCTCCTTTCATCCTGATGAGTTTGTAAGATGTTGTTTATATCTAAGATTCTTAGATTTTAATCCTTTTGTTTCAGTTGTCTGTAGATCCTCTCCACTGCCTTATAGCTTTAAAGTTTGTAAATAATGCAACTTTTTAATAATTTCAAAATTCCTGTTCTTATAGTATTACTTTTATTTGTGGTTGTCACATTCCAATTTTGAAAATGAATTTAGATTCAAAGTTTATATATCTCTCCAAGAATACTTTATTAGAGAATTTTTAATTTTTTCTCTGCAGTATCTCTATCAAAGTCATTTCATCTGCTTATTTTAATAAATCCTTTTTATAATGAACATTTTTTTCAAGTGCCTTATAATCCTTGGTTGTCCATTCATATTTAAGTGTAGGAGATATAAAGTTGATATTAAACTTTGTGTACATGGGATTGGTTTGAATAGTGGGCTTCACTTTAAGATGTGTGGGGGATGTTAGATATTTTTATTTCTAGACCCTAAAATGCTTTCTTCTGATTTGTTTTCTTTAGAGGAAAAATGTCCAGCATCTTTTTTAGTAGGTAAAAATGTTGCTGGTATTATTTATGCATGGGGCAGAGATGAAGTAGCTGGGGTCTGATTACTACGCATATGAATTTGCAGTTAATCTCCCTTTTCACTCCTATACGGGACCCACATTTCCTGCAATTCCTGAGCTCCAAACCTCTTCTTTTCAAATTCTCCAGAAAGTAAAGCTCCAAATTTCCCACCAATAATCTTCATTTCCTTATTTATGTTCAGACAACAAGTAGCTAGCAGATAACTTCTCTAGGAATAGAGAACTAGTGAATTCAATTCAAAGTTAGATTATTCAAAATTATTTATGATTACTTGGCTGTTGTTCAGCATAATCTCTTCCTATTTGGAACATATAATATACTTTATTCAAAGTATGCATGTTTAAGGCTATCATTAGCCTTATGAAAATGGTTTCATTGGGCTATTAAGGCACATTGTATCACAAAAATAGGTCGAAATTGGACTATCTGTACATTTTCTTTCCAAAGATAATTTTCATCATAACTGAAAATTCAAGTTAATCTAGTGAAAATTGAGTTTTCCTAGATTGCCTCCAATTCTATTCAAGAGTTATATTACAGCTACTAGTGATACCACAAGGGAAACAGTTCCTTGACTTGATCTGGAAATATCAGATTTAAATGGCTCCTTAGTTCTAAAAACAAAAAGGGTATGCCAATGCTCATAGCTGAAAGAGTCAACCACTTCCAGTTTTACGGTCAAACAGACAAAAGGGTAGGCAGGATTCTATGTCGTTTTAAGTTTTCAGATTGCTATCTACCTCGATTCACCACAATCAATTTTCATGATGAGGGTTTATCCTACCCTTACTAGACAAGTATTCATTTAGTTAAAAGGTTGTTAAGCTTCAATCAAGGAAAAAACAACAAATACACTTATGATTGTGCCTTTATACTTTTTATTATTTTTCTGAAGCACTGTTACTATAGGATATTTGTATATCCTTTTTATTTCTTTTTCCTTTCTAAATAATTCAAGCTAAAGCTTCAGCTACTAGGCAATGTTTTTAATTGCATATTTGGCTACCAATGATCTTATTATACATGGTTAACTACAAATGGTACATTTTTGCATTGGTTTTAAATGTCCCTAATTCTTTGTGTGCCTCTTAATTGAGAAAGAAGTTTAGAGCTTAACGGGAGAGTTAGTGGAAAATATTCTTCTTCAGCCTTCCTAATCAAAGCACTTAACATGGACATCATGTTTACTCTAAGGTAATTTATAAAAGAAATGAAAATGGGAAAAAAGGAAACCAAATAAACAGAATCAACTAGTTTTAAAAATCTTTACTTTTAGCAAATGTAGGAGTGGAAAGGTGCAATACCTTTCATCACCCATCGTAAGGGTCACAGCTGACACTCCTGTAACAAAAGACAAGTTAACAGGGAAAAGCATAACAAATTTATTTAATCAACATTGTACATAACATGGAAGCCTTCAGAAATGAAGACTCAAAGACCTAGGAAAAACTGTCTACTTTTATGCTTAGGTTTGATGATAAATGGGCAGCTGTGTAGAAATGTGGTCATACAAAAGGGTATGATCTGACAGGGATAGACTGAGGTGGGACACCAGCAAGGCCTGCTGGTTCAGATTCTTCTTGGCCTCTCTGTGCAGCATTCTTTCCTCCTGGTGTGGTGCAAAACTCCTCTGGAATGAGGGTCTTATAACCTAACTGTCAGACAAGTCAGCGAATTTCTTTATGGCCAGCTCTTACACAGAAAGGCAGGGAAAAGTTAGTGTTATATTTCCAGGTTTTATTCTGGCTTTGGGAGAGAGGAGTTCAAGTTTCCATGACCCTCCTCAAGGAAGAGGAATTCCAGTTCTATGGCTTTCTATGAAGGAGAAAGGAGAATGGGGGAAGGTTCCCAGGCTGCTTCTGAAGCCTTCCAATCTCTTTTAATTGAAAGTACTCAGCATGTCAAAGTGCTACACTTTAGGGTATTATGTTTTGAGCCCCAACACAAAACAGTTGCGCTATCCAACCACTGATGTTACTGAAATAGTTGTAAATAATATTTAGAAAAACCCCTTTATAAACTCATAAACCAGAAAAGACACAGGCCATCAAATACAATGGTGGCAAATCCAAAATACATTTCTTGTAATTTTTCTACCTACAAGCATAAAACTTTTATAATTGCATTTGCTTCCAAATACAAAGTTATTTTTAGTATAAAGTTGAAACTCTGATTAATGAGTATGACTGAAACATACGACTAAATAGTCCCATTAAAGCACAAAGTAGTAACTGATGCTAGAAGAAGTTAAACTATAACTTGGCATAATGATTTACTTTGGATAATTCATTTCTTTGAATCATATATTTTAGGCCAGCAATGTTGATTGATTTCAACTAAGCCTAGAAATTCCAGCAATGTTAAAATGTTTTCTGTGGCCAGTGTATTGTGTTAAATGAAAATATCCTGTGCTTCTTAGGAGAAGGAATGTGTAGAAGAAAAGAGTTAGAGAAGTATAGGAGAAAGGAGGAAACATATAGGGATCTACTTTATGCCAAATCCTTTGAATATGTTATCTTGCCACTGACAAAATTCCTGTGAAGTTGATAATAGAGGCCCTTTTAGATAAATGGGAATATTGAGAATCAGAAAAGTTGCCTTAAAAACACAATGAACAATTGGTTAAAATAAGATTTTAAAATATGTTTGTTTGATTTCAAAATCCTAGTAATTTTTACTAGGTATAAAAATATAATTAATGGACATTAAACACAATGGAAATTTAAAAACCCAATTTAGTTTATGAGACTTAAATTCTGTTTGGCTGTTTCCTGAGCTCTGTGTCTCCCAAAAGCAATATCCACACCAAGTTTCTGCTGGAAATTTTCTGGAAAAAATATCAGATATGATCATTGCATGGGGAACTCTGTTCCAGATGCTAGTCAATTCTTGTAAATTAATAGTTGTATTTGCAGTTTCATTATCATTTCCTTACATAATTTTAAACTACATCTAACTTAATTTTTAACATATACAGTTTGAAAATAAAATAAAACTTAAGTGCTCTTAATAAAAAGTAGCAATGCCATGTAGTACCCTTTATATATGTTTTCTAAAAATCACCACTTAACATTTTCATATTTTGAGCTGCTATTAAGAATACATTTCTTACTCTAAAAATATTGATATGACACCATTACTGACATATAAATTTGAGAAATTCTCTATTAAATTTCTACATTGAAAGATAAATATTAGTTTACCAATGTCCCATATTTCCTCTTCCCAATTTTAGTTAGCTATTATTTCGTTCTTCTAATGATTATTTTGGATATACAAATATGTTAATCTCAGTTTATCATTAGATCAGCTTTTGAAAGTATCAATTTTTATATTACATGAAACTACAAGCATGAAACTACAAACTATCTTAATATCCACTTTTTTCTTTCTCCTTGTGTTTTCTTTCACTTGCACTTCTATTAGTACATTGAAAAAGTTAAGAATATTTTATTTGTAGTTAAAAATAATACCATTATTAAAAGTTTTGCTATATAAATATAATTCACAAAAAAATTAGGTAATAAGCTATGATTTGTCTAAGGTCAAATGTAATAACCATAATTCTATCCAAATGAAAACATTCCTAATAAACAGACTAATGTATTTAACATTTCTTACATTATACAAATTTCTCAAAATAAAATCATATTTTGGGTTGCTTTATATTATAGTATGATTATATGAGTTTCTTTTCCAGGATTTTATTATTGCCTTTTTTATTGTTCTTGAGAGAAAAAAATCCTTTTTCTACTTTACCACTAATATTATTCAGCATCCTGATTTTATAAAATCCATTCTATTGAAATAGAAGGCAATCTATATGAAACCAACTGATTTATTATTTATTTTTATGGAAATTTTTAAAATTTTTATGAGTACATAGTAGATGTATATATTTATAGTGCACACAAGATATTTTGATACAAGTATACAATGTGTAGTAATGACATCAGGGTAATTGAAGTACCCATCACCTCAAGCTTTTATCGTTTTATGTGTCAGGAACATTCTAATTCCACTTTTAGTTATTTGTATATATACAGTAAATTATTGTTGACTATAATCACCCTATTGTGTTTCCAAAAAATAGATCTTATTCATTATATCTATGTTTTTGTACCCATTAACCATTGCTACTTCCCACAAACCTCACTGCAACCTCCTACACTTTCTAGCTTCTGGTCACCATCATTCTACTCTCTATCTTCATGAGTTCAACTGCTTTAATTTTTAGCTCCCACATATGAGTGAGAACATGTGAAAATGGTTTTTGTATGTCTACCTTATTTCACTTAACTAAATGTCCTCCAGTTCCATCAATATGGTTGTGAATTATAGGATTTTGTTCTTTTTTATGGCTCAGTAACATTCCATTGTGTATATGTACCACATTTTATTTATCCATGTATCTGTTGATGGGCATATGTTGCTTCCAAATCTTGGCTATTGTGAATAGTGCTGTGACAGACATGAGAGCGCAGATATCTCTTTCATATAATTTTGTTTCTTTTGGGTATACACCTAACAGTGGGAATGTTGGATCATATGTTTGTTCCATTTATAGTGTTTTGAGGACTGTCTGTACTATTCTCCATAGTGGCTATAATAGTTTACATTCCTACCAACATTGTACGAGGGTTCCCCTTTATCTACATGCTTGCCAGCATTCATTTTTGCCTGTCTTTTAGATAAAAAATAATTTTAACTGGAGTAAGAGGGTATCTCATTGTAATATTGATTTGCATTTCTCTGATGAGCACTGGTGTTCAGTATGTTTTCATATACCCGTTTGCCATTTGTATGTCTGCTTTTGAGAACTATCTATTCAGATGTTTCACTCATTTTAAATCAGATTATTAGATTTTTTCCTCAAGTTGTTTGAGATCCTTACATATTCTGATTTTTAGCCTCTTGTCAGATGGATAGTTTTCAAATGTTTTCTCCCACTTTGTTCATTGTCTATTTACTTCACTGATTGTTTTCTTTGCTATGCAGAAGCTTTTTAACTTGATCTGATCTCATTTATCCATTTTTGCTGTGGTTACCTGTGAGTTTGAGGTATTACTCAAGATATCTTTGTCCAGACCAAAGTCACAGAGAACTTCCCCAAAGTTTTCTTTTAGTAGTTTCAAAGCCTGAGGTCATAGATGTAAGTCTTTAATCCATTTTCTTTTGCTTTTGTATATGGCAAGAGATAAGGGTCTGATTTCACTCGTCTGCATATGGACAGCCAGTTTCCTCAGTATGATTTATTGAAGACACTGTCCTTTTACCAATGTATGTCCTGGGCAACTTTGTTGAAAATGAGTTCCCTGGAGTATTAATAGTATGGATTTATTTCTAGGTACTCTATTCTGTCCCATTGGTCTATGTGTCTAGAGTGTTTATGCCAGTACCATACTGTTTTGTTTACTATATTTCTGCAATATAATTTGAAGTGAGGTAAAGTGATTTTTCCAGTTTTGTTCTTTTTGATCAAAATGGCTTTGGCTATTCTGGGTCTTTCGTGGTTCCATATAAAGTTTCAGATTATATTTTCTATATCTGTGAAAAATATAATTGGTATTTTGATAAGGATTGCATTGAAGCCATAGACTGTTTTGGGGTGTGGACATTCAAATAATATTGATTTTTCTAATCCATAAACATAGAATATTTTTCTTTGTGTTTGTGTGTCTTCTTCAATTTATTGCATCAATATTTTATGATTTTCATTATAGAGATCTTTCACTGTTTTATTACCAGGTATTTTACTTTATTTGTATCTATTGTAAATTGGACTACTTTCTTGATTCCTTTTACAGATTCTTCACTGTTGGCATACAGAAATGCTACTGATTTTTGTGTATTGATTTCATATTTTCTAAATTTACTGAATTAATCAGTTCTGTTTTTCTTGTGTGTGTGTGGAGTCTTTAAGTTTTTCCAAATATAAGATCATATCATTTGCAAAGAAGGATAATTTAACTTCTTCCTTTCTAATGCCCTTTTTTCTCTTGTCTGATTGCTGGACTTCTATTACTTTGTTGAATAACAGTGGTGAAAGTGGGCATCCTTGTCTTGTTCCAGGTCTTAGACCACAGGGGTGTCCAATCTTTTGGCTTTCCTGGGCCACACTGGAAGAAAAAGAATTGTCTTGGGCCACACATAAAATACACTAACAAATAGCTGATGAGCTAAAAAAAAAAATCAGAAAAAAGTATCATAATGTTTTAAGAAAGTTTAAAGATTTGTATTGGGCCATATTCAAAGTTGTCCTGGCCCACATGAGGCCCAGAGGCTGTGGGTTGGACAAGCTTGTCTTAGAGGAAAGGCTTTCCATTTTTCTCCATTTAATATGATACTAGCTATGGGTCTGTCACATGTAGCTTTTATTGCATTGAGGTATGTTTCTTCTATAATCAGGATTTTTAGAATTTTTATCATGAAGTGATATTGAATGTTATCAAATGCCTTTTTCAGCATCAATTGAAATATCATTTTTTGTCCTTCATTCTGTGGATATGATGTATCACATTAATTGATCTGCATATGTTGAACCATCCTTCTGTCTCTGAGACAAATCCCACTTGGTCATGAGTCATAATCTTTTTAATGCATTGTTGAATTCAGTCAGGTAATATTTTGTTGAGGATTTTTGCATCAATGTTCATTAGAGGTATTGGCCTGTAGCTTTCTGATTTCAGTGTTTCTTTGTCTGGTTTTGATATCTGGGTAATACTGGCCTGGATGAATGAGTTTGGAAATATTGCCTTATCCTCTATTTTTCAGAATAGTTTGAGTAGGATTGGTTTTAATTCTTCTTTAAATGTTTTGAAACTCAGCAGTGAAGCCAGCAGGTCCATAGCTTTCTTTTGATAGGGGACTTTTTATTATGACTTGGAGCTCATTATTTTTAATTGGCCCATTTGGGTTTTGAATTTCTTTTCGTTTCAATCTTGGTAGTTTGTATGTGTCTAGAAATTTATTCATTTCTTCTAGATGTTCAAATTTATTGGCATATAGTTTCTCATAATAGTTTCTAATGATCCTTTGATTTTCTGTAGTATCAGTTGTAATGTTTCTTTTTCCATTTCTGATTTTATTTATTTGGGTCTTCTCTCTTTTGTTCTTAGTCTGGCTAAAGGTTTGTTGACTTTATCTTTTTTAAAAAACCAACATTTTGTTCACTGATTTTTTATATTTTTATTTTTAATTTTATTTATTTCTGCTCTGATATTATTTCTTTTTTCCTACTAATTTTGGTTTATGTCTGTCTGCTTTTCTAGTTCTTTAAGATGTATCAGTAACTTGTTTATTTGAAGTTTTTCTACTTTTTTAATGTGTGCACTTATTGCTATAAATTTGGCTGTTAGGACTGCTTGTCTCATATCTCATATGTTTTGGTATGTTGTATTTCCATTTTCATTTCTTTCAAGAAATTTTTAATTTCCTTCTTAATTTCTTCATTGACCCACTGGTCATTCAGGAACATATTGTTTAATATCCATGCATTTATATAGTTTCCAAAGTTTCTCTTTTTAGTGATTGTTATTTTTTTCCATTGTGTACAGAAAAGAGACTTGATATGATTTCAACATTTTTGAAATTTTTAAGTCTTCTTTCATGGCCTAATATATGGTCTACCTCTGCGAATAATCCATGTGCTGAGAAAAATGTTTTATTTTGGCAGCTCTTGGATGAAATGTTCTATAAATATCTATGAGGTCCATTTGGCCTAGAGTGCAGATTAAGCTTGGTGTTTGATTTTCCGACTGTACTGTTCAGTCAGACATGTAACAGCATCTATCCAATGCTGAAAGTAGGGTGTTGACTATCTCCAGCTATTATTGTATTGGCGTCTATCTCTCTCTTTAGCTCTAATAACATTTGCTTTATATATTTAGGTGCTCAAGCGTTGGGTGCATATATATTGACAATTATTATATCCTATTGCTGAATTGTTCCCTTTATCATTATTTAAAAAGATATAAGGTCATTATAATTTTTGCCTTGAAATATATTTTGTCTGGTGTAAGTATAGCTACTCACGACCTTTTTTTGTTTCAATTTGCTTGGAATAACTTTTTCTATGCCTTTATCTTCAGTCTGTGTACATCTTTATAGGTGAAGTACATTTCTTATAGGCAGAAGATACTTGGTTCTTATTTTTTTTAGCCATTCAGTTACTCTATATATTTTGATTGGAGAGTTCAGTTTATTTATATTTAATGTTATTGACAAGTAAGGCCTTACTATTGCAATTCTGTTATTTGTTTTCTACTTGTTTTGTGTTCTTCTTTTCCTTCCTTCCTGTCTTCCTTTTTGTGAAACTGATTTTCTCTGGTGGTATGTTTTAATTTCTTGCTTTTCATTTTTTGTGTACCTATTGTAGAATTTTTGATTTGAGGTTACCATGAGGCTTGCAAGTAACACCTTATAAGCCATTATTTTAAACTGATGACAAAAACAAACTCTGATTGCAAAAACAAACAAAGAAGCAAAGAGAAAACTAAAAAACTGCACTTTAACTTCATCCCTTCCACTTTTTAACTTCTTGTCATTTCTATTTATGTCCTATTATACTCTATGTCTTAAAAAGTTGTAGTTATTATTTTTGATAGGTTTATCTTTTAGCCTTCCTATTCAAGATACTAACACCACAGTTAGTGTTTTAATATTCTGTATTTGTCTGTATTCTTACTCTTACCAGTGAGTTTTGTTCATCAGATGATATTTTATTGCTCGTTAATGTTTTTTTTTAAAACTGAAGAACTCCCTTTTGCTTTTCTTGTAGGACAGATCTGGTGTTGATGAAATCCCTCAGATTTTATTTGTCTAGGGAAGTGTTTATTTTTCTTTCATGTTTGAGGTATAGTTTCCCCGGATATAATATTGTAGGATAAAAGGTTTTGTTTTATTGTTTTTACCTTCAGCCTTTTTCCCCCCTCTAAGTTTAAATATGGCATGCCACTCTCTCTTGGCTTGTAAGGTTTCCACTAAGTCTGCTGCCAGAAGTATTGGAGCTCCTTTATATGTTGTTTCTTTTCTCTTGTTGCTTTAGGATTATTTCTTTATTGTTGATATTGGGAGTTTGATTATTAAATATCTTGAGGTAGTCTTATTTGGGTTAAGTACTTGGTGTTCTATAACCTTTGTTACTTGAAGATATATTTCTCCTGGTTTGGAAAGTTCTCTGCTATCATTTCTTTAAATAAACTTTCCATCTTTATCGCTCTACCTCTTTGAGGTCAATTGCCCTTTTGAGCCTGTTTTCTACATCTTGTAGACATACTTTCTTCTTTTTTGTCATCTGACTGTATATTTTCATATACCCTGTCTTCAAGCTCCCTAATTCTTTCTTCTCTTTGGTCAATTCTGCTGTTGAGAGACTCTGATGCATTTTTCAGTGTGCCAGTTGAATTTTTCAGCTCCAGAATTTCTGCTTGATTTTTTTTTTATTATTTCAATCTCTTTGTTAAATTTCTCTGATAGGATTCTGAATTCCTTCCCTCTCTTTCTCTTTTTTTTTTTTTTTTTTTAATATTGAGCTTCCTCAAAACCACTCTTTTGAGTTTTCTCTCTGAAAGGTCACATATCTTTGTCAGCTCAACGGTGGTCACTGGTTCCTTATTTAGTTCATTTGGTGAGATTATGTTTTCCTGGATGGTCTTTATGCTTGTGGATGTTTATTGGTGTCTGGGCCTTGATGAGTTATGTATTTATTCTAATCTTCACAGTCTGAAGTTGTTTGTACCCATCCATCTTGAGAAGGCTTTTCCAAGTATTCAAAGGAAATTCACTGTTGTGATCTAAGTCTTCAGTCACTGCAGCTGTGTCTGCATTATGGGGCTTCCAAGCCCAGTAACACTCTGACTCTTGCAGACTTATAGAAGTACTGTCTCCATGGACTTGTGTATGATCTGGGAGAAATTTGTGGATTACCAGGCAGAGTCTCTAGTTATCTTCCCTTAATTTTCCTCAAACAAATGGAGTCTCTGTCTCTCCCTCTCTGTTCTGAGCTGCTTGGAGTTACAGGGAGGGTGACACAAGCACTTTTTTGGCCACCACCACTGGATCGGTGCAGGGAATTCCTGACGCCAGTACACTACTGGGTGTCACCCAAAGTTTGTGGCAATTATTGCCTGGCTGCTGATGTTTATTTAAGGCATAAGAGCCTTTTAGTAATCAGGTAGTGAATCCTGACAGGCCTGGGGTCTTTGCCTTCAGGGCAGGAAGTTCTCTGCTCACCCAGGGTGGGTCTAGAAATGGTGTCCATAAGCTAAGAC
This sequence comes from Homo sapiens, assembly GCF_000001405.40. Lineage (NCBI taxonomy): Eukaryota > Metazoa > Chordata > Mammalia > Primates > Hominidae > Homo > Homo sapiens. The sequence continues at coordinate 125,913,169 of NC_000005.10, forward strand.
CTGGAATCAGGAGCTTTAGGACTCTGCTTGGTGCTTTATGACTGCTTGGTGCTTTATTTTACTGTGGTTGAGCTGGTACCCAAGTTGCAAGACAAAGACCTCTTTACTTTTCCCTATTTTTTATTCAAGCAGAAGGTGACTATCCCGATGGATACCACTGCCCCATCCCCATGGTGACTACTGTCTGGCTAACACTGATACCTATTCAAGGCCCAAGGGCTGTTTAGTCAGCAGGTGGTGAATCCTGCCAAGCCTGTGCCTCTCCCTTTAGGGCAATGGGTTCCCTTCTGGCCCAGGGCAGGTCTAAAAATATCACCTGGGATCTAGAGCCTGGAATGAGGGCTTCAGGACTCTGCTTGATGCTTTGTTTTACTGTGGCTGAGCTAGCATCCAAGTTGCAGACAATGTCCTCTTCACTCTTCCCGTTCCTTTCCTCAAGCAGAAAGACTCTCTGCCAGAGCTGCAGGAAGTACTTCCTGGGACTGAGGGAGGGGTGATGCAAGTATTCCCTGTGCCACCCCAGCTGGTGTCTCACTGGGCCACATGCACCCTAAGTCCTCTGGCTCTGAGCCTAGCACAGCACCAGGACTTGCCTAGGAATTATAGCTCTTGTGGTCTAGACTGCCTTTCAAATTTATTTAGGACCCTATCATCCTTTAGCCTGTGGTGGTGGGGCTTACCAGAATTCAGTTTCCAGCCACTGGGATGGACAAATCCTCTCTGGCTAGGGCAGGTCTAAATGCTCCTTCTGTGGGTGCTGGCCAAATTCTGCCCTGTGTTGCTTTCCACTGTGAGAGGGCAGCACTAAGTTCCAATGCAAAGTCCCACAATCACTGAGCTCTTCCTGCCCCAAGCACACAAGTTATTGTTTAATGCCATATGGCCACTGCTATGGGACAGAGAAAGGGTAGTGTAGGCTATTCAAGCTGTCTTTTCTATCCTTTTCAATGTATCTTTGTTTGATATAATGTCAAAATCAGGTACTATGATCACTCACTTGATTTTTGGTTCTCGTGAAGGTGCTTCCTTGTGTGGAGAGTTGTTCAATTTGTTGTTCCTGTGGGGGCAGGGGGAAACAATTGCCAGAAGGGGTTGTACTTGCTCATCTTGCTCTGATCCTTTATTTGCTTTCTTGTTTAGATTGATTGTCAGTTTGTATGTGTTTATTTTTGTAATATGAATATATTTGTGTTTCTATAGACCTCCATATCTCTACTCATCCCATTCCTTTTCCTAATTTATCTTGAGTATATCATTAGTTTTATATTTCCAAGGTTTAATACACTTGCCTTCATTCAGTAATAACAAAAGAATATATTTATAGCTTTATACTTTTAAGCTATAATTAACAACAATAATTTTCAGGAGATATTTTCTTTGGTTACGGTGTGAGAAAACATTTTAAATGCTCTATTTTCAAGGAATGATGAATCTAAGTACTGGCAGCCAGCCTGCAGATGTGACAAACCACACAGTTCATGCACCTAGAAAGTCATGAAACATGAACAGGATGTGGAAAAGGGGTCAGGCTATAAAAAGGAAGAAAGTTTTGTTATTGGGAAATCAAAACTTAAGCAGGGAAGGGGATGGGGTATGACCTTACGAGGGGATAATGAAACTTAGGCAACATCCAGGAAGATTGTAATCCCATAGTACTCGACCAATGAGGAACTGGGGGAGGGATGTGCATGCCAGGAGATAAATTACCTGCTGTGACTGCCCTGGGTGTGCCTGCCTACCAGACACCCAAACTTGCAAGACTGCCATTAAAAGTCTCATTTCCGCTGTTCCTTGTCTCTAAGTCCATTCTTTGGGTTTGGACAGGTGAATGTGTTTCTCGCAAACTTGGGGGCTCATGTGGGATATGTGTGCCTGTGTGGAGTGGGATTCCAGCTGAGAGGGAAGACATGTCTCACCTGATTTTAGGTGGCTCACCTTGTCCAGGCATCTTGGCTCCCCACAGAGGCCATAGACAAACCTGAGACTGTTACTCAGAAGGGAGTGGAGGCAACACAAGCAGAAAAGCAGGCATTGTAGCAAGCAGGCAACCTTGTGCATGAGCCAAGGTAGGAAAATTGGACTATCAGTACTGCCTTGGTGGTTGGGCATTTTCGGAGGTTGAGTGTATGTGACTGAGATGTATCTTAGACATGAAGCGAGTGCGGAGTCCCAATCCGTGGTTCTGTTCTCCTGTGAGGGAAGCTGCCAGAGATGGACAAAGCAAATCTTGGGGTGTGCAAGAAACCTCCAGTAGTGTGGATTGAATACACAGGGAAAAGCTCAGACATAGAGACTGACTGAAAATGGGAAACAGAAATTCAAGGCCTATGGGATAAAGGAAAGAGGGAGCCAAAGAGACTCCCTCTGACATTCCCCCAGATAGTCCTTTGGGGAGAATGTTTCAGGTTTGGAGGGACAACCCTCAAATCAGGGACACGGAGAAGCAAAAGATGGTAAAGACTGCTATTTAATCTGGTCCAAAGACCCCATTCATAAGCCTTCAGTCTTTTGGCCTAAGTTTGGCTCAGGTGAGGATTGGGAGTGCCAACCTTTAATTATGTGAATAATAAAACCCCATTTTCACAAGAGAAGATAAGTTATGATCTCTGCTGGATCAAGAAATTAGCCCCCATGTTCCCTCTCAAAGAGGAAGAAAAAAAGTCTAGTAAAAAGCCCTTGCCCAGTGAAAAGCCCTGGGACCCCCTATCATGCTTGTCTCCTCCATATGTCTCACAAAATAAGGGACAGGAAGATCAAGAGCAGTAGGAGGGTTAGAAGAAGAAAGACCTGGAGACCATGGGGGAGCCAAACCAACTACTCCTTTATATCCTTATCCAAATTTAAGAAAAGAATTAGAACAGTGTAAGAGGGATATTGAGAACTTCCCTATCCCCTCCAAACAGCAAACATTTAGCCTGTTGCCTCTTAGGGAACTTCCCACAGGGGAGGTAAAGATTGGCTTTGTAAATGCTCCTCTTACAAGTACTGAAGTTAGGAATTTCAAGAGGAAATGAAACCACTCCTAGAAGGTACCCTTGGTTTAGCAGAACAGCTAGACCAATTCTTAGGACCCAGCTTTTACACCTGGGCTGAAATTACGTCTATCATGAATATCCTGTTCACAGGAGAATAAAGGGGAATTATCCCAGACAAGGAGTCTTGCCAGCCAAGAAAAAATTTCCTAATGTCAATCCCACATGGGATAATAATGATCCCAGGGGCTGTGCCCAAATGCAGAACCTCAGGGAACTAATAATTAAAGGGATCAAAGAATCCACTCCTAGGATACAAAGTATCTCAAAGGCATTCGAGATTAAACAAGAAAAAGAGGAAACTCCCTCTGCATTCCTTAAGAGGCTCAGAGATCAAATGAGAAAATACTCCAGATTAGATGTGGAGGACCCAGTAGGGCAAAGCCCTTTGAAGGTTAACTTTGTAACTAATAGTTGGCCTGACATTACAAAAAAATTACAAAAGATCAATGGTTGGAATGAAAAAATCAATTGAGGAATTAATGAAGGAAGCTAAAAAGGCCCTTCTATGAAGAGAAAAGGAAAAACAGAGACAAAAAGTGAAAATCATGGTTTCCACTGTAGAGGAGGTAGCCAGGAGGAAGTTAGATCAAGAGCCCTCTTGGAGGAGATGAGAAATTGCTAGGTTTCAGCAAAAACTCAGAAGAGAAATACAAGGAAAAACTCCTAACACTGTAAGTGGATGTTACAGTGTGGAAAACCAGGACATTTTAACAGAGAATGTCCAGAATGGAAAAAGAAAGAGAAGATAATCCCTGTGATGACTATTTATGAAGATTAGGGGGGTCAGGGGCTCCTTTTAAGTAGGTCCCACCAGGAACCCTTGATAAAATTGATGGTGGGACTCAAGGGGAAAGAAGTAACATATTTGGTTGATACTGGGGCGGCTCGATTCTCCCTAATTCATCCATCGAGGGGTACAGAACCCTCTAAGGAAAAAATGGACAGTTTCAGGAGTAAAAGGGGAGTGATTTCAGGTTCTGATATTCAAGCAAATGTATTTAGATTGTGATCAGAACAAATTGAAGTTTCACTCTTATATGTTCCTGAAGCAGGAACTAACTAAATCAAGACATAAGTGTGAGACTGGATTTAGGATTAGGAATAGACGAGGGACAAATAAAAGTAATAATGGGCCTCCTAACAGATGAAGAGTAATGAAAAATTAATCCCCTTGTGTGGGTTAGGGAAGGCAACAGGGGAAGTTAAAAATTATACCTTTACAGATTAAACTAAAGCAACCAGGAGAAATAGTTTGCAGAAAACAATATCCCATTCCCACTGAAGGGAGAAAAAAGGTCTCCAATGGGTAATAAAGGGATTAATCAAAGATAGATTATTGGAACCCTGCATGTCACCATATAACACTCCAATTCTCCCAGTCAAAAAGCATGATGGGTTATATAGATTGGTGCAAGATCTAAGGACTATAAATCAAATTGTCCAGACCCACCACCGTGGGGTGCCTAACCTCTACAACCTCCTTAGTAAGATATCCTATGAACATAAGTGGTTCAATGTGGTGGATCTAAAAGATGCATTCTGAGCATCTACTGTAGACTTTAGGGGTAGGGACCTCTTTGCTTTTGAATGGGAAAATCCTATAACTGGGAAGAAAAACAATAGTAGCACTGGACTGTGCTGCCACAAGGTTTCACAGAAGCCCCAAACTTATTTAGTCAAACCTTAGAAAAATTTCTAGAGGAATTCCAAACTTCCAGGGGAACCCAGTTATTATAATATGTAGATGATCTTTTAATTTCTGGGGAGAAGAGGGCTCAGGTATCAGAAACCACCATAAGTTGCTTAATTTTCTAGGAGAAAGGGGGTTGTGAGTCCCTAAAAACAAATTGCAGTTTGTAGAAAAATAAGTTAAATATTTAGGACACCTGATTAGTGAAGGAAAGCAGAGAATAAACCCAGAAAGACTATCAGGAATAGTGGGTCTTCCTTTGCCTAAGACAAAGAGAGAACTCTGAAAATTTTCAGGTTTAACTGGCTGCTGTAGGTTATGGATTGACTCATATGCTCAAAAGACAAAGATTGTGTATCTCAAGTTAATGGAAGAGTAACCTGATCCCTTGCAATGGTACCCAGAGGACATTCAGCCAATGAGAGAGCTAAAGCAGGCCCTCATTACAGCCCTGGTCCTGGCCCTCCCATCTTTAGAGAAACCATTCCATCTATTTGGGTTTTTTTTTTGTTGTTGTTGTTGTTTTTTATTATTATACTTTAAGTGTTAGGGTACATGTGCACAATGTGCAGGTTAGTTACATATGTATACATGTGACATGCTGGTGTGCTGCACCCACTAACTCATCATCTAGCATTAGGTATATCTCCCAATGCTATCCCTCCCCACTCCCCCCACCCCATAACAGTCCCCAGAGTGTGATGTTCCCCTTCCTGTGTCCATATGTTCTCATTGTTCAATTCCCACCTATGAGTGAGAATATGCGGTGTTTGTTTTTTTGTTCTTGCGATAGTTTACTGAGAATGATGATTTCCAATTTCATCCATGTCCCTACAAAGGACATGAACTCATCATTTTTTATTGCTGCAGATTATTCCATGGTGTATATGTGCCACATTTTCTTAATCCAGTCTATCATTGTTGGACATTTGGGTTGGTTCCAAGTCTTTGCTATTGTGAATAATGCCGCAATAAACATACGTGTGCATGTGTCTTTATAGCAGCATGATTTATAGTCCTTTGGGTATATACCCAGTAATGGGATGGCTGGGTCAAATGGTATTTCTAGTTCTAGATCCCTGAGGAATCGCCGCACTGACTTCCACAATGGTTGAACTAGTGTACAGTCCCACCAACAGTGTAAAAGTGTTCCTATTTCTCCACATCCTCTCCAGCACCTGTTGTTTCCTGACTTTTTAATGATTGCTATTCTAACTGGTGTGAGATGATATCTCATTGTGGTTTTGATTTGCATTTCTCTGATGGCCAGTGATGATGAGCATTTTTTCATGTGTTTTTTGGCTGCATAAATGTCTTCTTTTGAGAAGTGTCTGTTCACGTCCTTCGCCCACTTTTTGATGGGGTTGTTTGTTTTTTTCTTGTAAATTTGTTTGAGTTCATTGTAGATTCTGGATATTGGCCCTTTGTGAGATGAGTAGGTTGTGAAAATTTTCTCCCATTTTGTGGGTTGCCTGTTCACTCTGATGGTAGTTTCTTTTGCTGTGCAGAAGCTCTTTAGTTTAATTAGATCCCATTTGTCAATTTTGGCTTTTGTTGCCATTGCTTTTGGTGTTTTAGACATGAAGTCCTTGCACATGCCTAATGTCCTGAATGGTAATGCCTAGGTTTTCTTCTAGGGTTTTTATGGTTTTAGGTCTAACGTTTAAGTCTTTAATCCATCTTGAATTAATTTTTGTATAAGGTGTAAGGAAGGGATCCAGTTTCAGCTTTCTACATATGGCTAGCCAGTTTTCCTAGCACCATTTATTAAATAGGGACTCCTTTCCCCATTGCTTGTTTTTCTCAGGTTTGTCAAAGATCAGATAGTTGTAGATATGCAGCATTATTTCTGAGGGCTCTGTTCTGTTCCATTGATCTATATCTCTGTTTTGGTACCAGTACCATGCTGTTTTGGTTACTGTAGCCTTGTAGTATAGTTTGAAGTCACGTAGTATGATGCCTCCAGCTTTGTTCTTTTGGCTTAGGATTGACTTGGCGATGCGGGCTCTTTTTTGGTTCCATATGAACTTTAAAGTAGTTTTTTCCAATTCTGTGAAGAAAGTCATTGGTAGCTTGATGGGGATGGCATTGAATCTATAAATTACCTTGGGTAGTATGGCCATTTTCACAATATTGATTCTTCCTACCCATGAGAATGGAATGTTCTTCCATTTGTTTGTATCCTCTTTTATTTCATCGGGCAGTGGTTTCTAGTTCTCCTTGAAGAGGTCCTTCACATCCCTTGAAAGGTGGATTCCTAAGTATTTTATTCTCTTTGAAGCAATTGTGAATGGGAGTTCACTCACAATTTGGCTCTCTGTTTGTCTGTTGTTGGTGTATAAGAATGCTTGTGATTTTTGTACATTGATTTTGTATCCTGAGACTTTGCTGAAGTTGCTTATCAGCTTAAGGAGATTTTGGGCTGAGACAATGGGGTTTTCTAGATATACAATCATGTGGTCTGCAAACAGGGACAATTTGACTTCCTCTTTTCCTAATTGAATACCCTTTATTTCCTTCTCCTGCCTAATTGCCCTGGCCAGAACTTCCAACACTATGTTGAATAGGAGTGGTGAGAGAGGGCATCCCTGTCTTGTGCCAGTTTTCAAAGGGAATGCTTCCAGTTTTTGCCCATTCAGTATGATATTGGCTGTGGGTTTGTCATAGATAGCTCTTATTATTTTGAGATACAGCCCATCAATACCTAATTTATTGAGAGTTTTTAGCATGAAGGGTTGTTGAATTTTGTCAAAGGCCTTTTCTGCATCTATTGAGATAATCATGTGGTTTTTGTCTTTGGTTCTGTTTATATGCTGGATTACATTTATTGATTTGCGTAAATTGAACCAGCCTTGCATCCCAGGGATGAAGCCCACTTGATCGTGGTGGATAAGCTTTTTGATGTGCTGCTGGATTCGGTTTGCCAGTATTTTATTGAGGATTTTTGTATCAATGTTCATCAAGGATATTGGTCTAAAATTCTCTTTTTTGGTTGTGTGTCTGCCAGGCTTTCGTATCAGGATGATGCTGGCCTCATAAAATGAGTTAGGGAGGATTCCCTCTTTTTCTGTTGATTGGAATAGTTTCAGAAGGAATGGTACCATTTCCTCCTTGTACCTCTGGTAGAATTCGGCTGTGAATCCATGTGGTCCTGGACTCTTTTTGGTTGGTAAGCTATTGATTATTGCCACAATTTCAGCTCCTGTTATTCGTCTATTTGGAGATTCAACTTCTTCCTGGTTTAGTCTTGGGAGAGTGTATGTGTCCAGGAATTTATCCATTTCTTCTAGATTTTCTAGTTTATTTGCATAGAGGTGTTTGTAGTAATCTCTGATGGTAGTTTGGATTTCTGTGGGATCGGTGGTGATATCTTCTTTATCATTTTTTATTGTGTCTATTTGATTCTTCTCTCTTTTTTTATTAGACTTGCTAGTGGTCTATCAATTTTGTTGATCCTTTCCAAAAACCAGCTCCTGGATTCATTAATTTTTTGAAGGGTTTTTTGTGTCTCTATTTCCTTCAGTTCTGCTCTGATTTTAGTTATTTCTTGCCTTCTGCTAGCTTTTGAATGTGTTTGCTCTTGCTTTTCTAGTTCTTTTAATTGTGATGTTAGGGGGTTAATTTTGGATCTTTCCTGCTTTCTCTTGTGGGCATTTAGTGCTATACATTTCCCTCTACACACTGCTTTGAATGTGTCCCAGAGATTCTGGTATGTTGTGTCTTTGTTCTCGTTGGTTTCAAAGAACATCTTTATTTCTGCCTTCATTTCGTTATATACCCAGTAGTCATTCAGGAGCAGGTTGTTCAGTTTCCATGTAGTTGAGCGGTTTTGAGTGAGTTTCTTAATCCTGAGTTCTAGTTTGATTGCACTGTGGTCTGAGAGATAGTTTGTTATAATTTCTGTTCTTTTACATTTGCTGAGGAATGCTTTACTTCCAAGTATGTGGTCAATTTTGGAATAGGTGTGGTGTGGTGCTGAAAAAAAATGTATATTCTGTTGATTTGGGGTGGACAGTTCTGTAGATGTCTATTAGGTCTGCTTGGTGCAGAGCTGAGTTCAATTCCTGGGTATCCTTGTTAACTTTCTGTCTCATTGATCTGTCTAATGTTGACAGTGGGGTGTTAAAGTCTCCCATTATTAATGTGTGGGAGTCTAAGTCTCTTTGTAGGTCTCTAAGGACTTGCTTTATGAATCTGGGTGCTCCTGTATTGGGTGCATATATATTTAGGATAGTTCGCTCTTCTTGTTGAATTGATCACTTTACCATTATGTAATGGCCTTCTTTGTCTCTTGATTTTTGTTGGTTTAAAGTCTGTTTTATCAGAGACTAGAATTGCAACCCCTGCCTTTTTTTATTTTCCATTTGCTTGGTAGATCTTCCTCCATCCTTTTATTTTGAGCCTATGTGTGTCTCTGCATGTGAGATGGGTTTCCTGAATACAGCACACTGATGGGTCTTGACTCTTTATCCAATTTGCCAGTCTGTGTCTTTTAATTGGAGCATTTAGTCCATTTACATTTAAAGTTAATATTGTTATGTGTGAATTTGATCCTGTCATTATGATGTTAGCTGGTGATTTTGCTCATTAGTTGATGCAGTTTCTTCCTAGTCTCGATGGTCTTTACATTTTGGCATGATTTTGCAGCGGCTGGTACCTGTTGTTCCTTTCCATGTTTAGTGCTTCCTTCAGGAGCTCTTTTAGGGCAGGCCTGGTGGTGACAAAATCTCTCAGCATTTGCTTGTCTGTAAAGTATTCTATTTCTCCTTCACTTATGAAGGTTAGTTTGGCTGGATATGAAATTCTGGGTTGAAAATTCTTTTCTTTAAGAATGTTGAATATTGGCCCCCACTCTCTTCTGGCTTGTAGAGTTTCTGCCAAGAGATCAGCTGTTAATCTGATGGGCTTCCCTTTGTGGGTAACCCGACCTTTCTCTCTGGCTGCCCTTAACATTTTTTCCTTCATTTCAACTTTGGTGAATCTGACAATTATGTGTCTTGGAGTTGCTCTTCTCGAGGAGTATCTTTGTGGCATTCTCTGCATTTCCTGAATCTGAATGTTGGCCTGCCTTGCTACATTGGGGAAGTTCTCCTGGATAATATCCTGCAGAGTGTTTTCCAACTTGATTCCATTCTCCCCGTCACTTTCAGGTACACCAATCAGACGTAGATTTGGTCCTTTCACATAGTCCCATATTTCTTGGAGGCTTTGTTCATTTCTTTTTATTCTTTTTTCTTTAAACTTCCCTCTTGCTTCATTTCATTCATTTGATCTTCCATCACTGATACCCTTTCTTCCAGTTGATTGCATCGGCTCCTGTGGCTTCTGCATTCTTCACGTAGTTCTCGAGCCTTGGCTTTCAGCTCCATCAGCTCCTCTAAGCCCTTCTCTGTATTGGTTATTCTAGTTACACATTCGTCTAAATTTTTTTCAAAGTTTTTAACTTCTTTGCCTTTGGTTTGAATTTCCTCCTGTAGCTCGTAGTTTGATCGTCTGAAGCCTCCTTCTCTCAACTCGTCAAAGTCATTCTCCATCCAGCTTTGTTCCACTGCTGGTGAGGAACTGCGTTCCTTTGGAGGAGGAGAGGTGCTCTGCTTTTTAGAGTTTCCAGTTTTTCTGCTCTGTTTTTTCCCCATCTTTGTGGTTTTATCTACTTTTGGTCTTTGATGATGGTGATGTACAGATGGGTTTTTGGTGTGGATGTCCTTTCTGTTTGTTAGTTTTCCTTCTAACAGACAGGACCCTCAGCTGCAGGTCTGTTGGAGTTTGCTAGAGGTCCACTCCAGACCCTGTTTGCCTGGGTATCAGCAGCGGTGTTTGCAGAACAGTGGTTTTTCGTGAACTGCAAATGCTGCTGCCTGATCGTTCCTCTGGAAGTTTTGTCTCAGGGGAGTACCCGGCTGTGTGAAGTGTCAGTCTGCCCCTACTGGGGGGTGCCTCCCAGTTAGGCTGCTCAGGAGTCAGGGGTCAGGGACCCACTTGAGGAGGCAGTCTGCCCCTTCTCAGATCTCAAGCTGCGTGCTGGGAGAACCACTGCTTTCTTCAAAGCTGTCAGACAGGGACATTTAAGTCTGAAGAGGTTACTGCTGTCTTTTTGTTTGTCTGTGCCCTGCCCCCAGAGGTGGAGCCTACAGAGGCAGGCAGGCCTCCTTGAGCTGTGGTGGGCTCCACCCAGTTGGAGCTTCCCGGCTGCTTTGTTTACCTAAGCAAGACTGGGTAATGGCAGGCGCCCCTCCCCCAGCCTCACTGCCGCCTTGCAGTTTGATCTCAGACTGCTGTGCTAGCAATCACTGAGACTCCGTGGGTGTAGGACCCTCCGAGCCGGGTGTGGGATATAATCTCCTGGTGTGCCGTTTTTTAAGGCCGTCAGAAAAGTGCAGTATTCGGGTGGGAGTGACCCGATTTTCCAGGTGCCGTCTGTCACCCCTTTCTTTGACTAGGAAAGGGAACTCCCTGACCCCTTGAGCTTCCCGGGTGAGGCAATGCCTTGCCCTGCTTCGGCTCGTGCATGGTGCACTGCACCCACTGCCCTGCGCCCACTGTCTGGCACTCCCTAGTGAGATGAACCTGGTACCTCGGATGGAAATGCAGAAATCACCCATCTTCTGCATCACTCACGCTGGGAGCTGTAGACCAGAGCTGTTCCTATTCAGCCACTTGGCTCCTCCCCCCCATTCCATCTATTTGTAACAGTAGACCAGGGCATGGCCCTTGGGGTGTTCACTCAGACCTGGGAAGGGAAGAGGCAACCTGTTGTTTTTGTCGCCAAGCTTTATTATCCTGCCTCTCAAGGGTAGCCTGAATGTGCGCAAGAATTAGCTGCCACAGCCCTGCTGGTAGAGAAGAGTCAAATGCTAACCCTTGGTGGGGCCCTAATAATGAGCACCCCACATCGGGTCAGGAATATACTAAATAAAAAAGCCGGGAGGTGGTTAACAGATTCTCAGATTCTAAAATATGAAGCCATATTACTGGAAAAAGATGATTTGGTCATAACACCAGATACTTGCCTGAATCCAGCCAGTTTCATATGGAAAGGAGAGGAGAACGAAGAAGCATCAGACGAAAACTGCTTATATATCATAGAATACCAAACCAAAATTAGTTAGACCAGACCTTAGAGAAGCTCCACTACATCATTGGCTAAGGCTGTTTGTGGATGGGTGGTCCTGAGTGAAAGATGGCAAGAAATACAATAGCTGTGCTGTCATTGATGGAAATAAACACTTTTTTATGTGAGAAAGGTAGATTAGCCTAATGGCTGGTGGCCCCAAACCTGTGAATTATATGCTCTTAACCAGGCCCTAAACCTCCTTGAAGGCCAAGAAGGCATTATATATACTGATTCTAATTATGCCTATGGGGTGATATACACTTTTGGAAAAATGTGGACAGAGCGGGGCCTAATAAATAGCAGGGGAAAAGAACTGGTACATAGAGAATTAGTCAAACAGGTTTTAGAAAGCCTCCTGTTTCCAGCAGAGATAACTAATCATACTTAATGTAAATGGTCATCAGAAAGGGAACACTATAGAAGCTGTAGGAAACAGGCTTGCAGATGAAGCTGCTAAGCAAGCCTCCCTAGAGGAAGAAATTAGACTATTTAGCCTGATCCCAGACCTCCCTAAGATAGTATTAAGGCCTCAGTTTACCAAAGAGGAGAAAGGAGAATTAGGATAGGGGTCACTCAAACTGAAGATGAGAAATAGGTACTTCCTGATGTGAGAGATGATAAGTAAACCCCTAATGAGAGAACTAATGAATATATTATGCAAAGGGAGAATTGGGGACCCCTGGCTCTGTGTGATGCAATACTTAGAAATTATTGGTGTATAGGGATTTATATCCTCGCTAAACAAGTATGTGGAAGTTGTGTAACTTCTCAAAGGATGAACAAAAAGTTAATTAGAAGACAGGCCACAGGAGGACGACCTCCTGGACTAAGACCATTCCACAGCATTCAAGTAGATTTCACAGAAATACCCAAAGTACAAAGAGTAAAGTATTTGCTTGTGATCGTAGATCACCTTTCCAGCTGGGTAGAAGCCTCTCCCCATCTGACAGCCACTACCAGGAATATGGTCAAAATAATCTTAGAGCAGATTATACCCAGATTTGGCCGGTTAGAAAATATTGATTCAGACAGTGGGAGCCACTTTACCTCAAGGGTGTTAAGGGGAATTATGGAAGGTTTACAAATTACACTCCCTGGCATCCCCCTTCTTCTGGAGAGTTGGAAAGAATGAATCAAACTCTCAAAAAGCATATTACTAAACAAATATTAGAAACTCAAATGCCCTGGACCAAATGTCTTCCAATTGAGCTCTCCTTAGGGTTAGGACAGCCCCAAGAAAAAAACTTGAGGCTGTCCCCCTTTGAGTTATTATATGGACTCCCATATTTGGGCAGTACTACAGATCTTCCTACTACGGAAACCAAGGACCAATTTTCGAGAAATTACACTGGCCATATCCTCTACCTTGTCATCCCTTAGTTAAAAGGACTTCTGACTCAAACCCCACCTCTTGAGTTTGAAGCTCACCACTTCCAGCCCGGTGACTTGGTGCTGATTAAGACTTGGAAAGAAAACAAGCTCCAACCCAGCTGGGAAGGTCCCTATCAAGTGCTCCTGACCACCAAGAGAGCCATACAAACAGCTGAAAGGGGGTGAACTCATACTCGAGTCAAGGGACTGATAAAAGAGACCCTGGAAGGGAGAGAAAAAGACCAGTGGAAAGTACATGGGTCACATAAGGAAGCCTTAAAGTTAACTTTAAGAAAAACCTAGAAAGAAAACGTGGGCTGGCCCCCTCTATGGAAGTTAATATGGTTGGGATGGGCTATCAAGCCAGGGACTAAAGACTGGAATGGAGGACAGGGAAACTGGAAAGGGACTCCCATCTACTCACTTAAGCTAGTAATTAATGTAACTAAAACTACAGCACCCATAACTATAAAATTTGATGTCTGCCAAGTTTTGCCTTGTGGAAATTTAGAAAACCAGAGTCATGTTTCACAAGCAGATGAGTATCTCTTCCCTGAACTAGATGCAGGCTACAATAGTGCAAGTCCCTGCCCTAGCTGGGATGATGTCTGGTGGACCACCCAATATCAGGGTTGGACTGTCACTATGGGATAGGCAACCCCATCCTGGAGACCCTTAAAAGATAAAATACATCTGTACAAAGGCTCCCCACCAACTAACTGCCAAAACTTAGTGTAATCCTATACTCAGAACTATCAAAAATCCAGGCACCCTAGATCAAGAACCAAGGGTGTTGCCTCAAGTATAGACTGGCGGCAGATGTTGCAGGAAAAGATCCCCTAGGGTGATTTGTTCTTAAATTAATCAAGAACTCAACCTCCTACTTGCCTGGGACTACTCCAACCCCAGACCCTAATAAGTACTTTATTCCATCACATAATAATCCTAAAAGAGTAGAAATAATTGAAATAAATGACTTAAGGCAAACCTTAGGAATTGAAACAGGGTACAGAGATGTGAATGCCTGGGTCAAATGGGTCAAATTCTTGGTATAAGCCCTCAAAAAGAGTAATGGCTACACATGTGCTGCAGGATGACCTCAGGCACAGGTGGTTCCATTTCCCCTAGGATGGGATATCGATCCTGAAGGAATGCATTGCATGTCGGCTCTATACCAGGACAGTGATGCAGGGGAAGATGAGACTTGTGAGAGTCTGTCATTTCTCTTTCCTGCATTGCAGAGGTCAGATACCAGAGCAATCCTCTCATTCTCTAAAAGGAATATGAACCACTCCTCTTGCCTCTCTAGGCAGGGGGCAGAGTTCAATAAGCCATGGGAGAACTATCGACTTGTACCCACATCCTAAACATCACTGGTAAGTCAGGCAATGGAAATTACACAGCTTGCCATATACCCTGGGCTGATGTCTGGTGGTAATGTGGGAAGAGGAACCTCTGTAACCTGTTACCATCCAATAGGACTGGGACTTGTGCTTTAGTCCAGCTGGCCATTCCCTTCACCCTGGCATTCCACGAGATACCTGAAAATACACATGGCCACCGAAACCAGACAGATTTAACAAATTATTTTGATCCCAATATATATGTTGACTCAATAGGAGTACCTAGGGGGGTGCCTAATAAATTTAAGGCCTGAAACCAAACAGCTGTTGGGTTTGAGTCAGCACTCTTCTGGTGGTCAATTATTAATAAAAATGTGGATTGGATCAATTACATCTATTATAATCAACAGAGATTCATTAGTTATACTCGGGACACCCTCAAAGTGGTGGCTGGCCAGTTAGATGCCACCAGCCAAATGGCCTGGGAAAACAGACTTGTGCTAGACATGATGCTAGCAGAAAAAGGGGGCATATGTGTTACGCAGGGTGGGAAATGTTGTACTTTCATTGCCAGCAATACTGCCCCAGATGGAACCATCACAAAAGCTTTACAAGGACTGACAACTCTAGCCAACAAACTAGCAGAAAATGCTGGAATTGATGAACCATTTACGGGTTACTAGAAGGATGGTTTAGAAAATGGAAAGGCATGGTAGTTTCAATCCTTACATCTCACATAATTGTGGCAGGAGTCTAAATAGCAGTGGGATATTGTGCTATCCCTGTGTGAGGGGACTAGCACAGAGATTAATTGAAACAGCTATTAAGAAACAAATGCCCATGACTTACCAGCAAAATAACCTGCTACTATTAGAAACCAAATTAAACCCACTCTCCTATGAGAAGACAGTAAACAACTTCTAGAGTGATTCAAGGACCAAAAAGGTTTAAATGAAAATGAGACCAAAGGAAGTAAATAGAAAAAAGGAGAGAATTAGTAAGAAAACATTTTAAATAGTTCATTGTCAAGGCATGATAAATCTAAGCACTGGCAGCCAGCCTGTGGACGTGACAAACTGCATGGCTCATTCACCTAGAAAGTCACGATAAGTAAGCAGGATGTAGAGGAGGAGACAGCCCATAAAAGGGAAGAAAGTTTCGTTATTGGGAAATCAAAACTTAAGCAGAGAAGGGGACTGTGGTACCACCTTATAAGGGGATAATGAAACGTAGGTGCTGTCCAGGAAGATGGTAACCTCACAGTACTCGACCAATGAGGAACTGAGGGAGGGACTTGCGTGCTAGGAGATGAATTACCTGCTGTGACTGCCCCAGGTGTGCCAGCCTACCAGACACCCGATATTGCAAGAACACCATTAAAAGTCTTCTTTTTACTGTTCCTCGTGTTTCTAAGTCCATTATTTGGGTTTGGATGGGTGAATATATCTCTCACAATGGAGAAAATCTCTAGAAGAATAAGGTGTAAAATTTCAAGTACTGTTTTCAGTATTGCTAAGTAAGCTTCTATCAGACTTACTGTCAGGAATAACCACTGCAAATTCTAGAAAACATCCATAATCAGCTACTTGAAGTCATTAGAGAAAGGACAAGCAGCAAAGTCTAGAAGGAGAGTCAATACTTCAATGGAGGTAGAACATGGTGTAAGTTTTCTGTTTTTAAGCTTTTTACATGAAGAACAGCATACAGTTGATCCTATGCATGGTGGATAAAATGCCAATAGGAAACATATAGTCTTTCTGAGATGAGAAATCAGAGAACAGAGTGCAAGGCAATGACAGTCTCTGAAATTGGGAGGGAGGGCAGCAATAAAAAATATGCAGAGAAAGGTGCCCTAATTTTTATGTAGAATCTCTGCACAAATCTCTGACTGATCTTGATCACACAAACACATGGCAGACACAAAATGATGTAACTGATATAAGAGAACTGAACTGAAATTTCAATTGCAGCCCAAGAGAAACAACTTGCTGTTTTTATCTAGTCAAGATAATTATCTGCTTAAAAAATAATAAATCAATCAGCATTCTTCAGAGAGACATAAAAGAATTCAGAATCTCCACAACATACAGTTTAAAATGTCCAGTATAAGATTCAAAAGACTAAACATATTAACGAATAAGAACACATGACCTATTCTTAATAAAATGTTAATCAATTGAAATACATCCAAAGATAACAAAGATATTAGAAGGAACAGAAAAGAATTTTAAACAAGCTACTTATAACTATGTTTAATGATGTAAAAGAAAATATGTTGGCAATTAATGAAAAGATAGAACATTGTAGAGAAATACAAATTATAATAAAATTTAAATGAAAATTTTGTAAATAAAAAATACAATATTATAGAAATTAGTCTTTCAACTTGAATATATCAGTAAAAGTAATCCAACCTGAAGAACAGAAAAGGAAAACAGATTTAAGAAATAAAAACAACTTCAAGGACATGTAGAACAATATCAGAAGTCTATCCATCATACATGTAATTGAAATCTTAGGAACACAGAGAAAAAAATGGAAAACTATTGGATAAAATTTTCCCCAATTTGGAGAAAGTCATACATTTACAAATTCAAAATGCTCATCAAACTGCAAGCAAAATATATACAAAGACAAACATGCCTAGATGCATTACAGTCAAACTGCTAAAATAAAATATAAAGGTAAAATCTTATAAGCAGTCAAAAATAAACAATATATTACATACAGGGAACAATGATTCAAAAGCCACTAACTTATCAGAAGCAATTGAAGCCAGATGACAGTGGGAAAATACAAAGTGCTAAAAATTAGATCAATCCAGAATTTTATTTCATGTGAAAGAATTCTTTAAGAATGAAGGCCAAATGAAGACATTTACAGAATAAAAAAAAATAGTAAGTAAATTTGTTTGTAAGAGGACCCATACTATATGAACCACAAAAAGATGTTCTTCAAGTGAATGTAAAATTCTACCAGATGGAATCTCACATCATAAGAAAGGGATGAAGAGCATCAGAAATTGTAAATAATCAAATAAATATAAAACACTGCCTTTAATTTTTAAAAACACATATGAACGTTTAAGCAAACATCATAACATTGTTTACTGGGGTTTATATGTATGTAGATGTAATGTGTATGACATCAGTAGAATAAGGGATGGAGATTAAAGCAAACTATACGGGTACTAAGTTTCTACATTTTATGTGAAGTGGTAAAATATTAACCACTAAGTGAAGGGAAAGTTAGCAAGTTATAATATATTGTAATTGCTAGAGCAACCACTGAAACACTAATGTAAATAGGTAAACCCTAAAACTCAATAGCTAAAGCAAGATATATATATATAAAATCAAATAATCCACATAAAGGAAAGAATGAACAGAGGAACCAGAAACCAGAGATGACAAATGAAAAACAGGCAATAAAATAGTAGATCCACATTCAATCGTATCAGCAATCTTACTAAATTTGAACATATTAAACACTCCAACGAAAGGCCAAAATTTTTCAGAAAAGATAAAAGAGCAAAACTAAACTATATTCCTTCAAAACAGTTTGGCCTTTAGTTGTAAAGACATGGATAGGTTGAAAATAAATAGATGGAAAAAAACTCTCTTGTATACAGTAAGCATCAGAAGGCTGAAGTAACTATTTTCATATCAGATAAAATAGAATTCAGGCAAAAAGGTATTTCTAGAGATAATAAGTGACCTTTAATAATGACAAAATGATCAGTATAGCAGGAATATATATCATAAATGTAAATGCACTTTAAAAGAGCATCAGAATATAAAAAAACAGAATTAAAAGGAAAAATTGATAAAATTACAACTATATTTTAATTCTGTTATTACATCGAAAGATCAATACATGCACGGATCACTTTTAAAAATACTATCAATCACTTTGAACTAATTGACATGTAGAGAACACTATACCCAAGACATTATTAGCATACTTAGTATATTCACTAGGAAACACCATATTCTGGGCTTAAAAGCAAGTCTCAATAAGTTTAAAATGATTTAAATGAAACAGAGCATGTTATCTAGCCAAAATAAAATTAAATTAGAAATAAATAACAATAAAATGCCTAGTAAAACCCATGTTTGAGAATTAAAGAAGCTTTGAAAAATGTCAGTGTGTGAAAAATAAATAACAAGCAAAATAAATAAATATTTAAACTGAATAAAAATGAAATACCATATAATAAAAACTGTGGAATGCAGCCAAATAAGTGTCCATAGGGAAATGTATATCTTGAATGCTTATATTCAAAAGAATAAATATCTAAAATGAATGACTCAAATTATCTCCTTAAGAAGCTAGAATATTGTAGACCAAAAAAGAATCCAAAGTAGGTAGAAGGAAAGAAATACTAAAGAAAAGAAATTAATGAGATAGAAGAGATTCTTAAAAATAGAGAAAATTAACAAAGTCAAAAGTTCACTTCTAGAAAATAATCAATAAAATGGATTAATTTGTTATCTAGGAATAGTGAAGATTAATCTAGAGAAACCATGAGAATAGAAACTACCAATATAAAGAAAAAAATCACAATAGACCCCACAGCCTTATGGCTACTAAGAGAATGTAAAGAGCAACTCTTTGGCAGCAAATATGACAATCCTCATGAAACTGAAAAATTCTCTGAAAGATATAACTTAACAAAACTTACACAAGTTAGAACAGAAAATCTGAATAGCACTGCATCTATTTAACAAATCGAGATCATCATCAAAAGCCATCTCATAAAGAAAACTAGACACAGAACATTTAACTGGTGTATCCTATCAAACATTTAAAGAAGAAGCAACACCCATCGGACAGAAATCTTTTAAAAAATACGGGAGGAGGGAACATTTCCAAACTCCTTACCCTGTTATCAAAGTTGACAAAAATATTACAGAAAAATAAAAAGACCAACATATCTCCTAAATTTAGAGATAAAAACTCTTATAACATGTAGCAAATGGAATCCAAAAATGTAAAAAAAGGATAGTCCATCATGACAAAATGGGATTTATTCCAAGAATGGAAGATTGGTTTAACATTCCAAAAATCAATTAATGCTATTTACCGTTTTGATCAAATAAAAATAACTATGTGATTATTATGATAGATATCAAAGTTATTTGAGAAAATTTAACATCATTTTATGATAGAAACTATCAGCAAATGAGAAATAGAAGAAAATTCCTCACTCCAGTAAAGAGTAACTATGTACAACCAGGAAACACACTAAATGATAAAATATTGAACATTTTCCACCTAAATTGGGAAGAACTCAAGGATTTCAACTCTTAATCTATTTGACATTGTAATAGAAGTTCTAACCATAACAATAAGGTAAAAACAATAAAGTGTATATTGATGAGAAAGAACATCACTCTTAATTGCAGATAATATGATTGCTTCAGAAATCCAAAAAATTTACAGAACTACTAAAAATGATAGATGAAGTTAGCAAGATAATAAAAAAGTTAAGATTTTAAAACATTTTATTTATACCCTATTAAGTATAAATTAAACATAATTTGTGAAAATAATGTATCCATCATAGTTTTGAAAAATGCTTAAAAATAAATATAGTAAATAATTTGTGAGACTTTTACACTGGAAGTGAAAATGACCCAACTTTTCCATAGAATTTATGTTTACTGTTTTTTGAATAAACATAGAAATTCACCCACCTGATCCTAAAGCCTGAAACTTACATTTGTCTTATCTGAGTTCTTTCCTCAGGAAACCACTCTCAGGTCTTCCAGATCATATCAAGGAACTGAAACTCACCAGATCACTGCATCCAGACAATGAGATGCCAACCTTTCATTTATCGTGATTCCTGATTACCAGCTCCTCTATTACCCCACCCTTCATCCCTGTTTTCTCTGCCATATAGATGCCTAATTTTAGTTGGTCAGAAAGAAGAATTTGAGACTGATCTCCTATTCTCTGCTGCAGCACTTGAACAAAGACTTCTTCCATTGGAAAACTCATCATCTTAGTGATTGTCTTTCTATGCAGCAAGTGGCAGGACCCAGACTGAACCCTGGTGTTTTGGTAAAAGAAGCAACACAACTTTGCTGAGAGAAATGAAAGAAAATTCCCTCTCCCCAGTGGAGAGATATAGTGTATTCCTTGGCTGGAAAATTTAACATTGTTAAGATTTTAATTTACTCAAAATTTATATATAAATTCCATGCAAACCCAATCAAAACCCCTGCAAATTTTCATAGAAATTAACAGGTCAATTCTGCTTTTATGTTTAAATACAAAGGACCTAGATTACACAAATCAATTCTTAAAATGAAGAACAAGTTTGGAGAGTTTTCCAAATTAGATTTCAAGACTTAGTATAAAGCTATGAAAATCAGGCAGTCAGTGTCACCCTGATACCCAAACCAGGAAAGGACATAAAAAAAGAAAACTAGAGACTAATATCCTTGGTAAACATAGATGCTAAACTCTTCAACAAAATACGAGTAACCAAATCCAACAGCACATCAAAAAGATAATACACCATGGATTAATTTGATACACCATGATCAAGTGGGTTTTATCCCAGGAATGCAGGGATGGTTTAACATACGCAAGTCAATAAATGTGATATATCACAAAAACATAATTAAAAACAAAAACCATATAATTGTTTAAATTAATGCAGAAAAAGCATTTGATAAAATCTAGCATCCCTTTATGATTAAAAAAAAACACTCAACAAACTAGGCATAGAAAGAACTTACATGAAAATAATAAAAGCCATATATGACAAACCCACCGCCAACATCATACTGACTGGGGAAAAGTTGAAACATTCCCCCTGAGAACCGGAACAAGACAAGGATGCCCACTTTCACCACTTCTATTTAAAATAGTACTGCAAGTCCTAGCCAGAGCAACGAGGGAAGAGAAAGAAATAAAGGGCATTCAAGTTGGAAAAGAGGAAGTCAAACTATTGCTTTTCACCCATAACGTGATCATATACCTAGAAAACCCTAAAGACTCCTCCAAAGACTCCTAGTGTTAGTAATGGGATGGCTATTGTGATATCATTTCCCACTGATGATCCCATTTTGGTCCCATAAGACTGTCCTTGGCCAGACATACAGATAACATCCATGGCTGCTCAGCAGGTCATCAGTGATCTACAGCTATTGGTCAGGCATGCTTGCCCCTGCATCTCTCTAATCAAATAAGCAAGTGATGTATCAGAGGGTCTTACATATACTGAGCACCTTTTCTAATCCTAAGGTCTGGTCCTTGTGACCACACTGTTAGCACAGCAGGTGGATGAGGCAGAGGGACAGAGAGATGGACATGTGAACATCGCATAACACAGGGCTCCACTAGAATGCTCTTTCCACTTCAGATGCATTCTAAAATTGTGAGTGTAAAACCTACACCTATACTTTCCCTTTGTTTCTTGCTACATTTTGAAAACTGACTAAATAAACCATGAGATTTGAGCACCTTACGCTGGTTCTGTGTGTCTATCTGTTCTGAAATCTCTGGGACAGCTTCTATGATGGTTATTTTATCAGGTGATTACCTACTGTTGCAGTATGCTCAGGTGACCCAAATTGTCTAAGTAAGATAAACTCAAAGACTGTGGTTAAATGTGCAATTGGCAGATGCTGACTGGATTTAGACTGAATGGTTAAATTTGCTTTACGTCCTAAGTACCTAAAGATACGATATATTCAAAGGGAAACCCGAAAAAAACACACTTGAATGATGCCATTTTTAAAGCACAAGATGCCAGTTTAAAAAAGATCTCAGAATTTCCTAGCAGTTCAATGATTTTAAGTCATTCTACATTATATAATAGCATTAGAAATACACACACACACACACACACAAACACGCAAAACACCAGTAAGAATATCAACGAATGTTTTCATTATGCAAAACAAGTACTGGACAAAGCACTAATTTTGGAGCAGAAAACTCTCAAGCCTGCTTGTAGCTCAGAGATTTCAACAATTAACTTGACCTGTCTGTTCTTCTAATTATCTCTCTTATGCACAGAATTTCAGTGAAAAATTGAATACTTTAAGTTTCTTAGATTAAAATGATTTAAATATCCAAACTATCAGGCCATTTTATATTTTCTAAGTAGAAATATTTTTCCTCTAATACAAAATGTTTCTCTAAGATATCAAGTAGTCTGTTTGGAGGTAAGTTTTCTTGTCATTAGCATGTCTCTAATTTGTCCTGGTATAATTCCATTTTCTACTTTGATTGTGCACCACAAACATGTGGAAAGATTGTTCAAAGCAGATACATCAATCCCACACTAGAGGTGTGTTTTCTTTTGCTTTTAAGTTGGCCAGGAGTAAGACTTAGTATATTTATAGACTTGAGTTTTAATATCTTGAATGTTCAAAATGGGATAGGATTTGTATTGTGATATTCTTAGTAGAATAATACAATAAATCTAAGTAGAGATAGCAATTTGAGGGATTTTATGTAATATTTTAAAATATTAGGTACATGAGGAAATCTAGTAAGCCTGACTAAAGAATAGGCCAGGCTAAATTATTAGGTTATGCTTATCACCATTGCGTGTACAGAATGACTACAACTCAGCTTAACGAAATGTTACCAGGCAAAGTTTCTTGAGAGAAACTGCTAAAATTATTAATTAAAAAGGATTAAGTCTTATGGATTGGCAAGGATGAGATGGCCAACAAAACACCAAAGTTTCTGGGAGTCAGAAACTTGAGTACTCCACTAAACACTGTTAACTTCAAGAATATCTTTTAATTTATTTGTAGCTCATTTGCCTAACCTATCACTACGATGCTACTTTCTAAAGATTTTTCTGGCTAGGACAGTTTCAGTTGGTCTTCCACTTACAATCGATCACTTATTAGTAAACCAAAATATACCTTTATGGAAACACTTTGGAGCTTTCAGAAAAGCCTATAGATTCTTAATAGAAGAAGAAAAAGTACTGTCAAGAAATAATAACCAATAGGAAAAGTGATGTATCAGTGGATTGCCAGAGAGAACTGCTGATGCCTCTCTCCTAAAATATCTTTTTGCATCTATCAGAAAATGGTCTCTTATTTCTGCTCTGTGAAATCTCATCTTTTAAAGATTCTGAATTTCTCTGTGGGCCAACGTTGACTTCATTGTCACTCACTGACTTGAAGTCCTAAAGTAACTTCATTAGGGCATTGCTACTGCAATTCCTAACTCGACATTGAAAGTTTTGGCAGATGTAGAACAGGACATGCCTGCCTGCTCTACACCTCTTCCTGGTTCTTTCCAACACCGCAATGTATGCTTGAACAAGTATAAATGAGACATTGTGGAAGAGATGCAACTAAAGAGAAATATAAATGAGGGAATTTTAAAAATTATCTCTATAAGTGAAGGAAAAAAAAATGTTAACTCTTTCATGGGGCGGGGGTTGGGGGGTAAACTTGAGGACATATACAGTCCTAGACCTGTTTTCTTGTCCTTGGTCTTGTTGCCATCTCAACAACTCCTTCTTCAAACAAATATCCACTGCACAAACTACAACTCTGCCTAAAGAACACCACCCAATCATAACAACTCCCTATCAATGAAAGTCATTTTTCCCCTTGCAACCATATACCCTCCCAGTAATGTAAAATATATGGTGATATCAAATAGGTTGCATCCAAATTACAGGAAGTCAGTCTCAATAACACAATTAAGGAGATTTAGGGGCATTTTGGTAGAACAGTCTTACTCCTCACTGGGTTGTGGGTCACTCAGTTGGGAGGTGGTCTGTCCTACTAATTAGAAATGCTTGAATCAATGGCCCAATCACTCCTTATCTCCCTGGGGTCTTTTTCTTTTCCTATAATCTTAAGGAATTATATTTTTTTCTAAGAGACAGAAGATACAAAAACAGCAATCATTCACATCCTGAGTTCAGCAAAATCTACACACTGGACATCATTACGGAGAACAGCAGCAGTTTTTTATTCACTTTCAACAACCATTCTGGGTAGAGGGATGTGTGCAGGGATACATTTTATTTCCAGTTATGCATATTGTATTTGTGCAATTCCAAGACAACAGTTTTTCTGAGAGAAACAAAAATACCACCACATTAAATATGTACATTAATAAGACATTTTCCAATTTCGAAGGTTAAAATATGAAACAAATGTACATCTTAGAATATAGTTTATCAAGTATTATACATATAGATATATGTTTACTGAAAATTATTGGGTAATCAAATTTAATTTACCTTTCCCCAGAATATGTCTTTCTTCTTCTCCACAGAATCTTGGAAAACTTGTAGTGCATGCAATGTAATAATTTAAACTTCACAGCTTTCCAAGCACCTGTGGAACTCTACTGAAAGCTAAAACTTCAGATTTATCAAAACCTCATGCTCAAAGCACCTAAAATGAGAAACTTGTTTTCATTTTCCTTAGAATCAGCCCTCCTGGATACCAAATATCAGAGAAAGGGAAAAAACTGCCCCTAAACCACCTTAGTAAAACTGCAATCTCTGTCAACTTGAAGGAACCTGTGGCTGGCATTGCAGAATCTTTTCTACTGCTTTCATTGTGGCAGTGGTTTACAAAGCACCCAAGAGTCCTTCAAAGAGCTAGCTGTCCTACTTTTATTCTGGCTTTCCTTCTTCTTTTTTCTTTCTTCTTTCTCCTTCTTCCTTCTCCTTCGCCTTCTCCTTCTTCTGTGTATATGTGTGTTTTTGCGTGCATATGTGTGTGTTAAAGAGATCTTAATGTCCTACTTGCCCAAAGGCCCTCACAATGCTAGCACTTTTGAAACCCTCTGAAAACAAAGTAGAAAAACTAAACAATCAAGGCCAAGAAAGGCAATGTTAGTGCTTGGGGACCCAGAATTTGACTGAAGATGAGTCAAGAGCTTGTAGTTAAAAGAAAAATTGACTATACGTTAAAGGATACTTCCTCTCTTACCTGCCAGATGAAACCAAAAATAATAAAGCCTTCATTATATTAGCCATCCCAGTGACCCATGGGGTTGAGACTCCTCCCTCCCAAAAAGAAAACATATTTTCTTAATTGAAAATATAAATGTAGAGATTTTCTATGATATTGACCTGAACTTCAATTCCAGAAAAGCTGGTCACCTGTTACTCATTATTTAGCACTGTTATAAGGCATGACAGTTAATATCATAATCTCTTTCACAACACCGTAAAAAAGATTCTGATTCTTGCTAATTCTTTCCAATTTCATTGGCGTGGACTGCTGTTCATGAATATTTGGTTTTGTTTTTCTGGCTTTGCTCCCCATTCTCTTTCTTTTGGAACATTTCCTAACTTATTCTTATTTGGGTTCATCTTTATCAATACAACCATACAAGCAATGAAAAAGTTCTTAATGTTAAATTTTAGTTATTGCTATAGCCAAATGTTTGGCATCATGTGGCCAGAGTGAATTTATAGTGGATTGAATTGGACATTATGTATATATAACCTCTACTCTTTGAAAAATAAAGAAGCAAACCAAGAGTGAGAATAATGTTTATGTAAGTTTATGAAACTTAAGATAAATATCACCATCTCTGGAGAGATCTGTTTCCATCATACTATGACATTTTTCTGTAAACTAGTTGGCAGAGGATATATTGATTCTCTTTGTGCAAAAATAAATATTTCATCAGTAAACATATCAAAGTTATACTATATCTATTTTGTGGCACACATAGCATATCCTCCATTTACACATTGATATTTAAATTGTAATTTTTAAAATAATAATATACCCTTCAATTCTACTGAAACCCAAGTCTTCTATAAGCTTTGAAATTGTCACATAATTCTAAGGTTTCGTGATCTGACTCCAGCAAACATATTATAGAAAACAACTAAAATATATTCATAAATTTATTTTAAAAATATGTTTTACTTGATTAAGAAATAGGTCAAAAACCTTAACAGACACCTTATCAAAGAAGACATACAGTTGGCAAACAAGCACATGAAAAGATGCTTTACATCATATGTCATCAAGGAAATGTAAATAAAACAACAATGAGATACTACCACACACCTACTGGAAAGGCCAAAATCTAGAACACTGACAACACCAAATGCTGGCAAAGATGTGGAGCAACAGGAACTCTCTCGTTTATTGCTGATGGGAATGCAAAATGGTACAGCCACTTTGGAGAAGAGTTTGACAGTTTCTTACAAAACTAAGTATGCTCTTAACATATGATCCATCAGTTGCACCCGTTGTATTTATTCAAAAGAGTTGAAAATTTATCTCTGTACAAAAACCTGAACATAGATGTTTATAGCAACTTTATTCGTAATGGCCAAAACTTGGCAGCTACAAGATGTCCTTCAGTAGTGAATGGATAAATAAACTGGTACATCCAGACTATGGAATATTATTCAGCACTAAAAAGAAATTAGCTAGAAAGTCATAGAAATACATGGAGCATAGTTAAATGCATATTACTAAGTAAAAGAAGGGAATGTGAAAAGGCTTTATACTGTATTATTCCAATGATATGACATTCTGGAAAAAACAAATCTATGAAGACAGTAAAAGGATTGGTGGTTGTCAGGGATTAGAGGAAAAGGAGAGATGAATAAGCCAAGTGCTGGGAGCAGGCCCCCCAAAATCTGGCCATAATCTGGCCCCAAAAACTGGCCATAAACAAAATCTCTGCAGCACTGTAACATGTTCATAATGGCCCTAACGCCCAAGCTGGAAGGTTGTGGGTTTATGGAAATGAGGGCAAGGAACAACTGTCCCACCCAGGGTGGAAAACTGCTTAAATAAGGCATTCTTAAGCCACAAACAATAGCATGAGCAATCTGTGCCTTAAGGACATGCTCCTGCTGCAGTTAACTAGCCCAACCTATTCCTTTAATTCGGCCCATCCCTTCATTTCCCATAAGGGATGCTTTTAGTTAATCAAATATCTATAGAAACAATGCTAATGACTGGCTTGCTGTTAATAAATACGTGGGCAAATCTCTGTTCAGGGCTCTCAGCTCTGAAGGCTGTGAGACCCCTGATTTCCCACTTCACACCTCTATATTTCTGTGTGTGTGTCTTTAATTCCTCTAGTGCCTCTAGGTTATGGTCTCCCTGACTGAGCTGGTCTTGGCACCAAGCACAGAGAATTTTTAGGGCAGGAAAACTATTCTGTATGACATCATAATGGTGGATATATGTCATTAAAATTTGCCCAAACCCACAGAATGCACAGCACAAAAAGTGAACCCTAATGTAAACTATGGACTCTGGATGATAATGATGTGTCAATGTAGGTCCATCATTGTAAAAAATGTACCATTCTGATGGGAGATGTTGATATAGGGGATGTTATGCACGTGTGGAGGAACTTGGGGTATATGGGAAATTGCTATACCTTCCTCTCAATTTTGCTGCGAACCTAAAATTGCTCTAAAGAATAACGTCTGATCATTTGTTTTATTTTTTAAAAATCTATGTCCTAAGACCAAGAAAAAACAGCTTATTAAATAGGTCAGAGGTCACCAAGCCATAAAACATACCTTACACTGAATAAGCCAATAGCCTACAATTTGACTTTTGAACTGTTATAGAATTCAATAATTTACTTTTTTCATGATAAATCTATAGATACAATTTGAAGTGATGCATATGCTGCATATGCTGATGAAAGCACAACAAAAAACAATAACAACAAACCCAACTTTGTTCTCCACGAAAAGTCAAAGGCTGTTCAATTTTGCATAGTGGAAGAGGGTATTAATATATACTATGAAAACTTTCAAAAAAAGTCATTAATATTAAATTCATAATCTCTTAATACAATTATTAGATTACCAGAGAGATTCTTCAGTCTGATTAATTGATATGCAACCTCTTAAGTATGACAAACTCCACAACAAAGAGTATTTGTCCATATTATATGACACTGTTGGTAATTTCAAGATTATTTTAACTATCAAGATATTTGTGGGGATATGATCAAGAAATTTTACTTTATGCTTTCATGTGAATTAATATAACCCTACATCTAAACCCTCAGAAAAATTGATCAGAACTTGCCTTTATTAAGAAAACACTAATCAACATGAGTAATGAAGGAACATATCTCAAAATCATAAAGGCCCTATATGATAAAATCACAACTAACCTCATACTGAAGTGAGGAAAAATTGAAGACTTTCCTCTAAGGACTGGAACAACCCACGGATGCCCACTTTCACCCCTATTATTCAACATAATACTGGAAATCCTGGCCAGAGCAATTAGGCAAGATAATAAAATAAAGGACATTCAAATTGGAAAGGAAGAAGTAAAAACATCCTTGTTCACAGATGACATGATCTTACACCTAGGAAACCTAAAGACTCCACTAAAAAACTGTTATAACTGATAAAGTAATTCAGTAACATTGCAAGATACAAAACCAAAATAAATTCTGAGTTAATGCTGGAAGAGTTAAGACTTTGGGGGACTGTTGGGAAAGCATGATTGGATTTTGCAATGCAAGAAGGACATGAGATTTGGGAGGGGCCAGAGACAGAATGATATGGTTTGGATCTGTGTCCTCACCCAGATATCATGTGCAATGGTTGGAGATGGGGCCCGGTGGGAGGTGATTGGATCATGGGGGCAATTTCTAATGGTTTTTCACCATCCTGCTAGTGCTATTCTCATGATAGACTTCTCACAAGATCTGATTGTTTAAAATTGTGTAGCACTTCTCCCCGCCCCTTTTCCTCCTGCTCTGGCCACATAAAATGTGCATGCTTCCTTTTTGCCTTCCACCATGATTGTAACTTTCCTGAGGCCTCCCCTGCCGTGCTTCCTGTACAGCCTGCAGAAGCAGGAGCCAATTAAACCTCTTTTATTTATAAATTACCCAGCCTCAGGCCTTTCTTTATAGCAGTGTGAGAATGAACTAATATAGCATTTGACAAGGAATCAATAACCAGAATATATATGGAGCTCAAACAACTCAATAACAAAAAGACAAATAATCCAATTTAAAAATGCGTGACAGATCTAAATAGACATTTCTGGAAAGAAGACATACACATGGAAAACAGGTATATGAAAAAATGTTCCACATCACTAATCATCAGAGAAAGGCAAATCAAAATCAAAATGAGATATCATCTCACCCCAGTTAAAATGGCTTTTATCCAAAAGACAGATAATAATGGATGGCGGCAAGGACGTAGACTGTTGGTGGGAATGCAAATTAGTACAGCCACTATGAAAAACAGTATGAAAATTCCTCAAAAAACTATATAATTCCACTTCTGGGTTTACATCCGAAAGAACTGAAATCAATATATCAAGGAGATAGATACCTGTACTCCCTTATGTATTGCAGTGCCATTCACAATAGCCAAAATGTGGAATCAACCTAAGTGCCCATCAATGCATCAATAGATAAAGAACATGTGGTATTTGTACACAACATATTATTCAGGTATAAAAAAGAATAAAATCCTGTCATGTGCAGCAACAGGAATGACACTGGAGACCATTATGTTAGGTGAAATAAGCCAAGCACAGAAGGACAAATATTGCATGTTATCACTCACACGTGGGAGTTAAAAAAGTGAATGACATGAAGATAGACAGTAGATTGGTGGTTACTAGAGGCCAGGAAGGGGAGGCAGAAAGGAGGGATGACAAGGGAAAAATAATATAAATGTATTTGTTATCACTGAACTGTATGCTTTAAAATGGTAAAGCTGGTAAATTATATATGTATATTTTACCTCAATAAATTAATGTATAAGGCTGTGATATTTTAGATATGCTCATTTTTATTTATAATAATTGCACAATGTTAATTAAAGCATGTGTGCTTCATTGACACATTTCTAAAGAGAAATGGCAAGCAATGTTTTTTATAACAGAATATTTTTTGTTTTTTTACAAACAGAATATTAATAGACAAGTGTCTTAGTCTTATTCACCTCCACGGACACATCATAGGTAAAAGAAAGTTATCTAACTACTAAATCCACAACATAAATTAGTCCTAATAGCAGAAGGAATTTTTCAAATATAGAGAAT
Source organism: Homo sapiens (assembly GCF_000001405.40). NCBI lineage: Eukaryota > Metazoa > Chordata > Mammalia > Primates > Hominidae > Homo > Homo sapiens. The sequence continues at coordinate 125,943,756 of NC_000005.10, forward strand.
TAAAAATATTTACTTCCTAATTTGCAGGTATGGGATAACACAGTGAACCATTATTTTCCCAATGACTAATGACTGATGACGCAAAAATCATACCTAGGTAAAAGATTCATTCAAAGTGCAAAATAGCCCAATGAATCTTAATGTTATAGCATATGAAAAGTTCATCGCTGAACAGATCCCAAATTGCAACTAAGCTTTAAGAAAATATTTCTTATTGATTTTTGATAGAATATCAAAGGAAACTTTGCACAATTATCTGCAAAGGCTATCAAAATACTCCTTTCATTTTTCTGCTTCATATCTGCATAGAAATGTATTTTCTTCATATTTGTCAACAAAAACTACGTATCACAAAAGCTTGATTCCAGAAATAGATATAAAAATCCAGCTATCCCCTATTCAGACGTACTTTAAAGAGATAAGCAAGTTGTAAAACAATCCCACTCTTCTTAACTTTAGTTTTTGTTTTGGAAAATATATTTATCATAAAAATGTGCTCGTACATTAAAACAAAAATTCTGGACCCTAGCTCAGGTTTGACTTAGCTAAAACTTTACTAATCCTGGAGATGGAGACTCTATCTATACAATATTAATAAAATTTATTGTTAACTCAAATTTCATCATAAAAACCTCATGCATTATAATGAAAATAAAAGTTGCTGAACTTTTTTTTATTTTACTGTTGTTTTTCTAAGCTCAGGCAAATTAATTTAAGCATATAGGCAAATGTCTATAAACATTTAATATCTAAAGAAAGAAAATTTCAAGTATATGAAAATGCTTAAATATATTTTGTTTTGTAAAAAATAAGGGCAAGTAGAGGTTTGCCATTTTTTCTTCTGAACTAGTATTCAAATTGTGTTCTGTTATTTGTAAATAAATAATTATTTTTGTATCTTAAAATTAATAGGCTGCCTTCTACTATAAAAATTTATCAAAGTCCAAGGAGAAAGGAAAATATGATTGAAATTCCTTAGAATACCAGAGCTGTTCTTTTTATGAAATTGAACATTCACATGCTGTTGCGCCCTTCTGCCTCTATTACAATATCCCGCCCGTTCTAGAGTAGGCTACTGGGCTACTGAAAAAAAGAGACTAAAAATATTCTTTAGTAACAGAACCATCCAAGATTTTCACAAATTGAAGAAGGGATGAGAAAGGACCAGATAATTAAAATGGTGTTTTATTCCAAATAAAATACCATTTGGATTGCAGGAGAGATGAATTGGTATCTACCTTTTTTTAAAAAATACACACTAAAAATCTGATAATGCTGGTAAAATAATCATGTTAAAATTATCTTCAGGAAAGAAAGTACTTTTAGCATTATGAGAAATACCAGTGATTACATGGAAATATGGCATATTACAGATTAATAATGTTTTAATATTTGGCAGGAAAAGCTAGTTTATTCTCTAAAAATATTCATTTTTAAAATAGGAAAGGGTATTTCTTCTTTAGTTTTAAGAGTCTTGCAAAGCAAGATACTCGGTACTGAGTCCATGGCATTCTTTTTTACAATCCAGTTTGCAGAGTATCATGTTTTAAAACTGTAATTACCTTCCTCAGGTGGCAAACTTAGTTAAGGTGGTTTCTTTGAACTTTAGAAGATATTATATGAATTTCTCATCATGACATACTGAAAAGAGGTAAAAAAATCACCTTTCCTCAGATTTGGATTGTTTTCACAGATTAAATTGTGGTTATTTCCATAACTGTGCTCTTAAAAACTTCAAACTTTTCATCTCTAATAAATCTCATATATATTATCTTACAATAAAATATTTGTGCCTTACCCCACTTTTTATAGTCTTATTCATGTAATATACATCCCATTTCCAAATAAAGATTGCTCATTCACCTAACAGCAGAGTTTCAAAAGGCATTAAGCAAAATCTGAGAGAACTGAAAGAAGAAATATCTAAATCCACTATTACAGTTGGAAGCATCAACACACTTCTCTCTATAATAGATACTACCAGTAAACAGCAAATTAACAGGAATATAGAAGATCTGAAAAAAACATTTACCAACTGAATCTAGTTGATGTTTATTAAACGCCACACCCAACCAGAGAAGAATACTTATTATTTTCAAGTACACATTAAACATTCATCAAGATGAATCATGAAATAAACCATGAGTTTGTTGTCCTAGTGCACGAAATAAATCTTACCATTTTAAAGGAACTGATATCAAACAAAGTATGCTCTATGATCATGATGATTAAGCTAAAAATAAATAACAGAAAAATAAGAAAATATCCAAACATGTAGAAATGAAATAATATAATTTTAAACAATCCATAAATAAAGGGGAAGTCACAAGATAAATTGGAAAATATTTTTGAATTAAAGGAAAAGAAAAATACAACATACCAAATTTGTTAGATGCAGTTAAAGCAGTGTTTCTAGGAAAAGCTATAGCATTAAATGATAATATTAGACATAAAGAAAGGTATCATCATAATCTAAGTTTCTCTCTTACTAAATTAGAAGAAGATCACAATAAACCCCAACCAAGCAGAAAACAGGAAATAATAAAGGTAAGAGCAGCAACCAAGAATTTGAGAAAAAGAAAACAATCATGAAAATTAATGAAGCAAAAAAACTGGCTCTTTCAAAAGAGCAATAATAAATAATAAAATATCAACAAAATTGATAAACCTTTAGCAAAACAGACAAGATAGGCAAAGAAAAAAGACTAACAAAGAAAGAAAGATACTAATAAAATCAGGAATGAAAAAAGGAAAATCAGGAATGAAAAAGGGAAATAACATTGTAGACCCCTCAGGCATTAAAGAGATGATGAGAGAATATTGTGAACAATTAACCCTACCCACATAAATCCAACAACTTAGATAACTGTCCAATTCCTCAAAATCCACAAACTATTAAAATACACCTCTGATGAATTACATATCCTAAATAGTCCAATTTAAAAATTGAACTTATGGTTTAAAACTTTCCAAAAAGAAATTTGCAGGCCCAGATTGTTTTACTGGCAAATTCCTCAAAATATTTAAGTTCTTCTTTAACAGCAATTCTACACACACTTTCAGAAAACAACAAACATTCATCTTTTTCCAAGATTCATTTGGAAGTGATCTTTGCATGATAATATCAAACACTGAATGTGTCAGTACCCTGAAATTACATGATAACTATATATACTAGTGAAGAAATGTTGACAAGCAGAGATGAATTACAGATATTATGATGACAATATCATTATCAGAATTACAATGTGTCTGAGTTTTATTTATTCCATCCATATGAATGTGAGCTTGAAATGTGATCATCTGGAAAATTAAAATCTTGCTATCTACATTGCAATTAACTCGATGCATAAAGTAGAAGAACTCTGAGAAACAAAAGAAAAATACTAATATGTTGTGAAAGGAGTAACCAAAAAAACTATAATGTATGACAATGAATTGAATAATGAGAAAGGCTTTGGAAATCAATGAACAAGTAGGAGAAATAAATACAAGCTGTGGTCGGTGTGGAAGAACACAAACACACTACAGGGCAAACCACAGGTGATAAGCAAACACACTAAATATTCTCATAAAAATTTCAATCTACTCACTTTCAGAGATAGCTTGTCTATCACACAAACTAACTCAACTAAATGTCAGATTATGTGATATTGCTATCAATGGAGATTAAGATTAAACCATTATTTGAGGAATGTACCATAATTTGTTTCTCTAAGAGTTTAAAAATTATACTGATTAGTGATAAATTAATCATGTAAACATTTTAATAAATATTTTGCTTATTAATAGGTTATAAATTGTTGAAATTATTTTGTTAGAAACTTATGCAGAACTGAAGATTACATAGGGTTCCGGAGACTTCTCTTGCCTATTCACACTCAGTTCATTTATTTCCCCTGAATAACCAATTCAACATAGTGGATTACAATCCTTTTCATTGAAAACTCTCCTGTTCATTTCTACAAGATTTTCAGTAAAATAGCATATTGAATTGAAAAGCATATTCTTCTTTCAGTGAGTATTCATAGGTTCCAACTAGAAAGATTTCAATCAAAAGTACCTTCCAACTGATGACATAATATCATTATCAAAGGAGATATAACCATAACATTAGATGCGCATTTCTTTAATCTATTATTCTCAATCTCATCACTACACCCTTCAAAGAAATTCAATGCCATGTATTTAAAGTGTATCCTTTACACTTTTCTAAATATTCTTTCCATTATTATATTCTTACATATTCATCAAAATATATAAAATTATATTTGAATAAAGAAATTGTATCTAGATGAAAGACAAATTATCATATAAGCTATTATTTCCAGATGCGATCTGAGTTCAGAAAGGGGTAGAAAACTTAGTAGTTTGAGGAGTACTGTGTATGCTACTACCTGTAACATTTTTCTCTATCTAGTGTATTCTTAGTTCCTGTAAATGAAAGCAATAATTTATTGTTGGATTTTACCAGATAACTCTTTAGCAAAAAACAATACAAATTATTGTATCCCTTTCTTAAATATTTATATATGCATATAAATGTATAAAAATTTTTGTGCATATTTGAAATGTATCTAAATTTATGCATTTCATTGATCAACTTCCTCCATTCATTCAATGTTGTTTTTGAAACCCATCCAGGATGATAAATATAGATGTTTAATTCTATGTATGCTCTGCATAGCTTCCTGTCATATGACTACATGTATTTTATCTGTCCATTCAGTCACTGGTGTCATTTGATATGTTCAACACTTTTGCTAATAAAAGCAGTACCTCAATGACATTTATGTAGATATTGCCTTTATAATTCTCAGTTTGTTTTAGAAGTCAAATACTGGGCTCATCTCTGTTGGTTTCTTTCTTTTCCAAGATCTCATTCCTTTAATTTTTCATAGTCTTGTAGCTCTCTGCCTTAAGCAGAAATTGCTTAAGGTGTCCTTCAATATTTTCAGTTATTCTCAATAAAATCAGAGTTAGTAAATTACCTCATCTGAAATTACCTAGAAGGTCCTTTACTCTTTACACTTTAAACTCTTCCTCATACTACATGTTTTATTGTATAATTGACTATCCTGCTCTCTCTTAATTTTCTTAGCATACAGTGGTAAAAAATAGATGACGCACATGGATCCACAAAGACCTCACATACTCCCTTAACCAAGTCACGGGAGATACAAAAGAACTTCAGTATCGAAGCAATTCTTGTCAGACTTGCTACACACCTTTTCACCTATAACCAAAATACAAACCATGACTATCTCATTCTTTCTTTCTCAAATCCAGTCCCAGACTTCTTCCAAAGTACAACTACCTAGATTACAGTTGCTCAACCTCTGATACGTTGTTACCTCCTTTGCTTGAGTTATTCTGTTTCTCTGCAATATCTTGCTGACCTGTGCAACATTCTACTGAATTTACTGTAAGAAGTTATTCTTTTTCTGTTAACATAAACTTACACAGTTTCCTTTTTCAATACAATAGATTTCCATTCCAATTAATAACCACCTAATATTTCACTATTATTTTTCCCATAGTTTCTACATGTCTCCTTCATAGCAACTATCACAGCCTATATGGTACTTTTGTTCTTGTTTGTTGACACATAATAAAATGTACATATTTATGGGGTATATGTGGTACTTTGATATAGTTGTATTCTAGGTTTTGTTCTTCTCTACTAGAGTGGAAACTCCATGAAAGTAGGAACTATGTCTCTCTGGAGATGCCATTGTATCTCTTGCATTTAACACATTATCAGATGCAAAGAGGACCTTCAGTAACTATTTCTAAAATTGTTAAATAATTGGGTTCTTTTCATGTGTCAGTGCTGTGGATTTTAAAGTAGAGTTGAAGATCATGAAAAAATTAAACTAAAGATGAAAACCTCTTTTTAGGTACCTATTATGTAACAACAAATTTACTTAAGGTATTTTATTTGTTCCTTATAAAACCATATAACATAGGTATTATGATCATTTTATAGATGAGAAAATTAAGATGCAGAAAAATTCGGTAAATTCCTTAAAAATTGAGTTGCTAATGGCAGAGCTTCACTTCAATCCCATTTCCATCTGATTCTGACCTTTGACCTGTCTACTGCACCACACCACCCTAGGGTAAGCACTTTTGATTTATAGATAGCTTCAGATAATTTTCATGAACCCTACAATTAAAATTATTTGAACTCCAGAGTGTCTCTCTGCCCCATCTCTTCATGTGCTGGAATGCACAAGCAGGAAACAATGGATTCCTGTCGCAAGTACAGCAGTCACGTTGTTTGTGTTTCAATTGCCTTGTCATGAAATTGTCCAAGTTATGATTATATATCGTTTTGCCTAAAGACATCCCATCTCCATAAATCTTAGAGCTGAATTATTGGGGATACAATCAATTTGTAGATGTCACATTTAATCATATAAAACTGAAGTTTTTCTGGATTGCTGAGTCATTGGAATTGAGTGGAATGACATTTTCTAATATTTGGAAAAATAACGTATGATGAAGAGAAATGTGTAATCATGGTGTGTAATAACAGTATGACCTAAGCTATTTTAGAGTCAACATGTTTAATGCTCAGAGGTGGAACACAAGGTCCAAAGAGGTTAGATAATTGGCAGAATACTAAGCAGCTTGCTAATGGTGTAGCTAGCCGCATGCCAACTCACCTTCTAACACACATATTACTTATGAGTTACTGTGTTTGCTAGTGGCACAGTTAGTGGCATGCTAATCACTTTATACCATATACACCACTCATTAGTTACTGTTTCCCAGGTGGTTTATAAATATTAACTTCTAATGTTTCAACCTAAGAGTTTCATGACTTATTTCTTCCTGAATTTTGCCTAATTTCTTCCTTAAGTTTCAATGCCTGTATTCTTATTAGGTATTTGGTTCTGTAATCTTTATCATTTCAGTACAAAATTTGTTAATTATATTAACTGCACAATAAATGTATTACTCTACAGGGTCCAATTTTTGTTCATTCCAGTAGCTATGAAAATGGAAATCCCACATAAACTTATTGGGCTTGTATGGTACAGGTCTGGACATGGGATTTACATAGTCCAGAAATCTTAAGAATAGTCACATTTGGAGGTCTCCAATTTGATTCAGCAGTTACGCATGAATTCCGTAAACCCTTTATTGAGCAACTATCATGGTGCAGGAATTTACTCATATAAACATGAATAATTTATATTCCTTACCAACAATAAGTTCACAGATTAGTGGAATAAATATGCAAAAGACAAATAAATTACTATTAAATACATATTGTGAGAACTTCCTGGAACAATACAGCCCAAATGATGTGGAGAATTTTTTATTCAGTTTACTTCTCACAGGAGGCACAAGTTACCTCCTGGCACAACTATACCTTACCTGGGATGGTTCACCTGCCCATAATGGAACGCAACCTAGTAGTAAAAAGGAATGAGGAAGATCTCAATAGACTGGTATTTTACGCAAGGTTCACAAGAATGTATACAGAATGTTATCTTTTCTCTAGTAATGACAGTGAAACAAGAGTATGTGTTTACATATTTATTTGTATTAAAGGAATAAGTACAAGTAGAAATAAGGCAAAAAATAATGAAAACCCACTATTGGAGAAAAAAATAAAAAGAATAGCTTTTCTTCATTCTTTATTTTTTAGCCCCTGAAAAGAAATTCTTCATTTTTTTAACATCTCATTTTGTATTAAGAAATAGCAGCTAAACAAATTTCTATAGTGTCATTGTTGCCTATAGAGCTTCACTATTTCCTTATTATAGTGGTCATCATATATAAATATACATGGTTTTGTCTACTTGTAGACCACTATGTTTCTTATCCAATTTTCCTTCAGGCTACATAATAGGTTCTAGTGACTTTTCCTTCTACATTTTAATGTGTTTTCTTTCTAAGCATTTAGAAAGTAGTTACCTCATCTCTACTACTGCAGGCCACAAAAGGTTACACTCAGAAGAAAAAAATGATCTATATTTGTGCCATTAAGGGACAAAAAAACATTTTGAAGGACCATTTGCCAGCACCCACTTAAAATTTTAAATGCACAAACTCTATGTCCCTGTAATTTTACTTGATATCTACCCTAGAAAAAAATTTATATATATACAAGGAGGCATGTTTTCAGAATGTTCATAGCAGCACTTTTTGCAATAACAGATCATTAGAAATATCTAAATTTCCAGAAGTAGTGAAATAGATAAAATCAACTGAAGTCAACTATGTACTATGAAAGACCATGCAGCAGTTAAAACTAATTTAGTAAATCAAAATGGAAAGATCTTTAAAATAAATTGTTGGGTGAATAAAGCACATCAGAGAGAAATATACAGACCAAGATAGCATTTCTGTAAAACACACCTTGATTGTGTATTTTTGGCAACATGTATGTTGCTGTGTAAATACAGGGGAAAAATGACAAAATAACAACTACCATTGTAGAGAATTCTGGAAATGAAAGTGGTGATCGGGGTAGTTTTAACTATCTGTTTATATGAATGTTTTATAATGAAACACATTCATGTAGTGCTTATATATTTAAAATTAAATAAATGTTTTGAAGAAAAGAAAACAGATTATGAACGAGAACTGCAAAAGTCTGTGAGTTCAGAGGCTGGATAGAACTCTTGGATAACTGTGCACCGAGACTCTGCAGACACGCGGCTTCCACTAATCTATTCGCAAAGACCTTTGGTATTTTCAGAGGAGTAAAGACTCACAAAAGAGGAAGAATCTCTGTTCATGTCATACTCCTCTTACTTTTTCTGTTACTTCGTAATTCACATTTTGCAACCAGTACTTTTTATCTACTTGTTTTTATACTTTTTTGCCAATAAGGTTCCAACAAATTCCCCTATTTGTAAATATTTTATTTGGGTCTGTGTGATTGTATAACATCATGTGTTTCTCATTGATTAGGTTTGTGAGTCCGTACCTTGTATTTAATTATCTTTTCAATTGAAAAATAACTGAGTTGCATGTGATATCTGAATTTCTGCTTTTTCATGGTATTCATTTTAGTTCAATTTGCTATATTTTACATATGAAAGTTTCTATGTAAAATTCTTAGTAAAAATGACATTTTCAAGTTGTGTTCCATAGTCTTCCCACGATGCAACATGCATTGTAATTTTTAAGTTTTATTTAAATCTATATGGAATCTTTTAAAAAGCATCACAGATTTAAATAGAAACAACAACAATCAATCAAAAATTATTTCCAAGGACATTCAGTAGGTTATGGTTAGATTCATGACCAAAAAAGGATTCATTCTGTTGCTTATTGAGCATTTACTCTGTGCCAGCCATCTCCTAAAAATTGTGATACACAAACAGCCAAAAGTGACAATAAAGTTCTGCCTTTTTAAGCTTATATTTTAACATCAAGTGACAAACAATAAGCATAATGAATAATTAAATTATGCTCGGTGTATATATATGTATTAAATACATATTATGAGGAAAAAGAGAAAAGTGAATAGAGAACAGTGGAAAAGACTGGAGGTGGGAGCAAGAAGAGCAGTTTGCAATTTTAATCTCCGGGCTCAGGGGTGACCATTATTGAGAAGGTAGCATCTGAGCAAAGGCTTGATAGAGATGAAAGATTTTGCTGTAGTTATCTGTGCAAAAACTCAGAGATGGGATTATTTCTAGCAAAGATAAGGAATACCAAAAAGAAAAGTGGAATGAGAATTAAGTCCTAGGACATGGAAATGTTAAAAGATCAGGGAGATGAGGATCTGGCAAAGAAGATTGAGAGGTAGAAGCCAATGAGATGGGAGAAAACCCAAGAAAATGTGTTGTTGTGGAAGCCACATGACTGGAAGTGTAACAAGCAGAAGGAGTGAAGAACTGTGTGAACTGTCATTGACAGGTAACGCAAAAAGGCACTGAGAATCACAGCCATTAGATAGAGACCATTAGGTGATGTTGGCAATTTCTAGAGAGTGCTTAATAACTAGAACATTTCCAATACCATCTCCTTATACCATCTCCTTCATCCTTCCCCCCGAAAAAATATTTTCCTGAATTTTAGGCTCATCATTCCCTTACATATTTTCATAGTTTCATCACAAACATTTGTATTCCTAAGCAACACATTATTTGGTGCTGTTTGTTTTCTGCTTTATAAAAATGTCATTATATTAATCAGGGTTCCCTAGAGAAATAGAACCAATAGTATATAGAGACAGAAAGAGATTTATGATGAGGCATTGGTTCACATGATTATGGAGGCTGAAAGGTCTCAGGATCTGCTGTCTGCAAACTGGAGACTCGGGAAAGCTGTTAGTGTAATTACAGTCCAAACCAGAAGGCCTGAGAACAAAAGAAGCCAATAGTGTAAGTTCCAGTCAGAGTCTGAAGGTCCAAGAAACCAGGAGTGCTAATGTAAAAGGGCAGAAGAAGATGGATAACCCAGCTCAATCACACAGAGCAAATTCCTTCTTCTCTACCTTTCTGTTCTATGCAGCCCTTCAACAGAGTGTGTGATCACCCTTATCAGTGAGGGTGATCTTCTTTACTCAATGTACTAATTCAAATGCTCATCTCTTCTGGAAACATCTTCACAGACTTAACCAGAAATAATCTTTGCCAGCTATCTGGGCATCTCTTAGCCCAGTCAAGTTGACACATAAAATTAGCCCTCACAGCCGTTAAATGTATGCAGCCCTTTCTACTCAATATACTTCCAAGCATATAACTTAGAACATCTGATAGAAGAAAACTGTAAAGCTTATTTTTGTATTTGTTTTAAGACTTTGACCTTCGGGGTCAAAGTTTTTTTCTTGAGTCAATCTTGATATAGTATTTTTGTATTTTGTATTTTTTTATTATTTTTTTAAATATAAAAAGAGGTTTATACAGTTCTGCAGGCTGTACAGGAAGAATGGTGCCAGCTTCTAATCTAGGGGGGACTCAGCAAGCTTTTACTCATAGCAGAAGGTGAAGCAGGAGTATGCACTTCATACAGCAAAATCAGGAGCACAAGAGACAGTGCAGAGGGGGAGGTGCCACACACTTTTAAATGACCAGATCTTATGAGAACTCACTCACTATCACAAAGACTGCACCAAGCCATGAAGAATCCACCCCCATGACCCAAATACCTCTTACCAGGCCCCACCTCCAGAATTGGGGGTTATAATTCAATATGAGATTTGGGTGGGGACAAATGTCCAAACTATATCAAACTTGTACTTTTTAAAATTTTTTATTTCAATAGGTTTTTAGGGAGCAGCATAATGTTGGCTGTGTGTTTCTCATAGATGCCTTTGATTACTTTAAGGTATGTCCCTTTTATGCTGATTTTGCTGAGAGTTTTAATCATAAAGGTATGTTGGATCTTGTCAAATGCTTTTTCTGCATCTATTCAGATGACCATGTGATTTTTGTTTTTAATTCTGTGTATGTGGTGTATCACATTTATTGACTTGCATATATTAAACTATCCCTACACCCCCAGTGTGAAACCCACTTGATCATGGTGGATTATGTTTTTGATATGTTGTTGGACTGGGTTCACTAGTATTTTGTTGAGAATTTTTGTATCTATGTTCATTAGGGATGTTGGTCTGTAGTTTTCTTTTTTTGTTATGTCTTTCCCTGGTTTGGGGGTGATACTGGCTACATGGAATGATTTCAAGAGGATTCCCTCTTTCTCTAACTTTTGGAATAATGTCAATAGGATTAGTATTAGTTCTTCTTTGAATGTCCAGTAGAATTCAGCTGTGAATCCATCTGGTCCTGGACTTTTTTGTTGGCAGTTTTTTATTACTATTTCAATCTCGCTGGTTGTTATTGGTCTGTTCAGTTTCTATATCTTCCTGGTGTAATCTAGGAGGATTGTATATCTCCAGGAATTTATCCATCTCCTCTAGGTTTCCTAGTTTATGCACATAAAGTTGTTCATAGTAGCCTCGAATGATCTTTTATATTTCTGTGGTATCAGTTGTAATATCTCCTATTTCATTTCTAATTTAGCTTATTTGGATCTGTCTTTTCTTGGATAATCTCACTAATGGTCTATCAATTTTATTTATCTTTTCAGAGAACCATCTTTTTGTTTCATTTATCTTTTGTATTGTTTTGTTTCAATTTCAAGTTCTGCTCTGATCTTTGTTATTTCTTTTCTTCTGCTAGGTTTAGGTTTGGATTGTTTTTGATTCTCCAGTTCCATGAGGTGTGACCTTAGCTTGTCTATTTGTGCTCTTTCAGGTTTTTTGATGTAGGCATTTAATGTTATGAACTTTCCTCTTAGCACTGCTTTCAGGCAACAAATAACATGATGAATGGAATAGTACTTCACATCTTAATATTAACATTGAATATAAATGGCCTAAATGCTCCACTTAAAAGATAATAAATGGCAAAATGGATAATAATTCACCAGCCAAGTTTCTACTGTCTTCAGGAGACTCACCTAACATAAAGATTCACATAAACTCAAGGTAAAGGGGTGAAAAAAGATATTCCATTGAAATGGACACTAAAAGTGAGTGGGAGTAGCTATTCTTACATCAGACAAAGCAGATTTTAAAGCAATGGCAGTTAAAAAAGACAGAGGGACATTATATAATGATTAAAGGCCTTGTCCAACAGGAAAATGTCACAATCCTAAATATACATGCACCTAACACTGGAGTTCCCAAATTGGTAAAACAATTACACTAGACCTAAGAAATGAGATAGACAGAACACAATAATAGTGAGGGACTTCAATACTCCACTGACAGCACTAGACAGGTCATCAAGACAGAAAGTCAACAGAGAAACAGTGGATTTAAACTATACCCTAGGACAAATGGACTTAACAGATATTTACAGAACATTCTGCCCAACAACTACAGAACATACATTCTATTCATCAGCACATGGAACATTCTCCAAGATAGAACATATGATAGGCCACAAAACAAGTCTTAGTAAATTTAAGAAAATCAAAATTATATCAAGTATTCTCTCAGACCACAGTGGAATAAAATTGGGAATCAACTCCATAAAGAACCCTCAAAACCATGCAAGTACACGGAAATTAAATAACCTGTTCCTGAATAATCATTGGGTCAACAATGAAATGAAAATGAAAATTTAAAAATGCTTTGAGCTGAACAATAACAGTGACACAACCTATCAAAACCTCTGAGCTATTATTTAACTCACAATTTTTGGAATTAACTGTAGAATTCTTTACTTGTTTAATATCCACTTGACTCTGTAGTTACCCTTTTCAGTTCTAGTTTATTTGTGGCTTCTTGGGGTCACTTTAACAAAGTTTTCAATAATTCTCAGTCTTTTTAATCGTCTCCAACTTTTTTTTAATATCTGACTTTTTTTCTTTACTAGCTCATCTTTTCTATTTTCTCTATTCTTATTTTTTTTGACCTCTTAAGTTCTAAACTCAGTAGTTTTTAGCCTTTCTTTTCTTCCAATATAAACATTTTAGGATATAAGTTGTTCTCCAATACCACTCTAGTTATCCTGTAAGTTTTATAGGTAGTATTTAATTGCTCTTTGGGTTTACAGATTTTTAATTTCCATTATAATTTCTCATTTGACCTATAGATGTATTCATTTGTCTTTAATTTCAAAATACATGGCGTTTTTATTGTTAATAATAGCTATGTATGTCAGTTCCTGCGTGCTTTATACTTCCCTTTTATTGTTTCACTGCTTCCTGGTACTGAGTTATTTTTCCCTAGTTTCGCCTTTTGTCACTTGATTGGGGTTCCAAGAACTCAGAAAGAACATCAGGAATGACCCAGGAGCTCCACTTTACAAGTAGAGACAAATGGTTTAAATACCACTTTCTAAGAGGAAAGAAGGTATAGTATTTGTGGATGAGCTTTTTTTTCTCCAGGGAAAAGAGAATTATAGTTTTTCAAACAGCTGATAAGGGAGTTCCTTATATTGTGTATTTTACAATATTCCTAAGACCAAAGTATGGCCTGTGGTTGACAATTACAATGATGGTCTATAAAACACACTGGATTTTAAGAATATCATTTTTTATTTGGCATAACTGCTATAGTGCTGAAGATTTTTGTGTTCTACATTTTATGAATGTGAGGCTACTATGAGATATTATATATCCTCCTAAACTTTAGAAACTTTAAATCACTGCACAGATTGATGACTCAGTGACAGATGAGTCCAGTTTTGGAAATCATGAAGGAGCTACATCATATCCAGTGGGAGAAGGACAGGTCAGGCTTCAACTACTGAAGAAGGAATTTAGGCATGAATTAGGCACTTGAGTGAATGTTCTTGTTTAAGACTGCGCAGAAATGAAAACTTGGGAAGATTTTCAGACTTGAACATTAATAAACATCTAATTTCTATGAGATAAGTGATTCTATTTTTTGGATTTAATATCTTTATGGAAAGTTAGTAGAATATACTGTATTCATTTTGTTTGAGTTTGAGGTGTTTGGGGAATTGCTGATAATGAGTGAGGAGCGTAAAATTGTAAATCACTAATTGTATGACGTGTCCAATTATGCTATGTTAGACAACATAGCCTGGAATGAAATATAATGGAACAGAAAGAGAATTTTCAACCAAAATATAATGTGGCTTTACAGTTAATGAATATCTTGCTATGATACACTTTATTGGACAGCAGAGACAAGCATTTCTTGGGAGCCAGAACTCCCCAGTTCATCACTGATCCCATGCAATTATATGAGAGCTGTGTATCCTGAGAAGAAATCACATACATGGAAGTGAAGGGCCTTCTGAATCAGCCTTACTGATTCTCTGGGTAGAAGAGGGATCAGCTATACCTCTAGTTTACAATAAATTTGGCCTTTGTTTACAATAAATTTGATTGACTAAAAGAAATTACATATATGGAAACCTGGAGCAGACAGGTGGGAAAACCATTCTAATTTTCCCAAATTAGTTCTTCCATAGGGAGGTGATGATCAGTCTAACTAGGCCAATTCTATATTACCAATAGAACAACACTTACAAATGGATAGGCTTAAAATGCACATAAAAGTCGAGTGTGAGTATATGGCTTAAACTAGCACTTTCTTTTCAGAATAGAAAAGAAAGTAAGTGCCAGGTTTTGCCTCATCTGTGTGAGCCCCACCATGTTTCTTTGTTTCTTCATTGGTTCTCCATAATGATCAGTTTTGGGTTGACTTAGCTGTAGTACCCAGTTATTCAATCAACCACTAAACTAAGTGTTTCTGCAAAGGTATTTAATTAAAGTACATAATCAGTTGAGTCTAAGTAAGGAAGATTCTCTTAGATCATCTAGGTAGGCCTGAATCAGTTTTAAGGACTTAAGAGTAGAGTTGAGGCTTCTCTGAAGTAGAAGAAATTCCACCTGTGGACAGTAGCTCCAGCCTGTGCCCAAGGGTTCCAGCCTGCCCTTCTTAACAGCCTCCCCTACAGATTTCAGACTTGTCTTGCCAGCTCTCATAATCATGTTAACCAATTCCTTGCAATAAGTATACTTATTTAATGGATATCACAATGAGATTTACTACCTTAGACCAGAAAAGCAGCCTACTGTGAACTTTGGAATAAGCCAGAAATTATTCCCTTCGGTAAAGAAAGTGAGATGGCACCAGTATCATAAGAGCAGCTTAAAGGTAGCTGTCCCTTCTAGTCCAGGGTACATGGAAAAAAGATGCTGTCAAGAAACTGAAATCCCTAGTAACATGTGGATGATAGGAGTCTGGAATAGCAAAAGCAGGGTGTTGAAAGCTAAACATCAGGT
Source organism: Homo sapiens (assembly GCF_000001405.40). Classification (NCBI taxonomy): domain Eukaryota; kingdom Metazoa; phylum Chordata; class Mammalia; order Primates; family Hominidae; genus Homo; species Homo sapiens. The sequence continues at coordinate 125,959,500 of NC_000005.10, forward strand.
ACATGTAATTTTTATAAGCAACATTAAGAATGACAACCAGAGAATCTTGGCTGAGATCTGTGGCAGTGGGTAACAGATGATCAGGTCACCAGACGGAAGATAGGAAGCACTGTTGACTTATACATCTGACAAAAGTCAAGAGATGGTAAATAGAAGGCTGACATCTATCATGACAGCATAAAATCATGATCCCTCATTAACCCAGATCTGAGTCAGCCCCAGCCAATGCCTTGATTTCAGTGGGTATTGAAAGTTGCTAAATTCATGGTAGTTTGTTATGAAGCAAGAGAAAACTAATACACTCAGCCAGTTCATACTTGATTCAACACTCCACAGTCCATTTGATTGGTCTGTAAGTTTTGTGTGGGGCCCAGAATAAGAGAATGCTTGGTAGCTGGTCCAGACTCTGATATAGCCCATCTGTTGACCTTGACCATGCATCCCTGTATTAGTCAGGGTTCTCTAGAGGGAAAGAACTAATAGGATATATGTATATATGAAAAGGAGTTTATTAAGGAGAATTGACTCACAAAGTCCCATGATAGGCTGTCTGCAAGCTGAGGAGCAGGGAGCCAGCAGTGTCTCAGTTCAAAACCCAAAACCTCAAAAGTAGGGAAGCTAACAGTGTAGCTTTCAGTCAGTGGCTGAAGGCCAAGAGACCCTCTCAAACCACTGGTGTAGTCCAAGAGTCCAGGGGCCAAAGAACTTGGAGTCTGATGTTCGAAGGCAAGAAGCATCCAGCATGAGAGAATGATGAAAGCCAGAAGACTCAGTAAGTCAGCTTCTTCCACCTTCTTCTGCCTGCTTTCTTAGCTGTACTGGCAGCTGATTGAATGGTGCCCACCCACATTGGGAGTGGGGGTCTTCCTAAGACTGGGCTTTCCTCTCCAGTGCACTGATTCAAATGTTAATCTCTTCCAGCAACACCCAGAAACACCCAGATGTACACAAAACCAATGCTTTGCATCCTTCAATCCAATCAAGTTGACACTTAATATTAATCATCACAGCCCCGGTAGATCCAGTGATGCTAGAAACAACTTGGTAGATTAGGGCTGTGTACTGTCACTGGGAAACCCCAAAAAGAGTTAAAGCACAGACCTTGATGGTGCTAGAGCAAGGCCATGCCCCCTGCTGCAGAAAAATACTATTTAAATAACAGATTCTGTCATACTTCTAGGTCCTGAAAGAGACCGTCTAACCATGGGATATTAAGTAGCTATAAGACTGAAGGTGTCATTGTAAGGTGGGTATTGTCAGTTCCCACATTATAAGGTCAGGCAATTATAGTAATAACTTCCAGTAGTAACTCTGTGGAAATGGTACATTTAGGATCATATCCAAGCAGGTGTAAAGGGACAAGTAATTTATGCAAACGGACCAGAATATTATATCATCTACTTCTTTTGCACTGATGCATCTCCCTCAGTTCATGCTTAGGGCCTTGTGGGAGAAAACTTATGGGTCTCTTTCATAGATAGGTCGACTCAAATTTTTCCTATAAGCCAAGAATGAACTGTGGTCATATTATAGCACTGTTCCAGAGGTGACACTAAAGGACAGTAGTGAGAGGAAATTCTTCCAATAGAGAATTTCAAACAGTACATGTTTCCTTCAACTTCATGTGGAGGACCTGTTTATAAAAATAAATGTGGAATTGCACCAACCAAAGCCTAACAAGGGTAGGGTAACCATGGGTCTTGAGAGCTCAGGAGTGAAGTTTGCTTACTTGCTAGATAAGCAATCAAGACCAGCAGAAGGGGTGCTAGCAGAAGGTGAGGGCATCTAGATTGCGTGGTACAGGAAGGCAACAATGTATAGCAATTATGGCCCAGGAACCATCTGCAGCAGCTGAAACTACTGCTTGTTTCATTGAACTTCCTGTTTGAAGTCATCTCTAGAAACTGTGGTCAGCAACCACCATCAAATGTCAGTAGTAGAGAGGATTCAATGTGGAGCATGAGTAGTGCAAGATACCTTTGATTCCATGCTCCATGTCTCTTCAGTCCATCTCTGAGTTCACATCTCTGAGTTCATTGTCCATTGCTACAATGGACAGTTCCCTACATGCTAGTAGATTCCACCTCTGACTCTTTGGTCTGCCTGAAGCCTTTCTCTAGTGACATTGGAGATTGTTCAGTCCAAGCACGGGGCAACCCAATATTGTTGAACATTTAACACCCTCAGTAGCAACCCTCAACCTATGAGGGATGAGAGTTAGTAGGTAAATCCTTCAACTTGCCAAACTTTGGCAAAGTTATTCTTATGTGGTTCTTGATTCCTCAGAGGTTTCTCAGTTGCCAGCCACAAAAGTGACCTTCCAAGAACAAAGGTTTTACACTCTTGCTTGCATATACCCTTGAAAGACCATATACTTGAACACTGTTGACAACAAAATATTTTTTCTTAAGTTTCTCCTGAACCATGGGATTATCATAATTATAATTTAGAGATTGATATATATATTTTATCAATTATACACTTATAAGTTTATTTGCAAAAGATAAAATTTCTGACACAATTATAATTTGCTTACATGCTTTAAACATAGTTTCACAAAATCTTAGAGCTATTGATGTAGCTCATTTGATTTTTAGAAAATATTGACCATATAACCTAACAGGAAGACTTAATCCACATTATTAAGTAACGCCTACTGTAAAAACAAAAAAGGCTGACTAAATTATAATTCTAAGATATATAGACAGATAAATGTAGGGATAGATAGATACAATGGATAAATATAGGTATATAGATGGAGAGAGAGACAGACAGAAAGCATAGGGGAAAAAATAACCCTTATAGGTTTGTAATTGGAATGGACCTCTGTTACAAAAAGATGTGTTAACAAGAGAAAAAACAGAAGTTTATTAACATGTATATCTCATGTAAACACAAGAGATAGTCGAGAATGAGCAGTTCTCTAAGAGCTGATTTAAATTCCAGCTTATACAGCATCTTCAGCAAAGAACAGTACATTTTTAGAGAAGTGAGAAAACAAAGGAAAAGGGCTTGGAGTCTTTACAGGCAGCAAATTGAAGGGAAGGCAAACGAATGGCAGATAAAAGTTAGTTAGTAAAGCTTGGTAATATGAATTTCTCTGGTATCATCGCAAGGCTGATAAAGGATCTAAAGCTGTTGTCTTCATTGGCTAACTTTTGCTCTCCCTGGTAGGGGTAGGGGACATAGTACCTTTTTGTCTGTGTAAATCTATGTCCTGCTTTTAAGCAAATAGAAGAAGGACAGATCTCTCCTGCATCTCTTTCTTCCTGTCTTCAGCTCAACACTTTCTTTGGGGAAGCATATTTCGGTTTCCTACAATATTCAGCAATAGTTCCTTGACTCAAGTTTATTGTCTGGATGAAATAAGGCCCCTCCTTCTAAAGGATTCCTTTAATAGTCCTTTAGAAATTTCTCTGTTTTGCTTTATGAATCTTTTTCCCAAAAGAACGCATTTAAGAACTGTTTCTTTTTCAGGGATGAGAGGTAGGCTTTGTGTCCTGGGGCACGACAGAGTAAGATTCAGGATAGATAAGAATCAGACCCCTCTTTTGTAAAGCAGAGAAAGGGTAATTTTGAAAAAGGAGATGGTGAAAAAAGAATATCCAAGTTTCAGTGGTCTTTTTAGGCAATAGAGAGGAAAAAATTAAAAACCAAGTTTTCAAAAGAAAAAAAATTTGCATTAATGGATGGGCTTGTAATACTAGAAAGAAAAACAAGAAATGAGTCCCCCAGTATTCCAGGATTGACATTAGAAATTCATGATCAAGTATGAAATGTATCAGTTACTATATATTTGATGTTAATTAAATGACATAATATTTCTGAAACTCATGTTTTTATCTATAAAATGGGGTAGTACTATTCAGTTTACAGGGCTGTGATGATTAAAAGAAAGAAGTTATGCAAAGATGTTATAAACTTTAACTTATGCTAATGTTAGAACTTATTATTATAGAATATCCATTGTATTTAAGACACATAGAAAAATAATTGTTTGTTTAAAAAATTACCATAATACAAAAAGAGTAAAGTTTTAAATCCCCATGTTTAATTAACCCAGCATTTCCCCAAGAAGGAAAGTAAGCTCCAGCACTGTTAGCAGAAAGACTGCTCTATAAATGTCATTGTTCGGTTAGAAATTTGCCTATTAAACTTAGTATCACACTTTTATAATTATACAATGCATATAAAAGCCTGTGTTCACTAGATGGTAATAGAGAACACATTCCACAGAAAGATAAAAGCACAGAATGAACTGAGCATGAACAGAAAATACTTATTTGAACAAAGAAATAATAGTATTTGACCTTTATCTGGAAATGATTTCATGTCCAGAGGGTATTTTCCTTTAAATAAAATGCAGTTGTATTTGATGTTTCCTTTTATTGGACATTATATATTGATAAACAGATAAGCCAAAGAAGGGGGGAAAAACACCTAAAAGTAAAGCAAAACAAGAAAACAATAAAAGCAGTCTGATTCATTTTCCCTCTTTAAAGTCCTAAAAAGGTACCTCATTTGCCCAGAGAGAATACTCCTCACTTCTTGATTAAAGGCAATCAGAGCCCTTTGCCTAGCAATCTTATGTAATTTAAAACTATCATATCAAATGGTGACTGTTAATAACTACCAATATTACACAGCATGAAAACGAAGGTCAAATGCTATAGTTTGAATGTTAAATAAGGTAAAGAATATTAACTAGTGTTTAACAGGGCAAATTTTGCTTATCGTTTAAAAAAAATTACTCTAAAAATGTGCTCCCAAACCACACAACAGGTTTCACTTTCTTTCCAGGATTCACTAAAATGATGTCCAGCCATCCAGAAATGATTAGGTTTATTTTCTCCTAACTTATAATGCTGTGGGCTTAGTACCTGACTGTTCATCATTATAAAGTGACTCCTACAATGTTTGCTTCTCCTTCATCCCCAAAACTCCAGCAAAGAATTTCCTAAAACAGGTCAAGACCTTTACTAATGATACAACTATCTAACATGGGCACTGTGCACGCACAAAGAAGAAACCTAGGGTCTTCCTATTAAAAGGTGCTACTCCAGGAGATTTCACCTGTGAGGGCTAAGGAGGGCATTTTGAATGTCATTAATACTGTAGTGTTCTGCATTACCCTATAGTTTTACTTTCTTCATCAGCCTTATGCTGACCGTTGGAATGACTGTTGACCCAGCCCCCAAACACTTTTCCTAACAACAATTTGGTACTGGTAATGCTATCATTAGTGATAATGATAATGTGTTTGTGTTTTGTGGTTGTGGATGTCCCTGATTAGAATGCAAATGGAATAGAGGGGCATTATAATAAGTTTTTGTTTAACATTAACAATTAAGAGCTACTCATAAACTACTGTATCAGATTATCAAGTAGAGCCTAGGGAATGGGGCATTTCAATTTTGGTGGAAGAAGCAGATGGGCTAGGACCTGGAAGGAAAGACTATTTCAAGGGGACAAAGTTCTGAGACCTAGGGGAACAAATGACTTTGGACAATTAGATATATGATCACCACTGCAGAGAAGACACGAAGAGACAGAGGAAGCCAGGATACCCACTACCTAGCTCATAGCTGTGCGCCACATTATCTTTGAATCTAGTTGCAGCCACGACCTCTGTCTGATCAAGCAACTTCCTAGAAGCTTGAATAATCATTGAATGTTGACTCTGAATGTAATATCAACAACTGTGGCCAAACACTTCTACCTTAAGGGAGCTATAAAACATTTCTTCTCTTCAACAGTTCTGAGAATGAGCAGTTACTACAATTGTGGGAGGAAAGGAATAAAAGCCATTTGGGTCCATGTGCCCTCCCATGTGCACACAAGAGAGGCTAGGTTCTGCTGATGTAATCCTGTTTTGTAGATGAGCAAAAGTCACACAACGGATAAATGGCAAGCTCAGCACACAGGCTTCCGAAATTTGAGGCCAGTCCTCACACTACCTTTGCAGGTTGGATACTCATCCTGACATCATTCACCTTACAAATCCAAACTAAGTTGAACGATGGAGAGAAGCAAAATCTGTCAAATGACTTCTACAGGCGTGGTGATGCTTATCAGAGACCTGGCTTAACAAAAATTATCCAAGTCTCTCTAGCTATTTCTAAACACCGTGGTATGCTTCAGACTGAAAATACTGAAATAAAAATAGTTGTAATAAGCTAGGTGATTCCTGATACCATAAATCAGTCCAAGAAGAGTGAACCAGAGTCATTCCAATAGCCTTGTTCCTTGACAGTGTATTTATGACTCTTTTTTAAAAGGCCATTACCCTGATGAAAAATAGAATTACACAGCCGGAAGAAACCACACCGAGGTCCTTAATTTACTCCCCACACCCCTAGCTGATGTTCATCCTAGATGGGATTATCTATCGCCTGCCATCCACATCCTTTTCTAAAAAAAAAAAAAAAAAAAAAAAAGAGTTTCATAAAATGGGCTCAAATAAGCTATTTTATGTGACAACACTTTTAAAAGTACTAAGGCATTGTACAGATGTAAGCAATTATCATTATTTTTATTAAGAATAAGGAGCGTTCAAAATCTCCATCAGGAAATAGAAGATAATGTTTCACATTTTCTTCTAGCAGTTCTTTCTCAAGCTCATCACAAATCTCTCCTTCTTCTAGTTAATCCATTTTTTCCTTATGCCAGCTTATATAAATAGACAATTAAATCACAGAATGTTTGATTTGAAAAAGATCTACTAGTTTATCCCTCTGATTACATAAATGAAGATACTAAGAACAGCTGGGGCCATAAACACGAATGCCCATAAGGGCTGAACAGGTAACATGAATAAAGAAATCAGTTAAGAAGGAACAGTTTCTCAGGTCTGAGAAAACCAACAGTGCAAGCAGAATGATAAGTAGCAACTAATGGGCCAGATCAGTAAGAGAGGTCAACAGGGACTGTAGGGCTCTGGAAACTTGGAGAGTGCCAGACCACCTAAAGACAGCAGGCCCCTCACCATGGTCATGTGGGCGCAGGCCCATTGTTAGCTGACATCAAAAAGCTGAAATCCAATCTTTGCTGAAATGTCCTGATTTTAAAAGGGTTGCATCGATTTTTAAACACTGAAAATTAAATAAAACATCTTCAGACCTATTCCAGTCTATACCCTGCTAGTTCATGACCTCTCAACTGGGCCACATGATTTCTAATCCTCTCTGCTTCACTTGCTCTTTACAAGCTTGTGGAATCACAGCTTTAGCCCACTCAATGGTTGGTCTTATCATTCAGTGGCCTGAGCAGGATAACAGACCAGGATTCAGTGGCAGGCTGAGTGCTCCAGTCTTCAGAAGGGACCTGCTGAATAGGCACAGAAGGCACCTACAAGCCTTCAGATTCATCTGCTACCTTGAGCTGGGAAGCAGTGAACTCACCAGCTGGAGCAGTCCATTCACCCTGAAGGTCCTCCTTGATTACAGCCTTTTCAGCACCTGACTGTTCTTTTCAATCCCTTCAGGATCTCTGCAGAGGCAGAGATCATGTCTGACCTCCCATGCATGTTGACGGGAGATAGTGCCACCCATGTGTAGAACTTCCTAGGCCAGCATCCACCATGAGACCCACTAAGTGAGCTCCCTTGTGGTTGCATGGGATGGCAACATCTACAAGTGCAGGGGAGAATCTGTGTTACACAGAGCATTCGTAGCCAGGTTAACATAAGATACATCTCCAAGAGGCTGAGAGCCCTAGGATCGATAACCTCAGGCAGACATGGCTCCACTAAGGTTGCCTAGATATGGTTAGTTAAAGGTACTGGAGTGAAGAGCCCCTCAGAGAAGTGGCCCCAGTGGCAGATGGAAACTTCAGCACAGCCCATGGCCAGTATTCCTAGAAGATATGACACTGACATCAGCTGGGGTTTCAATGGCAGTAAGGACAGGAATCATCAGCAGAAGATTCTCCTAGGTCCTCTCCAGACTTATGATATAGATTCTATCACCTTTCCTTTTGTAGGTTTGCTGTTCTGTTTGTAACTGAAATGCCAGGGGTTGTTCTAGGTCCTACTGCTCACTACACAGAAAGCCAATTACTGAGACAATGAGTATTGCAATGGACAAAGGCTTAATCAAGTGCTGCAGCCAAGAAGATGGGAGATCAGTCTCAAATCCATCTCCCTGACTAAAATTAGGAGTTTATATAGCAGGGAAGAAGTGTAATCATGTGTGTGAAAACAGGAATTAGGGAGGGGCAAGAAAGAGGAGCTGGTCAACAGGAAGCAGGTGATTAGTTAAGGTAGTCATGATGGGTGAGGGGTCTGGCATTTCATTGTCCAGATATGATGATCTGGTAAGTTTCAGTTTCTTGCTACTACATAGGAGGCCTGATGGTTGGTTTCCTGAGAAAGGAAATCAGATAAGACAAATATAACTTTCTTAAGTTTTAAGACTGGAAGGATAAATTTCTATGTTTATTCAAAGAAACCAAAAACATCAGTTCTATGGAACTACTGGGCAGGTTTCACATTTGGAAGCCTAGGTTGGTGCCACCTAATTGGGTTTTGCTGCAAAGAAGTTGAGGACAATCTCCTCTTTCATTGGCAGGACATTAAGGCCTTCTGAGATTGTTAAAGTTTTCCTTTACATTACAGTGGAAACCCAGGACAACACTGTATGAACCCCTTTCTAAGTAGTAGGAAAGGCTGCCACCTTATCAAATAAATTCTTTTCTTTGTGTTCATGTGACCAATCAGCACATGCACTTTGACATTTTTGACATTCTGTCTCACAGAAACGTGAATGTAATGTTTCAATTCACTCTCATGATCCTCTGGACTTCACACAGAATTTGACACTGGAAGGTTGCTCTTTAGAAGCCTGGGATTAAGGATACAGATTGCAACAACAGAATAGCAGGAAACAGATTCAAAAGAAAATGGTACCTGCAATGCTGACTTCTTTAACACCAATGAATATCAGAATGATGTAAGCTTTTTCATGTAGGGAGGGGCAGACTTTAAATCACCTGTCAGATATCTCTTTCCTAGGCAGAATATACCAATTAGGTTTCTTTTTCTTATTTGTTGTCTTTCTACCTTTATGCTGTTTGGCTTATTCTCCAATGAGTTCCTTCAAGCTCTCTAAGTTTGTCAAAACCCATACTTGACAGAATGTTGGACTACTGCGAATTCTGCAGAGTGACTACGAGGCACTTCTTCCTCCTGGGAGGATAGAATAGACTTGCTTAAAACAAACATTGATTAAAAAAAAAAAGCTAACATTATCAGTGCTTCATTAATCTTGACACTGGGTTGGAGCAGAATTTTACCTATTAGATGGACTTTGATGTTTTATTCCCTACTGCAAAGGTGCTTCCACTCTCAGAAAACAGGAATTGGGGGTAGGGGATGGAACACACTCTTGGGATAAAAATAAAAACAGTGCTCTAATATTAAAGGGAAAACACAATGATAGAGCCAGGAAGCAGCTCAGCAAAGCCATTACCATGCTTATTGCTATTTGAAGGCATAATGATTGAAGTTATTGTCTTAATGTAAGATTACTAAATAATGCATCCCATAAAAGACATTGTATTGGCCATTAAACGTGTGTAACTGCAACAGAATTCATACTTATTTAATGACACTTTAGAGTCGGATGGTACTTAAAATGAAGTAGGAATTTTTTAAAGGCAAGAGAAATTCAAATATACCAGTATATAAATTGAAATGTTTTCTTTGTTTTGCAAGCACATAAAGAAATGTTTCACATGGGTTGTTTCCTTTTTTTGACCCACTGGGAACAGCACAATTTTGACTCCTCGGTATTTCTACTTCTAATTGCTAGGAGGGTTCATTATCAGCTGTCTAAAGTGCAATACATCAACCTTGCAAAGCTGAGTTACAAAAGACGTTCACACATCTGATGGGCTGCTGTGCTAAATACATCTTAATTTGTGCTGCATCTGCTGTTTTCTAATTTGTTTGTCATGCTGTGAATGCTGCAGACTTTGTTAGAGCAGCTCCCTGATTTTTTTCTTTAAAATTGCATCAATACTTCATTTTAAAAAATGGCTGTCTTCCATCATTGTTCGTCTGTGTCTTGGAATGCCATAAACTCAACTCTTTTATGCACATATGTGTAAAATATCTGATGCATTTGAATATGTATGTTTATTACAGTAGATTAAATGTACATATATTTGCACATGCATCAAGCCAAATATTCAGTTTGATCTCACAAAGCAAAACAAACTTTCTTCAGCCATAACTGGATACACAAAATGACAAACACACTAATCTCATAACTGGCATGGAGAAAAGTGTTTCAAGTCACTGCGGTCTAATTTTGGTTCTCTCACCCTGCAGAAGATGCAAGCAAGTTTGGTGTTCTTAGTTCAGACCCAACTAAGCAGCAGTTCAAGTGAGAAATGAGCATATGCAATTCAGCATGATCCAGAATAAACCAGGTTCAACATTAAGTTCAAGTTGGGAAAGAAGACAAATACTACTACCTCAGGCCTATGCCTCCCCGTCTTTTCACAAAAAGCCAAGCTGAAGGCAAGGGTGGCTTCCTGGACATGTGTCATGCAAAATCACACATTCCTCATGCTTAGTAGCAATCTGAGTTGAGTCTAATGCTCTGCTGTTACTATTTAGAAAATGTTAATAATTTATGATTGAATAAGGGGCTCTACATTTCCATTTGGCCCTGGACTCTACAAATCATGCGACAAGTCTTGGGGGCAGGAAGTGTTTAAGAGACACTGGTGGGACAGCTGATGGACGTGCCCTGTAGTACTTCAAGCTGGCAGTCATTTTGTTTTTTAAATCACAAAAATTTACCCATTGAAATGAAGAAAAAAGGAAAGATAGAAGGAAAAAAGTGGGGAGAGAAGCAAACAAGAAAAGAGACTAAACCAAATGGTACTTTGTATTCATATAGTTTGATGGAGAATTAAGGAGGGAAGGCAGCCATTTCTAGGTGATTTTTATTATTTCTGAGCACAGAGCTTCTTCGAATGAAATTTATTCTAAAGACTATGCCTTTTGTCATAGGTTTTGGGATCACTACTCAGAGGGACACTCAAAGTCAGTCTATAATCTTTAAAAAACTAACTAAAAACAATTCTATTTTCTAACAATTTTTCACCACCTTCTGCCCTTACACACATACATATCCCAAATTATTTAAAGAAACCTGGATAAAAACCAAAGATTTTTAGCAAGGCAGTGAATTGAGTGTCAGTGAGATGCTGGCACAGAAGCTGGCATTCTTTGTGTGTGCAGCCACAGGAGAGGGATGCTAAGAGGCAGGTCTGCACCCTGGCTTCAGAGGGAGGCGTGGACCCCATTTACATAATGCCAACCAGTCTCCCGTGTCAAGTTTTCCCAGGAACATGCAGAAGCAATTACCAAGGCAGGCGTTATGACTGGTGGAGTCACAGACAAATCAGGGTTTCCATAAAGGAGGATGTTGAATCAATAAGGCATACTGTTCAACCAGGGATGAGAAAAACACCTCATAAAATAACAGCATTTGTAAAGGTTAATCGATTCAGCTAATTGTAAATGTTCTCAATTGTCAGTCCCAGAGCAGTCCCTTCTCTTTGTAGCTAGTAATTCACTGTGGGATGCAGCAGCTCTAAACCAGGAAACAGAGAAAGAGGGAAAAGCAGTCAAATTTCTCATTACTCTCTCCATGTTGTGCTCTGTCGGTGTCTGTAAATGTCAATATATTTACCACGGGGAGATAGCCTTTTTTCTCTACTAGCACTTCGTTGCCTCCTTCATTATATACAAAACAAAGTAAAGAGCCTAATTATCTTGGTCTGAGCAGATGGAAAGGAAATCAGGGTATTGATCTTTAGGGCAATATCTTAGGGCAATGCATATGACTAATAAGCTGGGCAGTTAAAGGGATGGTCCTTCATTGACAATGGTAAGAAAAAGACATCTTATTCACTGCCCCAGATTAACTCAGGAAAAAGCAAGAGATGCTTTCTGCCCTTCCCCCTCTACTGCCTCCATTTCCCCAGCAAGAACAAAACCATTGCACATGGTTTTTAAAATTAGCGTTCATAGAGACTGGAGAAATAGAAACAAATCATGCCAGGCGGAAAAACGTTGAGATAATTCTAGCCTGAAATGATAAGCAGAGTATGGCAGTGAAAGCAAACCTACAACTTTAATGGAACCAGGGAATTCCTGTCTTTCTTTGAGGCTTCATAATCTGAGTATCTTACATTTCCAGGCCACTAGTGAGTGTTCTACTGGGGACACAGAATTCAATTTGTGTTAAAAATGCTAGAAAAGTTGTAGAAAATGGTGATACAGGATAAATGATAAACTGTCCTAAGACAAGTCCTTTTCAAGATTTCACACTTCTTTTCTGTTCCTTACTTTTTATCTGTATATGGTGTTACGTTGCAGAAAGTTTTGTTTCTCTGTAGTGACAAAGATTAACCTTCTACATTTAGAAAATACAGGAATATAGTATTATTTCCAAGGAACAGTTATAAAAGCCAAAACTAGAGATAAAAACTATTTCAAAGGTTTTGTTTTATGAGTAATATTTATAGCAATGTGCTTAATAACAACTTGTATTTGCCCATTTATTGTGCCTTAGAATCTAATGATGTATATCATTTCCCATATTGAAACATAAATTGCTGAAACAAGCAGCCAATTTCCTTTTATTTCATTTGCACCTCAGTAAAATGTAAATGTCTTTTCTTTAGCAATAAGGCTATGAGTGGTTAGCAAAATTTGAAAATGTACAATGAATCACAATTGATTATAAATCCTAAGTCTTCAACAACTTGACAAGAGTATCCTTATCTTTTATGTATTTCAATTTAGTGTTATTAATCAAAGACATTGTAAAATTCTAATTAAATCTATCAGAGGCCTGTGTTCCTGTCAGTTTGATATTTCAGGTATATCAGGTAGTGCAGTCAGACAAACCAAGTGACTCAGTGGAAGCGTACAGCCATGTGGATCAGAACAGCATCAAAAACAAGAGAAGACAGGGCCAACAGCGAGTTGGCAGCTGGCATATCACAAGATATTTTATCCCTCTAATATGTGGGATAATGCTAGATCAGTGTAGGAAAGTAGCATGTTTAAAATCAAATTGACTGGTGTATTGTACTAACAGTGGTGTACAGCCAGAAAACAAAATCTGTGTGTTCCTCTGGAGTGAGCAGAACCATTGGTTTACAACAGGAATTCTCTTAAGAAAAACAATTTCATTCATCCATCAGTGCACTTTAAAACATGCCATTTTCTCCTTTGAAAAATGAGAAATTAAAGAATGAGTCAGGGAGGTCCAGAAGCTATCTTACTCACTCTAAGTGGGGAAAAGACCTCTTCGACAATAAACTTTCCTATCCTGCCAGTCTCCCTTTCTCCTGTTTCACCTTTCTCTCCTCGTTTTCTTACCCTCCTTCTCCCTCCTTCCTCCACCTTTTCTAAGACTCCTCTCATCTACCAATAACATTTTCCCATTTTCCCATAGTTTCAAAAGAAATGTGACAATATCCTTGAGAATGTTGAGAATTGAGAGTGAAGTCCTCTACATGCGATCTTTTCACCTTAAAGGAATGGAAATTCCTGTTACAGTTACAAGAACTGTAGCCTCATGCCAGCAATCAGCAAAGTTAGCAAAACAAACTTCCAGGACCCTATTATTACATTCCATTCACTGATTGTTCCCAAGCACTGGGTACCTTCGTCCCCATATATATTCATTTGAAGCCCACACCCTTTTATACATAACGTAATTTTCTTTCCAGAGGATAAATTTTTATATCAGTTTGATAATTTCTTGAAGTTATACTGGAGTATTGCTCAACTTGCTTCTAAATTAAAGCACTTATTAAAAAACTTTGAAGCACTCTCACAATTTTAAATCACTGTGCACATAGCAATTTAAAATTATGGGAGCAGTTTTATAAGCACTTGAATTTGGAGGTGATCAGAGACCTGAAAATGTGCAATATAGAGTAATTTAAAATTATTAGAGTACTTCACATTTTTTATAAGCTCTTCAGCTGGGAAGTGATCAGGTTCTAACATCTGAGCTTATGCAGTGCAAAGTGAAGTACTTCTCAGCCTGAGATGATTCACTCTATTAAATCAAACTACTTTAATAATTTTAAAGTGATGTACAGTGAGCATGCCCAGGTCTCCAAATTTACTTCTAAATTAAAAATATTTTTCACTTCCAGCCTACAAAAGACACTTATGTGATGAAGCAGCAATTTACCCTTTAAATTTTAGACATCAAACTGCCCCCTCGCTTTAATAGTAGTTTTCCCTTGGTAAAAATAAACACAAAAATATTTAAAATATTTGATATTTTTCATTTTAAAACTGAAAATTATCATGCTATGGAACTCCAACAACCTACCTGTATTTGAATATATTTCCACTTTAAAGCAAACTTTAGTATACCATGTTTGGGGATATAACGCTTTTATGCCTAAAACACTAACAAACTAATATCTCAAGAGGGTTTGTAAACCTCAACGAATGGTTAATTGTCTTATGGAAGTATAACACCGTATCCCACTTAAACATATGGGTGATCCTTCACAATAGGGAAGCTTTTTTGCTACCTGAGAAAAATCATATAAACCCTATAAGACCTTCCGAAGACCACTGTGACCTGAATGAAAGTATGCGGTTCCAGCAACATGTCCTCACCCTGCCCTTGAGTTCAAGGAAAGGACATCAGAAATTCATGGCAACCCCTTCACTAAATGTACATTAGGCAAACGTGGCTCTCAGATAATTCAAATCAGTTTACGTGATGGTTTTCATCTTATAAAATTTTACTTATACTTTCTATAGCCAAATTAGAGGGTAGAATTCTGGTCTAGATTAATTATTTCTATTAATAAACAAGATTATTAACCTGTGGAAAGGGATTCTAATCACTTCATAAAACAATTCAATTTCTGGTATGCTTAAATATCGTTACTGAGTTAATATTTGCATCAGGGATGAATGGTTTAAAATCTTATTTTGGCAAATTTCTCACCCCATGTAAACAGAATGACAACCCAAATAAATAGGTAACCATAGATTGAAACCATTTGAAAGCTAATAAAAAAATTGTTTTTTCTTTATTATCAAGTGTTGGGAAGTTACTTTCTTTTCTTTCTCTCTCTCTCTTCTCTATTTCACTAAAAGCCCCATTCATCTGAATTCTAACTATAGTCAAACTGGATCTGCTGGAAAGTAATCACTTACTACCTCCTTGTTCTTTGATAATACTTTGAATTTTACCCTATAGGAGAATTGATCCTAACTAATGTGTTTATAATTCACAAGTGAATGGAGTGGTTCCCAATAGCAACTTGCCACCGGTGGAAAATATGCTGTAGCTGTTTGTTATGGCTCTCATCAGGGAATACGGCTACAAACTACACATGCACTGCTCTATTTAAATGTACTGGCTTGAGAGGAAACTGCCAGAGCCACTTCATCTTTCACTACTGATGCTGCCTGAAAATTAAATTCTCCTGGGTGGGAGAGTGGGGAAGAATAGTAATGTCTTTAAAAGTGCTCTCTCAGAGCAAGCTCTCATCAAGAGATACGAAAGGACATCAGAAATCAAAGAAGTACACTTATTTTGAAGGTTGTTGCAACGACATTTTAAACTTCGTTTCAAAAGCCAGGCACTGAAACCTAAAAATAAAATTGGGAAATATGACTCTCTAGTCCTTTGCAGGAAGAAAATTGGATTCTGGAGTTTGGATTATAAACTCACGGAAGGTGGAATACACATATTGCCCAAACTTTCCAAACTTCCCCACGAAGAAATACGTGGATACAGCAAGCATCCAGTGATTCAGTGACAGGGGCAATAATGGGCTCAGTGGCTTTTTCACTTTAAAATATTCATGTGTATACTGAAATCAGGGATACTGCCTCTATGAAAATGTTTCTGAACGTAAGAAATGGAAATTTGAGTTCTGTTCTAACTAGCGTATCAAAAACTTTCGGAAGTTATATATACAATACCTGCTTTTACACAAAAGCATTTTGAATTCTACGGACTTTATGTTTGTCTTTACATTATGCTCAAATTGCCTTGGCTTTCACACTATTTACAACAAAAATTGGTCTGGAAAAAAGACAAAGAAAACTGTCTTGGCAATAGAAATTTGTAATATTTAGATGGTTTTATATGCACTACATGGGATTGTTCATTTGGCTCTAGTGTCATAAGAGTATACACCTCAAAAATTCAATAATAGACAGCTCATGTCTGACATCTAAAACTGCATGTTAAGATACTAAAAAAAAATTGAAATAGGTAATGATTAACCAGAAGATAGAGAGGATGATGAATTAAAGTGGACCTGAATTAAGGGAGAAATTTGGATATAAATGATGGAAGAAATCACATGGGCATGTCTAAGTTTCTATAGATACTTATATATTGGAGATAGAGAAGATAGCTAAAGCAAGCTCTAGGAATATTTTTCCATAGTATGAGGGTTGACAGGAAGCTTCTAAACAAAAATTTTGCAACAGTGAATAGAAAAAAGTCAGGTAATTATGATACAATGAATTTGAAAATCAATGTGAATATTTCAAACCAAGTGGCTACTAGAAAGAAAGCAAAAACGTACTTGTAAGACCAATATCAAGGAAGGAATTTAGATTATAAATGTAATACTCAAACACAGTTGGACTATGCAAACATAATGAAACATGACATGCCTGTGACATTAGTTATGCTCTGGGTCTATCATTATATTTCACCATAGTAATCACTGCTTTTTTCTCTCTTCTGTATAAAATGGTGAGAGAAATAGTATTGGATGATACCAATCTACGAGTCTCCTGTATACAACACTGACTTTTGTACTGAAACCAGGGAGATAATACTAGAATAAGCCCTTTGCCTATACACTGCAAAGACCAATGTGCACTTTTCAGATAAAATGTTCTTAATTCCTTTGCATTTTCTTGCAGCAGTACCTATACTCACTCACACAGTGCACTTAATGTCACTTTATCTAGGAGCATTGCTAAATAAACAAGAATTTCATTAACACTGTGGCCATTTTAAGTAAATCTATGCCTAATGATATGAAATGCCCTGTAATTCCTAGTGTCTGCTGCATGAGTTAATCCATTTAAGTGGGAGAACATGTTCTGTCAGATTGTGTGAGTCTGACAATTTTTTGAACCACACTAAGCCTTTTGAGAATTGAATTTCATTTGCTTCAGGAAAAAAAAAAAGTGACTTTCTGGTTCAAAGGAAAAACGCTTAGAAGCCATATTTGAAAGGCTCATAAGAGGCCTTACACATCAAATAGCTCTTGGAAAACAACATTCTGATGAGTTAAGTGTAAATTAATTAGAAACATACAGATTGCTTTTCCCTGGCTATCCACATGGGTTTCAAAGTTGAAGAAAGAGTGTTTGACACAATACGTTTGGAGTCTTGATGACCCAAAAGCATAGTAAAGTAGTTCAAGATGTTTCTATGAAACAAAGATGTTTGTTTTCTTCCAGTGATTTTTGCTAACAAACATCTAATGAGCTGCTATTAAAGGACTTTGGGACTCAACGCATATACTATATTTTGAGTTCATCAAGTATACCTAAAAGAAGATACTTCCCTGCAAAGAAGGCGCGTAAGTCATTATAAATGACTTTCAAGCCTTGTAGTGTTTCGGAAAGGAAAAACATAGCTAAAATGAGCATTAAGACATTCTCACTGCAAATCTATCCTATATCGAAAGATGGAGTAGGAGAGCTTTCATGAATGGAGGCACTGATGTGCTGTGACTGCACACTCTTGTCCAGGTGTAGCATTTTTATGCAGCCCCATGAATAATACTGGATTATAAAAATACGGTCCAGGTAATCCAGTTATATGCCCATCAAGTGTGTGTATCCACTTTACAGGGAACTGCAACTGGTCAAATAAATAAAAATAAATGACTCATTGTGGAAATGAATGCAGAAGGTAGTTCCCTACTGCCATCACTAGAGAACGTACTTTAAAATGTTAGTATTAACAAATACTTACTGTAAATCACTTGGCTAGATGGAACTGAAAATTAATGCCATTAGAATTCTCAGAATAAATATCTTCAAACCTACCCCTAAAGGAAAAGAAAGAAGCAATGGAAAAAGAAAGAAAAAAAACTTAGAAAGCATAAAATACTACCCTTTATATATTTTTCTAAGTGATTTATTTTTTCTTATTTTTCCAATTGGCTAAAATTAGAATGTCCTTTTGAAAAATGAGCACACAGAGATAAAGAATCTGAAGAAAGTACCAGGCTCATCTAGGAGAAGTAACCAAGCTTGACTACTCCAAACTGCTCAGTTCTTCCCTCCTATGAGGATGTTTATTCATATTTCCAATTTACTATAACAAATTTTCTTTATCAGTTTTTCTCTCAAGGTCCTTAGAAATTTAGAACTTTCCCCTAATGATGGTAAACTTTTGAAGAATTCCAAGGTCGGTTTTATAAAAAGAAACTATGCAATCAAGATTCAAATAATTGATAGGGCTGCCCAAGAAAAGAGTCATTACTATCACAGCTGAACTATTTGGGATAAGTCAATTCCCTGGGGCCACTCGGATAGGAAAGGCTTCAAAAGTTTGTTCATTTTTTTTAAGTCTACCTTTTGAAGTTGATTTTGGAGTTTCATTTCTTTTGCTAACATGTTTCGCTTGCTGCATGCCTGGGGACACTTGGCAGCTCAGCTATATTTAAGATGTAATATCAGTTCTATACACAGTCAGCATTTTCACACATCTATTCTCTTTGCATTTCATTGCTCTAAAGTTCCAGTTTTGTTTGTGGGAGATTTGGAAGAGAGAGTTAGCAATGAATGAATGTTTATTTTCCTGGGTGCTAGAGGCTGTGTGTGTTCAAGCGGACATATTCCATCATACAGACTTGACTCAGCAAATGAACGCAGCGTTACACAGCCAGGTAATTTTCAGTTGATGAGAATTACTCCTCTGCAGGGTATATATAAGGAGTTTGCCATTTGTAATGCAAATTTAATCATATATTAAACTAAAAATGTTCTCAGGCTTTTATTTTTCATTCTAAACTGCCCCTTTTGCTAAAGTATTTCCTTTGTTCTTCAACACACTTCAAAACTATAGTGAATCTCTAAACTGTAAGGTAAAAAATAAAGACAGTCAGCTCTAAGTTTGCTGATTATATTTTAAGCATATAATATGAAGTAGACAGATTTGCAACTCAGAACATTTTCTCCCATAGTAGTTCACAGAATGCATCGCAAGATTGCAGTAGAGTACTAATGACACTAATTCAGCCAATCATACCCATGTGGATAACACAATTCCCATCAGAAAATCTAACCAGCTAAGGATACAAGATCAACCCATGCTTGGTGATACCTGGAGCCTTGCTCCAGGTGGACAAGGTGGACACTTGCGGGCATCAGAAATGTGATATTTCTCTCTAACTCCTAAAGAGACGGATTTTCTCAAAGTCTGTATTTCCCAAACGATACCCTGATATAATAGATGGATATATTCAAATATGTCCTTTCATAAATGTGTCTGTGGCTAATGAAATTGAAGAAATATTAGACTAAACAAAGTTAAGCTGGTTTCTGTCCTCTGGGATCTTCAGGATTTTTATCGTGATACATTCCTTGTGAAATCTCCAAGTTGGGGCTGTAGTATGCATCACTCCCTTCACTTATGAGCTTTCAGAGCCTCTGGTTAAGGCTTTACAGGACCCCAGGTCCTCCCAGAACAGCACACAGGAAATATTCTGGTTACTCTCTGTTTAAGTATCTTCAGTTGGAAAACCAAGAGTGACTCCCTCCACAGAGTCCTGGGCTGCTGCCTCCCAGCAGATCTCTGCCATCTGTTTGTGTACATAAATCATTCATAAATTGGGATCTTACTAGATGCTCTTTTATTGGACAAAATATCTTATTAAAATACGTTAGCATCTCCTAATGCAAAGCCCTATGTGGTTACGCCAAAAAATAAACAAATAAGGTGTTTGTGAGGGAAATAACTTTTACATAATCTGGCTGACACAGTTCTGTTTGGTTAAAAGTGGGACAAGATCCATTGCAGAGATTATTATCTGTGGTTCAGTAAGTAGATATTAATATTATTCAAAATATATAGCAGCTACCAAGAGACTTGATGAAAACATACCAAAGCAATCAAGCTTTAAATACTAACAGTGTTTAAAGAAAAAAAAATACGTAAGCAAAAAGAGAAAACAAAATAAACCTAGTTTATAATAGTATATCTTTGTATTCCTTAGGTGCTTTACATATTTCATACTAGACGTTACAAACTATGAGGTGTGGTCACAGAGTGAAATGCCAGGCTGTGGATTGCAGCAGCCAGGAATGTGTTAGGAACTTACATACGAGAAAACTATGGAGTCAATCATTTCTGCAGAGCGGTGCCATTATTGCAGTTCATATATCCTGGGAAGTGATTTCCTTTCTTCCAAAAAGTCAATGATCATAAAACCCATCCATTACCTTGGTGCAATTCTTAAGGAGACAGCATGAATTGTGTGAGTTACATCACAGTGCAGATGGAAAGAAGGCATACGCTGGGCATTGCAAAGATTACACAGACTAGCAGAATGCAGATCACCACCTTGGAAATGTAGCTGGACAAGAGAGCATTTACAGATAAAGAGACTGAAATATTTTTACATTTGTGATAAAATATTTTGCACCTGTTATAGGGAAGTAACTACTTCAACCCAGATCAAAAGGATATACAAAGAACCTAAAGATAATGCAGAACGAGGACTACGGTAAAGAAGCGCCAAATAGGACCAGAAAATAAACACTTCTTATAGGAAACCCAATTCTGCCAGTTCTTTAATGAGGACAGAATTAGAATATAATCTAAATCAGTGGTTCTCCAACTTTTTAGTCTCAGGAACTCTTCACTTCTTAAAATTAAGGACTCCAGAACACTTTTGTTTGTGTAGGCTGTATTTATTGATGTTTTCTGTATTATAAGTTAAAAGTAAGATACTGTGCAGAAATGGACACAGATTTAGTGAGAAGAGTAACATTATTTTACATTTTACAACTCATATATAGTAGTAGTAGACAGCTGGATCCTCAGATCTGCTTCTGTATTCAATCGCCTGCAATGCCACATGTGTTGTGGCCTCTGGTAAATGTCACTATACAATCAGAGAGAAAGAGAGTGAAAATGATAAACAAGATTTCAGCATTACTATTAGAAAACTTTGACCTTGCAAGCACCCTGCAAAAGTGTCAGGGATCCAGAGGAGTGCCTGGTACTTTGAGAACCACTGAGTTAAAAACATTATGTGTCGAATATATTTATATATCCTTACATGTGTTAACATACTGCATATAGATATAGACTACTCAGGTTAACTACTTACTAACCCATAGGTACTAACTTCATACTGCAAGTTCAGACTTTCTGAACTGTTCATTTCTTTCAACTGTAGGAAAACTGCAGGACACAGCTGCAAGCCAGAATGGCAACAAAGATTAATAAGTCTCATACTAAATGGAGACCTAATGAGATACATTTCTGACTGTGAATGCTAAATATTATATTCTCACATGTGGTACTATCATGTCCTAGTAATGAGGTAGACAGAGTGAGCATTATTCCACTTTGTAAATGAGAAAAGTGCAGAGAGATGGGGTAAGTGACTTATCCAAGTGCCATAACTAATCCATGAGAGAGCTGGGACTGGATCCAGCCCAGTGCTGCTTTGGGCTTATCACTAGGCCAACACAGTGTGCCAAAACACATGATTGAAGAGTGAAAATTATTGCTGGGGTGTCTTATTGCCTGATTTGTTCCTTATAATTCTTCACCCTGCCAAATAGTTATTTTGGTAAGTATGTGGTTCATGTTTTGATATTATTCTGCTAAATGTTCATTTTAATATTTTGAAAATGCATAATTACTTCTTCTAGCCTTAATTCTTCTTACATGTAAAGTGTGGATCAAAATATCATAAAGGCTTCAGAAATAACAATATCTTAATAACGAATAAAACAAGGCATATCAAATCTACAATTAAAAAAAAAAACAGTGCCCTCCAACTGGGTAAATATGTGAGGACACTATCGGTTTGCTCAATCACAAAAGATGATTTTTTTTAAGGCAAGGACCAGAAATGCTTAAGATTCTATGATATTACAGAGAATAGTGCACAGTAACGCCTTGTCCAATGTCCCCAAACAAGTTCGAAATGTCTTGCTAGACAGCCACATAGGTGAAAATTTTATTCACAATTTATAGCTGGATACTAGCTGTGTTTAACATATAAATGTAATGTATTTTTTTTAGAGTTTTAATATGGATTAGTTTTTTTAAATGTAGCTACCCTGTAAAGTAAAGGAAGATTGTGCTTTTTGTCTGGAAGTTTAGCAAGAATGGCCCATTGAGTCAGAAAATAACGTTGTGGTATTGATGTTGCTATATCAGTTCATATTCATAGCTGTAATATTTGTGGTAATTCTATACCTTGGTATGAGCATCCAACTACCTCAATAGATCTTCTAGTATAGAGATACACAAGCATTTACTTTTATATTGAAATATTTGACTATAATCACTTCCCATTATTCCTCCTTCATATTATACTTAAGATGATTTATCAATATTGTGTGTTTCTGTGTATAGGTAAGTAGGTTATCTTTGTTATTTATTACAGAATAATAGACATTCCCAAATATATACATATTGGCTTAATTTCCCCCAGACACCAAATTTTTATTTCTCAAAAGATTAGCTTTAGAGTCAGCATTAATAGACATTTTTCAAATTTCAATCCCTACTGAAAAATTATTTGTGGTTCCTCCTTTGTGTTAATAAAACAGGGTGAAAATAGTTTACAATGTATGTGACCACAGGGTTTGATATGCTTGGCTTTATTTGTAATTTGTATGGGTACATAAATGGTGTACATATTTATCAGGTACATATAAAGTCTTGATACAAGTATACAATGTGCAATAATAATCCATCAGTGTAACTGGGGTACCCATCACCTTAAGCATTTTTCATTCTTTTGGGTTATAAACATTCCAATTACACATTTTTAGTTATTTTTAATTATACATTGAACTACTGATTATAGTCACCCTGTTATGCTATCAAATACTAGATATTATTCATTCTAACTATGTTTTAGTGCCACTCCCCGCCTCTTCCCTGACTTCCCTTTTTTTTTTCAGTTGTTTTGTCAGCTTTCACATAAGAATGAGAACATGTGAAATTGGTCTTTCTGTGCCTAGCTTTTTTTACTTAATAAAATGTCCTCCAGTTCTATCCATGTTGTTGCAAATGACAGGGTTTCATTATTTTTATGGCTGAATAATATTGCTCTGTTTTTATATATCATATTTTCTTTATCCATTCATCTGTTGATAGACACTTAGGTTGCTTCCAAATCTTGGCTATTGTGAATAGTGCTGCAATAAACATGGAAGTGCAGATATCTCTTCAATATACTGATTTCCTTTCTTTTAGGTGTACACTCAGCAGTTGGATTGCTGGATCATATGGTAGTTCTATTTTTAGTGTTTCAAGAAATCGCTATACTGTTCTTCATACTGGCTGTACTAATTTACATTCCTACCAACAATGTATGAGGGTTCCCCTTTATCCACCTTGCCATTAGTCATTTTTGCTTGTCTTTTGTATAAAAGCCATTTTAACTGGAGTGAGATGATATCTCATTGTAACTTTGAATTGCATTTCTCTGATGGTCAATGGTGTTTAACACCTTTTCATATTCCTCTTTGCCATCAATATGTCTAATTTTGAGAAATATCTACTCAGGTCTTTTGCCCATTTTTGAACTGGATTATTTGTTTATTTGCTACTGAGTTGTTTGAGCCCTTTACATATTCTGGTTATTAATCCCTTCTTGGATGGACAGTTTGAAAATATTTTCTCCCATTCTGCATGCTATTTATTGATTGTTTCCTTTGCTGTGCAGAAGCTTTTTAAC
Source organism: Homo sapiens (assembly GCF_000001405.40). Taxonomy (NCBI): domain Eukaryota; kingdom Metazoa; phylum Chordata; class Mammalia; order Primates; family Hominidae; genus Homo; species Homo sapiens. The sequence continues at coordinate 125,983,482 of NC_000005.10, forward strand.
TTGATGTGATCCCATTTGTCCATTTTTGCTTTGGTTGCTTGTACTAATGAGGTATTATTCAAGACATCTTTACCTGGATCAATGTCCTGGAGGGTATCTCCAACATTTTCTTTGAGTAGTTTCATAGTTTGAGATCTTAGATGTAAGTCTTTAAACCATATTTATTTTATTTTTTATATGGCAAGAGATAGGGATCTAGTTTTTCTTCTGCATATGGATAGCCAGTTTTCCCTGCACCATTTATTGAAGAGACTGTCTCCTACCCAGTGTATATCCTTGGGCACCATTGTCCAAAGACTTCACTGTAGATGTACGGATTTGTTTCTAGGTTCTCCATTCTGTTCCATTGGTCTACATGTCTGTTTTTATGCCAGTACCATGCTGGTTTTGTTACTATAGCTCTCTAATATAATTTGAAGTCAGGTAATGTGATTATTCCAGTCTTATTCTTTTTGCTAAAGATAGATTTGACTCTTCTGGGTCTTCTGTGGTTCCATATAAGTTTCATGATGACCTTTTCTATTTCTGTGACGAATGCCATTGGTATTTTGATAGGAATTGCATTGAATCTATAGATTGCTTTCGGTAGTATGGACATTTTAATAATATTGATTATTCCAATTCATGAATGTGAAATATCTTTCCATTTTTTGTGTCCTCTTCAATTTTTTTCATCAATGTTTTATACTTCCATTTCAGAGATCTTTCACTTCTTTGGTTAATGTTATTCCTAGGTATTTTATTTTATTTGTAGCAATTATAAATGGGATTAGTTTACTGATTTCTTTTTCAGATTGTTCACTGTTGGCATCTAGAAATTCAAGTGATTTTTGTATGTTGATTTTGTCTACTGCAACTTTACTGAATTTGTTTATCAGTTATAATAGTCTTTTGATAGAGTCTTTACGTTTTTCAAAATATAAGATCATATCATCTGCAGCAAACAAGGATAATTTGAAATCTTTTCCAGTTTGGATACCCTTTATTTATTTCTCTTGTCTAACTGCTCTTGCTAAGAGTTCCAATACTATGTCGAAGAACAGTAGCGAAAGTGGGCATCTTTGCCTTGTTCCAGATCTTACAGGAAAGGCTTTCAGTTTTTCCCCACTCAGTATGATGCTAGCTGGGTGTCTGTCATGTATAGCTTTTATTGTGTTGAGGTATGTTCTTTCTACCTCTGGTTTTGGAAGGTTTTTCTCATAAAGGGATGTTGAATTTTATCAAGGGCTTTTACAGCAGCAATTGAAATTACCATGTGGTTTTCATCCTTCATCCCATTGATATGGTGCATCATATTGACTGATTTGTGTATGTTGAACCATCCTTGCATCCCGGGTAAAATTCCAGTTGGTCATGATGAATGTTCTTTTTAACGTGTTGTTGAATTTGGTTTGCTGGTATTTTGTTGAAGATTTTTTGTATCATTATGCATCAGAGATATTGGTCTATAGTTTGTTTTCCTTGTGTTTTTGTCTGGTTTTAGTATCAGAGTAACAGTGACCTTGTAGAATAAGTTTGAAAGTATTGCCTCCTCAATTTTTTGGAATAGTTTGAGTAGGGTTGGTATTAGTTCTTCTTTAAATGTTTGGTAAGATTCAGCAGTCAGCTATCAGGTCCCAAGCTTTTCTTTGATGGGGGACTTTTTATTATGACTTTGATCTCATTACTTGTTATTCATCTGTTCAGGTTTTGGATTTCTTAATGGTTCAATCTTGTTAGGTTGTTTAGGAACCTAGACATGTGTCTAGGAATTTATCCATTTCTTCTATGATTTTAATTTATTGGCATATAGCTTCTCATAGTAATCTCTAATGATGCTTTGAATTTCTGTGGTATCAATTGTAATGTCTCCTTTTTCATCTCTGATTTTCTTTTTTTCTTAGTCTTGCTTATTCTTATTTTACCATTTCAAAAAACATTTTGATTTATTGACCTTTTGTATTATATTTTGATTTCAATTTCATTTCTGCTCTAATTAATTATTTCTTTCCTTCTACCAATTTGGGTTTTGTTTGCACTTGCTTTTCTAATTAAGATGTATCATTAGGATGTTTATTTGAATTTCTCCTTTTTTGATGTAGCCACTTATTGCTATAAACTTTCCTGTTAGTATTGCTTTTGCTGCATCCCATAGGTTTTAGTATTTGTGTTTCCATTATCATCTTTTCCAATAAATTTTTAATTTCCTTATTAATTTCTTCATTGACCCACAGGTCATTAAGGAGCATATGATTTAATTTCCATGTGTTTGTATGGTTTTTAAAGTTCCTCTTGTTATTGATTTCTAGTTTTATTCCATTGTGGTCAGTGAAGATACTTGATATGATTTCAATTTTTTGAATTTTCTTAAGACTTGTTTTGTGGCCTATTGTATGGTCTATTTCTGAGAATAATCCATGTGCAGAGAAGAAGAATATGTATTTTCCAAGTCTTGAATGAAATGTTGTGTAAATATCTATTTGGTCTATTTGGTTTATAGTGCAGATTAAGTCTGATTTTATTGTTGTTGTTGATTTTCTGTCTGGATGATCTGTTCAGTGCTGAAAATGGGGTGTTGAGGTTGCCAGCTATTATAGTACTGGGAGTATATCTCCCTTTAGTTCTAATAATATTTGCTTTATATCTGGGTGCTCCAGTGTTGGGTGTATATATATTTACAATTATTATATCCTCTTGTTGAACTGATCCTTTTATGATTATATAGTAACCTTGTCTCTTTTGACACTTTTGAATTGAAATGTATTTTTTCTGATATAACTACTACAGTTCTTTATTTGGTTTCCATTTGCCTGTTTCATCCATCCCTTTATTTTCAGTCTGTGTGTATCTTTATAGGTGAAGTTAGTTTCTTATAGACACTATATAATTGGGTCTTTTTTTAAATCCATTCAGTCACTGTATATTTCTTTATTGGAAAGTTTAGTCTATTTACATTCAGGGTTATTATTGATGATTAAGGACTTATTACCACCATGTTGTTATTTATTTTCTGGTTGTTTTGTGGGCCTTTATTCTTTCTTTCCTGTCTTCCTCCATGTAAAAATGATTTTCTCTAGTGGCACGTTTTAATTTATTATTTTTGTATATCTGTTGTAGGTTTTTTAATTTGAAGTTACCATGATGCTTGCAAATAACATTTTATAAGCCAGTATTTTCAACTGATGACAGCTCTGATTGCAAAAAAATAACAATGAATCAACAAACAAGCAAGGAGATAACTAAAAACTCCGTATCTTAAGTCCATACATCCTGCTTTTCAACTTTTTGTTGTTTTTATTTTTTATACTGTGTACCTCTTAAAAGTTATTGTAGTTATTTTTAACAGGTTTGTCTTTGAGTCTTCCTACTGAACATATGAGTGATTTACATATCACAGCTACAGTGTTAGTATATTCTGTATTTGTCTGTGTACTTACTGCTACCAGTGAGTTTTGTATCTTCATACTTCTTATTTCTTATTAACATCCTTTTTACAGATTAAAGAACTCCCTTTAGCATTTCTTGTAAGACAGGTCTAATGTTGACAAAATTCAACAGCTTTTACTTCCCTGAGAAAGCATTTTTTCTCCTTTATATTTAAAGGATATTTTCACTGGATATAATATTCTAGGATAAAAGGTTTTTTTTTGTTTTGTTTTGTTTTGTTTTTCCTGAAGCACTTTGAATGTGTCATTCCACTCTCTCCTGGATGGTAAGGTTTTCACTGAGAAGTCTGCTGCCAGACATATGGGATCTCCTTTATACATTGTTCGTTTCTTTTGTCTTGTTGCTTTTAAAATCATATCTTTATTTTTGGGAGTTTGATTATTAGATGTCTTGAGGTAGTCTTATTTGGGTTAAGCCTGGTTGGTGTTCTATGAACTTCTTGTATATTGATATCTTTCTCCAAGTTTTGAAAATTCTCTGTTATTATTTATTTGAATTAAATTTCTACACTGATCTCCTTCTCTGCCTCCTCTTTAAAGCCAGTATCTCTTAGATTTACCTTTGTGAGGCTATTTCTAGATAGTATAGTCGTGCTTCATTCTTCTATATTTTTCTCTCTGACTGTGTATTTTCATATAGCCTCTCTTCAAGCTCACTAATACTTTCTGCTGTTTGGTCAACTCTGCTGTTGAGAGATTCCAATGCATTCTTCAGTTTGTCAATTGAATCTTTCAGCTCCATAAATTCCGCTTGATTTTTTAAAATTTCAATCCTTTTGTTAAATGTATCTGATAGTATCAGATACTTTGTTAATTTCAATCCCTTTGTTAAATGTATCTGATAGTATCAGATACTTTGTTAAATGTATCTGTGTTATCTTGAAGTTAGCTGAGCTTCCTAAAATTAGCTTTTTTGAATGCTGTCTGAAAGGTCACACATCTCTAGATCACTGGTGCCTTATTTAGTTTGTTTGATGAGGTCATGTTTTTCTAGATGTTCTTGACACCTGCGGCTGTTTACTGATATCTAGGCATTGAAGAGTTAGGTATTTATTCCAGTCTTCACAGTCTGGGCTTGTTTGCATTCATCCTTCTTGAGAAGGCTTTCCAGGTATTCAAAAGGAATTGTTTTTATCTAGGTAATTTGGCCACTACAGCCATATAGCACTGGAGGGTGCCCTAAGCCCAGTAACTTTTGCAGATTTGTAGAGCTTGAGTAAGAGCCAGAAGAATTCCCAGGAATACCAAGCAGGGTCTCTTGTTCACTTCGCTCACTTTCTCTCAAATAAATGGAGTATCTCTCTCCATGCTGCATTGCCTTGAGTTGAGGAAGGGGTGAAGCAAGCACTCCTGTGGCCACTATAGCTGGGACTGGGTCACACCTGAGGCCTGAATGGTACTTGGGTCTCACACGAGGCCCATGGTGACTACTGCCTGGCTACTGTTGATGTTTATGCAATGCCCAAGGGCTCTTCATTCAGTTGGTGGCAAATCCTTCAAGGACTGGGTCCTGTCCTTCAGGGAAGCAGGTGCTTTTCTGCCCCAGGGTGGGTCTAGGAATATCATCTGGGACCTAGGGCCTGGAATCAGAAGCTTCAGGATTCTGCCTGATGCTTTATTTTACTGTGGCTGAGCTAGTATCCAAGTTGGAGGAGAAAGTCCTCTTTACTCTTCCTTCTTCTTTCCACAAGTGAAAAGAGTCTCTTGTTAAGCTTCACTGCCTGGAGTTAGAAGAGGGGTGCCATACGTACTCCCTTGGCTGTCTCAGCTGGTGTCTCCCTGGGTCATGTGGACCCCAAGTCCACTGGCTCTGAGTCCAGCATAGCACCAACACTTGCCCAAGTACTGCTGTTCTTGTGGCCTGACTACCTCGCAAATTTGTTCAGGACCCCACCGCACTTTAGTCCACTGAAGCTAGCCAAAACTCAGGTTCCTATTGCTGGGGTGATTGAGGCTGATTTAAATGCTCTCTCCATGGGCACCAGCCAAATTCTGTCCTGTGTTGTGTTCCACTGTGACAGGGCAGCACTGAATTTCCACACAAAGACCCACAATCACTTTGCTGTCCCTCCCCGAAACACACAGATTCTCTTTCCGTGCTGCTGGGGGCTGGGTGAGGGATGGTATGGGCAGTGCAAGACTGTCCTTCCTACCCTCTTCAGTGCCACTTTCCTTGATATGATGTTAAAACCAGATACTATGATCATTATCTGATTTTTTTTTTTTTTTTTTTTTTTGAGAAGGAGTTTTGCTCTTGTTGCCCAGGCTGGAGTGCAGTGGCATGATCTCGCCTCACTGCAACCTCCACCTCCAGGGTTCAAGCATTCTCCTACCTCAGCCTCCCAAGTAGCTGGAATTACAGGCATGTGCCACTGTGTCTGGCTAATTTTTGTATTTTTATTAGAGATGGGGTTTTACCATGCTGGCCAGGCTGACCTGGAACTCCTAACCTCACGTGATCTGCCCACCTCGGCCTCCAAAAGTGCTGGGATTACAGGCATGAGCCACCGCGCCTGTCTGATTTTTGGTTCTTATGAAGGTGTTTTCTTGTGCAGATAATTGTTCAATTTGGTGTTGCTGCAGAAGGAACAATCAATGGAAGGTCCTGCTTGGCCAGCCTGCTCTATCTCCTTTTCTGTTGGCATTTTTTGGAGAAGGGTGATATCTTGGATTGATTTCAAAAGGAATCATAACAGCTATATTTGGTTATGTAATCTATACAGCTTTAAATTTTTCTACAGTCAAAAACTCACTGCTGCCTCCAACCTGCTACTAGTACTACCATCATGTACACAGAGTTAACTCTGCTTTACCTACTAACATATAGACAAGATGGTAGTTCAAAACACGTTTGATTGAAGAGGAAAACTGCAGTTTCTACTTACACCTGAACATTCTCCTGAATATTATCTATGCCACAGTTTCTAAAGGAATTTACTTTTGTAACATGAATGATCTTTACTTATCAGGAAATATCAAAAACTTAGTTTCAATGGCAAATGTGTGCTATGTAGGAAAATTAGACACAAGTAATTGGAAGTTTTAAAATCCAAATGAAGTTTTGATCAACGTATTCTACACAACAAATAATTATGATGTTTATTTTGCTACCTGGCACATAAAATGCTTCCTTGGCTGCTTTCCTGAGCCATACAATTATTTTAAGATGTGTTTTTCATGCTCTCTGCAGTCAGAGATATGTTTCTTTTTTAATTTAAAATAAAACGACTTTTTGGTAATCATATCAATTTTTCTTTCGGGAAGACACTACTTTTTTTTTTAACTTACTGTTTAAAAAACTGTCCAAATCAATATAACTTTCATGGTTGGGTACTGGCTTACTTGATTATGTTAGGGGAATATGTATAGTGTTGGAAATAGCATTTACTTCTCTGGCTCTATTTGCTTTGTAGGAATAACCATTCCTACATTAACAACATACACCATTAATTTAGAGTAAGCTCTCTACTAATAATGACAACTGATTTTTTTGTTTAATTTCTCTATAACCAAATGGCACACTTTACAACAAGCCCAAATTTAAGGCTCCTGTGGGACTTCAGATTACACTGCATCTTTTTAAAGGTTATGTTTGATGACCTAACCACTTGATATTTTTCTCATTGCAATATTTAAAATACAAAACTACAATTGGACTCTGTAATTTCAGTTATGTTTTAGTAAAAGATTAATACGCATTTCTAAAAATAAAAAGAATGTTTCCACACATAAATTTCTCTTTCAACTTGTGCCAACATCCATTTTATAATGAACTGCAATACATAGCATATTTGCAGGTATGAAACATTATCACCATTATTTTCTGTGGCCTAAAAGTAAAAAATGTAGGGTACTAACAACTAATCTCACTGAATATATTGATCTCATGCTAGTCAGACATTTTTTTCTGCTTTAACTTCCTCAGCTGTAAAACAGATTGATAATATCTTCAAATATGTGTTTTAAAATATTTATAAAAATAAAAAGCTGTAATTGTCAACTAATCTAACTTGTTACATTTCTCAATATGCTATAAAAACTAATAATAATTTTGTAGGAAAGCTCCTGAGTTCAGAACCCCTGAATTCAAGTACTGACTCTGCCACTTATAAACTGGGTTACCTTGGCTGTGTCATTTTATGTTTTGAGTGCCCATTTCTGCAAATATCAAAAATGATAACATATACTGTGCTTTACTCACAGGGCATTTGTGAGCATAAAATAAGAAGACTCCAGTGATTTTCAAATTACATTTATAAGATGATGAATAGAAGGGACAAATACATTTCAAAGACCATGATATGTTTTCTGTCTTCTGGAATTCCGAATTTATCACTACATCTTTTTAAATAACCAAAATAATATGAACCTGAGTGGAACATTGTAAACTAAATCAAGTCTCATGTACATAATTCCAATGACCTGTGATAATGATCAACTGCATGGTTCATCTGAGTGCGGTAAGTTCCAAACAACTCAATCTCATTCTATCAGCCATACCAAGCCAAGGATCTATAATAATAGGTATATTCTATTAAATATATTATTTTGTTGGAATGTCTGTTATTAGAATAGAATAATTTGTTGGGGGCTAGAGGCAAAGGTAGGCCCAGCACCTATAAACACAAAACACACAGGCAAATCATGGCATTCATTCTTATTGTATAAATAAGTCCCAAACATGGAATTCTAGCCCCAACCTTTATTTAGAGCTTCAGACTAACATTTTTTCCTGTGTGCTATGCATGTCAAACTTGTATGTCCAAAATCAGATACATCCATTTTGCATTTGAACACCTTGGTCAGAGTTTTTATTTACTTTTTAAGTATACTTCTTAAGTAGTTTACAAAAACTTTCTGTAGAAGTATATATAATACTTAAGGAGAAATAAAATAATTTGTATATTTCACTAAATCTTAGTAAATGGCCTGATGCAGATATGAAAATGAATTCATAATAAAACTTTACTTATCTCCTAAAATTCAAGCCTTGACAAGGATAATACAATTGTAAATGAATACACTAATGCCACTTTACCACAAATTGAACATCCAATATAACGCTTATATTTGAAAAAGATAAAATAAAATGAAATCCACTTTCTAAAGACTGATGTGACATGCTTAACTAAATAAATCAACTTCACCCTCCACTGAGAGGAAGTCACCGAGAGAAAGTTGTATACCACATTTGCAAAGTCCAAATAGCACCAGAAGGAGACAGTGGTTATGAAATGCTGTGATAAGTGTGACATAATTAACAGATAAGAACATTTCTATTACCTTCTAAGGGCAGCAAGAGATTAACTTAGTTTATAATGACACGACTGATTCATTTTGGGTATAAAAATGAACAGCTTAAATCTAATCCTCAGGCTACTAGGCAACAAGTATAGTTCTCCGAGAAAAAAAAGTAACGTTCCTATCAAGTGGCAAAAACAATTAGATAGACAGCAGTATTCTGAGCCAACTGTGAACACTGTAAAGAAAGAGAAGAAAAACAGACACAGTCTCCTACAGTGGTTCAGGCCCTGAACCACAGTGGAGTAGAATATCATGTTATTTTTCTGCCTTAAATATTCTCTAACTTCAGAAATATTAGGAGTTAGATGCTTATATTAGGACACAAATTTAAAAGGATAAGAAAATCAATGAACATATAAATCTAAATAAAAGTTTCTATTTTTGGCTGAGCACTGACTCATGCCTGTAATGCCAGCACTTTGGGAGGCCGAGGTGGGCAGATCACTTGAGGTCAGAAGCTCAAGACCAACCTGGCCAACATGGTGAAGCCCCGTCTCTACTAAAAATACAAACAATTAGCTGGGAGTGGTGTCACGCACCTGTAATTCCAGCTTCTTGGGAGGCTGAGGCACGAGAATCACTTGAACCCAGGAGGTGGAGGTTGCAGTGAGCTGAGATTGTGCCACTGCACTCCAGCCTGGGCAACAAAGTGAGACTGTCTCAAAAACAAATAAATACATAAAGATTTATATTTTTAAAGACAAAAGTTAAATGAAAATTTCTCTGATGTATTACTTGAGAAAGTGGGACATAATATAACATTATTCTACAATTAGTGAAACCTTTATAATTTATTTCAAAATGGCCTGCATCAATATTAAAACCTAATATATGTTGGACAAAACTAAACAGGAATCTGTGAAAGAAATACATAAGTATCGCAATATAGAGGCCATAAATAATATTCTATTTCTGGGCTTGGGTAGTTACAAGGGTTTGCGTTTTATTCATCTTGCTACATGTTTACTTTTATAAACTTTTATATGTGGATTGTATTTAATGATTTTTAAAATATTATTTTTGAACGTTATAAAGTAAGTCAACAACAGTATGCCAGTTATAATCACTCTGTGGCTATGTCTGCACTATCCCAAAACATACTTCAATCAGTTAGTCTAGGTGCTGGGAGCATTTGCCAGACAATGTATTTTAGCATCATGCAGACCAAAAAATGAATTCTTTTTTTTTTTTTTTTTTTTTTTTTTTTTTTTGAGACGGAGTCTTGCTCTGTCGCCCAGGCTGGAGTGCAGTGGCGGGATCTCGGCTCACTGCAAGCTCCGCCTCCCGGGTTCACGCCATTCTCCTGCCTCAGCCTCCCAAGTAGCTGGGACTACAGGCGCCCGCCACTACGCCCGGCTAATTTTTTGTATTTTTAGTAGAGACGGGGTTTCACCGTTTTTTAGCCGGGATGGTCTCGATCTCCTGACCTCGTGATCCGCCCGCCTCGGCCTCCCAAAGTGCTGGGATTACAGGCGTGAGCCACCGCGCCCGGCCCAAAAAATGAATTCTTATGTTTCACTAATTCTTAGTCAATGACCTAGGAAAAGTATGGAAATGAACTCATGCTAAAACTTTATTTTCTTAAGAAAAATTCAAGCCTTAACAAGGACAATGTAACTGTAAGTGAATTACTAATACCAGTTTACTACAAATAGCAAGATGTACACCTAATATAACCCTTTTATCCAGAGAAAATAAAATGAAGTCTAACTTACTAGTGACAGCTATGACTAGCTTAACTCAATCAAATGAGCTTCACCCTACAGAAAGGGTGACCCACTGTTACCTGTTGGTCATATTGTCTATATAGCAACTCACTGGCAATTTCAATGCTCACAAATCTGTGTATAGGTATGAAAAGTTTAAAAAACATATATGCCTGTATACACACAAAATGTTTACTGCCTAAAAGAACATGCATGCTGAAAAGTTCTATGAAACCAAGCTATATCCAAAATGTATTGATATACTATAAGGGTGCAAAGGTAGAAATGAAAATATAACATCTAATATTATATCTAATAATGAAATTATTACATATGAGTGTGTAAGACAGGCTTTAAAATCTCATTCCATAAATAGTCTTCTCGAATCTAACTTGGAAAATGTCTGAAGGAAATAAGTGTGTTAATAAACACACACATACAAGCACATACACATGTATTTGAACTGAAAAACTACGGCTCCAGCTAAAATTTAGAGGGCAACCTAATTTCTTTTATACCACAAGTCCATAATCCTACATAAATTTGTTTGCTGTGATTCATAGCTGGCCAGATGGGAAAAAACCGTGCAAAGAACTATAGACTTTGGCTGTTTGTAGATCATAAAATTACATTCATGAATATTTTAGGATGTGATTGTCTCATGAATTCTCATGATCTTTTTTATTCCTCTGTCTTATATCTTTAATTACAGAATAACAGAAAGATTATGGGATATTACCAGGCCCTGGATGAATTAGTAAAATACACATTTGCTCATTATGAACTTTCCCCATTTTTGGTAAAATTTCTCATAGGAAGAAAAGCATATAAACTGTATGTTAAATAAAAAAGAGTTTTGAGCCTGAAAACATAAGAGGTTGGAAACAGATTTAGGAAGAAAAAAAGAGTCAGTTGGTGTTTTTCTTTGTTCAAGAAATCATTACCCAGGATGGTCAGGGACTGTGCAGTTATGAGCTGTCAGCTAAGGAAGTCATTCTGTCCTATAAAATTCCATAATCTATCTAAGCTCAATTATTTTTATTGCAAAGAATTATATTAGTAAAGTTACAAAAGCCTTTCTAATAGATAAACCCTGAAATCTCAGTAGCTTAATGCAAATCTCAGTGGCTTAACAAAGGTTTAATTTTTGCTCCTGAAAATTCTAAACACTTCCCTTGTTCAGTGGTGTCTCTCCACCAGAGGTGATTTAGGGACTCAACAAATCTATGACATAGAGATTCTATGAATCTCAGGCAGTCAGGTAGCCGTCTCTTCCATAGAAATTGTGTTTTCACTAAATCTTGACTCTTCAGGGAAAACTCAAGTCATGAGTACCCACACACTGGACTTCAGAGGATTCCTTCTAGGTCCTGAGATAGTCAAGAAGTAGAATCACTAGAAAAATGTAGTGTGAGAACTTTCATACACAATAAATTATAGAAGAGTCTACAAAGATATGATTTGGCTGTGTCACCACCCAAATCTCATCTCTAATTGTAATTTCCACTCGTCAAGGGAGAGACCTTGTAATCCCCACTTGTCGAGGGAGGGAGGTGACTGGATCATGGGGGCGATTTCCCCCTTGCTGTTCTCATGATAGTGAGTGACTTCTCACAAGTTCTGATGGTTTTTTAAGTGTTTGGAAGTTCCTTCTTCTTTCTTCTCTTTTCTGGTGCCTTGTGAAGAAGGTACTTGCTTCTCCTTCACCTTCTGCCATGATTGTAAGTTCCCTGAGGCTTCCCCAATAATGAGGAACTGTAAATAAATTAAACCTCTTTCCTCTATCAGTTACCCAGTCTTGGGTAGCATCTTTATAGCAGTGTGAAAATGGACTAATATAGCCGTCAATGGAGTACTCAGGAAAACATAGTAAAATTAAATACAGGACAAGTGTTAGAGACAATTTTAACAGAGCAAAAGGAATTCTTATAAATGTAATAATAGATGTTGGGCAGATTATGCTACAAACGTGTAACCATAGAGTCATGCCTTATTTTATTGTGCTTCCCTTTATCTGTGCTTCACAGATAACTGCCTTTTTTAATACAAATTGAAGGTTTGTGGCAACAATGTGTTGAGCAAGTCTATTGAGGCCATTTTCTCAACACCATGTGCTTACTTTGTGTCCCTGTGTTACATTTGGTTATTCTTTCAATATTTCAAAATTTGTATTATTATTATATCTGTTATAATGATCTACGATCTTTGATGTTACTATTGTAATGATTTAAGGGCACCATAAACCATGTCCTTATAACACAATGAACTTCATCAATAAATGTTGGGTGTGTTCTGACTGCTCCATGGACCAGCCATTCCCCCTTCTCTCTCCCTCATCCCAAGGCTTCTCTATTCTTTGAGATGCAACAATATTGAAATTAGGTGAATTAATAATCCTACAATGGCCTCTATGTGTTCAAATATAAGGAAGAGAACTATTTATGACAAACCCACAGCCAGTATCATACTGAATGGCAAAAACCGAAAGGATTCCCTTTGAAAACCAGCACAGACAGGATGCCCTCTCTCACCACTCCTATTCAACACAGTATTGGAAGTTCTGGCCAGAGCAATCAGGCAAAAGAAAGAACTAAAGGGTATTCAAAAAGAAAGAGAGGAAGTCAAATTGTCTCTGTTTGCAGATGACATGATTCCGTATTTAGAAAACCCTATCATCTCAACACAAAAACTCCTTAAGCTGATAAGCAACTTCAGCAAAGTCTCAGAATAAAAAATTAATGTGCAAAAATCACAAGCAGGCCGGGCGGGTTGGCTCACACCTGGAATCCCACCACTTTGGGAGGCCAAGGCGGGCGGGTCACAAGGTCAGGAGGAGTTCAAGACCAGCCTGACCAACATGGTGAAACCCCATCTCTACTAAAAATACAAAAACTAGCCAGGGGTGGTTGTGCGCACCTCTAATCCCAGCTACTCAGGAGGTTAAGGGAGGAGCATTGCTTGAACCCCGGAGGCGGACGGTTGCAGTGAGCTGAGATCATGCCACTGCACTCCAGCCTGGGCAACAGAGGGAGACTCTATCTCAAAAAAAAAAAAAAAAAAAAATCACAAGCATTCCTATACACCAATAATAGACAAGCAGAGAGACAAATTATAAGTGAACTCCGATTTAGAATTGTTACAAAATTATAAAATACCTAGGAATACAGCTAACAAGGAATGTGAAGGACCTCTTCAAGGAGAACTACAAACCACTGCTCAAGGAAATAAGAGAGGATACAAATGGAGATACATTCCATCCTCATGCATAAGAAGAATCAATATCATGAAAATGGCCACACTGCCCAAAGTAATTTACAGATTCAATGCTATTCCCATCAAACTACCCTTAACATTCTATACAAAATCAGAAAAAAAACTACTTTAAATTTCATGTGGAGTCAAAAAAGAGCCCGTATAGCCAAGACAATCCTAAGCAAAAAGAACAAAGCTGGAGGCATCATGCTACCTGACTTCAAACTATACTACAAGGCTACGGTAACCAAAACAGCATGTTGCTGGTTCCAAAACAGACATATAGACCAATGGAACAGAACAGAGACCTCAGAAATAACACCACACATCTACAACCATCTGATCTTCAACAAACCTGACAAAAACAAGCAATGGGGAAAGGATTCCCTATTTAATAAATGGTGCTGGGAGAACTGGCTAGCCATATGCAGAAAACTGTAGCTGGACCCCTTCCTTACACTTCATAAAAAAATTAACTCAAGGCCGGGCGTGGTGGCTCACACCTGCAGTCCCAGCACTTTGGGAGGCAGAGGTGGGTGGATCACGAGTTCAAGAGATCGAGACCATCCTGGCTAACACAGTGAAACCCCGTCTCTACTAAATATACAAAAAATTAGCCGGGCGTGGTGGCGGGTGCCTGTAGTCCCAGCTACTCAGGAGGCTGAGGCAGGAGAATGGTGTGAACCCGGGAGGTGGAGCTTGCAGTGAGCTGAGATAGCACCACTGCACTCCAGCCTGGGCAACACAGCAAGACTGTCTCAAAAAAAAAAAAAAAAAAAATTAACTCAAGATGAATTAAAGACTTAAATGTAAAACCAAATCATAAAAACCCTAGAAGAAAACCTAAGCAGTAACATTCAGGAAACAGGCATGGGCAAAGACTTCATGACAAAAACACCAAAAGCAATGGCAACAAAAACCAAAATTGACAATGGGATCTAATTAAACTAAAGAGCTTCTGTACACCAAAAGAAAGTACCATTGGAGTGAACAGGCAACCTACAGAATGGGAGAAAATTTTTACAATCTACCTATCTGATAAAGGTCTAATATCCAGAATCTATAAGGAACTTAAAAAAACTTACAAGAAAGAATAACCCCATCAAAAAGTGGGCAAAGGTATGAAAAGACACTTCTCAAAAGAAGACATTGATGCGGCCAACAAACTTATGAAAAAAAAGCTCAACATATCTGATCATTAGAGAAATGCAAATGAAAACCACAATGAGATACCATCTCACACCAGTTAGAATGGCGATTACTAAAAAGTCAGGAAACAACAGATGCTGGCGAGGATGTGGAGAAATAGGAACGCTTTTACACTGTTGGTGGGAGAGTAAATTAGTTCAACCATTGTGGAAGACAGTGTGGTGATTCCTCAAGGGTCTAGAACCAGAAATACCATTTGACCCAGCAATCTCATTACTGTGTATATACCCAAAGAAATATAAATCATTCTATTATGAAGATACACGCACACTTATGTTTACTGCAGCTCTATTTATAATAGCAAAGACTTGGAACCAACCCAAATGCCCATTAATGATAGACTGGATAAAGACAATGTGGCACATATACACCATGGAATACTGTGCAGCCATAAAAAAGGATGACTTCATGTCCTTTGCAGGGACATAGATGAAGCTGGAAACCATCGTTCTCAGCAAACTAACACAGGAATAGAGAATGAAACACTGCATGTTCTCACTTATAAGTGGGAGCTGAACAATGAAAACACATGGACACAGGGAAGGGAACATCACACACAGGGGCCTGTCAGGGGATGGGGGGCAAGGGGAGGGAGAGCATTAGGACAAATACCTAATGCATGTGGGGCTTAAACCTAGATGATGGGTTGATAGGTGTATCAAACCACCATGGCACATATACACCTATGTAACAAACCTGCATATTCTGCACATGTATCCGAGAACTTAAAGTAAAATTAAAAAACAAAATTATTCTGAAGAGATATAAAAAAAAAAGATGCTGACGAGGATGTGGAGAAATAGAAACACTTTTACACTGTTGGTGGGAATGTAAATTAGTTCAACCATTGTGCAAGACAATGTGGTGATTCCTCAAGGATCTAGAACCAGAAATACCATTTGACCCAGCAATCCCATTACTGGGGATATACCTAAAGGAATATAAATCATTCTACTATAAAGACACATGCACATGTACGTTTACTGCAGCACTATTTACAATAGTGAAGACATGGAACCAACCCAAATGCCCATCAATCACAGACTGGATAAAGAAAATGTGGTACATATACACCATGGAATACTACGCAGCCTAAAAAAGAAATGAGATCATGTCCTTTGCAGGGACATGGTTGAAGCTGGAAGCCATCATCCTCAGCAAACTAACACAGGAACAGAAAACCAAACACCACATGTTCTCACTCATAAGTGAGAGTTGAACAATTAGAACACATAGGCACAAGGAGGGGAACATCACACACCGGGGCCCAGGTTAGGGAGAGCATTAAGACATATAGCTAATGAATGCGGGGCTTAAAACCTAGATGATGGGTTGATAGGTGCGGCAAACCACCATGGCAAATGTATACCTATGTAACAAACCTACACTTTCTGCACTTGTATCCCAGAATGTAAAGTAAAATAAAATAAAATAAAATAAAATAAAATAAAATAAAATAAAATAAAATAAAATAAAATAAAATAACAGAACAGTAAATCTGAAAAATATTGTGTCACTGGCCAGGTACTCCCTTTAGAAGTAGACAAGAGGCAAGGCAAGGTGGCTCAAAATCAAAAAAGAAAAGAAGTCTCTTGTTCCACTGCTCCTCTGTCTTTCTATTCATGTTTAAGGAAAATTTAATATAATTTATTTTGTGCTATTAGCTTATGTCTTCTGTTGCCTCAACTTTGAAAGCTTCCCAGGAAGTAAGCATCTGAAATTTGTCATGACATGATACATATCACACATGTGAAATCAAGCCTTTAATAATCTTTGAACAGGAACTTTTACCTCCATTGGCAAATCCTCCATTTCATGAACAGTTTCTCTATTTCTGAGATAAAGTTATTTTAGGAAATCCTGGTTAGCATGTAGTCTGTCCACATTTCTGTGGAATTACCTAAATTTTAGATTTTAAAAAGATGCAGAAACTTTCTATAATTGTGAGGTTTTGTTATTGACAATGTTACAATGTCAAATCTTCTGCTAAATATTTGTGTGAAAATTAAACATTATTTAAATTCTAGTTTCTAAGATTTATTTCTCCCTGCTGGTGTTATACAAAACCACTATTAATATGCTGTGAAATGAGACATCTGCAGCATCACTAGTAAAAGCCTTTAAGTGGTAATCCTTCTGAATCCTTTCTTGTAATAGCTGAACATTTGCTGTACAAAACCAATGAAATTCACACATGCCACTATGGAGTAGTGGAGCAATTACTACAGCATTTTTCCCCCAAAGTACCTTAGGCTTTAGATGATTAGAGAATACTCTTATGTTTTAAACTTCCTGCCAACAATGGGGCTTTTAGTTGCATTGGATTGAGGACAAATTGTAGTATAATGTATGTTGACAGTTTAATAACATGGGTTAGTATCCTTGGTGTACTTTATGATGTAATACATCCTTATAGGTGTCTCTAGAGAATTGTGCTATGATTTCCAAGGAACAGAAAATTCAATAAACTAAAACAGCCTGAGTTAGATTTCTGCCTTCTGTATACTTTGGACATTTTCCTAAAAAATAAATAGGTGCTACCCTTCTAAAATATTTTTCTGACATGACTTTTCTGTTTTTCTTCTCAAACTGTAGATTTTAAGATTGGAATGGTAGAATTCTTATTAAATTATATATTAAAAATATAAAAAGTCCCTTTCTTTATATAATAAACAGTCTTTTTCCAGGTCTCAGAGGTAAAGTTCCTTTTCTATAAAAAGCTGTAATTGTGGTTTTCAAAATCTCATTAAATATTTAGATCTGTTAGAACACAAGTGTTTTCTGTTGAGGTTTAAACACATTCAGACTAATTATTTCTAATGTTTTGACCATTGTACAAATACTTGCAGTATTAAATAGCTAATAGCATAAAATAAAAAAACAAGTCATGTGCAGAAATCATAATTCCTTCTGGATTTTCTTTCATCCAGATATTTCTGGGTGAAACAAAAATAGCAATACAATGTATTTTTTAGCAATATAAAACATTAAATGAATATGATTCAAGGTACAAATGTTACTTTATATAACCTTGTTTTCTGTGTGTCTGCATTTATATGACCATAAACACAAGAAAATACTCAAGGTCTCAAGCACACTAAACCCACTATGACTCCAGAATGGATAATTTCCTGGCATTTTAGTAATTTTAGAAGGGGAAACCACACTACAATATTCTAAAGGAAATATTCTGCCAATACCACTTTGTAACAAAAAGACTCAGTAATTTGATCATCTGCCTGTAAGGTGAAAAAAGAGTTAGAGAAAATGACTAAATGACTATCTTCCAGAACTACTATCCTTTATTCATTATTCCCTTTTTAAAACGCTACATAATATAGGAATACAGAAAAGCATAAAAGCAACTTTCCTGTTCTAAAGGTAACATAGTCATTTTTCTTAAATACTCCCTATGTTGCAGGTACTGTGTAAAATATCTTATACACATTATTTCCTTTACTTCTTCAAGCACCCCCAGGGGGCAGATTCCTTATTATTACTCCATTTTATAAATGAGGAATGAGGAGCCAGAAAGGTCATATGTTCACTGAAGATCATTTAGCAAATAGATAGAGGAGCTAGGTTTCTAACACAGGCATTCAGACTTCAGGACCTGGAACACAGGGCCTTCCTCACTTAGATTTAGATTTCGAAAACCTACATATGGATGTTAGAATGAAAACTAATACAGGTCAATCTAAAGAATACTAAATAAATTTAAGTTTTGTTAATGGTTTGTTTAGGGACTAAGAAATGCATTCATTTGGGAAATCTGTTCTGAAATTCCTTCATTTAAGAGTACCCCCCCAGGATAGAGCAAAGTCTTCTGTCCCCAGTAACACATTACTTGTCTTTAGAATCATACGCGATTTAAATCATCTCATTGTTATTATTGTCACTCCATTGTCCACTGGCAACTCAGAGCCACACTGTCTCTGTGTTCAAAGCAAATGTTTATCAAATCACGCTCCAAGGTTTCGTGAAGGCCCTGAAAGCTGAGAGAGGAGGAACTAAAGATGAAATGGGAGTACTGAATGTGAGTCTCAAACCAGGAGGGAAAAAGGTATTGCCCTTGAATTCTGGCCCACACTGAAGTTTCCGGTTCCAATGTCTTTGTTGCTTTTTCTAATTTTTTGGCTGAGAGCTCGTGTGCTTTCCTCCTCCCAGGGGTTCTGCTGAGCAGGCCTGGTTGGAAGAGATCCCAGGCGAGAGCAGAGGTCTGAGGATTATTGAAGTGGTTTTCTTTTTAATCACTTATAAAAACAGAGACAAAGCCAATCACCAGCCATGTGATTTGCTCTAAGTCACTGGGCCTCTAAATTCCCTGAAGAAAGCCAGAGTCAGCTCTTTCCCAACAATGTGATATTTTGAGCTTCTCTCAATTTGAGAGCCTTAGACCTCTGGAAAGGGGAGGGAGAGAGAGAAAAAAACATACCTTGAACACATGAACAAAGTAGGGACTATAGTGAAACTATCATGCTCAAGCACAGGGGATAAGCCTGTGTGTCTCTGCCCCTTTCCAGCACTTTGAAAATTCATTTTCACTTTATTTCCTAGTTGATAAAACTCAGCACAATCTCTGTTCCTTCCTCTCATCACCCTCTGATTTTTCTTCTATGGGATTTGCAATCAGAGTTCCTTAAAGGGTAAATTAGGAACAGAAGATGAAGAGACTAAGATAAATCTGGTTGCATTGGTCCTTACCAAAATTTAATTAACTAGCATTTGAATAACCACTATCCAGGCAATGATAGGGAACAGAAAAAAGCTCTGGAAAAGATGGGAGAGATGTCATAACTTTATTGTAATTCTTTTGTATGATCAGTGTTTCCACATCAAGTTCTCACCCCCCAAAAGGACAGCAATAAATCCTGATGATTAACAAAAAGAATTAATTTCATTTTGTTGTATTTTGTAATTTTCAAGACTTAGCCCAGTTGAAAACATACATTGCCACCACTTCAACCAGCCCACCCCCACTTTATAAAAGAAAGCAATCTGTACAACCAAACCAAATGCTTTCCATTTTTTTTCTCCTCTCAGAAACATCAGCAGACTTAGTCAAGCACAGGCTGAGTGCCAGCCACAGCAAGATTATGCTAACCCCAAGATGTGGGAGTTGGCTGTGTTCCTCTGAGGCTTGCACAGAATGGTATTAAAAGTAATGAACACACAGAGAGACCCTGCAGGGCACGCCATGGTTTGCGTTTATGCCTCATTGGAACACTGCGGGTATTAGCAATTCTTCTAAATCTACATGTGCATGGTGTTTTCTGTTTTTGCACATGTACTGACTTGCTTCTCAACATATTTGAACCTTCTTTCCATTTTAATTGTCCAATTCCCATACTCTAAATCTACGTCTGCTATCCCCCTCTCCCTCCTCCTCCCCCAAAACCTGTACTATAACCAATTTGATAGAACTTTTAAGTTCCTTTCTCAGTGAGGTCCCTGTCATCTTTGGAACAGATGATACTTCATGTCATACCCTGAGGTCACACAGACAACTTGAGAAGTTTCAAATTCCATTGCATATTTAAATTATGGTTATAATATTTAGAATCCATCCTACAGGTTTATTAATTAATGTATAAAATGCAGCTTAATATCACAAATAGTAAGTACCTAATAATTTGGTTGAAACACTCACAGTCCTTAACATTGAAGAAATGTTGCACATATAATTTTATGTTCAAAAACATATAAGCTAGATATACTAAGGTAATTTGAGATTAGAGAGTATCAATATTCCAACATTTACTATGCATTGAGACTTACACTTTTTGTTCAATATGAAAACTGATACAACTGTCAACTTTGCTTAATAGAGAAAAGAAACAAATTAATATAGTACTGCAGTAACCCACTTGGTCTATTTCAATAATTATGTTTTATTTGTACTTCTAATCTTTAGAAGGCCCAGGAATCACATTGTTTTAAATAGTTTATAAAAAAACAAGACAGCAACAACAGGAATGAAATCCCCAAAATCAAGAGCACCATGACACAACTTTCCTACTAGGTGACTCAGATCAATTGAGTGGATCTTCTGAATAGAATTGTAATATACACGCGTCTATGGAAGCTTTGGCTCAAAGTTCAGTAAATTCCAAGTGAAGTAAGATCTTTAGTGGAAGAAAACAAATCACTAGAAAATTCATGGTCATTACATGGTTAATGTTAGTGAGTTAATAGTGAGATTACCTCTGATTTAGGCCAGATTATATGGGTATGGTGGTTTCTTTGCATACAGTGGCTATGTACCAAGTAAGGAGCTGATTGGATTACAATTGTAAGAGGCATGGCAAAGTCCTAAATATATAATTGGCTGAGTTCCTCCAAGTTAAAAGTGCTAATCTCCAATACACATCAGCCCTGGCTTGGCTTGGCTTGTTAGGTAAACAAAATGTGTCTTGCCTGTCATTGCCATAAAATATTAATGCACTGGAAGTCTCTAAACCTTGCTAAGCATAAGGCCTATTATCACACTTAAGAGCAAAGCAATCTAATAAATCGCTGGCTGTATAAAAACTAAGTCAGCTGGCAGAGACAGTAATCTCCCTAAGGGATAGTAAGAGCCTCATCTTCAACTACGGCAGCTGCAGTTCCAGAGAAATTATGTTTCTTCTGCTCAGTAAAATACATTTGTGCTGAATTCTGTTATTTAAACTCTAATGGAATCATTAGGAATATCCACACATTCTGAGTAATAGAAAATTAACTAAGAAAATAATCTATAATACTGTCATACAATAGAGTATTTTCATTAGGCTTGCATTTTAAAGTGCTAAATCTGATGTAAAATCAAGGTGCTTATTTCTAATATCTATTTTGGAAGAGCATGAACCCCCAACTCATACATAAATAATCACATATAAACATTGAATAGTATAGTTTGAAGTCAGGTAGTGTGATGCCTCCAGCTTTGTTCTTTTGGCTCATGATTGACTTGGCGATGCGGGCTCTTTTTTGGTTCCATATGAACTTTAAAGTAGTTTTTTTCCAATTCTGTGAAGAAAGTCATTGGTAGCTTGATGGGGATGGCATTGAATCTATAAATTACCTTGGGCAGTATGGCCATTTTCACGATATATTGATTCTTCCTACCCATGAGCATGAAATGTTCTTCCATTTCTTTGTATCCTCTTTTATTTCATTGAGCAGTGGTTTGTAGTTCTCCTTGAAGAGGTCCTTCACATCCCTTGTAAGTTGGATTCCTAGGTATTTTATTCTCTTTGAAGCAATTGTGAATGGGAGTTCACTCATAATTTGGCTCTCTGTTTGTCTGTTATTGGCATATAGGAATGCTTGTGATTTTTGCACTTTGATTTTGTATCCTGAGACTTTGCTGAAGTTGCTTATCAGCTTAAGGAGATTTTGGGTTGAGACGATGGGGTTTTCTAGATATACAATCATGTCATCTGCAAACAGGGACAATTTGACTTCCTCTTTTCCTAACTGAATACCATTTATTTCTTTCTCCTGCCCGATTGCCCTGGCCAGCACTTCCAACACTATGTTGAATAGGAGTGGTGAGAGAGGGCATCCCTGTCTTGTGCCAGTTTTCAAAGGGCATGCTTCCAGTTTTTGCCCATTCAGTATGATATTGGCTGTGGGTTTGCCATAGATAGCTCTTATTATTTTGAGAAACGTCCCATCAATACCTAATTTATTTCTGATAGCTTTGGAGATTGTGACATTGGAATAAAGGAAAATGTACAGAAATCATGAAGAGCTGAAATTCTCATGAATATCAAGCAACACCAGCGTTAACTAAATGACTGAACTCAGAAAGCTGAAGCAACTTTTTTGACTTTTGATTGGAATATTACTGATCCTTGTTGTTCAGAGTCAAGGAAACTTATTGTGAACTATTTATGGCCTTTAATAATTAAATAAGTAATTAAATAAGGTGTACTCCTATAAAAAAAAAACATTGAATTCTGAGTAAAAGCAACTTACTCATTGGGCACTGGTACGAAGTCCTTCTGGCAATATGTAAACATAAATATACTGTTGTTGCTGTACACCTTAAATACAGTTATAAAATTGCTGTTGAAGTGCCATTTTATGCTATACCTGACCAATTTCTGAAAATCATAAAATACTTACTTTGACTTACCCCATCCACCCATACACACACACACACACACACACACACACACACACACACAAGTACTGAAATCAACATATTTCCCATAATAAAGAAAATATAAGCAAACAGATTTTTTTAAATATTAATAAGTAATAAGAAGTACTTTCACATATGTTATTTCATTTAAACCTCATAATATCCCAGTAAGGTAAGTACAGCTTTCATGTCCATGTCAAAAATAAAGAAATTGCTAACTCGCCCATAGTCAGCCAGTTAGCAAAAGGTACTGCCATTCTTGAATCCTGGTCAATTGACTCTGAACACCACACTATTAAAGGTAAACCATTTTTTGTTGTTGTTTTTTTGTTTTGTTTTCTACTTATAATATCTTACCAAAGATAATGCTTCAAATCCTGAAGAGCATTTAGCATACTAATATGTAATTGCTACCCATGAATGGTAATTTTAGGTTACCTGATTAATGAATGATGTGCACCTTTCATATGACATTCAGTAATACTAAATAAAATGTTGATGACCTACACATGTGAAAAATATGAACTAAAAAAGCAGCCCTGCCATATTTAGAAATATTCAATGAAAATATATTTAAATCAGAAGGGAAAAAAAACACATTTTTTACTGGCTCAGGAATTGTAAGCTTGAAACTTACACAGAGGATAATGTGGGCACCTAACAAATATCCTTTGTATATATGGTGATGGGGCTTCAGTAAGAAAACACAATCCTCGCTAGTGTGTTGTTCATGGTGATAACACCCTCAATAAGGCCATGCCATTTTCTGTGTTGAAAATAGCCTTGGGATCAGAGAAGCTGAAGAAAACTGTCATTACAACCAGGTGTGCATCATTTCATCCCTTAGGAAGAACTAAACAATAATGAATCTGAAGCACACAGATCTTCAGTCGTGTGAAAGTGACTCTGAAAGTTACACATTTTCCTAATTACGCTGATACAATCTATAATAGACACTGATATCAACCTCTCTGAATTCCTAACACTTATTTCATTTGTTCAATCAGCACATATCTGTTGACAACATACTCCGTATGCAGCATAATGTGAGCTGCTAAAGTGGCAAGGTGATTAAAATTCAGTGCCTATCCTCAAAGTGTCCACACCTTTGTAAAAAATAAAATTGAATAAAATAATGAACTCGGATATGTTGATAATAGGAAGAAGAACTCAGTGACACACAAGATGCAAATATATATTTTTTCTTAATTTTCTGAAATCAAATCTAGTGCCAATCAAGCACTGCCCCTTAGAGCTGGGTCCCCATTGTTTGTGCCCCTCATCCTTTGATCTCTCTCTAGGCTTCCAGGGACCAACCAAGCATTTAGCGGCCAGTGTTTTCATGCTCTATCTCCCCCAAAAA
Source organism: Homo sapiens (assembly GCF_000001405.40). Taxonomy (NCBI): domain Eukaryota; kingdom Metazoa; phylum Chordata; class Mammalia; order Primates; family Hominidae; genus Homo; species Homo sapiens. The sequence goes on from NC_000005.10 coordinate 126,007,872, forward strand.
TCTAAAACACTACTTGTTTGTGCCACCCTTTCTTCTCCATTGAGAATCATTCTGTCATTGGGACTAGCAGCTCTTTCTTTCTAGCCATGCGAAAGACCCAGTATTTCTCTCTAGTTCACTTCTTTAACAGTTGAGTGTCATGTATACAGAAGCACTGAATGACTCAGGGAGTCAGATTCCAGAGCCTTAAACTATGAATAACTTGTTTATTTTGAGAAAAAAAAAAATTTTTTTAAGTCAATCCAAAGAAGTGCAGTACCAGTGTATCCTCTTCCCAAGCACAAAGCCCATTCTTTTATATGCAGCAAAAAATAAATAACATCATTGATTTGGTGCATCCTACTCTTAAATTCTTAGTATCTTACCCTATTACACCTATAACACAAGAGCTCAAAGGGGGTGCAAATGAACTGCTAATTCCTTCAACTATACCATGATTTTTCACAATTCCATTTTCATATTTGTACATGACATTTTCTCTCCTGAAATGAAAAACACTGAATTTTCAAGGCTCAGTTCATATGTCACCATTTCTATAAATTAATTCCCAACTTCTCTAAGCAAAGAAACTTCCTACACATTCCTTCACTTCAACAGCATTTTAATATCTCTATCATAGTATATTTAAGGTTATATTATAATTACGTGTTTACTTATCTGTCTCTTACCGAATTATCTCTTTGAGGAGCAGCACTATTTTCAATTCATAATTGTGTCCCCTATTAGCATTCAGTCTCAGTCTCAGCTTTGGAATACCTAAAATGACATCATAATGGTAAAAAGGGGATGGATGTTAAGGAAAAAAAAAAATAGCCAAAATCAAGACTATAGGTGGGCCCAGATCAAGATGAGCCAATCCTCAAGAATACTGGCTAATCATCCAAGCAATTCAATTCAGGGGAAGGAGTCCTCTCCACAGGAATGAATGGGTAGTGGTGAAACTTTCATCAGGCTGGTGTAGTATTTAGATACAAGGAATTCTCATAAGTTGAATCTATATACTAGTCTGTGATATGTAGTGTAGAGGCTCATGAGTAATGAAAACAGTGAGTGTCCCAGTCAGGTAAACTAGAGACCAGAGCAGGGGAGAATCAAGGAAAGAGATCAGCCATACGGCCTAAAGAGGTTTTTCCTTTACCTTTCTTTACAATAATATCATCAGTATGGTAGTACTAGTAAGACAGCCAGGTGGGAGGGGGTCCCTGGAGGAACTTCAACCAGCCTCCCCACTGAGGTGGAGCCTTGGGAAGTTCATGAGGTTTGTAGTAGGCCCCTCCTCTTCCTGTGTGGAAACTGAGATTCGAAGTGCTGGTTGGGAGGCCCTCTAGCAGACACTCTGGCCTTGCAAAAGTCCCTGTTTCCCCCTTATCTGCCTTTATACCCAATAAAACCCTGTCTTACTCACCATTTAAATTGTCTGTGAGCCTGAATTTTCATGGCTGTGGGTCAAAGAACCCTGTTTTTAGCTGAACTAAGGAAAAGTCCTGCAATGCTAGTTCATAGGAGTGATCATTATATTATCATCAATAGCAGCTATAGTAATAAAGAAAAACATCCCCAAAGTCCTCAAAATACTTTCCTTCATATGCTATTAGGTTAGTGCAAAACTGCAATTACTTTTGCACCAACCTAATATTATCCAGAACTAAATAAAATAATGCACTCAAATATGTTGCTTATAAGCATCAAATGCACAATGATACAGAAGACGAAAGAATTACATTTCTTAAGTTTCTTAAAACAAATTTCATCTGGACTCCAAGACTCCATTTTCCAGTGTTGGTAAAAGGGCCCCATCAGTCACATTGGCTCCTCTCTCCCTTGCTTTCTCCAGTCTCAGGAAAATGGCCGAGTGCCCTCAGCCTTAATGCATGCGCACATTCCTAAGGTCACATGATCATTCCTAGACGTTCAATGCTAATTGGACTTCCTTGATTGCCTTAAATCAATATTGATACATTCCCTGGGTCTCGGCACATTGTCATACAAACAAAGTCAACAAAGAAGAAGTGGAAATAGCTGTTGGGAAGGCCACCCACAGTATCTACTACAATCAGATTGAAAAGAGGTTCCCAAAAATATCAACAAGAGACAAAGTGGTGGGAGGAACGAAAGAGACATTATGAAAATATTGAGACTAGAAATGTCATCATAAGCTAATGTATTAATTTCATAGGGAAAGAATAAATAAATAGGGGGAAAGACACTTTAGAAGAAACAATGACTTAAAATTCTCAAAATTAAAGAAAAATATAAGAGCTCATTAAAAGAATGTATAATGGCAAACTGAATAAATTAGAACAAACATACAGTGAGACAAGTTATAGCAAAAATTGAGAACATCAAGTAAGAATAAAAAGTTCTTTAAGTTTCTAGAAAGGAAAATCCAATTACATATAAAGGAATTATAATCAGATTGACATTGAAATTCTCAAAGACTATATTATATTCAGGAAACAATGGAGTTACATTTTCAAAGTGTTGAAAGAAAAGCACATTAAACTAGAATTCTATATCCAACTAAATGTTTTATTTAACTCTGAGTGTAAAATAAAACTATTATCAGGCACACAAGCCTTCATAAACTTTATTGCATAAAAACCTCTTTGACCTGTTCTCCAGCAAGTCAAGAAATACATCCAGGAGAATGCTGCAGATACACGGGAATTATGGGCGCATAAATATCTTAGGGAAATATTTGTGTCTAAAAAAGCAATAATCATAGGAAAACAATCTTAAAAAATTAAATGTCCATAATATTTAAGAATTAGATTTCTAGTTTACATGAAGAGTTTAACTTACTGAAATAGAATTTATAGATATTTATAAGCTTAAAAAACTGATTAAAAACTAATCTTTAGTATTAATTTTAATAAAGAATCACTTTTTAAATCAGCAGAAGAAAATGTACTATATTCAGTGGACATAAGAAGTATACAAAAAGAAAAATTAAAGAAATACTCTTCATAAATTGATTTAAAAAAACAGAATGTAATCCAAATGTAAAAATAACTAAAAACAGAAGTAAATCACAATCTAATAGTAATTTAAAGAAATGGAAATGACTGTGATTAATGATCTGATGGATTTTTGAGAGATCTAGAAATATTAAGCAGCAAAACATGTGAAGCTCAAAAATACAGGGATAGAAAAAAAATGACTTCATATAAATATAAACCTAAAACAGCCAGAAACAGACAACATGATTTAAAGTAAAAATGATCATGAGAAAAAAAATTGAGATATTTTATTTTGGTTATGTGCCATTATCATGAATCTATATCCACATAACAACACAACTGAAAAATGTTATATAACAACTACTGACAGAACTACAATGAAAATGTATAAAACCACAATTATAGTTGGAGATTATTAACTATGAATCACTACAAATAAATCAAGCAGACCCAAAAAAGCAAGTGTTATTTTCTACATTAAAATAAGCTCTAATAAACATTACATCAACAGACACTAGACATTCACTTCAAGCAAAATTAGAAAATTTAGAAAAATTAACCTCGTACAAGGCTACAAAGAAGGGCTCAAAGAATTCATAAGAACCAATATTATACAGACTTTATAAAGAAATAAAAGTATAAATTAATAATAAAAAGATAGCTAAGCAAGTAGTATCTATAAGGAAATATTTCTCAATAACCCTTGGATTCAAGAAAGGAAATTTAAAAGAAAAATTAGAGTCTATTTATTAATTCTTTCCCTATGAAATTAATATATTAACTTATGTTGACATTTCTAGTCTCAATTTTTTTTTTCTTTGAGATGGAGTCTCTCTCTGTCGCCCCGGCTGGAGTGCAGTGGCGCAATCTCAGCTCACCTCAACCTCTAACTCTGAGGTTCATGCCATTCTCCTGCCTCAGCCTCTTGAGTAGCTGGGACTACGGGCTTGTGCCACCACGCCCGGCTACTTTTTTTTCTATTTTTAGTAGAGACAGGGTTTCACCCTGTTAGCCAGGATGGTCTTGATCTCCTGACCTCATGATCCGCATGCCTCAGCCTCCCAAAGTGCTGAGATTACAGACTTGAGCCACTGCCACTGGCCTAGTCTCAATATTTTTATAATATCTCATTCTTCCCATCACTTTGTCTCTTCTTAATATTTTTGAGAACCTCTTTCAACCTGATTGTAGTAGATACTGTTGGTGGCCTTCCTAACAGCTATTTCCACTTTTATGCTCTACAGTCTTACAGCAGAAAAATAGTAGGAATACTATATTTCAAAATTCAATCACCCATATGACACAAATTAAAAGCTATGCCGGGGCCTGTTGCGATGGTTCACGCCTGTAATCCCAGCACTTTGGGAGGCTGACGCAGGTGGATCAGTTGAAGCTAGGAGTTCAAGACCAGCCTGGGAAACATGGGGAAACCCCATTTCTGCAAAAAATACAAAAATTATCTGGGTGTCATGGTGTACACCTGTGGTCCCAGCTACTTGGGAGGCTGAGGTGGGAGGATCACTTGAGCCTAGGAGGCAGTTGCAGTGAGCCCAGACCATGCCACTGCACTCCAGCCTGGGCGACTGAGTGAGACCCTGTTTCCCCCTTCCCTTCCCCCTCAAAAAATGTGGACTGATATAACTAACACACAAACAACAAATGAGATCTCACACTTTTTTTAGTGCAAGTACAGTATCTAAAACAAAGAAGGCCAGACTTTATTCTGAATGGGTTTTTTTTTGTACTATATACTACAATATAAGGACAACTGTGATAAAAAGAAAAATAAGCGCACCAGGGTGGGAAAACACCTGTGCTCAACAACTCATTCAGATGGTTAGGAGTTTAGGACAGGGACAGAAGCACAGGCACACTGGTCCTGAAATATAGTCAGCCCCCATCACCTGCAGGTTCTGCGCCAGCGAGTTTGGCATCTGCCGCACAGATTCAACCAACTGCAGATCAGAGTATTTTGAAAAAACAATTAAAAATAATACAAATTTTAAAATACAAATAACTATTACATAGCATTTATTCATTCCTACTGCATTTCCCCAGCCTATATTCCTTTCCCATTCTTCTAGACTACAAGTATCTTGGTTTATCCTCTTTTCCCAATTTTAATACTTCCCCTCTCCTTATCCTCAACTTCCTTTCAGTGTGACTGAGGAAGTGGGAAATATCAGAAAATAACTTTTACAGACTCTAAAAATCCCACCTCCCACCTACATCTATCTCTACCCATAGCTGCTGCATCCCCTCTTGTCACTGTGGATGAACACTTTCCAAATTAAAGCCAGCTTCTCCATGTGTGCACTGGATCCCAATCCCTCTGATACTCCAAAACATCACAAGCTGCTTCTTTATTATCCTATCTTGCTCTTCCTCCTCCTTTGTCACGACTTTTTCACACTCGACTAGATCATTACTATCAGCATACAGTCATTCTAAAATCTCTCAACTGCATATTATCCTACAGACTCTATCTCGTTTCTCCACTCCCCCACATTAGGACATTGTTCTAGGAATTTACCTCTCTCTCTCTCTCTCTCTCTCTCTCTCTCTCTCTCTCTCACACACACACACACTCACTCACATACACACCAATTTTTCCAATAAGCTTATAAACATTCTATTATTTCTTCCACTGCTAAAAGAAGAAAAACTCATAATCCCACAACAGCTCCAGCTACTGTCCTATGTCATTCCTTCTCCTGGAAGAAAACTCCTAGGAACAGTATTTAATATAATGTCTCCAATTTCTCTTTTTCCACTTTCCTTAGAATCCTTAGACTTCTGCCCTCCGCTACTATTTCAACTTCAAGTTCTTATCCAGTTCACCTATGATCTCTATTTTGCTAAATCCAATGGTCAGTTCTCGTGTTACTTAACCATATCAGCAGCATTTTAGACTTTTATATTTAGTAATTTTTACAACCTGGAAAGTTTAGGCTTAGTCCTGCCTTAAGTTCTCTTAAGGTCACTGTGTCACACTGACCACCTGTAGGAAACAACCACCTCCCTCCAACATAGACACACTCACACACACAAACACTGCCACATGAATCTACACAAGTATGCATACACACACTCATAAGGGAGATCCTATCTCCCTCATCCTACTTGATTTTTTTATAGCACGCATCACCATTTGACAGACTATTTACTTGTTTGTTTATATTCTCTCTCCCACCATTGGAATGTAAGTTTCACAAAGACAGGGACTTTGTTTTATTCACCACTAAATTCCCAGCACCTACAAGTATTCAAATATAGTAGGTATTCAACAAGTTTTGTTTGAACGAGCAAATAAATAAATAAGTGAAACCAATGTTTAAATTTAGCAAATTTCCTGGAAGATAAAAATCGTCATTTAATTAGCAATGACAAATCAAACATGCTAACAAGCCATAATATGAATATTGCATACATGTATTTATTCATTTGTAGTATTTGTACCTTACCTGTTCCAAAAAATGATTTGAGGCAGATGATATGTATATGGTATTGCTATTTATACCCTGCGTGCAGAATATGCTGTCACTTACGAAGGAGATAAATGCTAATTTCTTTCATAAAATGTAAGAGTAACCATTCGAAAACTGAGGAGGGGGAACAGGCTAAAAAGCATTTATTTAAGTAATAACTGACCAGAAATTTGTATAGATAGATAGATAGATAGATAGATAGATAGATAGATAGATAATTTTTAAAAATACCAGAGGGCAATGTCAAGATTAGGGTATATTTGAGGTAAGAGAAAACAAGAAGATTCTTGATTTGAAGAGTGAAGATGTCAAATGAGCCTACACTCTCTTTTTACACACACACACGCAAAAAGAGAGACATCTTTTAATTCCTGGTAAGAAAGTAATTTTTATGATGAGATTGGCTAGAATCTGGAATCAGTTTTCCATGGAAGAAGAGAAAGCCTTGAGGCCATTGAAATAAAACCATTCAAAACAGGGGAAAATGTACTACAGAACAAAGAAAAATGCTGCCCTGATCCCTGGAGGCTGCAGCCAAGAACTGAATAGGCCTTTTCAATCTCCAGCCATTATGAGTTAGGTAACTATTCTGAGAATATATGAAAGGAGTGGTTTTTCCTATCCATGTTGAGCTCCTATTAGCCCCTTGAGGAAATAGTGGTTTCGCAGAAAGTGTGAATTCTCAGTGTTACTGAAATGACCTTGTTTAATTTCCTCATAAAAAAAAGTCAATCTAATAATAGCTACATCTTCTAATATTAACAAAGCTGCAAAAGTTACACAAAGTTAGAATAATTTTCCTTTGCTTGGACAGCAAAATCCTTCAGTGTCCTTGTCTTTCTTTTCCCAATGTGCCACCCCCTTTCTAGTCTATATTTGCTCTTTAATATTTGATTCCACATTTTCCAGTCACCCTGATGCAAAGCAGCAGTGTGAAGTTGAACGATTCAAAACGGAAAGAGGAGATGGCTGCCACCCCACCATGAGCAAATCCACTGAACTGTAAATCTACCCTGCATTTAATTACCCAACTAGACGGTGCGATGATAAGGTCTCCAGAGTGTTGTACTATCATGAGTGATTGAGTATGCTTGCAGTAATAAGCTTTTCTACAGCTAAGCCAAAAGGTTAAAAGTATACGTAGAACTTCAAGGCAAGCATTGTTTTTAAATAGCTGCAAAGCCAAAAGAACAACAGAAACTTCTTTTGAATGAATGTCTTGGTTTCAAAACCTTCCGCTGAAAAAGGAGAGTTTTATGGAAAGGAGTGTGTTCCCTCAAGCAAATTTACAAGTAGTCGGGTCAGTAACAAGGGTGGGAAGACTGCCCTTTCCCGCCAGCTTATACCACATCCACAACTCACATTTGTATAGTGAAAAGTAAAGATGATTGGACTTGTGAGATGAATCAGCAATTCCCAATCACAGCAGCAAAATAAGACTGTTTTCTTTCTGAATCATTGTGGCAGTCAATGGAAAAGTGACAAATAGACTTTGTTCTCCATCAGTGATGGGAGGGGAATTTATGTTGGGAGCCAAATTTCCAAAGTAAGGCATAACAGACTTGCCAGCAAAACTGTTCACACCCCCACAGAGACCACAAAACCCTGCAGCTGTAATTTCAGAAACACACATGTGTATAAATCAAGTAATTGCACACCTAACTATCCACTTGAGCCTGTGTGCTGGGTTTTTTTCCAGGTGCCTGAGGCACTTGTGCTATTTGGCTTTGAAAACAAGGTTTAGTTTAATTGACAGGATATTATCAAATTCAAGCTGACTTGTATGGACAAATCTCAAAATATGAGGGTGGCATACAGAAATCAAGAGGAACATATGAATGTTCCATATGTGTGTTATGCAAGGTCCTTGCAGTGACTGTGAATTCTAAACAACAGGAAGGGACAAAATTAAAATGTCAATTTAGTTCTAATTCATGAATGTATTTTTTTCAGAGCATCAGTGAAGCAGCATCATTTGAAACATCATTGTTATTTACAAAGAGAGAGAGAGGATTGAGCAAGTATTATTTCATTTTTTATAATAGTGTTTTAAAAAAGAATAAGGGAGTGCTTTGGGTCTATTGGCCAGAAGAGCAAGCAGATCCATGTTTTCATGTTCCAGCTGGCACAAGCCCCAGCAGACAGCCATAGAGCAGACTGCAGGCTGCCCAGGAAAGCGGCACTTACTGCAACATGGAATCACCCTGTAGGCTACACTTGTGATTTAATTCCTCCAGGAGAGATTCAGGTTTGTAGGACTTATTATTAGTCCTATACATATGCTTTGCAGATTCTAGTAAAGTAAGATTAATGTGAAAGCAGTTTTTCCAAAATTTTTTTTTTGCAATTCAACACACTCATTTCCACAACGTTCGCTTTCAAGGGGGGAAAAAAAAAGCAAAAAACATGGCATTAATTTCACAAAGATATTTAAATTGCCAACCTCTCAACTACCTCCATCTCCAAGAACTCTATAGATTTAGAGGTTTTTTTAAGTATCCACATACATACATATGCACACGCATGCATACACACACACACACACAAAAACCATGCAAATTTCTAAAGGCATGATTTCAAAACTCTCTAGCAAACAATAAGATGCTAGAAGGGGGGCGGGGTTTCCCATTTTACCTATTCAAACTCTAAAACACCTGCTGTTAACACTGCCACACAATGGGGAATTAATTAATGGAGGTTCTAAATGAACTATGAGAAATTCCACCTCACCATTCTCTACATCTGGTTCATATTTTACTATTGAAAATGAAGAAATGAAATCAGAGGTCATTTGAAAGTAAAAATGAAGGTGGTATGGTAACTATAGGTAAAATCAATCTTATTATAAAATGTCCCATAAGGATGATTTTTCTTAAGACAAAGTCAGTAGTCAGCCAGAGTAAAGCAAAGAGATATCTATGCAAGAATTTTCCCCCAAAACATGTGCAAACTCCCATTGGTCTATTTGGGCAAAATTTCCAGACAGTCTTGTTTTCACAGAGTGATTATTGAAGAAACTCCTTACATTTGCATATAATATTAGCCAAGAATAACATTTCTCAATGACAGCAACAAAATTTAACTCTTTTTTAATGGTTTACAGTTTTTATTAAAATTTTAATAAGAGGCCCAGTTTTGAGACTTTTAGAACTGACGTGCTCCTTTCGCTTTGTTATAAAGGAGTTATCAAGTGTATATAGTGCTTATGGCCTACTGAAGAACCATTAGGCCATAAAATAATCTGCCTGTAAAAATGATGAGGGAAGGTAAAATGTACAGTGTATAAACTACAATCTGAGCACTGTATTAAGGCCTAGTAGGAGGAGATATTGATTTATTTTCCATTGAACAAACATATTAAATTTCAGATGGGTTAATAAGTTAAAAAATAAACTTGAATCTAATACAAAGGAAAGAGAGAAGGAAATACAACAAAAAGAATGTCAAACACCTACCATACATTTTAAATTATTTCTGTGTATTTTGTGGGGAGGCATATGGGATTATTATCAGTACACCTTTTTTTTCAATTCTGCTACTTTCTTAAGGATATCTTTTGATGTCATAAGATTGATTTCTTAATCTAATAAAATATTTAGTATTTTATACACCATAAAATACCATTTCTGATATTGTAATGTAGCTTTCAAGCGGTTTCATGGGAGACAGTTTGGAGACAAGATGGTGATAGGCTGGGAATAAGGAGAGAAGACATGGGAGGGAGAGCTCAGCCCTGGGTGAAGACTCATTACCAGTCCCAACTATCTGTGTGATATAAGGAAAGAGTCTCACCATCCAGGCTTCTAAGTTTTTTCATCTTTAGAGTGGGGAATGTCATTAAAGTATCAAAATGTAGGAAATAAATGAAATACTGCACCTAAAGAACTCTACCTGTCACAAAGAAAGCATTTGATATATTTTATCTATGTTATTGTATTATTGCCTGGGTCCCTAAACAACTCTGTGGGTAGTTCCATTAGCCTCTCTGGCCTGCTTCTCCTAATTGTCTTTGACTATATGCAATCCAAAGCCCTAATTGGATCAGACCTTGAAGTTCTCAATATCCAACTGCCAGACCAATCTCCTAGGCCCCTTATAAGCCTGGATGTACTTCTTAACACCTTCTTTGTATGGATGAAATAGACTCAGTCCTGGGAATACCTATAGGTTGACCTATTCACTGCTCTAACATAAAACATCTCCCAAAATAATAATTCTCACCTTCGGGGTACAAACATTGGTATGTTGTAATGAAATGAGATTTATTACAAGTTTTTTAACAACAGTCATTGAAAATAATAATTATAATTACTAATGATTATTAATATAGTTATGTTATTATATAACAGTATTATAAATTAGTTTAATAATAGTAACATCATAAATTTTCTTAACTTGAAATTGATTTGCTTTTAAAAAATGTATTAGAGCAGAATCAAGATTAATCCTTTAATAATATCACTTTATTTGATTTTATTCCCAAAACCTTTCTTATGAGAATCTTGGAAAAAATTATGAATATGTCACTGATGTTAATGTATGTATTAAATGTTTTGCAGCAGGGAAACAGTAAAAACCTTTTCCCAAAAGCAAACATAACATTTTAATTGTTTTAAAGGGGAAATGAATCAATAAACAGACCTAATAAAATCTTGATACAGTCCATACAACATAATTGAAAGTTAACCAAAAATGCTTGTCTGCTAACAGCGACACATCTTAAATTTTCTCAATGTCTCTGCATTCCAACCACATCCACTGAAATACCCTACTAATATATTTTATCAATTTTGTACTTCAAAACATTTCTTTAAAAGTTATTTCTTTTGGCCGGGCACAGTGGCTCACGCCTGTAATCCTAGCACTTTGGGAGGCCAAGGTGGGTGGATCACTTGAAGTCAGGAGTTCAAAACCAGCCTGGCCAAAATGGTGAAACCCCATCTACTACTAAAAATATAAAAAAAATTAGCTGGGCTTGGTGGCGGGTGCCTCAGCATTACATTGGGACTAGTTAGAAATGCAAATCCTTGTGGGGAGGCTGAGGCAGGAGAATCGCTTGAACCCGAGAGATGGAAGTTGCAGCAAACCGAGATCGCGCCACTGCACTACAGCCTGGGTGACAAAGCAAGACTCCATCTAAAAAACAAAAAGTTATTTCTTTTTTAAAAAAATAGTCTTCAAACCCTAATAATCTCAAGCTATTTTTCTTGCAAATAATTCACAGGAGCTTCTTAAGTTTCCTTAAAGATTGCATAAAATTATGGCTTACCAGAAAATGGCACCTGGGGAGAAAGAAAACTCGTGAATGCCCTACACAGGGATATGAATTCAGAATTAAGTTACCTAAACCTATTATCATTGCTTTGCTTCACTCACATTATTCTTTTTCTTGTCCAGACCAGTTTTCCAAGTGAGTCCTGGGAATAGCCATCCCCATTACATTGGGACTAGTTAGAAATGCAAATCCTTGTGAGGCCCAGTGATTTGTTTTTTAACAAGCCCTCCAAGTGATTTGGATCCACGCTAAGGTTTGGAAATCACTGCTCTAGACTCATAGTAAATAAATATTCAAAAATGTTGAACAAGGAAGCAAAATACAGTATTTTGTGTCCTAACCATTTTGTCTATACTGTGTAGGGGAGAAAAAGTAATCTTTTCCTCACCTATCACAAAGGTCATGCTGACATCCCCACACCGAACAACAGACTAATAAAAGTGTAAAAAATTCATTTCACCAAAGTCTTATGTGACACAGGAGCATTCAGAAATGAAGACCCAAAGATCCAGGGAAAACTGCATATTTTTATGGTGAGTCTGATGAAAGAAGTGGACAGAAGTGGAGAAACATGATTGGACAGAAAGAGGTATGATCCAATGGTTTTAAACTAGGTGAGCTCAGCAAGGTTTCTTCAGATTCTTTTCTGTCTCTGTGTATGACATTCCTTCCCTGCAGGTGTGGAGCAGGACATCTGTGACTGAGGATTTTTTAATGGAGAAGGGAGAAGGTCAGAGAGTGACCTTTCTAGGTTTTACGACTTAATTCAAGAGAGAGGAATTTTAGTTTCCATGACCCACTTCCAAGAAAAAAGAGGGTCAAATATAAGAGGACAGGAGAAGGTCAGAGACACCTTCTTGCTTTTGAGACCCTCCCTGCTTCCTTCCTCCTGTTCCACAAATACTCAGCATGTCAAGGTGCCATACTTTTGGGTATCATGTTCTGAGCTCAGCAATTATAAGAAGTTATTGTCACCTATTGTAATCTCAGCATTTTGGGAGTCCAAGACAGGACGATTGTTTGAGCTCAGGAATTCAAGACCACCCTGGGCAACATAAGGAGGCCTATTCTCTACACAAAATTAAAAAATTAGCCAGGAATGGTGGCACATGCCTGCAGTTCTAGCTACTCAGGAGGCTGAGGCAGGAGGATCATCTGAGCCCCCAAGGTCGAGAATGCAGTGAGCCATCATAGCACCACTGCACTCTAGCCTGGGTGACAGAGCAAGATCCTGTCTCAAAAGAAAAAAAAAAGGAGTAATTATCCCACTTATTTGTCTCTCATAATGATAGCATTATACTCAAAGATCACACTCCACCCGGGTTTGACAATCTTTGTAGTACATTGTATGTAAAATGTAATGTCATAGTGAATGGCCTCAGGGTTGGTTTTCACGGTATTACCACGTGCTGATTCTCAACCAGTCTTTGGAAAAACACTCCCCCCAGCTGCTATAGTTTGGATGTTTAACCTCTCCAAAAATCATGTTGAAATTTGATCCCCAATGTTACACGTAGGGCCCAGTGGGAGGCGTTTGGGTCATGGAGATGGCTCCTTCATAGATTAATGTTCTCCCTAAAGTGGGGGAGTGAGTGAGTTTTTGCTTTATTAGTTCATGAGAGCTGGTTGCTAAAAAAAGGGCTCAGCTCTTCCCCACTTCTCTCTCTCTTGCTTCATTTCTTACCGTTTGATTTCTGCACATGCTGGCTCCCCTTCACCTTCTGCCATGATTTGGAAGCACTCTGAAGCCCTTAGCAGAAATGGAGCAGATGCTGGCACCACGATCCTCGTACAGTCGACAAAAGCATGAGCTAAATAAACCTCTTTTCTTTATAAATGACCGACCCTCAGGTATTCCTTTATAGGAACACAGAACAGACTAAGACAGCAGCAATCCCCCACTCCAGAAATTCAAACCACCCATATCATCCCCTCTCTCCATTTCCTTCAGGTTCACCGTTCACGTAGGTTTCAGAATCCATATGAATCAAGATAAATAATAAAGTGATCAGTACCATTATGATGTTTTTGGATATGTTTAAGCATGAGAAACAGATTCACTGAATGATGTCTTAATCATCCTTGTGACTACTCCACACTGCTAATACAGATAATTCACTTAAGATATATTAAGCAACTCTGCTCAAAACATGGTGGTGTATTCATATGGGATAATATGGGAGTGGGAATAAATTAACTTCACTTGCATACAACATGAATGAATCTCATCCAAATGAATTTGGACAAAGAAAGCCGGAAACAAAAGAGTATATACCGTGTGATTCTGCTGATGTAAAGCTCAAGAGCGAAATTATAGAAAAAATTTTAGAGGTGAAGATAGGTAGTTAAATTTGAAGGGAAGAAGGTGACATCTATGGGGGAAGATAGTCACTGGAAGGGGCCACAAAGGGGCCTCTAGTGTTTTGGTAATACTCTTGTTTCTTGATCATGTTACATATGAGTGTTTACATTGTGAAAAGTCATTGAGAGGTACATTCAGGATTTGTGCACTTTGCTGTGTGTATTTTTAACACCAACTAAAATTTATATTTCAAAACACTCTAACAAAGTCAAAAAATATGTTTGTACTTCACAGATAAGGGCTAATATAAAAAGAATTGCAGATAGGGCATGGTGGCTCAAACCTGTAACCCCAGATCTTTGGGAAACTGAAGTAGGAGGATAATTTGAGTCCAGAAGCTCAAGACCAGCCTGGGCAACATAGAGAAACCCTATCTCTACAAAACAAATTTTGTTTAATTAGCCATGTGTGGTCGTACGTGCCTGTAGTCCCAGCTATTTGAGAAGCTTAGGTAGGAAGATCACTAGATCCCAGGAGTTCAAGCAGTGAGTTATGAACATGCCACATCACTCCAGCTGGGGAAACAGTGTGAAATCCTGTCTCTCAAAACAACAACAACAACAAACAAAGATCTGCAAAATATTGTAAGACCACACAAATAAGAACAAGCAAAAGCGAAGGCTATTTATTCAGAGCTTGATACAGCAAAGGAGTACCCACCATCATTTGGATTTGGCAGACCTCAAAGGCAGGCAGAGGTGAAAGCTTTATAGAAATAAAAAGGACTGTTTCGGATGTGCCCTGATTGGAGGCTGTTAGCATGGGGAAACAGTAGGCAGCTAACTGAAAGCAGGGCATCCATGTGATTGGCTAGAGATGTATTTTTGGCTTTCTCCAGATGATCCTAGGTTGGGGAAACTGTCGATTATTAATCACGTCTTTGGATATTTGGGGTAATTATTTTAGGGATTATTATTTGGTTTCCTCTACTAGTTGCTACAAAGAATAGTTGGACTTCCTGTACTGGTTACTATAGATAGGGAGCTGGCTTCCTGGGCTGGTTGCTACAGGTTGTGAGTAAACACCTTATTATTGCAAATAATCTGGCCATTTTTCATTTGTATATTCAGTCTCTCAACATCAATTGAAAAAAGACCAACAATCCAATGCTAACAGGCAAAAATCAAACCAAAAAAGGTAGATACAGTTAATAGAAAATAAAATAAAAATGACTTTGTAGAACAAGCAATCTCATGTGTAATAAAAGATATGTATTACCACTTTCATCAATCAAGTTTGAGTAACAAACTTTGAAAAGATCAAAACGTTTGATAACAAACTTTGGGGAGAGTGTTTGAGGAAACAGATACCCTCATACATTGATGGTAAGAATAACAGTAACCTCTGCAGAAGCAGTCTTGTAATATCTATTAAAATGATAAATACACAGACCCTTTAAGCCAGAAAGTCAATTTAAAAAAATTTATTTTATACTCTTGCACATATGTAAAATAACACAAATAAGGTTATTACTTGTAACCCTTTTTATCAAGCAAAAGATGAAAAACAGTCTAAATGCTCATCCATAGGAATACTAATTAAATATGGTAAATTACAGTACAGTCATACAGTAGAACACTATATAACTGTAAGAAGAAATAAGAAGCTACTTTATCTTCTGATATAAAATAATCTCCAAGACACTCCATTAAGCAAAAAACACAAAAGCACATAAAATTGTAAGAGAGAATACACACACACACACGCACACACACTGCTTGTATACATATAAAATACACACAAGATTTTGGCATGATTATGTAAAATCTCATTTATATAGTCAGGCATTGCAATGTTCCCATAACAATAGACCGCATATACGACAGTAGTCCTCATCAAATTGTAATACCATATTTTTACTGTACCTTTTCTATGTTTAGATATGTTTCGATACACAAATACTATTTTGTTACAACTGCCTACAGTATTTAGTACAGTAACATACCATAAAGGTTTGTAGCCTAAGAGTAATAGGCTATACCTAGCCTAGGTGTGTATAGGCTATACAATCTAGGTTTGTGTAAATATACTGTACGGTATTTTCACAACAAAGAAATTGCCTAAAGATGCATTTCTCAGAACAGATCCTCCTCGTTAAGTGATGCATGACTGAACATGAGAAATCAATAACATAAGCTACCTATGTCATCCACTGTTTAATGAAAGAAAAACAGGCACTCATATTTCTAATGCATGAACGAAAGGCTTAAAATATTTCTGTAAAGCAGTCTGGAAATTTCTACTTAAATAAACACACATAAATCCTTTGACCCATGCATCTCAATTTGGAAAAATTGTATGACAAAAATGAAAGTGTCAGTATGTAAAGTGATCTGTGTTAAGGTATTTATGGCAATATGGTTTGTAGAGGCAAAAATCATACCAAAGCAAAAGTTGTGAGCAATCTGAAAATCCAACCACAGGAAAATGGTGAAATAAGTTATGATATAGTCATACTGTAGAATATGATTCATATTTTGAAAAGGATGGATAAATCTTAGTAATACTGTTAAGGGAAAGAAACAAGTTTGCAGAATAATATGTCTAGTGTGTTCCCATCTTTTAAATGAAATATATGTGCATAACACAAATTACTTCAACAGAAAAATCCTTAAAAGCTTAGAAGATTCACACAGTAAAGATTTACATGTTTCTTACACAAAGTCCATGCCCATCAGGGGGCCTTCTCCATTTTATGGTTGTGCTACCCAGAGCCTGTAACCTCTAAGGTTGCCACAATCTCTAAGGTTAAGGCTTGTGTCAACCCCAAATTGACACACATCTTCCATTCATATTTCACTGGCCAGCACTCACCATATGAACTAAATCTATCCACAAGGGAAGGGGGCTGGAAAATGCAGAGGATATTTAGTGAAAAATCATTCTCTCCCACAGTATATATTTGTGTAGCTTAGTATGAACCTATCAAATTATTAACTATTATTATTCTTAAGGAGAGGTAATAAAGAGGTAGGAAGATAAAGATTGTGAACTTTTCTACATACAATATTTGTCTTGTAACAATGGGCAGATACCACTTTTATAAATGAAATAAAATTATATAAAAGTCAGGGATATTTGTATATACAGTCACCTTTATCCTATACATGCACATACATCTATAAATAGAGCCTACTGTGTGACTGGCTGAGAGGGAATGTACAGGTTTGATGTAAGAGAAAGGAAAGAAAAAGTCGGTCAGCTGTTTCAGGTTCCTGAGATGATAAGAGGGATGGGACACAATATACAAACTGAAGAACTGGTCTTAATAAAAGAAAAGACAGCTTTTCTACTGTAAATAAGAGGAAACAAGCATATAAAGGATACAAATAAAGGTGAGCTTGTATCTTTAACGCCTAGAACATAACAAAGCATCTTTCCCATTACTCTTATCTTCTCTGTAAAAGAGGAGCCAAGGTTTTCTGATAAGTGTGAGGAACTAAAATGGTTTTCAGGCTGATTTGATTAAAGTTTGAAATAATGTTTGCAGAGGATGAAAAAATGAGCTGACCAGAGAAACATCTTAGTGTTGCCAGTATGAGACACAAACTTGATTTCATCAACTGCTTTCTTCCACCAGAACTTGCCACTGCCTCCAAACCACTATTTCACTATCACTATTACCAATGCCAAGCACTCTGAGCTAGCTACAGTCTAAGGTGAACACTTAGTTCAACTCTACACATACAACAGTTGATGCTGTTTCCATCTCCTCTTCTGGATTCGGATGAGATTATGTCCTGCAGTAGTAGGATCTGGCTTCCAGGGCATCAGCCAAGGAGCCAGGAGACAGAGCCAAAAAGTTTGGAATAGTTCTCACCTGTGGAGTGAAGATTTTTTTTTTTTTTTTGGCCAATAGGAAATAAAAGACGGTATGGAGATAAGCAGATAAACCCCCTTCATTCTCCCTTTCATCTACTACCTTAAAGGAGACCTTTGTATTCTACTCAAGATGTAGTTTGAATTTAGAGCAAGGGCATGTCCATTTTTACACATAAAAAATAGAAAGGATAGGCCTGGCCCAGTGGGTCACGCCTGTAATCCTAGCACTTTGGGAGGCTGAGGCAGGCGGATCACGAAGTCAAGAGATCAAGACCTTCCTGGCTAACACGGTGAAACCCCGACTCTACTAAAAATACAAAAAATTAGGTGGGCACGGTGGCAGGCACCTGTAGTCCCAGCTACTCAGGAGGCTGAAGCAGGAGAATGGCCTGAACCCAGGAGGTGGAGCTTGAAGCGAGCCAAGATCATGCCGCTGCACTCCAGCCTGAGCAACAGAGTGAGACTCCCTCTCAACAACAACAACAACAACAACAAGAAATAGAAAGGATATAGGTATAATAGGGAAAATTGAGAAGCTCTTCGAAGCACAAATGGCAGGCCATAGTGTACAAAAGCCTCTGCATCAATCAAGGTCTCATCAATAGAAATATGTGACTGTGGACCCCGGTTAAACAGTCTCTGTAAAGCTTTTGCCTTCATATCTGATGTTGGAATTTGAGAGCAGTCAATAGGAAAAGAAGCTGTATGCAAAATGTGGAGGGCAGGAAAACTGAAACTCATTAGGACAAATTAAAACCCAATTTGTTGAAGTGGGTGTTCTCAAGGAGAAGCTGACACTTTTTATCATGGAACTAAACACACACTTGACCCAGGAGTGAACAAGAAGGAAAGTCCAAGGGAAAGTAAAATTCTTGCATGCAACAAGTTGAACTAGCAGATAAACAAGAATACATGTGAGTTATAAAAGTTCCTGCCCCAACCTTCTGAGTGTCAAAAACAAAATGTGGGCAGGGCGGGGGGTAGTGGAGATAAGATGGCTGGCTAAATGTAGCCAGGTGGAACAGCTCCCACCAAGGAACTGAGATGACTGGTGTGCTCCTATCCGATTTTCAGAGGGAAGGGACCAAGAGTGGATGGAGGGAGGACATGGAAATTGGGCTGAAGGGGGAGAAAGCTGAGAACCCTGCACAGGGCTTTGCACATCAGGACTCATTCCAGGCCCCAGATGGCTCCAGGGGAATGGGTGAGTTGAACTGGCAAGAAGCAAACCACCCTCAACACAGGCCTCTGGAACCCTGGCAGGAAGAGACCTCTCAACTACCACAGACACTAGAGGTGGCATGGAGAGCTGTTAGAAAAGTGATAGGGGCAGCAAGCCAGCTGGTGTGGAGCCCAGAGGGTTTGATGTGGGAGACCCAGTAGTAGAGCATGGCCAGGGACAGCTATTGCCCTAGGCTCAATTTGCTCCCATAGGAGACTTTGATCCTAGCGGAACTGTTGGATCTGAACTCTGTAGGGTGGTCTTGCCTGTCAGACGGGACTGGTCTGACCTGAGCACCCCTTGGACTGCTGGCCTCTCCTGTGGCCCCAGTCTGGCCATGCATGCTTGTAGGGTAGTCTTAGGTGCCCTGGGGGCCTGCACTGTAGCTTCTGCACTGGCAGACTGCCTGATCAGTGGAGAGCACCAGTGGGGCAGCCCCTATGGCCACATACCAGACCACACCCTCGCTCTTCATACTGCAGCTTCCTTCAGGGCCATGGCAACCCCCAACATTACTTTGCTAATACATGTCTGCACAGGTGGGTTTTACTTTCCTTGCCCCATTAGTGCACAGGAAGGTACTCTGCCCCTCCCTGCCCCGGTTTACCACCATTGCACATGGAGCCTTGGCAGACAACGAGCCAGCCAGCTCCACCTCCACCAGCACCTCACCCTTGCACTAACACTGCACAAAGAACAGCATATCATCCCCCACCCTGAGCAACCACTCCTGCTTGTGGGACACAAAGAAGGCACTCAGACCCGTACCCACCAGCACCCTACCTCTGAGCCAACACCACCTCCAACATGACCACGCATAGTCTCTAGGAGGGGCTCCTGCCATCAGGAGCTCACTGCCTATGCCACTGTAGTGAACACCCACAGGGAGGCAGGCACCCCAGCACCTGGTAGCACTCTGCCACAGCTGCCACTACAAGGACAGATCCTGCTATCACTACACTATGAAATGCTTTGGTTGATACTACCCATTGAAGGATAGTGAACAGTGGTCAGGGGGGACCTCAGCCCCTCCAGTACAGTGGATTGCTAACCTCAAGGAGGGAGATAATGAAGTTGGGGCCCAGTACAAGTCCCTCTGAGTTAGAGCACACAGTTCAGAAGTTGGGAGCTGAGCGCTGGCCCCCTAAAATCTTCAAAAAATGAAGCCAGTTGGTTGAATCTACCTTATACCACAATTGAACCCTCAAATCCATCAAATAGGATAAAAGAAAAAACATCCAAAGGTCAGAAACCTCAAAAATTGAACCCACAAACATGAGAAAGAATCAACACAAGAATCATCACAATTCAAAAAGCCAGAGCACCTTCTTTCCTCCAAATGACCACATCACCTCTCCAGCAAAGGCTCTGAACTGGGCTGAGATGGCTAAAATGACAGAAATAGAATTCAGAATATGGATAGAAACAAAAATCACTGAGCTACAGGAATATGTTGAAACCCAATCCAAGGAAGCTAAAAGTCATGATAAAATCATTGCGCTACTGGAATATGTTGAAACCCAGTTCAAGGAAGCTAAAAATAATGATAGAACAATGCAGGAGCTGACAGACAAAATAGTCAGTACAGAAAGGAATGTAACTGACCTGATAGAGCTGAAAAACACACTAGAAGAATTTCATAATGCAATCACAAGTATTAATAGCAGAATAGTCCAAGTGGAGAAAAGAATCTCAGAGCTTGAACACCAGCTTGAAGATCGAAATAAGATAGTAGGACAAGAATAGAAAAAAAGGAAGAAAAGAACTAACAAAACCTCTGAGAAATATGGGATTATGTAAAGAGACCAAATCTATAACTCACTGGTGTCCCTGAAGGAGATGGAGAGAATGGAACCAACTTGGAAAACATATTTCAGTATTATCATCCCTGAGAACTTCACCAACCTAGCTAGAGAGACCAACATTCAAATTCAGGAAATGGAGAGAACCCCAGTAAGCTGCTTCATGAGATTATCCCCAAGACACATAATCATCAGATTCTCCAAGGTCAAAATGAAAGAAAAAGTGTTCAAGGCAGGTAGAGAGAAAGGTCAGGTCACCTACAAAGGGAATCCCATCAGGCTAAGAATGGACCTCTCAGCAGAAACCCTACCTGCCAGAAGAGACTGGGGGCCAAGATTCAACATTCTTAAAGAAAAGAAATTCCAACCCAGAATTTCATATCTGGCCAAGCTAAGCTTGCGAAGGAGAAATAAGATTATTTTCAGACAAGCAAATGCTGAGAGAATTCATTACCACTAGATCTACCTTACAAGAGCCCCTGCAGATAGCACCAAATATGGAAAGGAAAGGCCATTACCCGCCACTACAAAAACACACTGAAGTACACAGACCAGTGACACTATAAAACAACCACATAAACAAGTCTGCAAAATAATCAGCTAACATCATGATGACAGGATCAAATACACACATATCAGTATTAACCTTGAATGTAAATGAGCTAAATGCCCCAATTAAAAGGCATAGAGTGGAAAGCTAGATAAAGAACCAAGACCCATTGGTATGCTGCCTTCAAGAGACCCATCTCACATGCAATGACCTACATTGGCTCAAAATACAGGGATGGAGAAAAATCTTGGTAGCAAATGGAAAATAAAAAATGCAGGGGTTGCATTCCTAGTGTCAGAAAAAACAGACTTTAAACCAACAAAGATCATAAAAAGACAAAGAAGGGCATTAAATCATAGTAAAGGGTTCAATTCAACAAGAAGATCTAACTGGCCTAAGTATATACATACCCAATACAGGAACACCCAGATTCATAAAGCAAGTTCTTAGAGACCTTCAAAGACACTTAGACTTTCACACAATAATAGTGGGGAAATTTAACATCCCACTGACATTATTAGACAGATTATTGAGACAGAAAATTAACAAACATATTCAGGACCTGAACTCAGCACTGGATGAAATGGGCCCAATAGATTCTACAGAATTCTCCACCCCAAAAGCAACAGAATATACATTATTCTCACTGCGAAAAGACACATATTCTAAAATCAATCACATAATTGAAAATAAAACACTCCTCACTAAAGGCAAAATAACTGAAATTATAGCAATCTCTCTGACCACAGAACAATCAAATTAGAAATCAAGACTAAGAAATTAACTCAAAATGATAGTTATATGGAAATTGAATAACCTGCTTCTGAATGACTTTTTGGTACATAATGAAATTAAGGCAGGAATGAAGAAGTTCTTTGAAACTAGTGAGAAAAGATACAACATACCAGAATCTCTGGGACACAGCTAAGGCAGTGTTAAGAGAGAAATTTATAGCACTGAATGCCAACATCAAAAAGTTAGAAAGAACTCAAGTTAACAACCTAACATCACAACTAAAAGAATTAGAGAACCAAGAGCAAACCAATCCCAAAGCTAGCAGAAGACAAGAAATAACCAAAATTAGAGCTGAACTGAAGGACATTGAGACACACAAGAAAATTCAAAAGACCAACAAGTCCAGGAGCTAGTTTTTTGAAAAAAAAAATTAATAAAATAGACTACTAGCTAGACTAATAACAAAGAAAAGAGAGAAGATTCAAATAAACACAATCAGAAACAACAATGGGGATATTACCATTGACCCCACAGAAACACAAACAACCGTCAAATAATATTATGAATACCTCTATGCACATACATTAGAAAAGTTAGGAGAAATGGATAAATTCCTGGATACCTAGCCTCCCAAGACTGAACCAGGAAGAAATTAATTCCCTCAACAGACCAATAATGAGCTCTGAAATTGAGGCAGTAATAAATAGTCTACCAACCAAAAAGAGCCCAGAACCAGATGGATTCACAGCTGAATTCTACCAGACGTACTAAGAAAAACTGGCAACATTCCTGTTGAAACTATTCCAAAAAGTTGAGAAGGAAGGACTCCTCCATAACCGATTAAATGAGGCCAGCACTATCCTGATATGAAAACTTGGCAGAGATACAACAAAAAAAGAAAACTTCAGTCCAATATCCTTGATGAACATAGATGCAAAAATCCTCAACAAAATACTTGCAAACTGAGTCCAGAAGCACATCGAAAAGCTTATCCACCATGATTAAGTAGGCTTTATCCCTGGGATGTGAGGTTGTTTCAACACACACAAATCAATAAATGTGATTCATCACATAAACAGAACTAAAGACAAAAATCACATAATTATATTAATAGATGCATAAAATGTTTTCAATAAAATTGAAAGTTTTCAAAACTCTCAGTAAACTAGATATTGAAAAAACATATCTCAAAATAGTAAGAGCCCTCTACGACAAACCCACAGCAAACATCATACAGAACAGGCAAAATCTGGAAGCATTCCTTTGAAAACCAGCACAAGACAAAGATAACCTCTCTCACTATTCCTATTCAATATAGTATAGGAAGTCCTGGCCAGGGCAATAAGGCAAAAAAAAGAAATAAAGGGCATCGAAATAGGAAGCGAGAGGTAAACTATTCCTGTTTGCAGAAAACATGATCCTATATCTAGAAACCCCATAGTCTCAGACTAAAAGCTCCTTCAGCTATAAACAAGTTCAGCAAGGTCTCAGGATACAAAATCAATGTGCAAAAGTCACTAACATTCCTATATACTAACAATAACATATATATGATGGAATACTACAAAGCCATAAAAAGAAATGAATTAATAGCATTTGCAGTGACTTGGATGAGATTGGAGACTATTATTCTAAGTGAAGTAACTCAGGAATGGAAAACCAAACTTCTTATGTTCTCACTGATATGTGGGAGCTAAGCTATGAGGACACAAAGGCATAAGAATGATACAATGGACTTAGAGGACTTGGGGGAAAAAGAATAGGATGGGGGAGAGGGATGAAAGACTACAAATAAGGTGCAGTGTATACTGCTCGGGTGATGGATGCACCAAAATCTCACAAATCACCATTTTTAGCTGGGAACAGCTAAAAAATAAAAAATAAATAAACAAAAACATATAAAATACTCACTTAAAAAAATGCTTCACTTCCTTCATGGCCCACCTAAAAGGAAACCTACAGAAAGAATAATTCTGGGAAATGTAGTTCAGCTTAGTACAACACCATATTACCCTTAATCACTACTTTTAGAAAGGGATGGCTCCCTCTCAGACCGTTCCATAGCCACCAGTGTTGCCTTTGGCAAGCTTCCCAGGGTGCAGTCTGACTTGTAGTGCTGTTCCTCCATGGCTTCCATCCCACACACTGAGCCTATCCATGCTAAGCCACTTTTCCTCTTCTGGCCTTAAGTGAAATGCCACACCCTAGAGCTTTCTAAACATCCACAAAAGGGCAAAAAATGCACCCCAAAAATCCACGGGAAATAAGAAACAAGAAGGAACTTGATGTTAATTTCTTCTTCTGTTCTGCTTTCCACAAACTACACTCAGATGTAGGTCTTTAGTGTCCAACGATGAACATGCTTGCTGAGTGACCTACTTGTCACTTGACAGCCCATCATGAAGCAGGTAGGCAGCAGAATAAGTCATTACGTTACATCATTTCATGTTTGTTCCTGCCTCGCCTCTCATTTTCCACATCCTCACCGTTTGGACTTGCTTGTCTCCATTAAGAGCAGCATATTAATCCTTGTCTCTGTGCTCTAGAAAGCCACCAGGCAATTCGAAGAACCATTTGGGGCTGCAGATGATAAATTTAGAGTGGAAAACTACTTTATTGCAGTGAATCCTAAGCTGCATCTTCTTGTTCAAGTATAAACACAGAAAAAGAGACTTGTTTGCTTCATCTAAGGTTGGGGTTTTGTTGAAAGCATTAGTGTAAACAACATGTGGGCCACATCTTACACCTATTATCAGTGGCATTTTGGACAGATTTTTTTTTAATTTCATTCTTTCCAACTATTCTGTTAATAAAGTCAAGTTGATGGAGGAGAAATAGAAAGTCACTCTGGGGGAGCAACATGGATATAATAGGCCCATAGTAAAAAGAAGAAAGCAACATTGGAAAGTGTTCTAATGTTGCAAAGAAAGAGGGCTTTGAAAACTTTCTGCCTCATTGTTTCACCTGGGGTAAATTTGGATGTTGGCACATCCATTTTGTGGGCTTTTACTGTTTTAACACTTAAGTTACCTTCTAATTGTAAGCAGAATGCTTCTGGAAGACTTCTAAGGATTTTCAGATTCAAAAATGTCTTTGCAAAATATAATTGCTTCTGTGAGATCAAGAGGACATATGTCCAGACAGACAAGAAGAGAAATAGTAAAAAGATCTTTCCCTGCATTTTAATTAAACCAACACTTATTGAGAATTTCTTATAGACCACATAAAATGGATGGCATTGAGTATATAAAAATGAATTAGGACCTAATTTCAATATAACATTATGACAAGTGCTCTGAAAGAGGAAAACATTAAGGACTATGACAGGAAAAACATCTATTCCTGGGGCTTTGGAAAGGACTGCTGGAAGAAATGACAACTACCTGAGGTTTGGAGGATAATTAAGGGTTAGCCAGGCAAAGGAGGGAGAAGTGGTGTTTCAAAATGACCTGTAATGTGTGTTCATTATGCCACCTACTAAGTAGTTAAATAAGCTCCAAGAAAAAAAAGTCTTACACCTTATTCCTCAAACCTCACTTTTTTTACCTGTTTTACTTTTCAAAATAAAAGGGCCAAAGAGAACAATTCCTTCATTTGACTCCCGCAACACGTAAAGACACTGTCATAGAGCAAAAAATAACTAAACTTGAGGCTTTTTAAAACCTGAAGTGGATTTTAAATTTAGACAAACACATCTATGTTCTATTTGAGCCTGCTTTTCACAGATATGGAGGTTTTTTTCAATTACACTTATTATAGCTCAAGGTACCTTAGTAGTTACGTCTGGAACTTCATGGGGTGATAGGAAAGATGGGGGCAAACAGAGAGTGACAAAGAGCAAATGATTTTTGCTTATTTACCTATCGAAAAAGGTTTTTCTTCAAGATTTCTAGTACATTATCAGCACTAAGTTCTTTTTTTTTCCTCAAAAGAACAAGGTCTCCTTCTGAGTCAAACAATAACATCAGCCACACCATTGTTCAAGGCAGCAAAGCATTTCCCACAATGCAACTGGAAGTTTTACCCACCCCAGTACTTTGACATAGTTCACAACAGAAGAGACAAAGGAAGCCAGTTAGGCACCATCTTCCATTCATGAAAGCTGATTACTACAACAAGTTATACAAAACTTACTTGGTGAGATGTGTCTCTTGCCTATAATTTTTTGCCCATTTTGACTTTCTTTTCATCTCTTCATTTGAGTCTTGAAGATGAACTATTGACAAACCACATTTTCATTCAATTTTCCAATATTTTCTCTAATTCCTCCCCAAACATTCACACAGGCAATTAAATGAATACTTTTAAACCTTTTAAAAATTATATCTGAACTGAAATAAAACATCTTAAACCATAGCAGGTTAAAACTTTAAGGCAAATCCTTGACCCAAGAAAGATTATTCTCATTTGTTTTCCAGAAGGTCTAAATGTTAGATCATTCCTCTTTCTGCTTCTTTCTCCTTATGTTTGATATATATTTCTAGTGAGACTTTGAAGCACCTAATCTAGAAAAGATGTTAATGGTTAGAGGATGCAGGCTACCCTTAGCAGGGCAAGAGGAGACAGAGTGTATGGACAGTAAATCTTCCCAGATCCCACACTTTCATGATCAAAAGGCAAGTAGGAGCTTCAGATTTCAGCAGGTTCCTACCAAACTTCTTTCACACCTCAACAGCAAACCTTCTTCACCATTACATTCATCAAATGCTTTATTGCTATTCCCATCAGTCACCAAAGAAACAAACAAATGCCCAGGCCATTCCTCCTTCTCCAGTACCCAAACCCCAGTAGAGCTTCTCTTTCGTTGTTCCATCTCTCCACACCACCAGGAACCTTCCACTGAACCTTCTGAAAAGAATTGCCTGATACAAGTAATTACCACTGTACTTTATACTTCTTCCCTGAGTGTTCACTACAACTTTTCACAAAACCTCACTCTGCTCTACAAACACTGCCTACCCTTCACCCTTTGAAATTGTGGCTGTTTTCTCTTCTTCAAAATTTATGTCACTGAGCTTGGAAGTAGGTAGGTATCCTTTTTGCTGCTGTTTTTTATCTTGAACCATTCTCTTCCTCTCCTCCCTAAAAAACACCAGATTATAACCCATTCTATTCAGATTAGCCACTGTCTTTCATTCATCTGATAACCTCAAAACACTTCTCTTAGTACCTGAAGACTTTATCTTCCGCTCACTAGCACTCTCTGCATTACTACTTCTTACATAACAATGGTCCCAATTTCACTTGTTGTCCTGTGGTAATTTTGACTAGGTCTACATTTCACTCTCAAAAGTATTCCAGTTCCAGTTAAGTTATGTATTCACCTTGGTCATAATGACTCATCTTTGAAACAGACAAATAAATGATCCTTCCCATCTCTCACACTCTAATCCCTCATTTCTTCTCATCCAATGATACTGCCCTGAGCCTACCTTGGTTATTCATTGCCAAGGTACACTGGGAACCACCCCCTAGATTTTTACCCTGTTACCAAACACTAAACTCCCTGCCCTCAAAATCTTAATTTCAATCTTCCCACTCTCTGACCATTCCTATCTTTTCAAGTCACACCTATTGTTACCCTAGCCATAGCAATCCTTTCTCCCTTGTTACCTATAATTCATCGCTTCTACCACCTTTTCCTTTTCCTTCATTCCTTCATGTCTCCATTTCTCCATACGTCACTTAAATTTCCCGATCAGTCATTAAAACCCCCCTTTTGCCTAGTTCCTCTTGCCCTTCATCTTATTCTCTTGGTGTATTAGTCTGTTCTCACATTGCTATAAGGAAATACCCTAAACTGGGCAATGTACAAAGGAGAAGTTTAATTGACTCGCAGTTCAGCAAGGCTGGGAAGGGCTCAGGAAACTTACAATCATAGTGGAAGGAGAAGGGGAAGCAAGACATCTTCTTCACAAGGTGGCAGGAAGGAGAAGTGGCAAGCAAAGTGGGAAGAGCCCTTTATAAAACCATCAGATCTCGTGAGAACTCACTCACTATCACAAGAACAGCATGCGGGAAACCACCCCCATGATTCAATTACCTCCACCTGGTCTCTCTCTTGATATGCAGGGATTATGGGGATTAGAATTCAAGATGAGAAGATTTGGGTGGGGACACAAAGCCTAACCATATCACTAGGCTAAACCAAAACCTTAGTAACTAAGTTTATTTCTGTCTACTTCACCCTTGTACCCAAGTCATTGAATTAGAGTAGAAACAGAAAACATACACATACACACACACACACATCACTATAACCATGCTGAATGTACTCACGTTAAACTTGTGATCATATCAAATGGGCCCATAATGCTGTGTGACAATTTTATTATACATACGCAGACCATTCATTCTTCCATTCACCTAGATGATTGCATTCACTCTCCCCTATACTCAATTTTGAAAATCTCCTCCCTTGTCCTCTTTCAGCTGATGAACTTGCTTCCTATTACACCAAGAGAGGAGAATCAATCAAAAGTGAGCTTCCACAGACCCCTCCATCACAGTCTATCTGACCCCTGCATTTGAACACTACCTTCTTTTTCAACTGTAAATGCTCCTGCAAAACATCAACTTTTTAATTTATCCACAAGACATATCCATTGTCAAGTAACATTAGGTCACATCCATTCTCTTAGGAAGGGAGAAGACAGATGGAAGAAAAAATAGTGTTTTAAGAAATAGGAGGTAGGCCTAGAGAATGTGATATAAGGCACCTAAAGCATCCACTGCAGAAGTGATTCCAAGTCTATATTCAGACACTAGATAAATACTACAAGAAATATCATGAGTTTGGTGTCTAACTGGATCTACTGGAGGTAAACTCCTGTCAAAAACATGTCTCATATAATCTGGCAGTCTGAACAGTAGACCACAGTGGCCATTTTATTGTTTGCTTTCTTCTAGGGTTCCCATGATCAATTAAGTACTACTAAAGAGTCATGTGGTTTGGATTATTCAGTTTACCAGATTGATTTTGCTGTCATTATGGTAACGGGCCATCTTAGCTTTTAATAGTTGGCACTATTAAACTAACTGTTAGCTAAACTGCTTCTTGGCCTTTGCCATCCCCTAGGTATTCTCTTTCCATCAAAATTATGGAGGCCATTTAAATCACAGTACTTCCTACCAGCATTCCCATAGTAGAGAAAGCAGCCACCACCATGCTTTGCAAAGATGCCAGTGATCTCCTCACCTATATACAGTTACTTATCAAGGCTTTGATGGAGAAAACGTTGCAAGGTCAGTCAGTATTGGGCAGGTGGTAAATTCACACCAGCAATTGTTTCTTCTGCAATATACCAAAGTAGAAGAACAAAATTCTAGATGATGTTATAAAACTAAACTATTAAAGTCATGTATCAATTTTATTTTCAAAAATAGAAGAATGCACTGTTAGTATGGATAGTATGGTTAATTATAACAAGTCAGGGAGGTCATTTTTAGTGGGTTAATTTTTACAAAGTTGGTGAGCAAATTTAATGTACCCTGAGAGAGAAGTGAAGAAACATAATACTTTACAACAGACATTTTAAGCCAATGTGGTTTTCTATGACAAATAGAAATTATTTATAAATTATTAAGTCAGGTCCTTAGAAAATAACTATTAAAACAAGTATACAAATATTATAGAAAAGTAATTTTGTTTTTCATAGCAAACAAGTATAGAAATTTTGCCTCATGATGACTAGTTAATAAGTGCAGATTAAACTTAGCTTTTATAATGATTGGTTTGTAAATAATCTCTCAATGCCCCCCCTTACCTGGAGAAATGGCTTTACATTCTCAAAAGCACTTGTGCCAGTAACTTTACTATTTTTTTATTAAGTACTCTTGAAGTGTGTGGTCAAAGCTTTTAACTGGAATTTTAACCATGGCTGAATAAAATTACCTGAGAATTTTAATATTTTACAAAAATTGATTTCTCATAACTTCCTTCCATGTGGGACACCATTAAAACCAGTGTTGTGTCAACCAGCAAAGCAAATGGCCCCTTGAACTAGCTTTTGAATCAGAATTCTGCTATGTGTCCATCCACTGCTAAATTCAATCTGATCTAAAATGCTGTTTCTCTCTTCTTGGATTTCAGAATTCATTCTTACATATTCCTTAGATTTTTGTTTATGTACATTACCAAAATTGTGCAATTCTTTTGCTTTGGTAGTCTTTAACATCTCCCCAGATTTGATTTTACAATTGGCCCTGTGGGTCCTGTTGAGATCTGACTCTACCTATGTGTCTGGTTGTTTGGAAGGAAATAGAAATAAGGGGAATTGGACTCATTTTGCAAGGTAACTCCCATAGACTAGGGAGGTATAATACCTTCAAGCAAGAGAGAATACCCCTCAGCAAACAAGGGGAGAGGTGTGCTTAAGTGATCAATAAAGGCTCAGCGGGGGATAAGAGTCCTTCAATTACTCTAATTGATGCCCATCTAAATTGTTGAGGACTATTCTCACCTAATCAATACCTTGACATTCACGGAAGAGACATGATGAGGCTGTGGAGTCAAAGAACAATGTACTTCAGCAACATTCTGTATCACATTTTTAGTTTGATTTGGTTTAGAAACCTTAGCTGCATAAATACGATGTAAAATTCCTGTGCGCAGAGTTCTGGAAATCTGTTTTCTGTGTACCCCTTGGTGACAGTATTTACGGATTGGAGTTTAATTATTTCCTCTTTTAAGTTGTGCAGCATTATTCAGAGCTATTCTGCATTCCTTGAATTGTACTTGCCTTTTACAGTGTGATACGCCAACAGCAACATAGTCCCTTTAACCGTTGTCTTCAATAAGCACTTCACTCAAGATGATTATTGATAATAATTAAATTTTTTTGGCCACCACTAGCAGTAAACTTTCAGAGTATCATCACTGAATGTTAACGGGATTTTCATGACCTTTACCACATCAGGAGCAGATGAAC
Organism: Homo sapiens; assembly: GCF_000001405.40. NCBI lineage: Eukaryota > Metazoa > Chordata > Mammalia > Primates > Hominidae > Homo > Homo sapiens. The sequence goes on from NC_000005.10 coordinate 126,039,018, forward strand.
AATTCCAGATTCTCCATATCCTCATTTTCCTGAAGGACTTTCACCTAAAGCCCCTTCCTTTGTGCCAAAATCTATTCAGCTAGTGTTCTTCATTGCATGAAGGAGAATAAACTCCAGCAAATTTAAATAGAAAATGAACTTGTTATAAGGACTAAGGGTAGCCTATAGGATCAATGGGATATCTGGAAAATACAGGCTTAGATGGCAGACAGTGCCTATGGAGGGCAAGATGGTAGAACACAAACAAAACAACATAACAGAATAATCATAACAATGTCTCTGGCAGAGCCACCACTTAACACACCATCACAGTTGCTGGAACTTTGTGCTTCCTTTAATGACTCCTCAATTTTCCTTGAGTATTTGAATCCCTTAAGAGTCAAAGTCTTAGATGGGAGCATCTAATTAAATAAGCTTATATCCAGGTCTCCCTCTAAAACTCAAAGTGATTATCCTTTAAATGCAAAGATATATTTGAAAATTGACATGCCATGAAGAGCCAAATTTGGACTAACATTAGCAAAAAGCAGAAATAAAATATACAAAATTTTTATTATGTAGAGAATAAAAAATAAAGTGTTTTGAAATAAACACAACAAAAATATATAGTTTTTTTAAGAAAAACCACAAAATTTTACTGAAGGACATAAAATAAAATCTGAATAAATGAGATATACCATGTTCTTGGAAGAGGAAAAAAAAACAATGGTATTAAAAATACTTAAACTCATTAAATTTTATCTTTAAATTCAAATAAATCACAATAAAGTATTCACAGTTCTTTCCATTAACATTAGTAAGTTGATTCTACAATCATACAAGGAAATGTGCAAGAATAGCCAGAATGATCCTGAAAAATAAAATAGTGGCAAGGTACTCACCATTACCAAATACTAAAAATAATTATAAAGCTATGGAAATTAAAGTGGTATGATATTAACCAAAAATATCCAGCCAATCATTATCAAGCAAATAAATGGAACAGAATACAGATTCTGAAATACTTAGGTATTGGAATTTTAGGATTTAATAAGAGTATCACTTCAAGTCAGTGAAAAAGAATAAATATTAGATACATGATATTGGGGCAATCATTTAACAATTTGGAAAAATGTTAGATCCCTATTTCACACCACTTACAAAAAAAAAATTCTACCTAGATGATACATTTTAAAAATTATACGGGAGAAGAAAATATATTTTTACATGTCTTCTTAAATAAAGAGCATATAGAAAAAATGAAACAGAAAGACGGATACATTTGATAACAAAATTAAAACTTCAGGCCGGGTGTGGTGGCTCAGACCTATAATCCCAGCACTTTGGGAAGCCAAGACAGGCAGATCATTCGAGGTCAAGAGTTTGAGATCAGCCTGGTCAATATGGTGAAACCCCATCTCTATGAAAAATACAAAAATTAGCCAGGCATGGTGTCTCCCACCTGTAATCCCAGCTACTTGGCAGGCTGAGGTACAAGAATCGCTTGAACCTGGGAGGTGGAAATTGCAGTGAGCTGAGATGGCCCCACTACATGCCAATCTGGGCAACACAGCAAGACAGTGTCTCAAAAAAAAAAAAAAAAAATTAAAACTTCAGTTTGATGTAAGACACCACCATTCAAGTTAAGAGAAGTACCAGTTGGCGAAAATATTTTTCATCAAAAATGTTGAATAAAAAATACATAAGAAACAATGATCCCAATAGAAAAATAGGAAAAAATATATGAGCAGGCATTTCAGAGAAATGAAAAAATTCAAATGATTAATAAAGCATATTATAAAAGATGCTTAACCTTCTTAAAAACAAAATAAAATAGCACCAAGATATTGTTTTCATTTACTACTTTGCAAAAATTAAAATGTCAAAGATATGGGCATGGGGCCCCTCACATCATTCTCACAATAATATAAATAAATATGTTCCACATTTTGAAGGCCAGATCAATAGTGTCTATTAAAATTAAAAATAAGTGCACTTCCTGCAAATCTGCTTTACGGTATCAGCCCTAGTGAAACACTGATTCTTAAGCACAGGGGGATATAAACAAGAATATTAATTACTGAAATGTTTGGAATAGCAAAAACCTGAAAGCAATCTCAATGACTTTTTAAATAGCAAAATTACTAAGTATATTATTGAACATATATTTGGTAGCATTAAACAACAGGAGATGTACTGTTGCAATAGAAAAAGCAGACTACAAAATACACATATAGTATTATAACATTTATGGTTAAAACGTACAGCACAAAACCTATTTCTAGGTATTCATGTAAAAAGTTGAGAAAGCTATACAAACCTGATAAAATGATTGCTGCTAGAGAGAATAATTGAATTGTATATTGTAGTTAAGGGGTATTTTTAATTTGTCTTTAATGTTAATATTTTTGAAATGATGTATCTATTACCTATATATTTTTAATTATTTAAAATTTATAAACAATTTACCTCTTGATTTAATGTTGAAGGATATAGCAAAATCTATTACTATAATCACACTATAGTCATCAAAAACATGATTTTAGACATATAAAGAAATAGGCCACATATATAAGACTGTTTTTCCCAATGAAGTTGAGTGAACTTTTCCTTGACAACTGAGGGAAAGGTTCTCACATTAGTGTTTTAAATAAAGGATGTGATAACATTTATCACGTAACTGATAATGTCAGTAAAGACCATTTCCATTACGTCAAGCAGCTTAGACAAGTAGCACATCGCAATAATCTGTAAGTATCTTGCATGGGCTTAACCTACATTTAAGGGCTAAGAAAGGCATAAGTTTTAATAAGATAAGATGCCAGGATTTTTTTTTTTAATCAAGACCAAACATGCAATCAAATGGCTTTATCCCCAAGAGTTTGACTTCTCCCATTTGATTATTTTTTTCACTCACTGGAGAGAGAAATTCATGATGAATTTGGGGCCATATTTTAAACCCACATTCAAATAATGACACAGAGAGTAATGAAATACATCATGGAGTTGAATGCAACCAAAGCTGAGAGTGGGTGTCCACTCAGTGGATCTCCACAAAGAGATAGTCAACTTTCCAACTCTTGCCTATGATCCTATGAGACCATCTGAGAGAGCTCCAGAGGTAGTTTTAGAAAGAACACAATCTCATCACTCCTGAGTCCGTGTTTGATCCAAATATTCATAACCATCTGCCATAACCATCGCACACTTGCTATCATCTCAATGGTCTATAAATTAAGGTTTTCTGATTTCGAAATTTAAAAATAAACTAAGCTAAATGTGGAATGTGACCTAAAGCTTATGTCCGCCATCAGTACGGCCCAATAGCCATACTCTGATAAAAAGTTTAGAAGATATTATCCTTCTAAATCAGGGATTGGAAAATTAAAAACCAACTGCTAATGTTTAAAATGCAATTAGTTCCATTTATGACTTGTAATAATGATTTTTAACTAATCTAAAATTAGCGGTCCTTGTGTGGGCCAATCACAAGTGGTTGGTGAAAAATAAAAACAAATGCTGCTTGGATTGTGTGGCCTTGAGTAAGCTTATTTGTAAAATTGGGATATTTTCTGTATTTTCTTCCAGAGATCTATGTGATGAATAATAACTAAGATAAAGCATGAAAAGCTTTTAGGACAGATGCCTGGTATATAATAAGAGTTTGATAAGCAATAGATTATGAATAGCTTTCAAGTCCCTGCTCCCATTGGCAAGCATACCTTTAATGTGAAAACAGATGCTGGTGGCTATAGCCAGCAAATTTCCAATATCCCCAACCCATTGGTCAGACTACCCCAATGGTGAGAAGGATGCAATTAAACATTCAGTTCACCTAACTCCCCAGATTCTTGTTCTATTCTCATCAGGAACCACTCTAACAATGATTTGGCTGCTCATGTCATCTATTTTCAGATAATCTCAGGCTCAATACAGAGTACAATAATGTACTATTGTGTAATATTCATTTTTGCAACTGATTGTGAGTTCATAAAAGTGCATCCTCAAAGCTGAATCCACTCGTGGTGTTCCAGAAACAGCTTCTGAAGCCAAAGGCTGAGGGTCAGGCCCTGAAATTTGGTCCATTCACCAAGGTAATGAGAGATGCTCATGAAGGCCTCCTCAGAGAGCACCTGCAGCAACCTCCACACCATTACCTTGATATTGGCATTGTTACCTGGGTGCTAGCAAAGCCATTCTAGTTCAACAATTACACTCTGAGTTTTGGTGCTTAGTACACTTCAGATCCTCTGCTGGAGGCTAGAAATTTTTACTTAAGTATCAAAAAAGGGTTAGGTGATTGGGTGACAAGAGTCTTTTAGTAATCAAATCACATTACAAAGCAGCTAAAATAGAATTCTAACTGGAGAGAATGATTTTTTAATGGATTGGTAAAGAAGAAAATAAGTAGGGAGAAGGTGGCATTTTCCTCACATCAACATTATTAATCCTGCTTTTGTCAGAAATACTTATTAAAACATCAGTAAATCTCCTTCTATCTAAGACTTTTAAAAAATGCACATTGTGGCCGGGTACGGTGGCTCACGCCTGTAATCCCAGCACTTTGGGAGGCCGAGGTGGGTGGATCATGAGGTCAGGAGTTTGAGACCAGCCTGGCTAATGTGGTGAAACCCCATTTCTACTAAAAATACAAAAATTACCCGGGCTTGGGGGTGTGCGCCTGTAATCCCAGCTATTCAGGAGGCTGAGGCAGGAGAGTTGGTTGCATCCAGAAGGCGGAGGTTGCAGTGAGCCGAGATGGCACCACTGCACCCCAGCCTGGGTGTCAGAGCGAGACTCCGTCTCAAAAAAAAAGCACATTGTGTCCTTGGGCATTCTATGCAGACTCAAGCAAGCTGTTCCAGCGTGTTATTGGTTGGTTGTTGTCAATAGGAACCTCAGCTGTCTTTGGGGGATCATTCTAGACTGTGGGAAACTGCATTGTACTGACTAATGAGCAATTTGTGGTAAAAGGTAGAAGACTCTTCCAGACTCAGAAATGTCCATTAATGCTTTAATATTTCTCCTTCAACCTCACTGCATTTGTTAGCCTTCTACCTAATGTACTTCTGAGTGGGTGGTGGAGAATTTCAGTCAGGTTTACATTATAAATGTGTTTCTGATTTTTTTCTTTTATCACGTATATTTTTTCCTTTTATACACAAGACAAATGCTTTTAGCCTGCAAGTAGAGCTAAGCACTCCCAGAGTAACTGACTCATTTAGCAGTGTTTGGCTTCCTGTGCTTGTCAGCGGCAGGTGACATTTAGCACAGGCTTTATCTCAGTTGTGGTAATTACTGGGCTGACATGAGCTCTCATACACAGCACAGATTGTTTTCAGCAGATGTAACCAAGCAACTCTGCTTTCTCTGGAGCAGTTTATCTGGCTTTCAAATTGTGGCATTCCATATAGACACACACGCACGCACATACAAGCATACAAATAGTTTAATGTCATTTTTATGGAAATAGTCATTCTTTTTTGCTCTGACTATATTGATTTATGCCACGAGGTGATGGAATGAGATATCTTCATTGTATGCAACTTCTGCATTACACGCTGGTAGTGCATCCTATTAAACAGAAAGGTTATTGTTATTGTAATGTATCTTAGCGTGCCCAAATGCTACTTTAATGATGTAATTAATATGCTTAGATTTACCATTTGATGTTCTTAGGCACCAGTTGTGTGACTGATGGGATAGCAATAATCATTTTTTAAAAAATTTGTGAGAGCAGTATTTTTTCTTAGAAGTTGGAATAAGAAAGTGTTTTATTAAAAGAAGGTGCTACACTAACAACACTTAATTGTCTGTGTAAGACATATCTTAGTGATGCAGCAACTTTCAAGATAATTTTTCAGTTCAACTTTACATTATTTATACTTAATCAAATTATGTATCCTGATACCTAAATATGAAAATAAAGAAAAAAGAATACCTGTAATACCAGCACTTTGGGAGGCAAAGGCAGGTGGACTGCTTGAGCTCAGGAGTTCGAGACCAGACTGGGCAACATGGTAAAACTCCGTCTCTACCAAAAATACAAAAAAAACTAGCTGGGCATTGTGGCATGCACCTGTGGTCCTAGCTACTTGGGAGGCTGAAGTGGGAAGATCACATGAGCCTGGGAGGCAGAGGTTGCAATGAAGCAAGATCATGCCACTACACTCAAGCCTGAGCGACAGAGTGAAACACTGTCTCAAAAAAAAAAAAAAAAAAAATAGCCTGGCACTTTGATATTTTCAGTTTTAATTGACATTCTCATATTTCCTGTGCCAAGATTACTCTAGTCAGTTAGCAATTACCCCACAAAAACACACAATTGTCTAGAGCTGTAATTCAAGACATATTAGTTATGTTATCTTTGCTTTAAACTATAACTAAATACATGTTCAAATTTTCATTTAACTGAATTATGTCACTAGACATGCTATCTAATGTACAGAGACAAGATGTAGCATAATAATAAATTGCTACACTGCAGATTGTGAAATAAATGCAGGCTTCAGCACTAGGGTACTGAGCAAAGCAATGGACTAATAGCAGTAAGTTTGAAAGAGGTTTAGGTCAGGTCAGGGGTGAAGTGAAATGATGAATTAAACCTAGCTAATCAGAGGAGAGCTTCCCGGTGCTCATAAGAGAATATGTGAACATATCACTTATGAACATTTTTCCATTTGTTAAAAGAAAAAATGAAAAACATTTTAGAAGTATTTCTAAGACCTTTAAATGTTATAAAAGGCCAGGCATGGTGGTTCACACCTATAATCCCAGCACTTTGGGAGGCTGAGGCAGGCAAATCACCTGAGGTCAGGAGTTCAAGACCAGCCTGGCCAACATGGTGAAACCCCGTCTCTACTAAAAATACAAAAATTAGCTGGGCATGGTGGCACACACCTGTAATCCCAGCTACTCGGGAGGCTGAGGCAAGTGAATCACTTGGACCTGGGAAGTGGAGGTTGCAGTCAGCCAAGATTGTGCCATTGCACTCCAGCCTGGGTGACAGAGGAAGACTTCTTCTCAAAAAAAAAAAAAAAAAAAAAAAAAAAAAGTTATAAAAAATGTTGGATGAATTGAGGCTGAGCCAGATTGTAATTACGCAAAATAAAGCTTTTTGTTAAGTAGAATTTCCATAAGAAATTTTAACCTCTGGCATTTACATAGGAAGGCAAGGGATGAAGTGCCACCATGAATAAATGTTAAACCTGAGCAAGATATGGACTTATCAAAAAAATTAAAAAGAACTTGCTAGCCTGCCCTCAAATTCCATCAAGGGAATAAATCTGTTATATGAAAGTCTCTGCCTTTTACTATGCTGAACGAGGATATGAAAGAAAAATACTGACAGTTAACCTCCAAAAGTACTTTTACTTCATTATGAGGGAAGCTGTCATTTGATGGAATTCACATACATTACATGAGGCACTTTAAGTGGCAGCTATCTTTTAACTCTGCATTTACTCATAATGCCATTCTTTTAAACAACCTAATGTTCGTTGGAATTAAAATTCCATTCACTTGACACAACAGTATCTATATAACGTAAAATGCCTCCAGTGCCAGGTTATTCAGAATTCTTGTGGCAACTGATAACTAACCTTATGGTTATAACTGATGCTCAGGTTTCTATCGCAATACACGTATTTACAAGCACTCATGCAAACACCGAGATAACTTTTGTATTTCTTCATTTAGTGTTTCCTTTGTCCAGAGAAATGAAGGAAACCAGATGGTCTAGACAATGAAGGGAGAAAGACTTTGAGTAGTAAGAAAACCTAAATCTAAATGCGAGCTGGAGTCTTCCCACCTTCCCAGTCTTGGGCTCCTTCATTATGGAAAGTCATTGATATTTGCCACTTACCTCCCTTGCAGAGTGGATAGCAAATAATCATGCTGATGTGTCTGAAAACTTTACAGGGAAATCCTGATATTACTTTAAAGGGTTATCCATTGAAGTTAAACCTCAGAAAATCTCCCAACAACCATTTTCCATATAAAACATACACCCTCTTTGAAAAGTGAATTTCAGGCTTAGCAAAAATCACCATAATAACAGGGCTGAAAACTGAATCCTTCCACTTATTCCTTATAGACCACAAGAGAGAAGCAAACCATACTGTAAGTATCCTCCCAATGAGATTAAAGATAACAGACTGCAACCAGCCCAGCACACAGTCTGCACCAGGCCACCAACAGGTGGGATCAATGCACAGCTGTGGGCTGGCTTTTGAGAGAGACCCTTACAGCCCATCACTTACAGGTCATAATATTTTAGTGGTTCTTCTCTCTGAACACAATAAAACCTGCAGATAGTTAAAGAGAATGAAAGTTCTTTTAAAGCAATGGGGTGGAAGTAAGGGTAAAAGGGAGTTGATGAGAACCAAATGTCTCCCATATGGTTCCACACAGAGCTGCTGGAAGGTTGTATAAAAAATTAATTCAACTCATATAATTCTGCTCAAAGCCAAATATGTGCACATAATAAAAATGCAACTCAATTATGACATATCTGGGTTTTTTATAACATTGTGGGATGCAGCATCAATCTGCCTTAATATCTAATTCTTAAATTTGCCATATATGTTTCTTTTCCTTACATTTTAGGACCTGACATGGTTAGGAATCGAAGAGATATCTCTTCCTATCTTAGAAAGTAAAAGGAGTATGAACATTTACCATCCCTCCAACTGGTACCACTTTCATATATATGCTTAGTGATTACTATTTTTCACATGTTAAAGGATAGCTCAATTATTTTAAGAGGTAACAAAGCTTCGTAATCTACTAATAGAACATTTTGTGAAGTTCAAGCTCTGTTTTCTGGCCTCTGTTTTCACCTAAATAGTTGGGATGGCAACATATTCAAGAGATGTTCTTGCAAATAATTTAAATAAAAGCAAATGGCAGAAACAGTGAGCTTGAAAGAGGTCAGATGTGGAAGTAGGGCCATTCTTAAGTGCACACAGAGCCCAATTTCATTTGTCTTTCTCTAAAAAACATATGCAGAATGAAATGAATCAAGTTGAAGCATGAACCAAGTGATTAATTCAAGGTCTGTAGGCCAAACTAGATACTGCATATAAGGCACACACAGACTGATTTATTTAACAGGGAGGTTTATGCCAATTAGTAAGGGGTTCTAAAGATTTATGATAAAATACTACCCTCTTTCAAAGAGGGATTGAGAGCTTTGCAGAGGGTTTAGCATGTAGACAAAAGGCCAAGATTCTATGTTAAATATTGGGCATTCAAGATTACAAGAATTTAAAGGTGTCCCTGGCCCCCTTAGGCAAAATTAATCATTCACTAGTATTTGCTCCCCTAGCCATTTAGTATATCTCTATTAAAGCACTTTCTCCTGTAATTATAACTGTTGTCTTGTTTCCTTATGAGACTATGGACATTTTTAGGTTACTTATTGTTTTATTCATCTTTATTTCCCCCAAATGCTACACAGTGTTTAAGACACACTGGTACTTAATGCATTAACCCTACATCTCTTGTGCCCACTGTTTTAAATATTGCTCTGGGTACTGGATATTCAGAATTGATGGAACCCAAACCCCACCTTTGGTGAGTTTGCACATCCAAAGGAGAGCATGACTGAGCTAATGGGCAACACAAAACACGTGCTCGTCCACTTCTAATATTTGCATATAGTGTAATGAATTTCCAGGCCACAAGAGGCATTTGGGACGTCTTCCATTTCCTAAACTCTCAATGGGCTAATTGTAGAGGATGCAATGACCAAGGTCAGTCAAAAATGAGCCTTTCATTTGGCTCTGTGTTTTGATGATGCTAGCTCAAAAGAGAAACAGGATCATAAGAACTCAGGAAACATTTAAACAGCTCTACCTAAGAAATAATTAATAAACAACAAATAAAATGTTTCAGCCTGGAAATGAAAAAAATTAAGAAGCAGTGTTGCCTAGTGATGAGGCCAAGGACACAGTCTCTAAAAGATCTAGGAAGAAAGGCCAGAAAGATACACAGACTTCATGACACAATGATATTATAGATAAGAAAACTGTAAGGCAGCCTCCTACTATAGCTCAAAAGCATGATTACTAGAAAAAGATTTTAAACATTTAAAATGTCTAAGAATAGCTCTAATCAGGCACAGGCTAAGTATTAAAGATGAGAGTAAGCAGTTTCATCCAGTAGCTTTTGAGTTTCCACAGACAGCACCCCATCCATATCTCTGTAGAGGGATGTCCTGCCTGCACCCAGACTTGTAGGCAAAGTTCAGCTGAATTCCATCATCTGTGGTTGGTGATCCCTGGGGGGCATTTATTTACATGTGCTGCCATATATGGGGACTTTTTAAAAAATATTCCATATTTACTTCCTTTTACTTCCTTTCTTTTACTTCCTCTTACTTTCTTTCCACAGCTCTTGACATCTTCATTTATTTTTGGCAGGTGGGTATGTTTCACTCTGGTGGATCTACATATTCTTATATGCATTTTTTCAGACATCAACTCACTTTTTTCTTTATAAGACATTTTCATTTCTCGATGTTTTGGAAATTACGAAATGGTTTATTGTAGCAAGTCGAATAATATAAAAATACGTAAAATAATATAAAAGACATAAAACCCAATTCTAGTGACACAGCCCAGGGGGAAGGTTTCCCCCAGAGAAGCCCCACACTGGGGTGGAGCCTTGGGAAGTTTGTGCCCTTTGTAGTGGGGCAGAGCCTGACCCCTCCTCTTCCTGTGTAGAACCCAGAATTCAATCTGTGAGGCAAGAAGCATATACTGGAAGGACTCTCGCTCTGCTGAGTCCCTGTTTCCCCTTTTTTTCATTTTTGCCAAATAAATTCCATTATTCTCACCCTTCAACTTATCTGTGAGCCTAACCTTTCACCGCCATCTGACAAGGACCCTATCTTTAGCTGAACTAAGGAAAAGTCCTCCAACGCTAGTCATCTTCCCTTTGCACAAGCTTCAAGCCTCTAATCCCCATTGGGGTGACCAACATTAACATCTGATGTATATTATTCGCCCTTTCCCCTTGCTCATATATAAATATATAACCATATGTAGGTAAATGTAGGTAATTTGTTTGTTCTATCAGAAAATAAAAATATATACATCTCTTGCAACTTGGCTATATCTATACATATATATACACATATATACACATATATATACATATATACACATATATACATATATACACATATATATATACATACACATATATATACATATATATACACATATATATATACATATATATACACATATATATACATATATATATATATACACACACATATATATATATACACATATATATATTTTTTTTTTTTTTGAGATGGGGTGTTGCTCTCTTGCCCAGGCTGGAGTGCAGTGGGGTGATCTCGGCTCACTGCAACCTCCACCTCCCAGGTTCAAGCGATTCTCCTGCCTCAGCCTCCCAAGTAGCTGGAATAACAGGTGCCCGTCACCACGCCCGGCTAATTTTTTTGTATTTTTAGTAGAGACGGGGTTTCACCATATTGGCCAGGCTGGTCTCAAACTCCCGACCTCATGATTCGCCCGCCTTGGCCTCCCAAAGTGCTGGGATTACAGGCATGAGCCACCACGCCGGCCTTTTTTTGAGATGAAGTCTCGCTCTGTCACCCAGGCTGGAGTGCAGTGGTGCGATCTCGACTCACTGAAACTTCCACCTCCCGAGTTCAAGCGATTCTCCTGCCTCAGCCTTCTGCGTACCTGGGATTACAGGCACCCACTACCTCGCCCAGCTAACTTTTGTATTTTTAGTAGAGACGGGGTTTCACCATGTTGACCATGCTGGTCTTGAACTCCTGACCTCAGGTGATCTGCCCAACTGAGCCTCCCAAAGTGCTGGAATTACAGGCATGTGCCACCGCACCCAGCCCCACTTAGCAATATAATTTGGATAGCCTTACAAACAAATATAGATCTACCTCTATTTTTAAATTTATTCATGCATAATACAGTGCATTTTATACAAATGGGTTTTCCACCATTCATGATAAATTTAGAACTATTCTGTTGAATACATATTCAGAAAAGGGCTTACATCATAAATGTACTCAGCTTAATGTTTGTCCCACAGTCAACACATCTATTTAACTTCTACCCAGATTTTAAAGAATGGAAAACAAGCAGCATTCCAGAAGCTCTTTGCTCCCCCATGGTCCCCACCCTCCTTTGCTAATTTTTTACTATCCTGATTTCCAACATCATAAGTTAGTTATGCCTTTAAAAATATTTATATTTAAAAAACACCAGTATGTATGCTACTAGGTCTGCCTTCTTCCATTCAAAAGATGATTATGAGTTTTATCCATATGTTTGCATGTAATTTGTTCATTTTCCTTGCTGTATCATAGTCTAGTAAACAAATATAACATGATAGACTTATCCATTCTACTAAACAGCATTTGGGTTGTTAACAGTTTGAGAATTTACATGAATAATGCTGTTATTGCCTTCAAAATACGGAAGCCTCCCCAAAACTAGTCTCTGTATATTTAAAAGAAAAACAAACAAAAAACCTTCTCTCTCATATATTTTGTTCTTACCACTGGCATCAGAAGTCTGTTTTGTAATTCAAAGTTGAGGCTTAATTTTTCTCTGCATTTGTAAAATACCAAGGACAGTATGGGTAGCTTGTTCTAAAATACCAAGGACAGTATGGGGAGATGTTCTAGCTCCCTGGACTGACAGGTAGAACCTCGTGTTTCAAGAAAGCACAAAGGTAGAGGATTGAAAGACATTGGAAGACACTGGAAAAAACTTCTAGCATTCTACAGCAGCAATATTTCAGCCATGAAGAATGGCAGTAATAACTATAGCTCTGCATATTAGCATCAAAACTAGAGGGCAGGAATCCAATAGAGGTAATAGCTAGGATAAACTAGAAAAAAAATATTAAGAATTTCAGTTTGCCCAATAAAAGATGAAAAAAGGGCAAAGAGAATATGGAATTGGCATGGAGGAGGGAGGCAAACTCTAGGAAGGAAAGTTGGATCAAGAAAGTTGGAAAGAGGAAAAGAAACGATTCATCAAGGAGTGTAGTAGGTAACAGACTTTTAAAATGGGAAAGCATAAATCTAATTATACACGGTTTTCACTGCTTTGATTCTGGCTATTTTCCACATCTCTGAATACAGTTGATCTTCAATATTCATGGATTCTATATTTGTGAAGTCACATAGTTGCTAAAATATATTTGCAACACCAAAATCAATACTAGAGGTATTTTCACAGTCATTTGTAGACATGCACAGAAAACTGAAAAAATTGAGTTGCCTGAAGTGCACACTCCCAGCTGAGGTTGCGCAAGGCTCCTGTCTGCCTTCTGGTTTCTGCTCTCATCCTGTAAATAAGTATTTTTTTGTGTGTGTTCTATTTACTGCTATGTTATTGCCTTTTTGTGCTTTTTGTGGTGATTCTGCAGTTTTAAATGGCCCCCAAGGCATAGTGCTAAAGTTCTGTCTAGAGTTCCTAAGCACAAGAAAGCTATGATGTGCCTTACAGAGAAAATATGTGTGTTACCTCAGCTTCATTTAGGCGTGAGTTATAGATGCTGTTGGCTGTGTGCTCAATGTTAACGAATTAAAAATAAATATTCAACAAGATACCTCTAAACAGAAACAGACACAAAACAAGGTTATGTATTGATCAGTTGGCAAAAATGTGACCAGCGGCTTGCAGGAACCTAACCCTATATTTCCCTTAGAAGCAATAATTCAGTATTTGCTAATTCAGTGTTTACAGTGACTTTATAGAACGTAACTACCTTGAATAATAAGAATCCACTGCATTTAATAAAGTTTGCTGCATGCAAAAGTCTTATGCAAGGAACTTTATACATCTTTGAATGGAAGCAAGAGTATAAAATAGAAAAACACAGTTAAGATTACTCATTAGTGGTGTTGCAATGTTGGATAACATCAGTTCTGAATGAACATGAAAGCACCTAGCCCAGAACTTGGTACTGACAATCATTTAAAACATGTTTGTGTGTGCTCAAATAACCTCTTCAGTTGATAACATCTTTACCTGGAAGATGAACAGTGTGTCATCTATCAATTTTGAGGAAATGTTGTCAGCGTGAAAGTCCCTATGTCTTAAAAAGTATTAAGAACATTTGTAAGAAGAATTGTACTGTGATGGACTTCTTAATTATTGTGAAATAGAATGCAATAAAAATAATGCTCAATTGAAATTAGTATACAAGATGTTATATGAATTTCATCTTTGAAACCAATTATGTGATTTCTTTTCCTAGGTATATAATTAAGAAATAAAAAGGTTATCTTTATTCTAAAAACAGATAATTGAGATATACAAATAGTCAAGCACAATAGTAACATTATTTATATTAAGTTCTGCAGGAGCACAGAATCTAGTGATTATGTTGCTAGTTTTACTGTCTTGCCAAATATAAAATGAAGGTCAAAAACGAAATGAAAAGAATATAATGTGAAAATGAAACATCAGTATCTGACCAGTTCTGTGCTGAGTATTCATTATGTTAGTATGTTGTTTTATCCCCTTAAATTTGCTTTAAAATCAGACTCTAAAAGAAACCAGCAAAATAAAATGCTATGATACTATTAAAGCAATGGCAATACCCATTGAATACCATTTAGTTTGAATCAGTGGTAGTACTATTAATTTCTCCCTTTTTAATGCACACTTTAGCTAGCACATGACCCATACCGTGGAACATCAGTTACACTCCAGGGACCAGACATTAACAACATGTGCTACGAGTGGTTTATTTTACAATTGCTGTGAAATAAAAGCTGATGAAAATGAGCCACTGGTGAATTACTTGCCAGCAAAAACAACAATATTGGTATCACTACTGAAAACCTCCATCCCAAAAGGGGGGTGGTGTGGGTGGAGATTTACTTGTATTGTTTGCACAGAAACATAGAGACAGGGGAAGTTGGGGAAGTAAACAGTTAAAAGTCTGCAGTTATTTCTTGCAGTTTACTGCAGTTAAACAGAATACATTTTAGCAGCTGAGATCCTGTACCACAGCTAAATTAAAGCACAATTTGGACACACACACAATCACATAAAATAAAATAAAAATTATTTCCAAAGAAACTACAATTCATCGGGTCTTTCCTCTCATAAAAGAAACATTAATATGACTTCAATCTTTTGATGTAGGTGATCTTTCTAGAGCTATATGGATGAAGAAAATTAAAATTTCAGCAGGTTCTTCACAGAACCAATTTATCCCTATTGTTTTTTGTTGTCATTTGTTTAATTTGAGAGCATTGATTCTTCTTGCATATCACTTTTCTACTAAACTCAGTCAATATCAGAAATTTTATGTTCTTATAGAAGATATGCAAATAGATCCAGATATTTTGCTATATTTATAAAAACATATAATTCTAACTCAATATAATCTATACACAAAGACCTTGCCTTCATTAAAAAGATGCACTTGATTTAAATATAATGCTCAAATATGAATTACTTCTAGCTTCTTGTTCTAAACTGGATTTAATAACCTCTCACCTTCTTTGAGAGAGAGTAGGAGTGAGCAATACACATGAAAGAACATTGGGTTTGTAAGAATAAAATGGCACGATGGCGTTCACTGAAAGTGAGTAGACCCATTAATTATCCTGCTTACAGGTTTAAACACACACACAATTTTGTCTATGATTAACTGGATTGTACAGCTGTTGTTCCTTTTGCTGAAAGGTTTGACCTTTTGCTTAAGTCTAATCTAACACAAGGAAATCATTATTCATTTCTCTCCTACTCAAAGTCTAGATGCAGATTTGAAAATGTTATTTATTGTCTGGCTGTTAGTCTTTAACGTACAGCAGTTATTACTAAAGGAGACAGCTGGCTGCATCGACCTATCCTTTACTGCCCCCAAGGCCACGCATACCTAATTCAAGGATATCAGATAATGGTACGTGGCATGATTTACATGTAGAGAATTCAGAATTCATTGTGAGCCTATTTATAACTACAGCACTGTCGATAGAGAAAATGATTTAATAGAGGTTGTAAGGGTTTTCTGACAAGAGGCATTAATATTAGAACCTTTTCCCAAGTGCTGCAAACAGTGGTGCGGAGATGTAGCTTGCCTGAGTTATTTTTCACTGGCGACCCTTTTTCTGTTCATTAGCACTTACATTCCTGGGGTTGGGAAGCCACTGTTTTAACGCTAATTTGTTTGTAATGAGCATATTCAGTGCAAGGAGACTCTCCTTGATTAAGGAAGCTGAAAAAAGGCTGGAAACTGATGAAAAAAGGCATCTAATCTCATGGAAATTTAACAAGTCCAGTTTTTGCAGATGGTATTTGGAAAATCAAGAGTCTGCTCTCTAGATGGTCAAGGTGGATGATAAAGATTCTGTAATGCCTTTTCAAAAGAGTTAGAAACAGACCGATGTCTTAACCAATAAATCTCCCTTCAATAAAACTAACTTTAATGGATGAGGCTGCCTCTGGGTATTACTAAGAACACACAGGCAGGTCTATTTGCTTACACAGACACTGCACTGCCAATTACTTCAGAAGGCATTTCAGGATGGTTTGGGTTTTTTTAAATGATATATGATACTGTTTATCTAACAGTTATGAGAATTAACCACACATCTGAAAATGCAGTTTAATGGAGCATGGTACCAAAGAAGTCTTCTTGGTTAATAACACTTCTGGTTTACGATAGATGAAACAAATCAGCACCTTTGGTGGTGCATTATGTTTTTAATTTGAAATTGAAAACCAGTGTTCTACTTCAAACAGCAATTTTCATATAAAATACATCTCTAAAGACTGGCACTTGTTGGTATTTATTTTGAAAAGTGTGTATATAATAGCTTTGGGGAGAAGTTTCATTTGGGGTCGAAACATTTCCTCTAGATTACTATGAGTTCAAGTTTAAGCTTCACAAATCTCTAGATGCCATAACAAATGGCTAATATGTACCAGGTTGGATTTTGTTATTAGATTTCAAAAAAAAAAAAGATTCTGAAGCCTAAGTTTGAACCAACACCTTATTTTTAGTTTGTCAAGTTAATTATTCTTACCTATCTGCAGTTTTATTAAAAATTAATTCATCATTTATATCAAAAAATATCTTAGAAAAATAAGACTAGTCAGTGGAAAATAATGTCCCTAGTACACCCATTATCCCAAATCTAAGAACATCTAGGACTATCTCTATTTACTGTGCTGTTTCCCGTTGCGACTGCACTTATGCATATTTGAGTGTCTGCATTTAATTGCCTGGTTATGGCAGTGAAGAAAAAGCACACAATTTAGGCTATGCAAACTCTATCTTGTATGAACCAAAGGGAACAAGACATTCCTATTTCATTTGGCTCATAACAATTGGTGACAATATGCCTCCTTGAAAACTCAGTGTTGGATCTATTTCATATTGTTTATACATTGTAATTTCAATTGTCTTTTTTAAGAGGCTAAAAGGCAAACATAACAAAGACTATCAAAACTAAGACAGATGGTATGAATCTGTGTGCTTGGACTTTTATCAAAACAAATGAAATCAGAATTAACTTGTTTTGAAGACTACAAATCCTATAGTGCAGATGACCGAATGGTTCCTGTTTCCTCTTATTAACTGGCCATTAATCAATTTAAACTCAATATGTAGGACAGTGCCTTCTCTCTTCAGGTTTTTCTCTTGGGGGTGGGGTGAAGAGGAGGAAATAGAGGTAGGCAGTTGACAGTGAGCATTCTCAGTGAAATTAAAAGAAAAGTGTTGAAATGCGTGATAAATTTGTAATGACCATGTCACTGAAATGGCTCCGTTGTCTGGGGTATATACACTGGTTCTTTGTCATCGTCAAGAAAGAATTCAGGACACAGACACACACGAGGAGTGGGTTTAGGAGCACAAGGCTTAATAGAAAAAGAGAGGCCAGGCGTGGTGGCTCATGCCTGTAATCCCAACACTTTGGGAGGCTGAGGCAGGCGAATCACCTGAGGTCAGGAGTTCGAGACCAGCCTAGCCAACACCGTCTCTACTAAAAATAACAAAAATTAGCCGGGTGTGGTGGCACACGCCTGTGGTCCCAGCTACTAGGGAGGCTGAGGCAGGAGAATAGCTCAAACTCCGAGACAGCACCACTGCACTCCAGCCTGGGCGACAGAGCAACACTCTGTCTCAAAAAAAAGAAAAGAAAAGAAAAAGAGAAAAAGTTTCCGCATGCTGAGAAAGTGGGTCACCCAAAAGAGGGTCTCCGGTTTGCAGCTGAATGCATTTATTTTGTACAGAGGCTTGAGGAAGTAGTGAGTGATTTACATCATAGGGTCCAGGGGATTGGTTTGACCAGGTACCACTTACATATCCCGGGAAAAGACTGGCCCTCCCACCCTAGTCTTTTATTATGCAAATGTGGCCTCCACCTGGCAGTTGCCTGTACAGGTGGGTTTACCTGAAGGCTGCTGTGACAAGGAAAAGAGGGCGGGAGATGCCATATTGAATGTTCCTGGCTTCCAGGTACAGCTGCCTTCATTTACATATGAAAGCTCCTAGTTTGCATATCTATCAGGCTGTTCTCTGTTGGAGAAAAGATGGTTTGGGGCTGCTTTTTTTTTTAAAAGGAAAATTCCACCCAGAACTTTTACCCTTTCTAGCTGCCTAAAAGTAATTTCTTAACAACTCCTGCATTATCACAAAATTGAAAATAACCGATAACAAAAACAAAGATTAGATTACAATTGATAGTTCATGTTCATTAAAGTGGAGAAACTTCTGGTGTTTTCCTTGATGATTTAAATAAGGTAACCTGGATAATTAATGCTTACTGATCAACTATGTTCCACGTGCTTCCTAAAATCATTTCAAATGAGTCAGTATATATAAAATCACTTAGAAAGCCACATAATGCTTTGGAAATAAAAGATGCTATTATCTATTATGCTATATCCTTTTCCAGAAGTATAGCAATAAACTATAAACAAAGAAATAATTATTAAATTTCTTCCAAACTTAACCAAAAAAAATGTGCACTTACAAATAACTAAACTTGGGGAAATGAAATATGTACATTCTTAGACTTAATTAAGAGTACAAGGAACAACCTTATTAAGAGTCTTAGAAGGTACATGTTTCCAAAGTAAAACAAGAATATGTGTGTTGTACTCTGTGTGAAGCTGTAAAAATAAATTAATTTTTTGATGTTTAGAAAAATGTTTTGGTCTTCATGTTATAAGAGCCATATTTTCAGTTATCCAAGGAGATGACAACTGGCTTTGCTCTTCTCAAAGCCTGACACGCTAGTCTGATATACTCTGTCAATTAAATTGTTTTTAACAACATAGTAGTAAATTTACCCTTAGAAAATTTTATTATTTTTCATTTAAGATATCAAATACCTATTCATCTGTGGACCATCTAGGAAAGTGGCTATTTCTATGAAAAGATAAGCAAAACTCCACTAAGAGTGAAGCTGAGAGGTGAAGCCAGCTGGACTTCCTGGGTCTAGTGGGGACTTGGAGAACTTTTCTGTCTAGCTAAAGGATTGTAAATGCACCAATCAGCACTCTGTTAAAACCCGCCAATCAGTGCTCTGTGTCTAACTAAAGGATTGTAAATGCACCAATCAGCACTCTGTAAAAACACACCAATCAGCACTCTGTGTCTAGCTAAAGGGTTGTAAACGCACCAATCAGCACTCTGTAAAATGGACCAATCAGCACTATGTAAAATGGACCAATCAGCGCTCTGTAAAACGGACCAATCAGCAGGACGTGGGTGAGGCCAAATAAGGGAGTAAAAGCTGGCCACTGCAGCCAGCAGCCCCAGTCCACTCCGGTCCCCTTCCACCCTGTGGAAGCTATGTTCTTTTGCTTTTCACAATAAATCTTGCTGCTGCTCACTCTTTGGATCTGCACCACCTTTAAGAGGTGTTAACACTCACCACAAAGGTCCACGGCTTCATTCTTGAAGTCAGCGAGACCACAAACCCACCAGAAGGAAGAAACTCTGGAGACATCTGAGGAACAAACTCCGGACACACCATCTTTAAGAGCTGTAACACTCACTGCAAAGGTCCGCAGCTTCATTCTTGAAGTCAGCGAGACCAAGAACCCACTGGAAGGAACCAGTTCTGGACAAAAAGCCACCTTACAATGTTTACTGAGGCATAAAAAAAAAAAAAAAAAAAAAAAACTATGTAGAAACACACAAAGAAAAGCAAGACTTCACATCCTCTAGCTTAGGGCTTTGCACATCTGAGGACCACATAAATGCTGATTGACTATAATTCAGTAGTTCTCAACTGATGGGAGAGGGAGAGGTACAGGGCAGGGAGTTTTGCACTTCAGGCACATTTTCTAGCATCTAGAGGCACTTTGGGTAGTCACAGCTTGGGGGTGGCAAGTTTCAACTAGAACCTAGTGGGTACAGTCTGGGAATTTTGCTAAACATCTTATAAGCACAGGACAGGCTTATAAGCCTTATAACTCTCCAGCCCAAAATCCCAATAGTGCCAAGATTAAAACACTCTCCTGCAATTGTGTGCTATACAGTAATAATTAAAGTTATAACCTTACATTTTTAATTAATTTTTTTTTTTTTTTTTTTTTTGAGACGGTGTCTCGCTCTGTCACCTAGGCTGGAGTGCAGTGGCGCGATCTTGGCTCACTGCAAGCTCCACCTCCTGGGTTCACGCCATTCTGCCTCAGCCTCCTGAATAGCTGGGACTACAGGACCCGCCACAGTGCCAGGCTAATTTTTTGTATTTTTAATAGAGACGGGGTTTCACCATGTTAGCCAGGATGGTCTTGATCTCCTGATCTCATGATCCACTGGCCTCGGCAATTAATTCTTGTAACATCTGAAAGTATATTCCTTGGTATTCTCTCTTCTTTGGGGAAAAAAAAAAAACAGTAAAACAAAAAATATTTACAAGAATACTTAACACTCATATCTTGAGATGTTCCGCTCCTTCAGGAAATTATTAATAGAAGAAAAGCTGGCTAGTGTGTAATAGTAGTACAGTTGCTACAATTAGAGAGAGATGCTTGATAAACTTGAGGCTTAAATGGCAAAGATCCTGGCCATTATTCACATATTTACACTTGAGATTATAATCATTTTTAGAATAGTTCATACATAAAGGATGAAGTTCAAAAATACATGTGGCTATCCAGTAAAAAGGAATTCTCTCTCCCACCCCTGTCCCACTGCCACCATTTATGTCCCCAGAAACAAATTTCTAAGACATCCTCCTGGAGATACTCTGTGATTAGGGTGGGGGGTTTACTTCCAGAGGAATAACTCTTTGCATATAGCTAATGAATATATGTATCTATAAATAACAGACTATGCACACTGTACTAAATCTTAATCTTCCCTTCTAATAATATGTCTTGAAGATACAGTATATTACAGTAGACTCATTATTTTACATTGCTACATAGTATTTTACAATATGAAAATAACCACTTTTAACAAATTTATTGAATGTATTTGTTTTCAATCATTTGTTATTAACAATGTTACTACAATTATCTTTGTAGGTCATCTCTTGTCTTTATGATTATAACTATATTTCTACACAGAAGTGGCAGTGCTCTGTAAAAGGACATGGGTATTACATATTTTGAAATATATTATCAAATTTCTGACCAGATATATGTGATCCTACATATATAGGCTCTACACCCATGTCAGTACTGTGTGTTGATTAGCTCTTTGCAAATCTGTTGTGTAGAAAATTTGTAGTCTTGACATTTCTCTTACATAAAAGTTGCATATATTTACATAAATTTTAGACACATTTATAATACTATTCCTGATCATAATCTTTGCCCATTTTTGTATTAGTCTATTCATTTTTTCTTTTGGATTTTAAGAGACCTGTCAACATTAACAAAATTCACCCTTGTCTGTAATACAAGTTGTAAATCCCTTTTTTCTCCTTTGACAATGTTTTTGTTTGTTTGCTTTTGATGGAAGATGGTCCTGCAAAAGTCTTTGCAGTTGAACTTACATCAATCTTTTTTTCTGGCTTCCAGATTTTATATCAAATTTAAAATTATATTTTTAAATTGTGACATATTTTATTATCTTTGTGACTTTTCTTCTTTTTTTTTTTTTTTTTTGAGATGGAGTTTCGCTCTTGTTGCCCAGGCTGGAGTGGAATGGCACAATCTTGGCGCACTGCAACCTCCACCTCCCAGGTTCAAGTGATTCTCCTGCCTCAACCTTCCAAGTAGCTGGAATTACAGGCATGTGCCACTACACCCAGGTAATTTTGTATTTTTAGTAGAGACAGGGTTTCTCCATGTTGCTCAGGCTAGTCTCGAACTCCTGACCTCAAGTGATGCACCCATCTCGGCCTCCCAAAGTGTGATTTTTTTCTTATTAAACATTGATCAATCTGGAATTTATCTTGGCTTAAGAGTTCACTTTCATTTTTCTTCAGATGGCTACCCAGTTATGCTGATATCATACAAATCTTTCCCCATTGGTTTGAAATTCTGATTATTTTATTACTTGGGTCTTTTGCTGGGTTTTCTATCCTTTTTGATACCTCTTTGTCTATACTTAGGTCAGCAATACAATGTTCAAATTATTGTAGCATAGTTTTAATATCCAGTAGGAAGCAAACACATTCCTTGAGTATATTTTTGTCTCTAGATAATGCAAGTAGGAAAGTTAGGCTAATAAATGTATGTGAGCAATGAGTATGACTGCAAACAGCCTTTCTCTCTTAGGTTAATAGATTAGATTGTATTTCCTCTGGGACTTCTCACTGAAAAGTGGGCCACAAGCATATTAAATTTATGGTTTTTCACTCTGATGGAATGCCTTTTTTTTTTTTTTTTTTTTTTGAGACAGAATCTTACTCACTCTGTTGCCCAGGATGGAGTACAGTAGCACAATTTCAGCTCTGTAAACTCCACCTCCTGGGTTAAAGCAATTCTCCTGCTTTAGCCTCCCGAGTAGCTGGATCGCCATTGTGCACCACTAGGCCTGGCTAATTTTTGTATTTTTAGTAGAGATGGGTTTCACCATTTTGGCCAGGCTGGTCTCGAACTCCTGACCTCAAGTGATCCACCCACCTTGGCCTCCCAAAGGGCTGGGATTACAGGCATGAGCCACCATGCCCAGCCTCACTTTCTACTCTTTACCTCTTAAGCCAACCTAAAGAATGCATGTGGGTAAAAGAAGTGATGAGAAAACACTTGGCAAAGAATAGAAACCTATTTCCCTGTCCCTTCATGTGAATGGGCTGATTTTTCAAGATCACTCAAAGGATTCATCTGTTTTTCAGGATGGAGGGATTTGCAAGTTGATGGCAGATGGAAGGCATTATTGAGGCAGAAATGGATGAAAATCAAACCTGCTCTTGATATACACAGCTGATCTGGGCACTGAGTGAAGTCTTATTTCCTGTCTATGAAAGCAGACACTTGAACCAATCACTCCTTTCTTCATACAATGTGTGTGCACAGAATCAAATTTGCTGAAATCTGGAATTTGGGACTTAAGTTCTGATTCTTTTTTAATGTAAATGGAATGAAGGCATTTGAAGATTGATGCAAGAATATACATGTAGGAATAATTGCCTAAGTGGCCACATTTGATTTAACATAGACAAAACCTTCTGCTTTGTATTATATTAAAACATTTACCACACATTGCCTCAAGGATTAAAAATAATATAACTCCTGCCAAGACATTACTTTTCTATGGTCATCATACTATTATCTTTTCAAACATAACTCATAACGTCTGCAAATGTCCCTAATGACCAGACTGCTTAAATTTAATTAAATTTAGGCTCTAACCTGGCTTAGGACCCCCTTTCTACAATTATTCCTTGGAGTTCCACACACAAAGTTATTTCACACATGCTCAAGAGCACCCCCTCCCACTGCTAGTCATACTAGTCTGATAGGCAGAGCAGGGGGCATGCCAGTAGCCACAGCTAGTCCATTGGCTGTGGAAGGCAGTTTTCCAGTTCCATTGTTATTTCCCAGGTCCTTGACTTTATTCTCTATTGCTGCAGTGGGGTTAGAACAGCCTCTGCTCCTGTCTCAGCAATTGCTGTTTTTCCCACAGTTCCTCTGGCCACAGTGTTCCTGCCTGATGATCAGTTTGGGCTGTCCAAATTGCAGAGCTAGGGGAAAGTTTGAGATGATAGTTTTGACATTTTACCATATTAGTAGGTACTCAGAGCAGAGCTGAGCCCTCAATATATATTTCAGAGTTCAGTAAGACATTCTTTACTTTTTACTCTTAGCCTTTTCTCTGCCAAGTACCCGAACATACTTCCATGGAGTAGGGCAGAAGAAAGACTAATGTCAAAGCAACAGTGCTGTGCTTGTGGCCTGTGCTTGCCTTTAATAAAGAAAGGATAAGTTACTGGGCCAAGTTACTGTAGCCAGATTCTTCCCTTAGGATGTTTTCTCACCTGGAAGTCTCTTTAGCTCTAACTTTCAAACAGACTTTTGTGAAATGAGGCCACCCAATAGCTCACCAGGTTTGCCCAGACGGTTCTGAACTCCAGCATTAAGCAAAATATATTATCTTTCCCAGGCAGAAAGAAACTCTCGGATTGTCACAACAATGTCCAAACAAGACCAGATATGCCTGAACCCCCAGATAAAAATAGAAAGCTGTTGAGTTTTCAGTTATAAAGCCTAGAACAAATAAGTGAGAAGTCTAAGGAAACAGGAAAATTTTCCAAAAATGCTGTGAGATTTTTCTGTTTGCAATGGGATTTTGTGTGCAGAGATTGGCATTAGTCCTTGTCAACCAGATATGACAGTTTCAAAGGGGAAAAATGGGAAAGAATAGAGAGATGAGGTGTGTGTGTTTTTTGAGAGCAAATCTTAGTGCTACTGTGTCCGGAAATAATAATCTGCCCCAAACAGGTATAAAGACAAATACTTTCTTCAAACAAATAAGCAAAACACTGACAGAAGATGATGAGAGGTACTTGCACAGAAAAAAACTGTAACTATTAATGCAAACCCCCTATGAACATGGCGAGACTGCTCAAGTGGCACAACAGCCAAAGCAGCCAGGAGCATGCAGCAGGATTGGCATGTCAAATGTGACTCTTGAAGCTGTATGGACCCCATGGTTATGTGTTTACAGAAATTGATTAGGGAACATAGTGACACTCTAGCAATGTGGTCAGGGTGAAAGTGGTTCTTTAAAGAAACAGGAAACGTAAATTTGTTAATAAAGTGGTGACCCGCTAAAGCAAACAGAACATGTTACACACAAAAAAATGTGCACAGGGAAAAGAGAGCAAGTACAATATAATGCATTGTACTATGAGCTTCATTTCTTTTTTTTTTTTTTTTTTTTTTGAGACGGAGTCTCGCTCTGTCGCCCAGGCTGGAGTGCAGTGGCGGGATCTCGGCTCATTGCACGCTCCGCCTCCCGGGTTCACGCCATTCTCCTGCCTCAGCCTCCCAAGTAGCTGGGACTACAGGCGCCCGCCACTACGCCCGGCTAATTTTTTGTATTTTTAGTAGAGACGGGGTTTCACCGTTTTAGCCGGGATGGTCTCGATCTCCTGACCTCGTTAACCGCCCG
The DNA here is from genome assembly GCF_000001405.40 of Homo sapiens. Taxonomy (NCBI): domain Eukaryota; kingdom Metazoa; phylum Chordata; class Mammalia; order Primates; family Hominidae; genus Homo; species Homo sapiens. Next base: position 126,064,557 of record NC_000005.10, read on the forward strand.
CCTCGGCCTCCCAAAGTGCTGGGATTACAGGCGTGAGCCACCGCGCCCGGCCGAGCTTCATTTCTCAGCTGAAGTTGCCTTTGTTACTACCACATGGTATTCCTCTTAAAGATGGTCTCCATCAATTAAAAAGCATACTGGTCTATGCTATGGCAACATTCTTGTTGACATTGATCACTGTATTGGAGCTCCTTGCTTAGAGACTCCCAACTTTATAGCTATTCATACTAACATGTTCATTCATTTTTTTTTTTTTACCATGTCAAGTCAGATAAACTGAGGGAACTCCCTGCCCCTGCTAAATATCGGGACAGAGTCACCCTTCCTTTCTTATTAATATAGACACTGGCATTAATCCAGAATCATAAACCCAGACAATGCTGCCCCCATAGCACTAGCAAAGAGAGTAACTCTTGAAGAAGGCATAAGTTTAGCAAGTAAAAATGAGGAAAGATAATTAGAGACAGTGAGAAATGCATCCTAAAATCCCTGGAGTAAGAAATCCCATGATCTAACTCTAGTGGCAATACAGAGAAGGACTTGAAGAGGAAGACTTTGGAAAATGGAACACATTTCTAAGAGAGATTATGAGAATCAGGAAATGAATAACAATGAATATGGACAGGAGAGGCTATGTCTCAGAGATGCTTCTATAGCACAAATAACTTGCTGACTAATGAGAAGTGATATGAGAGACAGGACGCAGTTGAGGATAATTCTGTTTTCAACTTAGGTTCCGAGGTGGCTGGTAAGGACATAGCTGAGAACGAGAATTCAGAAATAGATGTAAGTGTGAAAGTAGAAGTAATAAGCTCAATGCAATAGTCTTAGAAATCTGTGTGACATCCATGTAAAAAGATTTTCTTTCTCCTGAGACACAGAAGTAGGATTGCCAGGTAAAATATAAGATGCCCAGCTAAAACTGAATTTCAGATAAACAACAAATAATTGTTTAGGATAAGTATCCCCCATTTAATACTTAGAACATATGAAACTAAATAATTATTTCCCAGTTATCTGAAATTCAAACTTAATTCAGCATTCTATATTTGTAAAATCTAGCCACTCCACTCAAAAGCAAAAGTAGGATTAAAAATGTGTTAGTCAGGGGTGGAGCAAGATGGCAGAATAGAATCCTACACTGTTCATTCCCCCAACAGGAACACCAAATTTTAACAACTATCGTCATGCAGAAAAGCACCATCACAAGAACCAAAAATCAGATGAGCAATCACAGTACCTGGTTTTAACTTCATATCATGGCAAGAGGTATTGAGGAGGGCAGGAGAGATAGTCTTGAATTGCTGATGCCACCCTTCCCCCATCCCCCCAAAGCAGCCATGCAGCATGGAGCTAAGTCTGTGCAGTTGTGGAAGGGAGAGCACAGTGACTTGAGAGACTTTACATTGAACTTAGCGCTACACTGTCACAACATAGAGCAAAGTCATACTGGATTCAGCTAGCACCAGCACACAGAAGGAACATTTGGACCAGATCTAGACAGAGGGGAATTGCCCATCCCAGTGTTTGGAACTTGAGTTTCTTAGCAAACCTTGCCCCATGGGCCAATAGTGCTCTGGCGTACTAGGTAAACTTGAAAGGGCAACTAGGACACAAGGACTGCAACTCCTAGGCAACTCCTAGGGCTGGGCTGAGCTAAAAGCCAGTGGGCTTTAGGGGCATGTGACCTGGAGAGACACCAATCATGGCAGCTAAAGGAGTACTGATGCCATTCCTCCCCTAACCCCAGACAGCACAACTCTCAGCAACAAAAGTGACTCTCTCCTTCTGCTTAAGGAGAGGAGAGCAAAGAGTAAAGAGGACTATGTCTTACATGTTGGATACCAGCTCAGCCACAGTAGGACAGAGCACTGGGCAGAGTTGTGAGGACCTCATTCCAGACCCTAGCTCCTGGATGACGTTTCTAGACACACTCTAGGCCAAAAAGGAATTCGCTGACTTCAAGGGAAGAACTCAGTCCTGGCAGGATTTACTACTTGCTAACTATAGCATCCTTAGGCCCTGAATAACCAGCAGCAATACCCAGGTAGTTCACCACGAGCCTTGGCCTCTGAAACATGCTGACTTCAAATGTAACCCAGCACATTCCTAGCTATGGATGCTGCAGTAAAAGACTCCCTCAGTTTGGGAAAAGTAAAGGGGACATTGTCTTGCACCTTAGGTACCAGCTTGGCCACAGTGGGGTGGAGCAACAAGCAGGCTCTTATAGTCCCTCAGTCCAAGACTAGGCTCTTGGACAGCACTTCTGGACCTGCCCTGGGCCGAAGAGAAGCCCATTGCCCTGATGGGTGAATCCCAGACCTGGCAGCATTCACCACAAGCTGACTGAAGAGCCCTTAGGCTTTATGTGAACATCAGCAGTGGCCTGGCAGAACCCTCTGTGGGCTGGTGGTGGCCACAGGGAGAGGCTCCTCTGCCTGTGGAAAGAGGAAGGAAGAACAGGAAGAACTTCGTATTGCGGTTTGAGTGTCAACTTTGCAGTAGTAGAACAGAACATCTGGCAAATTTCTAAGGTTTTTGACTCCAATCCCTGGCTCCTCGCCAGTATCTCTGGATACACCCAGGGTCTGGGAGAACTCTGAAGAGAAGGACACAAATCTGGCTTTACCACCTGCTGATTGTAGAGCCCTAGGGCCTTGAGTGAATATAGGTGGTAGCTTGGTAGTGGTTACAGCGGGCATTGGGTGAGACCAGTTCTGTGCAGGCTTTAGGTCTGACCCAGCAGAGTGCCAGTGGTGGTAGCCACAGGGGTGCTTATACCACCACACCCCAGTTCCAGGCAGCTCAGCACAGAGAGAGGCACTCTATTTGTGTGGGAGAAAGTAAGGGAAAAGAGCAAGAGTCTCTGCCTGGTAATCCAGAGAATTCTTCTGGATCTTATTCAAAACCACCAAGGGTCCCTCTATAAGTCTGCAAAAACTATAGCATTATTGGGCTTGTGGCCCAAGTGCCTTCAAATAAATAGAAAGCCTTCCCAGGAAGGATGGACACAAACAAGCCCAGAATGCAAAGACTGCAATAAATACCTAACTACTTAATGCCCAGACACAAACAAACATCTACGAGCATCAAGACCACCCAGGAAAATATGACCTCAACAAATGAACTAAATAAGCTACCAGGGACAAATACTGGAAAAGCAGAGATATGTGACCTTTCAGACAGAGAATTCAAAATAGGTGTTTTGAGGAAACTCAAACAATTTGAAGATAACACGGAGAAGGAATTCAGAATTCTATCAGATAAATTTAACAAAGAGATTAAAATAATTTTTAAAAATGAAGCAAAAATTCTAGAGTAAAAATGCAGCCAGGCGCGGTGGCTCATGCCTGTAATCCCAGCACTTTGGGAGGCCGAGGCGGGTGGATCACGAGGTCAGGAGTTCAAGACCAGCCCGGCTAACATGGTGAAACCCCATCTCTACTGAAAAAAAAATACAAAAATTAGTCGGACATGGTAGCACGTGCCTGTAATCCCAGCTACTTGGGAGGCTGAGGCAGGAGAATCGCTTGAACCCAGGAGGCAGAGGTTGCAGTGAGCCGAGACCGCACCACTGCTCTCCAGCCTGGTAACAGAGCGAGACTCTGTCTCAAAAAAAAAAAAAAAAGAATGCAATTGACATACTGAAGAATGCATCAGAGTCTCTTAATGGCAGAACTGATCAAGCAGAAGAAAGAATGAGTGAGCTTGAAGACAGGCTATTTGAAAACATACAGTGAAGGAGACAAAAGAAAAAAGAATAAAAAGCAATGAAGCACATGTACAAGATTTAGAATAGCCTCAAAAGGACAAATCTAAGAGTTACTGGACTTAAACAGGAGGTAGAGAAAGAGATAGGGGTAGAAAGTTTATGCAAAGGGATAATATCAGAGAACTTCCCAAACCTAGAGAAAAAATCACTATCCAAGTACAAGAAGATTACAGAACACCAAGCAGATTTAATCTAAAGAAGACTACCTCAAGGTATTTAATAATCAAATTCTCCAAGATTAAGGATAAAGAAAGAATCCTAAAAGCAGCAAGAGAAAAAAACAAACAATATATAACGGAGCTTAAATACACCTGGCAGCAGACTTTACAAGCCAAGAGAGAGTGGCATGACATATTAAAAGTGCTGAAAAACAAAATAAAACAAAACAAAAACCTTTACCTTAGAATACCATATCAGGCAAAAATATTCTTCAAGCATGAGGAAGAAATAAAGACTTTCTCAGACAAACGAAAGCTAAGGGAGTTCATCAATACCAAATGTGTCTTACAAGAAATGCTAAAGGGAGTTCTTCAACCTTTAAGAAAAGGATATAAATGAGCAGAAGAAATCATCAGAAGGTACAAAACTTACTGGTAGTAGTAAAACACAGAATATTATAACACTATAATTGTGATGTATAAACTACTTTTAAGCGGAAAGACTAAAATCAAAATCAAAAATAATAACTACAACAACTTTTCATGACGTAGTACAATAAAACATAAAGAGAAACAACAAAAAATTAAAAAGCAGGGGGTACAAAGTTAAAATTTATAGTTTTTATTAATTTTCTTTTTGTATGTTTGTGAAATTAGTGTTAAGTTGTTATCAGTTTAAAATAATGGGTTATAAAATAGTATTGGAAAGCTTCATGGTAACCACAAATCAAAAAACATATAACATATAGCCCAAGAATAAAAAGTAAGAAATTAAATTATACTACCAGAGAAAACTGTATTCACTAAAAGGCAGACAGGAAGGAAGGAAAGAAGCAAGAGAGGGCTACAAAACAAGCAGTAAAAAATACTAAAATGGCAGGAGTGAGACCATGATAAGAGGCTCATAAAAATAAGCCATTAACTAGAGAAAATACTTTAAAACCACAAATATTATCTGAAAAATATGTCTGACCAAGGGGTCATGCCCAGAATTTATTTAAAAAACTGTCTCACAATGACAGTAGTAAAACAAGCAATTCAAGTAGAAAGTACGTAAATGACTTGAACTGACACTTCTCTAAAGAAGATATATGGATGGCAAATAAATACATCAAACGATGTTAAATTTTGCTAGCCGTTAGGAAAACACAAGTTAAAAACTCAAGATACCACTGCACACCTGTTAAAATGGTAATAAAAACACTGATAACACTGATAATACTATCATGCTAATAAATGCTAGTGAAGATAGGTGGAAAGTGAGTAACTCACACATTGCTGGTAGGACTTACCAGTGGGTATTTATCCTAGAGGAGAGAAAACTTAAGTACACATAAAAACCTGTACATGAATGTTCATAGCAGCTTTATTTGTAACAGCTAAAAACTAGAAACAATATGTATATCTTTCCATAGGTTCATGATTAAACTGTCTGTGACATATCCATAAAATGGAATATTACTCAGCAATGTAACAGTATAAAATACTATTAATACATGCAGCAACTTGGATGAATCTTAAGGATATTATGCTGAGTGAAGAAAAGCCAATCTAAAGTAGTTGCATATTTTAGGATTCATTTAGATAGAATTATAAAATGACAAAATTACAGCAATGGAGAGTAGATACATCTTATAGTTATACCCTCCATTTGTTCTTTTAGTTATACCCTCCTTTTAGTTATACCCTCCATAACTTTTGGAAGTTATGGAAGAGGATGGAGGGTATAACTATAAGGAGTTAGCACTGTGATGTTCCATTGTGGTGAAGGAATAGTTCTGTATCATGGATTTAATAGTGGTTTTACAAATCCATATATACAATAAAATATCATAGAATTACACATAAATATGTGCAAAAAAAGTGATGCAAAAAGTAGTGAAAGGTCTGTAGTCTAATTAGGTCTGTAGTTTATTTAATTGTATTGTGTCAATCAATTCTCTGTTTCTGATAATTCACTATAATTACATAAGATGTCACCATTGTGGAAGCTGCCTGATGGGTGCATGGGGACTCTATTTTTGCAATGCTCTGAGTGTCTACAATTATTTCAATCTAAAAGGTTTTCTTAATGTTTTCTTAAAGTCTCATTTGGATAGCAGTGGTAATCCTAAAAGTGGATGAGTCTAGTCCAGGAGAATGGCATTTACTGAAGAGATCTGGCCACAGAACATAAGATAGCCAAATGTTTGCTGCACAAAGCCAGCAAATGTCACAGAAGAAGAAATCACATCAGAGAGCCAGGCAAGTGTGACTCATGGTCTGAGAGTAAAAGGAAAATAGATTTTCATTTAAAAAGCAGTGGTAGGCTGGGCACGGTAGCTCAAGCCTGTAATCACAGCACTTTGGGAGGCCAAGGCAGGCAGATCACCTGAGGTCAGGAGTTCGAGACCAGCCTGGCCAACATGGTGAAATCCCCTCTCTACTAAAAATACCAAAAAAAAAAAATTATCCAGATGCGGTGGCACACACCTGTAGTCACAGTTACTTGGGAGGCTGAGGCTGGAGAATCTCTTGAACCTGAGATGCAGAGCTTCTCGTGAGCCCAGATTGTGCCACTGTACTCCAGCCTGGGTGACAGGGTGAAAGTCCATCTCAAAAAAAAAAAAAAAAAAAAAGCAGTGGAGGGGCTTTTTTTTTTCTTGTAAATTTGTTTAAAAGTTCTTTGTAGGTTCTGGATATTAGCCCTTTGTCAGATGGATAGATTGCAAAGATTTTCCCCCATTCTGTAGGTTGCCTATTCATTCTGATGATAGTTTCTTTTGCTGTGCAGAAGCTCTTTAGTTTAATTAAATCCCATTTGTCAATTTTGGTTTTTGTTGCCATTGCTTTTGGTGGTTTTGTCATGAAGTCTTTGCCCATGCCTATGTCCTGAATGGTACTGCCTAGTTTTTTTTTTTTTTTTTCCTAAGGTTTTTATGGTTTTAGGTCTTATGTTTAAGTGTTTAATCTATCTTGAGTTAATTTTTGAATAAAGTGTGAGGAAGGGGTCCAGTTTCAGTTTTCTGCATATGGCTAGCCAGTTTTCCCAACACCATTTATTAAATAGGGGATCCTCTCCCCATCGCTTTTGTCAGGTTTGTCAAATATCAGATGGTTGTAGATGTGTGGCGTTATTTCTGAGGCCTCTGTTCTGTTCCACTGGTCTATATCTCTGTTTTGGTACCAGTACCATGCTGTTTTGGTTACTGTAGCCTTGTAGCATGGTTTGAAGTCAGGTAATATGATGCCTCCAGCATTCTTCTTTTTGCTTAGGATTGTCTTGGCTATATGGGCTTCTTGGTTCCATATGAAATTTAGTTTTTTCCAATTCTGTGAAGAAAGTGAATAGTAGCTTGATGGGGATAGCATTGAATCTATAAATTACTTTGGACAGTATGGCCATTTTCATGATACTGATTCTTCCTACCCATGAGCATGGAGTGTTTTTCCATTTGTTTGTCTCCTCTCTTATTTCCTTGAGCAGTGGTTTGTAGCTCTCCTTTAAGAGGTCCTTCACCTCCCTTGTAAGTTGTATTCCTAGTTATTTTATTCTCTTTGTAGCACTTGTGAATGGGAGTTCACTCATGATTTGGCTCTCTATTATTGGTGTATAGGAATGCTTGTGATTTTTGCGTAGTGATGGGACACTTCTCAAAAGAAGACATTTATGTGGCCAAAAAACATAGGAAGAAAAGCTTATCATCACTGATCATTAGAGAAATGGAAACAGAAACCAAAATGAGATACCATCTCATGCCAGTTAGAATGGTGATCATTAGGCCGGGCGCGGTGGCTCACGCCTGTAATCCCAGCACTTTGGGAGGCCAAGACGGGCGGATCACGAGGTCAGGAGATCGAGACCATCCTGGCTAACACGGTGAAACCCCGTCTCTACTAAAAATACAAAAATTAGCCGGGCATGGTGGCGCGTGCCTGTAGTCCCAGCTACACGGGAGGCTGAGGCAGGAGAATGGCGTGAACCCGGGAGGCGGAGCTTGCAGTGAGTCGAGATCGCGCCACTGCACTCCAGCCTGGGCGACAGAGCGAAACTCCGTCTCAAAAAAAAAAAAAAAAAAAAAAGAATGGTGATCATTAGAAAGTCAGGAAACAACAGGTGCTGGAGAGGATGTGGAGAAATAAAAACACTTTTACACTGTTGGTGGGAGTGTAAATTAGTTCAACCATTGTGGAAGAGTGTGGTGATTCCTCAAGATCTAGAACCAGAAATACCATTTGACCCAGCAATCCCATTACTGGGTATATACCCAAAGGATTATAAATCAATCTACTATAAATACATATACACATGTATGTTGCAGGAAGTCAGGGACCCCGAACGGAGGGACCAGCTGGAGCTGCAGCGGAGGAACATAAATTGTGAAGATTTCATTTTAATATGGACATATATCAGCTCCCAGATAATACTTTTATAATTTCTTATGCCTGTCTTTACTTCAATCTCTGAACATAAATTGTGAAGATTTCATTTTAATATGGACATTTATCAGTTCCCAAAATTAATACTTTTATAATTTCTTATGCCTGTCTTTACTTTAATCTCTTAATCCTGTTATCTTTGTAAGCTGAAGATGTACGTCACCTCAGAACCACTATGATATTTGTGTTAACTGTACAAATTGATTGTAAAACGTGTGTTTGAACAATATGAAATCAGTGCACCTTGAAAAAGAACAGAATAACAGCGATTTTCAGGGAACAAGGGAAGATAACCGTAAGGTCTGACTGCCTGCGGGGTAGGGCAAAATAGAGCCATATTTTTCTTCTTGCAGAGCACATATAAATGGACGCGCAAGTAGGGAAGATATCACTAAATTCTTTTCCTAGCAAGGAATATTAATAATTAATACCCTGGGCAAGGAATGCACTCCTGGGGAGAGGTCTATAAATGGCTGCTCTGGGAGTGTCTGTCTTATGTAGTTGAGATAAGAACTGAAATACACCCTGATCTCCTGCAGTACCCTCAGGCTTACTAGGATTGGGAAACTCCACCCTGGTAAATTTGTGGTCAGACCGGTTCTCTGCTCTAGAACCCTGTTTTCTTTTGTTTAAGATGTTTATCAAGACAATACGTGCACAGCTGAACATAGACCCGTATCAGTAGTTCTGATTTTGCCCTTGTCCTCTTTCCTCAAAAACATGTGATCTTTGTTCTGCCTTTTGCCCTTTGAAGCATGTGATCTTTGTGACCTACTCCCTGTTCATATACCCCCTCCCCTTTTGAAATCCTTAATAAAAACTTGTTGGTTTTGCGGCTCAGGTGGGCATCACTGTCCTACCGATATGTGATGTCACCCCTGGTGGCCCAACTGTAAAATTCCTCTCGTTGTACTCTTTCTCTTTATTTCTCAGCCAGCTGACACTTATGGAAAATAGAAAGAACCTACATTGAAATATTGGAGGTGGGTTCCCCCAATACATATATGTTTATTGCAGCACTGTTCACAATAGCAAAGACTTGGAACCAATCCAAATGCCCATCAATGATAGACTGGATAAAGAAAATGTGGCACATATACACCATGGAATACTAAGCAGCCATAAAAGAAGATAATTTCATGTCCTTTGCAGGGACATGGATGAAGCTGGAAACCATCATTCTCAGCAAACTAACACAAGAAGAGAAAACCAAACACAGCATATTCTCACTTATAAGTGAGAGTTGAACAATGAGAACACATGGACACAGGGAGGGGAACATCACACACTGGGGCCTGTTAGGGGCTGGCGGGGCTATGGGAGGCATAGCATTAGGAGAAATACCTAATGTAGATGATGGTTTGATGGGTGCAGCAAACCACCATGGCACATGTATACCTATGCAACAAATCTGCACGTTCTGCACATGTATTCCAGAACTTAAAGTATAATAAAACATAAAAAAAAATAAGAAAATCAGAGAAAGAGGGAATGTTTACTCCAAAAGGATGACCCCCTAAGGGTGAACTCTCAGGTATTTGAGGGCTAAGGGAGGCATCAAGGTGCAAATAGTACTCTATGGAAACTTCTCTGCTCCAGAGCCCCCAGTCTTTGAAATTTGTGTGATTGGGACAAATTTTGTAAGAAACATCCAAATATATTCTGGTTTAGTGAAAATTGTGGCCTGTTGCCCTGGTTTTTACCGACCCTGCTTAATCTCTTACCTAAGGGGGGCATCTACAATAAAGAATCTATTTTCATTCTAAAAAAAAAAAAAAAGCAGTGGTGACAAACAGCATCAACTGTGAAAAGGGGTGGTGGTCCAGCAGCCTGGTGCTGAAAATGAACACTGATCTAGGAGCAGAGGGACAAAAGAAAATAGAAACATCCAGTGAACTCTTTCAATAAATTTAACAGAAAGAAAAGGCCACATCAATAGATTAAGCAGAGATGAAGGGAAAAGATGAAACTTGTCTTAGGATAGAGAAATCCTGAACACTTAAAGATGAGGAGTCCTGTAGGAAGAGAGAAAGCTTGCATATTGAAAACAGGAGATTATAAATGACAGAGAAGATACCCCCAAAAAGAGCAAAGGAGGTAGGATCATGTGTTCAGACAGAAGGTTATGCATTATAGATACAAAGTACATTTCTAGTTCACATGAACATGGAACTAAATGTGACCAAATCAGAGATACAAATATTTGAATTTTGAAAGCATTATAGTATGAATGACTGCTATTGATAATAATTGATTCCTTAAATTTAGGCTTGTATAGTTTTTTAAAAATATGTTATTTTAAGGAATCAAAACTAAAACTGGCCATCACAATTATGCTTCACCTAAAGACATATAATTCTTATTCATGAGCCTGGTGAAGGTAATTCTCTGCTGGGCATGATGATAAGATTGTTGAACTTGTGCTGACTTATGTCCCTAAAACTAAATGATGCTGTGAATAACTTTGCTTTCTTCTGCATTTTTATTAGTTTGAAATGTTTAAATATTTATATACATAAGAATTTTAAAGTAAAACTCATGTTATATGGAAGTCACATTAAAAAATAAATAGGTTATTTATTTAAGTCTTATAAAGCTAGGAATCTGTTTTTTCCTAAGGGAGATATTTAATGATCAGACTTGTATAATAATTAAGTGATAATAAATCGCACTTATGTGTGAAGCCAAGCTAGCTGACATTAACCTTGTTTGAAATGCGTTGGTCACCTACATTTTTGACATGGATTACAGACCTATGATTGATAATAAAAGAAAACAATCTCCAGGAAATGAAAACTATGACTTTGCTTGAAGCATTGAAAAGTCATCAAAGTACTGGGAAATGGCTAACAATATTTTACTGACAAGAGGAAAGACAAGAACCTTGAATAATTGGGAGCAGGTTAGGCTTTCTTATTTTCATTTGTGTGGGACCATAGCTTTGAGCCATACTTTCTGCATGAATGCATCGTGTCCATGTCTAGCACCAAAAATGTCAGGGCCAAGTGTGATTGGTAACAAATATACAAGTATGAAAATTCAAATGAAAGTTCTGGAAAGATACACATTAGATTGTTAACCGGAGTTATCTCAGAAAAGATAAATTGAGGGAGGGATTTTAGAGGAAATTTTGTTTTTACTCTCTATACTTCTGTATCATTTTAGCTTTTTCTCTATCAAGTACGTGTTCATGTTTTACATGTGTAATTAAATAAATTGCTATATAAAAGTAAATAAGATATTAAATAAAATATTTGATATATTCATAGGTATTCCCTCATAGTGTTATAAAGATTACATGAAATCATATACAATGTGGGAGTACTCAATGAAAGTTAGCTGTTGTTATTATTCTACTATTTTGCCAAGATACTGAGACTAATTCTCTGAATGGAACAAGACAGACTAAAGATGGTTGCAAATTGATACTCTTCCTATAGAGAGATGGACTCTACTTCCTTCTTGTTGAATCTGGGCTGGCCTATGACTGGTTTGACCAATAAAGTATGAAGGAAATCATGCCATTCTGGTTCTGAGGCCAGGCTTTAAAACAACTACCAGCCTTTTTCTTAGTTGCATGGAGCTCTGAGTCACTATATAAGAAGGTCAGCTACCCTTAGGCTGCCATGCTGTAAGAAGTTGAGGCCACGTGAAGAGGTCTCACCAAAGTGACAAATATGTGAATTAGGATGACATCTTGAAAATGAAGTCTTTTGGAAACGACACAGGTAAATCATACGAATTATCCAGACAAACATTACCAGACCCACAAAGTGGGTAACAATAAAATGATTTTTAAACCTCTGAGATATGAGGTAGTTTGATATACAGTTATTTTGTAGCAAACAATACACAAAACAGTCTGTTTTACATCCTATAAAGGAATACCTGAGGCTAGGTAATTTATAAAGAAAAGAAGTTTATTTGGTTCACAGCTCCATGGGCTGTACAAGCATGACACCAGCAACTACTCTGCTTCTGATGGGAACCTCAGGAAGCTTACAATCATGACAGAAGGTGAAGGGGAAGCAGGCATGTCACATGGTAAAAGAGGAGTAAGACAGAGGGACAGGAAGTCCTAGAATCTTTTTTTAACAATCAGATCTTGTAGTAACTCATGGCCACAGGGAAGGCACCAAGCCATTCATAAAGGATATTCTCTCATGACTCAAACACTTCCCATTAGGTCCATCTCCAGCACTGGAGGTCACATTTCTACATGAGATTTGGAGGGAACAAAACATGCAAACTATATTAGTTATAGATTACCAAAACAGTGTATTTAAAGAAGAATTTACCTTTCTTCTTTTCATATCATCATTTTCTAATTTTTCTGCAATAATAATGTAATTCTTTAATATACAAATAAATTATAAACTAGAGAAACTATTTTGGTCTAAGTGAAAAACTTGAGACATGACGGATTAATTTCCAGTAGAAAAGCACTCTACAAAAACAATCAATAAAGTTGGATATGTCTGTATATCTATATGTGCATATCTATTAAATGACCCATTGATGGCTGCAGAAGCAATGAGAATTTAAGGACTAAATTTTTACACATCGGAAATTATAGGTATTGAGTTAATGGACTGCAACTATCTGCTCTTTGGGGACATTTGTTGACATTTAACTTATGCTAGAGGCTGAAAATCTGGGATTGGCCCAGGGACAAGGTTTCTGCTTGGGGAAGGTAAAACCAGGAGCGCTTCTGGCATTACTATGGGAATGAAGCGATACATCTGGAAACTTTGAAGGACCTCAACACACAATTGGTTTTTTCTTCAAGCTATTTGCCAAATGTTGAAGTATAGTGAGGTGACAAAGCTCAGGGACACACCATTGAAAACACTGGTGAGAATAGTGAACAGATTACCTGCAGCTGTATTTTCCCTGGGGGATTTCTCCATTTCTGAACACAGAACAGAATTCTAGTCAGCAAAAACAAAAAGCCAGCAGAAAGGGCATTCTCAATAGAGCTAAAGCAAAAAAAAATTAGAATAGATATTCCAAGTAGAAAGCTAACTTTATCACAGTGGATAAAAATCAAAAACAAACAATATGTTGCCTATAAGAGACATGCCTTCAGTATGAGAACAACGAAATAGTTAACCTAAAATTGAAAAACATACCATGCATACACTAACCAAGGAAAGCTGGATTAGCTATGCTAATATCACACAAGGCAGACTTGAATAACTAGGGAAACAGAATATCTCATCATGATAAAGTGGTAAACACAACAAGAAGCTATAACAATTCTAAATCCAGACATTTGTAATAAAATATCTTCAAAAATATTCAAAGTAAAAACTGACGCAACATTAGAAAGAGAAATAGACACATTCACAGAATGAAGCCATTAGCACAGTTTCTGTAGTACTTGATATAATAGGCAAACACAAAACATTTCATAAGGACACGTGAATTAGCATTAACTACAATTAACAAAACTGATCTATTTGACATATATGTAGAACAGCCCTCAACAGTAACATAATTTATATTATTTTCAGAATTATATCGTGATGAAACTTTAGCCAAATTTGATACCACACTCTGGGTTATAAAACAGATTTTACCAAATTTTATTAAAATTAAAATTTTTCTTATTTTGTTTTGTGAATAGAGTAAAATTAATTTAGACTTCAGTAATAACTCAATACAACCTTTAAAAAACTAGAAAATACCTACTGAAATAAAAGTATAGACAAATAAATTAGAAATAATAAGCCTCTTATACATGAAATAGTAAACTTCTAACTCACCCATGGGTCAAAGAACAAAACACAACAGAAATATAAAAATAATATGAACAAAATGATAATCAACTAGTGAGATGTAGCAGGACGAAACTAGTGGGATGCAGCAAAATTAGTGCTTAAAAGGAAGTTTAGCCTTAGTACATATACTAGAAGAGAAACAAGCCTAAAAATAAATTAATTCAGCTTTTGTCTCAAGAAGCTAGAAATAAACAATCAAACCAGAAAATGTATAAAGAAGGAAATAATAAAGACAAAAACAAATCGGTGAAATAAAAAAACAAATATTCAGTTAAAAAAATACAAAGCCAAAGGCTGATAGTTTGAAAGGATCAGTAACACTGGGAAACCCCTAGCAAAGCAGAACAAGAAAACAGAACGAAAAAGAAAAATTAAAAAGGAGAACACTAAAAAATATGAACATAAATAATTAAAGATATCAATAATATGAAGATACTGAAAATCTTTATAGTAATAAATTTGACTGTTTAGATTAAATGGACAAATAATGTTTAAAAACACTGCTCATAAATCATATAAGAAAAAATAAAATGAGTAGTGACATCAACAAGATGGCAGATAGAAGCTCCTAGCATTCTTTCTCTCACAAGAAAAAAATAAATGAATTCATTAAATGACTAACAACTATATTTCAACCAAAATAACTAAAGGAGGGTTCCAGAAAATAGCAAAGAAGCAGTGGAAATATTGTCAAGCCAAGAAATTCAGAATGGCCTCAAAGGAAAGCGAAAGAAACACCTGGCCTCAGCCACCCCATTGGCAGTGAGCATCAACTCAGAACTAGGGGAGACTCTTTCATGCAGGGAAATGGTAAGCAAGAGGACATGAGCAGCTCCCATCACCGCCGCAGCCACCTTAGTCTTTACTACTGGAGACTCCTGCAGTCTCACAGGCTTTGAGTCCAGCTGATGGAGCTTCCCAGAGTCCATACCCTGAGCTACCTCCAGAGAAAGAGCCTGTATTGTGCCCTCTTCCATGCCCCTAGCTGCTACTGCACTGCACCATCTTGGAACCAGAGTCACTGTATGTGGGCATCCTGCTCCCAGGGCAATAGACATTGCATCCCTCCATCTCTGAGGCTTTGCTGCCACTGCAACATGCCCACCCAATAGTGTGCAGCCCTGAGCCAACTGCTGCTATGACCTATCAGCTCAGAATAAGCTACTACAGAGTGATTTTATCCTCCTCATCTAGTTGCTGGTACAATTTCCCCTTAGGGCCAAACTGAAGTGGTAGCTCACCCCCAGGAGACTTCAGGCCTCCAGCAGAGTGGAGCAGTTGATCCCCCTACTCAGTGTCACAGGTGAGGAAGCACCTAATCCCCAGGGACCCTAAGCCTGTGGCACATCACAGCAGCTGCATCTCCCACTACCATAGCCTTCTCCCCTAAGGATGTGGAGGTTTCACTGACCCATGTAGCCATGCTTTCTGGAGCTAAGCAGGCATAGCACATTATATCCCAGGAATTAGAGCCTTGGCTGAACCGTGCCACCTCACCTTCCATGCTGAACTGCCACAATGCCCCACATACCTGGAACTGAACAAGCTCCCTGCAATGTGAGCTGCTGTGGCAACTTGCATCTCCAGAAAGTGGAGGCATTGCTATGCTACTCTCCACTCCCCATGGCCCAAGCCCCAGCAGCGTCTTGCCATTTCTGAGTCCTTGTTGCTGTTGTACCTGGCCTCACAAAGCCTAGCCTAGCGCCATGTCCCACTATCTCAAGATCTGGAGTCACCATTGTGTGCTAACTCATCAGCCAGATCCCAAGTTGCTGCTATGCTCCATTAGTTCTGGGCCACAATTGCATCTGTGCCCTGCTCCTCAGGAGCCGAGTCTCCAGAGCACCTCTTCTTCCCTAGAGCCTTGCCAGTGCTGCACCTTGCCCTCCAGGGTCAGAACCATAGCAACATTCCTGCTCCAAGGCAAAATATTCTAGGGTATGTCTCAGAGCAACAAATACTGGATTAGTGAAAGGACTGCATCCTGTGTTTTGGAAAATGAACCTGCGCCTCAAGTCCCAGGTACTACAGTAGTTTTGCAAGATCCTGAGCCCAGGAATCTAGCTCCACAGCCTCTCTAGGCACCTGTGCCCTGACTTTTCATGGTGCCATGGCTGCCTGTGGATTGTGTCAAACATGATTCCTTCAGCTAAACACAATAGAGAGATTCCCTCTGCTAAACACAATAATTCTCCAGTAAGTGATGCCCAAAAAATGAAAATTTACAAATTTACAAATTGAGTGTAGATCAAACAGAAGAAAGAATCTGTGAACTAGAAGATAACTCTTTTAAAGCAATTCAATCACAGGGTAAAAGAATAAAAAGAATGAAGATAGCCTATGGGATTTATGGGGCACCATTAACAAATTTTCATATTACAGCAGTTTTAAAAGAGGAAAAGACAGAGAAAGAGGCAGAAAGTTTCTTTAACAAAATAATTGCTGAAAACTTCTCAAGTCTTGAAAGAAATATGGGCAACCAGATCCATGAGGATCAAAAGTCCAAAAACAGATACAACTAAAGAGGTTCTCTCTGAGGCATATTATAATAAAACTGTCAAAATCAAAAGACAAAGAGATAATTTAAAAGGAAAAAGAAAAGCATCAAGTCACATGTAACGGAATCACAGTAATATTATCATTGAATTTCTCAGGGGAAATCTTATAGGCCAGAAAAAATGGGATGGTATATTCAAAGTTATGAAAGAAAATAATTGTCAGCCAAGAATACTATATCCAGCAGGACTGTCCTTCAGAAATGGAGGAGAATAAAGTCTTTCCCAAATAAGCAAAAGCTAAAGAAATTTGTTACCATTAGACCGGTCCTATAAGAAATGCTTCAAGGAGCTCTTCAAAGGAAACTAAAGGATGATAATTACTATCATGAATACATATGAAAGTATAAAAGTCACTGGTACATACAGAGAGTTTATATTTAACTCAGAAATAAAGTCAAATCCAGAATATTCAGTACTGAAATAATGGTATATAAATTATACATATCCCTAGTATGACAGCTAAAAGTCAAAACAGTTAAAAATAACAAAAGTTATAACAAGTTGTTAAGGATTAAACATATAAAAATACACAAATTGTAACATCAAAAACGTAAGTTGTGTGTGAGGGAGTGGAAGTCTAGAGTTTTTGTACGTGAAGAAGTCGAGTTGTCATCAGCTTTAAATAGTTGATAACAAAATATTTTATGTAAGCCTCAGGGTAATCACAAAAAAAACTATAGAAGATATACAAACAATAATGAGAAAGTAATGAAATCTTAACAATTCAGAATATTATCAAATCACAAAGGCAGACAACAAGAGAGAAAGAAAAGAGCAGAAGAGATACAAAACAACCAAAAACAAATAACCAAATGGCAATAGGGAGTCCTTATCTATCACTAATGACCTTGAATGTAAATGGATTAAATTCTCCAATCAAAAAACAGAGTGGCTGAATTAATGTTTTTTAAAAATAAGAGCCAACTACATGTTGACTAAAAGAGACCCACTTGAGCTCTAAGAACACACATAGGCTGAAAGCGAAGGGATGAAAGAAGATATTCAATGCAATTGGTAACCAAAAGAGAGCAGGCTAACTATGCTTATAAATGAGAAAACAGACTTCAAGTCACAAAGTGTTAAAAGAGACAAAGAAGGTCATTATTTCAATGAGTGAATCCAAGAGAATATAACCACTGTAAATATCTATGGCACAACATCAGAGCATCTAAATACACAAAGCAAATATTAATGGATATGAAGGGAGAAATAAACTGCAATGCGACAGTAGGGAACTTCAATATTCCATTCAACAATGGACAGATCAACTAGAGAGAAGGTCCATAAGTAAATACTGAAATTTTTTTTTTTTCTTTTTGAGAAGGAGTCTCACTCTGTCACCCAGGCTGGAGTGCAGTGGCGCGATCTCGGCTCACTGCAAGCTCAGCCTCCCTGCAAGCTCAGCCTCCCAGGTTCATGCCATTCTCCTGCCTCAGCCTCCCAAGTCGCTCGAACGACAGGTGCCTGCCACCACACCTGGCTAATTTTTTGTATTTTTAGAAGAGACAGGTTTCACTGTGTTAGCCAGGATGGTCTCGATCTCCTGACCTCGTGATCCGCCTGCCTCAGCCTCCCAAAGTGCTGGCATTACAGGCATGAGCCACCGCTCCCAGCCAAGTAAATACTGAACTTTAATTGTACTTTTGAACAAATGGACCTAACACAAATACAAGACTTCCCATTTAACAACAGTAGAATACATATTTTTTTCCAGCACACGTAGAATATTTTTTAGGCTAGATCGTATGTTAAATTTGTTAAACCAAGTCTTAACACATTTAAGAAGATTGAAATTACATATATCATTATTTCAGGCCACTTTGGTAGAAAACTGGAAATCAACAGAAGGAATTTTGGAAAATTCATAAATACGTGGAAATTGAACAGTATACATCTGAACAACAAATGGATCAAATAAGAAATTAAAAGGGAAATTTTAACATATCTTGAGACAAACAGCAATGGAAACACAACATAACAAAATTTATGGAATACAGCAAAAGAATTTCTAAGAAGAAAGTTTATAGCAATAACTGCTTACATTAAAAAAGAAAGATATTAAATCAATAGTCTAACATTATGTCTCAAGGAAATAGAAAACACAACAAACTAAACCTAAAATTAGCAGAAGGAAGGAAATAATAAAAACGAGAACAAAAATAAGTCAAATAGAGAACAGAAAAAACACAGAAATAATAAAACTGAGTTAGTTTTATGAAAAATTAAATGGGCAAATCTTCAATTAGTCTAAGAAAAAGAGAAGGAAAAATGGCAGATAAGTAACAGGAATAAGGTGCACCTCCTGCTAAGATAGACAGAACAGCATCAGGAGACTCACATTGTGAACTTTTGCTCTATGAACCACCACAGGAACATACCAGGAAAACCAAAAGAATTCACAGATCCTTTGAAAGCAGTGGCTTGCCGCTGCAAACACTCCAAGACAGCTAAAAACCTGTGAGCTCCCAAAGTGTGAGGGGGAAAAGTAGTCCTCTGAACACAAATCCCCACTGGGAAACCTGAAAATCCAGATCATGGAAGGATTTAACCTTACCTAGAGCTAAAATGGATTTACAGAGCCAAGCTAAATATAAAAGTAGAAGCAGCAGCAGGAAGAGCCCTCTAGGCACTCCTGGTCCTCAGCTCAAGCACAGGGAGGCCATATCTGGTCTTATCTCACAGAGGTCCTTGGGGAAAAGAAGGCAACCAGCAGAATTGGGGAGGGTCCACAGAGTGAAGGAAGCTCCTAGCTGAACTTCGTAATAAGTTCGACTGAATATATATATATCTCATGCCAATGGAAGGAAATTAGTCCTAATTTTATATATATATATACACACACACACACACACACACACACACACACACACACACCATGGAACACTACTCACCCATACAAAGGAATGAAATAATGGCATTTGTGGCAATCTAGATGTAGCTGGAGACCATTATTCTAAGTGAAGTAGCTGAGCAATGGGAAATCAAATGTTGCATGTTCTCACTTGTAAGTGAGAGCTAAGCTATGAGGACACAAAGGCATAAGAATGATAAACAAACTTTGGGAACTTGGGGTGGGGGAGGGATGGGAAGGGGATGAGGGATAAAAGACTATACACTAGATACAGAGTATGTTGCTTGAGTGATGGGTGCACCAAAATCTCAGAAATTACCCACTGAAGAAATTTTCCATCCAACTAAACACCACCTTTTCCCCCAAAACTATTTAAATAAAAATAAAAATTAAAAAAGAATATACATCATGACAAAGTGGGATTTATCCCTGACATGTAAGGCTGGTTTAACATATGGAAATCAACGTGATACATCACATTTACAGAACAAAAGATACAAAAAAACCCACATAACTTTCTCAATTGACACTGAAAAAGCATTTGGCAAAGTCCAAAATCCTTTCTTGATAAAAATTTTTTTTTTCTTCTTCTTTTTTGGAGACGGAGTCTCACTCTGTAGCCAGGCTGAGTGCAGCGGCGCAATCTCGGCTCACTACAAGCTCCACCTCCTGGGTCCACGACATTCTCCTGCCTCAGCCTCCCGAGTAGCTGGGACTACGGGGACACGCTGCCATGCCTGGCCAATTTTTTGTATTTTTAGTAGAGATGGGGTTTCACCATGTTAGCCAGGATGGTCTCAATCTCCTGACCTCGTGATCTGCCCGCCTTGGCCTCCCAAAGTGCTAGGATTAAAGGAGTGAACCACCACACCCAGCCAATAAAAACTGTTAACAGTTTAGGTAAACAAAGAAATTTCTTCAACATAATAAAGGCCATTTATGAAAACTCTACAACTAACATTATAATCAATGGGGAAAAACTAAAAGCTTTTCCACGAAGACCTGGTACAAGGCAAGGATGTCTACTCTTGCCACTTGTGTTCAACATACTACTGGAAGTCCCAGAAAGAGCAATCACATTAGAAAAAATAGACAAAAGGGCATTCAAATCAAAAAGAAGGAATTAAAACTATCTGTATTTGTAGATGACATGATTCTTTATGTATAAAACTGCAAGGATTTCACACAAAAAAACTGCTAGAACTAGTAAGCGAATTAACTAAAGCTGCAGAATACAAAACTAACACAAAAAAATCAGCAGCATTTTAATACACAAATAATGACTTAGCTGAAAAAGAAATCAATCAAACAATCCCACTTACAATAGCAACCAAAAATTTTTTTAGAAATACATTTAACCAAGGAGGAGAGAGACCTGTACACTGAAAACTGTAAAGCACTGTTAAAAGAAATTAAAGATGACATAAATAAACGTACAGGAAATGTATCTTGTTCTCATGGATTGGAAGAATATTGTTAAAATATTCATACTACCCAAAGCAATAAACAGATTCAAAGCAATTCCTATCAAAATCTCAATGACATTCTCCACAGAAATAGAAAAGCAATCCTAAAGTTTACATGGAAGCATAAAATGTTTGGCCAAATGGCCAAAACAATTCTGAGAAAGAAAAACAAAGTTGTAGGCATAGCACTGATTTAAAACTATATTACAAAGCTATAGTAATCAAAACAGTATCATACTGGCATAAAAAAAGACACAAAGATGAGTAGAATAGGACAGAGACCCAGAAATAAAACCAAACATATATGGTCAACTTTTTTTTTTTTTTTACCAGAACACCAAGAGGATACATGGAGGATTATCTTTTCAACAAATGGTGCTGGCAAAACTGGATTTCCACATGCAAAAGAATGAAATTGGACCCTTACCTTGTATCATACAAAAAAATCAACTCAAAATGGAATGCAGATTTAAATATAAGATCAGAAACTATGAAACTCCTACAAGAGAACACAGGGGAAAATCATCTGAACACTGGCCTCAGCAATGATTTTTTTTATACCATACTAAAAACTCAGGCAACAATAACAAAAATAAAAATATGGAACTACAACAAATTAAAAAGCATCTGTACAAGAAAGGAAACAACAAAATGAAACAGTCTACAGATTAGGAAAAAATATTTGCAAATTCTGTATCTGATGAAAGGTTAATATCCACAATTCATAGATAACACATACAATTCAATAATAAAAAAAAAATTTAAATGGGCAAAAGACCTGAATAGACATTTCTCCAAAGAAGACAAAAAAAAAATGGCCAACAGTTATATAAAAGGTGTTCCATATCATTAATCAAGGAAATGCAAACCAAACCACTGTGAGCTGTCACCTCACACTTGTTAGGGGGACTACTATCAAAAAGTCAAGAGATTCGTTCCAAGATGGCTGAATAGGAGCAGCTCTGGTCTGCAGCTCCCAGCATGATTGATGCAGAAGACGGGTGATTTCTGCATTTCCATCTGGGCTCTGAAGAGAGCAGTGGTTCTCCCAACATGGTGTTTGAGCTCTGAGAACGAACAGACTGCCTCCTCAAGTGGGTCGCTGACCCCCATGTAGCCTAACTGGGGGACACTTCTCAGTAGGGGCCAACAGACACCTCACATAGGTGGGTGCCCCTCTGGGACGAAGCTTCCAGAGGAAGGATCAGGCAGCAATATTTGCTGTTCTGCAGCCTCTGCTGGTAATACCCAGGCAAAAAGGGTCTGGAGTGGACCTCCAGCAAGCTCCAGCAGATCAGCAGCTGAGGGTCCTGACTGTTAGAAGGAAAACAACAAACAGAAAGGAATAGCATCATCATCAACAAAAAGGACATCTACACCAAAACCCCATCTGTAGGTCACCAACATCAAAGACCAAAGGTAGATAAAAACCACAAAGATGGGGAGAAACCACAGCAGAAAAGCAGAAAATTCTAAAAATCAGAGCGCCTCTTCTCCTCCAAAGGATTGCAGCTCCTTGCCAGCAATGGAACAAAGCTGGATGGAGAATGACTTTGGAGTTAACAGAAGTAGGCTTCAGAAGGTAGGTAATAACAGACTTCTCCAAGCTAAAGGAGCATATTCAAACCCATCATAAGGAAGCTAAAAACCTTGAAAAAAGGTTAGACGAATGGCTAACTGGAACAAACAGTGTAGACAAGAACTTAAATGACCTTATGGAGCTGAAAACTATGGCATGAGAACTTTGTGATGCATGCACAAGCTTCAATAGCTGACTCGATCAAGTGGAAGAAAGGATATCGGTGATTGAAGATCAAATTAATGAAATAAAACAAGAAAACAAGGTTAGAGAAAAAAGAGTAAAAAAAAACAAAGCCTCCAAGAAATATGGGACTATGTGAAAAGACCAAATCCACATCTGATGGGTGTACCAGAAAGTGATGGGGAGAATGGAACAAAGTTGGAAAACACTCTTCAGGATATTATCCAGGAGAACTTCCCCGACCTAGCAAGGCAGGCCAACATTCAAATTCAGGAAATACAGAGAACACCACAAAGATATTCCTCCAGAAGAGCAACCCCAAGACACATAATTGTCAGAAAAACCAAG
The DNA here is from genome assembly GCF_000001405.40 of Homo sapiens. NCBI lineage: Eukaryota > Metazoa > Chordata > Mammalia > Primates > Hominidae > Homo > Homo sapiens. The sequence continues at coordinate 126,087,674 of NC_000005.10, forward strand.
GTTGAAATGAAGGAAAAAATGTTAAGGGCAGCCAGAGAGAAAAAGTCGGGTCACCCACAAAGGGAAACCCATCAGACTAACAGTGGATCTCTCGGCAGAAACCCTGCAAGCCAGAAGAGAGTGGGGGCCAATATTCAACATTCTTAAAGAAAAGAATTTTCAAACCAGAATTTCATATCCAGCCAAACTAAGCTTCATAAGTGAAGGAGAAATAAAATCCTTTATAGGCAAGGAAATGCTGAGAGATTTTGTCACCACCAGGCCTGCCTTACAAGAGCTCCTGAAGGAAGCACGAAACACGGAATGAAACCACCAGTACCAGCCACTGCAAAAACATGTCAAATTGTAGAGACCATCAATGCTATGAAGAAACTGCATCAATTAACGGGCAAAATAATCAGCTAACATCATAATGGCAGGATCAAATTCACACATAACAATATTAACCTTAAATGTAAATGGGCTAAATGCCCCAATTAAAAGACACAGACTGGCAAATTGGATCAAGAGTCAAGTCCCATCAGTGTGCTGTATTCAGGAGACTCATGTCACATGCACAGACACACATAGGCTCAAAATAAAGGGATGGAGGAAGATCTACTAAGCAAATGGAAAGCAAAAAAGGCAGGGGTTGCAATCCTAGTCTTTGATAAAACAGACTTTAAACCAACAAAGATCAAAAGAGACAAAGAAGGCCATTACATAATGGTAAAATGATCAATTCGACAAGATGAGCTAACTATCCTAAATATATATGCACCCAATATAGGAGCACCCAGATTCATAAAGCAAGTCCTTAGAGACCTACAAAGAGACTTAGACTCCCACACAATAATAATGGGAGACTTTAACAACCTACTGTCAATATTAGACAGATCAACAAGACAGAACGTTAACTAGGATATCCAGGACTTGAACTCAGCTCTGAACCAGACCTAGTAGACATCTACAGAACTCTCCACCCCAAATTAACAGAATATACATTCTTTTCAACACCACATCACACTTATTCTAAAATTGACCACATAATTGGAAGTAAAGCACTCCTCAGCAAATATAAAAGAACAGGAAACACAACAAACTGTCTCTCAGACAGCAGTGCATCAAATTAGAACTCAGTATTAAGAAACTCACTCAAAACCACACAACTACCTGGAAACTGAATAACCTGCTCCTGAATGACTACTGGGTACGTAACGAAATCAAGGCAGAAATAAAGATGTTCTTTGAAACCAATGAGAACAAAGACACAATGTACCAGAATCTCTGAGACACATTTAAAGCAGTGTGTAGAGGGAAATTCATAGCACTGAATGCCCACAAGAGAAAGCAGAAAAGATCGAAAATTGACACCGTATCATCACAATGAAAAGAACTACAGAAGCAAGAGCAAACACATTCAAAAGCTAGCAGAAGGCAAGAAATAACTAAGATCAGAGCAGAACTGAAAGAGATAGAGACACAAAAAACCCTTTAAAATTTTAGTCAATGAATCCAGGAGCTGGTCTTTTGAAAAGATCAACAAAATTAATAGACTGCTAGCAAGACTAATAAAGAAGAAAAGAGAGAAGAATCAAATAGATGCAATAAAAAATGATAAAGGGGATATCACCACCGATCCCACAGAAATACAAACTACCATCAGAGAATACTATAAACACCTCTATGTAAATAAACTAGAAAATCTAGAAGAAATGGATAAATTCCTGGACACATACACCCTCCCAAGACTCAACCAGGAAAAAGTTGAATCTCTGAATAGACCAATAACAGGCTCTGAAATTGAGGCAATAATTAATAGCCTACCAATCAAAAAAAGTCCAGGACCAGACAGATTCACAGCCAAATTCTACTAGGGGTACAAAGAGGAACACGTACCATTCCTTCTGAAACTCTTCCAATCAATAGAAAAAGAGGGAATCCTCCCTAACTCATTTTATGAGGCCAGCATCATCCTGATACCAAAGCCTGGCGGAGAAACAAAAAAAAGAATTTCAGACCTGATGAACATCGATGCGAAAAACTTCAATGAAATACTGGCAAACCGAATCCAGCAGCTCCTCAAAAAGCTTATCCACCACAATGAAGTCAGCTTCATCCCTGGGATGCAAGGCTCCCTCAACATACACAAATCAATAAACGTAATCCATTACATAAACAGAACCCATGACAAAAACCACATGATTATCTCAACAGATGCAGAAAAGGCCTTCGAACAAATTCAACAGTCCTTCATGCTAAAAACTCTCAATAACCTAGGTATTGATGAAATGCATCTCAAAATAATAAGAGCTATTTATGACAAAACCACAGCCAATATCATACTGAATCGGCAAAAACTGGAAGCATTCCCTTTGAAAACTGGCAGAAGATAAGGATGCTGTTTCTCACCACTCCTATTCAACAATGTTGGAAGTTCTGGCCAGGGCAATCAGGCAAGAGAAAGAAATAAAGGGTATTCAATTAGGAAAAGAGGAAGTCAAATTGTCCCTGTTTGCAGATAACATGATTGTATATTTAGAAAACACCATTGTCGCAACCCAAAATCTCCTTAAGCTGATAAGCATCTTCAGAAAAGTCTCAGGATACAAAATCAACGTTCAAAAGTGACAAGCATTCCTATACACTGATAACAGACAAACAGAGAGCCAAATCATGAGTGAACTCCCATTCATAATTGCTACAAAGAGAGTAAGATACCTAGGAATGCAACTTACAAGGGATGTGAAAGACCTCTTGAAGGAGAACTACAAACCACTGCTCAATGAAATAAAAGAAGACACAAACAAATGGAAGAACATTCCATGCCCATGGATAGGAAGAATCAATATCATGGAAATGGCCATACTGCCCAAGGTAATTTATAGATTCAATGCCACCCACATCAAGCTACAAATGACTTTCTTCACAGAATTGGAAAAAACTACTTTAAAGTTCATATGGAACCTAAAAAGAGCCCTCATTGCCAAGACAATCCTAAGTAAAAAGAACAAAGCTAGAGGCACCAACGCTACCTGACTTCAAACTATACTACAAGACTACAGTAATCAAAACAGCATGGTACTGGTACCAAAACAGAGATATAGACCAATGGAACAGAACAGAGCCCTCAGAAATAACGCCACACATCTACAACCATCTGATCTTTGACAAACCTGAGAAAAACAAGCAATGGGGAAAGGTTTCCCTATTTAATAAATGGTGCTGGGAAAACTGGCTAGCCATATGTAGAAAGCTGAAACTGGATCCCTTCCTTACACCTTATACAAAAATTAATTCAAGATGGATTAAAGACTTACATGTTAGACCTAAAACCATAAAAACCCTAGAAGAAAACCTGGGCAATACTATTCAGGACATAGGCATGGGCAAGGACTTCATGACTAAAACACCAAAAGCATGTCAACAAAAGCCAAAATAGACAAATGGGATTTAATTAAACTAAAGAGCTCCTGCACACCAAAAGAAAGTACCATTGGAGTGAACAGGCAACTTACAGAATGGGAGAAATTTTTTGCAATCTACCCATCTGACAAAGGGCTAATATCCAGAATCTACAAAGAACTCAAACAAATTTACATGCAAAAACAACCCCATCAAAAATTGAGCAAAGGATATGAACAGACACTTCTCAAAAGAAGACATCTATGCAGCCAACAGACATATGAAAAAATGCTCATCATCACCGGTCATCAGAGAAATGCAAGTCAAAACCACAATGAGATACCATCTCACACTGGTTAGAATGTCGATCATTAAAAAGTAAGGAAACAACAGATGCTGGAGAGGATGTGGAGAAATAGGAACACTTTTACACTGTTGGTGGGAATGTAAATTAGTTCAACAATTGTGGAAGACAGTGTGGCGATTCCTCAAGGATCTAGAACTAGAAATACCATTTTACCCAGCAATCCCATTACTGGGTATATACACAAAGGATTATAAATCATGCTACTATAAAGACACACGCACACGTATGTTTATTGCGGCACTATTCACAATACCAAGGACTTGGAACCAACGCAAATGTCCATCGATGACAGACTGGATTGAGAAAATGTGGCACATATACACCATGGAATACTATGCAGCCATAAAAAAAACAGTTCATGTCCTTTGCAGGGACACTAATGAAGCTGGAAACCATCATTCTGAGCAAACTATCACAAGGACAGAAAACCAAACACCGCATATTCTCACTCATAGGTGGGAACTGAACAATGAGATCACTTGGACACAGAGTGGGGAACATCACACACCAGGGCCTGTCAGCGGGTGAGGGCTGGGGGGAAAGATAGCATTAGAGAAATACCTAATGTAAATGATGAGTTGATGGGTACAGCTAACCAACATGGCACATGTATACTTATGTATCAAACCTGCACATTGTGCACATGTACCCTAGAACTTAAAGTATAATAATAAAAAAAATTAAAAAAACCTTTTTTTAAAAAGCCAAAAGATAACAAATGGTTAAAGTGCAGAGAAAAGAGAACTCTCATACTGCATTGGTAGAAATGTAGATTGTTACAGCCATTATGGGAAATTTTTTTAAAAAAACTAAAAATAGAACTACCACATGACCAAGCATTCCTTCATTTGGTCATATACCCAACGGAAATAAAATCATCACCTTGTAATCTTGTAAATGTATCTGCACTCTCATGTTCATTGTGGCATCATTCACAATAGCCAAGAAGACCTTAGTGGTTGTGGACAAACGGAGAAAGAGACTGTGGGGGGTGTGTTTGTGTGTGTGTGTGTGGTGTGATATGTGTGTGTTTGTGTGTATGTGTGTGTAATGGAATATTATTCAGTCCTAAAAAACAATAAGATCTTGCCATTTGCCACAATGTGGATAAGACTGGAAGACATTATACTAAGAGAAATAAATCTGACACAGAAAGAAAAAATATTATACGATCTCACTTATATGTAGATTCTTACAAAAAAGTTAAACATACAGAGATGGAGAACAATAGTGGTTACAGGGAGGCAAGGAGGAAATGAGATGATAACCTATAGCCTAGGTGTGTGGTAGGCTATACCATCTAGGTTTGTGAAAGTACACTCTCTGTGGGAGCTCCGAACCAAAGTCATCCTCTGTGCAAATTGCTTGATATGCCATTACTATTTAGCTTCTTTTCCTTTCCATTTCCTTTATTATCCTACTAGGGTCGTAGGATAGTAACACTTTTCATGGAAATACTACCTGATAAATTACTTTCAAGTGAATTTTCCTTCCATTGTTTGAGCCAACTTGAAAATACATTATACAAAAGAAAATATCTAAGTGTTTAATAAAAATTTTTCTTTAAAAAGATTCAGCTTTATTAACCATTTAGGAAATACAAACCAAAACCTTAACGCAGTATCTATATATACATATATATATATACCAGAAAGTTAGAAATGGAAAAGATGAGACAATGCCAATTGTTGGCAAGGAAGAATGTGGAACAACTCACATGTACTTTGAAAAACTGCTTGGCATTATCCTCTGAAATTGAATGTATGTATACATATTAGTCATTAATTCTATTCCTGTGTATACATGCCTAACTACCAACCACCAACATTCAGTCACCAAAAGAAACACATGCAAATGTTCACCATCAAAAATATGTACTGTATAACTGTCATAGAAGCACCATTTGTAATAGCCACAAACCAGAAAATACCCCGTTATTCATCAATAATATAATGGATACATAATTGGTAGTATATTCAAACAGAATACTATGTAACAAAAAGAATGAACAACAGCTACACACAGCAACATGGATAAATCTCATAAACATGATGTTGAGCAAAAAGATCAAACAAAAGAGTAAATACCGTGTGTTTCTATTTTTATAATTGGATAGACACAGAGATGCACCACTCAGATACTCTTAAGGAAGGATATGCTGTCTTCACTGCTGAGAAAGCTGTGAGTAGGCTACTTTCAGCTGTCAAATTCTTCAGAAAGCACTTCAGTGGCAGAGAGCTGCCTCACTCATAGCCAATGATTGATGGAGAAAAGGGAATATACCTGGCCATTTGGGCCCAACATGGGATAACTCTGACCACACGTTAATTTCAGAGCTCCTCATGGGATGAGCTGAGGCTGAAAAGTCTGCATCACAGCTCCTCTTCCCCTTCTATTGCATAAAATGTCAAAGCTAGTCTATGGCATTAGTAGTCAAGTATAGTTATCCTTGGATTGAAGGTAGAGAGGATTACATCTAGAAAGAGGCAGGGTAGTCTGTGGTGGCGGGGGCGCGGAGGAGAGCAGGGCTTCTGCGGTGCTGGTGATGTTCTATTTATGAGATCTGTTTCACTTTGTGAAATTCCATCCAGTTGTATAATTATGGTATATGCATTTTTCTATATATATTATACTTTAACAAAATGTTCACCAACAAATGTTTATAACTCCAAAATAAATGAATTAATTAAAATTTTAAATAAAAAATACTGAATTAGAGATAGAAAAGTTAATCATTCACTCATTCACCAACTCACTGTGTGACTAGGGCAAATCTTTTAAACTGTCTGAGCCCACAACTCCTCAACTATGAGGCTGAAAACACAGCAAACTTATCCTTGCCTAAACATCATTTTTACATCCATTTGTTCATTTTCCAGTCTCACAACTGCTATGAGTATGGGTAATTGAGTTTTGGTATCCTCATTTTTTCAGTGGTGGAGCAACGTCTGTAAAGGTTAGGCAATTTGCTGAAAGTCACAAAGTCAGTGAGCTGCAGAGTCAGGTCTAGAATGCAAGTTTTCTGGAGCTGGTGTCTTCAACATCGAAGCAAGTCAATGTGTTCAAGAGAAACACGCAGATAATATGCTAATGACAATACCATCTAAGAAGATGTAGCACAGAGAAAGATGTTTAGAAGTTAGGAAAGAGACTGATTCTAAATAATAGGTAAGAGATAATTCAGACCGCTTGGTACAAAAGCAAAACTAAAATCACCCAATGTAAGCAGCCCAGCGGAATAAAACAAAAGCCAATGGTTAAGAGAAAAACAGCCAAAATGCCTACACTAGTCATGGGACCTATAGTATCTACGATAGGAATTTTATGATTCAGTGGTCTAGCCTCTTTCAAATCGTTTTAATTACAAGATATTATCCCACCAGAGAGAGAGAGAGAGAGAGAGTAAAAAGGAGTATCTCTTAGTAAACTAAATGTCTTTCTACTGGTCTGAGAATTCAAAGCTTCCTCCAAAGATATGGCTCCACTACTCCATTTTTCTGGATTAAAGCCATTAAACTGGTGTTCAAATTTCCCTATCAAAACCACACAAACTCAAAAAAATCATACCTTCTCTTTTATTGGAAGAGAGGCCGATACTAAACATAAATTTAAGAAAGAATAAATTATACACCAACTTCCATCTAACGTCCACCATTGCAATAAACTGACTTCTTCACTTTGACTTACAGGCATGTTTGTTTTTCTTAGGCATCTTTAAGGGACAGGTAGTTGGCTCAAATTCAACTCAGTCATGCTGCTTGCCAAAGAAGAACAGTCTCTAGTGGGTCATCTCATGTTTTGATGCATATCTTCTGTTGAATACCTTATAAAGTTTACAGTCATCAAGTCCTGGAATAATGCCCACCCCTGGCTCCACTGTCCAGTTACCCTTCACCTCTAAAAGATCCCTGCTTTGCCAATTAAATCAGTTAATTTGTAAGCCAATTAAATTATATCTGTCAGTTTTCTTAATTAAATTGGTTGTTTGGTATCTTGTAGGACCAACATAGAACAGGGTAAATGCAAAATCTTATGCCCATTGCTAGGAAGTAGCTGAAGAAATGAATCATTAAAATACATCTTCTTACAAAACAGTGAGATGCTGTAAAAAAAAAGGATCAAATTGTAGGTACCTGATCCTTTTTCCTCAATTTCTGGTGCTTCTGACCACTCTACAAAGGGATAATATTTAGGTATAAACAATTCCTCAAGACTGGGCATGGTGGCTCATGCCTGTAATCTCAGCATTTTGGGAGACCAAGGCGGGCAGATCCTTTGAGGTCAGGAGTTTGAAACCAGCGTGGCTGACATGATGAAACCCCATCTCTACTAAAAATACAAAAATTAGCCAGGCATGATGGCAGACAACTGTAATCCCAGCTACTTGGGAGGCTAAGGCAGGAGAATCACTTGAACTCAGGAGGTGAAAGGCAGAGGTTTCAGTGAGCCAAGATCTTGCCACTGCACTTCAGCCTGGGCTACAGAGCGAGACTCCATCTCAAAAATGGTAATAATAATAAGTCCTCAAGAAACAATTAAATCAAAGTGACATGATCTCTTCTATAGTTTTTCCACATAAAAATATTAAACTGCCTCTAAAGTGAACCGAGAAACATGTCAATCATAAAGCTGTAGTCACTCACCAACATTTTTAAAGGATTTATAGCAGCATGTAGTTCTCACACCCAAAAGGCACTAACATTTGTTATGAAGAACATTTTAGGATGCTCTTTGCAATAACTTTTAATGATATGCAGAGGCTAGTTGAAGTACCTGAAACTAAACATTAACTTTCATTCGAAATGTGTTTCTGTCCCATATAATTAGTCCATTTGTACAGCAAAAAAGAGAAGGTAGAAAGCAACAAAAAGTTTCTCTGAATGAGATCCATATTAATATTTCAAATACACTATCACTTTAAGTCTGACATTTTCTTTCCGCTTTTTTCATATCATGGTCAAATTTTTAAAACCATAAGAGTTTTATTTACTCATTATTACACAGTGATAATCAAAGAAACTAGAAAATAAAAACAAAAACGTTTTTGACCCACAGACACCACTATATTAAGATATTGTTTAATCAGAACTTTTCTCTTCTTTCCTCCCCCAACCTTTCTGCAGACTCTGCCAGCTCAACAAAACAAGTGGATAAAAAAAGCCTTTTCTGTCAAGATGTCATAATTTAGGACTCGCAGTGATTGGTGATAATATATTTCCTTGAATGTTAAAGGTGGCAGGTGACAGAGATGAAGCAAACAGTGTATTTCATACAGCTACAGAGACGTGAAGTTAGACTTTACATAATAGGGACTATAAAAAGTAATCTTGCAGGTCTGCAGTGTAAATGCTATGGTGCTTATGAAATGCACTGTAATATCCAGCAGAATAGTGACAGATGATGCAATGCACAACCCTATGCTAGGCAGCATACACTACTCCTTACTACAGTGACATAAAGGCATGTTACTAATACATTCATTAAATTAGTTTGATAAAGTATGGTCTACGACATTGTACCTGCTGGGGTGGTCTAGGAAGCATGGGGTGACACTGTTCATGGGGTGACTGAACTGTTATTGATCTAGGATACAGGTTTTCTCATTGCTGTGTACCTGTGTTTGTAGAAAAGTTAAAACCTTTTGTTCGATTCTGGGCATTATTTTCTCAAACTTTAACTCATTACTCTAAACTTCTCCTGCTGCAGAAGGAAGGAGAGCCTGCATGTTGGCCACTCCAATGCAATGCCAAGGTTTTCAAGGTTCTCTTCCCATGTTGCCTGCCATGGTTTTGATGTTTGTCCCTCCAAATCTCACGTTGAAATGTGGTTCCCAATGTTTGAGGTGGGGCATGGTCGGAGGTGATTTGGTCACAGGGCCGGATCCCTTATGAACAGTTTAGCACCATCCTCTTGGTTATAAGTGAGTTCTCACTCAGTTGATGCAAGATCAGGTTCTTTAAAAGAGCCTAGGACCTCCCTCTTCTCTCTCATGTCACATGGCCAGAGAAGGAGCAAGAGAGAAAAGAAGGAGGTCCTAGACTCTGGGCTGGGCTCATATGCTGGAATCCCCCTTCGCCTTCCACTGTGATTGACTGAAAGCTCCCTGAAGCCTCACCAGAAGCCTAGCAGATGCTGATGCCATGCTTACTGTACAGACTGCAGAACTGTGAGCCAATTAAACCTATTTTCTTTATAAATTACCCAGCCTTAAGTATTTCTTTATAGCAACACAAGAATAGACTAATAAACTGCCAGAAGGAGAGATGCATGGATTGCCTCATCTCTGGCAAACTATTATTTGTGCAGATTCAGGCTCATGAGTGTCGTAGATTATGGGAATTCACCAGATATACCTTCTCCTTTATACAACCTGGCTGCATATGACATTGGCAAGTACCAGACATCAGACTTCTCTGTAGAGATGCTTTTCAGAAAAAATAAAAATAAAAACAACACAAAACAAAGACATGTGTGTGCTTGCACACAGCTATAAAAACACTATACTCTTATAGAATATTTGTAACAACCATTTCATGAAGAAAATTCTTTTATAATCAGAACTCTGAACTATGTCTAACTCACCACTAAGTTTCCATCTGTATTTTTTATCCACGAAGTGCTCATTTTCTATTGGTCTGGTCTCATGAACAGATGAGTCCTAACAATGTTGTGGTTTCAGGAACATAGAAGAAAGTGTATGCCTCACCCCTTCCAAAATTCCTCCAGCCAGCTGATTCCTGAAATGCACAATTAATAGTTAATGGCTTTCTTTAATGTTTATTCTCTACTAATATGTAAATTTCAAAACAAGTAACAATTAAACATTGTCAGCTTAAGATAAACAAGTTAATAAAAAAATCTATCCTTGAGCACAGGTGAAAAAGTAGAGCACAGAAAGGCTATATATATACACACTATGTAGGGTACACTAACTTAGGGGAGGAGAGGAAAAGTTTAAGTAGAAAGTACTTATATCATATTGGTAGAAGTAAATGTAAAGGATTGTGCATCTCATGGATTCTGAATGCAGTTTCCTCTATGATCCCAAATTCCCTTTTGCAGACTCAGTATCTTAGTTCTCTGTTTGGAATGCTGTGTGTCACAGCATCCCTGGAGATCCTGGCAGGCTTTACATGAGACTAAAAGAACTGACTCCAGGAATAGGTTTGCTGGATTGTTTTCTCTTTCAACAAGACTGAACCAAAAGCTAAAGCTCAACAGGAGAAAATGTCTATTTCTACCCAATAACACAAATGAATTGTGGGTGATACAGGAGAAACCTACAAAATACAGGTCTACAATCCCTCATTCAAAATCCTCAAAGACAGAAATATTTCAGCATTCAGAATTGTTTGGGGATTCTCCAAACATAATATACTACAGATTTCAGATATAGATACCACCACCAGTAGGGTCTGGGCTGGCTGTTCATTATCAAACAGAATAATTTTTACAGCGAAACATATGGATTTCATCAAAAAATGCTTTAAAAATGAAAAAAGATGGTAAATAGCCTTATAAGGGTTCAGATCAGATTTTTCCACCAAGTAAATTTGCCATAATTGTACAGGAAAAAAAAATGCTTTTCAGGCCCTTTTTGGTTTAAGAATCAAGAATAAGGGACTGTCATTTTTACCATAAATGTTGGCTCATCACTTTTGGAATGGAATGATCAATAATTGCTTCTGTAGCATTTCTCCAGCACAAGAACATCCTATGTCAAAAGATCTATTGGAGGAAGTGATGTGAACGGTTGATGTGCAAGTAAGTACTGTAATGCCTCATTCAGAGTCTCCTAGCCAAGCACTCCCAAAGCCAGAGAGAATGAGGCTGGGCAGACAGCTTTTCTCCTGATCTATGATCAATATCTCAGGCAGAGAGCAGCACTGCCCCTAAGTTAAGATACCGTCATCACTCAAGTGTGTTTGAGCGAAGCTCATTGAAAAGAAATGAGGGATGGCAGCAGCTTGCTGCCTTCTGCTTCCACACTAATTGCCCCAGGATCCTGCTGCTTTTTCTCCTCGATGTAATTTTCTTCTCCTGGACTGTGCACAGGCATTGCCATCTTTTAAGTTCCTGTCCCTGGGCACAGGAACTTATGAAGAGAATTAAGAGAGTTGTCCACACTCCTGCTAGTCGAGGCTTCCATTCAGAAAAACTATTTGCATTTTATCTAATGATGGAGTTATTGTTTTTAAGCATTTTACCCATCTTCTTAATTTCCTTCTTGATGTTTTGTCTTGGGTAATGCACCCTCACTTCACACTGAGGCTGAGCTCATGATATTCTTCTTAAAACTGGCTGCCCTCCTGTCATCTCCTTCCCACAGCCAATAACTTATGGAAAAGTTAAAAAATAAATTTTAAAAGATCTTTGAAATATTTTTGAGGCTTGGATATTATTTGTAAATGCACTTACGTAAAACAGTTTATTCTCCAAGATAATGAAGAAATAGAGTATGATTGTGTTATTAAATAATGAACTGTGATAGACCTGGATGTGTATGGCAGGGACTGCATTGCACATAACTGTATACAAAAGTTGTGATCCCTCTTCACATTGGGTGAAGAAGATATATGTAAGTGAGAAGGTAACTAAAATTCTAAGGTATCTATAGGAACAAACACGAGTGATACAGATAATAAATGATATAAGGTTGCTTATAATATAGAGGTGGATGCTTTAATGAAGTCTAAAACAACAATAGTTTAAAAAAGAAAGAATTTATTTCTCTTATGTAAGTTCCTATGGCAATCCCATTCTGCAAAGTAATCAGATGTCTAGACATCTCTTATTCTTGCTCTGGCATTCTCATGGTAGAGCATTAGAATGATGCTCTGTTTTTCTTTCATCCACATGGTCCAAAATGGTATGCCCCTTCACTAAAGCATGTGACTCAGAAGGTAAACACATCATTTTTATTCATACCTTGCTGGTCACACCCACCTGCAAGGGGGGTTGGAAAATTCAGTCTTTCGCCTGAGTGTTTATGTGCCATCTAAAAACTGAAATTCTATTGTGTTAAAGGAAAAACTTTAAACAAATTAAACATAGCTTATTTGGACAGAGAACAATTCTTAAATTGGGAAGCACCCAAAAAGTCTGTTAAATTAAATAGCCAGGAAGCCATTGGCTTGATGAGTTTGAAATGGGAGAGTTCCCTGACCCCCTCCCAGGATATGCAACAGGGGTATGGCTTGTCTGTTTGGCCACTCTGCACTCAAACCCCTTACGGGAGGGGGAGCATGCAGATGGACAGGTGCAGGAGCCAGGGCGAGTGCCCCTGGACTCCGGCCCCATGGCAGTGTCCAGAGGTGGGAGACTGTGACTCCCAAAGCCCAAGTGGGCATGTGTTACAGTGCACTCTTTTAGCCTTGCCATCCACAGACAATTTAAGTGTTAAATAGCTCAGTGGGCCCTCTGCCTTTTTGCATGGGCAGATGGCCAGTGTGATAGCTTTCTGCATCCCAAGTTCTTGTCCAGCATCCAGGAAAAATCAGTTCACACACGGACTTGAAGAATGAATGCAGGGATTTTATTGAGTGGTGGAGGTGGCTCTCAGTGGGAAGGAGTGGGAAGATGATCTTCCCTTGGAGTTTGGCCGCCTAGTGGCCAATCTCTCCAATCATCTGCAGCCAAACTCCCCTTGCCGTTCAGACGCTCTTTCTCTTCTCTCTGCCATGCCATTCTGACATTCTTCTGCTCTTCTGTTTATCTCCTTGTGGAGCCGGGGTTTGGGGTTTATATGGATACAGGACAGGAGGGTGTGGTGGACCAAAATGCAACTTTGGGGCAGGGAAACAGGAATGCCTCTTCTCATTTAGGGCCGCAGGTTTCCAGACTTGAAGATGGGGCCTTTGCAGGGGTACCACTCTCTTCTACCCAGCATTTTCTTGTCTCCTATCCATATCAATTTCTTCATAATTTGAGTTTCTACCACAACATAACTTAATATACAAACAAACTTTATTTAGGAGTATATTTTCTGATAAACAGCCAAGTTTCAGTCAAACACAAGTAGCCAAGCTTCAGCCAATCACAGGTAGATAACTGACGAGATCATGCCCAAATAAAGTAAATGTCTCATCACACCATGCCTAAATAAGATAAGTAGCCAATCAGGTGATTTATATACTTTGTTTCGGTGTTGAGTCTAAAAAACTCACTGCCCATGCCTTTGAATGGAGCTCTTTGAACCTCTTCTGGTTTTGAATGCTTCCCAATTTAAGAATTATTCTCTGTTCAAATAAGCTATGTTAAATTTGTCTAAAGTTTTTCGTTTAACATAATTTCAGCTTGTAGATTGCACATAAACACTCAGGTGAAAGACTGAATTTTCCAACCTCTCTTGCAGGTGGGTGTGACCAGCAAGATATGAATAAAAACGATGTGTTTACCTTCTGAGTCACATGCTTTAGTGAAGGGGCATACCACTTTGGACCATGTGGATGAAAGATTTACAGGTGCAGGAGCCAGAACGAGTGCCCTGGGCTCCGGGCCCATGGCAGTGTCCAGGGGTGGGAGACTGTGACTTCTGAAGCCCAAGTGGGCTTGTGTTACAGTGCACTCTTTTAGCCTTGCTGTCCACAGATGGCTTAAGTGTTAAACAGCTCAGTGGACCCTCTGTCTTTTTGCAAAGGCAGAGGGCCAGTGTGACAGCTTTCTGCATCCCGAGCTCTTGCCCAGCATCCAGGAAAAATCAGGTCACACTCGGACTCAAAATGATGAATTGGGGGGTTTTCCTGAGTGATGGAGGTGATTTTTGTAAATGGTATGAGATAAAGGTCCAGTTTTCCCAGTACCCTTTATTAAAGAGACTACTGTCTCCAGTGTGTTTTCTTAGCACCTTTGTTGAAGATCAGTTAGCTGTTAAGTGCATGGATTTATGTCAGTGCCATCTCTTCTCTTCCATTGGTCTATCCGTCCATTTTTTATGCCAGTACCATGCTGTCTGAATTAGCATAGTTTAAAACTCTACAAAAAAAGACAATTACTGGCCAATATTCCTGATAAACATAGATGCAAAAACCTTCAACAAAATACTAGCAAATTAAATGCAACTACACTTTAAAAGGATTATACACCTTGATGAAGTAAGATTTATTCTTGGGCCACAAGGATGGTTCAACATACACAAGTCAATAAATGTGACACACCACATTAAGAAAATAAAACATAAAATCATGCAATCATCTCGATATATACAGAAAATTATTTGACAAAAGTCAACATCCTTTCATGATTAAAAATCTCAACAAATTATGTATAGAAGGAATGTACTTCAACATAATAAATATAATATTAACTGTGGGCTTGCCCATAGGTGACAAGCCCACAGTTAATATTATACTTGATGGTAAAAAGCTGAAAGCTTTTCCTCTAAGATCAGGAACAAAACAGTGAGCCTATTCTCACCACTTGTATTCAATATAGTACCGGAAGCCCTAGTCAGAGCAATTAGGCAAGAAGAAATAAAAGGCATCCAAATCAGGAAGGAGGAAGTAAAACAGACTGCATTTGAAGACGGTATGATGTTATATATAGAAAATCCTAAAGACTCTACTTTAAAAAAAACTGTTAGAATAGATTAATTTAGTAAAGTATAAGTTCAAAAGCAACGTACAAAAATCAGTAGTGTTTCTTTATATTAACAACCAACTAGCTGAAAAAGAAATTGAGAAAACAATTCCATTTACAATAACATGAAAAAAAATAAAATAAACTACTTAGGAATAAATTTAACCAAGGAGATGAAAGATCTAAACACTGAAAACTACAAAGCATTAATGAAAGAAATTGAAGAATACACAGATAAATGGAAAGATATTCCATGTTCATGGATTAGAAAATTGTTAAAATTTCCATACTATCCAAAGTGATCTGCATATTTAATGCAATCTTATCAAAATTCCAATGGCATTTTTCACAGAAATAGAAAAAGCAATCCTAAAATCAAGTGAAACCACAAAAAATCTCCTAATAGCCAAAGCAACCTTGCACAAAAAGAACAAAACTAAAGGCATTATACTACCTGATTCCAGGTAGTATAATGATTTCAGAATATCCCATAACACTTTTTTATGAATGTAAAGGTAATACCTATTCATGTCAGAGCATTTAGAATACATAGAGAGTCTATAGATAACATTCTGAATTCTTATATTAGCAATATTTTTCTTGTCTTTTGCTACTATGTATCAGTTTTTTCTATTTTCTTCATGCCAACAGTGTGTTGCTTCCAGCAGGCCTTCACTTCTTCTGATTTTCCACTTTTAATATCCTTCTTTGAACAGGAATATCAGATAGTCAAGATTTCTAGAATTATGTAAAGATTTCAAAGCAAGTAGGTGTGAGGAAAAATTAAACTTCTCTGCTATAAACAAAAAGACCAAGTTTAAGTTTTAAGGTTTGAACTCATTTCTCCTCCTCTGACTTTGGGTTGGGAGATACTAAGCCAGTCTTAGAATACTTCCTGAAGAGAAGGCTGTGAAATAAAAGAGTTGGGGATCTTGAGATTGCTGAATTCTGGGTTCCTTCACACCCTTTAAGTACTAAGGCTTCTAAACCAGCAAAACAAAGGGTTATAAAGACAGAAACAAAAATTCTGTGAGTCATCTGATGTGATAGTGAAACCTGCCACTTATATACGTCTATCACTTGGGTCATGTTTCTGTGTATTCTAGATATGGAGAAACAAAACATACATTGGTCAATGGTGCAATGTAATGAATTGAGTACCCAGGTCACCTGCCTGTCTCCTGAAACTCCAGGTTAGCCTTTCTACTGACATAGGGATATATATTAGCCAGGTCAAGCTGGAAAGCCCAAGTGTTAAACCCATGCAGGTGCACTATGAAAAAAAGCTTGAAAAATTACAATGGATTATTGTTTAAACTTAATTTGCTGAAAATAAAGATGAGAACTCTTTACTGGAACAAATTAGCACATAAACTAGAAGATGGTATGCAGCTATTAATCAAGAAGGGGAAAATTTTTGAAAGGACAACCATACACAAAAGACTTATCAATTCTGTCTTTATGTCACAATTCAGTTTGCAAAAGCTTCAATCATCTAACTGTCTCATGGATTATATTCCTCTAGTATGGTGATGTCATCACATTACTAGGATTTAGAGAGTGAGTGATAGCAGGTACTCTAGATATCTCAGACTGACATTTATGTGCCAGAATTCAGAGTAAATTCAAGGAAAAGTCAAGGCCTGCAATCCTATGGCTGTTCCTATGTGTCCAGAAGTGACATATTTTACTGTACATTTTCTACTTCTACATGGTACAGAAGTATGTGGGACCCTGGGTTTTAGAAACAACATATGCCATATTCAAATATGCTGTTCAAAACTATTTTTCTGAATAGCCCGAAAGGCTGTTAACAAGGAGAATACCCTAGAGCAAGAGAAAGCTGTCTGGCATAAATAGCTTTGCTAGTTGTTCTTTATGACCACGAAGGTTCAATTGCACTTAGTCTCTGAGGCAGATTGGAATACCAGGGAGCATACTGCAAAACTGGATAGGGAATCACAACAGTGACACCTGGGTTCTGAAACAAAGCTATGCTCTTTTCAGTGAGCCTTTTATAATAAAAAATAACTGCTTGCTGCTGATAGTCCTCTAGAGATCAGAAACATGAGCACAGGACATGAGTAAACAGTAGCCTCTGATCTGTACTGCTCATCATGACCTTGGTGTTATCTGATGCATCAACTCATAAAACTTGGAATGCCCAACAGTTTCTCTTTACCAAGTAGAAGTAATATATGCAAGATTCGGCTTGAGAAGGTCATAAAAACACAAGAATTTTACATGAGCAGATGGATCCATTTCCCAATGTGCCTGCCACATAAGCCATATTTCCTAAATCCACACATAGGGCCTTAGAGAAAATTCTCTATGGCTGGGGAGAAAATCATTCAAGCCTTGTTTGCAGATGGCACTTTATTAAATGTTGGTATGAGTGGCAAGTGTATTGCTATAGTCATTATAGCCCCACTTGTGAGTAGCCTTGGATGATATTGAAAAACGGAGAAATTCCATTGAACAGAACTTATTTTTAAATCAACTTTATTAAGTATAATTCACATACAATAAATTCCACAGTTTAATTAAGTGTACAGTTTGATGAGTTCTGGTTACTGCACGTCTGCGTAGACCAGTACTTCTTTGCAGTCCCTGTCCCCACACCCACTCCCACTATAGAGAACCACTGATGTGATTTTTAGCACTTTAGTTTTGCCTGTTCTAGTAGTTTAAATAAATGAAATCATACAGTATATATTTTTTGCCTGTTTTATTCTGTTCAACACAAAATCTGTGTAGTTTGTTCATGTTGACACATAAATCAGCAGTTTATTTGTGATGCTTGGTAGCATTTGATGGTTTATTTACATCATAACTTATCTATTCACATATTAATTGTTTCCATTTTGGAGTTATTAAGAATAAAACCACCCAGAATGCATATGTACAAATCCTTTATCAATATGTGCTTTTATATGCCTTCAGCAAATTCTTAGAAGTAAATTGTCAGGCCATACTTTAAGCGTATGTTTAATGTAGTGAGAAATGAGCGGGCTGATCTTGAGTGTAGACTTTTTGGCCGACTTTGCCTGAAAAGAGATGTGACCTGAGGCAGAGATCTACAACAATACACGGATGTGGCTAATACTTTGCCTAAAAATAGCCAAGCATTTGTGAAAAACAGAAAAGAAATTGATTAAAGGAGAGTTGGAGAAGTATGTGAAATAGCCTAAGGTGCAAGAATATTGTTCTCACTGGTTGATGACTCACCACAAGGCTCTCACTAAAGAGGACACTCCCAGTGAACAGGCAGCTATAAGGTTGGCTCTTCATACAGCTATACCGGAGCTTGATAAATACATTCAAAACAATGTAGCCATGTTGGCAAGTCAGAGGTTATGCAGAAATTGAGCCCTCAAGCCTTCCTTCAATAAACTTCATCTGGCTAAAGTGTGTCTCATATGCCAGGAACAGAGAACAATGCTGAGCCTTGGGATACTGTCCAGTGTTTCAGGTAACCAGTCAACTACTGGACCCTTTCCATTATAAAGGAGTAGCAGTTTTTCCCATTGGAGACTCTCCTTATTGTGATTAGTAATCATGAATTGATTAGGTGGTATTTTTTAAATATTATGATTTTAACAAAAAACTCAGCCGTTTTATTCTGAAAGAAATAAGGCAATCAGGTGGAACTTACGATATTTAATGATCCTTGCATGCAGAACATCATTCAGAAGCTGGAAGGAAATATCTCACAGATTTGGGGTATAGTCCTACACAGTGCTAAATATGCTCTGAACCAATGACCAATGTATGCGTCTTATCCCACATCCAGAATACAAAGAACGCTGATTTTTATAGGCTGAATTTTTTTCTTCCCATCCCCATAAAATGTATATGTTGATGTCCTAACACTCAATGCCTTGGAATCTGACTGTGTTTGGAGACGGGGCCTTTAAATCAGTAAATTAAAATGAAATCATTAAGAATGGGCCCTGCTATGATTTGAATATTTTTGTCCTCCAAAATTTATATTCTGAAATCCTAAACTCCGAAGTGATGGCATTAGGAAGTGGTGCTTTGGGGAGATGATTAGGTCATAAGAGTGAAACCCACACAAGTGCCCTTCTAAAAAGAGATCCCAAAAAGCTGTCTTGCCCTTTCCACCATGTAAGAACACAACTAGAAGGTGCCATCTGTGAACCAGAAAGCAGGTCCTCACCAGACATCAAGCTTGCTGGTGCCTTGGTCTTAGACATCCCAGCCTCCACAACTGTGAAAAATAAATTTCTGTTTTATAAAAGCTACCTAGTCTACGGTATTTTATTGTAGCAGCCTGAAGGGACTAAGGCCCTAATTCAATATGACTGGTGTCCTTAGAAGAGATTAGGACACAGATGCACACGGAGGGAAGACCATGTGCATCACTAGAAGGAGGCATCTGCAAGCCAAGGAGTCAGGCCTCAGAAGAAACCAACCCTGCCGACGCCTGATCTCACTTGAGATCAGTCTTGAGAATTGTGAGAAAATAAGTTTCTGTTGTTTGAACCACCTAATGTGTGGTACTTTGTTATGTCAGCTCTAACAAACTAATACAATGACTCAAGTAGTAAAAGTCACACATCTCACAATTTCATTTAATGACTAACAGATTTTTTCTTTCTGTCTCTGTGACTCTTGGCTCTGCTGGTTTATAAGCTTTGCTACCCAAGGGTTACTAAGGAAACCAGGGTGCAACCATCTCAGGCTCTTGTTCTTCCACAATATGGCATAAATTCTCCCTTCCTAGAGGGTCATCTCTCAGAAGAGTTTGGAGGAGGACAAAAGACTGAGAAATCTAAGAAAATGGGCATTTTTAAAAGAATGGAATTACCAAAGGTATTAAATTATTAGATCTAAGGTTTTAACAGATTCAACATTAAGTTACATTTATTTTCCTGCTCAGCAGGTGGAAGCTACTGAGGAAGATCAACCATCAATACATAAAATAGAAATTTGTATTTTCTCTGCACACATAACTTGTAATCTGAATATTTTGCATCCCTTATTACAATAGTATTCATAGGAGTACATTTAGGAAATGCTGACTTCTGTTCAATTGAGACCATTGTTAACAAAGCAAGCAGAGGAACCCCTGCAAAGATACATAAATTCTTAACCCACAGTAATCAATTATCAAATACAATAAAACATATGTTCAACGACCATTTACCCAAACTTAAAAACCAATCATACCACTAGAAAAAATTAGAAACTAAACAAAAACACTCATATTTTTTCTATCACACCATATTATACCATATATAAAATACTTTTATTTTCTGGGTGTTTCATAACTAATTTGATCAATTCTCTATTATTCAAATGTTAGCTTATTTCCAGTTTTCAAAGTTATAAACAATGTTACCTTATGTTCTAGGGCATGATTATTTTGTATATATCTGATTTTTTCCTTAGGCAAAATTCTAGAATATGTTAGGTTTCTTAAAGAATTTGAATATTCTTAAGACTTTTGGCCTGTCTTCAAAAATATTATAATACTGTATAATTCTCAGACAGCCAAATGCCTAGGCAGTTAAAAAGGGGTCCATGGAGAATCTCCAACCCGCCCACCAGTGTTTACATTGGATGCTTTCGTACATGCTCCCCTCCCTGCCCAGGGCCTTGTCTGAGCATGCCCACATACACACTGAAAGAATGGGGTGGAACCACGGGCAGGGAGGGGAGAAGCCTGCCTCTTCAATTCCTGTGTGGTAGCACAGGATTCAATCTGTGAGGTGGGGGGCCTGCTAGCAGGACTCCATCTCACTTTGCTACGTTTTTTTCTTTTTTTCCCTTTTCTCCAAGTAAAATCCTGCTCTACTCACCTTCAATGTGTCCACGTGCCTACATTTTCCTGGTCTTGTGACAGGAACCCAGTTTTAGCTGAACTAAGGAGCAAAATTCTGCAAAAATTCCACCTGGCATATATAACAGTGGTCATTTGTTCACTCCCTCATGAATATTTTATTTTTCATTTTTATAATTTGGTGGAAGAAAAGCTACATTGTTATTTCACTTTGTATTTCCTTTGTTATTACATACATTACATTTTCACATGTGTAAGCTGACCATTGTTATCTCTTTAGCAGTTTGAAACACTAGACTTTAATTGAACTGGCCTAGGTCTAGTTACAATGACAAAGTCACCAGAGAATTCATAATAATGACAAATATCATCCCTTTCAAATAATTGAGCATGTAATGTGAGATTTGCCATATAACTAGTGTACTAACATGTGTGGGCTAAGAACAGGTTATCTACATGACAACAACAAAAATATACTGAAGTGTTAGTCCGATGCTTAAAGATAACTGAGCTTTCTTGTTTTTTTTTAACTGCCAAGCCTGACCTCTTTAAAATGGAAAATCAAATATGGCATTCTTAACTGGGATATTTTTCTTTGTTCATGTTAGTTAACCATAGTACTCAAATCAATATCAATTTTGTATATGAAAAGCAAATGCACAACTTAAAAAGAAAGTTCCATTTTAATTTCTCAGAAAAAAAGTTTAAAAAAAATCTTTATTCTAAGACTTTAAATTTTCAGTAGTTAATCTGAGATGCAGACAGAATTTGATTCCCATGTCAAAAACAATTAAAATAGAAAACAAATCTTTCCATTTTTTTCATAATACAGGTGGTCATTTTAATCATTTATGTATTTTCCTGACATTGGTTCAGTCTTTGGTCACATAATTCAAGTCTACAAAACCTTTGGTTAGCTTGAATTGCATTTAAATATCACAAAGCTGGTTGCTAAGCTCTTCATTCTAGGGTAGAAACCCTCACATATATTCATAGTTTTTTATATACCTGTGTTTGTTTTCAAACCAGTTTTTGTTTTAATCAAATAAGGTATGATTTGGGACAAGTAGGCTCCAAACTACCAAAGTAGCATGTATATGAATTTATACTCACCATACTGTAACTCTACAAAGATTCACAAACATTCCCAGTTAGAAACTTTTTATTGAGAGCAGATCAATAAGAACATTGCTGAGTTTAGCCATGCAAATAATTATGAAATTTAACTACATAACAACCATTAATTTGAAATGTAGACAGATTTAGAGAACCTAGTTTGTATTACAAATCCCAGTAAACTATGTAAAGAGATTCACAATGTAAACAGCACAAATAGCAACACTAAGTTCCTGAAAATTTGAATCCTGTTAATTCAACTGCAGGGGGCGGGGTGTGGAGTGGGGTGGGGGTGGTAAGCCAATCTGTTTAACCTGGAAAACATCATCAATGGGAAGCTCCTTGGATATTTTTACTCAAACAAGAGGTTAGAGTGAAAAGACATGGGGTTTGAGATGAAGAACATGATTGGTTTAGGCTAATCAGAATGTATTCCTGAGTTACACTGGGATGAAGTGAACACTGGAAATAGTGAACTAAGGTAGGTAGTATTAGAAGTATACAAAAACTAAATCAATTTGGCCTCCTGATCAAGTGTCAGATCCCAAAGCCCATCTACTTTCTAATGTGCATTGTTTCTAATTTCCTTGTGTGTCCTTATGCTATGGCTTGAGGCAGGGAAAAGTTCACAAATTGCCTCTGGCCTGAGAATACGTTTTCATATTTCCAAAGGTTATTCCAAGCTGTCTTGTGGGCAGAATGCACCATCCACTCCTTGAGGAGTCTGAACTCAGGTTCTAGAGAATTTGGAAATATTATTCTTCATATGTCTCCCTTTCTCAAAACTAAGAAGTAAAAATTTGTCAAAGGAGGGCTAGACACATGAGGTAATCTCACAGTTTCAAAATTTAGAGCTCCTTTAATCATTTTTAAGATGGTTTTGCTAGTATTAACTTTCTTGTTGCTCATAACATTAACTTTAATATAAACGCTTGGTTTTTTTGACTAGAAAAATAAATGATCAATTTGGGAAATTTGTAAAAGTTCTCTTAACTGGTATCCATTTAACAGACTGGCTAGATCAACACTCTATTTTTTTCTGTAAAACATACAGAAATAAATGCCCAGGGGATACTGAATTTGCTTACGGCTGGCAAGCCTATCTGGCAATATTTGCAATATCTCCTCCCATAGGTTGATTTGTATGCCAGAATGGTTACCAGAATAAGGTTATTTATTCACAAACTCATTTATGCCAGTTGTACCTATTACTGTGTTTATGAAGTGTAATTAAATGTCATATAAACCCAGAAAATATGCATATGAAAAGAAAGCTATTGAGCCTATAAAAATAATTTGAGTTCTTTGGAAAGACTTGATAAAAAGTAATTAAAATTTGCTGTTTAATTAGGTGTGGACATAATACATTTTTTAAAAATTATAATAATCTGTACTCAGATCATTCCTAAACCTCTTTAAATCCTTGCTAAAGAAGCCAAAAAGGAGTAGTTTATAAAAGAAAAAGAAATGTGAACTCCAATTAGCAGGATAGTACTCAAAAAAAGAAAAGGCCTGTGTTCTTAAAGAAAACAAATGAATATTTAGCGCAAAATTTTAAAATATTTAGGATATATATGCACTTTACTTTTGATTCTCTGCTTTGACAGAGTTTAAATTAACTGATCAACTGCCTATCTTAATTGCTTAATAATATGCATAATCCTACCAGCATCAATGTTAATCCTGATTGCTACGTTGCAGCATATCTACTCTAGGTCTTTTCCTTACATCCGTTTTACATGGTTTAGGATTAGAGCATAATATACACACAAATTTGTAACTCCCTTTTTTATTGACAGTATATTAGCATTTCCCCATATATAATCACATTCTCTTTTCCAATTGACTTTTAGTTTTATAGTGTCCTATTTTTATAATAGAATATTACATATATAGCAAAAATGCACAGCTCAATGGCTTTTGCTATTTCATATATCTACATGCCAAAAAGTTAAATCAAAATATAAAACATAACTATCAACCACAGAAATTTCCCTCATGCCCCTTTCCAGTTAATCACCACCACTACTACTTCACAGGCATCAACTTTCTGATTTTTCTTACCATAGTATACTCGATATGGTTTGCCTGTGTCCCTACCCAAATCTCAACTTTGTGTCTCCCAGAATTCCTATGTGTTGAATTGTATCTCCTAGAACTCCCATGTGTTGTGGGAGGGACCCAGGGGGTGGTAGCTGAATCATGGGGGCCGGTCTTTCCCATGCTATTCTTGTGCTGGTGAATTAAGTCTCATGACATCGATGGGTTTATCAGGGATTTCCACTTTTGCTTCTTCCTCATTTTTCTCTTGCCACTACCATGTATGAAGTGCCTTTCACCTCCTGCCATGATTCTGAGGACTTCCCAGTCATGTGGAACTGTAAGTCCAATTAAACCTCTCTTTCTTCCATCTTGGTTATGTCATTATCAGCAGCATGAAAATGGACTAATACGGTAAATTGGTACCAGGAGAGGGGGGTATTACTAAAAAGTCACCTGAAAATGTGGAAACAACTTTGGAACTGGGTAACAGGCAGAGGTTGAAACAGTTTGGAGGGCTCAGAAAAAGACAGGAAAATGTGGGAAAGTTTGGAACTTCCTAGAGACTTGCTGAATGGCTTTGCCTAAAATGCTGATAGCGATACAGACAATAAGGTCCATGTTGAGGTAATCTCAGACGGAGATGAGAAACTTGTTGGGAACTAGAGTAAAGGTGACTCTTGTTATGTTTTAGCAAAGAGACTGGAGGCATTTGGCCCCCCTCCCTAGAGATTTGTGGAACTCTGAACTTGAGAGACATGATTTAGGGTATCCAAAGGAAGAAATTTCTAAGCAGAAAAGCATTCAAGAGGTTACTTGGGTGCTGTTGAAGGCATTCAGTTGTATAAGGGAAGCAGATCATACAAGTTTGGAAAATTTGTAGCCTGACCATGTGATAGAAAAGAAAAACCCATTTTCTGGGGGGAAATTCAAGCCAGCTACAGAAATTTGTATAAGTAGCAAGGAGCCTAATGTGAATCCCCAAGACCACGGGGAAAGCATCTCCAGGCCAAGTCAGAGACCTTCACGGCAGCCCCTCCCATCACAGGCCTGGAGGCCTATGAGGAAAAAGTGGTTTCATTGGCTGGGCCCAGGGTCCTCATGCTGTGTGCAGCCTAGGGACTTGGTTCCCTATGTAACAGCCACACCAAGGGTGTGGCTGAAAGGGGCCAATGTACAGCTTGGACTATGGCTTCAGAGGATGGAAACCCCAAGCCTTGGCAGCTTCCATGTAGTGCTGAGCCTGCGGATGCAGAGAAGTCAAGAATTGAGGTTTGGGAACCTCTGCTTAGACTTTAGAAGATGTATGGAAACTCCTGTATGCTCAGGCAAAAGTTTGCTGCAGGGACGGGGCCCTCATGGAGAACCTCTGCTAGAGCAGTGCAGAAGGGAAACGTGGGGTCGGAGCCCTCACACAGAGTCCCTACAGGACACTGCCTAGTGGTGCTGTGAGAAGAGGGCCACCATCCTCCAGATGCCAGAATGGTAGATCCACCACCAGACCGTGCACCTGGAAACACTGCAGACACTCAATGCCAGCCCATGAAAGCGGCCAGGAGGGAGGCTGTACCCTGCAAAGCCACAGGGGTGGAGCTGCCCGAGACCGTGGGAACCCATCTCTTGCATCAGCATGACCTGGATGTGAGACCTGGAATCAAAGGAGATCATTTTGGAACTTTAAGATTTGACTGCCCTGCTGGATTTCAGATTTGCATGGGCCCTGTATCCTCTTTGTTTTGGCCAATTTCTCCCATTTGAAGTGGCTGTATTTATCCAATATCTCTATCCCCACAGTAGATAGGGAATAACTAGCTTGCTTTTGATTTTACAAGCTTATAGGTGGAAGGGTCTTGCCTTGTCTCAGATGAGACTTTGGACTGCAGACTTTTGGGTTAATGCTGAAATGAGTCAAGACTTTGGGGAACTGTTGAGAAGACATGATTGGTTTTTGAAATGTGAGGACATGAGATTTGGAGGGGCCAGGGGTGGAATTATATGGTTTGGCTGTGTCCCCAACCAAATCTCCAACTTGGGTTGTATCTCCCAGAATTCTCACGTGTTGTGGGAGGGACCTGGGGTCGGGGCAGGGGGTAACTGAATCATGGGTGCTGGTATTTCCCATGCTATTCTCATGATAGTGAATAAGTCTCACAAGATCTGATAGGTTTATCAGGGGTTTCTGCTTTTGCCTGGAACTTATTGTCCATATCACTATCAGCATTTTTTGGGCAAAGCCATTCAATAAGTCTCTAGGAAGTTCCAAACTTTCCCACATTTTCCTCTTTTATTTGTGAGCCCTCCAGACTGTCGCAACCTTTGCCTGTTACCCAGTTCCAAAGTTGCTTCCACATTTTCAGGGATCTTTTCAGCAACACCCCACTCCCCTGGTACCAATTTATTGTATTAGTCCATTTTCATGCTGCTGATAAAGACATACCCAAGACTGGGAAGAAAAAGAGGTTTAATTGGACTTACAGTTCCACATAGCAGGGGAGGCCTCAGAATCATGACAGGAGGCAAAAGGCACATCTTACATGGGCACAGGAGAAAAAAAGACAAGAGAAAGTATCAGAAATAGTGGTCATGTCAGGTATAGAACTAGAACAATGAGCAAAAACAATAAGTAAATACCTGATAAGAACCAGAAGTCTGAAGTTTCTAATATTCCACATGTGTGTTGATGAAAGACTATTTCAGATGCTGGCTGTCCTCTACCTTCTAATTGTAACTAGCTTAAACAGACACTCTTGGACATAATAAAACCTCAAGAGAGGTGACTTATCACATTATTTACTTTCTATTCCTATAAACAGATAATTCTTTTCTTAAATGTATATATTTCAAATCTATCCAATTTTCTCCATTTCTACTGCTGCCATCAGTCTTCAGCACATCCTCTCTCACCCAAAATACTACAATAACCTCCCAGCTGGTCTATTTCTTCTGTTGCCCCAATCCAATTAATTCCGTACATATTTGCACAAGTGGTCTAAAGATATTATTCAGATCATGTCACGCCCCTACTTGAAGTCCTTCCAAGACTTCCCATTGTACTTAGAATAAACTTCAAGTTCCTATTGTCACCTCTAAAGTGTGGAAATAAAGACCAACGATATGAGAAAAGCAAAGTCTATATAGAGTTTGCTATAGCAAGGAAGTCAACTCTATTATTTGCATTTTGGCAGAGCCTCAAAGGAAGCCAAGGCAAGAAAACTTTACAGTAGGAAAAAGGGAAGGCTTCAGATGTGCCCTGATTGGCTGTTGGCATGGGGAAGTGGCAGGCAGCTAACTAGAAGTAGGCATTCTATGTGATTGGTTAGGGATGCATATTTGGCTTTCTCTGCTAGGTCCTAAGTTAGAAGTAGGGACACACACACACACACAAAGCTGACAGCTTTTATTAATCAAGCCCTGGCCATTTTGTGCCAATTGTTACGGAAGTTACTGTTTAGCCTCCTGGATTGTCATTAGAGATAGCAATCTGGCTTCCTGCAAGTCTGATATACAGCAGGCTGGCTTCCTGGGTTGTTTATTATAGATAAGGGGCTGGTTTTCTGGGCTGGTTGCTGCAGGTTGTGGACCAAAGTTCTGTTCTCATATATGGCCAGCCACTGTCCATTTGTATATTCAGTCTCTCAACAGCCTGTGTCATGAACTTTCTGCCCTCTGCTAAGGACTCACCTCTGTATTCATAGATGCTACTAAGTCCTGCCTCTCAGCATTTGCATATGCTTCTGGCATCGCTAACCCCTCTTCAGTCTTTATGCCTCAGCTTAAATGTCATTTCTTTATGACATTTTCCTTTCCCAGATCACCATACTTAAAGTTGGTTTGCACCACTGCTACTTAGTAAATATTAACCCTTGTTTGTTTTCTTCATCCTGTTCACAATTTTGTGATTATTTGTATTTATGTTTCTACTCTATTTCATCTGTCTGCTCTACTGGACTGCAGATTTTTGGAGACAGGATATTTGCTATTATATCTCCAGGACTAAAGGAGTGGCTAGCATAGAGTAGGCTTTCAACAAATTTGTTGAATGAATACTGTGTCACTTTCACTTTTTTATCTTTCCCTTGAGACCACTAAATTAGAAAGTTTTATATATGCTTGAAGTTTTACAGGAATGAAAAATATGATGAATTATTAAGTATTAGATTTTAAATTAGAAGCATTTCCATCCTTATGTAATGCATACAGCATTATTTTCTAATTCCACCCTTAAAATACTGTGCCTCTAATAGAATTATAACTCAAACCTATGATGCATACTGACTTTATTCTCTATAATTTGTTTTATTCAATAAATTAATACAAGATTTCTAATGAAACAACAGCAAAAACAACAACAGCAAAAAGCACTGCAAAGAAAATGCTTTAAAAACTTCATTTTGTTTCATTACATTCTGGCAAACTAACAAATGCCCAGAACACTAAAAATTGATAACCAACTTCAAGTAATTTAGTGCTATGCAGTACACATACAATGGTGAAATTATATGGAGTTATATTATATATTTAGTGGTTTTTTGACAAGTTAGAATGTATATCCACATCTTCATGTCTCACATTCATCTTTAATACTACAGAGAGCATTAGCTACTGCTTTATATGCATACATATATATGAATGGAGAAAGGAAAGCCATTTTGTTTGAAGACTGACCGGATAGGAGTAGATCTTATTTTACTTAATAATTAGAAAATAAAAAGTGGCCACTTCCCTGAATTGTACTTTCATATCAAACTCTTACTCTAAGAGATAAGGAAACAAGAGATTTTTCCTGCTTTCATACAAATATCATTTAAGATACTGTCCTTTCTTAAGTTCCAAATTTAGAAAACTGATTGGTGGACAACAGAGACATTGAAAATGAGGATACCATAGAAATGTGTTCTCATCATTTTTTTTCCAATCCAGGACCAACTGTGGACACACAGTAGGGGTTCGTATTATCCTTGCCATTATCCAATTGACCCAAGTGACAAGAAATCAAAATGTCTTTTGTAGTCTTTCGACTACATTAGAGATGGGAGGGGTGAAAGCTGCCGCCTTTTTCTTGACACCTTTTAAAACTAGGGAATCCATTTAATGTTGTGTGCATTATTCCAAAATGGTAATTACCCTGAAAATATATGATAAACACATGCTAATGAGATAAGCCAACAAGGGCAAAAAATCCACTTTAATAATGCAATCATAAGAGAAAGAGTTTTAAGTAGATATGAGGAAATTATCATAAATGTCAAGGCTCACAAAATACAATAAAAAGGATTGATGTGTTTTATACATGCTAAATCACTGGTGGGGATTTATTATCTACACAAGACTCCCAGCTGACAGAAAAGCAGGCTCACCACATAACAATAACTTTTGTTAAACATTACCATATAATTTTATATTTTTCTCTCTTTTTACAGTGAGCTCATAAATCAAAACTTTTCCCATCTACTAAACGGATATCAAATCTTGTGAATGAGGTAGGAGAAGTATTTTATGACTATTTGCATGAAAAAGGAAACTATTAGAAGAGGTACTAGTTATTTTTACAAGTATCACATCTATTTCTCTCTTAGCACTAAATACCAGTACCTCTGTTATCAAGCCTATAGTGAAAACTCACACTAAATCAGAGCTTCTCAAGACAAAATTAAGTACAGGGGAAGAAAGGGTTTAGGCTTATATTAAGAAATTTAAACAAAAATATAATTGGATACTACTTAAGCTTCCTCAAGAGGTGGTATAAAAATAATCTTGAAGAAATGGAATAGGGAATTAAACCAAGCAAGTGGAGAGAATTAATTTGGCGCGGGAGACCACAAGCATGCTAGAGAGTTCAACAGATTTTGGAAAGATAGAAATTTGGGAAAAGAATGTTGACGGTTGAAAAGAGAGCAAAGCAAGTTAAAAATATGCTCAGGTGTGAGCTGCAATAAAGTAGGATTCAGTCTTCTTGGCTTATCTCTAGGGACTCCAGGCTCCGAAGCAGGAGTGAGAAGGTGGGATTAAAACAGGGATGCTAATGGAATAAAACCTGGACCATTTTCCTTCCCCCTAACATATGCAGAGCAAACAGCAACTCATGGTGGTAATTTGCAGTTCAACCAAATGTATCAGAGAAATCTTTTGCAAACGGGTTTAGTAAACCTCCTGGGGAAAAAGCTGAGGCTATTGGCGTATTGACTCTATACCACATTTTTATGAGGGGGGAAAAAAAAGAAGAGGACGACAATGTCCAGAACCATAAAAGTCATAAATCTTTAGACTACAGGACCCTACTCAGTGCCAAGTAGATTCATTGAAGACAGACTTAAACCTTATGTTTTTAGCTTAAAACTAAAATTTACTTCAGGTTTGAGAAGAATAAATGAAATCAAGATACATTGGATGTCTGGCTATACACATAAAAATAGATAACAGGCTGGTTTGGGCTCTTGAAGACGAGGTTAAGTTACAGATCATTTTGTAGGTTGATACCATAGTGCTGTACTTTACCATTGACTGGTCTTCGCCAGTATTGCCCTGTAATATTCACATGTACCCAAAAAAGAACTAATCCAAGGGTAAAATTTATCCAGTCTTCAATTAACAAAGCCATTACAACAGTAAGTATCAAATATTCTGACAGAGGGACTGTGTTGAGTTCACAGTGCCAAGTCCAAAACTCTCATTTTTAAGATGGTGTTTAAATTAAGAGCACATAGGATCCAGGCCGTGGTGGATTCCGTATGGTATAAAAAGAAGTTTTCAAGCAATAATCCAAAATTAGTTTCATGAATAAGTAACCTATTATAAAAAGGAGCTCTTAGGCAATGAATTAGAAGATGTATTGTTTTAAATGTCAGCAATTCTAAGGTAAAGAAATAAAATATCCTAAAAGTTTCCAGGGCAAGGTTTGGGGAAATAGGTTGCATACAAAAGAAAGTAAGAATTTGGATGGCATCAGACTTCTCATTTATACAAAAAAACAATGTGTGGTACTTTTAAAGAACAGAGGAAAACTATTTTGAACTAGATTTCTAGACAAGCTATACTATCAATCAAATATGAGTGCAAATAAAGACATTTTAGGCATGTAAAGACTCATGACTTCTTGCCAAGACAGTTTAATTACTTGAAAACATATTGAAATAAGCAAAATCAGTCCAAATCAAGGAAGGGAAAAATGTGAAATCCAAGAAACACTAGAAAGAACAGAGAAGTGAAATGAATAGTATCACAGTAAAATCAAAGTGGAATAAGTACAAAAAGCCATTGGTCAAAAGTATATCAAGAAACCAGTTAGCACCAAAATGGTCTTCAAAAAGAAATGTATAGAATAAATGCCGTTCCGGAGATACAACGATTAAAGGGTAGAACCTTTAAAGTGATATGGTAAATAAGACATTCATTTTCTTTCAACAAGAAGAAATGAAAGGCAATTAGAAACTCCAGGGAAATATACACATGCATACACATACAGGGTAAAGTCTATATGACATAATTTTCAGATTCAGATGGCATTAAAGATAACTCATTTGGACCTTAATCATAGAAATTTTTTATTCAAGTTGTACAACGGTCACGATTTGAGATCCATTGGAAAATATATAATTCTAGTATATCATTCTTATATGTGAGATAAGTAGCTAAATGCTGTTTGTTGTTAACTTGTAGATCAAACTACAGAGAAAGCACAGATAATTAAGGATACAAAACAGAACATAAAGCTATCAACCTTGACAGTAAAAAATAAAAATTAAGGGATAGCTGTCAACTGCTGGAGGCAGATGTGGGAGCAGATAAATGAAGGCAAAGGTAGAGGCAAAAATCTCAACTCACTAAAAAATCAAAAGAAACTACTAAAATTTATTAAAATAAGAAATAGTGCTTTTGAGTATATTATTTAAAACTACACCATTACCAGTAAAATAACTAAAAATTATAACAAGTTAGGAGGAGGAGTGAAAGGAGTATATAAAGTTTATAAATAAATAAATACTGTTTAGTTTATTAAATACTATTTATTTTTATGATGTACCACTATAAAGGCAAAAATACCCAACTGGAAATCTGTTATTCTTATTTACAAGCTGTTGCATCATCCAACTCTTGTGCACAGTCTGACAGCTCCTTGGCCCCATCTGTGTTTCCAGCCACGCTAACTGTGACCTTTTGAGTCAGGCTTCAACTTATTTCACACAAATGGCTCCTTACCTCAAGTGCACACCACCTTCAATGCCTTCCTGCTATACCCCAAGGCTTCTCTGATGCTACTGTAGTGCTCAAAACAAGTCAGAGGTGCCCCTGTGTGTCTATGGGCAACTCTGGGTGTATGGAAATCAATGATCAAATGTTTCTCCACGTTGATCTTTGGACAGGTCATTCTGAGGTATTCTACATAGTCCTCATATGATATCGCGTGATGAGCTGCAGCTGTCCACAGTGGGATGAACTCAATAATGCCCCTTTATCATAACTTTCTGTTTTTGTTTTTGTTTTTTGTTTTTTGAAATGGAGTTTCTCTCCTGTTGCCCAGGCTGGAGTGCAATGGTGCAATATCGACTCACTGCAAACTCTCCCTCCCGGGTTCAAGAGATTCTCCTGCCTCAGCCTCCCGAGTGGCTGGAATTACAGGCATGTGCCACCACACTCAGCTAATTTTTTTGTATTTTTAGTAGAGGCAGAGTTTCTTCCATGTTGGTCAGGCTGGTCTGGAACTCCCCACCTCAGGTGGTCCACCCGCCTCGGCCTCCCAAAGTGCTGGAATTACAGGCGTGAGCCACCGCGCCTGGCCAATAACTTTCTTATTTATTTTAAAATTCTTCTTAGTCCTTCCCTTCTCTGTTTGAACACTTCACAAATAAACTACCTGCCCACAGGCTCTTATCTTAAAATCTCCTCACAGGAGAAACCTAAACTAGGACATCTCTTCTGCATCCTTTAATTTTTGTTTTTTCCATGTGCCTGCATTACATTTATTTTAAAAATCTTACAAATATTTGCATTATTATAGATCATGTATTCCTCTCACAATTATATGTGCAAAGACAAGTCTTAATTTCTCTTCTGTGGTTCACTGACAATTGTTACTATGCACTAGGCACTCACGGTATGCTTAAAATGATTTCTCATGTCAAGGAGATGCTAGGTCTAGAATCACAGCAGGGAATAATGATGAACATATAAAATTCTAGTCAATGGAGTATCAAACTGGGAAATACAAAGGCAAGAAATACAATTTGAAACTGACAACATTCTCACAATGATTGAGCCTGAATCCCTTTTCTTCTTTTTATAATGTTTACCTCTCAAGGAACTGAAATGAGTTTTTAATGATTTTCAAGTACTTCTTAAGGGCTTGAGTGCTGAGATTTTACAATGTATTATACATTTAAACTATTTACAGATCTCAAAAGACTGAAGTGAATAGGAAATGCCCTGGGCGAGGAGTCAGAAGATATAAATCCTTGATCCACCTGTGCCTCTTATTTTTGTTATAACATTAAGGCAAGGAATGCAAACCTTCCAAGCCTCAGTTTCCTCATCTGTAATGATAACGTTAGCACTGCCAAATCTCATTTGTTATCCTTAAAGCTTTATAAACCAATATGTGTAAAAGCTTTTAGGAAACTACCAAATATACTGTAAAACAAGGGCATTATTATATCCGTGGAAGTATATGGTTATAGTCACTGAAAGACAGAAAAGCTTCTATTAGGAGAATGTCCAAATTGGACAGTTTTTAAGCTGAGTGCCCAAGAATAATGCCTGGCCATTCTAGGGCCAACTTTGTTAAATAATTGCTCAAGGGCAGCCAGCAAGAGTACATTGCTTGCTGTCATATTCTTTTGAAAAAATATGAATCACTTACTAACACGCAAACATCAAGAAAGTTGACCTAAGAAACAAAACTTTTGGCTCCCCTGTAAAAGTTAGGGATGTGACCACCTGACCTGTGTACTGGAATGGTCACTATTCCTAGTGTTGAATGGGCTGTTTCCCATAGAGGGAGCAGGCACCTGTCATCTGCCACAGCCCCCACAAACCCTTTACCTTGCACCTGGCCTGCCTTACTTATTTAGATTATCAGTTTGACCCCTGTAACATTTGGGTTTGAAGCTGCTTTTCTAGCATGGGTAAATGCCCTCCCTAGTATATGAGAAAGGAAACTGTGCAGATTGGAAGACAAGGATGTAGAGCTAAGGAGGAGAGGAGAAGGGGACTATTAGGGGTTCGGAGAGGAGAAGGGGAATATTAGGGGTTCTTAAAACATGGTCAGAAGCCCCATTTATTCCACAGGCCTTGAACTTTTTTTCAGTGGGAGAATGGTCTCAGAAAGAAATTCTACCCACAAAATTACATTGCAAATTTCCCACTAGTCAAATTTTTTAAAAAATTTAAGGTATCTTTTGAATTCTACATAAAAATATAATTTTTGTGACTGACTTCAAAGCAAAAGGGAACATTGTAGCTCTGAGGACAGAGAATGCTACCTAATTTTTATGTTTGCTTGATGATAATGCTCTAGTGACTTTCAAGAGAAAGCACTTAAAAAGAATAAATTGAAGTTCACTGCATCTTATTAATTTGTTTTGCAAGGACAATGGAAACTGCTGCATTAAATTATTCATTAAATACATCTTACTTTACTCACTTTGCTTTCTTTCTATATTGCTTCTTAGGATGTTATCACTTTAATTATTAAAATAGCCCCTGTGAGGTTCATAGTAATTATTACTATCCTGGCACCGTTATACAGAATGGAAATAAAAAGACAGATAAATAGAAGATAATACTGCACATCATAACATTAAAACTACAAAAGCCTAGTAACAGTAACCAGCCAAGAAATAGTCTCAATCCAGGCATCATTTTCACCTTGTGTTGGGACATTCCACTATAAACCTGGACAGTTTTTCAGACCATGGAAAACCACATGGTAAAGCATAGTGATGACAGGGACACAGTTCAGCTGGCCTTCAGACTCTAAAACTTTACATGTATTTTCCTGCATTTCTCTTATTGACACTCTGTCTCTTCACTGGCATGTCATCTGCCCTCTCCCCAGTACTGAAACGGGAGAGTTCCCTGACCTACTGGAGGGACTTGTAACAGGATGTGGCTCACTTGCTCTGTTTGAGCTTGGTGTACTCAAACCCCTTACAGGAGTGGGAACATGCAGACAGGCAGCTGCAGGAACCAGGGCGAGTGCTTTTGGGTTCTGACCTCACAGTGGCATCTAGGGAATGTGTTACAATTAACGCTCTTTTAGCAGTTGCCATCCACAGGCGGCTAAGTGTTAAACCAGCTCAGTGGAGAGTCACAGTGACAGCCTTTTACACCCTGCCCTCTTGGTACCTGGGTCCTTGCCCACTGTCCAGGAAGAATCAGGTCAAACAGACTTGATGAGTGGTGAATGTGGGGATTTTATTGAGTGGTAGAGAGTGGCTCTCAGCGGGATGGATGAGAAATTGGAAAGAATATGGAGTGGGAAGATGATCTTCCCCTGGAGTTTGGCCATCCCACAGCCAATCTCCTCTCCAACCATCCCCAGGCGAACTCCTCTCCATGTTTGGATGCTCCTTCTCTTCTCTCCTTCTCTGCCATGTGGCTCTGATGCTCTTCTGCTCATCTGCTTATGGAACATTGGGTTTGGGGTTTTTATGGGTAGAGGATAGGGCGCGTGGCAGGTCAAAAGGCAACATTTGGGCCTGAAAAGAGGAATGCCTCTTCCCATTTAGGGCCACGGGTTTCCAGGCTTGAGGGTGGGGCCTTTGCCAGGGAACCGCTTTCTTCTACCCAGTATTTCCCTGCCTCATATCCATATCAATACCACCACTTCACAGACACACACACACACACTCACACACCCCTGAATGGTGGCACCTTTGACAGTGGAGGACTAAAAGTGAATAGTCCAAAAGGAGTAAAAGAAGAAAACTGGCTGCATAAAAGGTGTTCTTAGGTTTGAGACTCCCATAAGTAGAAGCCAAGGAAACCTAAAAGTTTCATTCAATTGTCCTGCCAAGGACAGAAAATGAGACAAATTCCTGGCAGACAATCTATCCAAGACTGGGAAGAATTCATCTGATGAAAAAGCCCTGTGCCATTTATTCTGGAAATCAATGTTAAATATAAGGCAGAAGAACAATAAATCCTAGCATTCAGTGATTTTAGGATTTTCAAAACACTCCCTCTTTATAACAAACCAGCTTATTTAAATTCATTTTCACATCATAAGATCAGAGATCTCAGTTGAAACATGAAATTATATACCTTGGAAAAGAAAGCATTTAAAGGATAAATGTATTTACCCTGATGTATTTGTGCAAATGCATTTACACTGATAATCAAATGTAATTGCATAGGAAAAGGGGAATTCTAAAATACTTGCTGGAGAGCTTTATATAAAGGTGAAGTGTTGGAGAGTCATTATTGCAAAAGAGAGCGAAGTTTATTTTTCATTTTCTACTCTTTTTCTCTGTCATTCAACTTTTAAACTCTTCTGAACATGCTTTCAAAATTTCTATTTTCATCTATTTAATTCAATTTTTTAAATTACTGCACGTATCCTATCAAAATATGATAAAGAAAAGATTAGTATGACAGATACAATTTTACTCCTTAGCAGTGGTTGCAATTTTAGTTTTTCTATGAAAGAGGCAATATCTAAATACCTTACTAATAAACACACATAAAATTTATTAGCCCTTAAATATTTAGTTTGCTCTCCCTGAAAGGAGCTAATAAGCAATTAAATAATATCTATGTAGATGGAGGAAATAATCCCTTTGGGAGGAATATTGACAATGGGTAATCAAGACTCAATCCTGGGGTGAGGATAATGTTTCCAATTCAGAGGATGTGGGCACAGGAACTTGACATCAAAACAAACATTAACTCTCCATGACTCAGAGTGAACTTACCCTCCCACATGTTTTAAGCAACCAGCTCTTTCCCCTCTGCCAAAAAAAATAGGCATAGTCAAAACTCTTCATTCCCCCTTCTTTACTGAAATATTTTGATAGTTTTTAAATGCTGATGCTCCCTTAAAGGGGAGCTTTTAAAAATAATTATTACTCACATTTAATACTTCTCAGTCCAGAAAAGTGCAAAGGGGAAAGGCTGCAGGAAAATGTAGCTCAGAGTTTCAGTGATAGTCACATCTTTTCTTAATTTACCTTTAGGTCACAAAAACCTTGAGAACAGGAACAATGTATTTTCCATTCATGTAAAATCCCTTGGGTAATAGCACAATGTCTTCCTTTCGATGAATGCATTCCTACGGTTTAGGAATTTTCTCAGAATCTTAAAAAACACTTTCTTTCGCTATGACTACAATCATTCCTTCTCCTTAACACTGAGAGAAAAATATAAAGCTTCTTTTACGTGGATTTTTAGGAGAATATATAGGTTAAGCAAAGCAGAAACAATAGGTAAAATACTATGTAGAATAATTCAGTCTCTTTTGTCATTCTCAATAGAATTTTAGACTTTTTATTCTTTCTAAAAAGAAAAAAAGATCATTTCAAATTATGCATCTTGTATGTGTGTAATAAAGATCTATGAACTCAAAAAGAGCGTGCCTCATAATTGCTAGCATAATTCTTTCATGGATCTGAAATTTGAGTTGATGCTGCTGGATTCAGAGTCTGCGCCTGGGAGGTCTGTATATATTCATAAAGGATTAAAATATTCTCAAATAGAACAAGCTGAATAAACATTCACATTTTAAAAAATGTATGTATGAAGAGTATATTAGAATACTTGAATTATAAATTCAACACTGTGCATTATTTTGACATCATTAGCAGAAACCATTACAACATCTAGTCCATAATACAGCTAATATATTTGGTAACCAAGATCTAGAATTTTCAGTAAGAAAAAACCCAGTGTATTTTTTTCCTTCTGCTCATTTTTTATTTGAAACCTTTGAAAATAAGGATCAAAAATAACTTTATTCATGCAAACTCTAAAATAATTTTCATCTTATTTGAGTTTCTCATTTTTATTTAATGAAATGAGCAGGGTATATAATCCCCAAAAAATTTTAGTTCTAAATTATCTGATATATTACTCTATAGCAAACTTAAGATTTTCAAATGAAAACGAAAGCAATCCACAAAGATTTTATATGAGAAAAAATATACTGAATGCAAATAAGGTATTGAAGGACATCTGTCACAGGAGATAGTGATAAAGAACTTAGAAACACACAAGGACTTTGCCAGTAAGTACAGACAACGCGGCCCCCAGCATGGCACTCATTCTTTCAGCATCACTCCTCAAGCTAGCAAGTAGCTCTTTCAGGTCATAAAATCCTTGAGAGCAAGAACAATGTCTTTTCCATGTCATGCAAAATCACTTGGGTGATAACATCAGCCTCTGAAATTATTACTGTTTTTGTTAATAACTTACCTTAGGCAAATTATCTCATTAAACTTTCACAAAAATTCTATAAAGTATTACTTAAACGCACTTTACAGAGGAGGAAATACTCCAAGAGGTTAAATAATTTGTCCAAGATGACACATCTCCAGTAAGTATCAGGGTGGGAATTGAAACCAAGATATTCTGAGTCCCAAGCCCCACTTGTTTGAAATGATTAGATTTTGTTCATTATTGTTACACTGTAGAAAAAAATAAGCAATTTTTTTTATCGTTTGGAAACTTTATCTTTACAAGTCACAGAAAGGACCTGCATTTCCCAGGAAGGCTTAACTATTTTTGTCCTCATGAGACTCTATCCTCTGAATCCCCACAGCTCATATCACTTGGCATCTAATAAGCCCTGCCTTGACCCCCTCAGTTACTTTATCATATGACACGATGTGGTTTCTCTCCAGCCTCTGTGAGTGCCTTAAAAGCAGAATCCCTCATTTATGTTCCCGATTCTTCACGGTAGTTGGTAAAGGGCTTCATATTAATACATTAGCTGACTCCAATATGGGTGGTTCAAGAAATTGTTGATTTCTTGGTCACTTAAAAAAAATGTTTCTGTGGTCACTATATTGTATCTCATAATCGTAATTATAATAAAACAAAATTGATTTATTCAATTAGAAAGAGGTTTACTTGAATTATGACAAGAAAAGTACTTTTCTGTGGTAATTCTCCATCTGAAATTATAAAGTTTGAATTAGGCCTATGAGTCTATATGGGAGTCCTCTAGGAATATTTTTGTTTGCCATTCCTAAATAAATTCAAGAAAAAAAAAAAACATCCTGCTAGCAAATTTCTTAACCAGTGGTCTTTCGCTACTTCTCTTCTTTAGTGTTTAATTTCTAATATCTACTACCCCAATTCCAGGGTCAAGCCTGTGTCCCATTTCAGAGACTCTCAACTCCCCACCAACACAAATGTTATTGACAACATTTGTACTATCCCTTCCCAATGGCATAAGTATTGTTTATTTATTATTTTGATAAGTTTTGGGGGAACAGGTGGTGTTTGGTTACATGAGTAAGTTCTTTAGTGGTGATTTCTGAGAGTTTGGTGCACCCATCACACAAGCAGTGTACACTGTACCCAGTGTGTACTCTTTTATCTCTCACTGCCCTCCTCCGACTCCTTCCCCATGAGTCCCCAGGGTCCGTTGTATCATTCTTATGCATTTGCATCCTCATAGCTTAGCTCCCACTTGTGAAAGAGAACCCAGAATGTTTGTTTTTCCATTCCTGAGTTACTTCACTTAGAATAATGGTCTCCAATTTCATCCAGGTTGCTGTGAATGCCATTATTTTGTTTCTTTTTATGGCTGAATAGTACTGCATGGTATGTGTGTGTGTGTGTACATATATATATCTCACATTTTCTTCATCCACTCATTGATTGATGGGCATTTGTACTGGTTTCATATTTTTCCAATTGCAAATTGTGCTGCTATAAACATGCGTGTCAAAGTACCTTTTTCATATAATGACTTATTTTCCTCTGGGTAGATACCTAGGAGTGGGATTGATGGATCAAATGGTAGATCTACTTTTAGTTCTTTAAGGAATCTCCACACTGTTTTCCATAGCGGTCATACTAGTTTACATTCCCACCAACAGTGTAAAAGCATTCCCTTTTTACCACATCCACATCAACATCTATTTTTTTTAATTGTTTTATTACAGCCACTCTTGCAGGAGTAAGGTAGTATTGCATTGTGGTTTTAATTTGCATTTCCCTGATCATTAGTGACATTGAGCATTTTTTTCATGTTTGCCCAATAGCATGTGTGTTTCAATAGAGTGCTTCTGAAAACTGAAAGACTAATAAAGATAAAGCCTTTATTATTTAAGGTACACCCTAAGCTGCTGAATAAAGGACTCCTAAAATACAGTGGTTGAAATAAGATGAATGCTGTCTCCTTTCATGTAACAGTCTACATGTGAGCGGTCCTTGGTGAGAGTGGGGTTTCGCCATCTCCACAAGTGGCTTCCACAGTTGCTCCACTTGCCATTCCCCAGTTAGTTGAAAGGAGGAAAAAAAACAAGAGTAAGTCACTTCATCTTTAAGGCTGTCACCCCAAAGTTACACTTTTTCTATTGGCAATTTTTGGCCCAAACTTAGTTATGTCACCATATCTAGGTATAAGTGAGGCTCATAAATGCCATCTTTCCCTGGGCAGGCATGTGCATAACTAAAAATATGGGTTGTATTTCTAAAGAAAGAGGGAAGAATGGAACTTAAGGGGCAATAAGTGATCTCTGCAACAGAGACTGAAAAGATTACACCATAGATTTAAGATTAAATTGTAATAATTGGGATGAAAAAAGGAATAGAAGAGTATCTTAAGGATGTCTTGCCTGGTTTTTCTCTGAAGCACCGTGTGGATAACCTGTTCATAAAGCTTTTCTTTCCTCACAAAATGGAGAATGAGCTATAGTAAAGCAAGAATTCTAAGTGCAGAGGGTTAAAGGAGAGTCAAGAAATGAAGGGCTACTGTGAGAATTATAGCTTGCCTGCTCAGAGAGCTCAGGGCTGTCACCTAGAGGAGCCGAAAGCCACATCTTCGGAACTCCTTTCAGGGTATGAGTATGTGTCTGTATGGTTGGCAAGACATGAGAAGGATCAGAGAATTCAGGCCCTATGAGTGCTAAAATCGGTCTCCTTGGGCATACGTCTGGCCTTCACTAAGTTTCTGTTACATGAAGAAGGTAAGTTACTTAAGAATTTGTGGCCCAGTGCGGTGGCTCACGCCTGTAATCCCAGCGCTTTGGGAGGCCAAGGTGGGCAGATCAACTGAGGTCAGGAGTTCAAGACCAGCCTGACCAACATGGAGAAACCCCGTCTCTACTTACGAAAGAACAAAAAAATTTTAAAAAAAATTGAAAAAAAAATTAGCCAGGAGTGGTGGCACACGCCTGTACTCAGGAGGCTGAGGCAGGAAATAGCTTGAACCTGGAAGGCAGAGGTTGCAATGAGCTGATATCGTGCCATTGCACTCCAGCCTGGGCAACAAGAGCGAAACCCTGTCTCAAAAAAAAAAAAAAAAAAAAAATTTGCTCACTATGCTTTAGAAAACTGGCTGGAATCTATTCTGACCCAGGATAGCCCTAACTGAATCTTCCCTAAATCCGGTGTACACACCCACATACACACACTTCCTATAAAAACAACCAGCAATGTAAAGTGAAAATACAAAGGAAGCACAACCTGAAAACTGACAGTGCTGGGTCAGGAAAAGTGTGAAGAACAGCACCGACTGCTGACAAAAAGATGTCAATCATCACCTGCATGGCTCTTCACCAAGACCTGTATTACTATTCACCAAGTTCTTTGCCAGCAGATAAAGGTGGAAACAAATTCACTGGAGAACCCATATCATTGTTTTCTGAGACAAGTTGTTTGACCTCTTCAATTTCTTTCATTCTGAACAGAAAAGTACCTTCACAGCTGCCACACGTTTTAAGTTCAACTATAATGAATTCAAGTCTAATGAATTGTTTGTAGATTCCTAAGAAGTCAAGTTTGTTGGCAGAAGTTACATTTTTCTTTTCTGTAAATAATTCTGCCCAAAAGTCAATAAAAATGGTAGCTCTAAAAAGTGAAACATGAATTTTTACACCCATAACTGCACCCTACGGGTAACTCTGTCCTCTCAGTAAAATTTTGGCATTTTTCTTTTATCTTCACCCTCTCTATCTTTTCCTCCCTCAATAAACAGACTAGTGAGCAAAATACTGTCTCTTATCTTTTAACATAAATCATTCAAGATACATATTTATAAAAATCTAAAAAAAAAAAATTAGGCACTCACCCATACTACATAATGCCTGTTGGATTATTGGTTTCTGACATTTTTCAAACATTTTGGTAATAAGTTGTAGGAGTTTACATCACTCCATGATGATGAGAGTTCATACCACTACTGTCATTGCAACAATCAATGTATAATAGATACTGCATCAATTGTATAGCACATTATCAGATTCCTAGTTTGGATGAAAACATCTGCTCAATTCAAATTTCTTGGTACATTGTCTTAATCCTGCTACTTGATTTTAAGAAGAAAATTCTAGGAAATATCCTGAGTGCTTTTATCCTGACATTCAAGATAGCTTTCTTCATTCACTGGCTAAGCTCATGGATCACGTGTGTGACATGCAGGCAGGTATGAATGCATTGAAAAGACCTATGCAATCAAAAGCACCATATGTCTGAATTGCTAATGCACGCATTTCACAAAATTGGAGACTGGAATTTATTCTGTTGGCTCCAAAGTCCAGGACGGTCTAGATTTTTCTAAGAGAAAGCATGTAGCTTAAATCACCCTTTACACAGAGCAAATTCAATGGATGGTCCTCAACACTATATGCAAATAAATATAGGAATAAAGTATTACTTTTAACAGTGCATTTAGCTCTGAGAACATTCTGTTTGCTAATAATAGTATAAGATCTTAAAGGTCAGTAATATCTCCAATATATTTTATATACAATATATAAAACTCATTTTTGACAAATATTTATTGAGTATCTACTATGTGCCAGGTTTTAAACAATAGTAAAGTAGAAGGCATATGTCCTCACAAACTCACATGCTATAACTAAACATTTGGTAAAACACCATAAGGGTAGAGAACTAGTGGCTTTCAGAGTGAAAAAAGGGAAATATTTTAAATGTTGAGGACCTTAGTTTGAATCTTTCACTCAGGTCACAAAATACTATATGATTTATTCCCCATTTGGCTACCAGAATACACTTCCACAGAGAAATGAAAAATTTTCCTCTGGGGAAACTTACCTAAGACCTAAATATACTTACATTGAGAATTTCCTAAAGAAATGCACCACAGTCAACGAATTCTACC
Organism: Homo sapiens; assembly: GCF_000001405.40. NCBI lineage: Eukaryota > Metazoa > Chordata > Mammalia > Primates > Hominidae > Homo > Homo sapiens. The sequence goes on from NC_000005.10 coordinate 126,131,249, forward strand.
AAGAACATTTTATGACGCCTTTCTCTTAAATATAGGGCAATAGCCACGGAACACCAAACATTTGATGAAAGCATATATTAGGAAAGGCAGAGGTCAAAATGAATAACCAAAAACAATGACAACTTTAAGGAAATAGAGACTGTACAATATAAAAAACACTCATTTTTAAAATTATTAATATATTCAATATAAAAATATTTTCTATCTATGAAACAAGAACAGGATGTTATTCTAAAAGATCTTTCAGAGATCAAGCATTTTAGATATTAAAAATATAGAAACACAGAATTATAAAAATTAATCAGAAAGAGGGAAGATAAAGTTTAAAGAAGTCTCCCAGACAGTAGGGAAAAAATAGAGAGAGAGTGAGAAAAGGTAATATTACAGGATCAGTCAAAGAAGCCCAACATCCAAATAAAAATTCAAGAAAGAGAAAACAGGCAAGAAATCAAAGAAATGATTTTTTTAAAAATTCTCAAGTTAAGGAGCATACATTTCCAGATTGAAATTATTCATTATTTGTTCAAATAAATTATTTAAAATAGATGTGTACCAGGGCATTTCACTGTGAAATTTCAGAGCACTACCTAAAATAGAAGATCCTATCAGCTTCCTGAAAGAATTTCATTCAAATAAAAGAATAATAACTGGTTATCTCATAGCCACAGTGGAAGCTAGAATAGGACAGGGTTGAGAAAGTACATGACTACCTTTTATTTAAAAAGAAAAAAAGTGTTATTAGAACAGAGCCATGCTAATTTGTTTACATATTTATATAGCTGCTTTGATGCTACAAAGCTTAGTTCAGTAGTTAAGCAGAGCTGCATAGTGCACAAAGACTTAACCTATTTACCATTCCACTTCTTACAGAAACAATTTATTAACACCTAAAATAGAGCAAAGCCTTTAACATTCTAAGGGAAAATTATCTTCAACATAAAATCTCATACCCTACCAAAGTTATGGTAGGCAGATAGAATGAATAAAACAATATTCAGACTTCCGAGTTCTCAAAAGTTTATTTTCTGCACTCCCCTCTTACTGAAACCACAGGAACACGGGAAGCATCAAAGTGAGGGAGTAAAACAAGAAAGAGGAGGGCATGGATCAAGGACCCAGGGTCTTCAAACAAGAGAGATGTAAAAGGAACTCCCAATATGCTATGATACCAGTCCAAGACCACCACACACAAGACCTAGAGAGCAACCAGGTCAGATCAAAACAAGCCAGAGACCTCTGGGAGAGGTTTATTCAAAGACGATCAATTGAAAAAACACTAATATATTTGAACACATAAAAATGAAACTTACACAAAAAGGATCGTTTGAGGTTTATTCATAGATATGTTTTCAGAAATCTAGGTAAACAATATCCATAAAGGACAATTATTAATTCTAGGGAAAAATTTGTGTAAAAAAAGAATTACCATAGTGTACTCTATGAATCAGTGACAAACAGCATTTACAGTATTGTAATAATGTCAAACTTCATATTGGCTCAAATGAAATTATAATAAAAAACACAGTGAAGAGACTCAGGGGCCAGAATTATGGGGTAGTACATAGAAGTAGGCTGAAAGCAAGTGACATCCTCATCTTCCATATGAAGGATTATATAGACAATATAAATTTTGAAGTATATGCATGTTACTTAGCTCTATATTCATGGTTTGGCAGTGATTGCCTCTGTCTGTGTGAGAGCAAATGGCCTGGCAGGAAATGGCAGGAGAGACTCTTGAGAAGTGTATAACATTGATAAAAATAAAAACCAACAAAAATATAACTAGAATTACAAAAGACCCCTGCAGAAAGTCTCTTGATAAGATCTACCAGACTACCCTATTAAGAAAAAAGTGGAGGAGAAGTGCATTTTGTCCCTAGTGAAAGGAGAGGACTGTGAGCCTTGGGGTTACAGTATCAGAAATGAAATTATTCCCAGGGTTGAAGAACCTTACCTAGGACGAGACCAAAGCAAAAAAAATTAAACTAGATTGAGACTGATTTTGCCTCCTTCTAAGGTTCTCTTTCTGTGCCCCCTTGCTTCTCAAGTTCTCCCAACTGGCATAAAGTGACTTCAAGTCCCTTTGGCTACCTACAACCTCCCCCGCATCTCCTACACCACTAATGCATATCTCATTTAGGCAAGTTTTCTCTAGGAAATGGCACAAATTATCAAATTATTTCTCCTCCTTTCTCCCCAAGTAAACTCCAACGCTCTGATAAGCTAACCCATAGTTAGAGCTTTAAACAAAAGTAAGCAAATTAGAATGGCAAGATAACACCAACAATCATAGTGATAGTTGAGTCAACATTTTTGCAAAAAGAATTTGCAATGCAAATTGGATACAGGAAGGAAATTTGCTTCAGGCTTGGATAGTAGGATTAGATGAGTGAAGTCAATGAATTAAAGCACAAATGTATGAGGCACTAGGACCATGGGGAAGGTCTTAGAACTATGGAGGTGTTAAACATTCTTTTGACTTCAAAAGTGAGGTAAGCCATGAATGTAGTGAGTAAATCAAGAACAGTTGTGTACATGGCATTTCCAATTGCCCAGGTCATAGCATCATCACCAAATGCTAATATATCCTGAGAAAAACAAGGTGCAACAAATAAAACTGAACAAATAGTAATTAGAGACAAAGCCAGAAGTGAACTACCTTGGGGTAGATATCTTACAAGTTCTGTGAAGGATATCAGAACTGGTTTTCTTATAAGCAAAGAATAATGTTCTGCTAAAAAGTAGTTAAAATGTGTGTAAAAGAACTAATCTGAGCATGTATCATTGAGAACTTCTGGTTATGGTACACACCTGTTCTTTGTGTCACTGACTTTGGTCAATACCAATGCAGACAATTCATCCATGCTGTGTCATGTCTTCTACCTGCTGTTAGAGTTGCCTGTAAGAAACATCTTAAAATTGCAGATGTCTTTCTTCTGGTAGCTTGTGTGAGTTGGCCTGGGGCCTGAGCTAGTGACACAGCTGGCCACTTGATCGACTCTTTCTCTCCCTTCCTAATAACCAGAAGGGTCAGGCCCACCCAGAAAAAAAAGGGAGAGGAGAAAATCAGTTAAAAGCCACCATTTATTGAATACTTTGGTTAGTGTGCTATGCATTTTAAATACATTACCCTTGATCCTCATGCCAGCTCCTAAAGGTAAGACTTTTATGCCTATTTTGGGGAAGAGGAATCTGAGTTTCAGGCAAATTACTTAGTTCGTTAAGGTCACCCATCCAGTAAGCACTGGAGCTAGTATTCCGACTGACAAATCCCGGGCTTTCTGTTGGAGATGAGTGTAAGGTAAGTAAGCCTTCCTCAAACTCTTCAAATCTACCACATGGGCTTGTTCCCCTCACTTCCCGCCATCCCAGCTCCACCCAGTGAATCCAGACTTGAACATCGTCAAGATATTAAAAAGTAACGGTCAGTGGGAAGTCAGGAGCCTAGAACCTCGTGATGAATTGTCGAAAATTGCATACGAAACTTCATGTTGAGATGGGAGAGTTCCCTGACCCCTCTCAGGACTTGCGACAGGAGCGTGGCCTGTTTGCTGCATGCTCAAATCCCTTATGGGATGGGAAACACACAGATGGGCAGGTGCAGGAGCCAAGGCAAGTGCTTTTGGGCTTCAGCCCCACAGTAGCATCTCGGAGTATGTTATGATTAATGTTCTTCTAGCAGTTGCCATCCACAGACAGCTAAGTGTTAAACCAGCTCAGTAGAGCGTCACGGTGACGGTCTTTCTACCCTGCCCTCTTGGTACCTGGGCCCTTATCCAGCATCCAGGAAGAATCGCGTCACACGGACTTGAAGGATGGTAAACGTGGGGATTTTACTGAGTGATGGAGGTGGTTCTCAGCAGGATGGATGCAGAGCTAGAAAGGGGATCAAGTGAGAAGATGATCTTTCCTTGGAGTCCGGCCATCCTGAAGCCAATCTCCTCTCCACCCATCCCAAGCTGAACTCCTATCTTCTCTCCTTCTCTGCCACACTGCCCTACTACTCTGCCACTCTTCTACTCATGGAGCCTGTGGTTTGGGGTTTATATGGGTGCAGGATAGGGGCATGGCAGGCCAGATTGGTCTTGGAAAAGGCAACATTGGGGAGCAAAAATAGGAATGCCTGTTCCCATTTACAGCCATGAGTTTCCAGGCTTGAGAGTGGTGCCTTTGCCAGGGAACCACCCTCTTCTACCCAGTATTTCCCTGCCTTCTGTTCATATCAATCTGAGTGGCAGACACAGACCATTCCCTAATAGAATATTTGATGGATCCAGAGAATGGTTACTCCATTTTCTGGTAGAACCACACAGAGGTGGCTGGATCTCAAACAGAGTAGCTCTCTGTAAAGAGGCTAGACACTGAGCGGCCAAGCCCCAGGCTCAACAAACATTCCCAGGCTGAAGACAGGCACAGAAGGAACAGAGCCATGAGGGCTTGGACACGGTGACTTGGTATCAGTGTGGGTCAAAGGTCATATGGCACACCCTGAAGGATGTACTGCAGTCATTTGCCAGGTAGAAACATATGCCTTATAATTATTAAATATCTCTAAAGTTTAGATATGTGTTTAGGTACAATTTTATCCAAAAAAAATAATACTTTAGTTATTAACACCATAGTTCATTTGTCAGACTTTCCTGCACTGGCCACAGTATTCAGCTGACCAGGGGAAAATGGTAGCTCTATAATGAGGACAGGTAACACAGTTTGCTTATGCTTTTACTGACTTTTCACTTATTGCTATATATTTCAGCTTTCATGCATTTGTTTGTAGGTTTATATAATCTCAAACAGAGACTCTTTCAGTACTGTGGAATGAGATGGGGTGTGACATGTTTTATTCTATGTTATCTAACAGCAACGTACTTAAAAGAGCCAGCAAATTTAAAGATAAGTTATGCTATTGTCTTACATGTCCCTTGGAAAAATTCATATGTTGAAATCTTCATGCCCAAGGTGACAGTATTTGGATCTGAGGCTTTTGGGAGGTGATGAGGTTATAGGGATGGGATTATTGCCCTTACAAAAGATGTCTGCTGTCATGTGAGGTCCAGGTGAGAAGATGACTGTCTATAAGAAACTGGGCCCTCACTAGACACTTAATCTTTTGGTTCCTTGATCTTGGACTTTCCAGCCTCTGGACCTCTGAGCAGTAAAATTTCTATTGCTTATAAGCCAACAAGTCTACAGCATTTTGTTTAAGCAGCCCAGATGGAATAAGTTACATGTATGTTTTTACAAAAAGACATGTTTCAAATTTCAAATTTGTTTACCTTCCATAAAAAATAATAAACACCTTAATTTTCTCCACCAAGGTAAAGGTGAAGACATTTTTTAAATTTTTTTTCAAAAACCTACATCCTGCAAGAATTTTGAGCTACGGAGACAGCATTTTGAAAACAGATGTTTGGAGATGAAAATGTGACTTTGCTGCCAAAATTAAGTGAGCATATTATCTACTAAAAACTTATATCCATGCATTTTAAAAACTTAGAATACAATTTTCTAGCCATTTGTAAAATCATCTGTGCAGAGTTTCACTGGGTTTTGAACCCTTTAGTTGAAAATGTAACCAAGGAACACCTTAGTGTTAATGTTTAAGAACCACTAGCTTACTGACATCATGGAACAGGGAAATGTACAGATGAATTTTAACAAAACCTTTCTATTATTGGTTCCAAAAAAACTTATAATTTAACGAATGGAGTCAAGTGTGCACATCATCCATCTAAATCTACTTATCTTTATTAGATATCTTTTCTCAGCTTTGATTCCATTAAAACCAAATGTCAAACTGGACTTAGGATTCAACGCTTAAGTCACTGATATGATACAATCAAGATTCTCGAAACTAATAAAGCACACCCAATCAAGCTTTGCCAATACCTTTATAAATAATAATGACAAAGGTTTATTCCATTAATATCAAAGTTAAAATACTTATAAAAAATATTACTGTATATATTTCTTTGTAGTTCTCCCTTTGTATGCTTTATAATAAATATATTAGAACACTACATGCTCAGATTTTTTAGAGATTACATTTTTAAACTGTGTAAGACAACTGGGACACAAGTTCACTTTTGGAAGGATGGGTAGTAAGTACATGAGCTTAGATTTCTTGCCACCCTCCTGGGTAGGGGCTCTTGGTCAGATTTAATCAGATTTAGAAAAACTTAAAGTAATATGTTTCTTTCGCCAAAAATTATAGAAGAAATTCACATTCTTTAATTTGTTAGCTGTGCTCTGTATAGTCTTCCTTTAACTATTTTGACAGTAATCCACAAATAGAATTTGTTTGCATTTGTATGATGACAAAAATTCCTGTGTACCATGAATCCAGATTAAGCCTGGCAAATCTGTAATCCTATTCTTCCCAACTTCTCATTTAAAATACCCAAACTAGCCATCCTCATGAATTTGGGGAAGGGAGACTCTCTAAAATGGTAGGACCCTTATACAGTGGAGCAAATACAAATACCATTATAAACAGCTGCTTTAGTTTAAAATAATCTTAAGAAAAAAATAAACCTCAACAGTCTGAGGAATGAACTCCTCAAAGAGGAGGACAAACATCTCACATTATTCTACCTCTCTTTGCAGTATCTCCATGTGGTCCTTTTTCTCTGAGTAGAGTTTTAGATTACTCAGAACTGAGTAAACTGGGAAAGTTCATTGCCTACAGCCACCAAAATGTGATCTTTCAGAGGGACTGCCTGCCTCCAACACAGAATCCTTAGCCAAATGCTCCATGCGATTATTCGCCCACAGTGTAGTTAGCACAGAGGATTGGGAAAAAAGGAATTTCCTTCCTCTCATCTGCAGATAATCATCTTCCATCCTAAAGCATAAATTTTGATTACCCAGATTATTTAAGCTTCCAGAGCCACAAGGGTTATTAGTGGTAATAAAATCATTCAGCCTTATAAAAATTAAAAAAAATATATTCCAACCACAGTATTTAAGAATCTGACCTCACAGCATATTATCCACCCACTATGCAAATAATTTTCTCTTTGCTGTCAGTGTGATCATTTTTTTTATTTCTTTAGCTACAGTTCAAGAAGAATACAAAATGATATTACTGACCTCATCAGGGCAGAATTATTCCCAGCCAGAGTAGAGTTTATTTGCTTTGCTTCACTTGCTGTCTGAATGTAAATGGCTTTATAGATGCCACAATGAAGAGTTTACCCTATTTACACTGTACTTTAAACCCCACTGAGAGAGCCAACCAACTCTGGTGATTCCTACATATGATCACTCAGCTAAGTAACAATTCTGTTCTTTGCATAGAAGGAGAGATGAAATCTTTCCAACCCAGCTAACTGCCTTCCTCATACCTTCATAATTCTGGCTTTGAGCCAACTCTGTCCTTAACTACTTAATGGGCCTTCTAGGCGCTTTCCTTCTTCAACTATCCCTCCTAAAATATGCATTAAAGTTTATTTTTAACAGTCCTTAATTACTAATATCTAAACCTTCACAAATCAGTAGGCAAAGTTAACATTTTGAAGAAGTGTCTCGCATTTCTAGGAAAATGCATGTTGGCATATCCATGACACAGCTGCATTCCTTGTGGATCTGTGTCTGTCTCTGGAATGAGGAATCCAATTTTCAAAGAGCCCAGTAAGGCATGTAGAAATCCAAGCAGGCACTTGGAAAAGAAACGTTCCCAAAGCAGCCTACAAAATTGTGTATATATGACTCCATTTTTTTTTAAATTTCATATGCAGAGACTGGACATTTCAGAAACAAAATACTTTTAAACATTATGAGTAACAGAATCACAGGATTTTTTCCCTTGTATTTCCAAAATAGCACCAAAAACTTGCTTTTTTTATAATCAGATTTTTTGAAAGCATATAAAATAGAGGGAAAGAAATTTCCTCCCATTTCTGCTGATTTAAAGTATGCATTATCTGAATTTTAGAATACTTCATTTTCAGAATGACTCATCCAAAATAAATTTGTGATGTACCCAAGAGACAAATTCTGTCTGCTCCATATAAGGATTTGTTTTAATTAATCGTGTTGCAAATTACTTGCAGCTAGTCACTAAATCATCACTCTACTCGAATTTCTCTTTTCTTGGTCATACCTGGACAAGTAGTTAACAAAGCAAGAAGGCATGGCAAAGAATAACCATACCCTAATTGCTTTGAGCATCTTGATTTAATAGAATTTTTAAAGGAATGTGACCTTATTTTTCATAATTAAGTAACTCTCTAGTTAATATATACTTATACCATAAATCTTTCTGCCACTGAGACCAACTGGATAATGCTAATATGCTTCCTTTATGTTAATATGTTGGGAATTTTGCATGGGTATCAGAGGACAGAAAAATAGAAGACAAGTTGCTGGTTACATATAGCACATATGATCAAGGACAAAGGTATAAAAAAGGTTGGTTTTAGAAAGAAAAAATAAAAATTTTCAGAGCTATTTAGTTTTTTAAAAAAGAGTCTATTCAACAGCTGAATTTGAAAGTGGTTTACGAGTTGTTACAGTAAATATATTCAAAATGAATCATATAACCAATTACGTTTGAATCACTCAAGTGTACATTTGCTGTGACAACAATTTTCCCTTTACGGATCATCCCTCTATTTATAAAAGAGCTGAAATTAACATTTCCTGCTTTTGTCAAATTGAAGCATCTTTCAATAGTTCTCGGCAAACATCTGAAGGATTCTTGCATCCTGAGATCATCTGGCCATTATGTTTTCAAGTGTTGTCTCTCTTCAAGCACTGGGTGAGACATACAGAATAAGTGATTGCAGATTCTCTCTAAAATAGCAGCAAGAACACAACGAAAATACCCAACGGAGAAGAGATCATGGGTTACCATTCATGGCAGATGGGAATCAACTTAAATTGACAGTAGATGTTCTCATTTTATTTTGCACATGACTAACCACAAGTAAAGCTTAAGCCCAAGAGAAATAAAGGACAAGATTGTGTAGCTATGTTTTAATACAGTGGTTATTAGTAGATCCAGATTTAAACGGATTTTTTTTCCTAATTGAAATCATTTCTTGAGGAACACAGATTTAAGAGCATGTACTGTTCAGATACCAAATAGAGCTTTATGCCCACTCATTTTCAAAAGCATTTATCTAAAAGAGGACTGTTTTCTGAGTCCACTTTAACACATCATCTTCTGATCACTTTCAACCTGTGTTATACACTGCTATAAAAAAATCAAACTATTTTTCTTTGTGGATTCTCAGTTGAAGGTGCTAACAGACAGAATGAGTTTGTTCTACCTCGGAACTGATGTTCTCCACTCTGAAAAATAAAAGTGCTGTTGAAGACTCTGAAATTCGCTGCATATTAGAGAACACAAGTTTTGTATTATAGTCTAGGTTCTTGAAGGATTGAATAAGGTAATGCTTTGACATAGGATTACCCACAGGCAATTGTGAAAGTCTGAATTACGTATTTCATCTAGATGTTCTCTACTTATTTTTCTGAGCACCTTTTTCCTTCAACATCTTTCTCATCTTCTTCTTCCAAGTTCTTTTGTTTTTCTTAAAATTTCCATGCTTCTTTGTGCATCCCATAAGCTCTTTGTGATTGATAATTTCTCCAGTTGAATTCCTGACTGTGCATTATTCTGAAATTCTTTCAAAATGACACATTCTGAGTTCACTTATTAAGAAAATGGTGATCCTACACTTCTGAGTCTCATTGCCACAATTATCTCCTGTCATCTTTAATGGGCTTACCTTCACAATATCCTTTGTATTTTACCATCAAGCCTGTGCTGTGCCTTGAGTATGAAAGGGCTTTCTTATACCTACCTATAACCTTCACTGTCAAAGTAGTACTATCCTTCAAGGATGTGTTCAAGTAACACCCTCTCCCTGTAACTTCCCCCATAATGGTTTATTTACAATTACATCATAGTTTTTGTTAATAAACAGCACTTTCCCACCTGGAAAGTTTGTCCTATATAAGTTCTGAAGACACATGGACAGAAAAAGAACGTAAGAAAAATATACTTATGTACCTAGCCAAGTCAACTAAACCAACCTTGCTAAACACCCCACAATCAACACCTCTCCCAAGACAGCTCTTTACTCTTTGTCGTTCTGGGTCTACCCTTTTACTGCCGTAAGCATTTTGAAGCTTTATTTATATTTTTAACTCAGAACACCTGTTCAATATTCACTGCTTACTCGCTGCTTAGCAAATATATATTGAAATTGGCTCAATTTATGAATTCTGCATATTGAATGTAAAAGAACACTTTGGGACTCAACACATATACTCTACAAGGAAATCTGAGAGATTAATTAAAATAACAAGTAGAGGAGACCAGGCTTCAGGCCTAGTTTGGGTCCCATCACCTGTGTTTTGGAACGAGGATTTCATTTCCATCTAAATAAAAAAGACAACTATAAGGAGATTCTCCAATGACTTCTTCTGTAAGATGAAACTTAGTAGGATTTATCAAAGCATTTTGAAAATTTTCAGTGTGAGGTAGCATCAGCAACACAAGAAAAACAGCAATTCTGTAAACCAGTTAGGACAATTATTCTTCTAAAGTTAGGTTTACGTAAGTCTTAGAAGTGAGTATCTAATATGCAACTTAACTATCTATAACTATGGAAGATTCCATTACAAGCAAGCCAGTGGCCAGCAGTTTTATATCTTCATAGAAAAAAAGATGGTAGGAAATAAGTTATTATTTAAAAAGAGAAGAGGGTTTTGGTGGCATAAGAAATCAAGAATGATTTAAAACAGTGAAGAAGGCTTTCAAGAGGGAAGACAAATCTCCTCCATGGAAATTATTTTAAGTAGAACTGGCCATCAATCACTATTACAGAATTTATGTAACAGCATCACTAAAGGAACTCTTAATGCTGGATGATTCTCTTTTGGCTCCCAAAGCCATAGAAGAATAAAGAATGAAGTTTGAAGATGCTGTAGAGACAAAATGATAGTTTGTAAAGGAAAAAGCAATTTGCTGTAAGAATTAAGTACCAAGGACCCAGACTCTGATTCTAGCCCCCCAACATTACATTTTATTAAGAGATAAGCTGTCATGACACTCAACTTTCCTAGGTTGAAGTTCAGAGTTGTATTTATCCATTGAAAATCAGTCTGTTTATAAAATGGTCGCATTCCGGCAATGTGTTTTGATTGGTCAGTTTTGGCTAATGTTTCACATGATAGCAACGCTAACACATCTGCAATATCTCTGCATTTTTTCGTCAGGCAGATTGAAGAAAAGAATCTTTCCAAATCATATCTCCTAGATATGACTTTAATCAAGCAAAAAGAACACTAAGAAAATGTAGTTTTATAAAATAAAGCCTATGCTTTAGCATTCTATATTTTAACCAAAGCAACTTGAGCATGTGAACAAAAGTTATTTTTCTGGCCAGGCACATGGCTTATGCCTGTAATCCCAGCACTTTGGGAGGCCAAGGCGGGTGGATCATGAGGTCACGAGATCGAGACCAGCCTGACCAACATGGTGAAACCCCGTCTCTACTAAAAATAGAAAAATTAGCTGGGTGTGGTGGCATGCACCTGTAATCCCAGCTACTCGGGAGGCTGAGGCAGGAGAATTACTTGAACCTGGGAAGCAGAGATTGCAGTGAGCCGAGATTGTGCCACTGCACTCCAGCCTGGTGACAGAGCGACACTCCATCTCAAAAAAAAAGAAAAAGTTATTTTTCCATAGACACTATGTACTATAACTCTCCTATCGACTATTCTTTTTTCTAAATAAATTTATCAAGATAGTGCCAATCATTAATTTGAAAACAAGTTATTGCACTTAGAGGCACTGTGAGTCAGTACAGGCACCTCTTATTGCACTTCACCTTACTGCACTTTGCAGATACTGCGTTTATAAATTGAAGCTTTATGTGCATCAAACAAGTCTACAGGCACCATTTTTCCAACAGCTTGTGCACTTTGTGTCTCTGTGTAACATTTTGATTATTCTTGCAATATTTTAAACTTATTATGTCTGTTATAATAATTGATGTTACCATTATAATTATTTGGGGGTGCCACAAACCATACCCATATAAGACAGCATATTAGTTCACTCTCACACTGCTATAAAGAACTGCCAGAGATTGAGTAATTTATAAAGAAAAGAGGTTTAACTGACTCACAGTTCCACGTTGCTGGGGAGGTCTCAGGAAACTTACAATCATGGCACCATCAGATCTTGTGAGAACTCACTCACTGTCACAAGAACAGCATGGGGGAAACTGGCCCCATGATCCAATCACCTCCCACCAGGTCAGTCCCTCAATATGTAGGGATTATGGGATTACAATTCGAGATGAGATTTGGGTGGGGACACAGAGCCAAACCATATCAGACAACAAACTTAGTCAAAAAATGCTGTGTGTGTTCTGACTATTCCACCGACCTGCCATTCCCCCTTCTCTCACCCCTTTCAGGGCTTCTCTATTCTCTGAGACAAAACATTACCAAAATTATGCCAATTAATAACCCTACAATGGCCTCCAACTGTTCAAGTGAAAGAGTCACACATACCTCACTTTAGATAAAAAGCTAGAAATGATTAAGCTTAGAGAGAAAGACATGTCAAAAGCAAAAAGCTAGGCCTCTTAGGCCAAACAGCCACTAATGAATGCAAAAGAAAAGCTCTTGGGGCAAATTAAAAGTGCTATTTCTGTGAACACACGATGAGAAAGTGAAACAGGCTTATTGCTGATATGAGAAGTTTTAGTGGTTTGGATACATCAAACCAGCCAGCACATTTCCTTAAGCCAAAGACTAATCCAGAGCAAGGCCCTAACTCTCTTCCATTCTATGAAGGATAAGAGATGGGTAAGCTGCAGAAAAAAATTTGTAAGCTGGCAAAGCTTGGTTTGTGGTGTTTAAAGAAAGAAGCCATCTCCAGAACATAAAAATGCAAGGTGAGGCCACAAGTGCTGATATAGAAGCTGTAGCAAATTATCCAGAAGATCTAGCTAAGATAATTGATGAAAGTGACTACACCAAACAGCAGATTTTCAATGTAAATTAAACAGCCTTCTATTGGAAGGAGATGTCATCTAGGACTCTCATAGCTAGAGATAACTCAATGCCTGACTTCAACGCTTCAAAGGACAGGCTGATTCTCTTGTTAGGGGTTAATGAAGCTGCCGACTTTAAGTTGAAGCCAGTGCTCATTTACCATTCTGAAAATCCTAGGGCACTTAAAAATTATACTAAATCTATTTTGCCTGTGCTCTATAAATTCACCAACAAAGCTTAGATGACAGCACATTTGTTTACAGCATGGTTTCCTGAATATTTTTAGCCAACTGTTGAGACCTATGGCTCAGAAAGAGAGATTCCTTTCAAAACATTACCGCTCATTGACAAGGCAATTGGTTACCCAAGAACTTTGATGGAGATTTACAAGGAGATTAATGTTGTTTTCATGCTAGCTCCCACAACATTCTGCTAACATTCTGCAGCCCATGCATCAAAGAGTAATTTTGACTTTCAAGTCTTATTATTTAAGAAATACATTTTGTAAGGCTATAGCTGACATAGATAGTAATTCCTCTGATGGGTCTGGAAAAAGTAAATTGAAAACATTCTGGAAAGAATTAACCATTCTAGATGCCATTAAAAACAATCGTGATTCGTGGAAGGCATTCAAAATATCAACATTAATAGGAGTTTATAAAAAGTTGATTCCAACCCTCATGGAGGACTTTGAGGGGTTCAAGAATTCAGTAGAGGAAGTAACTACAGATGTGACGGAAGTAACAAGAGAACTAGAATTAGAAGCAAGCCTGAAGATGTGACCGAATTGTTGCAATCGCATGATAAAACTTGAATGGATGAGAAGTTTTCTCTTATTTGTGAGCATAGAAAGTGCTTTGAGATTAAAAACTACTCCTGTTGAAGATGCTATAGCATTGTTGAAATAACAAAAGATTTAGGATATTACATAGACTGAGTTCACAAAGCAGCAGCAGGGTTTGAGAGGACTGACCCCAATTTTGAAAGCAGTACTACTGTAGGTAAAATACTATCAAATAGTATTGCGTGCTACAGAGAAATCTTTTGTGAAAGAGTCAATTTATGTGGCAAATTTAATTGTTGTCTTATTTTAAGACATTGTCACAGCCACCCCAACCTTCAGCAACCACTACCCTAATCAGTCAGCAGCAGTCAACATCAAGGCAAAGACGCTCCACCAGGAAGAAAATTATGACTTGGTGAAGGCTCCGATGATTGTTAGCATGTTTTAGCAATAAAGATTTTTAAATTAAGGTATGTACATTGTTTTTTCACACATGCCATTGCACACTTAATAGACTATAGTATTATGGAAACATAACTTTTATATGAACTGGGAAACCAAAAAATTTGTGTGACTCACTTTGTTGTGATATCAATTTTATTGTGGTTGTCCGAAACCAAATCCACAATATCTGCCAGGTATGCCTGTAACTTAAGACAGTTGACCACACAAAATAGGAGTCTTGCTTTGGCCCCTTTTAAAGAGGTCACTGTGTTAGATTGTTTTATGAAGAAAGAAGTGAGAGAAGTTGTAGAGGAAAGACAGAAGGCAGAAGTAGGAATACAAAAAGTAAATGAAGCTAAAATAGTGGTTAAAACTCTGGGATTTCAGACATTCAGATTTAAACCTTGTTATCAACTCTTAGAAGACATACAGTTTTGAGCTCATCACTTAACCTCTCTGTACCTTTTTTTTCTACATTTTAAAATTAAACATAATATGAGGCCTGCTTCTTACTATTGCATAAAGATTAAATTAAATAATCCATGTAAAGTGCATCTAATAGTCATTATATGTGCATGGCACAAAAGAAACATTTAAATTCTATCAGCTATTTTTATTCTTTGAGAAGAAAAAGAGTATTTATAGTTACAAACATCCAAAGTAACACTCTCTCTCATGTAAAAATGAATTCATCTTCCCGAGTTATTTATAGCAGCACTTAAAATTTATTTTTCAAAGTGGACAAATACACTTAATTTAAAATTAATGACAATTATTGTGTATTCATTGTAATTTCATGTGATTATTCAAAATGTTTACAAGGTATGCAATGGACTCATATAGAAAAGATAGTAATTAAGCCTGAATAATTGAAATTTTAAATGATTACTTATAAAAATATATTATTAAACTTGAGTCATGCTATTTTAAAATTAATCATAATTTCTATCTACTAGAGATAAAGTAAGAAAGTTTATGTTTTGTGAATGAATGTTAAAACAAATAGAATTCATTTTAGAAATGGATGACAAAAGATAAGTCTTCTGAAAGTCAGAAACAGTCTCCTGCCTGCTAGGAAACTATAATGCAATCAGGAAATTCTGCTGACAATCTTCTCTGTATCTTATCCCTCTTTTTCAATAAGCGAAATCATTATTTAATGATGTCAATGAAGTCTCCCCATTCTCCTAGCAAATCCTGACAGTAAATGGCAGACACGTTCATGTGTTGTCACAAAGGTCAGTGTGTAATCGGCAGCACTAATAATATCTGGGTGATTTAATTTGATCTGCAGGTAACTCATCCGGTTTTCTTTTTTCTCTCATTTGTGATTTTACAAGGGAAATGGTGGTGTTTCCTCTTTCTTTAAAATATTTGTTTACTCAAAGAGCTAAATCATAAATTCCATGAAGACAAAAGGAGTATCTTGTTTGCATTTTTCCCCAGCAGCTAGCACAGTAACTTAATAGTAGTTTAATAGTTTCTCAGTTGAACACATGAAAGAGAATAAATGAATGAATGAACAAATAAAGTAAATAATGCACAATTGTCTTTAGGAATTAATAAAGTTGTTCAGAGCTTTTTTTTTTTTTTTTTTTACTTCTGCTGAGTTCCTTTAATTTTTCTTCATAGTACTTCTTACAGTTCAAAGAGACAGGTTTATATGATTATCTGATTGTGGCATGCCTCCCCCACTAGCTTGTCTTGCTTACGATGATACTCCCAGTTCCTAACACAGACCTGGCACCCATAAGCACTCAGTAAATACTGATGAAGGAAGGAATGCCTCCTGTTGGCGTAGCTCAATTAGTTGGTAGACATCAAAGCTCTACTTTTAGACTCTATGACCCATTTTCTACAATAGAAAACCCTGCAATAAGAAAGCAAATCTATTTGATGATACTTATTGACTATCTACTATACTGATGGCATAACCCCCAAGATTTTCAGTTGTCCTTTATACAAGGGAGGTTTTTAGAAATAGTTTAATCTCCCTTTCTCAGCATAAGCACTATGTGCAGAGCCGCATTTGTATCTCTCAACAAGACACTTCAAAATAGGTAATATTTTATACATTCTAAAATAAACACCATTACAAGTTGCATAATTTTAAATGCCCTATTTCTCACCAGAGAAATGGGCCCCAATTATTGGTTCAACAGTTCTCTCTTACTTTTGGAGACAGAACTAGTAATACTAGAAATCAAAACAAGTATCTGTTTAGCTATCTCACTATTCAGCATAAAGTTGTCTTTGATTTGTGGTCCATGTTAAGCCAAAATATATTTGATATATAACCTTACACATTGTCAGCATAACCTTTGGGCCTCTTTTTATGCCCCAAGGGAAAACACCACAAGAAACTCCCTAATACAAGCTAGTACCTTTTTTATGTATTTTCCTCTCCCCTCTCAAAGATGAGACAATTACAAACTGAACATTAAGGAGTCTCATATAAATGTAAAATTAATACAATGCAAAGTAATAGTAACAGTAATAAGAGCTAACAATTATTAAAAGTCTATTATGTTCCTAGCGTTGTTATAACTTCCTATTCCTTGTAGCTTATCCTCACAACACTGAAAATACATGTAAGTCCCATTTGAATAATGTTACCAGGATCACGTAAGTATCAAGGAGCACATCTAGTATTTGAACCCAAGTTCATAAGAATACAACAAGATTTTTCAGCCTCAGCACTATGACACTTGGGGCTAAATGTGTTTTGGAAAGCTGTCCTGTGCCTCTATCCACTAAGTATCAGTAGCACCCTACTCTCAGTGTGACAAACAAAAATGACTCCAGATATTGTGAAATGTCCAAATGGGGGCACAACCCCCCCTCCTCCTCATCCTCCTGTCTCTCACCTAACTCAAAACACCAATTCCTCCACCCCTACTTTCCATCCTCTTTGAAAACCACTAGAATTCAATGCCCAACTTTTTTATTCTCTACCATTTGCCTCCACTATGAAGGGGAAATCATGAATCAGGCATTCAAATTTAACCCATTCTAGAATTTACTAAAATTGTAGAAAATAGTTGTACATTCATATGGTAACTTAACCAAATAAACCTCTCCCTTAACCTGTGATATCTTTATAGATAAACTAAACTACACAAGGGAAGGTACTAAAATTATTGTAAAACTGATTTTCTTGGTCATTGTTTGGAAATGTTTCAATTTTAGAAAACTTCAAGGGAAAATGGAGAAAGATCTAAGTATAGTGGTTTTCATTTACAAGGTGTGTATCTTCAAGGTACTCAGATAGTTTACGATAATTAAATTTCTGAGTTACATATAAGAAACAAGATTATTTGTTGTTTATTTCTCAGTGATTTTTTTGAAGTGAGGTTTACACCGAACTAAGAGTCAAGGATGTTGCTTCTTGAGCTCATATGTCTTTTACTCTATACGTTGGGTAATATGTCAATACTAATCCCAGTGACAACATGGTGTAACTAAATAAAAATAACTGAAATTGCCAATTATGTTTTTTAAAGGCATACATTATTTTATCCCTTTTATTTAAAATCATAGGGTAAAAAAATGACAATTGATTAAAATGACATTTCAGATCCGTGAACAGTAATTGTTGCATCTTTTCAAAAAATTAATATTTGTTTCTCACCTATAGAATTACACAGTTATTTTTTGCTTTTCGTTTTGCTTTTGACTTTGGCACTGGTGGTTTCAAGTTTTAGTTCAGATACAAAGATGGATAGGACTCTAAACTCATTTACTTTTATACCATATTGCTATTCCTCTGTATCACAAGGATTTTTGCATCATCCAAGAAATCTCTGACATCCCGAAAGTCACAAAGATATTATCTGTGACAAGCTTGATAGTTCTGTTTTTGCTTTTGAGTCAATTAGTCACCTTAAATGAACTGTTGTAAAAGGACTGAGATAGGGTCAAAGTCTCTTTTCACCATTGATAACCGTATGTTCCAGTAATATTTTCAAGAAA
This sequence comes from Homo sapiens, assembly GCF_000001405.40. Taxonomy (NCBI): domain Eukaryota; kingdom Metazoa; phylum Chordata; class Mammalia; order Primates; family Hominidae; genus Homo; species Homo sapiens. Next base: position 126,149,472 of record NC_000005.10, read on the forward strand.
GAACTCTCAATTAACTTGCACCTGGATTGAAAATCAATTGGATACACACACACACACACACACACACACACACACACACACACACACACAGTTATTTCTAGACTTCCTTTTCTGTTTCACTGATCCAGTTATCCTTATGTATATAGGAATATTTGTGTACAAATATATAGGAATATGTGTATACATATATTTTTCTGAACTCTATTATTTTCTATTAATCTATTAGTCTTCACACACATTGATGCCACACTGTTATCTAATAGATTTATAGTAAGTCTTGAAACCAAGTACTGTAAGTCCTCCAACTTTTTTTCTTTTATATTATTTTTTTATTTTATTATTATTATACTTAAAGTTTTAGGGTACATGCGCACAACGTGCAGATTTGTTACATATGTATACATGTGCCATGTTGGTGTGCTGCACCCATTAACTCGTCATTTAGCATTAGGTATATCTCCTAATGCTATCCCTCCCCACTCACCCCACCCCACAACAGTCCCCGGTGTGTGATGTTCCCCTTCCTGTGTCCATGTGTTCTCATTGTTCAATTCCCACCTATGAGTAAGTACATGCTGTGTTTGGTTTTTTGTCCTTGTGATAGTTTGCTGAGAATGATGGTTTCCAGCTTCATCCATGTCCCTACAAAGGACATGAACTCATCATTTTTTATGGCTGCAGAGTATTCATGGTGTATATGTGCCACATTTTCTTAATCCAGTCTATCATTGTTGGACATTTGGGTTGGTTCCAAGTCTTTGCTATTGTGAATAGTGCCGCAATAAACATACATGTGCATGTGTCTTTATAGCAATATGATTTATAATCCTTTAGGTATATACCCAGTAATGGGATGGCTGGGTCAAATGGTATTTCTAGTTCTAGATCCCTGAGGAATCGCCACACTGACTTCCACAATGGTTGAACTAGTTTACAGTCCCACCAACAGTGTAAAAGTGTTCCTATTTCTCCACCTCCTCTCCAGCACCTGTTGTTTCCTCACTTTTGAATGATCGCCATTCTAACTGGTGTGAGATGTTATCTCATTGTGGTTTTGATTTGCATTTCTCTGATGGCCAGTGATGATGAGCATTTTTTCATGTGTCTGTTGTCTGCATAAATGTCTTCTTTTGAGAAGTGTCTGTTCATATCCTTCACCCACTTGTTGATGGCGTTGTTTGTTTTTTTCTTGTAAATTTGTTTGAGCTCATTGTAGATTCTGGATATTAGCCCTTTGTCAGATGAGTAGGTTGCAGAAATTTTCTCCCATTCTGTAGGTTGCCTGTTCACTCTGATGGTAGTTTCTTTTGCTATGCAGAAGCTCTTTAGTTTAATTAGATCCCATTTGTCAATTTTGGCTTTTGTTGCCATTGCTTTTTGTGTTTTAGACATGAAGTCCTTGTCCATGCCTATGTCCTGAATGGTATTGCCTAGGTTTTCTTCTAGGGTTTTTACGGTTTTAGGTCTAACATGTAAGTCTTTAATCCATCTTCAATTAATTTTTGTATAAGGTGTGAGGAAGGGATCCAGTTTCAGCTTTCTACTTATGGCTAGCCAGTTTTCCCAGCACCATTTATTAAATAGGGAATCCTTTCCCCATTGCTTGTTTTTCTCAGGTTTGTCAAAGATCAGATAGTTGTAGATATGTGGCATTATTTCTGAGGCCTCTGTTCTGTTCCATTGGTCTATATCTCTGTTTTGCTACCAGTACGATGCTGTTTTGATTACTGTAGTCTTGTAGTATAGTTTGAAGTCAGGAAGCGTGATGCCTCCAGCTTTGTTCTTTTGGCTTAGGATTGACTTGGCGATGCGGGCTCTTTTTTGGTTCCATATGAACTTTAAAGTAGTTTTTTCCAATTCTGTGAAGAAAGTCATTGGTAGCTTGATGGGGATGGCATTGAATCTATAAATTACCTTGGGCAGTATGGCCATTTTCACAATATTGATTCTTCCTATCCATGAGCATGGAATGTTCTTCCATTTGTTTGTATCCTCTTTTATTTCATTGAACAGTGGTTTGTAGTTCTCCTTGAAGAGGTCCTTCATATCCCTTGTAAGTTGGATTCCTAGGTATTTTATTCTCCTTGAAGCAATTGTGAATGGGAGTTCACTCATGATTTGGCTCTCTGTCTGTTATTGGTGTGTAAGAATGCTTGTGATTTTTGTACATTGATTTTGTATCCTGAGACTTTGCTGAAGTTGCTTATGAGCTTAAGGAGATTTTGGGCTGAGACAATGGGGTTTTCTAGATATACAATCATGTCATCTGCAAACAGGGACAATTTGACTTCCTCTTTTCCTAATTGAATGCCTTTTATTTCCTTCTCCTGCCTGATTGCCCTGGCCAGAACTTCCAACACTGTGTTGAATAGGAGTGGTGAGAGAGGGCATCCCTGTCTTGTGTCAGTTTTCAAGGGGAATGCTTCCAGTTTTTGTCCATTCAGTATGATATTGGCTGTGGGCTTGTCATAGATAGCTATTATTTTGAGATACATCCCATCAATACCTAATTTATTGAGAGTTTTTAGCATGAAGGGTTGTTGAATTTTTTCAAAGGCCTTTTCTGCATCTATTGAGATAATCATATGGTTTTTGTCTTTGGTTCTGTTTATATGCTGGATTACATTTATTGATTTGCGTATGTTGAACCAGCCTTTCATCCCAGGGATGAAGCCCACTTGATCATGGTGCATAAGCTTTTTAATGTGTTGCTGGATTCAGTTTGCTGGTATTTTATTGAGGATTTTTGCATCAATGTTCATCAAGGATATTGGTCTAAAATCCTCTCTTTTTTTGTTCTGTCTCTGCCAGGCTTTGGTATCAGGATGATGCTGGCCTCATAAAATGAGTTAGGGACGATTCCCTCTTTTTCTATTGATTGGAATAGTTTCAGAAGGAATGGTACCAGCTCCTCCTTGTACCTCTGGTAGAATTCGGCTGTGAATCCATCTGGTCCTGGACTTTTTTTCATTGGTAAGCTATTAATTATTGCCTCAATTTCAGAGCCTGTTATTGGTCTATTCAGAGATCCAACTTCTTCCTGGTTGAGTCTTGGGAGGGTGTATGTGTCCAGGAATTTATCCATTTCTTCTAGATTTTCTAGTTTATTTGCATAGAGGTGTTTATAGTATTCTCTGATGGTAGTTTGTATTTCTGTGGGATCGGTGGTGATATCCCCTTTGTCATTTTTTATTGCTTCTATTTGATTCTTCTCTCTTTTCTTCTTTATTAGTCTTGCTAGCAGTCTATCAATTTTCTTGATCTTTTCAAAAAACCAGCTCCTGGATTCATTGATTTTTTGAAGGGTTTTTTGTGTCTCTATTTCCTTCACTTCTGCTCTGATCTTAGTTATTTCTTGCCTTCTGCTAGCTTTTGAATGTGTTTGCTCTTGCTTCTCTAGTTCTTTTAATTGTGACATTAGGGTGTCAATTTTGGATCTTTCCTGCTTTCTCTTGTGGGCATTTAGTGCTACAAATTTCCCTCTACACACTGCTTTGAATGTGTCCCAGAGATTCTGGTATGTTTTGTCTTTGTTCTCGTTGGTTTCAAAGAACATCTTTATTTCTGCCTTCATTTTGTTATATACCCAGTAGTCATTCAGGAGCAGGTTGTTCAGTTTCCATGTAGTTGAGCGGTTTTGAGTGAGTTTCTTAATCCTGAGTTCTAGTTTGATTGCACTGTGGTCTGAGAGATAGTTTGTTATAATTTCTGTTCTTTTACATTTGCTGAGGAATGCTTTACTTCCAACTATGTGGTCAATTTTGGAATAGGTGTGGTGTGGTGCTGAAAAGAATGTATATTCTGTTGATTTGGGGTGGACAGTTCTGTAGATGTCTATTAGGTCTGCTTGGTGCAGAGCTGAGTTCAAATCCTGGATATCCTTGTTAACTTTCTGTCTCAATCTGTCTAATGTTGACAGTGGGGTGTTAAAGTCTCCCATTATTATTGTGTGGGAGGCTAAATCTCTTTGTAGGTCACTAAGGACTTGTTTTATGAATCTGGGTGCTCCTGTATTGGGAGCATATATATTTAGGATAGTTAGTTCTTCTTACTGAATTGATCCCTTTACCATTATGTAATGGCCTTCTTTGTCTCTTTTGATCTTTGTTGGTTTAAAGTCTGTTTTATCAGAGACTAGGATTGCAACCCCTCCCTTTTTTTGTTTTCCATTTGTTTGGTAGATCTTCCTCCATCCCTCTATTTTGAGCCTATGTGTGTCTCTGCACGTGAGATGGGTTTCCTGAATATAGCACACTGATGGGTCTTGACTCTTGATCCAATTTGCCAGTCTGTGTCTTTTAATTGGAGCATTTAGCCCATTTACATTTAAGGTTAGTATTGTTATGTGTGAATTTGATCCTGTCATTATGATGTTAGCTGGCTATTTCGCTCATTAGTTGATGCAGTTTCTTCTTAGCCTTGATGGTTTTTACAATTTGGCATGTTTTTGCAGTGGCTGGTACCAGTTGTTCCTTTTCCATGTTTAGTGCTTCCTTCAGGAGCTCTTTTAGGGCAGGCCTCATGGTGACAAAATTTCTCAGCATTTGCTTGTCTGTAAAGTATTTTATTTCTCCTTCACTTATGAAGCTTAGTTTGGCTGGATATGAAATTCTGGGTTGAAAATTCTTTTCTTTAACAATGTTGAATATTGGCCCCCACTCTCTTCTGGCTTGTAGAGTTTCTGCTGAGAGATCAGCTGTTAGTCTGATGGGCTTCCCTTTTTGGGTAACCCGACCTTTCTCTCTGGCTGCCCTTAACATTTTTTCCTTTATTTCAACTTTGGTGAATCTGACAATTATGTGTCTTGGAGTTGCTCTTTTCGAGGAGTATCTTTGCGTCATTCTCTGTATTTCCTGAATTTGAATGTTGGCCTGCCTTGCTAGATTGGGGAAGTTCTTCTGGATAATGTCCTGCAGAGTGTTTTCCAACTTAGTTCCATTCTCCCCATCACTTTCAGGTGTACCAATCAGACGTAGATTTGGTCTTTTCACATAGTCCCATATTTCTTGGAGGCTTTGTTCGTTTCTTTTTATTCTTTTTTCTCTAAACTTCTCTTCTCACTTCATTTCATTCATTTCCTCTTCCATCACTGATACCCTTTCTTCCAGTTGATCACATCGGTTACTGAGGCTTGTGCATTCGTCACGTAGTTCTCGTACCATGGTTTTCAGCTCCATCAGGTCCTTTAAGGACTTCTCTGCATTGGTTATTCTAGTTATCCATTTGTCTAATTTTTTTTCAATGTTTTTAACTTCTTTGCCATTGGTTCGAACTTCCTCCTTTAGCTCGGAGTAGTTTGATCTTCTGAAGCCTTCTTCTCTCAACTCGTCAAAGTCATTCTCCATCCAGCTTTGTTCCATTGCTGGTAAGGAGCTGTGTTCCTTTGGAGGAGGAGAGGCGCTCTGATTTTTAGAGTTTCCAGTTTTTCTGCTCTGTTTTTTCCCCATCTTTGTGGTTTTATCTACCTTTGGTCTTTGATGATGGTGATGTACAGATGGGTTTTTGGTGTGGATGTCCTTTCTGTTTGTTAGTTTTCCTTCTACCCATCAGGACCCTCAGCTGCAGGTCTGTTGGAGTTTGCTGGAGGTCCGCTCCAGACCCTGTTTGCCTGGGTATCAGCAGTGGTGGCTGCAGATCAGCGGATATTGGTGAACCGCAAATGCTGCTGCCTGATCGTTCCTCTGAAAGTTTTGTCTCAGAGGAGTACCTGGCCGTGTGAGGTGTCAGTCTGCCCCTACTGGTGGGTGCCTCCCAGTTAGGCTACTCGGGGGTCAGGGACCCACTTGAGGAGGCAGTCTGCCCATTCTCAGATCTCAAGCTGCGTGCTGGGAGAACCACTACTCTCTTCAAAGCTGTCAGACAGGGACACTTAAGTCTGCAGAGGATTCTGCTGCCTTTTGTTTGTCTGTGCCCTGCCCCTAGAGGTGGAGCCTACAGAGGCAGACAGGCCTCCTTAAGCTGTGGTGGGCTCCACCCAGTTCGAGTTTCCTGGCCGCTTCGTTTACCTACTCAAGCCTCGGCAATGGCGGGCGCCCCACCCCCAGCCTCGCTGCCACCTTGCAGTTTGATCTCAGACTGCTTTGCTAGCAATGAGCAAGGCTCCGTGGGTGTAGGACCCTCTGAGCCAGGTACGGGATATAATCTCCTGGTGTGCCGTTTGTTAAGCCCGTTGGAAAAGCATAGTATTAGGGTGGGAGTGACCCGATTTTCCAGGTGCCATCTGTCACCCCTTTCTTTGACTAGGAAAGAGAATTCTCTGACCCCTTGCGCTTCCCGGGTGAGGTGATGCCTCGCCCTGCTTCAGCTCACACATGGTGTGCTGCACCCACAGTCCTGCACCCACTGTCCAGCACTCCCCAGTGAGAGGAACCCAGTACCTCAGTTGGAAATGCAGAAATCACCCATCTTCTGCATCGCTCACACTGGGAGCTGCAGACTGGAGTTGTTCCTATTTGGCCATCTTGGCTCCACCCCCCCCCATTTTTTCCTTCATTTTGATTTGCTGTAGGTTGTTCTAGGTGGTTTGCATTTTATATATACTTCAGAATTATCTTGTTTCTTCAAAATACATTTGTATTTTAATATGAATTAATTTGATCTATAGGTCAGTTTGGGTATAATGAACAACTTAATATAATGTCCAATCCATTAACATGGTATATATATTTATTAGGATTTATTTAACTTCTCTCAGCTGAGTTTTACAGTTTCCCATATAAGGTTACTAAATATTTTTTATTAAGTCTACTCCTTAGTATTTGTTTTTAAATACTATTATAAATAATATTAACTTTTAAACTAATTTTCAAATTCCGTGTTGAAAGTATATAGAAATACAATTTATATATTAATATTGTATCCCCAACCTTATTAAATGTACCCTTTTAGTTTTATTTTTCTTGTAAATATCATAGAATTTTTTATAACCACAATCATTTCATCTGCAAATTACACAGTTTAATTTAAGAAGTTTTACTTCTTCTATTCCAGTCTGTATTCCTTTAATGTTTTATTATCTTATTGGTATGGAGTTCCGATAAAAGTTGAATAGAAACAGTGAGAACATTTTTTCCAAAATTTAAAGAAAATCAGTTAATGTTTCAATATTAAACATATTAGCCATAGTTTTTTTGTTTTGTTTTGTTTTTTGTTTTTTGAGACAGAGTCTTGCTTTGTCACCCAGGCTGGAGTGCAGTGGCACAATCTCAGCTCACAGCAACCTCCACCTCCCAGGTTGAAACAATTGTCTGCCTCAGCCTCCCGAGTAGCTGGGAATTACAGGCACCCACCACCACACCAGGCTAATTTTTTGTATTTTTAGTAGAGATGGTGTTTCACCATCTTGGCCAGGCTGGTCTTGGACTCCTCACCTCGTGATCCACCCACCTCTGCCTCCCAAAGTGCTGGGATTATAGGTGTGAGCCACCGTGCCGGGACAGCCATAGATTTTTATAGATGCCTTTTATCAGATTAAAGCAATCCTCTTCTATTCTTATTTGTTGAGAGGTGTTTGACAGAATTTGGGTAAAAGTCCCCCTAAGTCTCATGTTGAAATGTAATCTTTAATGTTAGAGGTGAGGCCTGGTGGGTGGTAACTGGATCACAGGGATGGATTTCTCATGAATGGCTTAGCACCATCTCCTTGGTGCTATCCTCACAATAGTGAGCGAGTTCTGGTGAGATCTGGTTTTTTAAAAGTGGGTGACACCTCCCCTCACTCTTGCTCCCACCCTTGCCATGTGAAATGTCTGCTCCTCCTTTGCCTTCTGCCATAATTGTAAGCTTCTTCAGACCCTCACCAGAAGTAGATGCTGATGCTGTTTTTCTTGTGCTGTCTGCAGAAGCATGAGCCAAATAAAATTCTTTTCATTATAAATTACCTAACTCAAGTATTTCTTTATAGCAATGCAAGAATGGTCTAGCACAGAAAATTGGTACCAAGGAGTGGGGCATTGCTATAAAGATGCCTGAAAATGTGGAAGCAGCATTGGAAATGGGTAACAGGCAGAGGTTAGAGGAGTTTGGAGGGTTCAGAAGAAGACAGGAAGATGCGGGAAAATTTGGAACTTCTTAGAGACTGTTTAAATGGTTGGGACCAAGATGCTTATAGTGACATGGACAGTGAAGTTCAGGCTGACGAGGTCTCAGACGGAAATGAGGAACTTATTAGGAACTAGAGTGAAGGTCGTTGTTATGCCTTGGCAAAAAAAAAAAAACAAAAAAAAACCTTGTGTTCATGCCCTAGGTATCTATAGAAGTTTTAACTTTGGAGATGATGACTTAGGGTATCTGGTGGAAGAAATTTTCAAGCAGCAAAGTGTTCAAAATATGGCCTGACTGCTTCTAACAGCGTACATTCAGATATGGTAGCAAAGAAATGATTTAGAATTGGAAGTTATATTCAAAGGAGAAGCAGAATGTAAACGTTTGGAAAATTTGCAGCCTGGCTATGTGGCAAAGAAAAAGCATTATATTATCAAGAGAGAAATTCAAGCAAGCCAGGGAGCAACCCCTTGAAAGACAGGTTTGCATGACTCAAAGGGAGCTAAGTGCTAATATCCAAGACAATGGGGAAAAGGTCTCAAAGGCACTTCAGAGATCTTTGTGGCAGCCCCTCACATCATAAGCCCAGAGGCCCAGGAGGAAAGAATGGTTTTGTAGTTAGGCCCAAGTCCCCACTGTTGTGTGCATCCTCAAAACACTGCTCTCCCATACAGGCTATACTGGCTGAAGCCTCAGCTCACAGGGTCCCTGTTATAGCCCAGGTTGCTGCTCCAGAGGGCACAAGCCATAAGCCTTAGTGGTTTCCAGATGTCATTAAGCCTGCAGGTGCACAAGATGCAAGAGTAAAGGAGGCTTGGCATCCTCTGCCTAGATTTTGTAGAATGTATTGGAAAGCCTGGGCATCCAGGCAGAAGCCGGCTTGCAGGGGCAAAACCCTCACAGAGAATCTATACTAAGACAGTGTGAAGCAGAAATGTGGTGTTGAAGGCCCCACGCAGAGTCCCCACTGAGGCACTGGCTAGTGGAGCTGTGGGAAGGAGGCCACCATCCTACAGACTCCAGCATGCTAGATCCACCATCCCTTGGTGCTATTCTCACAGTAGTGAGTTCTTGTGAGATCTGGTTGTTTAAAAGTGCATGGTAACTCCCCTCACTCTCTCTTGCTCCCATTCTTTCCATGTGAAACACCTGATCCCCCTTTGTCTTCTGCCATGACTGTAAGCTTCCTGAGGCCCTCCCCAGAAGCAGATGCTGGCTCCACGCTTCTTGTACTATCTGCAGAACCATGTGCCAATTAAACCTCTTTTCATTGTCAACTACCCAGACTAAGATATTTCTCTATAGAAACATAAGAATGGTCTAACACAGTATTGTCATGAAGGGATATTGAACTTTGCCAATGGCTTTTTTCAAACCTAATGAGATTAGGATGATTTTCTATTTTATTCTGTTAGTAAAATGAATTACATTGATTGATATTCAAATAGCAAACCAAGCTCACATTCCTGGATAAACTCATTGGTCATGTTTTATTATCCTTTTCACATGTTACTAGACTTGATTCACTGTATTAGTTTGTTCTTGCATTGCTATAAAGAAATACCAGAGACTGGGTAATTTATAAAGAAAAGAGGTTTAATTGGCTCATAGTTCCACAGGCTGTACAGGAAGCATAGCAGCTTCGGCTTCCAGGGAGGCCTCCACAAACTTATAATCATGGTGGAAGTTGAAGGGGAAGCAGACACATCTTACATGGCTGGAGCAGGAGGAAGAGAGAGGGGGATGGGGTGCTATGCACTCTTAAACCACCAGATCTCACGAGAACTCACTCACTACTGTAACACGGTACCACAGGGAAAATCCACCCCATGATCCAATCACGTCCCACTAGGCTCCACCTCCAACACTGGAGAGTACAATTTGACATGAGATTTCTGTGGGGTGGGTGACGGGATAGGGGTCACAAATCTAAACCAATCATTCACTAGTATTTTGTTAGTGAATTTTGTCTGTGTATTCATGAGAAATATTGTTCAGATATTTTATTGTCTTACTATATCTGTTTAAGATTTTAATATCAGGGCTATGCTGGCCTCAACAAAACAAAACAATGAAAAGAATTATAAAGCCTTCCCTTTGCTTCTATTTTCTGAAAGAGTCTGTACAGTATTGTAATTATATCATTCTAAGATATTGGGTTGAATACTTGGATAAAACATCAAGACCTGGAAGGTAAAGTAATCAGGAAACAGTACTATTGGCTTAATAATGAACAAATAGATTAGTGGGTGAGAGAGAGAGTCTATTCAAAATAGTGTTCAAACAACTTGAGATTCTAATATACTCCTCTTTAAATCATACACAAAAATTAATTCAACATGAATTAAAGACCTAACCATAAAAACCAAAACACAAATCTTATTTAAAAAAAAGGAGCAAATGTCTTTGTGACCCTACTATAGACAGAGATTTCTTAGAACATAGATATCACAAACCTTAAAGAAAATATTAACAAATTGAAGTTCATCAACAATGAGAAATTATTAGAGAATTATAACTCAAAACCCTGAGGTAAAATGACACACCAACATAAATGGCAAAAATTCGAAAGACTTAACACCACCAAATATTGGCAAGGATTTAAAGTAATGAAACTCTGATAGCATACTGGTGGGAGTGTAAAATGCTATAACCACATTGGAAAATGGTTTGGGAATTTTATGTTCAATTAAACATATGCCTACCTGTGACCCAAAAGTTCCACCGAAGATAAATAATAAGCTAATTCTAGAAAAAGCCATATTCAAGAATGTTCATAGATACATATTTACTTATAGGCAAAACAAAACTATACCAATGTCATTCGACAGGAGATTTGATACATAAACTGTGGTGTATATCATGAAATACTATTCATCAATAGAAAAGCCAAATTAAGTATGCATAAAGCAGCATGGATAAATTCCAAAAACTTCACGCTGAACAGAGAAGCCAGATACAAAAGTACATACCTTTGATTCCATTTAAGTGAATTTCCAGAACAAGCAAAACTAATTTATAGTGCAAGATATCAAAATAGTTGCTTTGAGGAAAAGGGGAGTTGACTGGAAAAGGGCACAGAAAAATCTGGGGTGACGTTGCATGTGGCAACCAAAGGGATGTAAGCTGCTAGAAAAAATATTACCCTCTTCCATTTCCTTGATGGATACTTTTAAGTGGCTTTCAACATGGTTACATATATGGCTCCCAGCAAGATTAAACCCAATTGCTCAGAGCAGGGATCCCCTTGATAATGCAACTGTGGATGGACTTTCCTTCCTTTCCTGTTTATTCTTCCTAGTCCTATACTCTCCTTGGTTGGAACCAGTTTCTAAAACACATTTTCTGCCCACAAGCCCATGTGCCAAGCTCTACTCTGTTGGGGAAAGAAACAAAAGTTATCTAGAGGGCTCTGTAGCTGTCAGGATGGATGAAATCCAAATCTATTCAGTCATTTTTGTCACTCTGCTCATGATTCAAATCCTGGGAGAGAACACACAATTGGCGGAGCTTGGGTCCTATCTTCCAATACACAAGGGGTGGACGTAGGGTCCTTTGACAGATAGTTCGTCAAAGAGAAAAGAGGTAATTCCTCAAAAAAAAAAAATGGAATTCTAATTCCAAATGAAAAATTGCTATTGTCTATATCTTTGTGTCCAAATTATATTAAGAACCTGAGGAGCATAACTTAGAAGAATAAGGTATATTTAAATTACAACCATAAATTAACAAAACTTAACATCATATTTACTTTTTACTTATTTTACTAAGAGTTTATAATTATAGGCCATTCCTACTTATGGAAATTAATTAAAAATTTAAAAATTTTGGGGCCACAAGTAGGCATATGTTTTTGAGTGTGTGCATTTCTCAAAACTCATTAAACTGCACCATTTAAGATTTATTTCACTAAATGAAAATTACACCTCACTGAAAATAAATGGAAGACACACACACAAAAAATGTGTCAGGCAAAGCTAATCTGCGGTGGTAAAAGTCAAGATAGTGATTACCCAAGGTATGAGATTATGACTTGACAGAGGTATGAGGCAGCTTCTGCAGTACTGATAATGTCCTGTGTCTTAATCTGGGTGCTGGTTGTATTTGTGTTTAATTTGTTAAATTTCAATCATACTTATGATGTGTACACTTTTTAAATATACTGCACTTCAGTATAATTAGCATTTTTAAATTTTGATGCAAGTAATCACAAAAGGATGTTCCATCAATTCCTAGATATAAACATACTTACTGTATCATTGACACAATGGGATGTAAGGGAGTTTCTAGCTGTACCATCCTATTGTGCACAATAAGCTCCTAGTGGAAAAGGTTTAACCTGTTACTATGACAGTATGCTTTGACTACCACATTCACAGAGAATAAATCATTTCAATTTAATCTGTCCAGTTGCTTTATTATTAAAGATGACAAGGAAGCAACAGTGAACATCACTAGAGAAATCTCAGCAATATACATCTGTCACATTATAATACAGTGGAATCAGAGATCATTCAGGACCGTCATAATTGTAATTTCAGAAAACCAAATACTATTTGTGTGATAGCATCCACCTGTATCTCTTTAACCTGTATTTTCAATTTGCTGCCTGTTTATATCTATTCAAACCTGAAGCATTACAAGTCATTAAATACCATGTAAATAAGTTAGGCCTAACGGTAAAGAATGAGAAGCTAACTTGGGATCATCAGCATCTGGCGCCAGAAGATTATATTTTAACAATAGCTATATGGTCCTTGAAGTATAACATAAGTATTTTGATAGACATGCCAAGATGCAACTAAGGAAATAGACTTTACTAGAGATGAAACTATCTCCTGGTGAAAGAAAACATTAACGGATGTGTCAGTTAGGGTTCTTTGGTTGCAATCTATAGAAACTCACTTCAGCTAACATAAGCAAAAAAATGTATTATAAGTTGATTTGGGGATTTCTCATCGGATTAAGGTGAGGAAGGACACGAAGACATCTTTGGGTCTTTGAAAAGGTAAACTGATGGAAGTGTGATGGAAGTGGACTACTTGACCTCACCTCACATCTTCTTGGATCAACTCCCTACCAATAGAATGTCTGTGGGCAACCACTCGGTCATTCTAGCACATGCATAAAAACCTGAAGATGTGAAACGGGTCATGATGCATGTGGCAACTGAAGGGACGTAGGCTGCTAGAAAAAATATTACCCTCTTCTATTGCCTTGATGGATACTTTTAAGTGGCTTTCAATGTGGTTACGTATATGGCTCCCAGCAAGATTAAACACAATTGCTCAGAGCAGGGATCCCCTTGATAATGCAACTCTGGATAGACTTTCCTTCCTTTCCTGTTTATTCTTCTTAGCCCTATACTCTCCTTGGTTGGAACCACTTTCTGAAACACACTTTCTGCCCACAAGCCCATGTGCCAAGCTTTACTCTTTTGGGGAAAGAAACAAAAGCTATCTACAGGGCTCTGTAGCTGTCAGGATGGATGAAATCCAAACCTATTCAGTCATTTTTGTCACTCTGCTCATAATTCAAATCCTGAGAGAGAACACACAATTGGCCTAGCTTGGGTCTTATCTTCCACTATTCAAGGGGTGGGCATAAGGTCCTTTGAAAGATAGTTCCTCAAAGAGAAAAGAGGTAATTCCTTGAAAAAAAAATTGGAATTATAATTCCAAATGAAGAAAAATTGCTATTGTCTATATCTTTCTGTGTCCAAATTACATTAAGAACCTAAGGAGCATAACTTAGAATAAGGTATATTTAAGTTACAACCCTAAATTAACAAAACTGTTAATGTCATATTTGCATTTTACTTATTTTACTAAGAGTTTGTCATTATAGGTCATTCCTATTTATGGCAATTAATTAAAAATCCATTATGAATATGAAGATGGAAGTTAGAAGCTCATATCCTCACTCTTAAAAAGTTTGATGTAACATAACCACTAGAAAGTAGCTAAGGCTTCTAGACATAATGAAGTAGCACATTCTACCCTACTCATCCCACTAATTACAATTAAATATGCTGAACAAAATATATAAAGCTAAATATATATATACACATATATATCAGGACAATGATATACATATATATATATATCAGGACAATGATATACATATATATATATATATCAGGACAATGATATACATATATATATATCAGGACAATGATATACATATATATATATATCAGGACAATGATATACATATATATATATCAGGACAATGATATACATATATATATATATCAGGACAATGATATACATATATATATATATCAGGACAATGATATACATATATATATATATATCAGGACAATGATATACATATATATATATATATCAGGACAATGATATACATATATATATATATATCAGGACAATGATATACATATATATATATATCAGGACAATGATATACATATATATATACATATCAGGACAATGATATACATATATATATATATCAGGACAATGATATACATATATATATATCAGGACAATGATATACATATATATATATATATCAGGACAATGATATACATATATATATATATATCAGGACAATGATATACATATATATATATATCAGGACAATGATATACATATATATATATATCAGGACAATGATATACATATATATATATCAGGACAATGATATACATATATATATATATCAGGACAATGATATACATATATATATATCAGGACAATGATATACATATATATATATATCAGGACAATGATATACATATATATATATCAGGACAATGATATACATATATATATATATCAGGACAATGATATACATATATATATATCAGGACAATGATATACATATATATATATATCAGGACAATGATATACATATATATATATATCAGGACAATGATATACATATATATATATCAGGACAATGATATACATATATATATATCAGGACAATGATATACATATATATATATATCAGGACAATGATATATATATATATCAGGACTATGACATATATATATATCTCAGGACAATGACATATATATATATATCTCAGGACAATGACATATATATATATCTCAGGACAATGACATATATATATATCTCAGGACAATGACATATATATATATATCAGGACAATGACATATATATATATATCAGGACAATGATATATATATATATATCAGGACAATGATATATATATATATATCAGGACAATGATATATATATATATCAGGACAATGATATATATATATATCAGGACAATGATATATATATATATCAGGACAATGATATATATATATATCAGGACAATGATATATATATATATCAGGACAATGATATATATATATATATCAGGACAATGATATATATATATCAGGACAATGATATATATATATCAGGACAATGATATACATATATATATCAGGACTATGATATATATATGTATCAGGACTATGATATATATATGTATCAGGACTATGATATATATATATATATCAGGACTATGAAAGGTAGGGAAAAAAGGCAGACTGGCTAGGGACCTGTAGACTAAAGGGAGAATGTGGTAGTGAGTTCCTTGGTTTGGTTTTTGTCTCTTGGCTTTGGCACTAAAGCAGCATGAAGCCCAGAAACAAAAAGATGCAGACCAAAAAATTAAAAAGCACCCCCTCTCACTCCCAGTATTGTTCTTGATAGCCACAGAACAGGGAAAAGGCAGCCCTATGGCACAGAAACTGCAGGACAGGACAGAACAGATATTTTAACTATATCTTCCCTACTCTAGGCAAACACCACAAAAGAAACTGTGCCCCTCCCCTTTCTCACGAGGCATTGCAAAGACTGTGGAACTGCTCCATGTAAACATGCACTCATCACAAAGAAGCTGCAGCATCCCTCATCCTCCCTCTCCCCTGGGTACTGTGGATACTATGGGGTGGAACCCTCTTAACCAGTCCCACTCTACAATAACTTCGGGAGAGGCTGAACCCTTCCTTCCCTCCACCTTCCCCATCAAATAGACCATCTCTACCCTGCACTAACATAAGCAGATGTAGCATTCCCTTTTCTCCCCAGCCAGGCACTACAAAGACTGTAGAGGGACCCTGTTCATAATATTTGTCCTGTACGTCTTATATTTAATTAAAAGCTAGAACTTAGGAGGCTGAGGCAGGGAGATTGCTTGGGCCCAGGAGTTTAAGACTACAGTGATCTATAATCACATCACTGCACTCCAGCCTCGGCAACAGAGCAAGGCCCTATCATTCATAGATAGATAAACAAATAGACAAATGGATGGATAGGTAGAGATAAATGCTAGAAAAAAATAGTAAGATCCTTTCAAGTTTACTATTAATACATGACATGAGAAGAATGTTCCTAATTTCACGATTGCTTGACGAATTTACTGTTTTCCTCAATATGTGAGGGTTTTATCACATCATAAAGGGTATTTGTCTTTTAAATCTCTAAAGGCTTTAATTCAGAATCTTTATTAGAGCACTTTTTATTTTATAAAATATGTTGAAGATAACCTTACATTAAAAAAATTATATACAACCTTTCAGTTACTTAGGGCTTTCTGACCTGAGATTTTTATAAAATTTTTAATTTACCAAAATTTTAAATTTTGTTAAATGTTGTTCTACAGAAGAAAATGATTTACAATCTTTTTTTAATCCAGCCAGTCTTTATCTTTCAAGTGAAGAATTTAATCCATTTACATTCAAAGTTATTATGGATAGGTGAGGTTTTGTTTCTGTCATATTATTTTATATATTCTTTCCTTTTTCTTTCATTGTGGATTGACAATTATCTGTAGCAATACTTTTGAATTCCTTCTCTTCCTCATTTGTGTGTTTTACCAGTTAGTTTTACATTTTCATGTGTTTTCATTATTGTAAATGTTGTCCTTCACTGCCAGATTTAGGACTGCCTTGAGCATTTCTTGTAGGACCAGTCTAGTGATGATGAACTCCCAAGCTTTTGCTTCTCTGGAAAGACTACTTCCTCATTTATGAATCATAATTTTTCTGGCTATAGTATTCTTGGCAAGCAGTTTTTTTATTTCTGTACTTTGACTATATCAACACATTCTCTCCTGGCCTATAAGATTTCTGCTGAAAAATCAGCTTTTAGTCTAATGAGGGTTTCTTTATAGGTAAACTAGATGCTTTTGTCTTTTTAAAATTCTTTTTTGTCTTTGATTTTAGAGTTTGACTATAATGTACTCCGGAGAAGACTTTTTTGCATTGTATCCATTTGGGGATCTCAGAGCCTCCTGTATCTGGATATCTAAATCTCTTCCTAGACTTGGAAAGTTTTCATCTACTATTTTCTTAGATAGGTTCTCTAACAGTTTCATTCTTTCTTCACCTTTGAGCCCACAATAATTTGAAATTTGGTTGCTTTATGGTGTCCCAGATGTCATGAAGTCTTTGCTCATTCTTTATTTTTGTCTGTATGGGTTTCTTCAAAAGACCTGTCTTTAAGTTCTGAGATTCTTTCTTCTCCTTGAAACCTGTTTTGTAAGGTTTCAAATGTGTTTTGTAGTTCATTCAATGGATTCTTCAGTTCAGAATTTCAATTCGGTTCTTTTTTACATCTGTCCTTCTGTTAAATGTCTCATTCATATCCTGAATTGTTTTTCTAATATGTATTATTTTTGAAAAATCTTTTTCTCACTGAGCTTCTTTAGAATAATTTGAATTCTTTTTCTAAGATTTTGTGAATTTCTTTTTGATTGGGATCTGTTGCTGGAGAATTATTGCATTCCTTTGGAAGTGTCATGTTTTCTTGCTTTTTAATGTTTCTTGTGTCCTTACATTGATTTTTATGTATCTGATGTAACAGTTGCTTCTTCCAATTTTTTTAATTTACTTCCATAGAAGAGGATTTTTTTCCTGAACGTGTATCTATGTTGCTGGTTGTATAACACACTTTGGCTTTGATTCTGAGTACATGCAGTGATATATTCTTTGTATGACTTCTTCGGCTGTAAACAACATCAGTGGTATCTGTGATTTCCTCAGTGGCTTACGATGCAGTTATTAGTGGAGGCTGTGTTGAAGTTTTGCTGGGGATTGGGACAGCAGGCAGGTCAGTCTTTAGGCCCCGGTGGTGGCAGCAGTGAGGTGATAATGTCTGCCCTTGGGCCCCAGGGCAGCATATGCTGGCACCAGTGGCTAATTCTTGGGTGTCCAAGTAACTTACTTAGATGCTGGTAGTTTCAGCAGTGGGCCGAGTGGGTTCTCAGGGTCCTGGGTAGGCAGCATGGCATGAGTGATGACAGTGGCAGTGGTAGAATGACCCTCTGGGTCCCAAGCAGTCTTTTTTGGTATTGGCAGTGGGTTGCCATGGGCTAGGCAGACCAGTCTCCAGGCATGTGCTATGGTAGCGGCTGCTTAGGTAGGCCCAACCTCAGGCACCTGGGAAAAGTATTCATGTGCCAGTGGTGTTGGACTGGGCTGGGCAATCTCCTAGACCCTGACTGGGTGCCATGGCAAGTGTTAGAGGTTGAAACCAGGCCTGTACTCAGGCTCTCTGTTAATAGGTTCAGACACCAGCCATGGTAGGCAGGGGTAAGGCAATCCCTAGGCCACCAATGGAATGCTCAGGTTGAGGTAGCAGCCATGCTGCTTCCCTGCCACTTGGAAAGGTAGTGCTGCCTTCAATTGCAGGCATCTTGGGCTGGCAGGTGAGGAACATGCCAGTTTTACCCCAGTCTCCATAGTGATAGCCAGAACCTCAGTCACACCTCATCCCCTCATTCACTCACAATACCTGGGGGCAGCAACCATGCTTCTCTTGTACCACAGCTACACTACCCTTGCACCTCAGCCCCAACACTGCCCAGATGCAGGACACTGCATAGTCTGTTGGGAGTGTGGCTCTAAAATGTCACCTTGCTGTAGGACCCAGCATAAGCTCCCTCCTTGGATCAGTGCCATTGCACAATCCAATCCATCCCGCAGCTCCCTGTGTTAGTTTCAGGGCCCACGAGAGTCAAGGGGTTCTCCCATGGCTAGTATTCCAGGAGTCCACAGTGAGAATGTGAACTGCTGAGGGTCTCTTACTTACCCTTTCCCCATATTGGGGAGCCTCTCAGCTCCCAGCTGATCCCAGTCAAGCAGGCTGCCTCACTTCCATCTTCTTCCTTGCTTTAGGTATTTCCTGTCACCTTTCTGTTGAATTCCAGTATTCTCTCCTGGATAATCTATCCAAAGTTGATTAAATACCCACTCTTTTGGTTCTTCTTAGTGGAGCAGATGAGTACAAAATGACACTATTCAGCCATGTTGGAGCCTTCTTTGCTGAAAAAATTAATCTTGCTCATGCCCTAAGTGAAGATGACTGATGATTAACAGCAAAAACAATAGCCAACACCATAGATATCTCAATTTGTTTAGCTTACACAATTCTGACTAAAACATTAACATTAAGCAAACTTTCCACTCAATATGTGCCAAAACCTTTACACCCCAGATCAGCTGCTGACAACAGCAGAGGTTTCAGTGGAAATTTTAAACAAGGACGATCAATAAAGTGTTTCTTCAGAGAATCATAACAGAAGATAAAGCATGGCTTTTCCAGTATTATCCTGAGGACAAAGCACAATCAAAGCAATGGCTACCAAGAGGTAGAAATGGTCCACTAAAAGCAAAAGTGGATTAGTCAAGAGAAAAGATCATGGCAACGGATTTTGGGGATGCTCAAGGTATTTTGCTTGTTGACTGTGTGGAGAGCCAAAGAATAATAACATCTTCTTTTTATTAAAACGTTTTAGAAAAGTTAGCTAAAGCTTTAAACAGAAAGATACTCAGAAAATCTTTACCAGACAGTCCTCAATCATGACAACATTCCTGTTCATTCCTCTCATTGAACAAGGGCAATTTTGCCACAATTTCAATGAAAAATCATTAGGCATTCAGCTTACAGTTCTGATTTAGCCTCTTCTGACTTCTTTTTGTTTTCTAATCTTAAAAAATATTTAAAGGGCATCCATATTTCTTCAGTTAATATTTTTAAAATACTGCATTGACATGGTTAAATTCCAGGATCCTCAGTTCTTTAGGGATAAAATGGCTGGTATCATCACTTACAAAAGTGTCTTCAACTTGATGGAGATTGTGTTGAGAAATAAAGTTTAATTTTCTTTTCTTTTTATTGTACTTTAAGTTTTAGGGTACATGTGCACAATGTGTAGGTTAGTTACATATGTATACATGTGCCATGTTGGTGTGCTACACCCAGTAACTCGTCATTTAACATTAGGTATATGTATAATTTTCTATTTTTAACTTTTGATTTCATTTTTCCACAAACTTTTTAAGTCCTTTCATAAAATATCCATATTTTTTTCTCTCATAGTCACTAAATGTAAGGATTCAACATATTTTATATAGTTGAGAAAATACTCCTAAATAGCCTGTAAGATCTCACATTAAATACAGAAAAATAAAGAAGAATATATGCAAGAGTCAGTTTACATAAATTATAAATTTGCAGTATTCACATCAACACTGCAAATTAGTTTTATTGCCACTTAAGAAACAATAAAACTGAGCGTTTAAGAGGCTTAGTAACTTTTGCATAATCACACAACTACCAAGTTACAGAGCAAAGTCTATGTAACTACAAAAGGAATACCATAAACTTACCTCAAATTTATTGAACTCTAGTTAGTTCTTAGCATTGATAACAGCTTCAGTGAAAAGTTAAATGTGTCAGTTATATAAAAAGAACAAAGTCAGAAAAAACTCTCAAACTACTAGCAATGTTTCAGGCCTCTGAAAACATCGTTTTGCTATGGTGATAGAGTGAACTTTCCACAGAAGTTAAGGTTTCTCTATTACTCTATGTGAAGTTGATGTGAAATGTCTGGCAAGCTATTTTGATAATATATCAAAGATAGTTTTCATTAAGTATAGTGTGTCTATATGTATTAAATATACCAAAATACCTTGGTTCCTGCCCCCTTTAAAATAAACATACAATAATCCAGAAGTGGTGGCTCAGGCCTATCATCCCAAAATTTTGGGAGGCCAAGGAGGGAGAATCACTTGAGCTCAAGAGTTCAAGACCAGCCTAGGCAACATAGAGAGACCCTGTCTCTACAGAAAAATTTTAAAAAGTTAGTCAAGTGCGGTGGCATGCACCTGTAGTCCCAGCTACTTGGGAGGCTGAGGTAGGAGGATCACTTGATCCTGGGAAGTCAGGGCTGCAGTGAACCGTGATGGCACCACTGCACTCTAGCCTGGCTGAAAGAGTGAGACCCTGTCTCTAAATAAATAGCCAGATGGCATCTTCTCTATAAATCTACTTCTTTTAATGAACTTCAGTTTAGTCCAAGGAATATATCCTGTTGATTCTACTTACTATAAAATATTACGCTCTAGCTCATAGTATTTCTTAACAGTTTTCTGCCCTAATATGTGGATTTTCTAAGAAAATGATGTGTGAGTTAATTTAATTTCCAACGTTAGTATTTGAATACTCACACAATTCACCTTTCCTGGTGCGATGTTACACCCCCTGAATCTCATAACTGTAAAAAATTACTTTCCATTACTCTCAAATAAAGTGATGTTAATTTAAGCAGATTTGAAAGGGAAGCACCAAATTGCCAAGGGAACACATTTGGGGTCACTTTGGGAAATAAGTGACTTCTTCCTTATTTATTATAGTATAATGGTATATTAAACCTTATAACTTATAACCATAAGTTATAAGTAAATCTTGCACCTATAAAAAGTAAAATGTCTTTGTAATGTATACAAAGCTTATTTATAGATTTTCAGCAATTTCTCTATTATACAGCAAAACAAGACGTACCCCCACTACTAATGTTTGAATGCCACTCTCCAAGTAGCATAGTGAGTTACAAACAATGGCCCAACAGTTTATGCATAGTTTTAAACTATTAAGTACAATCAGCTATATTTATTTGAAATTCTTAATAAAAAACCAAATATACAAAAGGTAATTTTCATTTTTAATTGCTCAGAAAAAGATTATACAACAAACTGGTAAAATCTGAATAAATTCTATAGTTTAATATATTGTACTAATGTTAATTTTTTAGTTTTGATCACTATACTATGACTACAAAAGATATTAACACTAAGGCAGGGCAGGGTCAAGATGGCCAACCAGATGCAGTGGTGATCGGAGGCTCCCATCCAAAAGAGCCAAAACAGCAGATGAATACTTCACTAGCAGCTGAGGTATCCAGGTTCTGTCATCAGGACTGACTAGGTGGTTGGCATGACCCATAGAGAGGAAGGAAGAGCAGTGTGGTGCAGCGGCCCACTTGGGAGCCACAATGGGCAGGGGAGCCCCCACCCACCAGCCAAAGGAGGTGATGAGTGAGCGTGCTACCCAGCCTGGGAAACCATGCTTTTTCCATGGAACTATGCAACCCAAAGATCGGAAGCTCCCACTCATGAGCCCACATCACCAGGGCCTGAGATCCCAACCATGGAGCCATGCAGATTCTCAACAGCCACTCAACTAGAATTATCTTAAGGCTGCCCAGTTCCTGGGGGGAGGGACAGCCATCACCACAGCTGTGGCTGCCTGCTGAGCCATCTGAATTCTTTGTGGGAGGGTGGCAACCAACACTGGGACTGCTAGCTGCCTAACACACTAAGCTCCCAGGGCAAGAGAAGGGCAGCAGCCATCTCTGTAGCTCCAGGCTATGCTTTTCCCCTGCTAGAGCCACAGAGGCAGACGGCTGGGTCCCTAGAGGTATTCCCCACAGCCCAACACACTGGCTTTGGCAGATTGCGGCCAGAGTGCCTCTTTAGGCCTGACCGTAACCCTTCCCTCCTCATTGAGTGGGGCCTCCCTGCAGGAACTCCAACAACTCCAGCCAGGGGCTCAAGGACAGAACTCTGATCTCCCTGGGACTGAGCCCCTAGGGGAGGGCTGGTTGTAGTCTCCATGGACCAGCAGACTTAGTCTTTCCTCCTGCTAATTCCGAGGAATCCGGGCAGCCCAGTCAAGTGGGTTTCCCCCAGTTGCAGCACACCCCCTCCACCAAGGGACAGCCAAAGTGTATTATTAAATGAGTTCTGCTCCCTGTGCCATCCAACCGGGTGAGACCTTCCAACAGGGGTTGTCAGACACCCTATACAGAAGCATGCCTACTGGTAACAGATTGGTGACCCTTGGAGTCAGAGATCCTAAAGGAAGGAGCAGACACTCATCTTTGCTGTTCTCCAGCCTCCTCAGGTGACATTTCCAGGTGTGTGAGTGAACCAGATGAATAGGGCCTGAAATAAACCCCAGCAAACAGCAGCCATGCAAAAGAGGGACCTGACTATTGAAAGAAAAACAAACAGCAATGACAACAGCATCACCAAAAAAAAAAAAAAAAAAAAAAAGTCCCCACAAAATCCTCATCCAAGGGTCAGTAGCCTCAAAGGTCGAAACTAGACAAACTCATGAAGATGAGAAAGAATCAACAAAAATACACTGCAAACCCAAAAGGCCAGAGTGCACCTTATCCTCCAAATGATCACAATGCCTCTCCAGCAAGGGCACAGAACCCTGGATGGAGGATGGGATGGATGAAATGACAGAAGTAGGCTTCACAAGTTAGATAATAACAAACTCCACTGAGATAAAGAGCATGTTCTAACCCAATGCAAAGAAGCTATGAACCTTGATAAAAGGTTACAGGAACTGCTAATTAGAATAACCAGCTTAGAGAGGAGCCTAAATGACCTGATAATGCTGAAAAACACAGCACAAGAACTTCGTGAAACATACACAAGTATCAATAGCTGAATTGATCAAGCAGAAGAAAGAATATCAGTTTGAATAACATCTTACTGATATAAGGCAGGAAGACAAGATAAGAGAAAAAAAGAATGAAAAGGAACAAATAAAACCTCTGACAAATACAGGACTATGTAAAAAGACCAAACCTACTATTGACTGGAGTACCTGAAAGAGAAGGAGAGAACGGAACCAAGTTGGAAAATGCACTTCAGGTTATTCACTCCAGGAGAAATTCTCCAACCCAGCAAGAGAGGCCAACGTTCAAATTCAAGAAATACAAAGAACATCACTAAGATACTCCATGAGAAGATCAACCCGAAGACACACAATCAACAGATTCTCCAAGGACAAAATGAAGGAAAAAATATTAAGGGCAGCCACAGAGAAAGTCCAGGTCACCTACAAAGGGAAGCCCATCAGACTAACAGCTGATCTCTCTGCAGAAACCCTCCAAGCCAGAAAAGACTGGGAGCCAATATTCAACATTCTTGAATTTTCAGCCCAGAATTTCATATCCAGCCAAACTAAGCTTCATAAGCAAAGGAGAAATAAAATCCTTTCCAGACAAGCAAATGCTGAGGGACTTCGTCACCACCAGGCCTGCTTTGCAAGAGCTCCTGAAGCAAGCACTAAATATGAAAAGGAAAAACTGGTACCAGCCCCTGCAAAAACACACCAAAATATAAAGACCAATGACACTATGAAGAAACTGCATCAACTAGTGGGCAAAATAGCCAGCTAGCATCACGATGACAGGATCAAATTCAATAACAATGTTAACCCAATAACAATGTAAATGGGCTAAATGCCCCAATTAAAAGACACAGACTGGCAAACTGGATAGAGTCAAGACCAATTGGTGGCTGTATTCAGAAGCCCCACCTCACATGCAAAGACACACATAGGCTTAAAATAAAAGGTATGGAGAAAAGTTTATCCTCAAATGGAAAGAAAAAAAAAACAGTAGTTGCAATCCTAGTTTCTGACAAAACAGACTTTAAACCAACAAAGCTCAAAAAAGACAAAGAAAGGCATGACATAATGGTAAAGGGATCAATTCAGCATGAAGAGCTAACTATCCTAAATATATATCCACCCAATACAAGAGCACCCAGATTCATAAAACCAGTTCTTAGAGACCTACAAAGACACTTAGAGACGCACACAATAATAGTGGAAGACTTTAACACCCCACTGTCAATATTAGATCAATGAGACAGAAAATTAACAAGGATATTCAGGACTTAAACTCAGCTCTGGATCAAGTGGACCTAATAGACATCTCAGAACTCTCCACCCCAAATCAACAGAATATACATTCTTCTCAGTGTCACATCGTACTTATTCTAAAATCAACCACATAATTGGAAGTAAAACACTTCTCAACAAATGCAAAAGAACTGAAATCATAAACAGTATCTCAGACCAGAGTGCAATCAAATTAGAACTCAGGATTAAAAAACTCACTCAAAACCACAAAACTACATGGAAATTGAACAACCTGTTCCTGAATGACTCCTGGGTAACAAAATTAAGGCAGAAATCAAGAAGTTCTTTGAAACCAATGAGAACAAAGAGACAGTGTACCAGAATCTCTGAGACACATCTAAAGCAATGTTAAGAGGGAAATTTATAGCACTAGAAAACTAGAAAGATCTCAAATCAACACCCTAACATCACAATAAAAGAACAAGAGAAGCAAGAGCAAACAAATCCAAAAGCTAGCAGAAGACAAGAAATAACTAAGATCAAAGCAGAACTGAAAGAGACAGACACACAAAAAACCCTTCAAAAAAACAAGGAATCCAGGAGCTGATTTTTTGAAATGATTAACAAAACTGATAGACTGCTAGCAAGGCTAATAAAGAAGAAAAGAGAAGAATCAAATAGACACAGTAAAAAATGATAAAGGATACTATAAACACCTCTACGCAAATAAACTAGAAAATCTAGAAGCAATGGATAAATTCCTGGACACATACACCCTCCAAAGATTAAACCAGGAAGAAGTTGAATCTTGGAATAGACCAATAACAAGTTCTGGAATTGAGGCAATAATTAATAGCCTACCAACCAAAAAAAGTCCAGGACCAGACAGATTCACAGCCGAATTCTACCAGAGGTACAAAGAGGAGCTGGTACCATTCCTTCTGAAACTATTCCAATCAACAGAAAAAGAAGGAATCCTCCCTAACTCATTTTATGAGGCCAGTATCACCCTGATACAAAAGCCTGACAGAGACACAACAAAAAGAGTTTTAGACCAATATCCCTGATGAACATCAATGTGAAAATCCTCAATAAAATACTGGCAAACAAAATACAGCAGCACGTCGAAAAGCTTATCCACCAAGATCAAGTCAGCTTCATCCCTGGGATACAAGGCTTGTTCAACCTATATGAATCAATAAACATAATCCATCACATGAACAGAACCAATGACAAAAACCACATGATCATCTCAATAGATGCAGAAAAGGCCTCAATAAAATGCAACATCCTTCATGTTAAAAACTCTCAATAAACTAGGTATTGATGGAACATATCTCAAAATAATAAGAGCTATTTATGACAAACCCACAGCCAATATCATACTGAATGGGCAAAAGCTGAAAGCATTCCCTTTGAAAACAGTCAAAAGGCAAGGATTCCCCCTCTCACCACTCCTATCCAACATAGCATTAGAAGTTCTGGCCAGGAAAACAGGCAAGAGAAAGAAATAAAGGGTATTCAAATAGGAAGAGAGGACATCTAATTGTCTCTGTTTGCAGATGATATGATTCTACATTTAGAAAACCCCATTTCTCAGCCCAAAATCTCCGTAAGCTGATAAGCAACTTCAGCAAAGTCTCAGGATACAAAATCAATGTGCAAAAATCACAAGCATTCCTATACACCAATAACAGACAAGCAAGGAGCCAAATCATAAGTGAATTCCCATTCACAATTGCTACAAGAAAATAAAACACCTAGGAAAACAGCTAACAAGACATGTGAATAACCTCTTCAAGGAAACATACAAATCACTACTCAAGGAAATAAGAGAGGACACAAACAAATGAAAAAACATTCCATCACCCATAGGAAGAATCAATACCGTGGAAATGGCCACAATGCCCAAAATGATTTACAGATTCAATGCTATTCCCAAACTACCATTGACATTCCTCACAGAATTAGAAGAAACCTTTAAACTTCATACGAAACAAAAAAAATTACTTGTATAGCCAAGATAAACCTAAGCAAAAAGAACAAAGCTGGAGGCATGATGTACCTGACCTCAAACTATACTACAAGGATACAGTAACCAAAACAGCATGGTGCTGGTACCAAAACAGACATATAGACCAGTGGAATAGAACAGAGACCTCAGAAATTACAACACACATCTACAACCATCTGATCTTCAAAAAACCTGACAAAAACAAGCAATGGGGAAAGGATTCCCTATTTAATAAATGGTGCTGGGAAAACTGGCTAGCCATATGCAGAAAATTAAAACTGAACCTCTCCCTTACACCTTATACAAAAATTAACTCAAGATGGCTTAAAGACTTAAATGTAAAACCCAAAACCATAAAAACCCTAGAAGAAAACTTAGGCAACACCATTCAGGACATAGGCATGGGCAAAGACTTCAGGATGAAAACACCAAGAACAACTGCAACAAAAGCTAAAATTGACAAATGAGATCTAACTAAAGAGCTTCTGCACAGTAAAAGAAACTATCAGAATGAACAGGCAACCTACAGAATGGGAGGACAATTTTACAATCTACCCCCTGACAAAGATCTAATATCCAGAACCTACAAGGAACTTAAACAAATTTGCAAGAAAAAATACACACAATCCCATCAAAAAGTGGGCAAAAGATATAAACAGACACTTCCCAAAAGAAGACATTTATTTTTGTGGCATATGAAAAAAAGCACATCACTGATTATTAGAGAAATGCAAGTCAAAACCACAATGAGATACCATCTCATGCCAGCCAGAATGATGATTATTAAAAGGTCAATAAACGATAGATGCTGGTGAGGCTGTGAAGAAATAGGAACACTTTTACACTGTTGGGAGTGTAAATTAGTTCAACCATTGTGAAAGACAGTGTGGCGATTCCTCAAGGATCTAGAACCAGAAATACCATTTGACCCAGTAATCGTGTTACTGCATATATACCCTAAGGAATATAAATCATTCTACAATAAAGACACATGAACACACATGTTTATTGCAGCACTATTTACAATAGCAAAGACTTGGAACCAACTCAAACGCCCATCCATGATCGACTGGATAAAGAAAATGTGGTACATATACACCACGGAATACTGTGCAGCCATAAAAAGGAATGAGATCATGTCCTTTGCAGGGACATGGATGAAGCTGGAAGCCGTCATCCTCAGCAAACTAACACAGGAACAGAAAACCAGACACCACATGTTCTCACTCATAAGTGGGAGTTGAACAATGAAAACACATGGACACTGGGAGGGGAATAACACACACTGGGGCCTGTGGGGGATTGGGGGATGAGGGGAAGGAGAGCATCAGGACAAACAGCTAATGCATGTGGGGCTTAAAACCTAGATGATGGGTTGATAGGTACAGCAAACCACCATGGCACACGTATACCTATCTAACAAACCTGCACGTTTTGCACATGTATCCTGGAGCTTAAAGTAAAACAAAAATAAAACACTAAGACAAGTTGGGCAAAGGGTATATAAGAACTGTACTATCTTTGCAACTCTTCTGTAAGTCTAAAATTCTTTCAAGACAAAAAGTCAGAAAAGAAAACCCTCTCTTATCAAACATACACTTTTCTCTTCTGTGTGTGTGGTGTGAAAAGAGGCCAATGCAAGTAGCCAGAGTGAAGTATATTGTTGGACACAAGTAAATCTTACCAGCTCAAAAACTTATAGAAAATATATCACTATTGATATGGCACTAATTCTTAGATTAAAAATTTCTAACAAGGTTAATATTTAGTGGCCAGCATTGTGTTTACACATTTCTAAACAGCATCAAATAGTACAAGCTACTGGAAACCAGTAGGAAAGAATATCTAATTTGACTTTGAAGCTAAATAGCTATGTGAGCTCACATAATAGAAATGAAGGAATTACAGGAAAACTTAAACATCCCTTTTATCCCCCCAAATTATTTCAATGAGTTTGAGTGACTTTTTATAATCCGATTACTCAAATCAACCCAGAAATCTAAACTGTTGAATATGAGAGAAATGCTGGTTCAAACAAGATTAAGAAAAAAAAAATATTGATTCACTTAATTGAGAAGGCCAGAAAGAATGCTAGCTCCATACAGGATTGGATTCAGAGGCCCAATGATGTCATCAGAAATTGGTTTCTCTCCAGCTCTTGGCTCTGTTTTCCACTGAGTTGGCCTCTTTCTCTGGCTTCACATCATGGCCCCTGACAGCTCCAGGATCATAATCTCTTATGATTAGCTCCAACTGGACTATCTTGGCTGCCACATATAACCCTGAATCACTGTGGCCAAGGAGATAGACTCTAGTCTGATTAGCCAGACCTGAGGCCCATTCTTAGCCCTGACTGAATTGTGGCTTTCACCCCCAGTGTAAAATTTCTGTTATTTTCAGGTGAGTGCATTTCAACTAATACAGATTTTGATACCATGAAATAAAGCAGTGTAGAAAACCGACTGGTTTAGTCAAAAGATAAAGGATACAGAACAGAGAAGATCCTATTATTTCTTTCTAGTAAGTTGGTAATCTTTTTACACTATATTGAGTATATCCATTAAACTATGGCCTTCTTTATGTTGAAACTCTGTCAATATGCCAACCAAGGCTATAGCATTAGAGACTTGGTAAGAAACATGTTTAGAGTGTTTTTAATACTTCTTAAGGCCATCAACAAAATCTTATAAGAGACAAACGGGTTGAATGTGGCCCACTGTAAGCACCTAAAAAAGTAAAAGTAGCTTGAAAGGATTCTTTTCTGTAGTCCAAAATTATGAAATTCTTTAGGTTACAGAAATGAATTACCTACTTTAATAAATACTAATGCTGGTACAGGTTGGAAAGTAGCTAGTTTGGAACAATATAAGATTAAGCCACAAGAAAGACATGAGACTTAGTTCCAATTAAGGATTCTCTGCCTGAGAAAGGATACAACATATTGATGTCCACTAGCCCAAGGTTATTGCTTCAGATCTCTTCCAGGGGCAGACCAAATGTAGATAGAAGCCATTCAACTAAAATTCTAGAAAACAGTGATTTGTTGCTTAGGAGACCAAAACCAAACTCAAAGACCATGACCACACTAATATCCGCTGGTGTGGTTATTATGCAATGAAAACTACAAATACATATGGACCAAAAGCCTACTAAAACTTGAAGAAAATAATAAATTAAAGAAATTCCAAGCTTTACCATAAACAGCTGTAACTTAAATCTTAAATCCCTTGGACACACTTTACAGGAGGTAAGCTACTATATCTGTGTAGCGCCAGAAAGGGCATCCTATCTCATGTCCATCTCATATAAAAATTGATGGATATGAGTAATCTCCCCAGGAGACAGGACATGGGGTAATAGAGGAAGATTGACAAGTGAATTTATTCCAAAGAGCAGAACTGGATGCTGCTATAATGTAACACAAGTAGTCACTGCACTGCCAGGTCAGAAAGTCCTCATTATTTCCAGCCAGCAGGCTATGGTTTATGCCATGTTCCAGTGAACCATGTGTGCTACTGCCCTTTTCCACAATTTTCACTGTGCTTATCTTGTTATTTCTCTACTACTTTATATTAAATATGTTAAGGGAAGATAACAGTATCTTAGCCTTAATACAATTAGAAGCTACAACTATATAAGAGAAAGAGCAACTCAACCAAAAATCTGGAATTATAGCAGTGAAGACTTTGAACCATCTCATTTGGGGAAAACTGAAGGTATTTCATGCTGGTGTGAGCATTGTAAGGGTGTGTATCTAGTTGGGAAGAAGCTAAGTTTGGATGTGAAGTCATTAAAGGGGTAAAATATATTAAACATTTGTTTAAATCCTCAACACCTATCCCAAACTTTCCCCGCTATATAATAGCACTAGAGTTTGAATATTGACTTCCATTTGAAGAAGAGTTCCTGAATTGCCCTACTCAGTAAGGATAATCTCTTCTCTCCAGCTGGTAATTAGTTCAAAACTGAGGATCAAGACAATGATTCATTCAAGGATAAATTATCTGTATTACAATGAAGTACTTATATTTAATGTTTGATGCAAAGGTGCTTTCTCTATCACTGGACATGAACAGGAAGTCAATGGGATGAAGCCAGAGCAGAAGATGACTGAGCAGAAATTAACAAAGTACATCAGTCCCAGCATGTCCTTGAGGAGTACCTGGAACAACTAATCTCGGGAGTCTGTGCTTCCTCTAGAGTACCAGTCATGTAAGATTTAAAATGTTATTATATTTATTTTTTTTAAGAGACAGGGTCTTGCTATGTTGCTCAGGCTGAACACAAATTTTTAAATGTTATTTTTTAAGTCAGGTTTTCTCTTACTTGCAGCCAAAAACACCCTGACTGATAGGCTATCTATATGCTAATGACACTCTGTATCAGTTGAAAATTGCAGTCAGCTGCAAGAAACAGAAATCTGAATAAGGGCTGCTTAAACACATTAGGGGTTTGGCTTTTCTCCAGAAAGATGACATTTGGAGGTACATAGTCCAGAGCTGACACACTGACTATATTCTAGGCTTCCTCTATCATTTTGTTCATCCTTCTTTAGCATGTGTTTTTTACATTATCACAAGTTAGATACATCAGTAATTTAATCAAGAAGAAAACAGCAAAAGATCAATGAGTCTTCTCCCCTTTTTTAGTTTTAGTTCTCAGAATTACCTCACAATTACTATATACATTTTATTGACAGAACTGTGTCATGTGACCATCCAATGTGCAAGGGAAATGCAGATTTTATAGCTGAACCTATTTATACTACCGAAACAAACAGAATTGTATTCATAAGGTAGAAGGGAAGAATGATATTAGGTAGGCAAACTAGCCATCTCTGCCACATCCCCCAATTTATGTTTCCAGCTCAGATCTCCCCTTTGATCTCTTGACCTATATATCAAACTTACCTTTTAAACTCTGCATGCTTGTGGATTATAAACACCTCAAACTGAATATGAAAAAA
Organism: Homo sapiens; assembly: GCF_000001405.40. Lineage (NCBI taxonomy): Eukaryota > Metazoa > Chordata > Mammalia > Primates > Hominidae > Homo > Homo sapiens. The sequence continues at coordinate 126,181,486 of NC_000005.10, forward strand.
TAAAGCTACTGATCTCCACATCCAATCTGCCCCTCTGTGATAGTTAATTTTGTGTACCAACTTGACTGGGCCACAGTATACCCAGATATTTGGTCCACCATTATTCTGGATGTGTCTGGTGAGAGTGGTTTTGGATGAGAATAACTTTTGAATCTGTAGACTGAGTGAAGCAAGTTGCCCTCCATAATGTGAGTGGGGTTCACCAATCACTTGAAGATTTAAAAGAATAAAAGGGCTTATTAAGAGGGAATTCCTCCTGCCTAACTGCTGAACTGGGACATCAGTCATCTCCTGCCCTCAGATTAGAACATATACCATTGGCTCTCCTAGCTCTCCAGCTTAATAAGTGAATATTTTGAACTTCTCAGCTTTCTAGTCATGTGAATCAATTCCTTATTTTATATATCTAAACTGTTGCATGAAATATATATATATAATTTTCCATTTCTCTGGAGAACTTATTTGTCCTGTTTTTCTAGAGAACCCTAATATACCTTCCTAAAGTCATTCCTATCTCAGTAAATACTACTACCACTTAGCCATTGAATGGCCCTACCATTTACCCAAGTGTGCCTATAGAAACCTAGTAATAATTCATTCAACTGTTATTCACCCCTTTCTGTGCATTGAATTTATCACCACATTGAGTCAGTGCTTCCTTCCAGTGTATTTTAAATTCACTTCTCTCCAACTCCAATGCCATCACCTTGGTGAAGTCACCGTTTTCCATTTAGACTCCGGAAATGTCTTCTAACAGATTCCACTGCTTCTTCTCTTAGTCCCTTCCAGTGAAATTTCCAGGTAGCTTTTAGAGTAATCTCTTAAATCTATTAATCAGATGACACTGTCCTGATCAACATTTTTCAATGGCTTACCATTGCATTTTATTTTACCATGAGCTACAGGGTTGCATAAAGTGGTTCCTCTGTCTCTCTCCAACCTTATTTCATTCTCCTTCTTGCTTACTGCATTTCAGCCACACCAGTTTTTTTTCTTTTCTTCCAATATACCAAGCCCTTTGTAATATCTACCTCTAGCTTTTTCATGTGGCTGGATTATTCTTTTTAGATCTTCTCTGGCTTTGCCCATCTTCTCCAGTCAATCATTCATTATTTAATTATATGGTCCTTCATAACAGTTACTCACAATCTATCATCCAAATTTGTGATTATTTTTCATTTAACATTGTCTCACTCCCCAACTATAATATGCACTCCACCAGGACAAGAAACTAGTCTTTGAAGTTAGTTGATATGGCTAAGTCCTAGCACAATGCTAGCACTTAATCAAAGCCCAGAAAGTTTACTGAGTGAATTTATTCATTCATTCAACAAATATTTATTAAGGTCTTAGAAGGAACTGTTCCATGCACTAGGGATGCATTAGTGAATTAAAGGGCCAGAGTACTGCTTTTATGGAGTTTACCCTTTAAGAAGAAAGACAGAGATTAAACAAGTAAGTGGTATGTCAGAAGGAGAAGCTTTTTTAATGAAAAGAGCCCTCTGGACATTTATTCAGACTATTTTCTCTTTCTCTGGACTTAGACAAAGTCTGGATGCTAAGAGAATACTAGAGGGTTTGGCACATACCATGCCTTCCAAATGAGCCCTTGGAGCTTGCAAATGCCGTCATGCATCCTGGGCAACTGAGTGAAGTGTCAGTTATCCTGACATCTATACAAGAGGCTAATATTGTCTATGGACCACTGGGGGCTAAATGCTTGTTGACTGAGATAATGATCAGATAGACAAACATACAACAGTCAAACTGAAGATTCACAATCTTGACTATGCCAAGGCCAAAAAAAGTCAACAAGATGGAATATGATGTACTGATCACAAATGCCAAAATGCTGAACCAAAAGGAAGCTGGAGTTGTATTGAGAAGAGAAAAATGGAATAAATAGGATACCAGATTAGATTACTGCCTGTCAGCCAAGCTTATGTAGGACTGGCTGCCAGTTGTGGAAACATGAAGGACAAATGGCATGCCATCCCAAACCGCCACCCGAGCTTCTTGCCAAGGCTGCCTGCGCATACACAGCTGGGCCTCCCTTGGCAAACTGGTTGATGTTCTCTCTCCATTTATTAACAATTGCTTCATTGTTGTTGATACTAAGTACCGAATAATTCTAACATTTTTTTATAGCTGATGAAATTAATTGCCAAATTCAGACTCTGGGGGTTATTTTGCCAATAATTTCTTGCCCAGATTTGAGATGATATTCATTTTCAGTGTGACTGTATGTTCACAAGCTCTGGTGATGTCTTTGAGTCATGCATTTCAGCCTCAGTGCTACATGCTTTGAGAGTCTACTTGACACAATGAGCGGAAGCCAAATGTACATGGAGGGAAGTCTAAGCAAATGTTTCAACTGAACAACAACAATAACAACAATGTTTTAAAAACTAATATTTACTGAAATAGGTACTTTTCTAAGCATTTTATTATGCATTATTTTCCTCAGTCCAATGGAACTGTTAAATAGGTAAAATTAGTTTCTCTCTTTTACAAAAACAGGAAATAGGCAAAGAGGAAACATATCTGAAGTGTGGACCCGTTGTTTTGGAGGAGGTAGAAAAGCAAAGTGGTGGTAGGAAGGAAAGTACCAGGATAGCAAATAACAAATTAATTACTTAGGTTTTATTCAACACATTTTACCAGTATGGGGTTCAAATTGACCATAAATGAATTGTCAGTCCCTTTCTTTAAGAAATCATGGAAAATGTTTTGCTGTGCCTCATAACCAGCACTTCTTGTTACTCCATATAAACATTTATAAGGGTAGATTATTTCATCATCACTGCAACACTCACCAGAAGCTAGTCAGGAATACACTGACAAGCCAATCTACACGGAAACTGTGCATTGCCCCATCGTGTCTATGAGACTATAGGATGCTGGGAATGTATTCTACTCATTTTTCTATCCCCAACACTTTACATGGGCCTGACACATAGAAAGCAATTACTAAATGCTTTTTGAGTGAACAAGTCCACAATTCTATTAGCTCTCACAAATAAAAGAGGATATGCACTTATTAAGAGTACAAACCCTACAATTGGGGCAGAATGGCAAATAGATTTCATCTCATCAGCCAACACCAAGAGAAAGGTAGTGGCTGCCTATACTGATGTGCTGAGTAGGATTTTGACACTGCATCAGGTCTTTGTATAGAAAAGATCCTTCGACATGTTTGATTAATGTCTTTCAAGTGTTTAAGAACAAAGACATGGAAATATACATGTCATGTCATTGAAGCTGTTAAGATTTTCCAGATAACTAAAAGAAGTCAGAATATATGATTTAATCAGTGATTTCTCCATAATATGAACAATTAAAATTGTCAGGTATGCAAGTATTATAATTCTTTTTTGACATTTGCTCTAAGGATTGAAACATGGAACAATGTTGTAAAAATTACAAACACAAATGCACTTAAGTGCCTCCTCTCATTAAAATCAACCTAATTTAGCTGCATCAGAGAGTCCTAGATTAATGAGAACACACAAAAATCGGGACTATTATTTTTATATTCAAATTTTCTTAGCAAATCCTTAGGTGTATGTAATTTCAGTTAATCTCACAAGTCCAAAGTCCACATCAAATGTTGTCTTGCAGTCTGCTTTAAGTCCCTGTCTTCTGCATCCAATAAGAGGTAGAGAAAGCTTCATTGTAGCTACACAATTGTCTTTACGGAAGTCAGGAAAAAGATGGCCTTGGATCTTTTTGTCATACTGGAATGAGGGCAAATATATTCACTGAAATTTATTTTGGCTTTATTTTTCTTTATAGAAAGTTTGAAGTATAATTTCAACTTGATAGTTTTGCACAAATATCACTCCTTAATTTTGATTCATTCTATTTTCTGCAGAAGTTTGTTCATAACCTACAATGTGCTAGGTTGGGGATACAAGTAGAACGTGTTCCTTATCCTTAAGCTTAGTCTACTACAAACTAATCAAAGAAAAAGTACATACACACACATTTTTAAAGCCTCTTTTCTTCTTTTCCCATATATTCTTAGATATAGCACCAAAACCTATAAAAGAGTAAATTGACTTTACCAAAATTAAAAACTTTGGCTCTTCAACAGACACTGTTAAGAGAACTAAAAACAAGCCACAAACTGAGAAAAAAAACTTGCAAAGCATATATCTGAAAAAGGACTTGATTCTAGAATATATAAACAATACTCAAAACTCAATAAGTAAACAAACTGTCCATTTTTTAAATGGCAACATATTTGAGCAGACACTTTAGTAAAGGTAACAAATGGATAGCAAAAAAAGTATGTGAGAAGATGTTCAACATTATCAATAACTAAGAAAAAGCCAAATAAAAGCACTATGAGATACTGCTATAAATCTATTAGAATGTCTAAGATTAAAGATGGACCATGCCAAGTGTTGATGAGTACGTAGAGAAACTGAAACACTCATACATTGATAGGAAAGTAAAATGGTACAAACACTTTGGAAAATAATTTGGCAGTTTCTTAAAAAGCTAAACATTAAATATAACACCTAAAGTACAAGCAAAGAAAAAAATAGATAAATTAGATTTCATCAAAATGAAAAACCTTTGTGTTTCAAAGGCTATAATCAAGACAGTGAAAAGACCACCTATAGACTGGGAGGAAACTTTTGAAAACCACATATCTGATAAGGATCTAGTGTACACAATATATTAAGAACTCTTCCAATTCAACAATAAAAAGACCAAGAGCCCAATTTAAAAACGGGCAAATAATTTGAATAGCCATTTCTTCAAAGAGATATACAAATGGCCAATAAGCCCATGAAAAGATATTCAACATCATTAGTCATTAGGGAAATGCAAACCAAAACTGCAGTGTTGCTATTTCACATTGACAAGGATGGCTGTAATAAAGAGAAACAGATAGTAACAAGTTCTGGTGAGAATGTGGAGAAACAGAAACCCCACACACTACTGGTCATGATATAAAACAGTGCAGCTACTTTGTAGAACAGTCTGACAGCTCCTCAAGAGGTCAAACACATTAATAAAAAAGTTATCATATGTCTTAGTCCATTCTGTATTGCTATAACAGAATACCTGAGATTGGGTAATTTATAAAGAAAAAAGGTTAATTTGCCTCATGATTCTGGTGGCTGGAAAATCCAAGATTGGGCAGCTGCATCTGGTGATGGCCTCCGGCTGCTTCAACTCATAGCAGAAAGTGGAAGGGGAGCTGCATGTGCAAAGAGCTCACATAGCTAGAGAGGAAGCAAGAGAGTAAAACCAAAGAAGACAGGCTCTTCCAACAGTCTGCTCTCTCCAATTGTTAATCCATTCCCATGAGAGTGAGAATTCACTCACTACCAAGCCATTCATGAGAGACCCACCCCAACAACTCAAACACCTCCCACTAGGCCCCACCTCCCAACACCACACAGCAGGGAGTACATTTCGACATGAGTTCTTGTGGGGACAAACAAATCATATCCAAACCACAGCACCATATGAGCCCACAATTCTACTTCTATCCGCACCTAAGAATTGAAAACATATTCACACAAAAACTTTTACATGAGTTTCCATAGCAGCATTACTCATAATAACTAAGAAGTGGAAACATAAATATCCATCAATTAAGGAATAAATAAACAAAATATGGTGTATCCTTATAATGTATCCATCCTTATAATGGAGTATTATTCAGCCTTAAAAGGAATGAAATACTGATACATGCTACAACATGAATAAACCTTGAAAACACTATGCTAAGTGAAAAAAGTCAGACACAAAAGACTACATATTAGACGATTCCATTTATCTGAACTGTCTCGAATAGGCAATTCTGTAGGGACACAAAGTAGATTAGTGGTTCCAGAGGCTGGAGGGAGGGGGAAATTTGGAAGTGACTGCTAATGGGTACAGAAGTTTTTTTGTGGAGGAGAGTTATAAAAATATTCTGGAATTAGTGATGATTGTTATAAAACCTTGTGAATATAAAAAAACTGAATTATACACTTTAAAAGGAAGAATCTTATGGCATATGAATTTATCTCAACTAAAACAAATTAACCATATCCTATACTGGCCAACCATTCCACTATCAGGTATTTACACAGAGATGAAAACATATGTCCACACAAAAACATGTATACCAATGTTTATAGCAGCTACATCTGCAATTGTGAAAAAATAATCCAAATGTCCATCAACCAGATAAAGATTATCGTTATGTGGTGTACACATGCAATGGAATACTATTCAGTAATAAAACTTTATAAACAATTGATGTTATGAACCACATGGATAAATCTCAAAATACATATGCTGCATGAAAGAAACCAAACCAAAAAAAGAGCAACAAAAATGCATACTGCACAATTTCATTTATATACAATTCTAGGAAATGCCAACTAATGTATAGTAACAGAAAGCAGACCACGGTTGCCTGTGAATATAAGAAGGGTTGCAAAGCGCATGATGAAATTTCCAAAAATGATGAATCTGTTCATTATCTTGGTTGTAGTGGTGGTTTCACAAGTATAATTGAAATAGCCAAGTAAAAAGTAGTCCCTAGAGAATCTCCCACCAGCCTGCGCTCTGGGAGGTTGGGGTGTAGCCTTGGGAAGTTCGCATCGTTTGCAACAGGGAGGAGCCTGGCCTCTCCAGTTCCTGGGGGGTGACTAGAATTCAGTCTGTGAGGTGGAGAGTCTATCAGCAGGACTCCATCTCACTTTTTTGAGTTGTTTCTCCTTTTTCCTTTTTGCCCAATAAATTCTGTCCCCCCTCACCCTTCAAAGTGTCTGTGAGCCTAATCTTTCCTGGTCCTGTGACAAGAACTCGTTTTTTTCTACAACATAATCATATATCAAAACATCAAATTGTGCACTTAAAATATGTGCAATGTATAGTATGTCTACTATACTTCAATAAAGCTGTTTTTAAAACATAAGCAATCTGCCACAAAATGTTTTCTGTGCTATGCTATTCCACTTCCCTTTGATTTTTGGAGGACTCGAAAGGCATACTCCTGTTCTAATGTGGCTGGCACCTAGTGACTCACCAGTGTTTCTTCAGTGGCAGAAACACTGAAGGCACAGCAACTCCATACCAAACTTCACCCTGCAGAGGTGTAGAAGAGACTGATGGCACCAGTAACAGTACTGATGCTAACCTCATTTGTCCAGAGGTGCTTTGCTGGGACTGTCTGGTTAGTCTGCTTTGCTCCCTGCTTCCTTTGGACTGTAGGGGTGTGGCTTCATTGATTCTCATCATCCTCTCGGTTCCCAATTCATCCCAAACCCAGAAAATGTCATGAACCTCAATGACATGTAAGTTTCTTCACAAGATATGTGGAAAGTTAAAATTTCGGACTCGTAAAATCATCATCTTCTAATGTCACCACACTATATAGCTCCCTTGATTGCCACTGAATGTGTAAAAAGAAAAATCAAGAAATCTACATTGCATACCAATTTGTAGTATGTTTCCAAAATGACACATGCTGTGTCACTCTGACACTGAATGAGCCACAGAGAGGGGCTTGCACAACTGTAGGTTTGCTGAGTCAGGGGCTTCTGAACAGGGGCTTTTGAAGTGTTCTGGGCCCTGCCTGTACACACTACAGGGATTAGGGGCATGCTTAGTTTGGAGACATTTTACAGTGACAAAATATTACTTGTTTAAGGCCTGTTCACTACTGGTCTGCTTTTTTTCCTAAGCAATACAGCTTAACTAGCCTGAAAGTCAATGCTTGAAGCCCAGAGGAGAATGAGAGCTGCCCAAAAACGCTGAAATAAGGAAAGATTCTTCCTAAGGAGCTGATAAAAGAATGTAGCCCTCCTCCACTCCCCTCAACAAAGAAAAGCTCATGAAAAGGTTACTTTCCTTGTGATTAACAGTCTTCACAATTAAAATTTTTAAGTGGCTGATTGAAGGATAATATAGCAGATTTCATTCAGCCTCGCATACCTCAAGGGAAACTCAGCTTTCCTTTATTACTTTTACTGCACGTGCACGTTTTCCCTTGGAAATAAAAATTAAACCTTTGTACCATTGCTTCGAATAGCACTTTCTCTTCATGCTAATAATGGTTTTCATGAAACAGCTGTACCAAATTAAAATGTTCCTTTTTTAAAATTTCATAGAGTTCAAGAAACTGATGTAAAATATGAATATGTATCAGGATAAATAAACATCCATTGCTAACCATTCATCTTCTAAGTACCACGGAGTGCTTCCCTCACCTCACCTACCTATTTCTTGACCTTTTGGGTGATTACTGTTATCAAAAAAATTCACAAATATATAAGGGATAGAGATTATGAAAATCTCAAAAGGTAATTTAAAACTTTCTCTTTTTTTACACTCTGACGCTTCCTTAAAGTGATATGGATAATCAGAAATTAAGTTGTATTTGCTGAAATCTTCAACTTTTAATTTTTTGACGATCTTATTTTTATAGACTTTGAGACAAAAAAAAAAGACAGGACCGAGAGGAGGATTTAAAGACTGTGTGGGAGGCGTGGTCAGAGCAACAATAACAATGACCAGTCTTTGTTAGATGCCTACTGCTCCTCAGGCAGTAATCCCATTGAATACACCTCCTCAAACACAGGTAATTGGTGTTTTTGTCCTCACCATTAAACAGATGCCAAAGCTGGGATTAAGCAAGGTCAAGCTACCTGCTCACAGCCTTACTACCTGTATGTGACAGAATTAAGAACCACAACCGGGTCTTTGCAAGAAAAGTACATGCTCTTTTATAAGTGAGAAAAAAAATACAGAATATTAAATTGAAGCATTCCTTGTAATTTTCACTTGTAATATAGGAAGTACACTTGATTTATCCTTGTGAGATCAACTTTTAAAAACCATACCTCTTTGAGGAATATTTTTGTCCTCCAATTGCCTCTAAGTTCTACCAATCGTTAAAAACTTCAGCTGAATTAAATTTAAAGGAGTTTAATTGAGCAATGAATGATTTGCAAATCAGACAGCCCCCAGAGTCACAGCAGATTCAGAGAGACTCCAGAGCAGCCACATGGTGGAAGACGATTTATAGACGAAAAAAAGGGAAATGATGTACAGAAATCGGAACTGAGGTATAGAAACAGCTGGATTGGTTACAGGTTTGTGTTTGCCTTATTTGAACAGTTAGAACACTCAGCAGTCTATGAGTGGTTGAAGTATAGCTGCTGGGATTGGCCAAGACTCAGCCATTGTTACAATGTATTACTCCTGAGTTAGGTTTTCAATTTTGTCTGCCAGTTAAGCTAGGTTACAGTTCATCCACAAGGAGTCAACAGAAGTATGGAGTCCTTCTCAGGCCATATTCAGTTTGCTTTGACACAATCAACTAGATTCTCCTTTCCCAGATTGTCAAAACTGCTGATGAGGAGCCTGCTTGTTGCTTTCCTCACCCTTCTGCCCAGTGTTTCCTTGGGGCTGTGAAAACACCACTTGGAATATTGAGATTTTGAACAAGAGTATATGCAGCTCTGAGAAGACCTCAGCAGGAAGGAAAAAAAAAAAAAGCTACAACACTCCACTTAATATATAAAACATCTTCTGTAAAGTTCTGGAACTCCCAACTCATCCTTTTGGGTGAACTTTCTTGTCCACCTACACACATTGAATTTTATGTCCTCACTCCATAATATGTTCATTTATTACACAGGCCCACATGTGATGAAGACAGGATTCTAAGGTTTGGCACTTCTTCAAATTGGATTAGTTGGAGGATGTTTCAAAGGTAATGACTAACTTTCTGAAGTAAAACCCACTTACCTAAAAGAAAAAAAAGCATACCTGCATACACATGCACATACACTGACAAATCCCCCAATTTGTGGGCACATATCCTGATATTATGATGAAGACAAAAAGCTAAAAAGATTAGAAATTTAAAAGCTAGGCCAGGCACAGTGGCTCATGCCTGTAATCCCAGCACTTTGGGAGGCCGAGGTTGGTGGATCACCTGAGGTCAGGAGTTCGAGACCAGCCTGACCAACATGGTGAAACCCCATCTCTACTAAAAATACAAAAATTAGCTGGGTGTGGTGGTGCACACCTGTAATCCCAGCTACTAGGGATGCTGAGGCAGGAGAATCACTTGAACCAGGAAGGTAGGGGTTGCGGTGAGCCAAGAACGCACCACTACACCCTAGCCTGGGTGATAGAGCAAGACTTCGTCTCAAAAAAAAAAAGAAAAGAAAAGAAAAAAAGAAAGAAAGAATACAACTAATATATAGTAACCATCATCCTGACACTCTGCCAGATACTTTATATATATTAATTCATTTAATCCTCACCAAATCCAATGAGATAGTTCCTATTACTTTTCCTATTTTATTGATTAGGAAACAGAAACATGGAGAGATGAAGCAGCTTGCCCAAAACTGTGCGTGTAGTAAATATAGAAACCAAATGCAAACCTAAGGAGTCTAGCTCCAGAGTACAATGTTTTTTGTTGTTTCTATAATTTTCTTCCTTTTCTCACTCATTAGAACCAATATACTCTAGATATAGTGATTGCAGCCAATTTTTACAATAATTAACAAGTTTAATGAAGTGGCCTGCAATATCCTAAATTTTGCCTACCTCCAGTTTAACTTTCAATTATAGCACTACATACTGGAATGGAATATTGACAGAATTAAGGCTTCCTTCCCAAACTGTAAGTGGTGTTAAAGGCAAGAAGATATAAAACTCTGTCTCCATTACATCTTTGTCCACTCAGATTTGATCCTAGCCTTTGAAAAAGTTACACACCTACCGAACCCAGATATAAAAGGTGGTGATAAAAACTTCTGCTGTGAATTATTGGAAAACACTATTTCTGAGAAAGTATTACTTTACTTTAGGGATTAAAGAGCTTGCTCACTTCAGTACATCTGTGTTTCAGTCCACCTTAGAAAGATGACACATAAGTTGAGCACTTATTTGCTCTAGACAAGCTGAATTCTTTCCGAGTAAGTATTGTGCACAGGCCCTCACTGGAGATCATCTTGACGTCCTGAGCAAAAAAACAAATTACTCCTTTGTGCTCCAAAAAAGAAACTTTTTATCAAACTTGAGAACACACCAGGCAATGTGGTCTTCTGCTATATTTCCTTGACTCAGGATTTGCCCCTGGGAAACTACGGCTTCAAAATATCCCATTTGTAATGTTTCGCTTGCCTATGATATTTGCTTCCTTAAAAAGCTTCCAATCTGAAAAGACTCATTTCCAATGAGACTGTGTCTTGGTATTCTCACTATAATTCAATAAATATTTTGAGTACCCACTACATGCAAAGTATTACATTAGGCACTAGCGTAAGTAACAAGGATATAACAATAAATCAAACACAACTTGTATGTTGAATTCCAAAGTTACATAATACAGGATAAGGGCAAAGATTACATTAAATATTATATTAAAATTCCTTTTAGTTCGAACATTTTATTAATGTTTATAGATAAGGAACTAGTTTATATAGAAAGGGGGAGAAAAAGTTGACATTAGAGTGTGCTAGATGCCTATCATGTTGCTAGTCACTGTACTGGAGTTATTTCACTGATCCCTAAACAACCACCGTGAACTAATTCTTGTTATTGCCATTTTACAGTTGGAAAGTTATGTGTGTTACCCTTGGCACTGGATGATTGCAACAGTAAGGTAGGAGGTATAGGACTTTTAACATTTTACACATTTTGAAGATTCTTTGGAATTCCTAAGTGAGATAATATGCACCAATGCCTTAACATGATACCTACCAAGACTCAACGCTCCACCAGGAGTTAGTGGTAGTGTCAATAGTGGTAGCAGATGCAGCAAAAGTAGATTAAGCCAGCATCTGAGCTCTCAACTGCACAAAAAGCCACCATCACAAATGTTCTGACCAACCACTCCAACCCCACCTCAACTTCCTTTTCTAAACAAATCCTAATGGCAGCATTTCCCTGTGCTTTTTATATGTGAGATTGCTAGTGACATTCCATCCGAGCCCTCAGTAACTCCACTTAGCCACTGCCACGTGCCTTTTCCTCATTTGTTCCTTTGTTCATTTTCATGTCATTTGCATAAACAATTCTCATTCTTTCCTTCTCTTCACTTCATCTCCTTCCAATTCACCTGATAACTTCTGTCAGTGGCAACTGGGATATTTCTCCAGAGCTTCTACAACAACAAATTGAGAGTTTCACAAGCACCTGGGGCCCAGCAGACGTTGGGAAGCCTATTCTGGGACTCGCCTCCATCTAAATGATTTGAAAATTCAGCTCCTGAACACAGCCAGATTGCTGTCAGCAATTCGAATAAGTTTTAACAACACTGGATCCACCTCAAGGTTATTTCTTCAATATCATACAGAAAATATTGTAAATGAAGGAAATATGATGCAAAGTGGTAGTATTCTAGTAATCTAGTCTATTTTTATGAAGTCTCCCTGCTATCTTGACTGATGGAGAAAAAATTTTCATAACAAAGTCTATTTCTTGTACATCTGAAATATTCCCTACAAAAATAACCCCTCTTTCCTGGGATGCTAAACATAAGACCTTATACTTATATAATAATTCACCTAAAGGAAATTCCTTCCTGCTTTGGCCTTCACATTCTATCCAAGGTCTGTATCCAACCAGATAGTATTATCTATTCAAATGTAACCTGGACCTCTGATGAGCACTAACTTTTACTTCCGTGGATAAGCAGGGGGTTTAGATCTACAAAGTCAATATATAAAGCAGCATTCAGACCATTGTAGTCCTTGCAATCGCTCAATTCATTGAATGAGGTAATTTGTGTCAGATTCATATGGCTGAGATTTATTTACATAGATTAAACCACTGAGTGTCATTGGATGTTTAAGCCTTGTTCTAAGAATGGCACATAATTCAAGCATGCTGAATAAGAGCCATCCCTAAAGACTAATTCACAAGAACCAGGATAACATGTACCTGCTTTGTCGACTTCCATTTAAGCAGAATTAGAGGTTACCTTACCAGATGCTCTAAGCACTAGTAATGAACATGCATTCTCCCCCTGCGAATATTATAATAAATTCAGAAAAAGTCCAGTTCTGACATCCAAAGGGCAGCAATATTATATCACTGACAATATGCCATTAGCAGTCATTTTCACTTATTACTGTTCTCTAGGCTTAGAGTGGGGTGTCCTGTTTGGTTTTATTGCTTCTTTGTAGCATTTCCCAATTTGAGCTAGAGAGCTGCATTTTTCATATAAGCCCTGTAATTTTTCACACACAAGTCTAGCTTCTCATGGATTCGGTGCATTAAGTGACTCAACATCATACCAGAGTGTGATCTTCCCAACCAACCACTGGGTAACATAGCACTATCCTCAGTATTATGGAAGAGGAGTGAATCTTCATCCTCTTTTTTGAAGAGCTTCCCCACAAGGGGCTACGCAAACATACTTTCTGGATCCTATGTTGTTCCCACCCAGTGTACATCAAGATTCCCTTAAGAACTCTATTTCCGGTCAGGCATGGTGGCTCATGCCTATAATCCCAGCACTTTGGGAGGCCAAGGCAGGCAGATCATTTGAGGTCAGCAGTTCGAGACCAGCCTGGCCAACACAGTGAAACTCCATCTCTACTAAAAAATACAAAAATTAGCTGGGTGGCAATGGCACGTGCCTGTAATCCCAGCTACTCAGGAGGCTGAGGCAGGAGAATCACTTACCCTGGAAGGTGGAGGTTGCAGTGAGTGGAGATCCTGCCACTGTACTCTAGTCGAGGGTGACAGAGTGAGACCTTGTCTAAACAAAAACAAAAAACAAAAACAACCTCTATTTCCCCTTCCAAATCTTCTCTAACTTGTCCTTGTAATAAAAGAAGCAATAAAATTTTCTAAATCCTGGCAGATGCCTGAGTACATTCTTATACAAACAACTTATAAATAACATTTTTTAAATGTAGGTTTAAATGCTACAAGTCAATGGGTAGTTGGCAAAAGAGAAATAACTTTCTGACTTGTTCATTCCAGAGAATAATGAGGAAGAGAGGAGAAGGAAAAAAGGCAAGCAGGCAGGGAAGGACAGAGGAAAGAAAAAGAAAGATTGTTTTGGTAGAAACTGGAAGTGAGCGATGAGAAACAGCTTTAGTCACCTCGGAACAGGAAGGCTACTCTTAGAGAAGACACACAGATCTCTGAGAGCTTTAACCAAAAACAGGCTGAATTCAAGCACTTCAATAGAGAAATTCTCCATCACAGAATAAAATATTTGTTTACTACACTGGATAGAGATGACGTAGCTAACATTTGTCATTTCCAGAAACCTTGTTTACATTTGGGAAATTCCCCACATTAATGGTCCTGGTGGGAGACAGGACCAAATTCCAGAGAGGTGCTGAAAATACCAGAAACTCACTGCTGGGGTTCCTCCAATAGGTAACATGCAGGCTCATGCCCTGGGCCCCAGATACCAGGTGCTTCAGCCCCAGCCTTCAAACTGGAAGGCAGTGAGCTAAGATGTAGGAACTAGGATAATTCCCAAGGGTTGAGGGGTGGAGCGAAGGAGAAGAGACTTTGGGGCCAAAGTGGCAGTGGATGAACTCCAATCAGAGGTAGCAGCCTCAGTTTTCTTCAGCAGTTTCTTCACCAGGCCCGTTCTATGGCACCAGCTTGGGCATTTTTTTTCTGGCTGCATGGCCCCAACGTGATTTTCAAGCTTTCAATTCCTCCTATTGATTCTGTGGCCTATCAAGTATTCTTTTACTAAATTTCTTTTATCCCTGAATTGGCCAGATGGATGGAGTGATATATATACATGTATATGAAATTTGCTACTCTAATGTAACAAACTTCTGTCAAATTTCTATAATATTACAAACCACATAGAAGGGAGCAGTAATCTTATTCAACTCCATTCTTTTGTAGATAAGGAAACCTATACCCAGAAGGATTCAGAGGCTCACCAAGTGTCAACTGTCTAACAGAGCAGAGCAGGGAGTAGAATGACTGTCAGTTCAATACCCTATCATACCATGCTCATGGTACCCTGATTGTTTGAGATGTTTTTGTTACAGATTACTATATTTTGTTTTATAAGAAAGATTATACTAGGATTTTATTTGATTATTTGGGAACCCAATAATTTATTAGTACTGAGATAGAGAAACAATGATAAGGAATTCAGGAAAAGGTGGAGTTAACAAAGAGAAAGTTCAAAGGCCTAGCAAGTGAGGATATGGCCAGTTGATGCTATACCAATCTCTTCAGTAAAGTACGCTTAATTAAAGTAGCATACTTTTGAGTGGTACTGCTTAGCTGCTTTTGCTGCTTTGGGCCCCAGAACTATTAAAACCCAGTTCACAGATATGTATCTAGAATAGTTAGAATTTTTAACCCTGGACATATATATATATATTTTATATATATATATATAATATATGTGTGTGTGTGTGTGTGTGTATATATATATACACACATACATATACATACACACACAAGTTCTGGGATACATGTGCAGAATGTGCAGGTTTGTTACATAGGTATACATGTGCCATGGTGGTTTACTGCACCCATCAACCCATCATCTACATTAGGTATTTCTCCTAATGCTCTCCCTCCCCTAGCCCCCCACCCACCAACAGGCCCCGGTGTGTGATGTTCCCCTCCCTGTGACCCTGGACTTATTTCTATGAAGAAAATAAAAGGATTTGCTGAAAAGAGTAGAACTCACAGTATGGAATGAGAGCTATCCACATGTTTCACAATTAAACAGAATGATAATTGGCAAACATCAAAGTTTTCACTCCTGATTCTTTCAGGTTTTGCATGCATATCATTTGCGCTGTATTTTGCATCAGTTTGAAATTCTTATTTTGAATTATCCAAGTGCTGCTGATGCTTATCTACAATGTGAATACATATTTGTCCCTACCTTGGCTTCATGTAGGCCCAAATACCTTGGCCCAAAAATATCAGAGCCATAGCTTTTTTTTTTTTTTTCCGTAGAATAAACTGCCCCTCTCTATACCCAATAATTGCTTAAACTATTCGTAAAATGCTGCTATTCCAACAAGATTCCTTAGGAGATTTGTTTCTCTCCAATACACTCTGCAAAATGCTTGGCATTAATATACCATCTATCTTCTCTAGACTGACTTCACTAACCTGAGCACTTCGTGCTCTAATTAATCCGTATCTTAAATTTTTGAGTCTTCATCTCGTGACATGGTACAGCAATGGAAATTCTATTATAGTGATCATTTTTTGACAAGAAGACTACCTTTCTTGTTAGCCTCCAAGATGAATTAAATTCACCACTGTGGACTCCATGTAAGTGCTCGCCCAACGGCCCCACCAAGGTGTGCACACATGCACAACCCAGCCCACATCCAGTATCAAGTGGCTTGCAAGGCCAAAACAAGGAGCTTACTGGGTTGCCACAAATCTTATCCCTAGGTTCTCTTGAAACTCTATCTTTTTCTTAGTCAGAAGAGATTTAGTCATATCTCCTTAAGAAATCCAATTTTAATGACTTCTCTCTTAAAATGAAACAGACTGAGAATTCATTCCTAACATCCTCTAAAATTCCTTCAAATTATCTACACTATAGAAGGTCCACTGTATGGGTGATCCACACTGCAAATAATCTAAAAATGATGCACCCTATAATGTATTATCTTTCTGAGACCAAATTTCAGTGTTAATTATATTTGGCTTCAGCAAATATTAACATTTCTTTACATCCCCTAAGCCCAGACACAAAATGAAGAGACTTGAATGTAAACCAGAATCAAACTGTGCCCCAAAAGCAGGCCAACTTTAAATTTTAAGCCACTAACAATAACCTACCGAGTAGCT
The DNA here is from genome assembly GCF_000001405.40 of Homo sapiens. Taxonomy (NCBI): domain Eukaryota; kingdom Metazoa; phylum Chordata; class Mammalia; order Primates; family Hominidae; genus Homo; species Homo sapiens. Next base: position 126,198,283 of record NC_000005.10, read on the forward strand.
AATCCCCATGGGGGTGGTCAGCTCAAGCCATTTATTCCAACCTATAGATAGCCCTGTGTGTCTAGTCCCTTACACCTCAACTTAGATGATCTTAGTTGGCCTTGCTGTTGGCATAGTCCTTAATACACAGAGGTGCATAAGCTGTTTGTAACAATATATTTAAGGTTCTGTTTTTAACAATATATTTAAGACCTGGAAATGCTATTATTTTAACAGCTGCAATATTTACCCTCCACAAGTAGTTCACTTTCTGTCTGCTTTTGACTAAAGTCTTAGGGCCCAAATGTTTAAAGCCTGGAAGGTGGGAGTGAGGGCAAGGGGAAGCAAAATCATGTTCACAGCATGATCCCTGCAAACATCAAAACACTGTCTGTTCTTGCCTTTTGTGAAGGCAGCCCTTCAGCTATTTGTTCAGGTTTCCCTACCAACTTCATGATGAATGAGGTTTTTACACACGGCACTGTTATTTCACTGGGGCTGGGTGAGTACTTTAAACAGATGAAGACAAAGAAAGCCAGCCATATAATTCAGTGTCTGATTGCTTTTCCACATGTCAGTGGTGAAAAGCCCAACTCTCCCTTGAGCAGCTCTGAGTGGTTACCTGATTGAATCCGGTAAAGGCTGATAAATTTTGGAATGCTCTTTTAACACAAGAAAAATAGCATCTAGATGGAATTCTCTACCGTAGTACCTTACAAGAGAACCCTAGAAATCAGTACATTTCACCATTGGACATGAAGAGCGAAAGCTAACAGGATTTCCCGTACTTTCCCAGTAATCACCAATATCTGAAGGATGAGAGCCGACTCACATTTTTTGGAGTGTTAACTATAATTACATAAGCAACAGATTAAGAAAAAAATGAATTTTAAGAGTGAGCATTTCCAGAAATAAAATTTTAAAAGGTACAATGAAGAAAGAAAAGATCCAATCTTTCCTTATATCACATTTTTCTACTGCCTAGAGAAAGAAATGGGTGGATGAAAAAAGGGGTATTAAGATCCTTACAGGTCATGCCTTTGGATCTTTCAAAACTGCTCTGCCTCTATGAATAAAAAACTCTAATCATATTGGAGAGAGTTGACAAAACAGATAAAGAACAGGATCTCGCCGTAGGATACAACTTAGCGCAAGTTGGGAGGAGGGAAGCACTTGGTTGCAACCTTGCCTCCATGACTATACTTAGTTGCAGACACATCATCCCTTCATGCTTCAAAAACTTCCCTTGAGGGTAATTTTTGCTTATATATTGCTTTGAAAGAGTTAGTGTAAAATGCTTTAAGTAACACGTCCATGAGTAGATACTTTCCCTTGGACTCCAGGCACAGTATATTCCATACAGCTAAATAACAGCTCACAGTAAAATTACACATAATCAATAGTCTGTCCACTGATCCAAATACCCAGGGGCCTATTTCTGAAGATTTTATTGTACATATATTCCAGGCACACGTATGGTGGAGTCTATTGATTCACGCACAGCTGTTTTTCTCCTGTTAGTGTGTGATTATTTTCAAGTGTTTTATGAGAGCAGATGTTTTAAGAGCATGCTGAGTACAGTCTTTCCTCGACTGACACTTTTTTATTTACATAAACAACAAATCGCTATTCTGCTGTTCTTTTGATACTGCGCGGTTAGTGGGTAAAATCACCAGTGTCAGTTTTCCTGGACATTCTTAAGCAAAGGTGCTTTGTCTATTCCCTTCCCCTCAAGCACCGCCACAAAGGCCCTCGCAGTCTTCCTCCATCACTCCTCCTTTCTCTGATCCTTCTGTGATCAGATTGTTTGAACTTGGCTCTTCCACACCAAGACTTTTTAAGCTGTAGCAAACTGAATACACCAGTGTTCTATATAGAATGCAATTTTCTCTGTTGGGTTGGTACCTGTTCCAAATAGTTGAATTTAGGTAACAGCTTATTTCCTGAGAGTCAACATGTACTTCTGCTTGAAGCTACTGCAGAGTCAATCCCTTCTTGGTGCTACAAAAGTATGTTACCATGGAAAATAATATTCTGCCACACATTCATTGAAAGAGACTGCCAATCTCATCATGTAGCATCAACAGAATGCATATAGCTCTGAACTGAAAAGTTTTTCTACCTAAAGAACATGAGTTTTGGATCTTTCAAGCATGGAATATAGACATGTTTTGTGCTTTAATGAAATGTTAGAGATTCTCCAATGTATAGTAGTAAGTAAAAGTATTTTTGTGACCCTTACTCCCTGCCAGTTTATAAACTGCTGTCAGGATTAGCACAGTTGACTTTAGAATGATTCTAAATGTAGAATAGTTGGAGATAGTAACTGAAGGTAGAAAGAGACTGATTATCCTTTCCAATTCCTCTCTGGTCATATAAACGTGACCTTCCTCTTCATGTACCACATTCAGTACAACTTTGTTCTTTCCACAACTTCATCATTAATTCAGATCTTTAGGAATTTTCAAATGGCCATGTCATATTAATCTCCATTTTATAATGAACAGTAAGCTCATAGCCAATAATTCAAGCAACATTTATAGAGTACCAGTTATAATTTATGTACTCTGCTATGTGCTAGGGGCATTGGTGTGGGTAAAACAAAGACTTTTGGTAGGGAAGAAAATACAAACTGATTGTTCAACTTAAAGAGACTTTGTCAGAGGAGTGCACCAAGGAAGCTAGGAAGGTACTCATTTTCTCTGGAGACAAATAGATAAAGTCACCTTGAATTTTTGTAGAAGGGAAGGTCTCCTTTCCCCTTCTATTCATTCCAGTATTCCTCTGTCTGACTTAGAAAGAAAGGCTAGCATTTGTGAAAACAAATTAAGTGGTATAACACAACGTTAAATGGAATTTTTCCTGCAACTGTGGAATTTCAGCTAAAGTATCAAAACTCAGGATGATAGGTGATAAGAAACCCACTTTCTAAAGATGGATGTTATTCTCATAACTTATTAAAAGTTGGCTCTTGCCTGTAATCCCAGCACTTTGGGAGGCCGAGTAGGGTGGATCACCTGAGGTCAGGAGTTCGAGACCAACCTGGCCAACATGGTGAAACCCCATCTCTACTAAAAATACAAAAATTAGACGGAGAGATGGCAGGCACCTGTAATCCTAGCTACTCAGGAGGCTGAGGCAGGAGAATCACCTGAACCCTGGAGGCAGAGGTTACAGTGTGACAAGATTGTGCCACTGCACTCCAGCCTGGATGACACAGCAAGACTCTGTCTCAAAAACAAAAACAGAAGCTTACAACATTAGCCTATCAATGTCCATTTCCCACCTCCATGCCATGTAACAGAATGCTAGAGATACATTAAGGAGTTGATGTGAAGGAAGGTGCCCTTTGTGTATAGAAGTACAGATGGTGAGCCACAGTGCTCCCCTTTTGCCTCCCATACGTGCTCCATCTCCAAGCCAAGAGGAGAGAGATACTGGGAGTTTCTGTGGGAAGGGAAATGGCTTCTCCCTAGCAGACAGTTCCTTGTTGAGTATATCAGACGCCAGCCCTACGTCACTACTGCAGTGGAGTACAAGAAAACTCTTTGGAGAAATTAAAATAAATCCCTAATTTGGGAGAAATTCAGCAAGCAAAGACTAGTGTTAGCCTCATCCCTATAGAAGCATCAAACAGGATGTTGTTTAAGCAAATGACAGTGACAGGAATGACAATTACAAGGCAAAAAAAGGAGGACAGCATTTATTCAAACCGCAGTGAACAAATACTTGATGTTTCCTGTGGCAAAGGGACACCTTGGAGGGTAGCAAGGCATGAAATGACTTTAAAGGCTGCATCTAGAAACAAAATGGCAGATAGGAGGCAGGACTAAATTGCAGCTCCCACTTGGACGGACACAGCAGCATGTGGAGACTCGTGTCATGAATTTCTGCCCAAAGAACTACTACAGGGATATACAAGGAAAGCCAAGAAAATCCACAGACCCTTTGAAGGAAGCAGATTGCTCCTGCAGGACCCAGAAGACAGCCCAAATACACTGAGTGCCCAAACTGTGAACATGGGAAAGGGGGATCATCTGCTCCTGAACACACACCCTCACTGGGGAACCTGAAGGCCCATATCATGGGAGAAGGATTTAACCTTACCTGGAGCTGAGACAATTTAGAGAGCCAAGCAAAATACAGGGGTCGAAGAAGCAGCAGGAAAAGCCCTGTGGGCTCTCTGGGTCCCCAGGGAAGGCATTTCTGACTTGTTTCACAGGGGTCCTTGAGGAGGGCTGCCAGAGTAACTGGGAAAAGACCACAGCTGAACTTTTTAACAATTCCAACCAAAACTTTGTTCTGGACACAAAGTTTCCTGGCCAGAACTCGGGGGAGGGTGTGAATCCAGTATGCAGACTCTGACAGGTAGGGAGGTGCGAAAGCCCTGCTTGCTTTCTCAGCCAGCTGGTAGCTTGAGGCAAGTTCTCAGCCCTGCTCACCTACTGCCTAGAAATAAACTCAGTGCTGTTGGTGAGGGCACAGTGAGAGTGAGACCAGCCTTTTGGGTTTTGTGGGAGCTGGTGAGGCCTGTAACTGCTGGCTTTCTCCCACTTCCATGACAACTGCATGATATAGCAGAGGCAGCCATAAACCTCCTAGGAGAATAACTCCATTGACCTGGGAACCACATCCCCATCCCCCACAGCAGCCACAGCAAGTCCCACTAGAGAAGAGTCTGAGCTCAGACACACCTAACCCTCACCAGCAATGGATATAAACCAAGAAGAAATTGCTGAATTGCCAGAAAAAGAATTCAGAAGGTCGATTATTAAGCTAATCAAGGAGATGACAGACAAAGGTGTCCAACTTAAGGAAATCAAACCAATGATACAAGATATAAGGGGAGAAATCTTCAATGAAATAGATAGCATAAATAAAAAACAATAACAACTACAGGAAATAAAGGACACACACTTAGAGAAATGCAAAATGTACTGGAAAGTCTCAGCAATATAATCAAAAAAGCAGAAGAAAGAACTTCAGAGCTTGAAGACGAGGTTTTCGAACAATCCAATCCAACAAAGACAAAGAAAAAAGATTTTAAAAAAGAACAAAGCCTGCAAGAAGACTGAGATTATGTTAATCAACCAAACCTAAGAATAATTGGCATACCGGAGGAAGAAGAGAAATTTAAAAGTTTGGAAAACATATTTGGGGTTATAATCAAGAAAAACATCCCCACCCTTGCTAATGATCTAGATACACAAATACAAGATGCTCAAAGAACACCTGGGAAATTCACTGCAAAAAGATCATTGCCTAGGAACATAATCAAGTTATCTAAAGCCAAGACAAAGGAAAGAATCTTAAGAGGTGTGAGACAAAAGCATCAGGTAACGTATAAAGCAAAACCTATCAGATTAACCTCAGATTTCTCAGCAGAAACCTTATAAGAGCTAGAAGGGAGTGGGGCCCTAACTTCAGCCTCCTTAAACAAAACAATTATCAGCCAAAAATTTTGTATCCAGTGAAACTAAGCTTCATAAATGAAGGAAAGATAGTCTTTTTTGGACAAACAAATGCTGAAAGAAATTGCCACTACCAAGCCAGCACTACAAGAAATGCTAAAAGGAGCTCTAAATCTTGAAACAAGTCCTGGAAATACATCAAAACGGAACCTCTTCAAGGCATAAATCGTACAGGATCTATAAAACAAAAATACAGTTAAAAAAAAGGTATTTAGGAAACAAATAGCACAATGAATGGAATAGTACCTCATATCTCAATACTAACATTGAATGTAAATGGCCTAAGTGCTCCACTTAGAAGATACAGAATTGCAAAATGGATAAGAATTCAGCAACCAGCTATCTGCTGCCTTCAGAGGACTCACCTAACACATAAGGACTCACATAAACTTAAGGTAAAGGGGTGGAAAAAGACATTCCATGCAAATGGACACCAAAAGTGAGCAGGGGTAGCTATTCTTATAACACACAAAACAAACTTTAAAGCAACAGCAGTTAAAGACAAAGAGGGATCTTATATGATGGTAAAAGGCCTTGTCCAACAGGAAAATATCACAGTCCTAAATATATATGCACCTAAGACTGGAGATCCCAAATTTATAAAACAATTATTACTAGACCTAAGAAATGAGATAGGGAGCGGGGAGGAATAGCATTAGGAGATATACCTAATGTAAATGATGAGTTAATGGGTGCAGCACACCAACATGGCAGATATATACATATCTGTAACATAACTGCACGCTATGCACATGTACCCTAGAACTTAAAGTATAATAAAAATATATATATTTAAAAAAAGAAATGAGATAGATAGCAACACGATAATAGTGGGAGACTTCAATACTCCACTAACAGCACTAGAAAGGTCATCAAGACAGAAAGTCAACCAAGAAACAATGGATTTAAACTATAACCTAGAAAAAAATGGACTTAGATATTTACAGAACATTCTACCCAACAACTGCAGAATATACTTTCTATTCATCAGCACATGAAATTTTCTCCAAGACAGACCATATGATACACCACAAAACAAGTCTCAGTAAATTTAAGAAAATTGAAATTATATCAAATACTCTCTCACGCCACAGTGGAATAAAATTGGAAATCAACCCCAAAAGAACCTTCAAAACCATGGAAATGAAATAATCTGCTCCCAAATGATCATTGAGTCAACAATGAAATCAAGATGAGAATTTAAAACTTCTTTGAACTGAACAATAATAGTGGCACAACCTATCAAAACCTCTGAGATACAGCAAAGATGGTACCAAGAGGAAAGTTCATAGCCTTAAATGCCTACATCAAAAAGTCTGAAAGAACAGAAATAGAAAATCTAAGGTCACAACTCAAGGAACTAGAGAAACAAGAATAAACCAAACCCAAACCTAACAGAAGAAAAGAAATAACAGATCAGAGCAGAACTAAAAGAAATTGAAACAAAAAACTACAAAACATAAATGAAACAAACAGTTGGTTCTTTGAAAAGATAAATAAAATTGATAGACTATCAGCAAGATTAGCCAAGAAAAGAAAAGAAAAAATCTAGACTATCAGCAAGATTAGCCAAGAAAAGAAAAGAAAAAATCCAAATAAGCTCAATTAGAAACAAAATAAGGGATATTACAGTCTATACCACAGAAATACAAAAGATCATTCAAGACTACTATGAACACATTTACATGCATAAACAAGAAAAACTACAGGAGATGGATACATTTCTAGAAATATGCAACACTCCTAGCTTAAATTAGGAAGAATTAGAAACCCTGAACAGACCAATAACAAGCAGCGAGATAGAAATGGTAAAAAAAAAAAAAAAAAAAAAAAAAAAAAAAAAATTACCAAGAAAAAAAGGCCAGGACCAGATGGATTCACAGCTAAATTCTATCAGACATTGAAAGAAGAATTGGTACCAATCCTATTGACACCTTTCCACAAGATAGACAGAGAGGGAATCCTCCCTAAATCACTCTATGAAGCCAGTATCACCCTAATCCCAAAACCAGGAAAGGACATAACAAAAAAAGAAAACTACAGACCAATATCCCTGATGAACATAGATGCAAAAATCCTTAACAAAATACTAGCTAACCAAATTTAACAACATATCAAAAAGATAATCCAGATGATCAAGTGTCCTTCATACCAGGGATGCAGGGATGGTTTAACATATGCAAGTCAATAAATGTGATACACCACCTAAACAGAATTAAAAGCAAAAATCACATCATCTCAATAAATGCAGAAAAAGCATTTGACAAAATCCAGCATCTTTTTATGTTTAAAACCCTCAGCAAAATTGGCATACAAAGGACATACCTCAATGTAATAAAAACCATCTATGACAAACCCACAGCCAACATAATACTGAACTTGGAAAAGTTCAAAATATTTCCTCGGAGAACTGGAACAAGACAAGGATGCCCACTCTCACCACTTCTATTCAACATAGTACTGGAAGTCCTAGCCAGAGCAATCAGACAAGAGAAAGAAATAAAGGGCATCCAAATTGGTAAAGAGGAAGTCAAACTGTTTGCTGATATGATTGTATACCTAGAAAACCCTGAAGACTCCTCCAATAAAGCTCCTAGAACTAATAAATGAATTCAGCAACGTTTCAGGTTACTAAATTAATGTACACAAATCAGTAGCTGTGCTATATGCCAACAGTGACCAAGCTGAAAATCAAATCAAGAACTCAACCTCTTTTACAACAGCTCCAAAAAATAAAATAAAATACTTAGGAATATAACCAACCAAGGAGGTGAAAGACCTCTACAAAGAAAACTACAAACACTGCTAAAAGAAATCATAGATGACACAGACAAATGGAAATATATCCCATGCTCATGGATAGGTAGAATCAATATTGTCAAAATGACCATACTGCCAAAAGCAATCTACAAATTCAATCCAATTCCCATCAAAATACCACTATCATTCTTTACAGGACTTTAAAAAAAAATTCTTAAATTCACATGGAACCACCCCACACAGCCAAAGCAAGACTAAGCAAAAAGAACAATTTTGAAGGCATCACATTACCTGACTTCAAACTATACTATAAGGCCATAGTCACCAAAACAGCATGGTACTGGTATAAAAATAGGCACATAGAGCAATTGAACACAATAGAGAACCCAGAAATAAACCCACATACTTATAGTCAACTGATCTTTGACAAAGCAAACAAAAACATAAAGTGGGGAAAGGATGCCCTGTTCAACAAATGGTGCTGGGATAACTGGCAAGCCACATGTAGAAGAATGAAGCTGGATCCTCATCTCTCACCTTATACAAAATCAACTCAAGATGGATCAAGGACTTAAATCTAAGACCTGAAACTATATAAATTCTAGAACATTAGAAAAACCCTTCTAGACATTGGCTTAAGCAAAGACTTCAGACCAAGAACCCAAAAGCAAATGCAACCGAAACAAAGATAAATGGGTAGCACTTAATTAAACTAAAGTGCTTCCGCACAGCAAAAGGAACAGTCAGCAGAGTAAACAGAACCCAGTGTGGGAGAAATCTTCACAATCTATACATCTGACAAAGGACTGATATCCATAATCCACAAGAAACTCCAACAAATCAGCAAGAAAAAAACAAACAACCTCATCAAAAAGTGGGCTAAGGACATGAATAGACAATTCTCAAAACAAGATATACAAATGGCCAACAAACTTATGAAAAAATGCTCAACATCACTAATGAACAGGGAAGTGCAAATCAAAACCACAATGCAATACCACCTTACTCCTGAAAGAATGGCCATAACCAAAAAATCTAAAAACAATAGATGTTGGTGTGGATGCAGTGGAAAGGGAACACTTCTACACTGCTAGTGGGAGTGTAAACTAGTACAACCACCATGGAAAACAGTATGGAGAGATCTTAAAGAACTAAAAGTAGAACTACCATTTGATCCAGCAATCCCACTAATGGGTATCTACCCAGAGGAAAAGAAGTCATTACATGAAAAAGATACTTGCACACACGTTTATAGCAGCACAATTCGCAATTGCAAAAACATGGAACCAGCCCAAATGCCCATCAATGAACAAGTGGATAAAGAAATTGTGGTGTATATATATGCAATGGAATACTACTCAGCCATAAAAAAGGAATGAATTAATGACATTCACAGCAACCTGGATGAGACTAGAGACTTATTATTCTATTCAGGAATAGAAAACCAAACATCATATGTTCTCACTCGTAAGTGGGAGCTAAGCTATGAGGATGCAAAAGCATAAGAATGGTACAACGGACTTTGAGGACTCAAGGGAAAGGGCAGGAGGCAGGTGAAGGATAAAAGACTACAAACTGGGTTCTATGTATACTGCTTGGGTGATGTGCACCAAAAATCTCACGAATCACCACTAAAGAACTTACTCATGTAACCAAATACCACTTGTTCCCCAAAAACCTATAGAATATAAAACTAAAGAAGTAAATAAATAAAAAGACCCCACCTAAGAAAGCTGCCTGCTGGAAAAGCGCTCCCCAGCAGGAAGAACCTATAGGTATACTGGTAGAGCAGGGATATGTGAGGACAAGTCACAAGAGATTAGCTGGAGCATGTGCACTAACTCATATGAGGAAAGGCAGAGGGTGGAAGAGGGGAGAGGGGGGCCACTGTTTGAACACTTGTCATGACAGTAGGCATCATGGACCAGATTATAGCAGCATCAGTAATATGAATCTTTGTCGACTTTCCTCTAAACCCACCCTCCCCATACCATGGACCCTGTGGGAGCCAAAGGCAGAGCACATAGGGAAGGACTGGAGAGCACAGAATGCAAAGAAACAGACCGTACTCCATTCTCCCAGTCAGTTCTGTAGCAGGAGAGGTAGTCAAACTCTTCAAACTGGATGCAAAACTGAGGTTTGAGATTGAACTAGACTGGCACTTTAAAACCAGACTATTTTGTAGTTGAAATAGACCAGAAATCTATAGATTCTTCCCAGATAGTGAAGAGCGAGAGAGATCCAAAAGAACTTTCTCCAAGACAGTGTGATAAGAGACAAAAAGCCATTCCTGACTGAGCCAGTTCAGCCCATTCAATAAACCAGTTATACTAGTTACATCAGAACCTATGCAATAGGAAGGTAGGAAGAAGTGGAAAACAACTCAATACTTCGGTAGATACCTGTTGAGCCAGCTTGGGCTAACATAACAAAATACCAAAGCCTGAGTGGCTTAAACAACAGAAATTTATTTCCTCATAGTTCTCAAGACTGGGAAGTCCAAGATCAAGGTAGCGGCAAATTTAGTTCCTGGTGAGGGCTTTCTTCCAGACTTCCAGAAGGCTGCTTTTTCTCTGTGTTCTCACAAGGCGGGGAGGCGGGGGAGGGAGGGGGAAAGAGCAGGAGAGAGCAAGAAAGAGCGAGCACAAGCGCGCTCTAGTTTCTCTTCCCATAAGGACGCTAATTCTATCGTCTCATGGCCCGACACTTATGACCTCACTTAATCTTAACTACTTCCGTAAAGGTCCTGTCTCCAAAACAGTAACAATTGGGGGTTAGGGCTTCAATATATGAGGGAGACAGGGTGGTAGGGGACACACAGTTAGGTCCATGGCTATCATTTCAAAAAGAATTTGAGAAGACGTCTAATAAGAAAAATAGTAGGCAATCTCTACTCACACACAAAACATCTCACCTAAAAACAAGAAGTGGGGGTGGGGAAGTGTATGATTTTGTGCTTAAAGCTTCTTGAGAAAAAGAACTGCTAAATTATATGTAAATACAAAAGCATGTCAAAGGGAAATTCATTAGAAAAGCAAATCGAAAAAGAGGGGAGAAAAGTGGGTTTAAGCTTAAACTGTCTTTATAGAAACTATGTAATTAATTGAATGCATGTGAAATCTATAGACATGGTTGTAATTTAAGTATAGATGTTAAAAATAATGTAGGATCTCAAACTTTAAAACTTTGAATTCAAATAATACATAAGCACATAGAAAAGTTGAAAATAAAACTGGCTTGAAAAAATCATACAAAGTAAAATTAAAATGTGTGTTTATTGCATTTATAAGAACCTCAGTTATGACCAAATATTTCAGAAATAGTGGTTAGCTTTCTTGAAAGAATAAAGGAAAATTAATTTAAATGTATGGGGTAAATATGTTGGTATTTATTTTAAATTGTGCTGTGGCCTGGGCTTCTCAAAGGAAGAAAAAAACAGTGAAATATGAAGTCAAAGTAATGAAGTTCAAGATGGTAGGTTTAGCATATGCATTTGCCTATTCTCCTGTAAAACACTGCAGTTAAAAAGGACACAAGAAAGTAAATTCACAGAAGCACTGAGAACATATGAAACATCAATGGGCCAGATACAGGTTTCTGGATAGCTGAGTAGAAAATAGGATAGTACAAAATCTACAGAAAAGCAGAGGGAGCTATCACTCAAGCCATCATCGGAAGAGAGGACTGAAGTGAAAAGTGCTGTTAATCACGGAATTCTCCAAAAAGAGCAAGTAAAATGGGCAGGAGGATCAACTGCCAAAAATTTTAAATGCAATAAGGTGGATCAAAAATAAAGCTGAAGAATCTTTTATAATATAGAACAGAAAAAACAAAGAAATTGAAAGTATGTGCAAAAAGAAAAGAGGCATATAAAATCAAACCAGGTTGGCCAGCATCTGATTAAGAGAACTACTATAAAAGAAAAATAGATACAAAATAAAGGATTTCATTTTATTCTGATGAATGGCTGGGGGTGGGTGGGATGTAAGGGAATTCAAAAGAAAAAGAAATAGAATCATAGCACACTACATGTCTTGGCAGTAAAAAATAATTATATACCCATAGTAATATAAAGATTGATTTTTATTTGCCTCAAAGGCAAGAAACATAGGCAGACAGCACAGAAATTATGGTTGCAATTGCAGTACAGAATGTAAATGTTATCAACCTTGACAATACAGAAGCAAAAACTAAATTGAAGGAAAATGGGAGGAGAAAAACAAAGAAGCAGCAGAGGAAAGGGTAGAGACACTAATTTTCCACCTTAGAGCAAAATTGAGTTAATTAAAGGGAAAAAGGAAATAGAATTATTGATATGTTTTCTAAAGTTATGAAGAGAACCAATAATAGAGCTGAAAATAATGATTAACTATTAAAGTTTAGGAGCAGGAGATGCACATAGAGGGTAAGTGAAACCAATCCTCATCTTCCATAATAGAAAGTAAGTAGAAATTGTTCAAGGTCATTAAATCAAAAAATAGTGGTTGACAATTTTGTTTGGATAGCTACCAATTTCAATTTTATTTGGAAAAATGTTTTAATGATTAAAAGAGGTGCTAGTGGAAATGAGCCTGGGAGTCGGGGGGCTAAAGTAGGGGACTTCCCGTTTTTCATCATAAGCTCTTCTGCTGTCCTGATTTGTTACCTTGGACAGGACATGTATTACGTGGGTAAAAACAAACAAGTTTCAGTATTTAGTAAACGGCAACTGTCTCCATTTTCTAAATGTTGACTGAAGTCAACATTACAGCCAGGCATGGAAAGCAGATTTTAATCTAGCAAGAAACGGAAGGGTAAAACAGTCAAAATAAATAACTAAAAGGAAATTTAAAGAAACTCAAAAGAAACGTGTTTCTCCTCTCCCTCTCTCTCACATACATATACACCACAAAATTTACCCAGGATTGTCCTGCCCTCCGTGTAGGATCATCAGATACTGACATACAACACAAAGTAATGACAACCTCTTCACAGACTCAATAAATCCTGGGACTAAAATTCATTCATTCTAGAAATAAAGTCTGTGTTCAAGGACACAAAGTGTGGAATAAAGGGTAAACATTTTTAATCAATGTTTCCAAATATAATTATGAAAAATGAGCAAATACTCCAACAAGGCTACACTACTAGGATACTGGATTCAACCAAAGTGAGGGTTAGCCAACATTTTCTGCAAAGGGCTAGATAGTATATATTTTAGGTTTTGCACATCATACTCAACTCTGCTATTGTGGTATGAAGCTGTGATAGACAATACACAAATACAGGCTATGGTTGTGCTCCGCAAAAACCTCATTTACAAAACAGGCTGTAAATAGTATTTAGCCCATAAGCTATAGCTTGCCTACTCCTGAACCAAAGGATGAAGGACATTAAGATATTTAAGTTATAAAGTATGTGATATATTTTTATTAAATATGTATATTTAATATATTTATATTAAATAATATTTTTATTAAATATATCACATACTTTATAACCCTGTGCTAATAATATAAAATAATATACTATCAATGATTGTTATATGTAATTCTTGATGTTCAAATGCCTTTTGAATAAGATCTGGTCAAATAAGAGCTAAAACATACCCATTCATTCTTCTTTCACTCCCATCACACAAACAATGAAATAAAAACAGTGATATAAAGCCAGCTACCCCTGGGGAGGGACCCTCTTAGGTAGCTAATATATTTGATTCCTATTTTTCCATCAAAATGAGATCCCCATGTAGCTCCAACTATATATTCTATTGTACCATTTTGAAAATAATGTGAAGGGACAAACTTGTAGCAATATCTCAAAAGCAGTTGACACTGACATCTAACTTTAAGAGATGGCTCATAAAGGATGTTTAGTGCTTCAAACAAGTGACATTGTATAAAGATTAGCACTTGGCAATGACATTGATTGCTTGCTAAAAATTTCACCTTAATCACTATCAAATCATATTATTTAACCAACTTGGTGCTCTTGGGGCCCGCTGAACACTCCACTATTTTTTTTTTATCAACTGGCAGTGTGGATAGAAAGCAAAATTTAAAAAATCAAATTAGCTTCCACCTCAAAATCCTAATTACATTTGTGACAGCTGTGAGCAAAATATGGTCCTAAATAAAATGTTAGATAGCATTAATGATATGATCAAAAAAGATGAAAAATCACAAGTGACAAGGGAAAACATTTGATATGTGACAAAAAAAAAAAAAAGAATGACAACAAAGGAAATCCTCCAATCTCACAAAGAAATCCTTCAGATTGTCCTGGGCAGGTCTTATCAAATACCATATGGTTATAATGCCAAAGCCCAGGTGCAAAGGGTAAAACAAAAACAAAACATAACCAAACCTTACAGATGTTCCAGATTGAAGGCAATGACAATAACAACCCCTGGACATGTACAGAGAATTTAATTCTAACAAAAAAAATCAATGTTGCTCAACATTTAAAAGAAGGTTTGGGGAAAACTTTTGTTTTGCTTTTAGCTTTAAAGAAAAATATAAGTGTAAACATCCATCCACTATATACACACCTGGGTACACGCTAGTGTGTACACAACACAGCTAAGGAGGCTACATGAAATTCACTAAGGAGATCTTTATAAATTTTCAATTCTCCCTCTAGCCACTCTAAATCCTTCCCAGGCAAAGAATATTTCCCAACTCTAACAAGAAAAAAAAATATGATCTATATGCAAAGCTTATGTGTTCAAGAAACTCTAGCTCCAATCTTCAGATACTTTTTAATCAATATGCAAATGAGAAATGCTTCCCTGCAAAATTATTGGGTCCTTATTTTAATTTTAGCATTAAACCAACAATTAGCGCCTAATGACTATTTCTTGACTTAAAGTCTTCAACTTTACAAACGTGTACGTAGCACTATTTAAGTGGACATAAACATTCATTATTAAAAAAAAATAGGAAGGGCCACCATTATAAATGAAGCCTTCTTTTCCTTTTCCTAGGAAAATAATGCAAAGTAAAAGTATGTCCAAATGACCATCCAGGCCCCTTTCCTATAAGCTCTGCCTTTGCCCAGTTTGTACAGGTAAACCTAACGTTAGGCCCATCCTGTAAAATGATACATCCTCCTGATATTTCTTGTCCCCTATCTGGTGATCAAAACTATTCATTCTCTAAGTCCTTGTTAGGTAACTGGCTAAAAATCTGGAAAACAAAAAACAAAAAAAACAAAAAAAAAACATTTCAGCCAAAGGTATCAATGACCATTAAAAGAAAATGTGTTACCCCTTCCCAAATGACAAAGGCATTTTATCAGGAAACTCCAATGCTGTGGACTCTTGCGTCCTATGACCAAGTAGACGAGACAAGTATATAATTCAGAGCAAAGAGGCTTTAAGCAACTGTAGAGTCACATTATCTAGTCAGCTTTCTTTTATCTACACATAGACTAGCAATGTTAATTTCAATGGGCTAATCAAGGTAGACTTTGCTTAGTGACTTAAAAGTTGATAATTAAGAGGCCAGAAGAACAGATTTCTTTGTCACGGAAGAATTTGAAACAGATAAACTCAATCTGTAGAAATAGTAGTTGAGATCATTGGTGAACTGCCATCTTGAAGCAAACCATCCCTTATAAAGTGACAGTTTATTCATTTATATGTTCTTAAACATATTCATTGTATATTTAAAAATTAATATGTTTGAGAAATATAAGCAAGATAGATTGGTGATAAATAAAAGAAAGATAAGTTTCCTATACCTGTATATTTACTACATTATATTATAGGGAAGAAAACAGAACCAGTATTTGTCAATGTGGTCCAAGAATCATCTTCATCTGAGTCACTGGTTATACCTTTGAAAATGCTTACTCCTGGGCCCCACCATAGAATTTCTGACTCAGAATCACTAATGAGACAAAGGATCTGCACTTTTAATAGATCCCTAATCCATTTTAATGATGGTATTTCCACAGAATCCTGTTATATTATTTACAGGTCATATTTATTGATATCCAAGATAATGGCAGCAAGCAAAATATCTTCAGAAATAAAATCAGACCACCATCAGTGTGAACAGGCAACCTACAGAGTGGGAGAACATTTTTGCAACCTACTCATCTGACAAAGGGCTAATATCCAGAATCTACAATGAACTCAAACAAATTTACAAGAAAAAAACAAACAACCCCATCAAAAAGTAGGCGAAGGACATGAGCAGACACTTCTCAAAAGAAGACATTTATGCAGCCAAAAAACACATGAAAAAATGCTCACCATCACTGGCCATCAGAGAAATGCAAATCAAAACCACAATGAGATACCATCTCACACCAGTTAGAATGGCAATCATTCAAAAGTCAGGAAACAACAGGTGCTGGAGAGGATGTGGAGAAATAGGAACACTTTTACACTGTTGGTGGGACTGTAAACTAGTTCAAACATTGTGGAAGTCAGTGTGGCGATTCCTCAGGGATCTAGAACTAGAAATACCATTTGACCCAGCCATCCCATTACTGGGTATATACCCAAAGGACTATAAATCATGCTGCTATAGAGACACATGCACACGTGTGTTTATTGTGGCACTATTCACAACAGCAAAGACTTGGAACCAACCCAAATGTCCAACAATGATAGACTGGATTAAGAAAATGTGGCACATATACACCATGGAATACTATGCAGCCATAAAAAAGGATGAGTTCATGTCCTTTGTAGGGACATGGATGAAGCTGGAAACCATCATTCTCAGCAAACTATGGCAAGGACAAAAAAACAAACACCGCATATTCTCACTCATAGGTGGGAATTGAACAATGAGAACACATGGACACAGGAAGGGGAACATCACACACCGGGGACTGTTGTGGGGTGGGGGGAGGGGGGAGGGATACCATTAGGTGATACACCTAATGCTGAATGATGAGTTAATTGGTGCAGCACACCAACATGGCACATGTATACATATGTAACAAACCTGCACGTTGTGCACATGTACCCTAAAACTTAAAGTATAATAATTTTAAAAAAAATAAAATCAGAGTTTTCTAATCAACAGTCTGCAAGCAGTGGTCATGGTCCTCCTAGGACCAGCAGGATAGCATTGGCACATACATCTCTTGGTGACAGCAACAGCACAAGATAGTAAATAAAAACACACAAGGTCTTTTAAGAGCTACACTCAAATCTGGTATACTGTCACTTCTCCCTCATTCTGCTGGTCAAAACAGTCATACAACCAAACCCAAAGTCATGCAAAACACTTTATATTTTATAAGGATACATGAATACATAAAGACATATACCAAACACATTCAAGTAAATGTTACAGGATAGGCAGGAATGGAGGTGGGGTTCTAGATAAAGCATAACTAAATGAGTAATTAAAATAAGGAGACTTACACAGCCTAAGGAAAATAATGTTCTTTGAACTGAGTGGTATGAGTAACTCAATATTTTGAAAAGAATTTTGTAGCCAGTATCTAAAAAGTATAAAAAGGCCAGGCACAGTAGCTCATGCCTGTAATCCCAGCACTCTGGGAGGCGAAGGCGAATGGATCCCTTGAGCCCAGGAGTTCGAGACCAGACTGAGCACATAGTGAGACCCCTATCTCTAAAAAATAAATAAAATTTTAAATATATAAATATATATGTTTTTATATATTTATATACATCTTCAGACTGTTGAAGTAACTTACCCAGGGATAAGCTTCTTAGGTTAAGTGCTTATCTGCTAATTATGGCTTAGCTTGGGCTAGAAAGCATTTCTTTTCCAGCTATATCATATAGACTATCATCTCTAAAATAATACCCATTAGTCCTGCAACTTACACTAGTTATTACAGTCTATTTTTAAAACAAGTTAATTTTGATTTAATAAGGTGTTAATTGAGTGCTTTAAATATTTCCAGTCTTTGAGTCTAATTTGATGTGTTTTCAAGAAACTTATGAGAACTTAGATGGGTAAGATAAGACTTAAATACATAAAATGGATAAATAACACCATCATTTAGATATAGTTTTAATTCAACAAATATGTTTTAATTGCAGCCTGTGTGCTAATCTCTGCAAAAGATGTACATATGAGGAAGAGGTCCCAGGGTAAGTATCAAAAGAGGATACAATGTGGAAAACTTTTCAAAGACAGGATCACACGCAGTTGGAGAAGTCAGAAAAGCCTTCACAGAGGAAGGGGCACAAGAGATGAGCCTTAAAAGATGCATCACATTTCAGTAGGTTCAGACCTAGAAAAGTAGAAGGAAATTCTAGGTGGCAAGAACAACAAAGATACACAAGTAGAGGTTAAAGGTATAATATTTGAGTATCACAGCATAGAAATGCAAACAATCAACCTATTGAATGGCTCAGGTGAGTTAGCCACTGCATCAGGTGCTAGAAATACAAAAATTAATGTAACATGAGTCCCAATCTTGAAGTGCCCACAGTTTGGCTATCAGTGTGTTGAGTTCCTGACATGGATGAGCTCATGAGGAATCAGGTGGAAAGAGCAATGATAAGAAGTGTAACAGCAGAAACATGGAGCACTACTACATGTGAGATGGAGAAGAGGAAAAAGCCAGAAGAAAAGGTAAAAAGGGTCTGTGAAAAAATGTTTGCAATTTGTATTTATACCAAAATCATTAGCCAGGCATGGTGGCATATGCCTGTAATCCCAGCTACTTGGCAGGGGCTGAGGTGGGAGGATCACTTGAGCCCAGGTCAAGGCTTCAGTGAGCCAAGATCACACAACTGCACTCCAGCCTGGGTGACAAAGTGAGACCCTGTGGCAGGAAAAGAAAAAAACTGAGAAAAAAAAATCAACAGTTCAATATAAAATGGGCAAAAGATATGGAGAGTTCACCGAAGAAATGAAAATAGCCCTTAAATATGAAAAGATGCTTAACCTGGATCTTGATAAGTAGTGTAAGTTAAAACTACACTGAGATACTATTTCGGATAAATCAAACTAACAAAAGTCCTTATGCTTGACAATTCAGTGTACTGCTTTCAAGGCTTTAAGGAAAGTCCACTTTCATACATTAATGGAGGAAATGCACAACAGTACAGCACCTATGGAAGGGAATTTAGCAAGACTTTAATTACATACGTGACTTGCATCATACCTCTCCTGAACAGTGCTGCTCTAGATCTAATTATCAGCTTACAGAAAATTTAGGGGACAGGGGACATGTTGAAGACACCCAAATTCAGACAGCCATATCCAGTATGAGGAAAATTCTAATACAAAAATGATTCATATTCCAAAATAGATGACAAGAACAGGGAAATTGAACACAGACCAATTCCTGGATGATTCAAAGAATAACCATTAATCCTTAGGTGTGCTAATGCCATCTGGGTTTTTTAAGTCTCTATGTTTTAGAGATACATACGGAATTATTTGTAGTTCAAATGATATGCAGTCTGAGACTTGCTTTAATCTCCTGAAAAATAAAGTATGAGGAGATAGATAAAATCAGAATAACAAAGCAATGACCATTATTGAAGCTGGGTCATGGAAACAGGGCTTCATTATACTGTTTTTTTCTACTTCTATTTAGGTTCAAAATTTTTAATAATTAAAAACGTTTTTTAAAAATTAATTACTGGAGATACAAAAGTGTCAGCTAAGGAGTGCAATGTCCCTGATGTTATCTTTTTAAAAAAGGAAAATTAAGCATCATCTCCTAGTACTATAGAAATATGTAAAGATCCATGATAAATAACATCAGCAAAGTTTCAAGATACAAAATCAGTGTACAAAAGTCAGTAGCATTTCTATACACCAAAACATCCAAGCTGAGAGCCAAATCAGAACACAATCCCATTCACAATAGTCACAAAAAGAATAAGATACCTGGGTATACAGCTAACCAGAGGGTGAAAGAGCTCTACAATAAGAATTACAAAACACTGCTCAAAGGAATCAGAGATTACATAAACAAATGGAAAACATTTTGTGCTCATAGGTGGAAAGAATCAATATCATTAAAATGGCCATACTACCCAAAACTACTTACAGATTCACTGCATTCCTATCAAGTTACCAATGACATTCTTCACAGAATTAGAAAAAACTCCTTTAAAATTCATAGGGAACCAAAAAGGAGCCCAAATAGCCGAGGCAATCCTAAGCAAAAAGAACAAAGTGGGAGGGATCATGTTACCTGACTTCAAACTATACTTCAAGGCTACAGTAACCAAAACAGCATGGTACTAGCACAAAAACAGACACATAGACCAATGAAATAGAACAGAGAGCCCAAAAATAAATGCTGCACACTTACAACCATCTTATATCCAACAAAGTCAACAAAAACAAGCAATGGGAAAAAGACTACCTATTCCATAAATGATGCTAAGATAACTGGCTAGCCATATGCAGAAGATTGAAACTGGACCCCTTCCTTATACCACATACAAAAGTCAACTCAAGATGGGTTAAAGACTTACATGTAAGACCCCAAACTATAAAAACCATGGAAGACAACCTAGGCAATATCATTCTAGACATAGAAAGGGTAAAGTTTTCATGACAAAGATGCCAAAAGCAATTGTGGTAAAAATAAAGATTGACAAATGGGTCCTAACTAAACTAAACAGCTTCTGCACAGCAAAAGAAACTATCAACAGGGTAAACATACAACCTACAGAATGGAAAAAACATTGTAAACTATGCATTCAATAAAGGTCTAATATCCAGAAACTGTAAGGAACTTATACAAATTAGCAAGCAAAAAACAAACAACCCCATTAAAAAGTAGGCAAAGCTACCAACCAAGAAAAGCCTGGAATCTGATGGATTTACAGCCAAATTCTACCAGATGTATAAAGAAGAGCTGGTACCATTCCTACAGAAATTATTTCAAAAAACTGAGGAGGGACTCCTCCCTAACTCATTTATGAGGCCAGCATCATCTTGATACCAAAACCTGGCAGACACAACAACAAAAAAATAACTTCAAACCAATATCCTTGATGAACATCAATGAAAAAATCCTCAACAAAATACTTGCAAACCGAATCCAGCAGCACATCATAAAGCTAATCTACTGTGATCAACTAGGCTTCATCCCCAGCAAGCAAGGTTGGTTCAACATATACAAATCAATAAATGTGATTCATCATATAAATAGAACTAAAAACAAAAAACACATGATTATCTCAACAGATGCAGGAAAGGCTTTCACTAAAATTCAACATCCTTTCATGTTAAAATCTCTCAAGAAACTAGGTACTGAGGGAACATACCTCAAAATAGTAAGCCATCTATGACAAACTCACAGCCAACATTATACTGAATTGACAACAGCTGGAAGCATTCCACTTGAAAACTGGCAGAAGATGAGGATCACCACTCACCTCTCTCACCACTTCTATTCAACATAGTACTGGAAGTCCTAGCCAGAGCAGTCAGGCAGCATAAATAAATAAAAGGCATCCAAATAGGAAGAGAGGAAGCCAAACTATCTGTCTGCAGACAACATGATTCAATATCTAGAAAACCCCACTGTCTCAACCCAAAAGCTCCTCCATCTGATAGACAACTTCAGCAAAGTTTCAGGATACAAAATCAATGTACAAAAATCACTAGCATTCCTATATACCAACAACACCGAAACCGAGAGCCAAATTAGAAAGGCAACTCCATTCACAATTGCCACACAAAGGAAATAACGTACCTAGGAACACAGCTAACCAGGGAGGGGAAAGATCTCTACAATAAGAATTATAAAACATTGCTCAAAAAAATCAGAGAAGACATAAATGAAAGGAAAAACATCCCATGCTTATGGACAGGAAGAATCAATGTCATTAAAATGGTTATACTGCCCAAAGCAATTTACAAATTTAGTGCTATTCCTATCAAACTATCTACACCATTCTTCACAGAACTAAAAAAAATTAACTATTTTAAAATTTGTATGGCCAGGCATGGTGGCTCACACCTGTAATCCTAGCACTTTGGTAGGCTGAGGCAGGCAGATCACCTGAGGTCAGGAGTTTGAGACCAGCCTGGCCAACATAGTGAAACCCCATCTCTACTAAAAATGAAAAATTTAGCTGGGCATGGTAGTGCACATCTGTAATCCCAGATACTTGGGAGGCAGGAGAATTGCTTCAACCCGGAAGGCAGCGAAGGTTGCAGTGAGTCAAGATTGTGCCACTGTATTCCAGCCTGGGTGACAGAGCAAAGCTCTGTCTCAAGAAAAAAAAAAAAAGTGTAAAACCACAAAAGAGCTCAAATAGCCAAAGCAACCCTAAGCAAAAAGAACAAAGCTGGAGGCATTGAGAGGTGACAATGTGCTAGTAGCCCTCGCTCACTCTCGGTGCCTCCTTGGCTTGGCGTCCACTCTGGCCACACTTGGGGAGCCCTTCAGCCTACTGCTGTGCTATGAGGGCCCCTCTCTGGGGCTGGCTGAGGCCAGAGCCAGTTCCCTCTGCTCACAGGGAGGTGTGGAGGGACAGGCGCGGGGGGGAGCCGGGGCTGTGCACAGCACTCAGAGGCCAGCGTGGGTTCTGGGTAGGTGCGGGCTCAGTGGGCCCCACACTCGACATGGCCAGCCGACACCTGCTGGGCTTGATCAGTGGCTGGGTCCCATGCTTGGACAATTGTTCCCTCTTCACAGGGTCATTGGCCATGATGGCGGGTCTCCATCTCTGTCTCACTTCCCCTCTTTTCCTCTTGGTTGTCTGGGATGAGCTCCTTCTGGGCTGCCAAAGTGCCCGGGCTAGGAGCTGCAAAGTCCTGTGGCAAGTGCCAGTGAGAGGTGAAGCCAGCTGGGCTTCTGGGACGTGTAGGGACTTGGAGAACTTTTGTGTCTAGCTAAAGGATTGTAAACACACCTATCAGCACTCTGTGTCTAGCTAAAGGTTTGTAAATGCACCAATCAGCACTCTGTGTCTAGCTAAAGGATTGTAAACGCACCAATCAGCACTCTGTGTCTAGCTAAAGGATTGTAAACACACCAATCAGCACTCTGTCAAAACGGACCAATCAGCTGTCTGTAAAACGGACCAATCAACTCTCTGTAAAATGGACCAATCAGCAGGATGTGCGTGGGGCCAGATAAGGGAATAAAAGCAGACCACCTGAGCCAGCAGCAGCAACCCACTCGGGTCCCCTTTGACACTGTGGAAGCTTTGTTCTTTCGCTCTTTGCAATAAATCTTGCTGCTGCTCACTCTTTGGGTCTGCACCAACTTTCTGAGCTGTAACACTCACCACGAAGGTCTGCAGCTTCACTCCTGAGGCCAATGAGAGCATAAACCCACTCAAAGGAATGAACAACTCCAAACGTGCTGCCTTTAAGAACGGTAACACTCACTGCGAGGGTATGCGGCTTCATTCTTGAAGTCAGCGAGACCAAGAACCCACCAATTCTGGACACATTTTGGTGACCACGAAGGAACCATCGCTTATCGCCAAGTGGTGAGTACCACTGGACCCCTTTCACTTGCTATTCTGTCCTATTTTTCCTTAGAATTCGGAGGTTAAATACCAGGCACCTGTCGGCCAGTTAAGAGCAACTAGCATGGCTGCCAGACTAAAGACACTGGTGTCAGGCTTTCTGGGAAAGGGCTCTCTAACAATCCCTGCCTCTTCGGAGTTTGGAGCATTTGTTTGCCTGGAACCAGCTTCCACTTTTCCTGTACTTCTGGGCTGAGCCAAGGGTCGACAGAGAGGAAAGCCATTCAGCTCCGGGGTCCCAACAACAAGTTGGTTGACCCTGTGGCCATGAGCAGAACTCTCAAAGTCATGTCACCCAAGGGAGACTCACCCATCTATTCTATCTACCCTGACCATTGCCTCCTGGGTCCTAATGCCTGCCAAACAAACTTCCTCTCACCTCTCTTCTCTGAGGCTAGTCCCACTTCTAAAAATCTCTCCCTGTCTTTGGTGCTTTTCTAGTTTCTCCTATGAGAATGATTTCTAATATAAACTCCAGGACTCTGTTACCTTCTTTAGGCACCTGGGCTCACCAATCAGAAAGACATAATTTTTGCCCAAAGCCCCATCATAGTGGGGACTATCTGGAATTTTAGGATCCCTCCCTCAGACTAGCAGGGCTAACAAAAGTTATTCCTGAAGCTAGGATATGGGGAGCCTCAGAAATTTTATCCTTCCTATTTATATAAGTGAGAAGAAAAGGTGTCACTCTTCCAACTCTGGAGATCCCTCCCCTCCCTCAGGGTATGGCCCTTCACTTCATTTTTGGGGCATAACATCTTTATAGGACACAGGTAAGGTCCCAATACCAACAGGAGAACGCTTAGGACTCTAACAGGTTTTCGAGAATGCGTCGGTCAAGGCCACTAAATCCGATTTTTCTCAGTCCTCTTTGTGGTCTAGGAGGACAGACAAGGGTGCAGGTTTTCGAGAATGTGTTGGTAAGGGCCACTAAATCCAACCTTCCTCAGTCCCCCTTGTGGTCTGGGAGGAAAACTAGTGTTTCTGCTGCTGCGTCGGTGAGTTCAACTATGCCCATCAGGAGGGTCCAGGGACTGTTGCAGGTTCTCGGGCAGGGGGAGAAACAAAACAAACCAAAACCATGGGCAGTTTTGGCTTTCAGATGGGAAACACTCAGGCATCAACAGGCTCACCCTTGAAATGCGTCCTAAGCCATTGGGACCAATTTGACCCACAAACCCTGAAAAAGAGGTGGCTCATTTTTTTCTGCCCTACAGCCGGGCCCCAATATTCTCTCTCTGATGGGGAAAAATGGCCACCTGAGGGAAGTACAAATTACAATACTATCCTGCAGTTTGACCTTTTCTGTAAGAGGGAAGGCAAATGGAGTGAAATACCTTATGTCCAAGCTTTCTTTTCATTGAAGGAAAATACACAACTATGCAAAGCTTGCAATTTACATCCCACAGGAGGACCTCTCAGCTTACACCCGTATCTTAGGCTCCCTATAGATCCCCTTCCTATTAATGATAAGCCTCCTCAAATCTCCCCTGCCCAGAAGGAAATAAGCCAAGAAATCTCCAAAGGACCACAAAAACCCCCAGGCTATCGGTTATGTCCCCTTCAAGCTGTAGGGGGAGGGGAATTTGGCCCAACCCAGGTACATGTCCCCTTCTCCCTCTCTGATTTAAAGCAGATCAAGGCAGACCTGGGTAAGTTTTCAGATGATCCTGATAGGTACATAGATGTCCTACAGGGTCTAGGGCAAACCTTCGACCTTAATTGGAGAGATAGCTGGAGCTATTATCTACATGAATATGGGGAACAAGTTACCCATTTGTTGTCCCCTACTTGAAGAGGGAATCAACCCTGAAGTCTGGGCATTGGAAGGACAATTTGGAAGGGCAAAAAATGCCCACCCAGTCCAAATCAGGCTAAAAGACCCCACCACTTTTCCTTATTAAAGGCAATATCCCTTAAGGCCTGAAGCTCATAAAGGTTTATAGGATATTGTTAAACACTTAGAAGCTCAAGGTTTAGTAAGGAAATGTAGCAGTCCCTGCAACATCCCAATTATAGGAGTACAAAAACCAAATGGTCAGTGGAGACTAGTGCAAGATCTCAGACTCATCAGTGAGGCAGTAATTCCTCTATATCCAGTTGTACTCAATCCCTATACTCTGCTCTCTCAAATGCCAGAGGAAGCAGAATGGTTCACAGTTCTGGACCTTAAGGATGCCTTCTTCTGTATTCCCCTGCACTCTGACTCCCAGTTTCTCTTTGACTTTGAGGATCCCACATACCACACATCCCAACTTATGTGGACTCTCTTGCCCCAAGGGTTTAAGGATAGCCCTCACCTGTTTGGTCAGACACTGGCCCAAGATCTAGGCCACTTCTCAAGTCCAGGCCCTCTGGTCCCTCAGTATATGGATGATTTACTTTTGGCTACCAGTTCAGAAGCCTCGTGCCAGCAGGCTACTCTAGATCTCTTCAACTTTATAGCTAATCAAGGGTACAAGATGTCGAGGTCGAAGGCCCAGCTTTGCCTACAGCAGGTCAAATATCTAGGCCTAATCTTAGCCAGAGGGACCAGGGCCTTCAGCAAGGAATGAATACAGCCTATACTGGCTTATCCTTACCCCAGGACATTAAAACAGTTGCAGGGGGGTTCCTTGGAATCACTGGCTTTTGCCGACTGTGGATCCCCAGATACAGCAAGATAGCCAGGCCCCTCTATACTCTAATCAAGGAGACCCAGAGGGCAAATACTCATTTAGTAGAATGGGAACCAGAGGCAGAAACAGCCTTCAAAACCTTAAAGAAGGCCCTGGTACAAGCTCCAGTTTTAAGCCTTCCCACAGGACAAAACTTCTCTTTATACATCACAGAGAAAGCAGGGATAGCTCTTGGAGTCCTTACTCAGACTTGTGGGACAACCCCACAACCAGTGGCATACCTAAGTAAGGAAATTGATGTAGTAACAAAAGGCTGGCCTCACTGTTTATGGGTAGTTGTGGCAGTGGCTGTCTTAGTGTCAGAGGCTATCAAGATAATACAAGGAAAGGATCTCACTGTCTGGACTACTCATGATGTAAATGGCATGCTAGGTGCCAAAGGAAGTTTATGGCTATCAGACAGCCAACTACTTACATACCAGGTGCTACTCCTTGAGGGACCAGTGCTTCAAATACATATGTGCATGGCCCTCAACCCTGCCACTTTTCTCCCAAAGGATGGGGAACCAATCGAGCAAGACTGCCAACAAATTATAGTCCAGAGTTATGCCACCTGAGAGGATCTCTTAGAAGTCCCCTTAACTAATCCTGACCTTAACCTATATACCGATGGAAGTTCATTTGTGGAGAATGGGATATGAAGGGCAGGTTATGCCATAGTTAGTGATGTAACCATACTTGAAAGTAAGCGTCTTCCCCCAGGGACCAGTGCCCAGTTAGCAGAACTAGTGGCACTTACCCGAGCTTAGAACTGGGAAAGGGAAAAAGAATAAATGTGTATACAGATAGCAAGTATGTTTATCTAATCCTACATGCCCATGCTGCGATATGGAAAGAAAGGGAGTTCCTAACCTCTGGGGGAACCCCCATTAAATACCACAAGGAAATTATAGAGTTATTGCACGAAGTGCAAAAACCCAAGGAGGTGGCAGTCATACACTGCCAAAGCCATCAGAAAGGTGAAGGAGAAAAGGCAGAAGGAAACCGTCAGGCAGATGCTGAGGCCAAAATTGCTGCCAGGCGGGACCCCCCCATTAGAAATACCTACTGAAGGACCCTTGGTATGGAACAACCCCCTCCAAGAGGTTAAGCCCCAGTATTCTCCGACTGAAAGAGAATGGGGACTTTCACAGGGGCATAGTTTTCTCTCCTCAGGGTAGTTAATGACAGAAGAAGGAAAGGTACTGATACCCGAAGCCAGCCAGTGGAAAATACTTAAAACCCTCCACCAAACTTTTCATATGGGTATTGAAAACACTCAAAGGGCCAAATCTCCTCTGAACCATCCAACAGGTAGTCAAAGCCTGTGAGTTGTGCCAATGGAATAATCCCTTGGTCCATCGTAAGGCCCCTTTGGGGGAACAAAGAATATGTCACTATCCTGGACAGGACTGGCAGTTAGACTTCACCCATATGCCTAAGTCAAAGGGATTTCAATACTTGTTGGTCTGTGTTAATACCTTTACAAATTGGATAGAAGCTTTCCCCTGCAAGACAGAGAAGTCTCAGGAAGTGATTAAAGTCCTAATTCATGAAATAATTCCTAGATTTGGGCTTCCCCAAAGCTTACAGAGCAACAATGGTCTGGCTTTTAAAGCCGCGATAACTCAGGGAATTTCCAGGGTGCTAGGGATACAGTATCACTTTCACTGTACCTGGAGGCCACAATCCTCAGGGAAGGGCGAGAAGGCAAATGAAACACTCAAGAGGCACTTAAGGAAACTAACACAAGAAACTCATCTCCCATGGCCTACTCTTTTGCCCATGGCCTTGTTGAGAATCTGAAATTCTCCTCACAAAATGAGGCTCAGTCCATATGAAATGCTATATGGACAACCTTTTCTCACAAATGACCTCCTACTTGATCAGGGAACAGCCAACTTGGTCAAAGATATAACTTCTTTGGCAAAATATAAACAAAACCTTAAAAACCTACCTGAAGGATGTCACAGAAAAAAAGGAACAGAGTTGTTTCAACCAGGAGATCTAGTGTTGGTCAAATCTCTCCCCTCTACCTGCCCATCTATGGACTCTTTGTGGGAAGGAACATACTCAGTAATCTTCTCTACCCCCACTGCAGTTAAGGTGGCAGGAGTGGAATCTTGGACTCACCACACCCGAGTTAAACTTTGGACATCCCCTGAGGAACCTGCAGGACCCTCAGCTCAGGAGTCCCAAGATCAGCCAGACCACCCTCGATACACCTGTGAACCATTGGAGGACTTACATCTCCTATTTCAGAAGGAAACATCCCAGACTAAAAAGGCTCCTACCACTGATCCTGTGGAAAAACCCCTTCCTCCTTAAAAAAGGTAAGTGAAAACAGCATACTAACCATACTCTTTGCAATAGGACTATATACTGTAGCTCCTACCAGGATGAAAATCCTAATCACATCAACCTTCTTTCTTCAATCTTCCTTCCTTTTGACAGCAATTTACTCCTACCTTTAACTCAGACTAGATAAAATAATCTTGTCTTCCAGAGCACCCTCTTTACCTTCTTATTTGCTCTTTCCCTACGTATATCCCTCCTGCTTCCTTGGATACCTCACACAATCACAACCTCCCCTTCCACTAGCTCCTAATTGTCTCTACAAGACTCTCAACTTAACGCACTCTCTGTTAAACCAGTCCAATCCTTCCCTGGCAAATGACTGTTGGCTTTGAATCTCTCTATCAACCTCTGCTTACGTTGCCAATCCCATTCCCCCAAAAAACTGGGTCTTTACCAACTTAACCTACCACCCTCATTATGAAGGAAAAGACCCTTTCTGACTTCTAAATATGCAATCATTGACTGACTTCCCCATCTCTGATAGGACCAAGAATACCCTAATAGGACATGCAATCCAACTTTTACGTTCTTACATTTCCAACCTCACCTATTACACAAGCGATGAAAAGCCGATACATGGCCCTGTAACTATGAATACCATTTTAACTTTCCAAGCCCCTTTACGCATCCAACGCAACCTGTTATCAGGCCTGGCCCTGGGGCACCTACTACCCCATCAGTGTAATTACACCCTACAACTTCAAGCCCCAACTGATCATAGTAACTTCCGAGTCACCCGAACAGCTCCATTCAGATGGTTTGTCCGCTTCTCAAGGCCCCCAAAAATCATCACCTCCTCCCTGCTTAACAAACACTCCAGGTTTTGTAATGGCAAACATACTCCCTGTATGACCATTCATCCCTGGACTCCCTCCAGCAGTGCCCCTACCACTCGTGAATGCCTTCTCATCCCCTCTTTCAATCACTCTCTTGAATGGTTCCTAGTGGATACAAAACACTTTTTTCTCCAATGGGAAAATAGAACACAGGGAGCCACTCAGTTTGCTCCCAACACCCCTTTCCAGCCGCTCACTGGAGCTACCTTGGCAAGTACTCTAGGAGTATGGGAAAATGAAAAACACAAATTCACACACCTTTTTGACATATACAACCAGTTCTGTCTACCCAGCCAAGGTATATTCTTCTTATGTGGAACATCGACCTATATCTGCCTCCCCACTAACTGGACAGGCACCTGTGCCTTAGTCTTTCTAAGTCCCAACATTAACATTGCCCCAGGAAATCAGACCTTATCAGTACCCCTCAAAGTTCAAGTCTGTCAGCACAGAGCCATCCGTGCTAATACCCCTACTTATAGGGTTAGGAATGGCTACTGCTACAGGAACCAGAATAGCCAGTTTATCTACTTGATTATCCTACTACCACACACTCTCAAAGGATTTCTCAGACAGTTTGCAAGGAACAACGAAATCTATCCTTACTCTACAATCCCATATAGACTCTCTGGCAGCAGTGATTCTCCAAAACCACCGAGGCCTAGACCTCCTCACTGCTGAGAAAGGAAGACTCTGCACCTTCTTAGGGGAAGAGTGTTATTTTTACACTAACCAGTCAGGGATAGTACGAGATGCCACCCTGCATTTGCAGGAAAAGGTTTCTGAAATCAGACAACGCCTTTCAAACTCTTATACCAACCTCTGGAGTTGGACAACATGGCTTCTCCCCTTTCTAGGTCCCATGGCAGCCATCTTGCTGTTACTTGCCTTTGGGCCCTGTATCTTTAACCTTGTCAAATTTGTCTCCTCTAGAATCTAGGCCATCAAGCTACAGATGGTCTTACAAAGGGAACCCCAAATGAGCTCAACTAACGACTTCTACTGAGGACCCCTGGACCAAACCACTTCCCCTCTAGAGGATACTACAACTGCAGGGCTGCTTCTTCACCCCTATCCAGCAGGAAGTAGCTAGAGCGGTCATCAGCCAAATTCCCAACAGCAGTTGGGGTGTCCTGTTTAAAGGGGGAATTGAGAGATAACAACGTGCTAGCAGCCCTCACTTGCTCTCAGCACCTCCTTGGCCTCAGTGTCCACTCTGGCCACGCTTGAAGAGCCCTTCAGCCCGCCACTGTGCTATGAGGGACCCTCTCTGGGGCTGGCTGAGGCTGGAGCCAGCTCCCACTGCTCACGGGGAGGTGTGGAGGAACAGGCACAGGCAGGAACCGGGGCTGTGTGCAGTGCTCACAGGCCAGCGTGGGTTCCGGGTGGGCGCAGGCTTGGCAGGCCCCACACTTGGTGCGTCTGGCCGACGACTGCTGGGATTGATCAGAGTCTGGGTCCCATGCCTGGACCACCGTTCCCTCTTTGCAGGGTCATTGGCCATGATGGAGGGTCTCCGTCTCTTTCTCGCTTCCCCTCTTTTCCTCTTGGTTGTCTGGGACGAGCTCCTTCTGGGCTGCCAGAGTGCCTGGGCTAGGAGCTGCAGAGTCCTGTGGTGAGTGCCAGTTAGAGGTGAAGCTGGCTGGGCTTCTGGGATGGGTGGGGACTTGGAGAACTTTTCTGTCTAGCTAAAGGATTGTAAATGTACCAGTCAGCACTCTGTGTCTAGCTAAAGGTTTGTAAACACACCAATCAGCGCTGTATGTCTAGCTAATCTGGTGGGGACTTAGAGAACTTTTGTGTCTAGCTAAAGGATTATAAATGCACAAATCAGCACTCTGTGTCTAGCTAAAGGATCATAAATGCACCAATCAGCACTCTGTCAAAATGGACCAATCAGTTGTCTATAAAATGGACCAATCAGCTCTCTGTAAAATGGGCCAATCAGCTCTCTGTAAAATGGACCAATCAGCAGGATGTGGGTGGGACCAGATAAGGGAATAAAAGCAGGCCACCCGAGCCAGCAGTGGCAACCCACTCGGGTTCCCTTCCACTCTGTGGAAGCTTTGTTCTTTCACTCTTCGCAGTAAATCTTGCTGCTGCTCACTCTTTGGGTCCACTCTGCCTTTCTGAGCTGTAACACTCACCGCGAAGGTCTGCAGCTTCACTCCTGAAGCCAGCAAGACTACAAACCCACTGGGAGGGATGAACAGCTCCGGACGGGAGGAACGAACAACTCTGGACACGCCACCTTTATGAACTGTAACAGTCACTGTGAAGGTCTGCAGCTTCACTCCTGAGGCCAGCAAGACCATAAACCCACCGGAAGGAACGAACAACTCCAGATGTGCCGCCTTTAAGGACTGTAACACTCACCACAAGGGTCCGCGGCTTCATTCTTGAAGTCAGCAAGACCAAGAACCCACCAATTCCAGACACAGCATCAC
Source organism: Homo sapiens (assembly GCF_000001405.40). NCBI lineage: Eukaryota > Metazoa > Chordata > Mammalia > Primates > Hominidae > Homo > Homo sapiens. The sequence continues at coordinate 126,230,227 of NC_000005.10, forward strand.
ATTACCTGACTTCAAATTATACTACAAGACTACAATAACCAAAACAGCATAGTACTGGTAAGGCACATAGAACAATAGAACAGAAAGAGAACCCAGAAATAAGACCACACATCTACAACCATCTGATCTTTGACAAAGCTGACATAAGCAGTGGGGAAAATAATCCCTATTCAATAAATAGTGCTGGGAGAACTGGCTAGCCATATGCAGAAGATTGAAGCAGGACCCCTTCCTTATGCCTTCTAAAAAAATCAACTCAAGATGGATTAAAGACTTACATGTAGAACACAAAACTATAAAAACCCTGAAAGACAACCTAGGCAATACCCTCCTGGACACAGGAACAGGCAGATTTCATGACAAAGACACTAAAAGCAATTGCAACAAAAGCAAAAATTGACAAGTGGGATCTAATTAAACTTAAGAGCTTCTGCACAGGAAAAGAAACTATCAAGATGGTAAATAGACAACCTACAGGATGGGAGAAAATATTTGCTAATTATGCACCTGACAAAGATCTAATATTCAGCATCTATAAGGAACTTAAATTTACAAGAGAAAAATAATCCCATTGAAAAGTGGGTAAAGGACATGAATACACACTGCTCAAAAGACAACATACTTGTGGCCAACAAGCATATGAAAAAAGCTCAGTATCACTGATCATTAGAGAAATGCAATCCAAAACCACAATGAGATACCATCTTACACCAGTCAGAATGGCTAATATTAAAAAGTCAAAAAATAACAGGTGCTGGCAAGGTCGCAGAGAAAAGGGAACCCTTATACACTGTTGGTAGGAGTGTAAATTACTTCAACCATTGTGGAAATCAACATGTTAATTCCTCAAAGAGCTAAAATCAGAACTACCATTTGACCCAGTAATCCCATTACTGGGTATATACCCAGATGACTATAAATCATTCTACCATAAAGACACGTGCTAGTGAATGTTCTTTGCAGCACTATTCACAAGAGCAAAGACATAGAGTCAACCTAAATGCCCATCAGTGACAGACTGGATAAAGAAAATGTGGTACGTATACACCATGGCATACTATGCAGCCACAAAGAACAAGTCATGCCTTTTGCAGGAACATGGATAGAGCTGGAGGCTATTATCCTTAGCAAACTAATGCAGGAACAGAAAACCAAATACGCATGTTCTCATTTATATGTAGGAGCTAAATGATAAGAACTTACGAACACGAAGAAGAAAACAACAGACAGTGGGGTCTACTTGAGGGGTGGGGGGTAGGAGGAGGGAGAAGAACAGAAAAGGTAACTATTGGGTATTCGGCTTAATACTTGGGTTATGAAATAATATGTACAACAAACCCCCATGACACATGTTTACTTATGTAACAAACCTTCACCTGTATCCCCAAACCTAAAAGTTAAAAAAAAAACCTAAAAAAAAAAAAAAAACTGGGCAAAGGACATGAACAGACATTGTTCAAAAGAAGACATACAACCAACAAGCAGATGAAAAAAAACTCAACATCACTGATTAGAGAAACATAAACCAAAACCACAATGAGATACCGTATCACACCAGTCAGAAGGACTATTATTAAAAAGTCAAAAACAGCAGTTGCTGGCAAGGTTACAGGGAAAAGAAAACATTTATACACTGCTGGTGGGAGTGTAAATTAGCCATTAGGGAAAGCAGTTTGATGATTTCTCAAAGAACTTAAAAGAGAGGTACCATTCAACCCAGCAATCAATTATTGGGTCTACACCCGAAGGAATCCAAGTTGTACTACCATAAAGACACACATATGCATATGTTTATTGCAGCACTGGTCACAATAGCAAAGACATGGAATCAACCTAAATGCCCATCAATGGTAGACTGGATAAAGTAAATGTGGTACATATACCCCATGGAATACTACACAGCCATAAAATGGAACAAAATCATGTCCTTTGCAGCAACATGGTTGGAGCTGGAAGTCATTATCCTGAGCAAACTAACACAGGAACAGAAAACCAAATACCACACATGTTAGCTTACAAGTGAGAGCTAAACACTGAGTACACATAGATACAAAAGAACAGCAGATACCAGATACCAGGGCCTACTTGAGGTAGAGGTGGGAGGATGGAGAGGATCAAAAAACTATTATCAGGTACTATGTTTATTACTTGGGTGGTGAAATAATTTGTACATCAAACCCCCCATGAGATAAAATTTACCTATATAACAAACCTGCACATGTACCCTTGAGCCTAAAATACAAGTTAAAAAAAAAAGAAATATGTAAAGACCCAAGGGACAATACTGCAGAAAAATTCAGGAAGCCCAGTGAGTAAAACCACTGGGTTTATCAGTTTAAATGATAATTACAGTTTGAGTAAAAGCAATGGATACAAAAGCCAAGCTGTAAAAGCCTGAAAGAAATTATCAAGGATGAATTGTCAAAATGATAGGTTCTTAGAAGGCTTTGGCCATCATGGAAAAGAGAGAAACTTGATTTAGATCACAAGTGGCATAATTAAGTACCATAATCAGTATCACCAAGTCAATCAAGTATTTCTTAAAGTCACTAAATATTCAAAAGTATTATAATATCATAGAAGTAGCACTAGTTTAGTAATCTGAACATCTGAATTCTAATTTCAAACATTACCTGTGTTTGAAATTAGAACATATCTATTTTCTTCCCTTGGTGAAAAAAAGAGGTGGTTTTGGAGATGCGAAACTCTATAAATATGACTTTGGATCATCCTTCCCCTAAGGAGTGGATGCGTGAGAAAGGAGCCACAAAGAACAAGTCATGTCTTTTTTGGGAACATGGATGGAGCTAGAGGCTATTATCCTTAGCAAACGAATGCAGGAACAAAAAACCAAATACGCATGTTCTCACTTATATGTGGGAGCTAATTGATGAGAACTTATGAACACGAAGAAGAAAACAACAGACAGTGGGGTCTACTGGAGAGGGGAGGGTAGGAGGAGGGAGAAGTAGTACTTTACACTCCCACAGGGTATAAGGGTTCCCTTTTCTCTGCAACCTTGCCAGCATCTGCTATTTTTGACTTTTTAAAAAAGTGGAGAGGATGCGTGAGAAAGGAGAGCTGAGAGAATGCAACGCGAAGCCTTGTTCGACTACTGGACTCTGGACATGCCAATCATCTTCACTTTGTACATGAGCATCTGCTTTGTACATAAGCAGAGGGCTGAAGGGATCTCTCAGACCAGAAACAGAAACATGTAGCCAATCACAGACTGGAGTGTAAGTCTGCCTCTGGTTACTGCAAGGAAGTAATTTATTATAGTGGAGTTACAAGAAACATGGGCATTGGCTTGGTCCGCATGTGTCTTACTGTGAACTGTCTCCAGATGTTAGCTAGAATTGCTCAGAGTCATCAAAAAGTTAAATAATCCTGGAACATCCAGTGAATAAGCTTGCAGCAAGTTTCAGGGAAAAGGTCAAGGTGAGGACAGAAATTTCTGGGATCATCAACTCTAAACTGTAAGTTCTTCCATCTGACTCCAAATACCTTGAGAACAGAAGGCATACCTTCCGTGCATTTATTCAACAAATATTGGAACCCCAGGATGTGTTAGACTCCATGCTGGGTGTTAGAAATGGAAGAGCAAATGTTATTTACTAATACTCCAACCAGCATAAATAACAATTTTGAACGGAAGGGGTCTTTGCTTTTCAGGTGAAGAGGACCACATGGGGTTCGGGAAAAGAATCTTTAGAAGTCAACATAAAAATATCTTTCTAATTCAGAAGCAGATGATATATTTACCCACACATTGGGAGAAAACCACAAAGCAGTTTTCCAGTAGAAAGCAATTACAAACAACACAACTTGTAATAATGGAGAAAATAATTTAATAGAAAACAGAAAATGATGAGCATAGACAAAGCAAAACTACTCTGCACAAAAAGATCCCCTTATGAGTAGAAAACAACTTCCACTGCTCCTGGCAAAACAAACAAACAAACCTGGATAGGATTTAGACTGTAGATGTACTTAAAACACAAATGTACTTCAGGCCAGAAGTAGGATTGCCAGATCTCATCTGCAACTAAAGAGAGTGAAGTACGGATCCGAAAAATAGAAGTGTGCTTGTTGCTATGCTCTTGAAAATTTTAGGATGCTTCTCCTGGCTTTGGGGGAAAATATGTTTTTTGAAAACTACCGAACTGGGAGCACAAACTGTTCTCTCTGTTCAAATAGCAAAAGCAATAGATGATGAGGGTCCCTACCTCTTCTCCAAAGTAGAGCTGGACTAGTTCAGAATCTGTAAGAGTAACAGAGTTTAAGTAGACAGAAAATGTAAAACAAAAAGGCATAAAATGGGACTGTGCTTCCAAAGAATACAATTGCCTTAAGAAACTCACCCTATGGTTAACCTGGGCAAGAAATTCACTCTCTGCCCCTCTATCTCTTGGTCCATTCCCCAGAGTAACTCTATCACACAGGAATGTAATTGTTTTCTACTTCACTAAGTACTCACTCCTACAGTTTTTCACCTCATTTGAGATCAGTTTGACAGGCAATACCGCTAACTGGCAGAAGAGGACAGTGTGGAGCTTTCGGCTTGTACACATTCGGGCCCCTTTCAGTGTAACAATTCTGAATGTAAACACACAAATATGCGTTCTCTCATCAAGAGGAACAAAAGCAGAAGGAAGGTTGGCATTTAAAGAAGAGAACGATGGAGACCAGTACCCATGTGTAAAAGAATTAAAACATTTGAAAGGATTATAAATTTGGGGGCAGTAGAATGAGTGACCAGTCCCTACAATGTTCTCTTTCAATTAAACACGAACTCATGTGCTTCTTTCTTGGACTTGCTATGTCAACATCACTTGTCCATCCTTTGTTTATTTCACTTCATGAGCTCCTTGTCATTTAATTAATGCTTTGAGATGAAACATGAAATTTCCTTATCAATTCATTTCGAAAATATATTCTGACTTGTTAATATCTCTCTTCTTTGAAAGAACATTTCTATAGCTTATATTACAAGGAATGACAAGGGCAATTAACATTAAAAACTGAGCAGAACAAAGCTATGGTAATGAGGAGTGCTACAATTCATTCACCAAGACGCCCAGTGATAAAAGGATAAAATGAACCTACCTTTCTCTTTCTGATAACAAAGCAATTACAACTTGTAAAGTAACATGGAGAAAATAATAATTTAATAGAAAACAGAGAATGGTAGGCACAGACAAACACAAAGGAAAACAACTCTGCACAAAAGATAATTCACTTTATCACAACTTCCCATTGTGAGTAGAAAACGACTTGCCAAAAATGTCAGGATACACAGCAATATTTTTCCCCAGAAAAAAAATAATTTTCTCGTATTGGTATTCAGAAGGTTGCTAGCAGAACAATACAAAGAAAGTCTTTGAAAGTAGTAAGCAAGGAAGCACAAGTAGAGGTCAAGCAAGGATAGTACGATAATGCACACACCCACACCAACGTACAGACACAAACATACTCACACTTAGCGACTAGAATTCCAAGAAAAAGAATTATGAATTGGAGACCACAGGATTAACATTCTGAACGAGCAATCAACATTTGGACCAAATGAGATATGGCAGCCTCATGACCTTCAAAGATACGTGGGAGGACTCCAGCTGCCAAGACAATGTCAGCAGTTCCCACAGAATGCCAGGCAGACCCAGGCTGCAGAAAGCACATCTGTGGACCAACCCCAGTTCAACCATCTCTGGTTAAAAGGTGTTCTCATCAGCTGAGTGCATTGGCTCACACCTGTAATCCCAACACTTTAGAAGGCCGATGCGACAGGATCACCTGAGGCCAGGAGTTTGAGACCAGCCCTAGCAACATAGTGAGAACCTGTCTCTACCAAAAATATAAATAAAATTTAAAAATTAGGTGGGAGTGGTGGCACATGTTACTAGCTACTAGGGAGGTTAAGGCCCAAGAGTTCGGGATTCAGTGAGTTATGATCAGACAACCATACTCCAGCCCGGATGGCAGATTTTTCCCAAACACTTTTTTGATTAAAAAAATAAAAAAAGTGCTCATCAAAGAACTTAAGCATGAAACTGATAGCCAAGGTGGTTAAGCTTCTGTTTGTAGCCCTGAAGCTTACTCCCAGAGTATTAAATCACTTCCATTGTTTCATCTTAAAATTGGGAATGGCGCCACTCACATGAAGATCAGGTAATGATTATAGAGTGTTCCAAAACTAACTATTAAATATTATAAGATACAATACATGCAAGAATCAGCCTACACAGCAGATACGGGCTCCATGCTACTCATACCATGCACGTCACTCTCCAGGTGTTATTGATTGTGTGAGAAAAAGCATAGAATTCAGACTGTTTCCCATCTTTAGAGGGAACTGTATCTTCCTACAATATCTGTGATGATGGTGCCAAAGTGGCTGTAAAGAATGTATATCCTGGCCAGGCGCAGTGGCTCATGCCTGTAATCCCAGCATTTTGGGAGGCCAAGGCGGGCGGATCACCTGAGGTCAGGAGTTCGAGACCAGCTTGGCTAACATGGTGAAGCCCCGTTTCTACTAAAAATACAAAAAATTAGTTGAGTGTGGTGGCCCAGCTACTCAAGAGGCTGAGGCAGGAGAATCGCTTAAGCCCGGGAGGCGGAGGTCGCAGTGAGCAAAGATCGCGCCATTGCACTCCAGCTTGGGCAACAAGAGGTAAATTCCAACTCAAAAAAAAAAAAAAAAAAAGAATGCACATCCTTTATGAAGAACAAAAGTTCAATATTGAGCTGATCCTTCTTGCACACAGAATGCCTCTCTCTCTCAACACACTCCATCTCCCCTTTCCTTTCCCCCCCTCTCATTCTTGCCTTTTTATGCTTTCTTTCACGTACACTTATTCTTAACCATAGCTTCTTCATTTTAATATAAAACTTAAAGTCGCATTTATGCATCATATAACACATTCCAGTCCTTTCCAAAGTCAACAATCCAGGAATGGCCTGGCACAGTGAAGAGCTGTAAACCTACAGATTTTGAATATGTGACCATTTAGTTCAATCTCTCACCAGATGTTGAATCTCCTTCATAACATGCTCAACTGCCTCTAGTGATGATTTAAAAAAAAGCAGCCTGTTGCATTTATGAGGTTTTAATTATTTGAAGGTTATTTATATATTGAACTTAAATCTGCCTCCCAATAGCTGTCAAGGAGCTTACATTCTAGTGAAGGACACAGACGCCGGACAAATAAGTATTAGAGGTAGTGATGGTGTTCTGTAGAAAAAGTCATTTCCCAGCTGTATTAACTTAGATCTTTTTAGCCTCTTTTATCCTGTTTTTTTAATCTCTAGAAATATTTTAACAGTCTCTAAAATATGTTATTTGAATAATAACGTAAAATGCTAGCTTAGTACCTGACACAAACTAGTTGCTCAGTGAAGACATATATCATTATTGTATACTTTGCTGTTGGTTTTTTTCCTGCTCCACAGAGTTTGTTCCCAGCAATTCTGTAAGAAGGGGCAAGTTGGGGAGCTAGACTTGACTGACTCTCCAGTTTACCATCTATTCTGCAGTTAGACGAGTCTTCCATCAGGTAATCCACAATAATAGTAAGGCTTCTAACCATCCATGTCTCTGGAGGGGAATGCAATGGCTATTGATGTTTGCTCCGACCCTGATTCCACTCCTCATTCTTCAAGTAACTGACTTTTGGGAAACCACCCTTTTCCATGTCCAGTCCATTTATTAGCAATGAAGCCAAGTCTGATCCCAGAGCCAAAGCTCGCTGCGTCCCATGTAGAGCAGTAAGAATGGACCAGGCGTGGCCACACAAACAGGAACCCAGAACCTGCAGTGCAACTATCAGGAAGTGGTAAGTTTTTTCCACTGGACTTGAAACAGGGCAAATGTGAACCTGGAACTGAGGGGGCCACTTGTTCAGACTTGTTCAGAAAACACAGAAAGCCAACGGAGGGCAGGAGACATTTGGGTCCTGGCAAGAGATTTGAACCCCATAAAGTCACACTTGAAGACAATGGATATTTTTATTATATAAATCAACAAATTCCCCTTTTAAGTGAGTTTGAATTGAAGCTTTTAAGGCATTTAAGGCTGAAAGATTTCTTCTGTTTAGTTACAGTCCGATCAGATTTTCCCTGCAACAAACATAATCTGGACTTGGATGAAAGCTTCAATGGTTCTTAAACCTTTCAGTGCCTATTCCAAGTCATAGAGAGTTCAGCGGCAGGATGGCTAAGGTAAAGGTAGGGGGAAACTCAGTATTTGCCTCTAGTCAGCTACTTTATTCTTCTCAGTACCAACCAGGGCAAGGCGTCCAGGGCTAGGGTTATCCATCCCACATCTGGATGTTCTCCAAATCTCCCAAAGGCACTCTACTTTCACCCCTTGTTCCCTACCTCTCCTCTTTCTTGACTTGCCACAACCTTTCATACTCCCACCTTCCAACGCTATCACTGAGAGAATCTACCCCACTCTCCTTTTTCTCAAGATCAGCCCCTCCTCTTTGGGTAAGTGTTCTCTCCCTTCTTCGGTCTTGCAATTTTACTGCTTTAAGCTTTGAGTGTCAGTGACTTTTGTTGCTTTGTTGAGTTAGTGAAACTCTGCAGAAAGGAATATCTAGCTCAGTATCCACTGAGGAGAGAAGCTGCAGTTGCTACTCCCAGAGGCTCTAAAATCAAAAATATTTCAATTCCACACACACAAAAATTTTTAAATATAAACCCACCTGTTTCTATTGGAAATTTATGTTATTCTCATTAACATAAGTTATACTGAGTTCTTTGAGAAGTAATACTTTATGGCCTTATTGTGTTTTCCCTCTTGAACCCTTCCCTAAGTGTCATCAAACATTCTACAGGCCAAATTACTCCTCCCTAATTCTTGTCTGGGAGGGAGCATGTTTCAGTTCCTGTCTTCACATTAACATTATTAATTTCTCTTCTGTGGAATAGGACTAACTCACCAGAATTTTCCCTGGGCTGAGGGAAGCACTTCTCCAGATGGCCTTGTGCCCTTTGTCCTGAGTGCATGCCCACCAGGACACCTCCTGGTCCTTCCTTCAGATTTCGTGGTTTCTAGGGTACCCAAGTGGTCCCTGGATACATTCTGGTCCCTGGATAGAAATACTACTATCAACTAATAAGCTAACATTCTGATTTACACTCCTGCCTCTTGAGAGCTTAGATACTGTGAGTCAATATCTAGAAGACCAACTGTTTCTGGATGCCTTGTTGGATGAAGTTTCTAGATCAACAAAGCTGGAATCAGAGCTTAGAGAAAATGACCCACGAACATACCACTTCCCTCTACTTCCTCTGTTATATAATGGAGCCAGCAGCTCTAGATATATCTTTACATCTCAGTTGTGTCTAATTGCAGCAGATAGCACTGGGCCCCTGATGTTGGAAGATGGAAGGAAGAATCATGGGAAGGTGATGGCTCAAGGCCAATATAAATTCTCATGAATGTCTTTAGCTGTCTGCTGCAACCCTCAGGTGAGCAAGCGTTTGTCACAAGGAACCATAGACCTTGATCTGCCCAGATGTTCAGGAAGAGGTGGGTCCATTTTTCCTGAGCAACCATTCCAAAAATTTCCCATTTGTCTTTCTCCGGTCTTGTTTAAGCTTTTATCCTTGATTTCTCTTTCATTCATTTTTCTACTTGTGTTTAATGATAATTGCCCTAGTCTTTAAATATAAATGTAGCTCTGATACAATCCAATAGCTATTTAATATAAGATCATACAAAGCCTACAACCTTGACCTCATCCTTGGGAAAGTCCTCCACGCACACCCAATGAGAGGTGTGTCTTCAGTGCCAGGAAGAGGTTGGATGGACAGAGGAGGCATCAGTATTAGGGAAAAAGTACAAGGACAGAATCAGCAAAGACAGGAACTTAAAAATGTGTGCATGATATATGGGCAGAGGGAAGACCAGTGAGACTTCCCAACTGGTTAAAAGAGTTCATTTTTGAAGAAACTCTTTTATGGAGATCATGTTGGACTATTAGGGCAAAATATGACCATGGAAGCTCTGAAAGCTAGACTGAAAGGTATTCTTCACCATCACAGGTAATGAAAAACAATTGTGAGTTCTTAAGGACCAACAAAATGCTATTTAGAAACAGGAATCTGGCACCAATACACAGGAAAGTTTGAAAAGGGGAGGGCCTGAACTAGAAAGTAGACTCAGAGAGTTGTTGCAATCAGCCAGATCCTGACACCTTGATGGCAGGTGTGATTTTTAAAATATTATAAATAACTATACAATGCTCAATTATCCATAAAAACCAATCCAAGATTGTTCTGATGACTTAAGCCTAGAACCCTGAATGACTGGCCAGTACTACATATCTTGCCCACAACACTGGTATCATCAAGTACGGGCTCATAAAGGTATCTCAGCTAAACTGAGAAATAAGTGCAATTTTTCACATTAATTCTTTGTAGCATTCATACTTAGATCAAAAATCAATTAAGATATCCCAGAGTCTCTAACCCAGTGTGTTACTATGTTGTGCCCAAGAAGAACATATGCTAAGATGGACATGGAGTGGGAAAATTCAGGAGTTTTTTTCTTCTTCCACACATGTGGATTTGTTCTTTATAAATGACAAACCTGCTTACAGAAAAGGAAATCGATGTGAGAGTGCAACAGTAAAGAAAGATAATAAAGTCCTATGTGTCCTATGTATAAATGGAAAAGGGGACTATTTTTGATCCTATGTACTATTTAAACATTTTCTCTGTGTCATCTCTATAGCTATTTTTTGACTAATCTCAAAAAAAAATGCCTGAAAACATTTTACTAAAAGCTACATTTTCTTCTGTGTGAAGTGTTAAAATGAACCCTATACTTTTAACAGATAATCATTCCAAGAGACAGAAAAAACTATTGACATTTTTACAATAACAGGTTATTAATATAATTCACTGCAGCTGAAAGCACATAGAATACACTTACAATGTGGCTGAATAAAGGTTGCATGTACTTTGTGTTTTATTCTGCATCAAACAAATATCTGTCATGCCAAATCCTAGACTAGGCATAGAAACTCTTAGAAATCTCTGATTCTCAGAAAAAGATGAGCAATTGGAAAAAGTTCCTCTTCTCTAAATAAATTCCACATCAAGTAGTCCTAGAAGCCAACACTAGAGAAGAAAAACACATCACAATCATTCTTCAGGATAATGTCTGCAAAGTGTCACCCTGGAAGCCCCAGCAACACAATTCCGCAACATCTGAATTGCGTTGCAGAAGCAATATTACATAAGCTCCCTGAGAATAAGTAATCAAGGAGATGGATGCTACCTCTTTCCACAAATACATCATTTTTTCTCAGCAACTACTCATAGAAGAACATGAAGAAACAGAAGTGCGTATCTCTAAGATTACAGACACCTGCACCATTCTTCTGAAACTATTGCCTTAGAATTCTCAAAAAATTGTGATCTCCAATTAAAATGAAACCAGAGACTGTTTACATTTAAGAGCTTTCTAAAAATAAATATGAGGCCCAGATTAGGCTTCCCTACTACAATATTTACAGACCAAAGAATTTGAAGGGAAGCTGCTCTTGTCTTCAAAAGGCCTTTTTTGCCAGTTATTGAATCCTAAGTTCTGTATATATGAATATACATGTTTCTCAGCCTTGTTGCACCCTCGTTCCCTTCTGCTGAAAGAGATTTACAAAACATTTGTTTTCCAAAGAATCCTACACTTTATAAAAGGATGCACCATAGGTTTCCTTTAAAAAGCAGACTCCCTGCTGTGCTTAAAATGAGTCAATTTACAAAGATGTGAATTAGCTACAATTCTCCAGAAATACATCTGCTCCCTAAAGCAAGTCACACCTACTAAAAACTGTAGGTCTGAAAATTAGTGTGCAGGAAACATATTTCAAGCTCTTCAATAAAACGAAACAGTCTTTGGAGTTAATAAACAGTGGCTTGTATTTATTAATCTGGCATAAAACAAGATGGCTCCTAAAATCTAATTTTTCTTCTCTGTGCACTGCCTCCTCCCTGCCATGAACACCCATAACCTGCCTTTTTAATCTACCCTAGAATACAAAGGACTACTTCCCTCTAACTCTAGGCTTTTTCTGGCTCCTGCAATGGGCCATGTTCTTAGCCAGTCTCACCTCCTGCCCACCCTTTAATTCAGAGGGGTCTTCCATATTGTGAGGCAGTTCCCTCCAACCCTCTTTGCGTGGCCCCCGCTACTTTTCCTTTGTAGCCTACTTCAGCTCTCTGCTGGCTTCCTCACCAGTGCATCCTTGACACCACCTTTCAGAATAGATCAGTTCTTTCTCATTCTCTCTCTGCCCCATGTACTTCTCCTTCACAGCACTTGTCCAGAGTTTATATCTGAACTACTGGGATCATTTGATAAATAGCTGTCTTCCCCATTCCAGGCTTCATGAGACATTATTTCTGTTTTTGTTATTTTATGCCATCGCCTGGTACCATGCATAGCAAAAGTGGGCTGACAAAATATTTACTGAATAGACAAGTGAGCCCTGCTTGCCCTTCAAATTTCCTCCTTATTGTTATTCTCTACCATATCAATAGAACTATTTTAGAAACCCTACACGTCATCAAGGACACTTCTCCAAAGATCTATATCCTACTATCTACATCCTCTCCTTTCTGAACTCTTTTCAAACTTCCACACCTAAGATTCTACTGAAACCAGTCTCTCTAGTTTTCCTAATAATCTCCTAAGGGACGAATTCAGTGGCTGCCTCAAGATTCATCCCCTTTAAAGCCCCTTCAATAAAGGTTGATGGCCTGCTCATGGTCCCTTGTCTTCTTCCTACTCGTCACTTTGACTTTTTCCCTTTCCCTCCCCCTGTTCTCTTCACATTTCCTCAAGATGCTCAACTTCCATCTCTCCAGCTCTTCCTTCTGGCCTCCACTATCTCTGTTCATGATACTTTCATTCCCCCAGACCCCAAGTCTGAAACACGTTACTCCTAGATATTCATTTCATCAATGCCATAGATTCTTCCTGGGGAGATCCCAATAGCCAAATTTCACTTTGAGTTCTCCTTAAGACCTCTGAACCATTTCTCCTTGCCTTCTCACTAGTTTGTTCTATACACACACTACCTTCTTCAAATATAGAGCAACCACATCACTTCAATGTTTAAAAAAAAATTTTTTTAATACAACTTTTCCTCCCTTCCCATTGCCCTAAAAACCAAATACAAAGGTGCAGGAATCTCAAGGACATGACACCGGGCCCTGGGAAAACTTAATGATTCGTTATTTCATAAACAATGATGGCAGTTCTCTATTTCACACACAAACCCACAAACCCATACCTACACTTCCTCCCTTTTGCCCTGGAGTACTTAAGTTTTATCCATGTTTCCAAGTACATTGCAAATGCTTCCTCCTCTGAAAGTTTTGCTGATTTCCTGAATGAATGTGATCTCTCATACTTTGACCTCTCATAAGCCTTTGTGTTTGGTGGTATCCTAATTATTTGTGCTCCAAAGATATATTCCTCTAAATCACAAGGTCTTACCTGCTTGGAAAACATAAGCACAATGTATTGAAATCCCAAATTATACTAGAAATCCCTTTTAAAAGACCATTATGCTTTTAGCAAAATGAGTCTCCAAGTGATTGGCTCTAAGAAATTTTAATAGGGCTTTTAATTGTAAATCAATTATTTTGGAGAAATGATTTAAATTGTCAGTTGGCATAAGTTTTCAAGGGTATTTATTTCAATTACTTCTAAAAGTGTATGATGTTTTGGAGGTGAGGTAATAATTAGTAGTGCAAAAAGGCTAGAAGGATTTAAAGTCTTTAAAGTTTGTTACTGTATAGATTGAATGTTAAATGCACTTTTAAAAATCAGGCACATATTTTCTAATTAATAAAGGATTGACCAAAGCCTAATGTTCCCGTAGGAGAAGCTTCTTTATCACAATATCGCTTTATCTCTTGAGAGTCGCTTGAGCCTTGACTGTCTATCATGAAAGAAAGATTGCCAGTGTGAGCTAAGGTCTCCCAAGCTAGAGCAGGAGAGCCCACAACTCACTAAGCCCATCTTTTCTCATTTTCAACAGATAAAAAGGTGAAAGTGTGTGGCACATTGGGCTAAACCTTTCGCATCATCAAGGGTCATTATTTAGAACTGTTGATTGCAAGAAATAAGGGGTGTATGTGTTTGAATGTCTTTTTAAAGTTATATAAACTATTACTGATCAGTTACATGATACCCAGGAGCAAGATCATGGGGTTTAATTACAAAGAATTATGCCTTGAGTCTCCCGTTTACAAGGAAAGCTGAAACACTTACATATAGTATAAATAAATATTTGTTGAATCTTAAAATTTAAAAACCTTTTAAAAACATCATCAAATAAAAAATTACATATAGTATAAATAAATATTTGTTGAATCTTAAAATTTAAAAACCTTTTTAAAACATCAACAAATAAAAAATTAATGCTATAGAAGTTGCAAAATTTATGGAGGATCCAAAAGATGAGATTGAATTATGGCAAGATTTAACTATAGAATGTTTTAACATTGTTTAAAATAAAGACTGGAAAGATAGTAGATATCCAACAGTAAGGAAATGATTGAGTAAATTATAGCATATCCATACAATGAAATGTGTTTCTGACATTTGAACTGATATTGGAGGTATATTTCTTAACCAAGAAAGTTGTATAAAAATAAAAGTAAAATAATGTAATCAACCATGTATTTTATATGAGGTATATATACATAATATTCTGTAAGAATGTGCTAAAAATGTAAGAGCAATTGTGACTGGGTGGCATAAACTCTATATTTTATCTTCCTTTTGGCTTATATAAATTGTCAATATATTTTTCTGTAGTGAACATGTATTTTTTAAATGTTGTCTATATTAAAAGGAAATAGAACCAGTATTCTTTAAATGAAGATAAGAAATGAGAAAAAGACAAATAGACATTTGTAAAACAAAGACTAAAAATACAGCTGCAAGACTTTCTGTGGAGTAGAAAAGGGAATCTTATTTCAAAAAAAAGATTAGCCTTATTATTATGTAAATAATTTTTTGTTAACTCCCACACACCAGAATTTTCGGTAAGATATTTCAAATGGGAAATCAAAATACAAAGAGTCAAATAGTGATGAAAGAGTAAAAAAGAAAAATAAGAAGTGTTCCCTCTAGAAAGAACAAAGAACAGTTCAAGTTAATAGATTAGTACAGTTCCCAAGTAAACACTTTCAAAGAAAACATGCTCTGTATTATGACTGCTTTGTGAAGTCTTCTCCTGCTAGGAAGAGTATGTAGTACACACATGTAAGATGCCTAATGCAACTAGAACATTCCTAAAAACTGAAAAAATAATTGCTTAAAGAAAATTTAAGATTTTTAATTGCTGATTATTAGACTATTTCATATGTAATTTAGGCTGTCAGACTTAATAAACATTAGCTTTTGTTGTGACTTAGTTTCTTGTAGTACTGACTGTTGCCTTTAAATTCTTAACGTATTAGTACATTCTCACCCTGCTATAAAGAACTACCCAAGACTGAGTAATTTATAAAGAAAAGAGGTTTAGTTGACTCAGTTTAGCATGGCTGGGGAGGCCTCAGGAAGCTTACAATCATGGCAGAAGGCACCTCTTCACAAGGCAGAGGGAGAGAGAATGAGTGCCTAGCAAAGGGGGAAGCCCCTTATAAAACCATCAGATCTTGTGAAAACTCACCATCACGAGAACAGGATGGGGGAAACCACCCCCGTGATCCAATTATCTCCACCTGGTCCCTTCCATCACATGTGGGGATTATGAGGACTATAATTCAAGATCAGATTTGGGTGGGGACATGGCCAAACCATATCAATTATAATACATTATTGTCTTTTTTTTTTTTAAGAGGAAGTCTCACTCTCATCCCCCCAGGCTGGAGTGCAATGGCACCATCTGGACTCACTGCAACCTCTGCCTCCCGGGTTCAAGCAATTCTCCTGCCTCACCCTCCCGAGTAGCTGGGATTACAGGCGCCTGCCACCACACCCAGCTAATTTTTGTATTTTTAGTAGAGATGGGGTTTCACCAAGTTGGCCAGGCTGGTCTCAAACTCCTGACCTCAAGTGATCTGCCCACCTTGGCCTCCCAAAGTGCTGGGATTACAGGCGTGAGCCACCGTGCCCAGTAATACATTATTGCCTTTAAGGCAGGGACAGGGACATTGCCCTAAGAATCTTCTTCAATCTGCATGTTCTCTAGGTGGATAGTCAAGATTTCAAAGCTGCCGTTTAAGGATAACAATACTGGATTTCCAACACCATGTTGAATAGGAGTGGTGAGAGAGGGCATCCTTGCCTTGTGCCAGTTTTCAAAGGGAATGCTTCCAGTTTTTGCCCATTCAGTATGATATTGGCTGTGGGTTTGTCATAAATAGCTCTTATTATTTTGAGATACATTCCATCAATACCTAGTTTATTGAGAGTTTTTAGCATGAAGGTTGTTGAATTTTGTTGAAGGCCTTTTCTGCATCTATTGAGATAATCACGTGGTTTTTGTCGTTGGTTCTGTTTATGTGATGGATTATGTTTATTGATTTGCATATGTTGAACCAGCCTTGCATCCCAGGGATGAAGCCCACTTGATTGTGGTGGATAAGCTTTTTGATGCGCTGCTGGATTCAGTTTACCAGTATTTTATTGAGGATTTTTGCATCGATGTTCGTCAGGGATATTGATCTAAAATCCTCTTTTTTGTTGTGTCTCTGCCAGGCTTTGGTATCAGGATGATGCTGGCCTCATAAAATGAGTTAGGGACGGTTCCCTCTTTTTCTATTGATTGGAATAGTTTCAGAAGGAATGGTACCACCTCCTCTTGGTACCTCTGGTAGAATTCGGTGGTGAATCCATCTGGTTTTGGACTTTTTTGATTGGTAGGCTATTAATTATTGCCTCAATTTCAGAGCCTGTTATTGGTCTATTCAGAGATTCAACTTCTTCCTGGTTTAGTCTTGGGAGGCTGTATGTGTCCAGGAATTTATCCATTTCTTCTAGATTTTCTAGTTTATTTGCATAGAGGTGTTTATAATATTCTCTGATGGTAGTTTGTATTTCTGTGGGATCGGTGGTGATATCCCCTTTATCATTGTTTATTGCGTCTATTTGATTCTTCTCTCTTTTCTTCCTTATTAGTCTTGCTAGTGGTCTATCAATTTTGTTGATCTTTTCAAAACACCAGCTCCTGGATTCATTGATTTTTTGTAGTTTTTTTGTGTCTCTATCTCTTTCAGTTCTGCTCTGATCTTAGTTATTTCTTGCCTTCTGCTAGCTTTTGAATTAGCTCTTGCTTCTCTAGTTCTTTCAATTGTGATGTTAGGGTGTTGATTTTAGATCTTTCCTGCTTTCTCTTGTGGGCATTTAGTGCTATACATTTCCCTAGACACTGCTTTAAATGTGTCTCAGATTCTGGTACGTTGTGTCTTTGTTCTCATTGGTTTCAAAGAACATCTTTATTTCTGCCTTCATTTCGTTATTTACCCAGTAGTCATTCAGGAACAGGTTGTTTAGTCTCCATGTGGTTGTGCGGTTTTGAGTGAGTTTCTTAATCCTGAGTTCTAATTTGATTGCACTGTGGTCTGAGAGACGGTTTGTTGTAATTTCTATTATTTTACATTTGCTGAGGAGTGCTTTACTTCCAATTATGTGGCCAATTTTAGAATAAGTGTGATGTGCTGAGAAGAATGTATATTTTGTTGATTTGGGGTGGAGAGTTCTGTAGATGTCTATTAGGTCTGCTTGGTGCAGAGCTGAGTTCAGGTCCTGGATATCCTCATTAACCTTCTGTCTTGTTGATCTGTCTAATATTGACAGTGGGGTGTTAAAATCTCCCATTATTATTGTGTGGGAGTCTAAGTCACTTTGTAGGTCTCTAAGGACTTGCTTTATGAATCTGGGTGCTCCTGTATTGGGTGCATATATATTTAGGATAGTTAGCTCTTGTTGCTGAATTGACCCCTTTACCATTATTGAATGGCCTTCTTTGTCTCTTTTGATCTTTGTTGGTTTAAAGTCTGTTTTATCAGAGACTAGGATTTCAACCCCAAACACCGCAAGTTCTCAGTCATAGGTGGGAACTGAACAATGAGATCACTTGGACACAGGGCAGGGAACATCACACACTGGAGCCTGTTGGGGGATGGGGGGCTGGGGGAGGGATAACATTAGGAGAAACACCTAATGTAAATGATGAGTTGATGGGTGCAGCAAACCAACATGGCACATGTATACCTACGTATCAAACCTGCATGTTGTGCACATGTGCCCTAGTACTTAAATTTAAAAAAAAAAAAAAGAAAGAAAGAAAAAACTGGAATAATGGCAATGGCCAGGAGCATAGCACTATAAGGTTACCTGCCTTACTAAGATGGCCTGGGTTGCTTGATACAGACCTTTGGTTCTCTTTCTATTTTCAATTTCCCCATTATGTGAGTCATTGTTGCTGTCTGAATTCAGTTATTGTCTATTCTTTTAATCATTTGTATATATATTTTTTTAAATCTCAGAGCAATGAAAGAATGGTTGCAGTGGTCTCCCCTCTTCATAGCTGTTAAATGGACCATGAGCCAAGTAGTAAGTGGGTTAGTCACTGTGATACAGAATTAAGACATGAGTTTTATTTTCCATTGTAGAGTTACTCATTACTTCTCTGCTCCACAAATTCAGTCAAGTATTGTAGGTGCTCACTGAGGTCAACTGTCTTTCACTGCTCTGACATTCTCTAAATGTGAAATCTTTGTAGGGACTCATGGTCGTATACATCACCCTCTCTCAAGAGGCACAGTGAACTCTAGAAGTTTAACAGCCTAGGAGATCCAAAAACCTTCCCTATGGAGTGTTTAAGTCCTGGCTTTCTTCTCCTTAGCCTGATGGTTCTCAGACTTTAGTGTACATCACAAGCACTGAGAAGCTATTAAAAATCCATCTCCCCAGGCCCCACATTGTCTACTGAAGCAGATAGGCCAGGGTGACCTGGGGAGAAATCCCTCTCCCTTGTCTATGTAATGGGAAATCTTGAAGGGCTGTGGTGTGGAGAACCTTGCAAAGGTCAAGAAAGGCCCAAGGCCACTGCTAGTTTCTAAGATTCTAAGAATGTTAGAAAAGAGAAAAGTGTGAAAACAAGTTTCAAAAATGGTGAGCTATTTTAAAAATTTATATTTCATGAACTATTATCTGAAAAAATATGTATGTATATGATTGTGCTACTCTTATGGAAAGTTCAGAATTTTAAAATAGTCATTCAAAATGCACTACAGGCTACATAGTCTATTAAGGGTCCAAAAATCTAAAATTACATGATGAGTAAGTTCCTGGATTCTCTTGATGTGCTCCTGTGCTTGTGAGTATAACCAAATTTGAAGATAACATCAAAAGTCTAAATCTGAGGTCCTTCGTGAATGAGAGTAAGAATAAGGCTAAATGGCCCTCCTGCCACCCCCACCCCTAACACAGGCCAGCATTTGGAGATAATGAGCATAAAGCACCTACCACCGTACCCAGAACATAAGAAATGCTGGCTCTAATTATTAGTTTCTACTAATTTTCCACAATGCTATGAGGCAAATATGTAAATTAAGCACACAGTCAAAACTTCTGTGTTTATACATAGAATTCCCAAGGTGATCTCTTTATCCATGAACTTCTAATAACCATTATCTTGTTAAATGTGAATTTGATTACACCACTTGTTCAATGTCTGTTTAGCTACGTTTATTCTTTGTTTTTACAAGCAGCAGTCCAAGAGTGAAATTCTACTAGAGCAGGAATTCTTAACCTTGTATTATGAATTCCCTAGAGGGATGGTGAAGGCCACAAAATTTGGTGCAAAACGTTGTACACCTATGTGTGTATTTCCTTTAGGAAGGTATCAAAAGCATCTATAATATTTTCAAATAGAATCAGAACCCAGAAAATTTAAAATCCTAAATGCAGAGTATCGGGGTGTGCTCACACTCTTCCCAAGCTGCACACACAATGCAGCATCGAAGTCCTAGAATCCCAAAGTACTTGATGATGATGGACAAGCCAGGAGGTGATCCCAAGACAACTTGACACCTCCAGGTCTACTTGGTCTGTGCATTAATTTCCCAGGGCTGCTGTAACAAAGTACCTCAAAGTGGATGGCTTAAAACGGAAATTTGGACTGGACGCAGTGGCTCACGCCTGTAATCCCAGCACTTTGGGAGGCCGAGGCGGGTGGATCACGAGGTCAGGAGATAGACACCATCCTGACTAACGCGGTGAAACCCCGTCTCTACTAAAAGATACAAAAAATTAGTCGGGCGTGGTGGCGGGCGCCTGTAGTCCCAGCTACTCGGGAGTCTGAGGCAGGAGAATGGCGTGAACCTGGGAGGCGGAGCTTGCAGTGAGCTGAGACCACGCACCACTGCACTCCAGCCTGGGCGACAGAGAGACACTCCGTCTCAAAATAAATAAATAAACAAACAAACAAACCAGAAATTTGGTTCTCAGAGTTATGGAGGCCAGAAGTCTGAAATCAAGGTGTCAGCAGGGCCATGCTTCCTCTGAGACATCTTGGAAAGGATACTTTTTGGCTCTTACAGATTATGGTAGCCTCAGGCATTCCTTTGTTTCGTGAAAGAAAAACTAATCTCTGCCTCTGTCTTCACATGGTCACCTTCCTGTGTCTCTGTGTCTGAATTTTATTCTTCTAAGGATAACAGTCATATTGTATTACTGGCTATTAAAATTAATTGGGAGGCCATTAGGCTGAGACAGCCTTAGCACCTTGGGTTCCTACCTAAGCAAATAGAAACATAATGTAAACCGCAAAATGAAACTTACCTTAACCAATCAGAAACTGCCAGCTAACCTCTACTAGGGACTTTAAGGCTACTGCTCCAATTTAACCAATCAAATCTTTTTCTTTCACCTGCATCTTATAAAAGTTTCCTCATCACATCCCTTTGGTGTAAGCCAAAAAACTTGTGGTTTGTCACTGCACAATTCATGAATCACCGTCTGCTCAAATAAACTCTTTAAAATTTCAATGTGCCTAACTCTTTAACAGGGCCCACCCTACTCCAGTGTAACCTTACCTTAACTAATTGCACCTGCAACAAACCTACTTTCAAAAAAGTCATATTCTGAGCTACTGGGAGCAAGGTCATATTTTGTGGTGTGGCCGGGGACACAATTCATCCCATACTAGGCTCTATTCTTCCATTTGTTTTGCTTATAAAAAGAAGGAACAGACAACCAGCACGTATTGAGATTTTCTCTATGCCTCCATCTGTGCTGATGCTTTAATCCTCACAAACTCCATGGTCACCAAAGAAAATTAAGACTCAAATCAGGTAACTTGCTTGGTGATGAGAACTAATAAAATGCCAAGTTTGAATATGAGTTTCTGTGACACCACAGTGACATTCACATGCAGTTTTTGACAATACTAATGCAACATCCCAGGACAAATCTCAGGGGAAAATATGATCTCTAGGCAAATAAAACATCAACAAATTAAGCACTTTATCATCTGTATGAGAGAGAATCACAAGCAAAGCAATGCTGAAGTTAAAAGGCTAACCTTAAAACTTGACCTTAAAAGATACTTAAAGTAATATTGGAAGATTCTCAACTAGTATACTTCTTTATATTTTATTCAGAGTCTATAAGATAGCATTTTTTTTAAAGTTATGTCTTCTGCTTTTTGGTGATTACAGTGTTTCGTATGAAAAAATTTGATTCTAAAGAAATACATAAGGTGACACAATGCCACGATTTTTCCCCTAAAAAAAAATAAATATATACAAACGTATGTATCATGAAATACGCCAGACATAAAAATGAAAAGTACTTAAGACTCTTAAATGCAGTCAACATTACTTTTTTATAACATGACAAATAAAATACTACATAGCTAAGCTTTTCAAACCTCCAAAAGCATTGCAAAATTCTTATACACCCACTCTCGAAAAAAGCTATTTGATTTTTTTTCTGAAAGACATCATCTCGCATTAGAAGTCACAAAGACGTGAACTTCTCATTTTCTACACAAGGTACACAAGGACAGTGAAATTGAAATCATCAGTGGGGTCCATAAAATGCTAAAATTGAAGGATTTTAATAAGAGATCATTTTACTTTATTACAGTTTATGCATAATATTATCTCATCTCAAAATTTACCTAGGCTCATCCTTCCCAGTTCATAAAACAAGCTACGTGGAACAGTGGAAAGGGTGTCAATCTGCATGGAAGTAGAGGTGGGAGGTGGGGCATGAGCAAGGAAGTAAAAGTTGATGGGAAAAGGGGAAACCCAGAAGACTGCAGGTCTCCACTCCCTCACAACTAAAGGGCTGAACCTCCAAACATGCAGATCTGCCCCAAGTACATCACAAAGGAAAAATAGGGTTAGTTCAAGTATACTGGGCCACTCAAGAAGTCCAACTTGCCCAAATGATCTCGAGCTTATTTCTAATTTGTATGAAGAATAAGAAAAGTATTTCTAATTAATGTTGATGATAGCAAGCCTATTCATTTTAAATAGTACAAAAAGAACAATGTGTTTTATCTGCAATGTGCATATACAGTTTTTATGGCTATACATTCATTTCATAAGACATTTATAGAAAAAAACTGTGTGATGCCATAGAAGGGGCATTATTAGCCCGGGTATGAACAGACCTAGAATGCAAGGTGAGGCCTGCCATTGACGGATGTGTGAGCTTGACCAGTCATTTAGTTCTCTGAACTTTATCTTTTCAATTTGTGTTTTTCTTCAAACTCTTGTGCTTTATATTATTCAGAATATTTTTACTATTTTAAAATAACTTTTTAAAAATTGATAGGTCTTTACTTTTAAAAAAAGTAAACAGGGTAAGCAACGGCATGGTCAAAAATTATATATTTTAAAAACCAAGTACCTGTCTTTAATCAAAACACAGTGAGTTGGCCGATTCAATTAAGACAGAAAATATAATTCCCAGTGTCTTAAATTTCACTTTCAAATTACTACATGCTTATCATAAATGAAGGCAAAAAGAGAAAATATTAGCACAAAATAATTTTGATTTTAAAAGGGCTGTTTAGTCAGTCATTCTGACATCATCATCAACGAACTAGACTGGTTTCACTAACAAAAACTGATTGAATTCCATAAATGCACTATCTGCCATGCTTAAACATCTCCTTGCTGAAATAGAGAAACGGCATGGGATTTAGCATCAATTGTATGTATGACCAGTTTGCAATAAATATTGCTTGAATTAGATGTGATTTGATTTGTCATGACTTTTGCATCCCCAGAAACCCAGTAGGAGCTTAGCTGTTAAGAGGAACTCAAGCATAGAGTTCTTTTGTTAATCATTAATGGCCACATTCTGCCAAAATTTAATTTCCATAGCTGCCAAGCACAAAAGTTCAGTTGTCTCCTGAATGCTAGCACTACAGTCTAATCTAATAATGAACATTGTAGCTCACCCTCAGCTATAAACAATCACACAAAGAGTATAACCCTTAACCCTGCAGATAAGTGGGTCAGAAACCACTAACCCAGGATAACAGCATGAAGGAAATTACTAATAAATTTTGTTATGTGATCAGATTAACAAACACATTTAAGATTATCTCTAAAGGCAATGAAAGAAAAACAACTCTCCACAATCCCCTTTTCCTCGACCCCAATTCAACTTGAAATTTAACCTGAAAAACTAGACAGATAGAGTCATATTTAATGATAAATTATAATAGTTAACACTTACTTAATGCTCTTATGTGTTGGATACATTACATATACTATTTCATTTAATCATCACAACAAATTTATAAAATAGGTACTTAATATTAAATTTATTTTATAGATGAACTAACTTTGGCTTAGTCAAGTTAAGAAACTTCCCAAGGTCACACAACCAGAACTGGGGTTTGATCCACCCCAACACCAGAGGCCAGGGTTAAGAACATACACTCTAAAATATGTATAATGAATATAGAAGGATTTCATGAAATTACTTTTGATGAAATAAGTTTAAAAATTGCAAGATGATAATTTTTATTATGTGTGTAAAATATATCCACATTTATTCATAGAAAAAGATCTGAAATGAAGTACTCAGAGGAATGGTGCTTATTTCTGAAGGATGGAGTATGGGTGAAAATGAATTCTTTATCAATATTTTTACCTTTTCTACAATGATTTATGTTATTTTTGATATATTGTTTTAATTAAAAAACAAAGTTATTTTGATAATAAAAATAAACCAAAGTTTATATCATCAGAGGTGGAAATAATAGAATAGATATATTTTAATAATGAATTTAAGAGAAAAATGGAAAACCTTTATGAATTTTTTTTTTTTTTTTTTTTTTTTGAGAAGAAGTCTCACTCTGTTGCCTAGGCTGGAGTATAGTGGCACAATCTCGGCTCGCTGCAACCTCCAACTCCCGGGTTCAAGTGATTCTCCTGCCTCAGCCTCCCCAGTGGCTGGGATTACAGGTGCCCACCACCACACGCGACTAATGTTTGTATTTTTAGTAGAGACGGAGTTTCATCATGTTGGCCAGGCTGGTCTTGAACTCCTGACCTCAAGTGATACGCCCGCCTCAGCCTCCCAAAGTGCTGGGATTATAGGCGTGAGCCACCGATCCTGGCCGAAAATTTTAAAGACAAGAAATAAGTGGGAATTAACAAAGGTCATACTATCTAAAAGTCTTGCAGTTATGAGGCAGGATAGGTAGTCAAGGAAGTGACTATGTTCTCAGGACGCAGCAACCATGATGACCATAGAGTCAATACAATAAGCCTTAGCATTCACATTGTAATTGTGCTCATTCAAGCAAAGCTATCTTCAGTAGAGACTTTCCCTTCTAGAGAGCACACACATTTTGATTTTACCTGTCCTCAAACTGAGCCTTTGCTCATTATAATAGTACAAAACACACCCCTAATTGAATATTTAAGATACTAACGAGACATGCGACGTATGAACAAGTATATACAGCTACTGCATATGTGCACCCAGAGAAACACCCAGAACATGCTTACTAGTAACACCTCCTTCCACCTCCTTATGAATAATCATGTAAGACTCCCATAAAGGGAGTCTCCCTAGTGCCAGTCTTTGCTGTCTCAACCTTATGAACAGCCCACCCTGAATCCTCCCTCCCTGTGTGTATGTGTGTGTGTGTGTGTACCGTCTATCCTGCACTTAACTTTCAAAATACTTTTTATTTTGTAATAAATTACTCTATGCCACATCTCCTTTGCTGTGTGTCTCTTGTTTCAAGTCTTTTAAACCAAGAACATAAGAACTGAGGTATTACATCAGACATCAATAGTCACATGTGAAGTGATAATCATATTGTCTTAGTCCATTCTGGCTGCTGTATAAAAAACAAACTGCGTGGCTTATAAACAACAGAAATTTATTTCTTACAGCTCTGGAAGCTAGAAAGTCCAAGATCAAGACACTGGCAGACTTGGTGTCTGGTGAAGGCCAATTATTAGTCCACAGATGACACATTTTCACTGAGTTCTTGCACAGTGGAAGGGGCAAGGCAGCTCTCTAAGGCCTCTTTTCTAAGGGCACTAATCCCATTCATGGGGGCTTTGCACTCGTGACCTAATCATCCCCCAGAAGATCTTACTTCCTAATAGGATCACTTTGGGGTTTAGGATTTCAACACGTAAATTCTGGGGAGATACAACATTCAGGTACCATAGCATATATTAATTGGAGAATCCAGTATTTTCTGGGGAGCATTTTATAAATGTATTTAATAAGAATCAATTTCTTGACAATTCACAAATGAAAGACACAAAGTATTATGCTAGCCATGCTAAGACCAGAGTTTACTCATCTTAACAGGATAGTAATATTCCTGAGCAAGAATGATCATAGAACCTAACCTCTTACCCCACTACCAGAAGGAAAGTATATGCTCCAGATTCCTCTGCCCCTAATTAACATAAGATTAAATCAAACAGTTGGAAGTAAGAAACTAACAGCTCTAAGAGGAAACTGTAAATCCAACAATAAATCTCCATGGTTCTACAACTCATCAGTTTCATCCTTTCTTCCTGAAAATGCTATTCTTTTAACTGCTTAATTTTATATTGATTGGAATTCACATCAGTTATAATCATAGTAGTTATTATGTAGTACATTCATTTATATTTTTAATAATTCAGTTTACACTATTGCATATATACAATAACTTCCTAAAATAGAGTACAGAGGTGAGAATCAAAGACACCATATTTTTATGTGTAGCCCCCGACTTGTTTATACTAATCTTTTTATTTTTTCTGAGCATGGCACCTCTCAGAGTAGGGCTTTGAGTGGCTAATGCCTGGTCCTTTGGCCTGAGATCTGAGAGAGTGGTGAATATTGTCATTGAACACTAATTCACGAGTGAGGGTTAAAGGTACAAATTATTCAATGTTTCCCATAAGGCAAAGGATTATGGTACTAAAGTCAGAAAAGGCATCAAGAATTTCATCATTTGAAAGATCAGTATGATCACACTTGCTCTATGGAAACATGTGTTAAAGGACAGTTTTTTAAAAGGCAAAATCATGACTCTCATACAAATGTAAAATGAACATATGTCAAGATTTTAACTTATTAATGGAGAGAATTAGTAAGATGTCAAAAACAGCTTAAGTGAATATTCAAAGGACACATATATAGCCAATGCTGAAATGAGTTTGCCAATAGATGCAAAATTGTCAATATCCAAGCCCAGTAAAATGTAATGTCTGGCCCAACCACTGCTACTGGTGCCTGAGCGTGCCATCTGGGATCCTGGCAATGGATCTGCCTACTTACTGCTGCTGGAGCCCACACACAACGTGAGGGGACTTGACAACAGGCCCATGATGCCCACTACCATCAGTGCCTATGTGTGCCATTCAGAGGCTTGAGTATGGGCCTGTATCACCCACCACCACCACTACCATTACTGGCACACACGCACACACACACCATTCAG
Source organism: Homo sapiens (assembly GCF_000001405.40). Taxonomy (NCBI): domain Eukaryota; kingdom Metazoa; phylum Chordata; class Mammalia; order Primates; family Hominidae; genus Homo; species Homo sapiens. Next base: position 126,257,199 of record NC_000005.10, read on the forward strand.
AGGCCTGGAGATTGACCCACCCTGCCCACTGTAGTCCATGCCCATGCACACCACCAGGGAACCTAAGGACAGGCCCTCCCTACCCACAGCCTTCACCTGTAGCACATGTATATTCAGAGACCTGGGGATCAATCCATCCCACCCACCACCATTGGCACCTTCCAGGGGCCTGAGGATGGACCTACACAGCCTGCCACTGCCACCACCAGCAGCAACCATCTGCACGTGCCACCTAGCACTGGTCTGCCCAGCCTGCTGCACCACGACTGGCACCTGCATGTGATGTTTGGGGGCCTGAGGGTTGACCTACCATTGCTATTGCCATTGCCAATGCCATACACACTGCCCACCCACTTAGCCCACCACTGCCACTGTCAGCACACAAGCAAGATACATGAAAACCCAAGGATTGGCCTGCCTGAACTCATTACCACCAATGCTCATGTATGCTGCCTGGAGGCCCAATAACTGCCATACCCAGCCTACTGCTGCCAGCACTGAGGCCTGAGGACCATCCTGCCTGACATCCCAATTTCCAGCAAAGCCATGCTACAGCCTGCACTACAAATGGACCCTGAGGAATCCACAGTCACCGATTACAGCAAAAGAAATAAACAGAGACCACATATTTTACCCACCCAGAATCAAAACCAAAGTGCCCTGCCCAACCAAAACTACAGATACATCTATTTTTAAAAGTATTTCTCTACAAATTCCAATCCATAAAATCGGAAGAAACAATTGTAACATCAGATGCACAGATATCAATATAAGAACACAAGAAACATGAAAAGTCAAGAAAATGTGACACTTTCAAAGGAACACAATAATTCCCCAATGACAGATTCCAACAAAAAGGAAATCCATAAAATGCCTGACAAAGAATTCAAAAAGACATTTTTAAAACTCAGTGAGACACAAAAGACCACAGATAAACCATACAAAGAAATCAGGAAAACAATTCATGATCTGAATGAGAAATTCAAAAAGATAGATATCATAAAAAAGAACGAAATATTCTAGAACTAAAGAATTCAATGGATTAAAAAAAAACACCATTAAGAGCTTAAACACTAGGCTAGAACAAGCAGAAGAAAGAATTTCTGAACTTCAAGACAGGTCTTTTGAAATAGCCCAGGCAGATAAAAAGAATAAATTATAAAAAAAAAAAAAAATGAAGAAAGCCAAGTAGTATAAGAGACACCATAAAGTGACCAAATATTCAAATGTAGGGAGTTCCAGGAGAAAAGATGGGCAAAGGCATAGAAAACCTATTTTTAAAAACAGATGAAAATTTCCCAAGCCTTGCAAGAAATATAGACAGTTAGATAAGGGAAGCTCAATGATTCCCCAAACAGATTTAATCTAAAGAGGTCTTTTCCAAGGAAGATTATAGTCAAACTGTCAAAAGTCAAAGATAAAGAGAAGAATCTAAAAATAGCAACAGAGGCTGGCACAGTGGCTCACGTCTATAATCATAGCACATTGGGAGGCCAAGGCAGGTGGATCGCCTGAGCTCAGGAGATCAAGGCAAGCCTGGGCAACATGGCTGATATGGTTTGGCTCTTTGTCCCCAACCAAATCTCACCTTGAATTGTATTAATTGTATAATCCCCATCTGTCAAGGGTGGGACCAGGTGGAGATAATTGAATCATTGGGGGCAGTTTCCCCCATTCTGTTCTCATGATAGTGAGTTCTCACAAGATCTGATGGTTTTATAAGGGGCTTCCCCCTTTGCTCAGCACTCATTCTCTCTCCTGCCACCCTGTGAAGAGGTGCCTTCCACCATGATTGTAAGTTTCCTGGGGCCTCCCCAGCCATATGGAACTGAGTCAATTAAACCTCTTTCTTAATAAATTACCCAGTCTCAGCTATTTCTTTATAGCAGTGTGAGAATGGACTAATACAATGGCAAAACCCCATCTCTACTAAAAATACAAAAATTAGCTGGGTGTGGTGGCACATGCCTATAGTCCGAGCTACTCATGAGGCTAGGAGGCGGACATTGCAGTGAGCTGAGATCACACTACTGCACTTCAGCCTGGGCAACAAAGCAATACTCTGTCTTTAAAAAAGTAATAATAATAATAAATAAAATAAATAAAAATAGCAACAGAAAAGCATCAAGTCACATATGAAGGAATTCCATCAAACTAACAGCATATTTCTCAGTAGAAACCTTATAGGCCAGGAGACAATGGAATGATATATTCAAATTGCTGAAAGAAAAAAAAAAGAAAAACCTTGCCAACAAAAATAATATACCCAGCAAAGCTATCCTTCAAAATTGAAGGGGAGATAAAGTCTTTCCCAGACAGGCGAAAACTGAGGGAATTCATTACCATAACCAGCCCTGCAAGAAAAGCTTAAGAGAGTCCTATGTCTGGAAGTGAAAGGACAACTACCACCATCATGAAAACATATCACAGTATAAAACTCACTGGTAGAGCAGACATACAAATGAAAAAGAGAAAGGAGTCAAATGTTATCACTACAGAAAACCACAAAACTGCAATGACAAACAATGAGAAAAGAAGAAAGGAACAAAGGACATACAAAAAATAGGAAACAATTAACAAAATGACAGGAATAAATCCTCACCTATCAATAACCTTGAATGTAAATGGATTACATCAGCTATGTAAAAGAAACAGACTGGCTGAATAAATTTTAAAAATGTGATTCAACTGTACACTGCCTACCGGAAACTCACTTCACCTGTAAAGATACACAGACTGAACGTGAAGGGATGGAAAAAGATATTCCCTAGAAATGGAAAAAAAACAAAAAAAAAAACAAGCAGAAGTAGCTATACTTACGTCAGATAAAACAGACTTTAAGTCAAAAACTGTAATGATACAAAGAAGATTATATAACAAAGAGATCAATCTGGCAAAAAAGATAACAGCAATTCTAAATATATATGCACCCAACACCAGAGTACTCAAGATATAGAAAGCAAATATTATTATACCTATGGGGAGGATAGATTCCAATACAGTTAACAGTTGGAGACTTCAGCACCCCACTCTCATCATTGGACAGATCATCTAGACAGGAAATCCACCAAAAAAATTGAATTTAAACTACATTTTAGACCTATCAGACATTTACAGTTTTCATCTAACCGCTGAATACACATTCTTCTAATCAGCACATGGAACATTCTCTAAAATAGACCATATGTTAGGCCACCAAACAACTCTCAGCAAATGTTTAAAAATTAAAATAATTTCAAGTATCGTCTCAGACCACAGTGAAATAAAACTAGAAATCCATAATGAGAGAAACTTGGGAAACTGTATAAACACATGGAAATTAAACAACATGCTCCATAATAACTATTGGGTCAATGAAGAAGTTCAGAAGAAAATCAAAAAATTGCTTGAAACAAGTAAAAATATAAATACAACATACCAAAACCTACAGAATACAGCAAAAGCAGTGCTAAGAGGGAAGGTTATAGCAATAAATGCCTACATTATAAAATAACATTTTAAATAAACAACCTAGAAAAGCAATAACGAACCAAACCCAAAATTAGTAGAAAGAAAAACGTAGAGATCTCACAGCAACATTAAACAAAATAGAGACTGGAAAAAAATACAAAGAATCAACCAAAATGAAAAGTTGGGTTTTGTTAAGGTAAACAAAATCAATAAACCATTAGCTAGACTAACCAAGAATAAGAGAGAAGACACAAATAAATAAAATCACAAGCAAAAAAAGGAGAAATTGCAACTTAAGCCACAAAAATGTAAAAAACCATTACAGACTATTGTAAACAACTCTTCACTAACAAACTAGAAAACCTAGAGGAAATGGATAAATAAAAGTTTGCACTTCTATACACCAATAACAAAACCCTGATACCAAAACCTGGACACATAAAGCCTATCTAGATTTTCCCTGCTGGACTATCAGCTCAGGGAAAAAACAAACAAACAAACAAAAAACACCAACCATGAAGAAATAGAAAAGCTGAACAGACCAATAATGAGTAATGAGATTAAATCAGTAATAAAGATTCCCAATAAAGAAAAGCCCAGGACCAAATGGCTTCAATGTTGAATTCTAGCTAACTTATAAAGAACTAACACCAATTCTTCTCAAAACTATTTCAAAACTTTAAAGAGAAGAGAATTCTTCCTACTCATTCTATGCATTACCCTGATACCAAACCTGACAAGAACTCAACAAAAAATGAAAACTATGGGCCAACATCCCTCAAACATAGACACAAAAATTCTCAACAGAATACTAGTAAACTGAACAATTCTATCAAAAACTACATGATCAAGGATGCAAAGATAATTTAACATAAGCAAATCAATAAATGTGATATGTCACATTGACAGATTGAAGCACAAAAATCATATGATCATCTCCATAGATGTAGAAAAAGCATTGGATAAAATTCAACATCCCTTCATATAAAACTCTTAACAAATTAGGCATAGAAGGAACATACCTCAGCAAAATAAAAACCACATATGACAAACCCACAGCTAACATCATTTTCTTAGAGGAAAGGCAGCTTTTCCTCTAAGAACTGAAATAAGACAAGAATGCCCACTTTTACCACTCTTATTCAGCATAATACTAGAAATTATACCCAAAGCAATCAGAGTAAGACAAAGAAATGAAAGGCATTAAATTAGAAAAGAAGAAGTGAAATTTTTCCTCTTTGCAGATGACGTGATATGATCTTATACAGAGAAAAACCTAAAGACTACTAAAAATTTCTTAGAACTGATAAATTTAATAAAGTTGCAGGATACAAAATCAACATATAAAAATTAGTAGCATTTCTATACATCAATAACAAATTAGGTGAAAAATCAAGAAAGCAATCCATTTACAATGGCTACCCAAAAACTAACTAGAATAAATTTAATCAAGAAGATGAAAGACTTCTACATGGAAAACCACAAAACACTGATGAAAGAAATTGAAGAGGACACAAACAAAAGGAAATAGATCCCATGCTCATAGATTGGAAAGATTAACATTGTTAAAATGACCATACTTCCCAAAGCAATCTACAGATACAACGCAATCTTTATTTTCTTAAAAAAAGTCATTTTTCACAGAAATAAAAAAAAATTACAAAATTTATATGGAACCACAAAAGATTCTGAATAGCCAAAGCAATCCTGAGCAAAAAAGAACAAAGCTGGAGATATCACACTACCTGACTTCCAAATCTGTGACAAGGCTATAGTAACTAAAGCAGCATGGCATTAGCATAAAAACAGACACATGGAGAATCTAGAAATAAATCCACAAATTTACAGCCAACTGATTTCCAACAAAGGCACCATGAACACACATTGGGGAAAGAATACTCTTTGCGGGCCAGGCACGGTGGCTCACGCCTGTAATCCCAGCACTTTGGGAGGCCAAGGTAGGTGGATCACAAGGTCAGGAGTTTGAGACCAGCCTGGCTAAGGTGGTGAAACCCTGTCCCTACTAAAAATACAAAAATTAGCCAGTCATGGTGGCACGCACCTGTAATCATAGCTACTTGGGAGGCTGAGGCAGAAGGATCACTTGAACCTGCGAGGCAGAGGTTGCAGTGAGCCAAGATGGCGCCACTGCATTCCAGAGCATAGGCAACAGAGCAAGACTCTGTCTTTAAAAAAAAAAGAAAAAGAAAAAGAATACTCCTTTCAATAAATGGTACAGGGAAAACTGGATATCCACATAAAGGATAAAATTAAAACCCTACCTTTCACCATACACAAAAATCAACTCAATAGGGGTTAAAGACTTAATCATGAGGCCCAAAATTTAAAAAGTATTAGAAAAAACAGGGGAAATTTTTCAGGACATTGGTCTAGGCAAAAATCTTATGGCTAAAACTCCAAAAGCACAGCCAACAAAAACAGACAAATGGAACAAGATGAAACTAAAGCTTTTGCACACCAAACAAAACAATCAGAGTGAAGAGATTCTGTAGAATTTGCAAACTATTCATTCAACAAGGGATTAATATCTAAAATATACAAGGAACTCAGCTCAACAGCAATAAAACAAGTAATCCCATTAAAACATGGGCAAATGATCTGAACAGGTATTTCTCCTTTGATTCTCACAGCCTCCCCTGGAGAAGGTAGGAGCCATGGCAGTATTGCCATTTTATAGACAAAATAACTGAGGCTATTTTATATTGCCATTTTATAGACAAAATAACTGAGGCATAGAGGATAGATGATTTGCTCCAGTCCAGAGAGTTTGAAGTGGCAGTTCCAGGTCTGGAAATTACATCATCCATCTGGAAGCCCAAATCTCATTCTTTTCTACCCATGCCACAGGTGTAATATAGGTGTGACTAGCAATATGCTTTTAGAATTGTCCAGCAGATATAACACATTTAACACTGAGATCCTAGATTTTAAGTTGATTAGGTATCTGTAATAAGACTTCAGCACTACAGAGAAAGACCTTAAAACATCAAGACCTGCAGACGACAGAAGCAAGAAGTCTCTATAATTAGAATCTGCCCTCTATTCATAGCCCCTGGCTCCTCTAGTCTCTTATCACTTCACAGCGCCCACCACCACCCCTCCGCCGCACAACCCCCAACACTGGGTCTGGAATCCTATTAATGTGAAGCTGTAGGACTCAAACCCACCTAGTTCAAGGGACTATGACTGTTGCATTATCCCTCCCATTTAAATCACAGCAGCAGCAGAAATCTTGAGGCCAATGATTAAGCCCTCCAGCTATTAACTTGATAATCTGGCTACTAAATCCTTTTAACTGCACTGATTTTCGACACAGGAACATCCTTACTTCCAGCTGGGCTATCATCCCAGGCCACTTCCCTTTCTAAATCGCTGCTACATTTCTCCCTGCATGCCTGCCTGTACACTGTATACAGGATCAGCTCAGAGTAAATCTATTAGCAATATAGGAAACATCTCACAGAGAATGAATTTTACTGATATCATACAGTAACTGTCAGTCATAGCTGCTCCTTTGCCCTCGTGCTGGCCACATTAAATAAATTAACATATTGGCCAGTGTTCTTATTGTTTGTGTTCTTTGGATAGTTTGTATTATTTTTATCATGGTTATTTTTGAGATATATATACATATGGAGGGAAAAAGAATAAGCACAGTTTCAACTTCTTTTATGAAGCAACCTACCTATGATTATATTCTTGAAAAGACATTGCTAGATTATTTGGAGCTAGCTGTCAGAAAAGAATCTAAAAGAAGCTAATTCTTAATGCTTTGGAAAGCAATTGTCTTCTTAGAATTTCAAAGGGAAGAAGGAATTTTCTGAAGAAGTGTTTTTAGAAGATGCTTCTGTTCTTTTCTAATTTCCTCCACTCAAAAAATTATTTTAAAAAAAGAAATTCAAGTTTCACTCAAAGTCAGCATCAAAATCTGTATTTTCAAACTTCTTTCAAATATTTTAAAACGCTTGACCTCCATCCTCTCTATAGAGCTATTCCTTTTGTTCTTACCACAGTTCTTCAAATGCCTAAGTCTCATAGATTGGAGACTTGTATTAGATATTAATGCAGAACAATTTTATGTCATTTTAAGAGGAAGTATCTTTGCCTATATGTGAAAGCAAGAATAAATTTCATGAAATCAAATATTTTTGACAGTTATTACATTTTCACATTTGTGTAGCCAAACTACAAAACCTAAGTCAGGGGCCTTCATCTGGTGTATCTCAGCTTTTCCTATATGGCTACCTTCACAGTGAGAAAATAATTGAAATATATATATATATATACACACACATACACACACACACACACACGTACACACACACACACACACACAAATTCAGAGATTTATGCCTGAAAATTCATCACAAATGTGTGGTTTTTTTTTTTTAAGTTAGATGAGTAGTTTGGGTTTTTTGAGGGTGGCCCACTGTTTTCTTCAAAATTTATCAGAAAGGAAATTTAAGTAAAGGAAGAATAAGCAAAGGTAAACAGAGAGGAAGGAAAAGTAATTCTGCCAGAAAAGATGACCCATTTTATTGGGTAAGATTTCACCCAGAACAAAAGAAAAAGACATTGTAGGGGTAGGTCCAAAGTGGTAAAGACTCACACTTTGTATATTTCCAGACTGTAATTGTGGGTATCAACTCCCCACAGACTAACATTGAGATCATCAGGCCTCTAACTGCAGGCACCAAAGTTGTTTTTGATAGCAGCGGGAGACAGACAAATTCCAAGGCAAACAGTGATGGGTCCCCGGTGAAACCTGACCTTCAAGCCAACGACAGCCTGAAGCGTGAAAACCAAGCTGCCATTTCCAGGTGGAGTCCAAGACCAGAGTAAGAACTTCGAGTCCTTTTAGCCAATCAAATTGTGCCTTTTCCAGTCCCACTCATAGACCAATTAGCATGAACTCCCCCATTCTGAGCCCATAAAAAACCCTGACTCAGCCTCACAGCTACCTGCTTTCTGGCCCCCTCTCACACAAAGGGCCACCTACTTTGGGTCCCCTCTTGTGTTGAGAGTTTTTCTGTTGCTCAATAAAACTCTTTTCTGTCTTGCTCACTCTCTGGTATCCACCTACCTCATTCCTCTTGGTTGGGGGACAAGAACTCAGAAGTCACCCAACAGTGGGTGTGAAAACAGCTGTAACACTGTACCCTCTCTCCCACTCAATGAGAGCAGCAGAGGAGAAAAAGCTGCTGGGCACCGCACACCCCAATTCGCTGAACTGCTAGTGGTAAGAGCAAACAAGCTGTGACACAGCCTGTTTGCCAAAGCAGCAAGCAACAAGAGCAAATGAGAGCTGTAACTCTTCCTGGGGGCTCAGACTGCAGGACTCCCTGAGCAAAAGCTGTACCACCCCTTGGGGCTCCACAGTTGGCGCTGCTGCATTCCCCTCGTCTAAATGCTGGCACCCAAAGCAGAAGCTGGTTGCAGCATGCCCAGACCAGCCACAGGCTGAGTGCAGAGCCATGGCACACATGAGATCTGGGCCAGTAGCACAAGTCAAGCGCAGCCTGCCAGGCTGAGTGGGCAGGGTGAGCCCAGTGGGCCCAAGTGAAGCCCAGGCAGAAGCATTGCTGGCCATGGAGATTTCCAGCTGGTGAAGCGGCACTGAAAGAATTCTGTCATCTCCTCCCCCAATACAAGGGATCCAGGGCTCACCTGGGGTCCAACAATTGCTCTTGGAAGCACTTTTACTGGGTGTCCAGAAAATGAGTGACCTTAATTTAGAAGCTCAAGTGAGGCCTGTAAATTACTGCCAGGCACTCTGCAACTGAGAATAACTGGAGCAAGTGGAAGAAAGTTCCCACTGATATGAAGAATGACTGCCAACCAAACTGGTCTTCTTAGACCCTGGCCAGCTTCTGAGCAGTGAAACCAAGCCCATCCTTCACTGTGGTTTCTTCCTCAGCCCTCTTGCTACCATTTTGCTAATTTCAGCTCTGTGCCCCAGGCATTCAGCCTCCTCCTCCTTCTGCAGCATCACAAGCTTCCCATCTACATTGTCTTTATCCAGTCCCACCAAAAGTCTTGTTCTCTTATTTTCCTTCATGATAGCCTGAGTGACTCTTCAGGAAGAGCTTCACTTATCTATAAAATATTCAAATCATAAGCAACGAAAAAGTAGTTCCACATCCATGGGATGGTTGGAGGTTGCAGGGACAGGGGAAATGTACATAGATGTCTTGAAAAAACATAACCCCCTCTTTGAGTTTGTCTTTTTAAAATATTTTTACCGATAAATTGTAATTGTATACATTTATGGGGTAGACACTTCTTTGACTCTTCCTTAACGAAATCCTACATAAAGGAAAAAAGTTTCTATTGCCATCAAACTACATCCAACACTCATCCGGATTCTGCTATAGATACTAAGATTTCCCAAACATGCACCCAACTTGTGAGCAACAGTTGAATTAGCAATTCGTGCACACAATTTCAACATTTCGCTCTTCATTATAGGAATACAATAGAAACTGGTGAGGTGGCAGGGGAGAAAAGTGAAAAAGAGAGAAAGTTACCATGTTATTGAACTATAGATGGTGCATCTACACCACAAGACTCAAAAGATTTTAAAAATTGGCTGTTGTGCAGGAAAGCGGTGGGAAGAGGAGAGGGAAAGGAACCTGGGGAGAGCTTTCTGTGTGAGGGGAAGGAGGCAGCCTTTCTCTTTGAAAAGCGGATGAAGGTTAAGCCCTTGGGGAACTCTGATGATTCTCTTTCATGAACAAGCACATCTTAAACACAGCTCTCTTGAGAAGTGGCATCACCATTTCATTTCATTTCATGTTCAAGGTCACGAAAATGCTCCAAAAATAAGTTTGAAGCAGGAGCAAAACGGAAGGAAGCAAAAAAGCAGCTTTGACAACAAGATGATTATGTGAACAGGTAGGTATATTGTGCAGTAGCTCACGGCTCTTATCCTGCCAAGTCAGTCATTTAGTCCCTGCGGATATGGCCTTTGAGCCTCTTTCTTCCCCTAATGACTCAGCCTGTTTTCAGTGGCTGCTCCCTCATGGGAAGAAAGATGACAGAGGACATACACAGTAATCAGAGAAATTAGTTTTGGAAGATCATATAATACCAATCCTAATACAAAAGGACACTGTTCAAAGAAAAACAGAGTCTGGTGTTTCTTCAGGGTCACTGTCAGAGGCCCTGGACAAGCAGTGTCATAGTGAACCTGGAGTGTTTTAGAGAATGCAGCAGAAATGGACCCCATATATTAAATGCCTCTGATACCCAAACCAAATTTGCAGTTTCTTTGATGTATTTACTTGTCAGTCTTTATGCCAACACCAAATCCTATTCTTTTTCCTGAAGCTTCATTGATAACTATTTCTATCCCTTTACTCCATTTCTGTCCAGGATGCAGTTCAGTGACATCTCCACTGCTATTTGCCACAGCTCTACAAACAGACTCCTGACCTCTGGTAACCTACAAACTTCAGTCCAGTTTGTGTGCCATTGCCAGATCTGTCTCTGTAAATCACCATTTATTTTAAAAACTTGTTCCAGGCCGAGAGTGGTGGCTCACACCTGTAATCCCAGCACTTTGGGAGGCCAAGGCAGGCAGATCACCTGAGGTCGGGAGTTCGAGACCAGCCTGACCAACATGGAGAAACCCCGTCTCTACTAAAAATACAAAATTAGCCAAGCGTGGTGGTGTATGCCTGTAATCCCAGCTACTCAGGAGGCTGAGGCAGGAGAATCGCTTGAACTTGGGAAGCAGAGGTTGCAGTGAGCCAAGATCATGCCATTGTACTCCAGCCTGGGCAAGAGCGAGACTGTCTCAAAAAATAAATAAATAAATAATAAATTTAAAAAAAAACTTGTTCCATTGATTACTCTTCTGTCTGTTTAATCAAACTGTGCCTCTCCATTCTTTCCCACTAATACAAAAATATGCTTTGGTTTCCCTTTATACTATATCATAGTAATAGTCTGTTCTCTTGAGCATATTGGCTTCTCCAGCTACTGCTATACTTACCTCTTCTCTAGCCCCACTGTTACCAGAAAGGAGAACAGATCCATACCCCAAGAGAGGGTTCTTGACTCCTGCACAAGAAATAATTCAGGGCAAGTCCACAATACAAAGCGAAAGCAAGTTTATTATGAAAGTAAAGGGATTCCCTAAGTGGAGGAGCCCCAAAGGCTGCTGGCTGCCCATTTTTATGGTTATTTCCTGATTATATCCTAAACAAAGAGGTGGATTATTCATGCCTCCCCTTTTTAGACCATATAAATTAACTTCCTGATATTGCCATAGCATTGGTAAACTGCCATGGTGCTGATGGGAGTGTAGCAGTGAGGACGACCACAGGTCACTCTCATAACTATCTTGGTTTTAGTGGGTTTTGGCTGGCTTCTTTATTGCAACCTGTTTTATCAGCAATGTCTTTACAACCTGTATCTTGTGCCAACCTCCTATCTCGTCCTGTGGCTTACAATGCCTAACCATCTGGGAATGCAACCCAGTAGGTCTCAGCATTATGTTACCCAACCCCTGTTCAAGATGGGGTTGCTCTGGTTCAAATGCCTATAACAACACTACCCTGATCTCCAGAGTCTCTGCCTATTGAGACCATCTGCCTCCTACTTGTCAAAACCAATAGCAGAGATTCCATTCTTCTTTTCTGGGATCTTAGTATAGCTTTTAACACAGATAACCATGCTTTCCTGTAAACCCTCTCCTGCTAACTTTGAGATTACACTCTTGACTCCTCCCTCCCCTTAAATTTTTATTTTCTGCCTTCCTTTCTGCTTCCTTTCTCCTACTACTCAAACTTACCAGGTTCCATCTTTGGTGTTACTGTCATCTTTCCCAGTGCCTAACCCAATACTATTCCTTGCACATAAGAGCCCCTCAATAAATGCAGATTATGATTTACAGATTTTTTAACACAAATTTTATGATTTTTTTTTTTTTTTGCAATTTTGTCATTTGTCTGTACCAAAGTTCTCGGCTGCTTGCAGGATAAATGTCAATTTCCTCAGCCTGGAATTAAAAGCCTTCTCCCATCTGTTCCTCCCACCTGTCACACCTCCCCATCTCTGAGCTCAGACTTTGCTCAAGTAGTTTCTTCTTCTAGATGTACCCTCTGTGGGAGAGGAATGAAGGTGGCTTCATTCTACACAAAGCATCTCCATCCTCTACAAGGGTTCAAATTCTTTTTTCAAAGGCAAGCCTGATCATCCAAAGTTACAGCCATTTTTCCCCCTTGAGACTTCCCATCTTTTCTATAACTCATTTAGATGCATACCTCCATGGTAACTTAACTGTTTGGGGAGGGATCTGGGAAGGGAAGATGGGTATACATGTATGGAGTGGGATGGTGTTTGGGGGTGTGAAGGAGTGCAAGTGTGTGCATGCACATGGGCCTGTGTTGAGCTTCCCTAAGGGCAGACTGAACTCCTTAACTGCTTATGGACATCTATTGTCAAATACAGCAGCAGATGTCTACTTAGGGCTCAATAAATAGTAGAAATGGATTTTAAGCTGTCAATCTTTACTCTGTGTGCTTCATCCTGAAGGTATTAGAACTCCAGCAAATCACATATGCCCAAAAACAAACCTTTGTGTGTGCCACGTGTGGCATGAGGTCCCCTGAGGAATTAAATCATCCAATGGCTTCCTCTCAAAAACTAACCTATCAATAGATAAATGGAAAAACATATGGTATATGCATGCAATAAAATCTTTCAGTCATAAAAAGGAATTAAGTTGATAACATATGCTGCAGTATGAATGAACCTTGAAAACATTAGCCTTAGTAGGCTGGGCACAGCGGCTCACATCTGTAATTCCAGTGCCTTGGGAGGCCAAGACAGGTGGATCACTCAAGGCCAGGAGTTCAAGACCAGTCTGGCCAACATGGTGAAAACCCATCTCCACTAAAAATACAAAAATTAGCTTGACGCGGTGGTGCACGCCCGTAGTCCCAGCTACTTGGGAGGCTGAGGCACAAGAATTGCTTGAACCCTGGGGGCAGAGGTGGCAGTGAGCCAAGATCACACCACTGCACTCCATCCTGGGGAACAGAGTGAGATTCTGTCTCAATAATAATAATAATAATAATAATAACAATAATAATAATAAAGGAATGAAAGAAAACATTATGCTTAATGAAATAAGCCAGACACCAAAGGACAAATATTATATTATTCTATTTCTACAAGCTACCTGGAAGAGGCAAATTTAGAGACAAAAAATAAACTAGAGGTTACCAGGGGCTGGACAGTGGGAGAAAGGAAGAGTTATTGTTTGACAAGCATTGAGGTTTGGTTGGGGATGTTGAAAAAAGTTTTGGGTATTGACAGTGGTCATGGTTACATAACACTGTAAATGCATTTAGTGTCACTGAAAGTATATTCAAAAATGACTAAAATTATAATTATGGTATGTGTATATATATTGGTTATAAAAATATATTACATAATTATATGTTATATATAATATATACTTAATATTTAATTTAATATATAATTATATGTTGTGTGTGTATATATATACACACACAAGTAAAATAAGTAAATGAATGAATGAATGTCAGCCAGGCCCTGTGATAAGTAGACTGTGCAGAAGGCAAGCTGCCCTGTTTGCCTGGCAACCCACCTCACATCCTCCCCTAAGGACTGCAACACTCACAGATGACCCAAAGCAGCCGAGAAGCAGAAGGTCTCACACTATTTCTCAGTGGGTCGGCACTTTGTTTGGCATCCCCATCAGTAGGCAATTCTTCCAGAAAACAAAATGCACTAGACCCACAAGATACACTGGAGCATCTCAGAAGCTAAGCTCCTCTGCAAAGAGAGGATGAGTCACAAGAAGGCTTTCCTCTCTCTTTCGTACTATGCCATCTTAAGCAAGAACCCTCTTCTCTGAGCTTACCTATGGTACAGTGCAAATACCTACCGTGCAAGACTACTGTATTCTTGTGCAGGTAAAAAATGTATGATACCTCAAACACTTGTAATGGTGTTCGGTGCAAAGCAGACCCTCAACAATGGTAGCTGTCGTTATTTTCATATTACCTTTATTTCACAGCATTATACATTCTAGAAATGAAGTTCAGAGTTATCCTTTCAAACACCTTCAAGAAAATGGCAACTTCTTCTCATTGCCAAATCCCCAAGAAAAAGGAATTGTAAATTTATCAGAGATTTGGCAATACTACATCAAATTAAAAAAAACATATAACCAACCACCGGCTAGCTCCAGCAGCCACAAAGAATGATAAAGGAATGGACTTAGAAAAGATTCCGAACTATTGGACCTTTAGACTCACTGAGCAATGGACTTTCCTAGCGCCTCCAGGCTGTGCCTGTTTCAGCATTTCTGAAGAGCAGAGCGGCTGCGCTACTATAGTTGGTGATACTATAACTAAATCTAATACGACACACCAGAAAATGCCACTGAACATGAGGAAATAACACTGATGATGCCCTTGAGACTTGGCTCTCAAATGATATGAGCCATTTCTTCCTGCGGGGGGAATTGTCTCTGTCCTTCTCACACATTCAGGTGTGCGTATGTGTGATGCAACTTCAAGTAGAGATAATGATTGAAATTAGAGATGAGAGAATTATTAGGTCAGCAGGCCCACTGCAATATTCAAGAAAAGGACTTGAGGTAATTGGATCTTTAAAATGAAAAATGTAAAACCAGAAAAGTAGATACCGCTCTGTGCTGAGCACTCACAGAGGAAGTAAAGCAAAACACACATCTTCAAACAAGAGTCAGTCTTAAGATCTGGAGGGGTGCGGGTAAGTCCAGAAGATTTTTCATCTTCAGGAAGAAAGGGCTTCAGACTTTCCTGTACCAATCTTCACTGTGCACTTTACCCATGCCCTGTCTGTACTGAGCTGCAAGACAAGTGCTGACAGACGAGAACCTCAGGGACATGGGAGTAAAACATTTGGCATGTGATGGAATGCTGGAAAATAATCATTTATTGAGGTCTCCAAGAGACACTGCAGAGGCCACTTACCAAGTAGAACAAAAACATTTTCCCCACATTGAGAAAGAACAAAGATGTTGCCTTAGGTCCTTTATTGTGTTTTGTGATCAGTGATATCCACATACCATCAATTATATAATCACATCTCGAAGACTGGGTGGATTATTCCAGCAACTTAAATCCTCTCTGGACCTTGAAAATATTTGAGGATCAAATGAGAGAAATTATGATAATTTTTTTTCAAAACAGCTACATGTATTTTCTTTATATCTTTGATAGACTCTAGTTCGGTATTTCATAAGCTACTCAACACATTTAGTAGTACAACTTTCACATAGTTAATGATGGAAATAGGAATAACATGAAAGATTATTATCAGTTGCTATTTGTACTAGTTTATATAATACATATACATCTAGATATATATATACATATACATACATGTATACATATACACACATGTATACATATACACATATATACAATTGCAGATCCCCCATAAGTCAAGCATTTCTAAATTTTCTATGTATATTAACTTAACTTCTAGGGTACATGTGCACAATGTGAAGATTTGTTACATATGTATACATGTGCCATGTTGGTGTGCTGCACCCATTAACTCGTCATTTACATTAGGTATATCTCCTAACACTATCCCTCCCCCCTCCCCCCACCCCACAACAGGGCCCTGGTGTGTGATGTTCCCCTTCCTGTGTCCAAGTGTTCTCATTGTTCAATTCCCACAATAGCAAAGACTTGGAACCAACCCAAATGTCCATTAATGATAGACTGGATTAAGAAAATGTGGCACATATACACCATGGAATACTATGCAGCCATAAAAAAGGATGAGTTCATGTCCTTTGTAGGGATGTGGATGAAGCTGGAAACCATCATTCTCAGCAAATTATCACAAAGACAGAAGTGGGTACTGCTAGTATCCAAACTGTACAGATGAGGCAACTGAAACAAGAAGTTTGGAAACGAATGCAACATTCCCTTCAGAGCCCATTTGGAAGACAGGCAGTCAGGCTCCAGAATCCATGTTTTTTACCAACAGGAAAAACCAATACATACAAAGCACACTTATCCACAGATACAGCACTTTGACCTGGGCAATTTTTGTTTGTTTGTTTGTTTGTTTGAGACAGTCTTGCTTGGTCACTCAGGCTGGAGTGCAATGGTGCAATCACAGCTCACTGCAGCCTCAACCTCCCCGGCTCAAGTAATTCTCCCATCTCAGCCTCCCAAGTAAGCTGGGACTACAGGTGTGGTGTCACCATGCCTGGCTTTTTTATTTTTTAGAGACAGAGTCTCCCCCTATGTTGCCCAGGCTAGACTCAAACCCCTGGGCTCAAGGGATCCTCCCACTTTGGCCTCCCAAAGTGCTAGGATTACAGGCATAAGCCACTACACCTGGCCCATTTTCTTGTCTAAATTAACACTGAGTAAGCCTTTCATTATTCACTGAACATATTCAGCCAACTGCAATAATTGTTCAAACAAAGAATTGAAGGAAATGGTTCCAAACTGAAGCTAGTTTGGAAAATCTGGAGCAAGATAATCCACTGAGATTTGAACATATCATATTAAAGATTTTTTTTTTGCCTTTAATACTGTTTGGAGTTTTCATGAGCTGTGAAGACTCAAGGGAATAAGCCAAAGTATCCTTGCAGAAATTCTGAATACCACTAAAATGAGCTGTCAAACATAAATCAGTATCTGGCTATTTTTCGACCTATTTATAAAAGTGCAGCTGTGAAATACCTCTAAAATACAAATCTGAGTACATTTATCTGAAGATGGTACTTTTAGCAAAAACCTTTTCAAACAAACAAATGCCATCTGTCAAAAACAAAATAATTGCATTGTGTCAAAATGTTGGGGGTGAAGTATTTAAGTTCCCTGTGTAGCTGGTATGATAGATCGTGGAATTTCACCTGGTGTCAGCTTCATTCCAGCTGCCCCAGGGCTTAATGCTGGCATCAGCCCAGGTCTGGTTTTTATTGAAAGAAGAAGAAATGTGTCAGAACCAGAAAGGATTTCTGGATTTCCACTGAATACTCTCAAAGGTTCTAAGATTTCATGTTCAAGATGAATGCAGACTCTAAAATTACTCTAGCATATGTTCCATATCATTTTCAGAATTGATTTTGTTTTCAAAGGTATTAGCCTGTTGTCCTGGAAATTAGACAAAAGCCACATGTTCCCAATGCCCTTTTCCGTGTTCATTCTCAAAAACTGTACATTAGTTTTATTAAACAAAATCAACCAGGAAAAATCATTACAAAAAGAATTTTCAGCCTCTTTGAAGCTCAAGATTTATAGAAAAGTAGATACATGCCAGAACCATATGAGTTCTGAGCAAACGCAGATGGCCCCTATTGGTATTGTTTCATTCGACAACAATTTTTGATCACTGATTCATTGTCATATCCATCCAACTGGAAAACTCCAGGCATTTTGTTTAATTACAGCCAACAGCCTGATGCGTAGAAAGATCTGATTGCTGATTATTAAAATTCAAGTCTCTTAAGTAGAAATTTGGGATAATCTAAAATAGAGATAGATCTCTGAACTGCTTTTAAGGAAAAAATGCCACCTGTGTTTTAATTTTTAAGTACAGAGAAATTCTGAATTTAAGTACAAAGAAATTAAGTACAGAGAAATTCACCGCCAAAAAAAAACACACAGCATTTGAGAATGGCAGCATTGGAAGTTCTGCTCAGTCATTTAAGCTAAACAAAGTCTTGATTTCAAGCAAAAAAACATGACTAGATTTTATGTATTTATAATGTAAGGAATATAAGTGGAAAATACTCTTCTAAAAAAGACAATATTCATATTTATTGGTAAAGATAACTACTTCATTTTAGCATGATGCTGTACTCCAAGACCTAAAAAAAAAAAAAAATCCATTATTTTCTGTTATAAGCCAAACCAAAGAAAGGTCAAAAGGCTATTGTTGAGCACAACTCTATTCTGTAGCATAAGGATGTATGTTACTGTAGATTTTCAAAGCCTACTCTGTAGGAAGGAGTTCAGGGCACTTCATAAGTTTTTGTGTTCTCTGGCTTTATGCACACTGTGTGCAGAATAGGAAGTCTGGAGGGTTCCGCACATACCTGTCTGTAATTAGTGTTGTTAGCCATCGACTATGTCATTCTATCTAGTGTACTGGGTGCTTTGCACATCACTTCCAATCTAAACAATAACCTTTTCAGATTAAGAAACTAAGACAAAGAAATCTTTTAATATGCTTTAAGTTCTGGGAGACATGTGCAGACACGTGCAGGTTTGTTACATAGGTACACACATGCCATGGTGGTTTGCTGCACCCATCAACCCATCATCTACATTAGGTATTTCTCCTAATGCTATCCCTCCCATAGCCCCACACCCCCCAAAAGGCCCCATTTTGTGTGATGTTCCCCTCCCTGTGTCCATGTGTTCTCATTGTTCAATTCCCAATTATGAGTGAGAATATGCAGCATTTGGTTTTCTGTTCCTGTGTTAGTTTGCTGAGAATGGTGGTCTCCAGCTTCAACCATGTCCCTGCAAAGGACATGAATCAATCCTTTCTTGATGGCTGCATAGTATTCCATGATGTATATGTGCCATATTTTCTTTATCCAGTCTAACATTGATGGGCATTTGAGTTGGTTCCAAGTCTTTGCTATTGTGAATACTGCTGCAATAAACATACGTGTGCATGTGTCTATAGAATGATTTATATTACTTTGGATATATACCCAAGTAATGGAATTGCTGGGTCAAATGGTATTTCTGGTTCTAGATCCTTGAGGAATCACCACACTGTCTTCCACAATGGTTGAAATAATTTACACTCCCACCAACAGTGTAAAAGCATTCCTTTTTCTCCACATCCTCTCCATCTGTTGTTTCCTGACTTTTTAATGATCACCATTCTAACTGGCTAGAGATGGTATCTCGCTGTGGTTTTGATTTGAATTTCTCTGATGACCAGTGATGATGAGTTTTTCATATGCTTCTTGGCTGCATAAATGTCTTCTTTTGACAAGTGTCTGTTCATATCCTTTGCCCACCTTTTGATGGAGTTTTCTTGTAAATTTGTTTAAGTTCTTTGCAGCTTCTGGATGTTAGCCCTTTGTCAGATCGATAGATTGCAAAAGTTTTCTCCCATTCTGTAGGCTGCCTGTTCACTCTGATGATAGTTTCTTTTGCTGTGCAGAAGCTCTTTAGTTTAGATTCCATTTGTCAATCTTGGCTTTTGTTGCCATTGCTTTTGGTGTTTTAGTCATGAAGTCTGACAAAGAATTGCATATATACAATTGCTCTAGAGCTACATATGCTGAAGAAAGTCAGCAGGCCCCAAACCCACGTTTTTTTGACTGTGATGCTGACCTTTTTTTTTCTGAATCATACTCCCCGCAAAAGGGTCCATCCACAGTGGCTGCCCTAATGCAAGTCACTCAGTGTTGCTTATTATAACTTCATTTTTAAAAGCCATAAAATGGTATGATGAAAGTACATTATAGCTAATCAAAAATTCCTGGTGTAAAAAAGTTAGGTAAAGAAATAAATAACTTCAAAGAATTATGGAAAGGAAAGCAGTGTTCTCCTAAATTGCTCCCCCTTACCACTACAACCAAATACCATATTAAAATTAGAACTATTCTAGTAAAAATTTCATTGACTTTGGATTTTGTTCTCTTAGTTTAACCAGGAATTTACAGGAAAAGAAGGTCTCTGAAAGAGAGCCTAGATATTTTCTAAAAGTGATAGAAGTTTCCCTCTGTTAACACAGTGTACCAACCCTTCGACTCATTTAAGTGATTTATTCATTTAAAAATGCATGTCCCTTGGAAGGCATAAAATACATTTACCAGACCTATGCAGCAATGTGAAATGTGTGTAAGTTTAGAGATGAGGGTATATGCATGTATACATAAGGTGATTTTATAAAAGCAAACAATCTGAAATTTTAATAGAAAGTTTTTAATATTAATGTTGATTTTACTCAATATGTGCTCTCAGGAAAGTGTAACTGATCCTTTTTGTAAAATATATATACAGTTTATATGGTGTTACTTTGAGATGTTATGAAGTTTTTCTCTAAATTATAACAATTTTATTACTTTTTATCATGCTTTCTTCCTGGGTGATTTTATTTCAAAGGGTTAATGGTTCATCCATGATATCCTTTTAAGAAAATATGAGTAGACCAGGATGAATTACTTGGCTGCATTCTCAAAACCCAGACTTTAAAAAAAAAAACAGGTCCTACATAAACCTGCCTCCTCATCAAAACCACACACTGAATAAATTTAGGATTGTATTCACAGATGGCAGTTCATGAAATCACTCAGCACCAAGTGCAGAATATTCTCAATGGCTTGGAAAATCAGAATGAACAATGCATCACCAAAGATGGTGGTTGTGCTAGTCTAGAGTTTTGAATTGTATAGTGTTAAAAACTCTGCAAAATAAGTTTGCAAGAGATGTTTACAGTTTCTTTCATATATTGTATTTACATTTTAAAGTTTCCTCAGGAATTTATAAACATCCTATGTTTTTAAACCCTACCCCAACCCCCAAAACAGAGTGCCTCCCTCATAGGATGGAAACCAGAGGAAGGCCCATGAAATAGGGCCTTCTCCAAGGGAGACACATGGCGGTGGACTTACAACTGATATACTTACCATTTAGGAGTGAACTAAATGCTAGATAAATGGAAACTATTCATGCTGTTGTGGGGTTTAGATCAGCTTGGTCACTTTTTATTACATTTTAAGATAACATTCTTATAATTTGCATTGAGGGTTGATACTATCTATGTGGACATTTGGGAGGATGTAAAAGACAAAGGGAAACATTCAGATTCAGAGTTGAAAAAATTTTTATGTACACCCTATATAGATCTAATTCTAAGCCCATTGGGTAAAAAGTCACATACTTTATATAGAAAAGTTATAAACATTTTATGAATAAATATGTTTAAAAACTAAGTTAGTTTATACTTTCCTGATTGTTTTCCTTTCTTTTCTAAATGCATTTAGGATGAAATCTCATTTGAACATGGGCTTTGAATAGTGAGGTTAGTCCATACAACAGGGTTAACATTAAGAAGAGTGAATAATAGCCAGGTAACTACAAATAAGTAAATTCATATTGTTTTGTTGCTGTTGTTTTTTAGAGACAGGGTCTTACTCTGTCACCCAGGCTGGACCAGAGAAGAGTGGCACAATCATAGCTCACTGCGGCCTCAAATGCCTGGGCTCGGGCGATTCTCCCTCCTCAGCCTCCCAAGGAGCTGGGTTTATAGGTGCACACCACCATGCCCAGTCTAAATTCATATACTTCTAAAAACACCTGCCCCGCATCCATGAACTATTATAATCACTTTACATTTGCTATTTCTTTTAATACTGACATAACCCATGAAAAGTAATATTCTTATCCTGATTTTACTATTGAGGAAACTATCTTAATGCAATGAAATGACTCTTCTAACAGCATGCAGCTCTTAAGTGGCAGAACCAGAACTTGGATCCAATTCTCTCTCAATAAAAGCCCTTTCTCTATGCTCTATTGCTTCTCATAAATGTCCTATAATATATCTATATCAAGCCTAGAGCCACTTTCTCATTATAGGATAATTTAAAGTTGAAGAATTTAGTAGAATTTTACCAGATCTCCAATGTTAACTAGTTTAGGGATTAGAATTTAACCACAGACTATAAGGGAAAATTCCAATTTAACTTAAAACCACAAATATCATACAGAAATAAAAATCTGTTCATAGCCTGAACTAAAATCTAGGCCTTGCTTTCTAGGAAAAAAATTATAGATTTTCTACATGTTAGCCACGAGTCAACAAAACATGTCTTATTTTTGAAGTGACTCACGTAGTATTAACATCAGGTACGGTACAGGTTTGGACTCTAAGAATATGACATGCTGAGGTGAATATGTGAAGACACACATAGCTCACGGGGGAAAAGCTATCTTTCTTTCAAAGCTGTCTCCAGAAGATACCATTCACTCTGCCTGCCCTCAAGCAGCAATTGATTCTACTGGTTATAGTAGGAAAGTTGTACTCTAATGTCATACCTGGAGAACTTCGACAGCAGGCAGCCATAGCATACAATTCCATACCCTTCATCCCCCATCATCTCTCTCTCCTCCTTCAGATCAGCTATAAAATATGTGGGGACCAGTACAAAACGAAGATGTAGGGTTCCACGTTCAAAAGTTAGTAAGAATTTCAAGACAACTAGAACAGAGCATCAATTTCAGTCTATTAGTTCATTTTCACATTGCTATAAAGAATTTCCTGAGACTGGGCAATTTATAAAGAAAAGAGGTTTAACTGACTCACAGTTCCACATGGCTGGGGAGGCCTCAGGAAACTTACCATCATGGGGGAAGGGGAAGCAGGCATGTCTTACATGGTGGCAGGTGAGAGAAAGAACATGTGGAGGAGGAACTGTCCGACACTTATAAAACCATCAGATCTAGTGAGACCATACTCACTATCATGAGAACAGCACAAGGGAAACTGCCCCATGATCCAGTCACCCCCCAAGTCACTTTCCTCAATATGGGGGGATTATGGGGATTACAATTTGAGGTGAAATTTGGGTGGGCACACAGAGCCAAACCCTATCTCAAACCAAGCATGAGGCCTTCTGAGCACAGGGCCCCAAGTAACTGCACAGGTCTCATATCCATAAATGTGGCCTTATTCCCCTAACACTCATTCCTGCAGACACATGTGATGCCTGCTGGCCTGGGGTGACCTTTATTCCCTTTCAGTACTGCCTTTGGTGTTTCTTTTGTGTTTTTTATCTGGATAATATTGTTGGCAATATGTACCTCCTAAGAATAGGTTTGGTGTCCTCACTCAGCCACTGTCCCATTTGGCTCAGGACGTTCTGTCCTCAACAGCCAAGGCCAAGAACTCATTCTGACATCACAAAAAATGTGTGACATGTTATCCACAAGTTGGTGATCTAATGTACCTATCTGAACTGAACTCATGGAGATAAAGTGCTGTTTCTTAAGGTTCAATTTCACCTAAAGCAGAGATGATTCACAAATATGGAAATTTGCCTTTTGTTTGCTTGTTTTCTCAAAACCAAACACATTTATAACAAAAGATACCAGTACAATATGGCTATTAATTCTCTTCCCCTCATAAGTTCAAAAAAATGCCACAGAATGTACTTCATCTGCTTAGCCCTCTTTTTGTGTTTCAAAGGCTCCCCACCAGTAGAACCACATGATCATTTGCACCATCTGTGCATGGGAGAGAAACACATTATCATCCAAGCCAATACTGAGGGTATTCTATCAAGAAAGGAACCCACTCATCAGAGAAAGGTTTTGCAGAAAAGCTCCTGCCAGAAAACTCACTGTTTCCTCCTCTCTCTCTCCCTCATTAGAAATTCATGAAGATGAAGTGCAGCTTTTGTTTCCCATCAGTGAGATGAGCCTTAATACACTCTTGCCAAAAGCAAGCTAACACAGAGTAATTGTTTTTCATCTAAATTGCATGTCCAACCTGCTTAGTCTTCAAAGAACATAGATGCTACAGCTTTGATACCCAACTGCAGAATGACAAAGGAGAGGGCACAAAGCACATGGGCACGATGAGAATTTTTAATCACCGCCTATCTGTCAGCAAGCTCTGGAACTCTGGGGCAAGAGGAGAAGAGAGCAGATTATTCGCAAGGTGGATAAGGTTCCATATTTCATTCAAGACTAACTTCTTTTTTTAAGGGAGAAAAAAGTGATTTAGAGGGAATTAAGATTCCCCAAGGTGTTTTTAATCTCTTTTCACTCTAGGGCCAGGTGCCTCATGTAGCACTTAAAAGGGTTACAAAAATGAAAGCAAATGCCTAGAACACAGAAAAAGAGATATCCATCTACACAAAGCATTTGCCTTTGTTTAAGAAAAAAGTAGTTTCAGCTTTATGAACTTCACATCCAGACATTTTATAATTTTGATGTTATAGTTCTTAACAGATTTTTTCTCCATGAACACTACATCTAATACATAGAGGCAAAAATCATTAATATTTAACATTTTTTAATATATCAAGTCTCCTTTACGTCAATAAGTTCATTTAATTGCACATAACTGCAGAGTGTTTGTGAGGAGGTCTATGTGATGTGAATAAAACTGCCCAGAGAAATGGAATGAACAAATCTGCCCCCACTACCATCTTTTGCAGGTAGAGATACTACCTAAAAGCTGTGTGGTTCTCGTCACTGATCCCTGGGCCTCATTTTGTAACCAGGTGCTGAGACAAAAGATTTGTCTCTGTTTATTGTGTTTGTTCCAGTTAATTTAATTCTTTTTGCCTGGTTTAAACTTCTATTTTCTAATTATATTCATAAGCTCTACCGGGACTGGAGTGCTACAATACCTTTGCTTGCACTTAGAAAATGTGGACATAAACTAAATTACTTCCACAGCTGTCAGTAAATTGTGCTACTGTCCTGTATCATCTAAACATTAGAAATTTTTTACCCCAGGCAACCCAGTGATAGAAAGTATCTCCCAGCATGCTACCAAATAAGAGGAGACAAGCAAGTCCATCAGGCTGTGAATGTCAGAACAGAGGGAAGTGTTCTAATTGGAAATGGGGGTATTAGTGTCAGTTCCACCACTAAAGGAGCTGTACAGCTGAGGCCTCAGGGCCTCAGTGTTACCTGTAAATTGAGAGTCTTGAACCATCTCCAAGGTTATTCTTCCAGTGCTAAAAAGTCTATAATTTCAGTCTCTGTGCTTTCCTTTCTTAATAATCAATTTCGGTTTTGGAACAGAAAACTTTCTAAAGTGAAAGTTTTGACCAAAAAAACCAACTTAGTTAATTTTAGCTTTTACAATGAAGACTATACCCTACCATCATTAAGATAGTATTAAACCCTGGAAGCACTGACATTATGTAATGACTTTGAACATAAAATGGCAATTTACAATGGTCGTACTGTACATCTGTTTGTCCAGATACAGATTGAAAAGAGGGACCTTGGATATAGATGTTTACCTGAGACCTTTTACCTGACCTGTTGTAACACATTTAGAAATGCTGTAAGAAATCTTTGTGAAACTACCCCATGACTTTGAAGCTTGATACTACACCATCAAGATCCAAGTATTTCTCAAATACCCCAACGCAGCTTATGTATTCATCAGGAAGTTGAGACTCTTGGTTATATTTAAAAAAAAAAAAAAAAAAAAAAGGCTGGGCGCGGTGGCTCACGCCTGTAATCCCAGCACTTTGGGAGGCGGAGGCAGGCGGATCACGAGGTCAAGAGATCGAGACCATCCTGGCTAACATGGTGAAACCTGTCTCTACTAAAAATACAAAAAATTTAGCCGGGCGCAATGGCGGGCGCCTGTAGTCCCAGCTACTCGGGAGGCTGAGGCAGGTGAATGGCGTGAACCCGGGAGGCGGAGCTGGCAGTGAGCCGAGATCGCGCCACCGCACTCCAGCCTGGGAAACAGAGCCAGACGCCATCTCAAAAAAAAAAAAGTTTAAGCAAATAAGGGTATTTACTCAACTTACATAATCTAAATTTTCAGGGGTATCACTAGCTTTAGGCATGTCTAAATCCAGACACTTCACATTGCCAGGGCTTGGTCTCTGAATCTTGACTGTTTCCTCAAATGATTGCTGCATTCTTAGGCACACTTTTTGTACACAGTGGCAAAGACAGCCCCCTGGCACCTCTAGGCTTAACTGGAGGGTAGGCAGGAAAAGAACTACAGATTAATTGATCTCAATAAACCAGAGTAAGTGAAGCCAGTTGGTATTATCTAGAGATTAGAGAGCTAAGCTGAAAGTTTACCAAGGAGGCAATATTCTCATGGCAGCTCATAGGGATGGAGTCTCCATTTAGCGTCCAGTAAAATAAACTATTTCATTTTTAATACCAACCTCCTCTAAGCCCAATACAATATTTTTAATGACTATGGTCACAAAATTCCTTTACTTGCCTCAGTTTGCAGAAAAATAAATGATACATACTACAGTATCAATGAAAAGAGAATCTTTAGAAGTCCAGGATTCTAGTTCTGACTCTAGCAGTTTGAAAAGTCATTTAAACTCTGTTTCATCACCAGTAAGATGAAAGTGCTGAGTAAAGTAACCTAAGGCTTGTTTCAAATCTTGAAATGTGAATCCATGTAGCGCCGACCTGGCTATTTTAATGTTTCATGTTTGGGTTTTTGCTTTCTTGATACCATTTGTTCCTCAACAAAGGAAACCTAATCACTCAGAACTCTGAGAAACACTGATCACTAAATAGGTCAAAAACATCCTGCAAGAGATGAAAGCATTCAGAAGTTTTGCAGAAGATAAGTAGATAAGCCAATAGCCCATTATCTTGAACACTTTGGTTTTCACAGGAAAACAAGCAAGCAGTCAACCCCAGCTTCAATACAAGCTGAGTGCCCATGTATTGATCTTCTGTCTGACTGGGTCACGGGAGTCCTGGTGTATATTAAGTAGAAAAAGGACTGAAAATTACATTAATTCAAATGGCTAAATCAATATTTAACAACGCAGTTAGTGGTCGTTGACCTTAAATGCACCTTTAATAAAACAAAGGTGATTCAGGCCAGCCTCTAGCATATGCCATTCAGAAATATGAATTAATGCAGAACAGATGCGTTAAAGACCTCTACTAGCGCAGATGCCTTTGCAGTTTGGTCTGACTGCAAGGAGAAGTTCAAAGCCACTCTCTTAGCACAGGCAATTCGAATTTTATTCATGTGATGTTGTGTCTTCATTTATCACATTCTCCCTGTCTCAAGAATCAGACAGCCTTGATCTCAGGACATTTAAAAGCAGAAAAAGGATTTCAACAACTATTTCCCCAGCAAATTATTAGTAAATCTTTAGTGATAGCTTTGTAACCTTGAGCACTTTCTTCATAAGTAAACATGGATGTTACCAGTTGTTACTCTAGAAGCCCTATCTTACTATATGATTTGTATATATTTGCATATAAACATATCAGTTAGTACTTCACTTGCATTAAAGATTATTGAACTAAGCTTGCTTATATTAAAGAGAATGCAAAAAAGAATAAAATAAGGAATAAACAGAGGCAATCTCGTTAAGATGTCAGAATCATCTCAGATGCTATTAGCTATTATATCAGGCTCACAGATGTGAGACTTTTTAAAATTGCCTTGCTGTCCATAAAATACCTTAAGCTGTACAGCACTTTAGTTATCACTGCCAAGGACTTGGTGATAACTGTAAGGAAAAGGTCAATCTAAGAATCTATTTCAATACACCTAAGGCAGCAGGAGACTCTGTGGAATTCCCAAAGGAGCCCAGGAGAGTTTACCTGATTTTGTGACCTAAGATGCTAGTGCCAAAGGCACCATTTCCACTGCATCCTGGTTTGGCTGCAAGGACAAATGTATGATAATTAGAAATCTCTCCTGAGACACTTCCCTTTGATTTGTTGTTTGGTGATGGCTACAGTTTCTCTGCAGCCTTGCTTCTCTCAGGTCTGTCTGCTGGTTACCATGGCAAAGTGGTTCAATGCATCCTATGAGCTAAATCAGCATTCTGTAGTATCCAAGCTGCTGGCAGTAGAACTTAAGAACTGGGCAGAAAGTTTCCAGGCTGAATGTAAACGTGATTGCTTGAAAATATGATCATACACTTGAATGGGAAAAGGGACATTCCCCAGAACACGATCACAGTTTCTTTGTCATCAAGGATATGGAATAAACACCTGATCTGCCTTAGGGCCAGTCACAAGAGTTCTGGGCAGGGAGAGGGCTGGCAATATATGTGAGGCTCTCCCGCTAATGCTGGAACTCGAACAGAAGTCACGTATGACACAAAGATAGCCAAGCAACAGCTTGGCTCCTAGGAAGTCCCTCTGCCTGGGGCATTCCACATACAAACCACTAGGCACACCCTACTTTTCACAGTCTCTTCACAGGGTCAAAATACTCTCTGAATTTAAAAATAATTGTAGACTAGTCACGAGAAAGGATGTTTAGAGTGTGAGAATGAATTCTCACCTCCAGCAAGGGTTTCAGGAAAGCAAAAAGAAGTAATATTTATTTTATACTCCTCCTGGAGTTAGGTAAAGGAAGCAGAAAGTTGATCTTTCGTCTTAATGATCATTTCTCCTAGGGCCATCATCCTTTACTTGTCAATCTAAATCCAACATCCCCACAAAACTATGGAGTCCAGGTTATTTGCAAGTTTGAGAAATTTATTATGTCATTTTTAGGATGAATACATCATATGCCACACATACAAATATGTGTATTATAGTGAATTAAAGATTAATAATTATTTACCCATATGTTTATCATCTTCTTTAAGAACTAGAATATTATAAATATCTTTGAAGCCCTAGAACCTCCTGGTTTAATTCCCCTCCCCTGATACCTATTGAGGTGACCTTTACACTGAACTTGTGTTTATTGTTGCTTATCTTCAAAGTTTTATCGCAGATGTATGTGTTTCTAAACAACAAACCTCTAGCTACACAGATCAAAAAAAAAATAAAAAGAAGAAAACACAGATTACCGATACAGAGGATGTCAGGGGATATCACCAGAGACTCCACAGACATCAATAGTGCATTAAGGAAACACTATGAACAACTCTAAGCCCATAAATTTGACAACTTAGGTGAAATGGTCCAATTCCTTGAAATATACAAACTACAAAAACTCACTAAAGTAGTAATAATCTAAATTATCTTGTATCTATGAACAAATTGCATTTTTTATTTAAAATTTTCAAATAAAGAAAACTTTAGATCCAAACAGTTTCACTAGCAAAATCTACCACATACGTAAGGAAGAAATAATAACAACCCTACACAATATCTACCAGAAAATAGAAGGGACCATTTTCCAACTCATTGTGGAGCCAGCATTACCTTGATCTCGAACCCAAAGGTATTACAATAAAACTACAGACACATATACCTCATGAATATAGATTTTAAAAGTCCTCAACAAAATATTAGTAAATCTAATCCAGCTATATATGAAAGGAATAATACATCATGAGCAATTGAGGTTTACTCTAGAGATGCAAGGCTGAATCGACATTTGAAAAAGATGACAACAAATGTTGGCAAGGTTGTCCAGACAACTGGAAACTCATACATTGCTGGTCAGAATGCAAAATGGTGCAGGAGTACTGGAAAATAATTCGGTAGTTTCTTATAAAGTGAACCCATATAATCCAGGATTCTCACTCCTAGAAAGGCACCCAGAGAAATGAAACCCTATGTTGACACAAAAAAACTTATGTAACTGTTTATAGAAAAACTGGAAATAAGCCACTGTCTTTCAACACAAGAATGAAAAAACAAACTGTGGTACATCCTAAGGAACAACATTCAGCAACATAGACAAATCTCAGATGCATTGTGCTAACAGGGTTTCTAAACCTCGGCACTATTAGACTTCAGGCCAGATAAATTTGTATTGTGGGGAGCTATCTCGAGCGTTGTAAGGTATATTTGCAGGCATCACTGGCCTCTACCCACTGGACGCCAGTTGCATCTCCCTCACTATGCCAATTTAATCAACCAAGGATGTTTCTAGATACGGCCAAATGTTTCCTAGGGAGAAAAATCACTACTGTTTAAGACCCACCATGCTAAGTGATGGAAAGAAGCCTGGATCAAAAAAATACATACTGTATAATTCTATTTGTACATTCTGGAAATGCAAAATTCTAGGAAAGGGTTGAGAATAGGATGAGGGTTTGGGTAAAAGGAGGCAGTACAAAGGAATTTGGGGGAAATAGAACAGTTATGTATCCTGACTGCAATGGCTGTTAACACAACTCTAGGCATTTGTCTGAACTGTATGCCAAAAAGAAAGCCTTAATTTTACTATAAGTAAATTTTTAGTTGTTTTAATGTAAAAAAAAAATTATAACTACAACACCTATATGCTTATCTCGTTTAAGAAATAAAATACTAAGAATATCTTTGGTCAGCCAGGCGCGGTGGCTCACGCCTGTAATCCCAGCACTTTGGGAGGCAAAGGCGGGTGAATCACGAGCTCAAGAGATCGAGACCATCCTGGCTAACACGGTGAAACCCCATCTCTACTGAAAATACAAAAAATTAGCCGGGCGTGGCGGCGGGCGCCTGTAGTCCCAGCTACTCAGGAGGCTGAGGCCGGAGAACGGCGTGAACCCAGGAGGCAGAGCTTGCAGTGAGCCGAGATGGCGCCACTGCACTCCAGCCTGGGCCACAGAGCGAGACTCCATCTCAAAAAAAAAAAAAAAAAAAAAAAATCTTTGATCTTATCCCACTCCCCTGCCACCCATGGAGGTGAAGCTTTACAGTGAGCTTTTATGTTTATTGTCCCTTGCTTTTCATTAATGCCTTACCACGTATGTATTATGCCTAAACAATATATTGCTTCTTTATAAGCTTTAAATAGAAAATGCTATATTGGAAAAAAAGTTTTGTGTACTATTGAAATTAAGTTGTTATTAATCCAAACTAGATTGTTTTAAGTTAAGATGATAATTTTAATCCCCGGAAAAACCACTAAGAAAATAACTTCAAAACTATAGCAAAAGAAACAGCAAGAGAATTTAAATGGCGCACTAGAAAATGTTTCTTTAATACAAAAGTTATTAGTAGAGGACAGGTAATAGGGAACAAAAGGCAAAGACATGCAGACAAATAGAAAAATGGCAGCTATAAGTCATTCCTTATTAGTAATTACACTAAATCACTAAATATAAATGTATTAAGCACATAAATTAAAAGACTAGAAATTGGAATGGAATTATTAAAAGATTCATCTTTTGCTACCTACAAGAAATATACTTGAGATTCAAAAACTTGAGTAACTTGAAAGTAGAAGAATAGGAAAAAAATACACCATGCAAACATTAACCAAAATAGGGCTGGAGTTGATATACTAATATTAGACAAAATACACTTTGAGACAAAATTTTTAAGAGATAAGTAAGGATTTTTATAATAAAAGGGTCAAAGCATCAAAAAGAGATAACAATTCTAAATGTATGTGTACCTAACAATAGAGGCCCAAAATACATAAAGCAAAAGCTGACAGAATTGAAGGGAGAAATCAATAATTTGACAATAATAGTTGGAGACTTCAAGACCTCCTTTCAACAATCGATAGAACTAGGCAAAAGTTCAACAAGAAGAGAAGCATTGAACAACACCATAAAACAACTAAACCTAACACACATCTGTAAAACATTCCACCAAAACAGCTGAATACATTCTTCTCTAGTGCACAAGGAACATTCTCCAGGATAAACTGTATTTAAGTCAGAAAGCAAACCTCAGTAAATTTCCAAGGATTGAAATCATACAAAATATACTCTCCAACCATGATGAAATAAAAATTAGAATTCAATAACAGAAGGAAATTTGGGAAACTCACAAATAAGTGGAAATTAACACACTCATAACCAATAAGTTAAAAGACCACGAGAAGTTAAAAAATACTTTGAGAGGAATAAAAACAAAAATAGTATCAAAATGTATAGCATACAGCTAACACATTAAAGGCAAATTTATAGCTGTAAATGCCTATATTAAATAAGAAAAAAGATTGCAGATCTATAATTTTGTTATGCACCTTAAGAAACTAGAAAGAGGAGAACAAACTAAAACCAGAATAAGCAAATAGAAGGAAAGATCAGAGAAGAAAAGAAGTAAAGAAAAATAAAGGCAGAAACATCAACACTTCATAAACTCTTCCAAAAATTAGTAAAGGAAGGAATACTTCCCAAATTGTTCTATGAAGCTGCTGTTACTCTGATACCAAAACCAGACAGAGATATCACAAGGATACTATAGAACGATATTGTTTATACAGACACAAAAATCTTTAACACAATGTTAGCATACAGAATCCAGCAGCATATAAGAAAGATTATGCAGTATGACCAAGTGGGATTTATCCCAAGAATGCAAGGTAGGTATAACATACGAAAATCAATAAATGTAAAATAATATTTACAAAAAAAAGATTACATAATTATCTCACTAGAGGCAAAAAGTGATTTAATACAATCCAAAACCCTTTCATAATAAAAGTGCTCAAGAAATTTGACAAGATATAAAAGACATCCATATTGGAAAGAAGTAGATCTTATTCATAAGTGACATGATATTGTATATAGAAAATTCTAAGATATGCATTCAAAAAAATATTAGAACTAATAAAGAAGTTCACAAAATTGCAGGATACAAGATTAATGTG
Source organism: Homo sapiens (assembly GCF_000001405.40). Lineage (NCBI taxonomy): Eukaryota > Metazoa > Chordata > Mammalia > Primates > Hominidae > Homo > Homo sapiens. The sequence goes on from NC_000005.10 coordinate 126,289,893, forward strand.
CAAAATTATATTTCTAAGCACTATAAATAAATAATTCAAAAACAGAATTAAGAAAACTCCATTTATAAAAGCATCAAAAAGAATTAAGTACTTTGAAATAAATTTAGCAAAAAAAAGTAGAAGTCTTGTACATTGAAAACAACAAAATTTAAAAAATTAAACACCTAAATAAATGAAGAGACATCTCATATTCATGCATCAGAAGTTACTACTGCTAAGATATCAATATTCCCCAAACCGATTTGCAGAGTAAATGCAATACCTATCAAAATCCTGGCTGTCTTCTGGGAAGAAACTGGAAAGTTGATTCTAAAATTAATATGGAAATGGAAAGGACTCAGAATAGCCAAAACAACCTTAAAAAAGAAGATAAAAAGACTCACGCTTTCAGATTCCAAAGCTACAGTACAGTATAGTACAGTACAACAAAGCTACTGTAATCAAGACAGTTTGGTATTGGCATAAGGATAGACATAGAGATAGAATATAATAAGAGTTCAGTTATATTCCCTTACCCTTATAGTCAATTGATTTTTAACAAGATAACCAAAGTAATTCAATGGGGGAAATAATAGTCAGAACCATAAAGAGGTATCACTTCATACTCCCAAAAATAGCTGTAATCAAAAGACAAACAATAACAAGTTTAGGCGAGCCTGTGGACAAATTGGAGCCCTCCCTCATTCATTACTAGTGAGATTCCAAAATGGTACAGCCACTCTGGAAAGCAGTTTGGCAGTTCCTTAAAACGTTAAGCATAGAGTAACCGTGACCCAGCAATTCTCCTAAGAGAAGTGAAAACATATGTCCACGTAACTTGTACATAAGTGTTCACTGTAGTATAATTCGTAACTGCCAAAAAAGTGGAAATAACCCAAATGTCCACCAACTGATGAATATGTAGATGAAATGTGGTATATACAGTGGAACGTCATTAGACCATAAAAGGAATGAAGTACTGATACATGCTACAGCATAGATGAACCTTGAAAGCACGCTGAGCGAAAGAAGTCAGATACAAGAGGTAAAATAGAAAGGAGGTTAGTTGTTTCCTGGAGCTAGGGGCAGGAGGGAATGGGGAGTTATTGGGTTTGTTTTGGGGGCATGAAATATTCTAAAACCAGATAGTGGTGATGACTACACAATTCTTTAAGTATACCAAGAATTATTGAATTGTAATTTCAAAATTTAAAGGGTGCATTTTATAGTATGTGAATTATATCTCAATAAAGTTGTTATTTTAAAAAAGAATAGACTCATTATGCTTCATTATGCTTACTCTTAAGTAATAGAAAGGAATTAATCATGTCAACTCTAAAAGGATAGTGGTAGTGATTCATCTTAGAGCACATTAGGAATGTAGAGAATGGAAGAGCTAAGGTACTTTAATTCATTTTTAACCCTTAAATATACATACACCTCAAAAACTACAAGAACCTAATTTCCTTTTAATAGCTTAGAAATAGTTACTCTCCACTGATTTCCCATTTCTCTAATAGCAGAAAATGTCCATCTTCAAAAAGAAAAATGTCCCTTCTTTAATGGTCTTTAAACACAAGATAGTTTATCAATAATTTGGAGAGTGTTTCAAGCTAAAATGCTTAGAGACGAGTTGCGACTAGCTTACTTTTATAGGCATGCCCAATCAACAGCCTATATCTTAACCGCCCTTGAAGTTTAGAAAGAATCAATTAGACCAGAATATAAATTTCTGAATCAAAAAGCCTTTTGTGTTACATAATGAATATATATTCCTTATGCACCAGAAATTACAAACTCAAATTTCTACAAGGTCTAAGCAGGCTACCAATCTTGGTAAAGAGGGCCTAATACAGTCTGTAACAGCCAGTACTCAGTTACAGGAGATGGATGCCATGCAAGAGTGTGGATCCAGTGTTATCAAATCTACCTAATTTTCAAGTCAAGCTACCAATGCAGGTATTTATGATAAAAAAAATCTCATTTAAAAAATAAGAAATTCAGAATATTTTTAAATACAAAAACCAAAAAAAAGATACCTCTATGCCAGTTTAGAGAAAAAAAGAGTAAAAAGAAATGAACAAAGCCTCCAAGAAATATGGGACTATGTGAAAAGACCAAACCTACGTCTGTCTGGTGTACCTGAAAGTGACGGGGAGAATGGAACCAAGTTGGAAAACACTCTGCAGGATACTGTCCAGGAAAACTTCCCCAACCTAGAAAGGCAGGCCAACATCCAAATTCAGGAAATACAGAGAACACCACAAAGATACTCCTCAAGAAGAGCAACCCCAAGACAAATAATTGTAAGATTCACCAAGGTTGAAATGAAGGAAAAAATGTTAAGGGCAGCCAGAGAGAAAAAGTCGGGTTACCCACAAAGGGAAGCCCATCAGACTAACAGCAGATATCTCAGCAGAAACTCTACAAGCCAGAAGAGAGTGGGGGCCAATATTCAACATTCTTAAAGAAAAGAATTTTCAAGCCAGAATTTCATATCCCGTCAAACTAAGCTTCATAAGTGAAGGAGAAATAAAATACTTTACAGACAAGCAAATTTTGAGAGATTTTGTCACCACCAGGCCTGCCTTACAAGAGCTCCTGAAGGAAGCACTAAACATGGAAAGGAAGAACTGGTACCAGCCACTGCAAAAACATGCCAAATTGTAGAGACCATCGATGCTAGGAAGAAACTGCATCAATCAATGGGCAAAATAACCAGCTAACATCATAATGATGGGATCAAATTAACACATAACAATATTAACCTTAAATGTAAATGGGCTAAATGCCCCAATTAAAAGACACAGACTGGCAAATTGGATCAAGAGTCAAGAACCATCAGTGTGCTGTATTCAGGAGAAACATCTCACATGCAGATACACACAGAAGCTCAAAATAAAGGCATGGAGGAAGATCTACCAAGCAAATGGAAAGCAAAAAAAAACCAGGGCTTGCAATCCCAGTCTCTGATAAAACAGACTTTAAACCAACAAAGATCAAAAGAGACAAAGAAGGCCATTACATAATGGTAAAGGGATCAATTCAACAAGAAGAGCTAACTATCCTAAATATATATGCACCCAATATAGGAGCACCCAGATTCATAAAGCAAGTCCTTAGAGACCTACAAAGAGACTTAGACTCCCACACAATAATGGCAGATTTTAACACCCCACTGTCAATATTAGACAGATTGAGACAGAAAGTTAAGAAGGATATCCAGGATTTGAACTCAGCTCTGCACCAAGCGGACCTAATAGACATCTACAGAACTCTCCACCCCAAATCAACAGAATATACATTCCTTTCAGCACCATATCCCACTTATTCCAAAATTGACCACATAGTGGGAAGTAAAGCACTCCTCAGCAGATGTAAAAGAACAGAAATCACAACAAACTGTCTCTCAGACCACAGTGCAATCAAATTAGAACTCAGGATTAAGAAACTCACTCAAAACCGCACAACTACATGGAAACTGAACAACCTGCTCCTGAATGACTACTGGGTGCATAACGAAATGAAGGCAGAAATAAAGATGTTCTTTGAAACCAATGAGAACAAAGACAACACACCAGAATCTCTGGGACACATTTAAAATAGTGGGTAGAGGGAAATGTATAGCACTAAATGCCCACAAGAGAAAGCAGGAAAGATCTAAAATTGACACCCTAATATCACAATTAAAAGAACTAGAGAAGCGAGAGCGAACACATTCAAAAGCTAGCAGAAGGCAAGAAATAACTAAGATCAGAGCAGAACTGAAGGAGATAGATAAACAAAAAACTCTTCAAAAAAAAAAAAAAATCAATGAATCCAGGAGGTGGTTTTTCGAAAAGATCAACAAAATTGATAGACCACTAGCAAGACTAATGAAGAGGAGAGAAAAATCAAATAGACCCAATAAAAACTAATGAAGGGGATATCACCACCAATCCCACAGAAATACAACTACCATCAGAGAATACTACAAACATCTCTATGCAAATGAAGTAGAAAATCTAGAAGAAATGGATAAATTCCTGGACACATACACCCTCCCAAGACTAAACCAGGAAGAAGCTGAATCTCTGAATAGACCAATAAGAGGCTCTGAAATTGAGGCAATAATTAATAACCTACCGACCAAAGAAAGTCCAGGACCAGATGGATTCACAGCCGAATTCTACCAGAGGTATCAAGAGGAGCTGGTACCATTCCTTCTGAAACAGTTCCAATCAACAGAAAAAGAGGGAATCCTACCTTACTCATTTTGTGAGGCCAGCATCATCCTGATACCAAAGCCTGGCAGAGACACAACAAAAAAAGAGAATTTTAGACCAATATCCCTGATGAACTTCGATGCAAAAATCCTCAATAGAATACTGGCAAACTGAATCCAGCAGCACATCAAAAAGCTTATCCACCATGATTAAGTGGGCTTCATCCCTGGGATGCAAGGCTGGTTCAACATATGCAAATCAATAAACGTAATCCATCACATAAACAGAACCAATGACAAAAACCACATGATTATCTCAATAGATGCAGAAAAGGCCCTCAACAAAATTCAACAGCCCTTCCTGCTAAAAACGCTCAATAAACTAGGTATTGATGGAACATATCTCAAAATAATAAGAGCTATTCATGACAAACCCACCACCAATATCATACTGAATGGGCAAAAACTAGAAGCATTCCCTTGGAAAACTGGCACAAGATAGGGATGCCCTCTCTCACCACTTCTTTTCAACATAGTGTTGGAAGTTCTGGCCAGGGCAATCAGGCAAGAGAAAGAAATAAAGCGTATTCAATTAGGAAGAGGAAGTCGAATTGTCCCTGTTTGCAGATGACATGACTGTGCATTTAGAAAACCCCATCGTCTCAGCCCCAAATCTCCTTAAGCTGATAAGCAACTCCAGCAGTCTCAGGATACAAAATCAATGTACAAAAATCACAAGCATTCCTATACACCAATAACAGAAAGAGAGCCAAATCATGAGTGAACTCCCATTCACAATTGCTTCAAAGAGAATAAAATACCTAGAAATCCAGCTTACAAGGGATGTGAAGGACCTCTTCAAGGAGAACTACAAACCACTGTTCAACAAAATAGAGGAGGACACAAACAGAAGAACATTCCATGCTCATGGATAGGAATAATCAATATTGTGAAAATGGCCATACTGCCCAAGGTAATTTATAGATTCAATGCCATCCCCATCAAGCTACCAATGACTTTCTTCACAGAATTGGAGAAAACTATTTTAAAGCTCATATGGAACCCAAAAAAAGCCCGCATTGCCAAGACAATCCTAAGCAAAAAGAACAAAGCTAGAGGCATCATGCTACCTGACTTCAAACTATACTACAAGTCTACAGTAACCATAACAGTTTGGTATTGGCACCAAAACAGATATATAGACCAATGGAGCAGAACAGAGGCCTCAGAAATAACAGCACACATCTAAAACCATCTGATCTTTGGCAAACCTGACAAAAACGAGAAATAGGGAAAGGATTCCCTATTTGATAAATGGTGCTGGGAAAACTGGCTAGCCATATGTAGAAAGCTGAAACTGGATCCCTTCCTTACACCTTATACAAAAATTAACTCAAGATGGATTAAAGACTTAAATGTTAGACATAAAATCATAAAAACCCTAGAAGAAAACCTAGGCGATGCCATTCAGGACATAGGCATGGGCAAGGACTTCATGACTAAAACACCAAAGGCAATGGCAACAAAAGCCAAAATAGACAAATGGGATCTAATTAAACTAAAGAGCTCCTGCACAGCAAAAGAAACTGTCATCAGAGTGAACAGGCAACCTACAAAATGGGAGAAAATTTTTACAATCTACCAATCTGACAAAGGGCTAATATCCAGAATCTACAAGGACTCAAACAAATTTACAAGAAAAAAAAAAAAAACCATCAAAAAGTGGGCAAAGGATATGAACACTTTTCAAAAGAAGACATTTATGCAGCCAAAAGACACAGGAAAAAATGCTCATCATCAATGGTCAGAGAAATGCAAATTAAAGCAACAGTGAGATATCAGCTCACACCAGTTAGAATGGCAATCATTAAAATGTCAGGAAACAACAGGTGCTGGAGAGGATGTGGAGAAATAGGAACACTTTTACACTGTTGGTGGGACTGTAAACTAGTTCAACCATTGTGGAAGACAGTGTGGCGATTCCTCAAGGATCTATAACTAGAAATACCATTTGACCCAGCCATCCCATTACTGGGTATATACCCAAAGGATTATAAATCATGCTGCTATAAAGACACATGCACACGTATGTTTATTGTGGCACTATTCACAATAGCAAAGACTTGGAACCAAGCCAAATGTCCAACAATGATAGACTGGATTAAGAAAATGTGGCACATATACACCATGGAATACTATGCAGCCATAAAAAAGGATGAGTTCATGTCCTTTGTAGGGACATGGATGAAGCTGGAAACCATCATTCTCAGCAAACTATCGCAAGGCCAAAAAACCAAACACCACATGTTCTCACTCATAGGTGGGAACTGAGCAATGAGAACACATGGACACAGGAAGGGGAACATCACACACCGGGGACTGTTGTGGGGTGGGGGAAGTGGGGAGGGATAGCATTAGGAGATATACCTAATGCTAAATGACAAGTTAATGGGTGCGGCACACCAACATGGCACATGTATACATATGTAACAAACCTGCACGTTGTGCACATGTACCCTAAAACTTAAAGTATAATAATAATAATAAATAAATAAATAAAATAAGGCTACAAAATGGGTATGGCTGTGTTCCAATAAAACTATTTACAGAAACAGGTGATGGGCAAGATTTGGCCCATAGACCAAAGTTTGCCAACACTTAACGTAGAAAGTCACAAGTGAATGTTACTGTCACCCCCAACAATGAGAACAGGCTGAATAAATACAAATAATATGGTTCGAGCCTATTACAGAACTAAGGTCACTAGGTAAACTAATTAACTAACTCGAAGAGTGACAAGCTCTTCAAAGAAGAGACAAGACCCATTAACTATTTCACCTCTGGTAGAGCAGCAGGAGGAAGAGGAAGATGCCATAGATGCAAGTAAGAAAAAAAAAAACCTAAATTTTGACAAAGGTTTGAAAGCTGAATAAGGGTTGATATAATAGTTTAAGATCCCTGGGAACCACATTCCCCTATTTTCCCAACCCCCTTCCCCATCTTCCCAAACTCTGCCCTCAACAGAGCCTACACCCATCCAACAACTCTTTCACAGACCTAACCCAAGGGGGGTCATGAAAAAGATTAGAGTAAAGCAAGTTAATGAAGAGAGATCTCCTCTGTAGCACTGATATGCTGGGCTTGCCTCAGTCTGAAGGTAAAACAGGCGAATGAGAGGAAACCTCCAGCACTCAGAATTCTGCAAGAGTACTTGACAACAGCAATCTACCACTAGGGAAGGGACAGGAATACTGAGAGAGACTTACCACTGAGGTACAGGCACACTGGGCCTGTTGAAGTCTGAGGGCAGGACCACTGGAAAAAATGTTCTGGGACTCCACACCTCACACTGAATAGGAAACTGCATTCGACTTCTGGCTGACTGAAGCCCATGGAGTGCCAATTGTAACTAAAGCAACAACCAAGCTCAAACCCAACCCAGCTCACAAGACCCTGGACTGGCCCAACCCACCACGTCAATGGCACGATAGAAGGTGTGCTCATTCCAGAAAGTAAGCATTATTTACTGAGTCTCTCCTTATATACATGATGAAAATAAGAAAATAGAGCCCATCGTGAAGAGAGAAAATAATCAATTTAACCCTAAGATAGCACAGGTGTTAGAATTATGAATCAGAAATTTGAACTTCAAGATAATAAAATACAGAACCTCGTATTTCTTGCTTATCTGAAAAAAAAGTCTTAATTAAAGAAGCAATATAATGGAATGGTATATGATTGTAACTCATTACCCATAATCACTGCAGAGTAGATAAGATACTACTGGATGAGAAACTCATATTCTCAACACTAAGCTTTTTAGGGAAAAAATATAACTAAGTTGACAATGCAATGAATGTCAAGACTAGGATACTGTTGATAGTCAAAGGGGTACTAAAAATAATTATATAATTTTAATAGGTCTTTATTGGGCAACAAAATGGTTTTATTATGTTAATGGTCCTACAGAATAATGTTATTAAAACTTTTTTAAAAATAAAAGTATTCAACTTACTGGCCACATCTGTCCATAATACCATGTTACTTTTTTTCTAAAAATGTATTTTCTTTTAATTGAGTTGTTTTGGATTTTCATTAAATTATCTGTAATATTTATTAAATTTGCATTTATAGCTAATAAATTTGAACTTGTTGACATCTTCAAATGACTCATACACACCGTAGTTTTTAATTGAGAGTATATTGTCTCTAAAGAGGCTAAGGTAAGCTGAATGCAAACTGCTAAATAGAGAATAGTCTAAACTCCAATTTTTTCTTATTGAAATTCATTGCATAAACATTTTAGCCCAAATATATTTCACAGGTATTATCTTTTTACTTCCCTACAGGGTACAAGCACAACTTGTCAAATATCTCTGTCTCTGATTATTTTAAATGTTACACTAAATTTTAATGTTGTAAAACCTTGGGGCTTCTCAATTTCATTCTAATCCAATATATAAGTTTATTCTATTGAAAATGAAACTCTATGAAAAGATTCAAGAAATTGAGATATTGCCAATCACTAGTATAAAATTTTTAAATTAAAATTTGAAACCATTTAGCTTTGACCAAGTTGTTTATTCTCTTGCTTTTTAGGGAGAACTTTCAATGTGCTCCTGTTGGTACATGTTGTTTTCAGTAATTGAAATTTGCTAAAAAGCTGGAGTTGTAGTGTTTTGTTGAATTTTTTGCTTAAAGATTCTTAATTTTGAATATACAACAAGGCTTGGAGTATTTGTTTTTAAAACGTTTAATGCCAGTGTAAGACACTTATGTTGATTTAAAAGCTTATGTTCAAAAGCTCAAACATTTCCACAAGCTGGTTGATCATGGGCAGTAAAGAAAGTGCTCACTGATAGTCTAATATTTTATTTTGTTTTGTTTTGTTTTCTGTATCTCAGGCTTTCTCACAAGGAAAAATTTGTTCTTCTTACTTTCTGTGTGACAACTACAGATTTTCTTAAGTTCATTATTTTGTTTAGGAAATTATTCAAGAAATTCAACATTGAGTTTTCCTGCAATTAAAAAATAATATTGCCACACAATATAAAGCATAGTCCTCTACCAGAGCGTCGCTCTAATCTTGAAGGAGATATTTGACCAACTTTACAAACTGGAGGTTGCTCTCTTCATACATCTGCTCATTAAGATCTTTCCTTATTGGTATTTGCTTGCAGACTGTTTTCCAGTCACTATTCTTTTTAAAGTATACCATTGTTGAAATATAGAAGTATGCAAAGCGCACATGCCATAAATATACAGTTTGATGAATTGTCACAAACTAAACACACTTGTAGCCAGCACCAGATCTAGAAACAGAATATTACCAGCACCCTGGAAATGATCCCTTACACTTTTTACAGTGATTACATTCTTTCCTCCCCTCTGCTCTGCACCCAGAGTAACTACTAACCTAACTTTTACAGGGGTGTCCAAACTTTTGGCTTCCCTTGGCCTCATTGGAAGAAGAATGTGTCTTCCACCACACATAAAATACATTAACACTAATCATAGCTGATGTGCCTTTAAAAACGCAAAAAATCTCATAATGTTTAAGAAAGCTTACCAATTTGTGTTGGGCCGCATTCAAAGCCATCCTGGGCCACATGCGACCCATGGCCCTTGGGTTGGACAAGTTTGTTTTGACACCTTAGACCAGCTTTGTCTGTTTTTAAACTTTCTAGTAGGTGGAATCAAATTGACTATGTGTCAGCTTGTCTAGAAGATTCCTCACACTGTTGCATGTCATTGGTTGTTCATTCCTATTGTTTGTGATTCCACTGGATGAATATACTCAAATTCATTTGTTCATTCTACCATCATTGAGTATTTGGGTAGTTTCCACTCTTTGTCTATTGCAAATTGTGGTGCTATGAAGAAGAATGAACAAGCCTGCTGTTGTACACAACTACACATTTCTGTTGTGTATATATATAACTGTATAGCTTCTTTGGATACCATTATGCATTATGCGTACCACAACCAATTCCAAGTATATTCCAGCTTCACGGGTTTTCTAATTTTGTAAGATTATGTTACTTCAAATCTGTGCACCACTAACATTTACATTCAGATTGCCAGAACAAAAAAAAAATGTTCTGTTCAAAAAAATAAAAAATTATTTTTTCTTCTGTTTGCAAAGTTCTTCTACTATTGGAGCCAGCAGTGTAATACCTATTGCTTCACTTTTGTATGTGCACCAGAAAACTTGGAATTGAAAATAAGAAAAATTAATTTAGAAGACTCATTTGATCTAAACAAAAATCATATTTCATAAACACACCTTCTGCAGCTACACATATTAAATCGCTGCCTTTGGGCACAGTCTTTTAGAATTACTAACTTTTGGAGTAGCTACTGATGATGCTTCCGCAGATTGGTGTCTTCCAGTTTTCATGTGGTCAATGGTACCACTATGGCCCCTGCAGGCGGTGGGTAGCAAATGTTATCCATTCATTATCAAGTTTCTTTAAAAATGTTTTAGTATTTAAAGTTTATTATGCCTGTATTTCCATTCATTTGAGCTCATTGATAACTAAAGAGTTTGCCACCAAATTTCTTAAAACATTATCAAATTAACATTTGTAGATTTACACCATACAATGAACAACAAAATCACTATTCAAGTGCATTCAGCCTATTCTCTGCATGTACTTCTATTTCTAGCACCTGTTTCATATACATCTGACTAACAATTTTCCACTGATAGCCACACTGGTGACTTTCTGTGTTTCAGGCTGAAGCACGGGCCATGCACACCTAGCTAGTACATGAGTGTTCCGAAGGGGCAGTACTACCAAATATTTCTCCCATCATTATCCAAAACTGGAAAGAGTTAGCTGTCCCTAGTTACTAACAAGGACACTTCATTTTTATCATTCAGCACCCTGCACGCTGGTCTTGAAAGTTAAATATTGGTTACATTGCCAATACATCACCAACACACTGCCCGTGGGTCTCACACACTACTAGACAAGACTATGGAACAATCTGGAAAGAGGCAGACTGGCATGTCCTTTCAGCTCTGGGGCCCTTCATTTTTCCCCTTTTTTGTATTCAAATATGATGACTAGAGGCACAGTAGCCAACTTCCAACTATGAGGAACCGTGGCAATAGAGATGCCTGAGTCCTTGATGCACGTTGACATCACAAAGCAGCTGCAATAATCTTGGCCTGCCTCTCTCTGGACCTCTGATTAAACACAAAAACAGAAAGAGAAACAAACCCCCTCTGTTATTGGACTCAAGTAGAGTTTACTTCTGTTGCAGTAAAACACTTTTCTAATTGAAAAGCATCTAAGTCATTTCAATAAAAATACATTTCAGTGGGCGGGAAGGTGACTCACATCTGTAATCCCAGCACTTTAGGAGGTCAAGATGGGAAGATTGTTTAAAGCCAGGAGTTCGAGGCCAGCCTGGGCAACACAGCAAGACCCCCATCTCTACAAAAAATAAAAATTTTTAAAAACTTCCATTATATCTAAAGAGAAACTTCTCTCTGCTAGTTGCCATCACTCTGCCTCAATTGGAACTACTTTGATATCTGGTATATATTAGATGTAAACTGTTCATTTGATTTCAATAATTAAACACACACACTAACAAGCTTGCTTTTTTTTTTTTTTTTTTTTTTTTGAGACGGAGTCTCGCCCTGTCGCCCAGGCTGGAGTGCAGTGGCACAATCTCAGCTCACTGTAGGCTCCGCCTCCCGGGTTCACGCCATTCTCCTGCCTCAGCCTCCCAAGTGGCTGGGACTACAGGTGCCCACCACCACGCCTGGCTAATTTTCTTGTATTTTTAGTAAAGACGGGGTTTCACCGTGTTAGCCAGGATGGTCTCGATCTCCTGACCTCATGATCCGCCCGCCTTGGCTTCCCAAAGTGCTGGGATTACAGGCTTGAGCCACCGCGCCTGGCCACAAGCATTTCTTTAAGGGACAGGGTCTCAGTCTGTTGCCCAGGCTGAGTACAGTGGCGAGATCGTAACTCACTGCAGCCTTGACCTCCTAGGCTCAAGTAACCTTCCTGTCTCGGACTCCTGAGTAGATAGAACTAGAGGCATGCACCACCACACCAACCTACTTTTTAACTTTTTAATTTTTTGTATAGATGGGTTCTCACTATGTTGCCCAGGCTGGTATCAACCTTCAGGGCTCAAGCAATTCTCCTAACTTTGGCCTCCAAAAGTGCTGGGATTTTAGGTATAAGCTATAGTATCTGACCCGCATTAATATATTTACTTTCTATTCAATTTAGTGAGCACTTTCTATAGGCTGCCTGATATTTGATTTTCATTCACATAAATCATCACTTTACTGGAAAGTCTTAGAAGGCAGAGACAGGGTCATATACTTTGGAGGACCTTATGGAATGTATCAATATTCAATTGAAAGTATTTTACACATGCTTTTACTTTCATATCAGAAACAGTTAAAACAAAGCTTTTTAAAAAAAAAGTTTAAAAGTTCTAAAAACTTTGATTCCAAGTTATTGCAACAATCATATCAAAAAGTATATTTTCCTCCTTTCTTAGGTTAGTTTTAAATAAACTGAATTTTATATCCCTGTTTAATTTTTTTAAGTTGATTGGCAAGAAGCCAGCTTTCAAAACTGTGCAAATTAACCACCTGAGTCAGTTTTTTTAAAAAAAAAAAAAAAAGCAAATAACTTACTTCAATCCCCCAAAAAAAGCTATTTTTTTTACTTCCTTTAGAGTAGGACTGTTTTTAAATGAGAAGATGATTGTAAATCATTCTAAACTGCTCATAGACTGAGTTATATTGTTCCCTAAGATGAACTTTAAGAGGCATCTTATGATTTATGTATTTGTGATCAAAATAAAGACAGCCTGATGCATTTGCTGTGGGAGAAATTTGCATTCCATTTTATGTGCTATTCAAATGTGAGGTATACAACTGAGGTAGAGCAATAAAGAAAACAGTAATAGTAGGTCTTAGGACTAGAATGTACCTGGTTTTGTAGGATCTAAAAAGTAAATCATTTGGCTGGCCACATACTGTTCTATTGGGATCCACTTTATAATTTCTATCTTAGCAGTTTTTCCTCTCCAACCCAGTCGACTGGTTACTTGAGGGCAGGAAATATCCTTTGAGGCATTATTTTCCATCTTCAGTGCATGATGTGCTTCTGGGCTCATTGTTGGAATACAATGACTACAATTCAAATGATTGACTGATACCTCATAAGTTGATAGCTATTTTAGAAGAGTGAGCCCTTCCAGGAATTACTAAAGAGATAAGGATAGAGTATCCTTGATTCCCAGTATTTATAAGCACACATTTAATAAGACAGCCTCTTAAGGGCATTTCTTTCCTCTTTGAACATCACTTGGAACCACCACGATCAAGTCAGCTTCATTCCTGGGATGCAAGTCTGGTTCAACAAACACAAATCAATAAACATAATTCATCACATAAACAGAACTAATGACAAAAACCACATGATTACTTCAATAGATGCGGAAAAGGCCTTCAATAAAATTCAACATCCCTTCATGTTAAAACCTCTCCATAAACTAGGTATTGAAGGAACATATCTCAAAATAAAAGCCATTTATGACAAACTCACAGACAACATCACACTGAACGGGAAAAAGCTAGAAGCATTCCCCTTGAAAACCAGCAGAAGACAAGGATGCCCTCTCTCACCACTCCTATTCAACATAGTATTGGAAGTTCTGGCCAGGGAAATCAAGCAAGAGAAAGAAATAAAGGGTATTCAAATAGGAAGAGAGGAAGTCAAATTGTCCTTGTTTGTAGATAACATGATCCTATATCTAGAAAACCCAATCATCTCAGCCTGAAAGCTTCTTAAGCTGATAAGCAACTTCAGCCAAGTCTTGGGATATAAAAATCAATGCAAAAATCACAAGCATTCCTGTACACCAACAACAGACAAGCACAGAGCCAAATCATGAATGAATAAAATACCTAGGAATACAGCTAACAAGGAAAGTGAAGGACCTTTTCAAGGAGAACTACAAACTACTGCTCAAGGAAATAAGAGAGGATACAAACAAATGGATACAAACAAATGGAAAAACATTCCTTGCTCATGGATATGAAAAATCAATATTGTGAAAATGGCCATACTGCCCAAAGTAACTTATAGATTCAATGCTATTTCCATTAAACTACCACTGAAATTCTTCACAGAATTAGAAAAAACTATTCTAAAATTAATGTGGAACCAAAAGAGAGCCCATATAGCCAAGACAACCCTAAGCAAAAACAAAGCTGGAGGCATCACACTACTTGACTTCAAACTATACTGCAAGGCTACAATAACCAAAACAGCATGGTACTGGCACAAAAACAGGCACATACATCAATGGAACAGAAGAGAGAACTCCTAAACAAGACCACACACCTACAAGCATCTGATCTTTAACAAACTTGACAAAACAACCAACGGGGAAAGGATTCCCTATTTAATAAATGGTGCTGGGAGAACTGGCTAGCCATATGCAGAAAATTGAAACTGGACCCCTTCCTTATACCTTATACAAAAATTAAGATGGATTAAACACTGAAATGTAAAACCCAAAACTATAAAAATCATAGAAGAAAATCTAGGCTATATCATTCATGACATAGGCACAGACAAGGATTTCATGACAGAAACATCAAAAGCCATTGCAACACAAGGAAAAATTAACAAATAAGATCTTATTAAACTAAGAGCTTCTGGACAGCAAAAGAAACTATCAGAGTGAACAACAACCTACCGAATGGGAAAAAAAATTTACAATCTATCTATCTGACAAAGGTCAAACATCCAGAGTCAACAAATAACTTAAATTTACAAGAAAAAAAAAAGACATTAAAAAGTGGGCAAAGGACATGAACAGACACTTCTCCAAAGATGACTTACGTGTGGCCAACAAACATGAAAAAAAGCTCAATATCACTGATCATTAGAGAAATACAAATCGAAACCACAATGAGACACCATCTCATGCCAATCAGAATGGCTATTACTAAAAAGTCAAAACCCAACAGATGCTGGTGAGGCTGTGGAGAAATAGGAATGCTTTTACATAGTTGGTAGGAATGTAAATTAGTTCAACCATTGTAGAAGACAAGTGTGGCAATTCCTCAAAGACCTAGAACCAGGAATACCATTCAACCCAACAATCCCATTACTGGGTATATACCTAAGGGAATATAAATCATTCTATTATAAAGATACATACATACATACATATGTTCATTACAGCACTATTCACAATAGCAAAGACATGGAATCAACCCAAATATCCATCGATGATAGACTGGATAAAAAAAATGTAGTACATGTACACCATGGAATACTATGCAGCCATAAAAAGGAACAAGATCATGTCCTTTACAGACACATGGATGGAGCTGGGAGCCATTATCCTCAGCTAACTAACACAGGAACAGGAAACCAAACATTGTATGTTCTCACTCATAAGTGGGAGCTGAACAATGAGAAGACATGGACACAGGGAGGGAAACAACACACACTGGGGCCTGTCGTGGGGTTGGGCAAGGAGAGCACCAGGATAAATAGCTAATGCATGCTGGGCTTAACACCTAGGTGATGGGTTGATCTGTGCAGCAAACCACCATGGCACCCATTTACCTATGTAACAAACCTGCACATCCTGTACATGTACCCCAGAACTTAAAAAACAAAAAAAATTTACTTGGAAAATGTTTGAAAAATCACTTGGCACCTGTTCTTGGAATTAGTATTTACTTGAAGGAATGCTTTTAAATTCTTTCAGACTTAGTTCATGTTCTATTTTTTCTGCTTATTGTATTCTCTTATTGCTAAAAAAACATTTTAAAACACTCATACTTCAACATTTCTAAACTGTGTACTAAATTAACCAGCCGTTCACCTTGACTTTAAAGTCTCCCAGTTTACCCTTTTTAATTTATCTGTTTCTACAATTATTTGTTCCAGCCAAATCACCTGAGTTCTATAATCCCTAAACACAATTCCTGTTTCCTTACCTCTATTTTGTCTTGCTGTTCCCTATACCTGGAACATCTCCCTACATCCTTTGCTTGTCATGATTCTACTCATTTTTGAGGACACTCTCAAATGTTTCAGTATCTATGATCTTCATATGAGCTCTCCCACCTTAAACTTCTGATGTTTAGCAAGGCTTCCTAGGGTTCTTATCTGACTTACTATATGAAATACTGAGGAATTCTTTAAATAGTTTCAGATGCCTGCTATATTGAAAAAGCACACACCAAAACCAGAAATCAAAACAAGAGGAATTTTGGAAATTATATAAGCACAAGGAAATTAATATGTTTCTAAATGACCAGTGGGTCAATGAAGAAATAAAGAAATTGAAAATTTTCTCAAAACAAATAATGGAAACACAATATATCAAAACCTATGGGATACAGAGAAAGCAGTACTAAGAGAGAAACTTATAGCTATAAGTGCCTATATCAAGAAGAAAAGCCTCAAATATATAACCTGATGATGCATCTTGAAGAACCAGAAAAGCAAGAGCAAACCAAAACCAAAATTAGAAGAAAGGAAATAAAGATCAGAGCAGAAATAAATGCAATACAAAACAGTGCAAAAGATCAACAAAAAATTGGTTTTTTGAAAACAGAATTAACATTTAGCCAGACTAAGAAAAAAAAAAAGAAAACTCAAAATCAGAGATGAAAACAGTGATGTTACAATTGACACCATAGAAATTTAAAGGGTCATTAATGGCTACTATGAGCAACTATATGCCAATACATTGGAAAGTATAGAAGAAATGAACAAATTCCTAGACACATACAATCTACCAAGATTGAACCATGAAGAAATCCAAAACCTGAACCAACCAATAACAACTAACGAGATTGAAGCTGTACCAGTAAAAAGCCTAGAACCCAATGGCTTTACTGCTACATTCTACCAAACATTTAAAGAACTAGTATCAATCCTACTCAAACTATTCTGAAAGATAGAAGGGGAAGAGGAGGGAATACTTCCAGTCATTCTATGAGGCCAGTTTTACTGGGATACCGAAACCAGGCAATGACACGTCTGAAAAAGAAAATTACAGGTGAATATCTCTGATGAATATTGATGTGAAAATCTTCAACATAATATGAGCAAACCAAATTCAACAATACATTGAAAAGTCATTCATCATGACTAAGTGGCATTTATCCCAGGGATGTAAGGATGGTTCAACATATGAAAAAAATCAATCAACTTGACACATCATATCAACAGAATGAAGGATAAAAACCATATGATTATTTTCACTGATGCTAAAAAGCATTTGATAAAATTCTATATCCCTTCATGGTAAAAACCTTCACAAAACTAGGTATAGAAGGAATGTACCTCAACATAATAAAATCCATATACAACAGACCCACAGCTAGTATCCTACTGAATGGGGAAAAACTGAAAGCCTTTCCTCTAAGATCTGGAATAAGTCAAGGATGCCCACTTTCACCAGTATTATTCAATATAGCATTGGAAGTCCTAGCTAGAGGAATCAGACAAGAGAAAGAAATAAAGTGCATCCAAGTTAGAAAGGAAGAAGTCAAATTTTTCCTGTTTGCAGATGTTATGATCTTATATTTAGAAAAACCCAAAGATTCCACAAAAAAAAAAAAAGTAGAACTGATAAATTAAGTTTGCAGGATACAAAAACCAACATGTGAAAATCAGTAGCATTTCTATATGCCAACAGTGAACATGTGAAAAAAATTTAAAAGTAAACCCATTTATAACAGCCACAAATAAAAATACCTAGAAATTAGCTTAACCAAAGAAGAGGAATACATCTACAATAAAAGCTATAAAACACTGATGTATATAAAAGAAATACACAAAAAAATGAAAAAATATTCCATGTTCACGGATTGGAAGAATCAATATTGTTAAAATGTCCATACTACCCAAAGCAATCTACAGATTCAATGCAATCTCTATCAAAATACCAATGACATTCTCTGCAGACATAGAAAAACCAATCTTAAAATTTATATGGAACCACAAAGACCCAGAAGAGCCAAAATTTTCCTGAGCAAAAAGAACAAAACTGGAAGAATCACATTATTTGACTTCAAATCATACTACAGAGCTTGGGGAACAAAAACATCATGATACTGGCATAAAAACAGACACACAGACCAATCAAACAGAATAGAGAACCCAGAAACAAATCCATACACCTACAGTGAACTCACTTTTGATGAAGGTGTCAAGAACATACACTGGGAAAAAGATGGTCTCTGTAACAAATGGTGCTGGGAAAACTGAAAGAAGAATGAAACTAGACCATTATCTCTTGTCATATACAAAAGTGAAATCAAAATGGAGTAAAGACTTAAATCTATGATCTCAGCCTATGAAACTACTAGAGGAAAACATCAAGGAAACTCTCCAGGACACTGGTCTGGGCAAAAATATCTTGAATAAGCCCTACAAGCACAGGCAACCAAAGCCAAAATGGACAAATGAGATCACATCAAGTTAAAAAGCTTCTGCACAGCAAAGGCAACAATCAATGAAGTGAAGAGACAACCCACAGGATGAGAGAAAATATATGCAACTACCCATCTGATTAATAAGCAGAATACATAAGGACCCCAAAGAATCCTTTAGGGAAAAAAAACTAGTAATCCAATTTAAAAGTGGGAAAAGATTTGAATAGACATTTCTCAAAAGACATACAAATGGCAAATGGGCATATGAAAATGTGCTCAACATCATTGATTATCACACAAATGCAAATCAAAACTACGATGAGATATCATCTCATCCCCAGCTAATTGGCTTTTTTCCAAAAGACAGGCAATAACAAACACTGGGCAAGGGTGTGGAGAAATGGGACTCTTATACACTGTTGGTGGGGATGTAAATTAGTAAAACCATTATGAAGAACAGTTTGGAGCTTCCCCAAAAATACTAAAAATAGAGTTACCATACGATCCAACAATCCCACTACTGGGAATATACCCAAAAGCAAGGAAATCAGTATATCAAAAAGATGTCTGCACTCCCATGTTTGTTGCAGCACTGTTCACAATATCCAAAATTTGGAAGCAACCCAAGTGTCCATCAGCAGATAAATGGATAAAGAAAATGTGGTACATATACACAATGGAGTACTATTCTGCCATAAAAAATGAGTTACAGTCATTTGCAACAATACTGATGGAACTGGAGGTCATTGTGAAAAAAGTCAGGCACAGAAAGACAAAGTTCGCATGTTTTCACTTGTTTGTGGGAGCTAAAAATCAAAACATTTGAACTCATGGAGATAGAGAGCAGAAGGATGGTTATTGGAGGCTGGCAAGGGTAATGGGGCATTGGGGGAGAGATGGGGATGGTTAACAGGTACAAAAAAATAGGTAGAATAAGATCTAGTATTCGACAGCACAACAGGGCAACTGTAGTCAATAATGATTTAATTATACATTTTGAAATAATTAAAAAAGTGTAATTGGATTGTTTATAACACATAGGACAAATGCTTGAGGGAATGGATACCCCATTTTCTATGATGCTTATATCAAAGTATCTCATGGATATGAGTATAAGTATATATACCTACTATGTACCCGCAAAAATTAAAAATGAAAAAGAAACACCATTTATTAAGTGATGACTGTACCAGGAACTGTTAGGTCTCTACATATTGTCATTTAGTTATTATAGTAACCCATATTACTATTCCCACTTTACAGAAAAAGAAATGCTAAGTGCAGGCCAGGGACTCAGAATTAGGCTTACATATGAGGTGACTGACAGACCTGATTTGCTCAGGGTGAGGGGTCTCCTGGATGCAGGACTTTCAGTACTAAAACTAGGAGAGTCTGAGCAAACCAGAGTTTGCTCTGTCACTCTATTCACAGACCCCATCCTCCCTCATGAACATTCTCAGTCCATTCCTCACTACCAAAAGCTCAGAGGTGGGAGGTGTGGTCTAGCAGTCAGGAGTTTCTCCACCCACACAGCCTAACATGACCCAGTCCTGGGCAGAGCCATGTCAGAGTGAGCTACTGAGAGGAAGGGTAGGAAGTCCAGACTGGGTGTTATGGAAGATCAGTCAGAGTGGCAGAAGAAATTATAGGAATAGAAACCCTCTTGGAAGGCCCAGGGAGTTTTGCATAACTTCAGATAGTTTGGCTGAAGGCAGCCAGATTCTCTTTTCAGGAGCCAGAGAGCTTAGGGTACAAATACAAAGGAATGTAGAGTAGTTTATCTAAATAGCTTGTTTATTCATGTGGTCCTAAGACTAACTTTAATTATTCGTGGGCAGGATGGCTTTGGGGGGGTGGGGGCACGACAAGATTAATTACCCACAGGTATGTTGACTCAAAGCCTTTGTCATTTAATATGTGCTGAATAAATGCCGGCAGGGACAGCTAGTCAAGGCCTGGCTGCTGACTCTTTACATCACTTTCCTTGGTGTCTGTGAGGGGGCCCGGACCCTCAGCAGGACTGACAGGCAAGATTATCTGTCAGTGTACATTATTCATCCGTCGTTCGGTCAGGGTCTGCAGGACAGGCCCCCACAGGGTGTGAGCTGGATGAAGTCTCCCCTGCATCTAGCCCTATTCTCAACCTCTAACTGGAGGCATCTTCTCCCTGAACTTAGGTTGTCATCTCTCAGAAGCCTAACAGCCAAGTTTTGAGAACTTTGATGGGAAAGTGAATACCAGCTAGATATCTCTGCTCTCGCTTCCAACAGGCAAAGCAGAACATTATCTAGGTCTTTACAGGGTTGTCAGAAGCTGGAGAGATACAACATTTTACCCAATCCCCTGATTGACCAGGTCACCCAACCCCTTCAGACACATCAAGGGAAAGTCTGACTTCTCCAGAAACCCTGACTACTCCAGACAAACTGGCAGACCCAATGCCAAAAATTCCATACACCCAGACAAGTCCAAACATCAGCCATTTGGTGTTCTGGAGAAACAGATTATCCCCCAAAAGCATCCTGGATACCCACCTTATGCAGAAGCAAGCTGACATGGAGCCTCTAGTCTAATGAGTATGTTTCCTCAAGGTCGGCAGGTGGGATTATAATGCAATTACTGAGGCTCAGTAGTTCTCAACACTCTCTGATCATTAGAATCACCTGCGAAGATTTTAAACCTGCAGTTGACCTGACCCTGCCCCACACCAATTAAACCAGAGTGTCCAAAGTAAGGCCCAGGTGAATCTAATGTGCAGCCAGGATTAAAAACCATTGCTCTAACACAGTGAGCCTCAAGGTACTGCTCCTGGACCAGCATCACTGGCAGTTTGTTTTTATGCTAACAGACAAAATTATGTTAGTGGATAAAATTAACTATGTTTCCCTTGATTTCCACAGTAGCAATAGAAGTGTCTCAGTCCATGAGAAAATGACATAGAGATTTTCTATAATAAATGGTGCTGAGAAAACTGGAAGAACAATGAAACTAGACCATTATCTCTTGTCATATACAAAAGTCAAATCAAAATGGGTTAAAGACTTAAATCTATGATCCTAACCCATGAAACTACTACAACAAAACATCAAGGGAACTCTCCAGGACATTGGAGAGTTTCCCAGCCTCCCAGAAGAAGTGGGATTTGGAAAGAAAAATTTAACATAGTATGTATATAGAACATGCTTAATTAAAATAGACGTATGACTGTGTGATACTTGTGCCACAGGACCACCTCTCTACCTATCTCCATGGTTCTGCACTGGACACACCTTGATCTTCCTTGGTTTGCTAGCATTTTCTCTAAATTTGGGAGTCTTTTGAATGCACACTCTCAAGTCTCAAATTTAGCTTTGCACTTTCATATGGAGAGCTGCCTCTGAGCTGTACTGCATGTCAACACCCAATCCTTAAATGTTTTTATCTCGCAGACAAGTGAGAGTCTGCAGATTGTACGTATCTGCTGGCCATCCCAGAACCATCTGGGTCTTTGGTTAAGCATCAGCCTTCTGCTTACATAACTTGGACCCAGAAAGCTGTTATAAATTGCAGGATATTGCTTAGCTAATTCCAAATAATTTATAGAAAAAAATATTATTGAAATGAGATACTCTGAAAATGTTGTGGTCTGAGTTTTCTAACATTTACTTTTTAAAATTATCTTGATCACAGTAATTATTTTTCTAACATTACATTAAAAGTGACAGCTTAAAATGTTGGACAGGAAGGAGATGTAATTTAATGAAAGGCATCTTTCTCCACATTGACACGGATGTTAAATTTTTTTGAGATTCGAATGTGCTCTAATTACTTTAATTTAAAATTCTGGATATGCATGTTTTATTCATGATTTTCTACATGATGGAGAAAGTTTTTGCAGCACCTTTGAAGCTCTAACTTTGGAAATATAACAAATAATGAAGCCATATTTTCAAAACGCTCAGATAGAGGAGACTTTTGAAAGACAGTATAATTATGAATCAAAGCTTAATCAGCTGCTGTGAAATGAGTTTTTAATTATTACCTTGCCCCTGATATGCTACAGTTCACCAAGGTTAAGAGAGTGACCTCACATTCCTTCTGAAAGGGTAGAATTTTCTTTCCTTTGCAGCATATCACCTTGAATATTCAGAAACTAAGTTGTTCTGCTTCCCATGAAACTACTCCTCAGAAGCCATTTTTCACACTGACTCTTGGTTAATCTCACATGAGAAATAGAAAGTGTCACTCATTTCTCTCCTACCAAAATGCATTTCTGCAGCAGGAATAATGGCTTCTGAATCAGAGTACTCACCTATTCCCACTGAAAAATTCACTTTTTTCAAGGTAGTTTGTAAGTGTATTACAAAGGTGTTCAAAGCATCAACCTTTAGATTTCAGAATTCTAGATCAAAATAACCACTTTTATTTCAAGTGGCCAAAGATGATACAGAGTTTCCAAACTCTGAAAGAGTGTGTTTGCACAAAGAGGCTTTCTAGGCAGACAATACAGGATTTCTCTTGATGTAAAGTTCAACTCAAATTTCCTTTAGTAAATAGTAATTTGCTTGAGTTGAGAACAAAAGAGACATGGTGTGAATAACTCAACTTCCTGCTTCAAATGTAGACATACCCATGTATACACCAGTTTCTGGTATCTAAATAAAACTGGAAGATTAAAACTTAAATATTTTGAAGCTCACTAAAAACCTAAGAAAAATATTTCATGACTATATGTCCAAAGCAAAATCAAAATACTTTTGGTTTAAACTCTCTCAATATATTTCCTCTAATATAAAATTTCACCCAATGAAATTCTGGGTCTAGCTTAGAAATTGGCACTAACATCTTGACCTCATCTAAACTGCTCTTTACAAATAAGTTTGAACTGTTATTTCAATGTAATTGAAGGAGGAGGACTTAACTCATTTATTTAAAACTCAAAATCTCTCTGGTTAACATATGTGTGTGTATGTATATTGTGAACCTAGAAGTATCTGAGACAAGTCTCAGTCAATTTAGAAAGTTTGTCCAGGTTAAGGAAATGCACGTGACAAAGCCTCAGGAGGTCCTGATGACGTGTGCCTAAGGTGGTCAGGGTATAGCTTTCTCGTATATATTTTAGGGAGACATAATACATCAGTCAATGAATGTGAGATTTACATCGGTTCCATCTGGAAGGGTGGATGGGACAACTTGAAGTGGGGGCTTCCAGATTACAGATAGATTTAAAAATTTTCTGATTGGCAATTGGTTGAAAGAGTTATTATCAACAGAAAGGAATGTCTGGGTTAAGAGAAGGGGTTGTAGAGACCAAGGTTTTATCCTGCAGCTGAAGCCTCCGGGTAGCATGCTTCAGAGAGAATAGATTATAAATGTTTCCTATAAGACTGATGGTTTGTGTTGATGTTAGTGGTGGTCAGCTTTCCTGGATTCCAAGAGGGAGGAGGGTATAATGAAGTATGTCCAACCCCTGCCTTCCCATCATGGCCTGAACTACTTTTTCAGGTTAACTTTGGAATGCCCTTGGCTGAGAGGAGAGGGGCCATTCAGATGGTTGGAGGGCCTTAGAATTTTATTTTTGGTTTACAAGGTATTTATATATTTGCTATTCAAATATGAATCACAGAAAGAGGTATAGATGTATGAAACCTGACTTGGAGTTCCTATTAACAGTTTTTCTTTAGAGATAGCAAAAAAACTTGGGCTCATTTAATGAGCATAAATTGGATACTGAAATAAGTGTTACTTGTAGGAGAGTTGTCATTAAAATGCTGCTTCAGGAATTTGATTTGCATAAGATCTGATTACATTTAGTAGCTGTTCACATATCTATGCTGAATCAATGTCATTTCATCAATGCACAGGTTACCTTTTCTGCTCACATTAGAATGGGCTTAACTTCTAGTTGAGAAATACAGTATTGCACACCCAGCCTACCCCTCTGTCACATGCTTTGCTCCTTCCAGTTCTCAGCTGAAAAAAGTGATCGGTCAAGTCTTATGCAGCATTTCTAAGGTTGAGCCAAGCCTATGTAACTTATCTCTTGAAAATGTTATCTACAAAAGTATTTGACATCTCTGCCATTGGAGATAAATGGCATAAGAGCTGGTAGACTTACTAGAAGTAAATAATAATAGCTAACATTTATTGAGCAATTATGAACTGCCGGATCCTAAACTAAGTGCTGCTCAAGCATATTAATCTATCCTTTAACCTTCAGGCAGCCTGATGAGGCAGCTACCATTAATTATTACTCTCATGTTTTTAAGTGAGGAAACCAAGCCTTACTGAGGTTATTTAACTTGCCCAGTATCATAGGCTCCTCATTGGTGGAAACAAGACTTAAACTTGGAAGTGCATGCTCTTAGACATTCATTTCCCAGAATCTGAATAATCAACATTCTAAAATTATACAGATCCAAACAAAAGTGTAATAAAAGCCCTGCACTTAGTGACACTGTTGAAATGGAAACCTCAGAAGCAAGTCCACCTCATTGGGACAAAAATCAGAGGTGTCATCAAAATGCATTGAGCTCTCATGACACTAAGCTCAGAATAGTACCTGAGGGCCTCCCCCAACAACTACATGCTGGTTGTTTATAATCCAGGCACTACCTTCAAGAGTTAACCTCTAATCAGAAGGAAGGAAAATTGACAAAGTCTAAGTGATGCTTTTTGTAATGCACCAAGCTCATTTTGTGTTCAGAATTTCTACTGTGGACACTGAAGTTATGGTTAGGAATTGATAGCAATACTGTAAGCTAGTAATGATGAAACCAGAGATGTCCCCAAATTATTAAGCGATACTGACCACCTGTGCAATTATAGAGGTAGTGCTAAACACATCTTACCTTATATACAGATATACTTGTGTGTATTATCACTAAGCTAATAAAGAGCTTCACAATTAGAAATCAACCAATGTGCACATAGACGGCTTCTGTTGAATGTGGCTATGGTCCCAGTTCTACCCACCCTCTTTTGGAATATAAGCAAGGCATTTGTGTACATTATCCTTCTCTAAGAAGGATTTTAAACTCAAAACACTGTCAGCTCCAGCCCTTGTCAGAATGATGAGACTTCCTTTGTCACAAATACTGAATATGGTAGTAATTTAAATTAATTTAAATTGCTAAACGCTGTGCCCTGCTGAAGCACACCTGTTAAAATAACAAAAAATACAGATTAAAACAAGAGACCGTTGTGTAATTAAGAGATTTGTCTGGCTGAATAAGAAACATGTCAGTTCATAAATAATGTATTCCACAGTGAAAACTATTGCTTCTGGATATACTTCTCAAGCTTCACCAATTCAATCAATAAATACTTATTGAGCACCTACTATTAGCAAGGTACAAGGATAGACACTAAGATACACAAAATGATTAAGACTTCTCTCCTATTCTGAGGGAAGTTACTATCTAGAAGACATCTCATATAGAAAATATTACTGGACCTCCTCTTAAAACTGAGCTGAATTATTCACTAATCCATCTAAATCCCTGAGAGAAATAATTTGGAATTAAGATTTCCAGATTTTTCTATCACATGTATTGTTCACTAAATTGCCAGAATTCATAGAAGTTCTGTTTAAAAAAAAACGTACTGTTCTTATATTGTGACCTGAAATAGCTGAACTCCAAATTAGTTCCCGAGACATTTGAAGCATCTGTTTGTCTTCTCTGTGTAGCTCTGTTAACACTCCTGCCTGAAGAGAAGTCACTAATACATTTTATTCTTGCATTGGGGACCAACATTTGATTTGCTTTGGCCTGAAGAAGGGAAGCATTTGAGTAATGTTCAGATCACTTTTAGGCACTGATGAAAGAACAGAATGTTTCCATGACTGTCAGAACAAGAGCTGAATGAGTGTAGACAGGGTGGGATTGGAGAGACTTCTTACCTCTGTGCTACGTCTGGTGTTAAGAAAGCTTCTCCTTTGCCTCAGCACCCCATTCTTTCATATCCCAAAATATGAAACACATCACTTTGTTCCTTCAGCAATATTTAAGATGGATTTGAGGCAGATGTAGCCAACTGTCCTTCTTCATTCCCAAATTCTAAACACAACTGTTTCTGCTTGTGTCAGTTATTATATACACCTTTAACCTGATGCCTAGTCCCTGGCCTTTGCCTCTGAAAGTTGCCCTCCATCACCATCAGATTAAGCTTCTCCCCAAAATAATTTCAGCCTCCAATTACTCACCACTGCTGGTAGAGTGACATACAAAACTCTTTAACATGGCATGCAAGACCCTCCACTTCTAGGCCCTGAGGATCTCAATGCCAATAATAACCCCCTTCTGGATCAGTGACAACCGAATGCATGCTTCCCTATTTCCAAAAACACCTAGGGAGACTATGTCCCCAGGCAGACACAGACAAGCCCTAATGTCACTCTGTAGCAATGCACATGAGCAGGTCTGTTGTGGTCAAAGGCTGAGTCTCTTCTAACCCAGTTTATGCTTTTCGAGATGCAACTCACCTAATAAAGGCAATGAGACTCATTCTCAGTTAAAAACATTTTCCCAAGACACATAAATTAACAGGAAAACACATTAGCCTTAAGAAAATTGAAAAATTTCAGAATAACACAGGTTTCCCTGAATTGCAAAAAGTTATACAGAAGAGAATTCTCATGGAAAATAGGCATTATTGGTCCCATGGAAAATAGGCATTATTGGTCCCATTTCTCCCAAAACCAACCTAGGAATCATCATTCTATAAAAATATAAATAGAACAAACCCTGGATCTACCTTCCCCAGACTTTCAGTTGGATGAATATTTCTTCCTATTTTGTTCATATCTTTTTTTATCATATTTATTTTCCAGATTTTGCTGAAGTTTGAGAATATTTTGGATTTGGTGTTTTTGAAAACATTTTCTGGAAAACAATGGGATACAACATGCCAAAGTTGGAACACCTTGAGATTAAGGGCTGTTTTAATTTGTAGCTTTGTTGTCTAGCCTATTATCTGGGAATTAAGATAAGAACAGAAAGCGTGCTGTAGAAGGCAGAGATTCTAGCACCTATAATCTGTCACCTACAGACAATACGACTTGGAGCAAAACCGTTAACCTATCTCAGTCTGAGTTTTCTCAACTGTAACTAGAGATAATAATACAACCTACTTCACAGGACTTAAAAAGATAGAGGTCATAGAAGTCAGAATTGTGGTTACATTTGGGGGAACGTAATAACTAGGAAAAGCAACAACTCACCTGATTATTCACTGTGAAGTTGACCACAGCATTTAGCATAGGGAAGAAGCAAGTGGAACTATAGAGAAGTACCCACACCTGACTCTACCTCCCCATCACACCATGGAGGCCACTGGCAAATTTCTCAGAGCATCAGATCAATCTACAGCCTCCCAAGTTGGGAAAACCAAAGCAGGTAAAATCAACTGTCCAATAGCTGCTGGACAGTTCAGATAAAAGCCTTTAGAAATCTTCTGATTCCTATAACTTTTGTATTTAAATGGTAGGGGAAAAAGTAAACTAAAACAATCTAACCCAAATAGAGTATTTTTAATGTCAACTAAAAGAATCTGTCCAGCCCAACTCCACCTTCATATTCAGAAAAGTGAATGAAATTGCCTGATGCACATAAGAGTATTGATTTTGGAACAATAATTAAAATCTAATGGAGTTAATCAGTTTCACACAAAACTATAAATTTCATCCAAAGACATGATAAACTGTTGAATATCTGCTCATCTCAACATTTTAAAATTCAGATTTCAGTTTCTGACAATGTTATTCATTTTAACTGAGAAATAGTCACACTATCTAAAGTCCTGGACATTTTATTCTAAGAAGGGGAGGGAAAAGAGAATCATTTCGGTTCTTTATGGGGGTCAAATTATACATCAAACAAAGTATGAAGTTCCTTCGCCAGATACATTTCATAAAGTTAAATGGTTCTTTCAAGATTATGCTGACAATAGAATCTTCAGTCTTTGTTATAATATAGTCTATGACCTCACTAATAAGGATAATAATGTATCATCAAAAAATGCTGTTAATTGAAAACTGTAAGTCTAATTAACCAGGGATGTGACCATGCATAACATATTATTAATAGAATGAAAAGATTGCATTACACCAACTGATACCCAGAAAAAACTACAAGGACAGTCCCACAGTTCAAAGACTCCTCACATCCATTTTGGCAAAAGTTACTGATGATATTTTCCTTTCATTAAACTGTAGACTTCATAGCAAAATGACTTAAAACCAGAAGAAGAAAGTAGAGCCAGATTTAAAAGATGGGTCACAGGGCAGCTGCTAGAGATATAATCTATAAAGGGCCCTTAAACACGGCTGGAAGACATCAGAAATATGGTGCCAATTAACTCATGTTTCCACATGAAACTCTTTACGTAATGGGTAAAATGTAAATCGGTTCCACTCCCAGTGAATTAGACAGTTCTAATGAAAAATATAAATACTTTGTCCTAGTGCTCACCTCTTTCCATTGAATATTTTGTGATGTACATATGCACAGTCAGGAAACTTGGGGACAACTACAATTCCTTGCACCAAACCTGAAAACAGCCAGCTGATTGTCACCTAAAGTTAGCAGTTACGGCCAAGCAAAATTTCAACACTAAAAGAACATACGATGCACAACTGTCGACAAAAAAAAAAGTAGATTTTATTATCTAAATTTTAAATTCTATGCTTCCTAAGAAGTTGATTATAAAGGTGGGGAAAAGCCTTTTTAAAAACCTAACAAATAAACTGCATTACCGGAAAGTAGAATGCATTTTGCCAGCATTAAGAGAGTACCCAGATCAAGATGGCATATTGAGAGCATGTGAAAACCTCCCCTTTCCAGCAGCTAGCACTTAAAATGATAGATTAAAGACAATGGATATAGGTATAGATGTAGAAAGTATGTATAGGTATAGATGTATAAACATACGTGTGTAGTTGAAGACAAGAAAAAAATCTCCATGGATTAGAAATAGAAAGGAACTCAGTAATAATGAATACTTAAGTCTAATGGCTCAAAGGAATCTGGGTCTACCTATGGGAGGTTGAGACCAGGGCCTTAATGGTCTGATGGAATTGCTAGCAAACAAAGCTGATACAAGTCACATGACTCAAAATCAGGTTCTGCAATTAAAGCTAGGAGCCAGATAGGAGCTTCTGTCCAAAAATAGTTCTGCCTATCCGCCTGCGGTTGTAGCTGGGGAAGAAGCAGAATCTCCTGCAGGACACAGAACTCAGGTCTATCCCATGTAAAGTACATAGCCCATGCTCACACCAGCAGCACAAAGATCCCACAATAAGCAACCAACAGAAGAGCCATCCCATGTGACTGGGATGAAAGGGGTTTAGGCACTTACATCCAAGGTGGTTCTGTCCACTGAGCTAGAACTAACTGATTTTTTTAAACAAACAACACAGTTTTAAAAAGCTGAAGAATGAGACAAAAGTTTCAGAACATGAGGAAACCAAAAGAGTCATGTAAAAGTAGTTCGGTTGTCCTTTATTCTTTTTTTAACTTTTAAGTTTGGGAGTAAATGTGAATGTTTGTTATATAAACAAAACTCTAGTCACAAGGGTTTGTTGTACAGATTATTTCATCACAAGTATTAAGCCAAGTAACCGATAGTTATTTTTTCTGCTCCTCTCCCTCCTTCACCATCAAATAGACTCCAGTGTCTGTTGTTCCCTTCTTTGTGTTCTGGAGTTCATCCCACTTATAAGTGAGAACATGTGGTATTTGGTTTTCTGTTCCTGCATTAGTTTGCTGAGGATAATGGCCTCCAGCTCCATCCATGTTCCCGCGAAAGACGTGATCTCATTCTTTATGGTTGCATAGTATTCAATGGTGTGTATGTGCCACATTTTCTTTATCCAGTCTGTCACTGATGGACATTTAGGTTGATTCCATGTGTTTGCTATAGTGAATAGTGCTGCAATGAACATTCGCATGCATGTGTCTTTATGGTGGAATGATTTCTGTTCCTCCTGGTATACATCCAGTAATGGGATGGCTGGGTTGAATGGCAGCTCTGCAATTAGCTCTTTGAGGAATCGCCACACTGCTTTCCACAATAGTTGAACTAATTTGCACTCCCAACAACGTGTAAGTGTTCCCTTTTCTCCATAACCTTGCCAGCATCTGTTATTTTTTGACTTTTTAATAGTCATTGTGACTGGTGAGAGATGGTATCTCATGGTTTTGATTTGCATCTCTCTAATGATCGGCAATACTGAGTTTTCATATGCTTTTGGACACCTGTATGTCTTCTTTGGAGAAGTGTCTGTGTCCTTTGCCCACTTTTTAATGGAGTTCTCTCGTAAATTTATGTTCCTTATAGACACTCAATATTAGACCTTTGTCAGATGCATAGTTTGCAAATATTTTCTCCCATTCTGTAGGTTGTCTCTTTACTCTGTTGACGTTTTTGATGTGCAGAAGCTCATAAGTTTAACTAGATCTCATTTGTTAATTTTTGCTTTTGTTGTGATTGTTTTTGGTGTTTTTATCATGAAATCTTTGCCCACTCCTATGTCCAAGATGGTATTGCCTAGGTTATCTTCCAGGGTTTTTATAGTTTTGGGTTTTACATTTAAGTTTTTTATCCACCTTGAGCTGATTTTTGTTTATGATACAAGGAAAGGAAACAGCTTCAATCTTCTGCACATGGCTAGCCAGTTATTCCAGCACCATTTATGGAATAGGAGTCTTTTCCCCACTGCTTGCTTCTGTCGGCTTTGTCGAAGATCAGTTGATCCTAGGTATGTGGCCTTGTTTCTGGGTCTCTATTCTATTCCATTGGTTGATGTGCCTATTTTTGTCCAAGTACCATGCTGTTTTGATTGCTGTAGCCACGTAGTATAGTTTGAAGTTGGGTAACATGATGGCTCCAGCTTTGCTTTTTGCTTAGGATTGCCTTGGCTATTCAGGCTCTTTTTTTGGTTCCATGTGAATTTTAAAATATTTTTTTCTAGTTCTGTGAAGAATGTTGGTGGTTTGATAGGAACAGCATTGAATCTGTAAATTGTTTTTGGAAATATGGCCATTTTAATAATATTGATTCTTCCTATCCATAAGTGTGGGATATTTTTCCATTTGTTTGTGTCATCTGCTTTCTTTGAGCAGTGTTTTGTAATTCTCTTTGTAGAGATCTTTCACCTACCTGGTTAGCTGTATTCCTAGGTATTTCATCATTTGTGGAAATTGTGAATGGGATTGCCTTCCTGATTTGGCACTCAGCTTAGCTATTGTTGGTGTATAGGAATGGTAGTGGTTTTCGTACATTCAAGGACCTTGAACACACTTATTTTCAGTCCAACACCAACTACTATCTCTATTTTACCTTAATAGGTAAGCATTTTTTTGCCTCAAATAAATCTCTCCCATTGGCTGAGCAAAATAACACATTAAGAAGTAGATTATTTCAAAAGCTCTTTGATCAAACGTTTAAAGGATTGAAGCCTCCCAACTCTTCCCATACATTTTCCTGTGGGAAGAAAATAGATGTTAACACTATGCTACCTAGTTATGTGTAATTTCAGTCATGATTGAAAGGCAGTTCTGAAATAAGTTAAAATATTATATTTAGTCCACATACCAAATCTCATTTTCAATATATGGAAAAAAATTATATAACTTTCAATAAAATGTAATTTGTTGATATTCATAATAAAGAATACTAGGGTACCCTAGGCACCAGGTATATCCCTGGCTAACAATTTTATTCCTCTTGATTGTTTTGATCCACTTATCTCTGCTAAGATGCAGGAAAAATAATTCTTCTCTTTAAATTGTCCATTGAAATTGTTTTCTTATTTAATATAAGACTGATTTTTGGTAAAATCCCCTTTATAATATGCATAATAAATTTGCATATTAGATTGCAGCCACAGAAAACAGAGGAAAACCGTACCTGAAAGTTCAAACTTCTGCAATTAGCAAGGCCAAGATTCTGTCAAGATTATTATTGTCCTACTACTTAAAATGTAAAACCACTGTTGCTTAATCTATCTTCACTACTGTTCTCACATCCTATCCCTCTTAATTACTAAAGTTGTTAATTTCAAGGTCAGAGTACCTGAAGATGAACTGCATTAAAGTATAACTACTATTTCCACATGTGAACTGTCATATGTAAGAAGAATTCAAAACTGTTTCAAGTCATGAATATTATCATTCTTTGTGAAAAATTCTTCCCTGGGACAAATTTTTCTACTCTACAAAACAGATTTAGATACAGAGAATAAAATGAATTTCCTATCATTGTACAATGAGGTAGCAGTGAAACAAATAGATATAAAAGCTCAAATCTTTTGCACAATTGTCTCGATAAGTTGGACACAATATTAGTACAGAGATTTATTTTAATGTCCTATAGAATATAGAGGACATATTTTAAACTAAACAAAAAAATTCAAAAAATGAAGAGGCTTTCCAATTTCTTATGTAAAACAACATCAGTGGAAGAGCCCAGCAAAAAAGAGTTTTCCATATCATGAAGAGAAAGGCTGTAATTACATTTTTACTTTTGAATAAGCTCTTCTGCCTTTATTGTGTCTGTGCTTCAGTCTAATTGAAAATGAAAAATCTCCAACGTGAAGAAACACAGTGACATCCAGAGCCTAAGGCTTGATTCACAAAGTAGCTCCACCAGTAATATTTTTGTGGTTTCAGAAAGTGGTAAAACATTTTGACTTGTAGTGTTAAATTTAATTCATGAAGTTTGGTAGCAATACTTCTGAGGACAGAGAAAAGCCAGTTTTCAATATAACTAGTCCAGAAAAAAAAAAAATACACTGCTGTTGCAGAAATTGCCTACTCAAAATTTCAAAGTATGGGCTTTAGGGTTCTGAAACAGAGGAAGATATACATGGTTTATTATATATCACAGATTGCAAAAATATCATAAAGGTTTCCTAGGGTTAATACAGCTATCCAAAAAACAACAAAACAACAGAACAAAATACAAAAGATGTTTTCCATTTTTGTTCTCTTGGCTTTTATAATAGGATTCCAGTTTTTCTAGTTGTCCAACAATATGAAATACATTTAAAAACTTAGAAATTAGACTGTTTTCCACAGAAATGATTTTTTTTTTTAAGACAGAGTCTTGCTCTATCGCCCAGGCTAGAGTCCACTGGCACAATCTTGGGCTCACTGCAACCTCTGCCTCCCAGGTTCAAGCGATTCTCTTGCCTCAGCCTCCCAAACAGCTGAGATTACAGGCACCCGCCACTGCGCCCAGCTAATTTTTGTATTTTTAGTAGAGACGGGGTTTCACCATCTTAGCCAGGCTGGTCTCAAACTCCTGACCTCGGGATCCACCCACCTCAGCCTCCCAAAGTATTGGGATTACAGGTGTGAGCTACTGCGCCAAACCAGAAATGATATTTTTTAAGACAATGAGAGAGAGAAGGAGAAGTCTTGGTTTGTGAGTATATACTTATATATGATTTGGGCGAGGGGGGAACACCAGGTATAACACAAACCACTTACAAAGATCAAGCCACATTTTTCACTGGTATCCAGCCATGTGTCAGAGTACTGGCCCATTTGAGACTGTTATGCCCATTGAGTATAAAGTTTCCCCCAACGAAAGTATTAAATGCCCCATGTTTTTTAGCATTGTATTCATATTAGAAGAAAAAACATTAGAAATATTAGAAAGTTGAATATTCAAGTGAGGACTTCAAAGAATTTATAGAGTTTGCATTATAAAATGTAACACCTGTAATAACATGCTTTAATCATACATTAAGATCATAATTTAAATAAAATTCTCCAGTTATTTTTAAAATAGTGTAATTTCCCCCTTTGAATATCTGATTCCAAAACCTATTTTACCTTAGTTATAAATCAAGAAAGGCTATCCCTTTTTATTTTATTCAATATAAACATTGTTCTACATTCTCAGAAGCACAGAAAACATTTCCATTTATTAATCGTTTCTAATTTTCAATCAATGGAAATAGCACCTGTCAGAAAGCTCTCTTGCTGCCACTATCCCCAAATTCCTTATTTTTTTCTAGTTCCCTAGATTTGATATACAGCAGTTACTGGCAACTTAATTCTATTATGTAGTAAATATTAAAAATATGATGTTTCATCACATAAGTTTGCAATGGCAAAATCCTGATTAAAG
This sequence comes from Homo sapiens, assembly GCF_000001405.40. NCBI lineage: Eukaryota > Metazoa > Chordata > Mammalia > Primates > Hominidae > Homo > Homo sapiens. The sequence continues at coordinate 126,324,653 of NC_000005.10, forward strand.
CATATATTTTATTACACAAATAGAAATTTAAACATTGGAAAACTGGAAGAAGTTATAAAAGAAATAGCCAACAGTAGTTTTTCATGTTAAATTTTTTCAAACCTTTAAAATTTTAATCTATTTATACATTTCCATGTCAAAAGAAAACTTCTCAAATGAACATAAGAATGATATAAAACTTAATACAGCATAAAAGTAAACTATAATTGTTTTATGACTTTATATGCACAGAGGCTAAATAAAATATTAGCATATAGACCCAAGGAGTTTTACTAAAAGAATATTATGCCATAACCAAATAAGTTTCTTATCAAGAATAAAAGACGTTTAATATTAGAAGACTATTAAAGGCAGTATTTGTAGATGGTATGATTGTATATGTGAAAATGCAGATATTCTTTTCAAAAGCTACATATTAACATATGAAACTAAACTGATTACAAAATCAATCACATAAAAAGCATGTTTTCTACATAGAAAAAGTAAGATGTAATGGAAAAAGGACTTTCAGAAAGAAAAAACAGGTATAAGTTAAATGGGTAGGAACTGTATTTTTAAAAATGGCTTAATTGGGAGTGAGGGCACATAAAAAGTCTTACAAGGAAAGACTTATTTTTAGGAGGGATTAAGGGATTAGGAAATCTGAAATTAATCTAAGTTTCAATGTAATATAACCGAAATTCCTGGAGAAATTTTCTTTTCTTCCTGCCTTTCTACTTTTTATTTCATTTTTCAACTTCATGAGAATATCATCCTAAAGTTTACTTGGAAGACTAAAGATTTAAAAATGGCCAGGTAAAAGACTAATGCATAATGTATGTATAATGTAAACTATGTATAATGACAAGGAATTAGCCTTGCCAAATATAAATATATAAAACTACAGTAAATAAAATATGACTTTCCACAAGAGAAAGATGGAGCCATGAAACAGAATTTTAAAAAGACCCTGGTATGACTGTTCATTTATTATCTGATAAAAGATATGTTTCCTTTAGAAAAGACTAGACAACAAATAGTGTTAAGATAACTTATTTGAAAGGGAAAAAAATTGTAAGCTAGACAGCTACCTCGCTATTTAGTTTAAGATAATTCCAAAGAGATCACACACTTGAGATGTTCTCAAAAAAGAGAAGTACCAAGGTCAATGCCACAATACACTGTCTTATTTTCAGAAGTCACACACTGACATTTCTACCATATTCTAGAAGCAAATCACTAAGTCTTGCCCATACTCAAGGGAAAATAAATTAGGCTCCACCTTTTGAAAAAAATATGTCGAAGAATTTGCACACATTTTTTAGTCACTATAGGAAAAGCTTAAGTATTCATTAACAAAGGACTGGTTGAAGTTTAGCAATTGTCTCTAAACATTTCTAATAGCATACCCCCCTTCAGCTAAAAAAAAATTGAACTGAAACCTAGTATGAAAATATAAACATTTTTAATTATATGCCCATGCACTTGACTAATATAATGTGTGTTATAAAACATACAAATTTTTAAAGTTTTAAATGAGATAAAAAATAAACATGAGTGGAAGATCTGTATTTTCTTCCCACACCCTAATGAATTATCTGAAGACCCCTGAGGTGAGTGTACTCAGTTAAGAGATTACTGAAATATATGCAGCCATTAAAAAAGCAAAATACTGAACAATATGTGTAAGCATATCCCGTCTTTGTAAAGAAAACACACATATATGCTTTTACACACCCATAAAATTTATATTCTACTATAAAAGAAACTCCGAGGGATAGTTATCTTAGGGAAAGGGTCAAGCTGGTGATGAGAAAAGCAAAATTTTATCTATCTTTTTATTCCCTTCTATAACTTTTGAATCTCATATGCATGTTTTCATTTTTATAATCATATATTTTCTTTTGTTCAAAGAAAATAAATGCAACAATACAAAAATAAAAACAATCCAATAAAAAATGAGCAAAGAATATGGAAAGATAGTTCTCAGAAAAAGTGAGTAAAAATACTTTGTAAACATTTAAAACATTCAACCTCACAAGAGTAACATAAATTAAAACTAGGTAGAGATACCATCTTTAACTTATCAAATTGGCAAACACCCTAAAGTTTGAGAACGCACTGTCTTAGCAGGAGGAAATATCACTTTCATTCACTGCTGCTAAGATGGTAAATGGATATAACCTTTGTGGAAGGCCATTTGGCAATATCTACCAAATTAAAAATGTATGTACTCTTTGACCCAGCAATTCCACTTCTAGAAATTTATCCTACAGATATATGCAAATAACATATGGTCAGGGTTATTTATTGCAGTATAGTAAATAATAGTGGAAATTGATGTCAACCTAAATGTCCTTTAATAAGAGTCAAGTAAAATAAATTATGGTAAATCCGGTCCATTTAGTATGTTGCAGCTATTAAAGTAAATAAGAGCCTCTTTACATGCATGTTTATGAGTTCAAAGACACATTATTAAACTTTAAACAGCAAGGGCAGAACATCGTATAGTATGCTACCACTGGTTTAAAAAGGAGGAGGATATATTTATATTTGCTTGTATATACATAAAATTACTAAAAGGAGACAAAAGAATATAATTGCCAGTGGAAGGCAAAACCAGATGTCTGGGACAGACTGGGTGGTGGACGTTTCACTATGTATACTTCTGTAACTTTTGATGTTCGACCTATGTTAATGTATTAATTAAATTAGATAGTATAAAATAATGATACTGGCTAATACTTAAGAGTAACTTGCCCTGTGCTAGACACTCTACTGCTTTACATATTACTTAATTCATATATTTTACAGATGAGGACACTGAGGCCCAGGAAGGCTAAGAACCAGCTGAAGTCCTCCCAGAAGTAAGGGATGGAACTGAAATATTACCCCAGGTGGTCCAAGTCAGATGCATTGCCACCTGGCAACTAAACATTAATAATGCCACTTGTTAGGAGACACAGTTGCGACTATTCACTCTTGACAGTCAAAATAATTATAACAAAAGTAATTTTTCCAGTGACATTATCTTATAAGACTTCACAGATGACATTCAAACGGAACCACCAGAGATGTATTAGATCAGTAATCAGGAGATATGGATGTTAACCAGCTCTACGTTTTCTTTTAAAATCCAAACCTATCACATAACTTAAGTTGCCTGGATTATCACAAGTCTTCCAGCATTTTGGGGTCACCCTTCTCTTTAAAGCCAAGTCAAATGGTTTGTGTATGCACCTCAGATCATAAGAGGATCTCACTCACTTTTCCCTATTCCAAAGGCCATATTTCTAATGCATTTAGGACAGCAGGGGACAGGGTTGTTTCCCGTCTGCTCCTAAATCAGGCCACCAGAAAGCCACTTCTGGACTGTTGCCATACATCTACGCATGCTGTATTCTCAGCCTTCATCCCTTACTGATGGTCACTGCCATGGGCTTGGGAACTGGCCCCCTCTTCCCTTATCCTACCCAAGCACCGTTAACACAGTAACAGACCATTTCAGGTACCGACAAGAATATATAAAACAAGACAGAAAGGACTTCACGTCAATGAAGGTAGGCCTTATTTTCTATACAGTATTTGAATCTTGCTTTGCCACATTGTGGAGGAGGAAGACAATGCCTCTGTTTAACAAGAGGCGAAACTCTACTTGTTCCCCCTTTTCCAAATCCACTGCTAACAATAAAACTCCCTTTGTAAAAGACACAGAAATTTGTAGTTATAGGAGAGGTTTAAACCATATTAGTTTTGGTTCAGTCTCAGAAGGTATTTCTCTATAGGCTCCAAATAGTTAAATGTTCAAGAAGTTGACTATCTGGGAGAGTTCATGAGCCTTCTTTTATTCAATCACCAAGGCTAAAAGTCATAAGCTCAATAAAGAAAACAGAAAACAACTTCTGTTTTTCCTAATTGAAACATCTCTGTAATAGCTGAAAGCAAAGCCTTCAAGTTTCCATATGATATAAAATTCTTTTATCAACAATGTGACAACGAACAAGAAAATTTATACATCCCAGGGGCAAGACAGTGAAAATATGTTACAGTACTGACGACCTGTGCACATAGTTACAAATTGCTGGTGATTTTTAAAAACAGATTTAGAAATAAATCTCAAATTGGCCAAATCAGTTCCTAAATGTTAACAGGACATAGTGGATATCTTTTCCAGAATTAAAACTGTCTCAAGTCCTGTGTTAACAATGGTAGGAACAATTTCATTGTATCAGAACAATCCATAGTTTGTCTCTCAAAATCATTTTAAAAGACCACAGTGGAGGTTAAAGGGCAAAATAGTTGCCTACATGATCTTTCCTGATATTAGCAGTCCCTGGGATTACCTCCAGCACTCGCTACTCTTCTGTATTACCTCTCCAGATAACTCTAATGGCAAGTAATCCAAATGCTAGTACTGCTCTCTGTTGGCATTTGTACCCACCATTCCTTGGAAGCTGGCATTCTCCATGACTTGAACAGATGAAAAGATACTTATGTCAAGAAAACTGCTGGCTCTGTTTTTCCTACTTCAGGGATTCAAAGTACCTATCTTCCTGGGCTCATCACCCCACCTACCCTCCAAGTAGAAGTGCTTAGTGATAGTTCTCAGAATCCATGGGGCTTTCCTGATATCTTTCAGATGGTTTTAACCCAAACATGGGTACGAAGTTCAGTGTCCTAGCAAAGATGGGCAAGGACAAGGTCACTTGGAGTCAAATGTGGGGTTAAGATAAAGCCATTGCTTCATCAGCAATAGGAAGCAGTTAGTAAGCTGTCAGTTGAGGGTCAGGATGCTGTGACTGAGCAGGCAGGGGCTGGCCTCTCTGGCCGCAGAGTGTGTAACTGAGGCAATCAGAATGCTTTTGGAAGAACAAAAGGTAGAACGGTGTCAGGGTTAGACACTAGAGCAACAGACTGCTTCAGTCTGTTGTCTGCCAGCTGTGTAGACTTTTGTGCTCACCGTTTTCTCAATTAAAGAAGAAGAATACCTAACTCACAAGTTTTTTTTGGAGCACTAAATGAATTCATACATTTAAGTACTTAGAAAAGTCCCTAACAAAGCAACTACTCAATAAATGTGTTAAGTGTAATTAGCTATCATTACATTACTCTTGGTTCTTTAGATGTCCGGGGCCACACCACAGGACACATTTCCTGGCTCACGTTGACATTCTAAGGGACGAATGCCAAGAGGTCTCTTAGATAAGACAGTATGGCCCCTAACTTGGGATCTCACTGAAAGAGGCAGCAGGTGTATGGCAGGGCAGTCAAGGTATCCAACCCAACAGATCAGGTAAGATACAACATGGATTTCCTCCTTAGTAACTTCTCTAATTCCATCCTAGATGTTTTTTTAAGAATGAGGAGATTCACCAGTTTTCTAACTGTGGTGGCCATTCTCTTTGCCCTCATTATCTAGGTAAGCAGCTCGGATGGATGGGATAAAAATGCCACACACTCCTCATTAAGTCAGCTCATGATGCCAGTAGATTCCCTCCTTCGGTGAACTTCAGTGTTCGCTTCCGAAGCCTGGCTGAGCAGCAGGGTCAAAGCCCCTTCTTAATAGGTACTAGAGAGGCTGCAATCTGGTTATTCCTTGTCACTCTCTGTAGATCATGGGGCACTCAGTGCCAACTGTCCTCTGCATTGGGTTTTTAGACCAAAATTATAAGACAATAGGAAATGTCAATTTAACATCCCTGCTTACATTCATGTTTGTTTGGGCCTGGTGACTTCTTTACCTGGGAATGCATTTGGAAACTTCAAGTCACCTGCAAAATGTCAGTAAAACTACATACAGTGAAAGAAAGAACCTTGAAGAGTCCATTTTGATGTCAGACAGCATGGGAAATCGTATAGCATTGAGTCTTAACAATGGCCCTTGATCAAATTTAACCAAAGGCAAGTTGTCTTGACTCAAAACTTTCCAGAAAGAGAAATAAAATCAACTTAATCCATTTGGGTAGCAAACAGACTTTGGTGTGTTTTTTTTGTTTTTGTTTTTTTGTTTTTTCATATCCTACAGAATATTTTTTAAGCAAAAAAAATGTTTAAAGGAATAGGGCTAATCCTAGGTCAATTTTAAATAAATTCTGTTTTGTCCAAAAGCAGTGCCAAGTTCACATCAAGCACAAGAAAACCAGAGTAAACACCAGACAGTTGAAAGTGTGATTGTCTCTGCCCTTGAAGGCCACATGGTACTGAGTAGCAGCCATAAAAGCTCTGTGAAAAGTAAATTCAGTCAGAACGCAGACACCCCCCTCCTCTAATGGAGACAGACCAAGGAGAGATGGAGGATTTGCTTTTGACTTGGGATAGGATTTTTATTCTACCACACACAAGGCAGTAAGACAGTGATCAAGACTGACACCTCCTTAGGATTTTAAAATATACCCAAGCCCCAGAGGTGGCATGGGTGGGGGGAAAGCAAGGGAAGGAATGAGGAGATGTTGGTCGAAGGGTACAAAGTTTCAGACAGACAGGAGCAGTCATTTTGAGATTTGTCGCCCTGCAGGATGACTATCGTCAAGTAAAGAACTTGCTCGCACGCATGAAATTTCAAGCTAGACATTGGGTTTTTTGGAACAGTTTCTTTCCTTGCCAGGTCAATATCCTTATATAAGTTACTTAAACTTCTCTAAGCCTCTATAAAAAACAGTTAATAATAATCCTCCTGCATAGAGTTGTGAGGATTAAATGTCTTCATGCATGGGGAACATTTAAAATGTATATTTCAACAGAATAGACAGTAGACACTGGAGACTCCAGTAGGCTGGGGAGTGGTTAGGGATGAAATACTATCTATTGGATAGGGTCCAATGTACACTGTTCAGGTGATGGGTACACTCAAAGCCCAGACTTCACCACTATGCAGTATGTCCATGTAACCATTGTGCTTGTACCCCAAGTCTATAAAAGTGAGAAATAAAATGTATATTTCCAGATAAGAATTTCAAATGTCTTACCATCAAAAATCATATATTAGCAAGATGATAGATATGTTAATTAGCTTGATTTAATCATTCTATATGTGTGTGTGTGTGTGTATATATTGTTTTTTTGTTTGTGTTTTTTTTCGAGACCGAGTCTCATGCTGTTACCCTAGCTGGAGTGCAGTGACACAATCTCGGCTCACTGCAACCTCCGCCTCCTGGGCTCAAGCAATTCTCCTGCCTCAGCCTCCCGAGTAGCTGAGATAACAGGCATGCCCACCAAACCCGGCTAATTTCTGTATTTTTAGTAGGGACAGGGTTTCACCATGTTAGTCAGGCTGGTCTCAAAACTGACCTCAAAAGATCTGCCCACCCTGACTTCCCAAAGTGCTGGGATTATAGGTGTGAGCCACCACACTGGCCTTAATCATTCTGTATTGTATATATAACATCACACTGTACCCCATAATTGTATACAATGATTTGTCAATTAAAGATCATTTAAGAGAGATCAGAGTAAACCATACACCCAAGCTCAATAAGAAATTATCAACTATTAACTTAGAAAATGTCTTATATCTTGATTTGAAGTATATACATTTATTATTTCCTATACCAGATATACTGATAATTTTCAGTCCTACTGATAATTAAAGGAAATTATGATTGTCTTATATATATAGCATAATAATCACTTACTTTACAATATATAATTTGCCACCCACACATTACCATTTTATCTGGCCATTGAACTACAGGTAATGATCCTTTATGAATCAAGCCCCCAACCTGGAGATTTTCTATCTCATGTTCCTTTGGACCCTTGCAAAAGCAATATAGAATGCCTGCAGTGTAAAATTAGGCCTAAACTTAATTATCTTGCAGCCTATTTCCTGAGTTTAATTAACTTTTCTGAGTGGTTTCCACTGCAATGAGGACTAGACCCATTTTGTATTATTTAGTGTCATAATTTTCTCTTCTCCCTTAGTTCCAAGGACACCACAAGCTCCCTCCAGTCCTAATAGCCATGGCAAATGCAGAGATATGAGAACTGAAAAACAGCTATAACCAAAATTAAGAATGTGCTGCTGTGCATACTAATATAGGGTCGGAAATACTGTGAGTTGCTATCTAATTCCTGCTAGCCTCTAAATGAACTGACTTTAAATATTTTATTACCTTGTTAAGTAAACTCAGATTATAGATTCGAGTCCGTGTCATTATAGATCAGGCTGTTAAAGGAATATGAATTCAGCCCAGGCCAGCAGCTTTTCATATGCTAGAATATGACACACAGTTTGTAGTTTAAAGTGTCTTCCTTCTCCATACTTAGCATACAGCTACTCTAAGAAGACTAGATGCAGCAAGATAACCTGCCTCTAGAAAGCGTCTGAACCTCTTCCCCACAGTAGTGGAGTGAATGTGGCCTTTGGAGCCCAGCAGATTGAAATCAATCCAGGTTTCAGACAAAGGTAACTGCCCCATTGAGGGGTTGTGATGATTAAATAAGATAACCGATCACCTCCCTTGCCTTTCCCTTTCCCAATATAAAATGTTTTAGGGAACAAAACAGTTATTTCCAGGGAAAAGTGTTGCTTGGCTTTCAACATACCAGTGTGTTTTGTGAATGGCTGAGAGGGCATGTGAGCAGGAAAACAGACATAAAGAAGGAGGGGGCCAGGTGTGGTGGCTCACGCCTGTAATCCCAGTACTTTGGGAGGCTGAGGCAAGCAGATCACAAGGTCAGGAGTTCGAGACCAGCCTGATCAATATAGTGAAACCCCATCTCTACTAAAAATACAAAAATTAGCTAGTCATGGTGGCGTGTGCCTGTAATCCCAGCTACTCAGGAGGCTGAGGCAGGAGAATCTCTTAAACCCAAGAAGTAGAGGTTGCAGTGAAACGAGACCACACCACTGCACTCCAACCTAGAGGAGGAGACCTTCTGCTGAGACAGGTAACAATGAAATAAAATAGAGAAAAGTTTGTGAAGAATGTTGTTTGTAAGAAAAAATAGAAAAGGCCATGGAGGGAAGATGGAAGAGAAAGAATATAAAGCATTCAGGACATACAAAGCAAGAACAAGCCACAGCTTCTAAGACAGTCTATGATAGAAAACAAGAACTCTGAGAAAACCAAAGTGCTCTCAGGTCACCTTCTAACCTCCAGGTCCTGCCTCCACTTTTATCCATGGCTTTGGTGCTATTCAAGCACAGAACCTGGCTTTATACCAGGTGGACAGGGTGCTGATGAAGATTGGTACTGGGAGATGCTGTAAACATTCTGATACCACCAGGTGCCTCATGCCTGTCTCGTCACTCATTCACACTGCTGGTCCAGTCATATGGCTGAGATTTTTCTTGCTTTAAAGCAAAATTCTCATCCTTAGTTCTTTAATGGGGAAGGTAGAGGATGAGGGATGATCTCACCACTGTCCCTGGTCAGAGGGACATTTTGACTGGCTTCATCCACTCCCTCTTTAGTCCCCCACCTTAGCTAGCCAGGGACATTTTCTCTACCATGCCAACATCTGTCTTTGAGCCGTCCAGGATCCTATTTCCCACCCAGGTATAAAGGCAGATAGAATGAGAGGTGCTTACAATTGTGCTGAGCCATGGAAAGGGGCATCTCCACTCCAGGAAGATCAGCTGGGGGCACAGATTGATGCCAGCACTGGTGGACAGGCTGCTGTCCACATGAGGTCCTCTCCCAAGAGCAAAGAGAAGAATGTAGATCTTTGGCTCAGGTTACGTGTGATGCCACAGCTTTAGCTGACACCAATGATAATGGCTGATACTTGCAGTGTTCTTCCCTAGGCTTACCAAGATGGTTGTCCAGACTCAAACACAAGCAACTCCGGAAATATTCTGTTCTGTATTAAGTGTCCCATTACTGAGGATGTCAGGATTGAACCACCCAATCCTTATATAACTAGGGCAGTGACATGTACTGAGGTCCTGGCATTTTTGTTGCTACTGTTACTGCACTCACATCATCTCTAGACTTGGAAAAATTCCCCTCCACACATTCATCTTCTTGCTTTCATTCAGAATTCTCAAAGCTACCTTGTTTACAGAAATAATTCTCAAGAATTAGCCCAATATTTGATTCTATTTTTCAAAAACAAAAAATAGACTCCTGCATAATAGAGAATTTATATTTCTCTCATATTTAGTCCATAGTCTTGGCCATCGTAGGCCCTTACAATCCATGTACTGGCCCTTATTTTAAATTAAAATTTTTAAGACTTAGCCCTGAGATTATACTGAGCCATAATGGACTTTGTACCTGAACATCTTCTGCCTAGGTCTCTCCCCAGCCGCCCACACACTCTACGGCACAGGCCTTAAATCATCCCTACACACCCTGCTCTTGTACCGGCCAACATCATCCACTGTCTAAATGCAGCTAGCAGCTGTTTATTTACAATTAGATCTGCCAGCTGGAAAGCAAACGTTCTACGTTACCGAATCAATCAATGTTCCAGGGAGTGGGGGGAAAAGAAGTCAGGTACAGCATGAAATGGAAGACAGAAACATTACGTTATATTGCAGCTGTCCTTGTCCAATGCCATTAGACATTCTCAGCACTAAGAATTAATATAACTACAGCCTATGATCAGCTGTCTTCTAGTCACAGATTTGACATCTAAGAAATACAACTTACTAGAGGTAAGGATTTGGGTTTTAGAAGGCCAGAGCCTGATGACATGAACAATCCTGTCCCAAGGGATGGTTCTCTGTAATAGAATCAGGTTTTCCACCCAACACTATGTTTCTCATTTTTTTTTCCAAGTAGTGAATTCAAGTAGTGATTAGAGCTGAATCATACATACTGATACTTCAAAATGATATATTACCGTGTACATGTTACTTGGGGGTATTCCCTATGTATTTGGGTGCACTCTCTCATTTTGGAAATATCAAATGATTCAATCCTCATAAAGTGGCCCTTTACAAGTAATACTTCAGTTTTTATTGACTTATATATTTACTGGTGTTCTTGACCCTGATTTCACTGTTCATTCATATAGCACAAGTTAAAACATGTTTGCCTGATTTGTTCCTCAAATTAGTAAAGCAAAGGAGAGTAACAATTTAGTAGGAATACAGCAGCAAAAGTCTAATGGTGTGGTTTGGGCTTAGAAACTAATGCTCAAATTGGTGAGGCTTTTTGTCAGATCTGTTTGAGTTTTGTTCTCATTTTTGTTTTTTTGGTGGTGATCAATGGGAGTTATAATGGAGAAGCATGACTAGTTATAAAATCGGAGAGTCACTAACCATGAGATTCTAGTATATAACCTAATATTTTTGGCCCATGAAAATTCCATATGAATGCATTCATACTTGTCAATGTCCTCTAAAACTCCCTGCAGTTTGATTGAGTAGCCTTTCAAAGAAACTCTAGAAATGTCCTTCTCTTGCCCTGGTATGCTATGAATTTGAAAGTCTCCACTGTGTGTGCTGGCTCCTAATAGGCAACACTATTGCACTATTGTGCAAATGCAGAAACATCTGCTGCAGCCGCTAATGGCTTATTGAAAATGTCTAGCCAATCCTGCAGCAGACCCCCTGCCCCCATTAGAAAATATGCTGGCAGTCAACAGAAACACAGTAAAACTTGGAGAGCTTCAGGAAGCAGGAAAAGACAGTGAAGGGCTTTGGGAAAATAAATAAAACCCTCTCAGCCACGTTGTAGGATTGGCCATTTGTGGTTGCAGAGCCTTCATTAAAAGGTTTCCATTTTCTATACCCAGTTGTTTCCCCATAACCTTACAGGTTCAGACCCTACCCTTTCACCACCTAACTACCTCAACCTCAAGAGGAATAATCCACTTTTATACTACCTGTTCACCTCACTATTCAAAGCAGCCTTATAAATACTCAGTTTCCCAGAGTACATGGGAGAGGATATGTTTTAAAATTACAAGCAAATGCTGGGAAATAGTTAAGTTGGTGCTGAGAGTAGGCAAACTCAGAGACGGGCCGGACTGAAAGGCAGGCAATCAGACCATTCATTGCAGGACCTCCACAGGCACAAGGGGATAAGGTCCCAAGCTAAATTAAGGTCAATAAAAATTGGAAGACTGTTCCCAGGGGTGGGAGACTGTGTTGAAAACAGAGTGCTAAGTGTGGGGCAGTTATTTGCTTCGGGTTCCTTGGGAAAAACAAACATTGTGGACCGTGCGATGATGCCTTTTCCTTTCTCACAACAGCTCACTGAGTACAAATCAATTGGATATGACCTACTCGAAGTCATTGTGTTATTATAGCTTTTCATTCCTTTTGTTTTACTCCTGGAAGATCCCTCCTTTCTCCTTCACCTTATGTTCTCATTCCCATCCCTCATGGCATTCAAGTAACATCATATTGGTTTCGATTATTTGATTGAATGCAACATAAATGAGTTCTAACTTTACCAAAAAAAAAGAAAAAAAAAGAGAGAGAGAGAAAAAAAGAAGAAAAAAACAGGCAGCGGAAATGGAGAAATAGATTAACTGGAAAGGCAAGATGAGTAGCCAGGTATAAGGAAAGATGAAAACCAGGGTAACACTAGAGAAATGATGGACAGCCTCTTCAAAATCACCAAAAGGATGAGTCAAATCCAACCATTTGGAGTCTTGTTGATGTTATTCTGCTCAGGATTCAAATTCCTAGGTGGGGTTATGTGCCTACCCTTGGGCAGACTAGGGCTGGGCCCTCAGATTGAGATTCCCATGGAGGCTGTGTGGAGTTGGCGAGGGGAAGGTCCCCAGTGCTGGTGGCAGAAGGTAGGCTGGGTGCTGGGCAGGCACTGCCCTTGACCATCCCCCACAACCACACCCAACATATACATGAAGCAATGGGATGAAGCTCAGAGAAACTACATGTCAGGCTCAGCTCCTAAAATACAAGTTTATCCAACTGCTCTTCACTTTACGTCTAAATACATCCTCTTCTAACAGTGCATTTGATACATTTCATTCCTTCCTTTAACATAGAAATTTCTCATTTCAGTATGTAGCTTTCACAGTGAACTGTCACCAGGCTTTAATTCCTGCCATGGTCTGAACATTTGTGTCCCTCCAAAGTTCATAGGTTAAACAAATCCCCAGTGTCGTGGTATTCAGAGGTAGGGCCTTTGGGAAGTGATTAGATCGTCAGGGCAGAACCTTCATGAATGAGATTAGTGCCCTTATAAAAGAGGCCCCAGGGAACCTGTCTGCCTCTTCCACCATGTGAAGACACAGTGACAAGTCAGCAGTCTGCAACTCACAAGAGGGCCCTCACCAGAACCCAACCAAGCAGTGACCCTAATGTTAGACTTCCCAGTGTCCAGAACTGACAAATAAGTTTCTATTGTTTATAAGCTCCCATTTATAGTACTTCATAGCCCAAATTAGGTTACTAAGATGAATCTCCACTCTTGCCCGTTAAATAATTCTGATTAATTTTATCACAAAGACCAAGATATAGCTATAAAAAGTATCTCCCAAAAAAAGGCATTTTCAATCACATTAGTGCTGCCCAGTAGAATTTCCTACAATAGTAGAAATGTTCTATGTCTGGGCCATCCAGTATGGTAGTTACTAGCCATATGTGGCTAGTGCAACTGAGGAACTGAATTTATTTAACTTCAGCTAATCTAAGTACAAGTTCAAATAGCCAAATGTTGGCAGTAGCTACCATCTTGGACAGTGCAGAAGAGATATAATATCCTAGAAATTCTTTTGGGGGTTCTGTCTGGCTTCTACACACTTCTACACTCATGTATTCCATCAATGTGAAGTGTTAAAGGCTAAACAAATATGTTTCTGAGAATGTTATTAGCACTCTGTACCAACTGTACAAATGTGGCTGAGAAACCTTGTAGCTAGTTGACTGGCATTAGGTCACCCAAAATCTAAACCATGCCCTAGCAAATACACAAAGCTCCAGGAAGTCCCAGACTTTAGCTCTTCTTTCCACAGGTGTGTGACCTTTGGCAAATCCAGTTTTCTACTTCTTGAAAAGAAGGGGACTAGACTGCATGCCCTGGGGTTCTCTCTTCCAACTCTAACAGCCACAGTTTTAATTTTTATCCCATTAAAATCTAGGAGCTGTGAAACAGAGGTTGTAAATATAAATGGCTACAGAGTCCAGTCTGGCAAATGAGTGAAACTTGCCAGGTGAGGACTGGAGCAAACCGGAAAACGCATGCTCGAGGCAATTATACAGCTGGGAACATCAGTTCATTTCAATATTCTGATTTTCAAAGAGACCTCAGGAATTTTTATTGTTGACATCTGAAGCAATTTATAAGAACATTTGTGAGCTACCCAAAACTCACCCAGGGTATGACATGGATTGCTTTAGATAGATTATAGCTCTGGAGCACTCCAACTCTGTCCTCCAAGTGGTCCCCCTCCCAGCCGCCACCGCTGCCGCCACCGCCACCACATTCAGAATTGTCTGACCTCTCCCACACTCCCATACTGTCCTCATTTTAAATTATTACTGCTAAAGTTTCCTTCCTGGGCTCCAAACATGATTTACATTAAAACGTTGGTTGTTAGATCAACCCACAACACCACGATTGTCAAGGTGGCTTTGTTTCTAATGACAAAAATTATCAGAATGTAACCAATGTCGACAGATGCCTCATCTCTCCTTAATCATTCGTGACGCTACCAACGAAATTTGAGCATAAAGGGAATTCAAGGCCTCTGTGATTCATTGAAGTTTGTGTTTTGAACAAGTTACATTCAACTTAGTCTCAGATAAAATTGCAAATAGTTACTGCCCAGAAAAGTCTTAACTTTTCACTGAAGCATTAGTCAACTACACAATCTTACTGCAGTAAAAAGGCATAACCACCAGGTGGCAGCATTATATCATTGAAGAAGCTCGGACCTTGAACTTGAGGTATGTTTATAAAAATTGTTTTGGCATCGTCTAGTCAATCTATATGACTTCTAGATTTCTTTCTTATTTTCAATCAGTTATGAATATTATTTGACATTATTGTGGCTACAGCCATTCACCCTGAAATCAGCTTTAAATTTTTTAAATGTTCGGAGTTACCAATACCTTGCTGATTATTAATCTGCTTGTCTTACAGGGTCCTGGGAATAAAAGATGCTGCATTTTGTAAGAGAAACCCTAGATGGTAAGATTTATGTTCTGGAACCCCAGGAGTACTGTATACTAGCTCAGGAGACAACCTAGATAATAAGCAAAGAATCTTTTGGAATACAGGAAGTGCACTTCTGTGTACTCTGGAAATAAACCTAAATTCAGATCTCAACTATAATGCCTAACAACCAGACCCCAACCAACTAAGAATCAGTTTCTTCTCTCATCCTCACTTTCACTCACTCATACATCAATTTTGTCTTTGGTCAGCCATGGGTAACTGCCATCTCCTCGCAATTCAAGACAAAGCAAAATGTATTTTACCACTGAATATATATACGTGTATACACACACACACATACACACCTATCCATATCATTTTCTACCTAAAAAGAATTTCTTAGTATCACCATATATTCAGAAAGGGTTCTAATTCTTAATTGTCTCGAATGTTGTCTTAGTCCAAGCCTACTGCTATAGACAAATTTGTTCTTTATAAATTACCCAGCCTAACAAAATACCTTAGGCTGGGTAATTTATAAAGAACAAATTTGTGTCTCATTTCTAGAGGCTGAAGTCCAAGATTAAGGCACTGGCAGGTCTGGTGAGTACCACTCTCCACTTCCAAGATGGCACCTCTTAGAGCATCCTCGTATGGATGCAGTGCAAACAGCATCCTCACACCTCTTACATAATGATGCTAGACCCATTCACGATGGGCCCAACCTCATGACTTAATCACCTCCTAATATTAATATTATCACATTAGTGATTAAGTTTCAACATATGAATTTTGAGGGGACACATTGACCATAGCAAATGTCCTCATTGAAGAAAACAAAACTTTCCATACCTTTTGCTCTTCCTGGCCCCTCCCTGCTTATACAATTAATTTGGCAGAAGTCCACATTTGGACTTGGAAATTCATCATTGGGAGAAGCAGTGCTGAAGCCCAGGAGCCGGGGATTTTGACTTCACTGACCCTTATGGCTCATCCTCACAGTAACCCCTCCCAAAATGGAGGGCAAATCTGCCCCATCTCCATTCTTAGAGGTGGCACAGAAGCAAATTTCTGGCAATATCGGAATAGCCATTTTTCTCTGATTCCAGCAAACGTGAGTTCAGAAATAAAGCCAATTCTCAGAGCATCTAATATAAGCTTAGTAATATTAAT
The DNA here is from genome assembly GCF_000001405.40 of Homo sapiens. Lineage (NCBI taxonomy): Eukaryota > Metazoa > Chordata > Mammalia > Primates > Hominidae > Homo > Homo sapiens. The sequence goes on from NC_000005.10 coordinate 126,340,831, forward strand.
TGTAAAAAAAAAAGTTTTTTATTCTTTTAATTTAATGAGACAAGAAGCTAAGAAGCTGATACAGTGGATCATTCAGGTTCTTAGGGATACCTATCTGCCCTACAGACCCTTAGAAAATCTAAAAGAAGTTATGGACACTCTCTCCACCAAAAAGAAAAGAAAAAAGTCACCTGCACTGTAAAAGAGTACACATCTTCAGAGGACTTGGGAATTGGGGACCCACACTTAGCTTCCAAGAAGAGAACCTTTGGCACCATCAACCTGTTTCCTGCAAGAGCTGTGCTGTGCACATAGGACAGTATAACAGCACATGAAGTCAAGCAGAATGTGACCTACAATCGTTCTCTTCAACCTAAGTATCTACTTCCTAGTAAGTTGTTCGTTTGTCAGTTTTGTATTTTTTGTTTTCTCCAGACCAGAGCATCTGAGAGATGAGCAAAAAAACATCTCCTGAAAAGCCAAGGGAAGGTGCCAGCCTCACAGGTTTTGGGGGCTGGTGAAAAGGGAGTAGACATTCTGCGGGCAGTTTGGTCATCTACCTGGAGGCTTCAAGTTCTGCACATGCCTTGACCGACCTGGTGATTTTCCTTCTAGAAATGTAATCTAAAGAAATCATTGTGACCGCACCAGTGATGTAGCAAAGAACATTCACTACAGTGTTTTTTAAAATACTGACAAATTAGAAATAAGGTGTCTAACAATGCTGGCGATGTTAAATCAACTATGGTACATCCATTAAAGAAAATAATATGCAGCCTTTTATAACGGCTTGGTAAAGGTTATTGTACTGAAGTGTTTGATATATTACATGGAAAAAGCAGATTCTAGAATAATCTGTGCTATGCAGAGATCATTATTTTGATTATATATCCTGGAATAATATCTATTTTGATTATATATCCTGGAATGATACACGCCAAATGGCTAAGAGTGACACCTCTAGGTTATAGAATTAGGGTTGATTTTATGTATTCTCCCTTTCTTCCTTTGATTCTTTTTCTCATGTGTATTTTTCTATAATAAGTGTATAGTTCTGCGTAATAAAAAAAAAAAAAGCTAATGTCAGCTTGAGGCATAAGTGCATTCTGAGAATCCTTGCTCACCAAGGTCAAGGCCAGAAGCAGCAGGAAATTTGGAAAGCCAGAGATGTCAAAAATGAGCATCAACAACAAAATTAAGAAATCAAGACAACACCTATTGTGGCAAAGAGTTTCAAGGAAAAGACCAATTCCAGGAAGGAAGAATCAGAGCCTTCAGCAGGGTGACTAAGCCATGACAGGGACTAGAAAATCTGCTGATAGACAGGTGAGGTGGTGACTGATATTGACACCTGGCTCAGTTCCCCACTTTCTCCTACTAAAGGGATTCTTTATATATGAAACTTTTATATAAAGCTGATAATGAAATAAATCCAAGTCTCTATAGCTTCATAAATAGTGGTTCCAAAAGCCTAGCCTGTGGGAAAGATTTTTATTTTCAAATGCATATCCCTGCCATAGTCCAGAAAAAAACTGCCACATGTGTGGAAGAGAAAACTCAGCCCTTTCCTAGAAAAGATTAATAGCAGGTGCCAGCTTTTCTGTCAATTGTGCTTTTTACAAAGGGACTTTGTTTCATGTAAGAATATTTGAACTTCTTTTGTAAGTCTGAGCACGTTTAACTCAGACACAAGTTAAAAATCAGAATAGGTTTCTTGGATTTACAGCCTCAATTGATTTTTCTTCTATAAGCTGTGTTTCCAGGCTGTCTGCCTTTCCACAGTAAGCTAAAGGGATCCAAGACTCCCAAAGCAGCACTCTGCAGGGATGACCCACAAACCTTATCAATGAGACTCTTTTTAAAAATTTAATAATCCCCATTTGCATGACTTAAAGTCTATCCCTTGTAACAATAGCTGTGGCCAAAAATTCCGTGTCAAAGATAGGGGTACAGTAATCTGACTTTATTTTTTGAGTTCCCATTTTACTAAGGTACTTGATTTTAGTAAATTTGGATTTCCTTCTTTTTCATTGGTTATATCTAAGTTTGGGGGGGTTATATAAAGCCAACACCTTATGAGGGGGTCCCCCTGGTTCTTGTGTCAACATTCATACAGGTGTCCCCCAGGCTGCACACAGCTGCCCCAACGGCTGAGAGGATCCCACACTTCCATGTGTTGAGGCACGCCAAGAGAACCCTAATAAAGTGAGTCAAATCTGGGAAGCTGTAACTTCAACTTTAGGCCAATCCAAATATTTTCCCCAAACCAAACATTAAGTGTTCTATCCAAGTCTAATAAATTCAGTAAGTGAAAGACTCTACCTAAGAAGGGAAAAATTATTTCATACATTCTGTAACTAGTTATTATTTCCCTTATCCAAGTGTTTTTCCCAGATCTTTTTGTGCCTTTTAGCTCACTTTTATTCAACTCATAATTTTCTTTTTTTACTTTTCCGTGATTCTAAATTATTCTGGAGTGTAATTAATGTATATTTAGCACGTGTTTGTCTTTAAGTCACACTGGTATGTATGCCACTTTCCCACATGCATTATATCCCAGGGCTAACACTATTCTCTTATTAGGACATTTTTGTACCCCTTTTCTCCTTCCAATCACACTGTAATAGATGAATGACAAATACAGCCATTCTGTCTTTTCCTTGTGATGGTAGCAGCACCAGAAAATGCCATCAGGGACATGAGCTCTGCACTCTGGGGGCTGGGTTTTAATACCAGCTCAGTTACTTACTAACAGGGTGACCTTCCACAAATTATTTGTGTTCTCTGTGCCTTAGTTTCCTCATCTGTAGGAAGGGGTCATAATAATACCTATCACACAAGGGTTGTTTAAAGGATTAAATGACAATGTATATCAAGCACATGGAGAAGTGTATGACGCAAATATAGGCCATTTGTTGGAAACCCAAGAACTCAAGTCATAAAGCAGACCTTTCTAAAGTGAGTCATGTTTTCTCCTACTCCTCTATAAGAAAATATCATATACTTATATAGTTATGTGCATAACTACATAAGTGTTTTGGGTTTGACCAGAGACTGATATCAAATCACTCATGGCTAGAATAGCAAAGTGCTATAGAAACAAAAGCAGGGCAGGTGTAAACCTTTGTAATTAATCAAAATAGTAATATGCCTCAAATTCTGTATAACTACCCCAGGCAAATCTATTTCTGTAGGTAATTAAGACTTCATTTAAGAAGATTTAACACCAATACACATCCTCTTTAGATGACAATGCCCATATATGTTTTCCCCTAACAGTGTCTAAACTAAAGACTCATGTAGAGGAAAAATCAAGTAATTCTGCATGCCTTCACTTGCATATTTCCAGAGGGCAAGCCTCATATTTTATAAAGAGTTTGTCAGGGTCGGGCATGGTGGCTCACGCCTGTAATCCCAACACTTTGGAGGTTGAGGTGGGCAGATCACCTGAGGTCAGGAGTTCCAGATCAGCCTGGCCAGTATGTGAAACCCCATCTACTAAAAATACCAAAAAATTAGCCAGGCATGGTGGTGCATGCCTGTAGTCCCAGCTATTCAGGAGGTTGAGGTAGGAGAATCACTTGAATCCATGAGGCAGAGTTTGCAGTGAGCTGAGATCGTGCCACTGCACTCCAGCCTGGGCGAGAGAGCGAGGCTCTGAGGCTCTGTCTCAAAAAAACAAACAAACAAACAAACAAACAAACAAAAAAAGCTGTCAGGCATATCAGGAGAGCTTACCCTTTTGACAAAACCCTAAACAAGGATAATTTGCAAGATATAATCCTTTGGTATTCTGGATATTGACTCAGGTTTGCAAGATAAAATGTTAAGTTTTTGTTTATTTGTTGTTTGTTTTTTGTTTGTGAAACCTCCGATGAAAAAGTCACCAATCAGAGCTAGCCAAGTGATCCTAGCCTGGTAACTGTGTGAATGATTTAAAATCCTTCCAAAATAACTCTCCCTGTTGTAAAGAGGTCTTCTTAGCTGTGGGCATTTCATTCATCATCTTTAGCATTTGCTGAAAAAAACAGTTAACTGTTCACCTCTCTCTAAAGATCAAATCCACTGTGTTCAAAACAAACTGCTTTCCTAGAGCTTAAAAAAAAAATTGTTTACTTCTAACTCCTAATGAAGATATATTAGTTCAAAAGCCACAGAATAGAGGTCCCAGATACAGCTTTTGAGTGAATCCTGAGAAAGGTCAGTAAGGTCGTAGATAAGAGGTTTCTGCTGCCTTGAATCAATCTTTTAGCGTGTTCCAAGCTCTCTGCAGTCTGTGCTAACCAGCCTTGCCAGGTCGAGGAAGGGTTATCCATTGGAAATGACTTGCATCTGAGACAGCAACAGAACAAATGATTTTTCTTCCCTTAAAAGATGAGATTGTTCCACACTCCTTTCATACAGTGTGTTTAGATGGGAAGACCAAAATGGCAGCAGGAAATACTTTCAACAAAAGATGTAACAACAACTCTCATTTACTCAAGCCATTGGATGGCAAGTGGCTAAAAGTATTCTGCTGAACAAGGAGATACTCAGAAACATCAAGGTCCAGAAGAGCTCAAACCTCTGCTAAGTCAAGTAAAAGGGAAGATACTGCTTTGGAGGACAGATACTAGTTCCCTCTTTTCTCCCAGAGCCTCAAAGTGGTGTGTATCTCAGTCAGAGGTCTTCACTGTGTCTTTATGGAGCAGTGAGGAGGAAATGATGTTTGGCACTCCTGAGAGATTTTCAGAAGACCACTCAGTAAGACCGTGGCAGATGAGAAAAAAAAGTTTTCCCACTTATGATAGCTACACTTCATTTTCTCCATCACAGGAATTGATCCTGGGTGCCACTACCAGATGACACAGCAACACAGGTTTTTTTTTTTTTTAAGAAAACAATGTGAGAAAGCAAAATATCTTCACAAGGGTCTTCATTGTCCTCAGGATACTCCAGGCCACACTAATCTCTTGGCTCTTGGAAGCACAGATTCAAGTTGAGTAGTTTTCAAGCCTGGCTCCATAGAACCCCTTTAGGGAGTGAGAAGAGCCAGAAGGAACCCTGCCATTCTACCTCAACTTCCCCAGAAAAGCTCTAAATGTATCTTCTTAAAGGAGCCCATGATTTTAATACATAGACATTTTTAAACAACCTAGGCTAATCCTAACCCTTTAAGAATGAAGAAATGGAAGCAAAGAGAATCAAAGAAAAGTACAGGGTGAAACAATGACGGTGGAAATCAATATCTAAAGCAGGCAGCCAGAGCCCAGGGTCTAAAGAGGAGAAGGACATGTTTACCTAGGACCCAAAAGGATGGGTGCTTACAAGAGGTGGTTCCTCAAAAGTACATCATACAAACCCCTCAAGATGGACTTTAATATTGATTCCCTCTTTGAAATGCACCTCATTTTCTCATAATAGATAGCAGTACAACTATTGATCTTTCATCATAAATACATTTATCTTCCTACAAATTAACCTTAGTCATTCTTTTTCTTCTCTTTCAATTCCAAACTCTTTTCCTTGGCTATCTCTTCAACCCTCAACCCTTCTATAGGATTTTATTCTGAATTGGTAAAGTCAGTTTGGTCCCACACAATTACATGTAAATTGTATTATCCAACAGTATCAGTTCAATCTTACATCTGTGGCCAGTGTTGTTTTATGAAATTGGAATGAAATACTTCAAATATATATTAATATTTAAATGTATATTTTAAGGAAAAAAGTACTTGAAATACTACAAGAGTTAATACAAGACTTGGTTCCCTTCATAGGCTGATTCAATGAAACTAGATGATAAAAGGAATCGTATAGTTGGGAGGGTCCTTAATGGATCATGTAAGCCTCTACCACCTTCATAGAGCAACATTCTTAGACTCTACCAATGGGATCAACTTGAAAGGCATCCAGAGATAAGTTTTAAAACACCCTTAAAATTGTTCCCCAGCCATCTCTTCTCAGTTCAATAATTCCATTTCTACATTCTATCATATTTTTATTTTCCATTTATCTTTTGATTATTTTCTGTACTCCTCTTGATTCTGCATATCCCACTTACCTTGAAGTGCCAGACTATTTACTAGGTTTTAAAAATGGTCTGAATATAAAAGACTTTTTCTAAGCCCTTACATACTGCTTTTTTGAGACAGTCTACTCTGTTGCCCAGGCTACAGTGCAGTGGCATGATCTCAGCTCACTGCAACCTCTGCCTCCCAGGCTCAAGCAATTCTCACACCTCAGCCTCCCGAGTAGCTGGGACTACAGTTATGTGCCACCATACCTGGCTAATTTTTGTATTTTTAGTAGAGATGGGACTTTGCCATGTTGGCCAGGGTGGTCTCAAATTCCTGGCCTCAAGTGATCTACTGGCCTCAGATTCCCAGGGTGCTGGGAATACAGGCGTGAGCCACCACGCCCTGCCCTATATTCTTAACTGGACATGTGAGTTGCTTTTCTCCAAAAATTACCCAAAAGTCTATTAGCAAATAAATATTACTATTAACATTTTAGTATACTACATATATTCTCAGCTTTTTCTGTGCAGATACAGATTTAGAATATTATTGCTCATGTTTTTGTAAACTTATTCAACAACATATTTTGGAAATCTTTCTGGGTTGTTAAAATAGGTCAACATTGTTTTCATGCTTTTATACTAACCCATTATATGCCTACAACAGCATTTAGATCCAGGATAGATTCTGCCTTCCAAGTTGTTCATCTTTAGTCTCATTCAGGGTGTTCTTGATTGTTCTAGTAATTTCCTAACCGATCTCCTTGTTTGCTTTTCCCTCTATAAGCCATTATCCAAATGGTTGCTGATCTTACCTTTCTAAAACACAGGGAGGATCACATTTCTCCCTTTTCACAATTCTTCCACTGCTCTTTAGGTTAAGATCCAAATTCCTTCCCAGGGCATTCAACATCCTCCAAAATCTAGCTCTAGCTTGGATGACAATAAGGTCTCACTCTGTCACTCAGGCTGAAGTGCTGTGCCACAATCTCAGCTCAATGCAGCCTCAACCTCCCAGGCTCAAGTGATCTTCCCACCTCAGCCTCCCAAGTAGCTGGGACTACAGGTACATGCCACCATGCCCAACTAATTTTTGTATTTTTAGTAGAGATGGGGTTTCACCATGTTGCCCAGACTGGTCTTGAACTCCTGGCCTGAAGCCATCTGCCTGCCTCAGTCTCCCAAAGTGCTAGGATTAAAGGCATGAGCCACCACCGTTCCTGGCCCAGCCTCCCCTTCTTCTCTAAATCCTAACATCCCAGAGTCCTCACCACTCTCTGGCCCCTCCATGGAAATCCAAGCTTCATCCCTCCCCCCTTGCTTTTCATATTTCCTGTAATGTCCTTTCCCCGCATCGTCTGACAAATTCCCACTCAGCTTTTAAGATTTTCTTCTCTGTAGGCTTCCCTGCCACCAGTAGAGTTGCTTTCTCTGTGTGTAACACCATCCCTATATTTTTATGCAATGACATTTGCCATTGATTATAACCGTGTGCGCATATCCGTCCCTCCCACAATTCTGGGAGACCCATGCCTTTTCATCCCTAGTGTTCTGCATGGTGAATGGCACTCAACAAACGCTGAAGTGAATTCAATCTCTCAGCCCATGGACCACATTAACAACAAGATGAGATAAGGTATTTAGGTCAGCTTAAATTTTGTGTCCCAAAGATGAGCTCCATTTTCACCCATCACAATTGTGTCTCTGATAAGTCAGCAGAAATTGAAAATGCTAATCTTTCCTCCTCTAACTTCCAGATTGAGGGTAACATCCCAAATATGCAGGGAATAGCTTAAGGATAGCATCATTGACCCTATTTCAACTCTTTCTACTGATAGAAAAGAATGATGATTTCAGGTATCATGTCCTACCTTCTATTACAGTCTACAAACCTCCTGGCAGAGACACCAACTGTGAGAGCAGTCACTGCTGTATGGAAGATAATACGTCTGCCCAGTGCAGCCTCCTGGGCAGAGACAAATCTATTGGCTGTTTCAAGGCCACGAACATATAACATTTAAATGTGAATTTTGGCAAATATGAAATATTAATTTTTTTTACCAGTCTATATGACTTCCATTTTCCCACCCCCTTCTAAGAAATATACAATTTTCCTGCTGAAAACTTTTCTCCAAGTGATACCTCGTGACATAATCCTAGATGGTATTTCCGGGGAAAATAAAGAACATGTCTAGATAACATTGGCTTCAGTGATAGCAATGTTTAGCTTTCACTTTCCTCTTAAGTTTTCTTGGAAACAATGCCTTATACTGGTAGCTTTTTCTGGCTTAGTGGAGCATGAGGATTCTTTTTTCAATCAAATGCAGTCCTATAGCACTGCAGTGTTGATGGTGTTTTGCTTTGCTGTTTGTTGTTTTTGTTCTGTTGCTGATTGCCACTGATCTGTTGGATGTTTGACCCCTTATTGGTTTATTTGGAGACTGAAACCCAATAAAATCCAAATCAACACTACAATACAGTGGATGCAGAAAAAAAAAAAGTTGCCAGCCTAACAATGCTTTCCTTAACAAACCACTAGAGATACCCAGTCTCATATTTCACTTGAAAGTCAATGAGAAGAACCATTTGTTCTGTATTGTCCTACTCCTTAATGAGCTTAACAAAGAAGTAGAGAAGTGCTCAAATCAGCGTACAGCTCAATAAACTTTCACAAAGCAAGCCTACCAAAGCAACCAGTGCTCAGACCATAATCAGCACACAAAAGCCCCATTTGTGCTCACTCCTCAAGATACCCCCCACCCAAAACAACCTCTATCCTGCTTTAACTAGAGATTAGTTTTGCCTGTTTTGAGCTTTACATAAATGGACTCGTTCAGTGTGTACTTTCATGTCGATTTATTTTCCATACATTATATGTGTGAGATCCATCTTTGTTTTTGCATGTGTCAATGATTTGTGCATTGTCATGGCTATATAGAATTTTTGTTTCAAGAGCATCTAAGCAAACAAGTATTCTGAGGAAAACGCTTTGAGATACATGGATCCCAGTGTTAGAATATAAAAGCTTTAATCAAAAGAGCAAAAAGTAAATAAGACCACCTCTGGAAACAGCCTGAAGTCAATTGTTAAGAAGCAGCTGTTTCAGGAGAGAAGTAGAATGGTAAAAAGCTCTATGGATATGTTAATTTGCCTGATTTGATCATTCTACAATGAATAAGTGTATCAAAACATCACATTGTCCCCCATGAATATGTACAATTATTATTTATCAAAAATACAACTAAAGAGAGCTCTCAGATAAATCAGAAAGGCCATCTTAGAAATACCCAGAACTGAGTCAGGGATCTTGGCTTAAAGGGAAATAAGACAGCCTTCCAAAAAGGTTTTGATTTAGGCTGTCTTTGTTCTCATCTCTTCAGCAAAACCTCTTTTTTGCCTCTCCAGTTCCGACTTTAGAGCCCTAACTGTTCTGAAGCCAATACCCCACTTAGGGATCAAGTTTTGCCACAGCTTTCCACACATTGTATATACATGACCTAACCATTCCTCATGGGAAAGAATATTAGCATTCTGTTGCTACCTCTTTAAAACACAATATCTTGGCTGGGCGCAGTGGCTCACGCCTGTAATCCCAGCACTTTGGGAGGCCGAGGCGGGCGGATCACGAGGTCAGGAGATCGAGACCATCCTGGCTAACACAGTGAAACCTGTCTCTACTAAAAATACAAAAAATTAGCTGGGCATGGTGGTGGGCACCTGTAGTCCCAGCTACTCGGGAGGCTGAGGCAGGAGAATGGCGTGAACCCAGGAGGCAGAGCTTGCAGTGAGCCGAGATCGTGCCACTGCACTCCAGCCTGGGTGACAGAGTGAGACTCTTTCAAAAAAAAAAAAAAATGATTTCTTGTATTATTATCAAAAGCTCTCCAGATTGAGGGTAACATCCCAAATATGCAGGGAATACCTTAAGGACAAAATTGTAAGTTTGATACTTTGTAAGTTTGATACTTCAGTGCTGCCACTTTATGAAACTTTCTAAGTTACTATTGTTACTAGCTAACTGATATTTAAGGCACTAACATTTTTACCAATATTTCATAATACTAGCACTGAAGAGAAGTTTTTATTCTGTTATGAAGATGTTAATTAAAGCAATTATCAAAATGGTCCCATAAACATTGAGACCATATTCTGAAAATATAATTACCCTTTATTGTTTTTCTCTTCCTTGAAAAAAAAAAGCCCAAATTCACAAAAAACTTTAGTTTCATAAAACTCATTTGAAGTACATTCAGTAGTTTTTTAAAAGATATTAGTTTCAGTGGCTCTGGAAAATATTCCAAGAATCTAAGCTTTTTCCTACATTCTTCTACTTACGTGAGATTAAGTCTATGATAGAGTTCAAGTGTCCTGGCTTTAAATATTTAACAGGAACAAGAGTAGAGGTGTTGGAATATTTACCAGGGTATTAGTAAGAGGAAGGAGTGGTTTGTCAGCACATGGTTATTTGAATTCTAGCTATAAATCCAAACCCAGATAAGAAGACACCAAAAGTTCATTTCATCAGCTACCAAGATACACTGAAAAATTTAAAGTGGTCATAAATTGTATTAGCTCCTCCCATCAAGAGATAGATTATTTCCCCACCATGTGAATCTAAGTTGGATGACTCATGACTGCTTGGACTGATAGAATAAGTCAGAAGTGATGTTATGTGACTTTTGAGCTTGAGCTTCAAGAAGCTTGCAATTTTGCTCTTGCCTTCTGGACTTGAGGCCTTCGTGTAAGAAAAGTGAGAGAGGCCACTGCAGGGAGAGACCAGGCGGAACACACTCTGAAGGCCCCAACAAACCTGTCTTAGTCCATTTGTGCTGCTATCACAGAATACCCAGACTGAGTATCAAGAACAGAAGTGTCTCAGTTCTGGAGGCTGGGAAGACAAAGATCAAGGGGCCAGCATCTGATGAGGGCTGCTCACTGCTTCCAAGATGGTGCTTTGGATAGTGCATCCCCAGAGAGGAGAAATGCTGTGTCCTCCCTTAGCAGAAGGACAAAGAGCAAGTCTACTCCCACAAGCTCTTCCTATAACAGCATTAATTCATCAGGGCTCAGCCAAACACATCCCAAAAGCCCCACCTCCCAGCACTGTTGCACTGGGGGTTAAGTTTCTAACACATGAATTTTGGGGGACACATTCAGACCATAGGACAACCTCCTGATAACAGTTAATTATTTGAATATACCCCCGGAAACAGCAGCAACATAACTGCCTAATTGAGCCCTGCTCAACTTCGTGAACAAATTGCCAATTTAAGCCACTACATTTGGGAGAGGTTTGTTATACAGCAAGAGATAACTGAGACCGAGCCCATTTCATTGGCTACCAAACACACCAAGTCAGTAAGGGAAATGTACTAGCATAGTTGGGGTTTTACTATCAGGTCTCCACCTTCAAATTTCTACAGCACTGCTCTGCCTAGTTTGGTCACAATTTATTTCCAATCAAGACAACTGTAGTTGACTCCTGGTTATCTGTTCCTGCCCCTATTTACTTCCCACATCAATCTAACGTCCACGTTATTCAAGTGGCTAGGATCCTAATTAACATTCTCCCTGCCGTCACTCTTCCGCTCAAGCCGTGGATAAAACCCTGTCCGTGGGATAAAACCCTGGGCCCAGTATTCATAACCTTCATAATGAGGCTTTGCCTGACTTACGAGAGGTAGAGGAGTATTTAACCATTGACCCCCAGACCCCACAGATCAAGGGTTATTCCCCTGACCTCTGGGCATGTGCCATGGCCTAGAAAGTTCCTTACAGCACCAAAAATCTAATTTCTTTATATTTTCTTTAGATTAATAAATTAATCTAATACCTGAGATATTAGATGAAGCACTTGAAGTGAGACAATCTCAGCTAAAAATAAGTGGAAGCCTGCAGAGAATTGTCCAGTATAGTCACAGCTGAAATCAGAGGGCCAGTCAAGCATTTGTGAATCCATGTGCCAGCTGTACCTGCTGCTCCCTGTCTGAGGTCATAACATCAATATCCATTTCCTTAGGAAGCCACAGAAAGTCTGATGTAAAAGGTCTCCTAGGAAGTGCACAGATATCCTGGACCTCCTAAGCTGTTTATGCAAACCCTGAACCTCCATAAATCATCTTTTCAAACAATGTTATCTCAGTTAAATTTATCCGTGGACTGTGTCTTCCCAGGAAAAACTTACAAGACAATCAGAAACATCTCCTCTAGAACCACCTGATATAGGATTATTTTGTAAGAGAACAACCCAAGGAGCCTCTATAACCCCAAGTGATCAAAACTTAAATCAATAAGAAATTGACATCGTGTGCTTCTTGATCTGATGCACTGAGAACAACACAAAGATTATCATTGTGGCGATCTTACCAAAGATACAAAACCTGAATTTAATCAGAAAGAAGCATCAGAAAACCCAAACTGAGGAATATTCTTAAAACAAACAAACAAACAAACAAAACTGTCCCGTACTCCTCAAATTTATTGACGGGGGAAAAAAAAAAAGACCAAGGAACTGTTTGATTGGAGAGACTAAGGAAACATGCTTATAAAATACAACATGGCCCCTGGGTTGGACTGCAGCCTAGAAAGACAGCTGAAAATTTTGAATAAGGCCTGTGTATGAAGTAGTATTGTGTCAGTGTTAGTTTTCTAATTTTGATTAATTGCATTATAGTTCGATCTGGATGAAATGATGAAGTAGCTCTTGTAAGAGTTCAAAATGAGAAGTTAAAAAGTTTAAGTTGTTAAAATCAGTGGATAGCAGATAATGAGCAATTGGAAGATGATACCTGAAATAGGCAGATTACAAATGACGTTTGTCATATTTAGTTGGATATTGGTTGACTTGAGCACTGATTTGCAACATGTGTTTGGGGCTATCCCACTACACCCCCAAGTTCACACTCACCTATTTTTACTTGAATATGTCACTTAATTCTTAGAGAAACTTCAGAATAGTGTTGCTCACAGTTCACTTTGATTTTACAATGTAAAATATACATATAAATATTTTTACAAGGGGAAAAGAAAGAGGGAATATCATACAAACAAAAAGCTAACTTCCAAAGAGATAGTTGAATTTCACAATCAATTAAAACAGAATCACCTGGGAAGCTTGTTAAAAAAAACTCTGATGCCCAAGTCTCACACCAAACCTATAAAATCAGAATGTATAGGTGTGGGGTATTTGTACAAGTTCTGTGCAATTGTGAGGCATACTAAGAAAGTTTGAGAACCACCATTTAAGAAAATAACTGGTCTCTAAATTAGGACTCATTATCCACTAGATGGTGCCAAGAATTCAAAGATGGAACTTTGTGGTACAATGTCTATTTTCCTTTGAGTATACAGTGTGTTCATTTTCCTTCTTATCCACTTTCTCTTCGACCTCTCCCCAACTTGTAGGAAAGGGTTACATCACACCAAAATAGATATTTTGTTCAGTATCAGTCTAGCAGCTTCTCCTTGGATTTTGGTTATAACAGACAGGCTCGTTCTGAAGGGATATTGAGAGGAAGTTGTGTGAGTACTCTTCCCTTAGCCTTTTACTTTCTCAGTGCAGATATTTAGAAGAGGAAAATCCACTGTAAGAGGTGGCCTCATTGGCAATGAGTGATTGGATAAGAAAGAATGGTCTGACCAGTTCCTAAAAGCCATATTTAGCCGTTTGTGGTTTTGATCCCTGTCCTTTCCCGGAAACAATGACTTCAAGAATGTACCACAACTATTTGGTATGTTATATCAGTTAAATAATAAGTCATATTATTAAATATCAGATTACTCTTAAGCTACCACTGCCTCAATGGAAAAGCATTTGACAATTTCTTAAACTGTTTTATCCTTTCTTTATCCTCAGGATTTTTGCAATTAAAAAATCCTGTGCAGATGATAATCTCATTTCAGTTTTTCTGATGAGTTTATGTGTTTGGAATCTGCTCCAAGGCATTGTGTTTATCCTCATGAATGTTTATTTTTAAATGTGTATCGAATAGAAATGGCTAGAAAGCCGAGCAAGACAAATAACATTTTATTAATCCTTGTCTTAGTCTCTTTGTGCTGCTATAACAAAGTACCTGAGACTGGGTAATTCATGAAAAAAAAAAAAAAAAAAAAATGTATTTTCTTACCATTCTCGAGGCTGGGAAAGATCGGGGCACTGGCTTCTGATGTGGGTTTTTTGGCCACACCCTCACACGGAAGGAGGAACAGGGGCAAACTAACTAAACAGTTCACGAAGCCTCTTTTATAAGGACCTTAATCCCACTAACAAGGGAGAAGCCCTCATGGCCTAATCATCTCTTAAAGGCCTCACCTGTTATCACACTGGCAACCTTTGAATTTTGGAGGGAACACATTCAAACCATAGCAGTCCTACAAATATCTATTGAGCAACAATATGTACCAGGCACTGTGATACACATTGGTGTAGGGACACAGGGTTGAACAAAGCAAAAAAATATAAGCTTTCATGAATTTGCATTCTAGCTGTGAGAAATGTACAGAGGAAAAAAATAGCAAGATAATGATAGAGTGACAACTCTTTTACTTCATAAAGCAGAGAGGTGTAATAGTTTCTGCACAAGCCAGGATTATTTTTGACATTGTAGTCAGGGGAGGCTCCCTGAGAAGGTGACATTTGAGTTGAAATTGAATGATGACAAGAAGAGCCAGAAAGGAAGCTATATAGTCAGTGGGCGGAGCAGGTGCAAAGATCCAGGGGTAGAAACAAGTGTGGTATATTGCAGATTAGGAAAAAAACCAATGAAAGGAAGCATGAGCTAAATGAGGCTGGAGATATGGGCAAAGACCTGAGCAGGGCCAGAGGTTGCAATTTAGTGAAATAGAAAATTAGGAGATTTTAAAGGGAAGAGTAACATGGTTTTTTTCTTATTTTTAAATTTTAAAATCATCCTGGATCCTGATTGTAGAGGTGATACAAGTGGGAAGAGAGCAATTGGAATACTGCTGCAATAGTCTAGATAACAGATGGCAGCTTGGACTAGTAATAGGAATACCAGTGGAGAGAAGCACTGAAATTCTGGATGTGTTCTGAAGGCACAGCTGATAAGATTTGTTGATGAACTGCACGTGGGGAACAAGGGCATGAGAGAAATCAACAACACCTAAATTGCTTTTACATCAACCAGGTGGATGAGGAAGCCCTTTACTGGTCTGTCCTTACACTGCTAATAAACACATAACCGAGGCTGGGTAATTTATAAAGGAAAGAGTTTTAATTGACTCACAGTTCCACACGGCTGGGGATGCCTCACAATCATTGTGGAAGGTGAATGAGGAACAAAGTAAAGTCTTACCCGGCGACAGGCAAGACAGTGTGTGCACGGGAACTCCCATTTATAAAACCATCAGATCTCGCGAGACTTATTCACTGCCACGAGAATGGCATGAGTGAAACAGCCACCAAGATTCAATTATCTCCACCTGGCCCTGCCCTTGATATGTGGGGATTATTACAATTCAATGTAAGATTTGGGTGGAGACACAGCCAAACCATATCAGAACAGTAAAATGAGACAAGAAAAATTCTGGAGGAGAGCTGTAAATAAAAATTCTACTTTGGTCACAGTAAGTTTGAGGTGTTTATTTAATAGGGAGAAGTAAGAGGGGAATTATAAGACTTGGACATCATCAGCATATAAATAGCATTTAAAGTCATAGGATGAATAATATTACTGAGAGAATGTGTCAATAGAGAAGAGTATCTAGGACTGATCCCACTGACTCTACATTGATGTTGTATTGTTACTCTCTCAATAAGCCTTCAGTGATTTTCCTTGTTTATTTATTTATTTGAGAAAGGGCTCACTCTGGTGCCCAGCCTAGAGTGCAATGGTGTGATCATAGCTCACTGCAGCCTTGAACTCCTGGGCTCAAGCAATCCTTCCACCTCAGCCTCCCAAGTAGCTGGGTCAGTGGTTATTTTTGTTTAAGTAATGTAGTTAAAATCGATATTGGTAAGGTGAGAATAATAATACTGCATACAGTTATTGCAAGGAGCAAATGAGGAATATGTAAAATATCTAACACATTGCCTGGCGGAGTAGGAAATCGATAAAATATGACCTTTTTTTCCCCTATTTCCTTCCTTGGTAAGAGTGGACTCTGCAGTAAATTGCAATAGAACTAAAATCTCTCTATTGGCTCAGATGTCTTTACACAGAGAAAGTCTTAAGAATCATCTGCCTCTGCATTTCCAAAAGGAGATTCTTCCTATAGGATATTAACAGTTTTCCATTTCTATCTGGTTGAGCCTGAGTTAATAAAGTTGAATAGATTTATTAAATGCAGACCTTCATAGAGACCTCTAAGGGACAAAAATTGTGTGCTGTATTTGCCAACTTCCACACAAGCTAGAGAAATTGTCCACAGACCACAATTTAGGAAAGCATTGATTTACTCCAAGCCCCTATTTTACATAAGAGAAAACTGAGGCCAAGGGAGATAAGGTAACTTGAGTAAAGTTCTACCACTAGTAAAGTGTTCTGACACCAAACTTGGAGCTCTTTTTTCTAGAATATTCCATCACTATGATGTCGCTTATTATTACTAACACTACCCCAACTTTCCAACAGCCTTTCCGTCTGAGTAGCCTACTTCAGCTCTTTTCCTAAAAGCTGAGTTTACGAGGCATCTATATGGGGCTTTCAGGTAGATAAGATGCCTAGAGAAAGCAGCCAAGTGCCTCTATTTGTCTGAAATAGAACCCCTGTGGTTTATGAAGAGTTGCCTACATAAGAATGACTTTGTTACATATTCATAATATGGAGTAAGAGATAGAGTTTTTCCTTTTTTTTGGAAAAAAAAAAGCACAAACTGAGTAATCAAACTGTTACCGTATTTATGGCCTCATCTCCAATAATACGTGGGACCTTGGATCCATTCACCTGAGGTAAAATCTCTGAACTTTCATTTGTCTGCCTGTTATTAAGAAAGGCAGTAAAATGGAAGTTAATATTTGCTAAACCTTTGACCTATAATGCAGTTTCTAAATCAGCAGAAAGTATCTTTGTAGAGTTAAGCAGGAAAGAGAAAAAACAGAGCTTTGCCAAGTGCCTTTTCTCATCACCATTTCGCAGAGAAGAAAACTGGATAACACAGGCAGTAAACCCTCAGCATGTCCAAGGGCCCTTAACATGTTAGGCAAAAGGCAAGATTGGAAGCCAGGTTTGTCTCACATTAAAGGTGTATTGCCCCTTCAGTGAAAAAACCTGGAGTGCAGTCATTAGAATGGTGAGAAGAAGGGCTTCCCATAGACCTGAGAAGAGTTGGGTGGTGAGTACTACTCTCAACTTTGCCTGGTGACCATGGAGGGAAGTGGAAGTACGGAAGGGGAAGTGGGAGATGAAGTGGGATTGTAGTGGCAACAGTTTGTAGGACTAACAATACAATTTTTAGATCTTTAATAGATGTCATCTACCCTACCCTAAAGCTACCTTTCCTATTCTCATGATAGCAGACCTCTAAAGCATATCAGACTTTGATCCCAGGAAGATCCACTGTATTGCCTAAGTTCATCCTGCTGACCTACTGAACCTGAAGACCCTCTCAAAATTACCCTCATTTAGCTCAAGTGGTTGGCAACAGTTAAAACATAATTGCCCCTGGAGCTATTATCATCTTACTGCATTAGTGATATGAATATAGGATCTGAAGCAGTTAGCTATTGCTGTGTAGAAATCCATCTCAAAACCTCAGTTGGAAACAATTATTTATTATTTTTTATGAGTCTACAGGTGTTCAGGTAGTTCTGTTGATCTACATCAGTTAGATTTTGGCTGGGCTCACTACTGTGTCTGTGGGGACTTGGCAGGTCACTGGGGAGCCGGGTGGTCTACGACAGCCTGAATGACTCAGCTCTGTGCCATGTGGTCTCATGTGGAGGATACCTCTAATTCAGTCGTGTAGTCATAGTGACCACAGGGAAGGAGTAGAAACCCACGAAGCTTCTTGAGGTCTAGACTCAGAACTGTCACAGTATCACTTCTGCCACATTTTATTAGCCAAAGCAAGTAACAAGACCAGTCCAAGTTAGAGTAGGTAGAAATTACAAAGCTATAAGGCAAAGGCTATGGATATATAGAGGCCATTAATGTAGCTGGGATTATCAATGCATTCAATCTAACACAACCTGAGGGCAAATTTTAATTGAAAGAATAGGAAAGGGGCTGGACGTAGTGGTTCACACCTGTAATCCCAGCACTTTGGGAGGCTGAGGTGGGCAGATTTCTTGAGGTCAGGAGTTCGAGACCAGCCTGGCCAACATGGCAAAACCCCATCTCTACTAAAAATACAAAAATTAGCCAGGTGTGGTGGTCCATGCCTGTAATTTCAGCTACTCGGGAGTCTGAGGCAGAGGTTGCAGTGAGCCGAGATTGTGCCACTGCACTCCAGCTAGGTGACAGAACAGGACTCCGTCTCAAAGAAAAAAAAAAGGAAGGAAAGGAAAGGATAGAGAATATAAGTTGTTTGCATTCTAAATAATCTCTTGCATAGATCTCTCTTGTTCTATTACCTAGTTTTGAACTCAAGCAAATTGTACTCTTCTTTCTCATTTGTAAATCTTTATCTTAGTATATCCTATGCAAGTAAATCATCTCCAAATGTACACTTTGTTTTGCAATGGTCTTAGATTAAAGTGAATTAAGTACCTAAAACTATTTAATTATTTGAGTTCAGCCAATCAGATTTTTGTCTGATACAGAGTGAAAAAAAAGAAAGAAAAACTTTAATGCCATTTCATTATTATTCTAATTAATGAGCAACTTTACTGTCTGCATTAGTGACACGGTAGAACAGCTAAAAAGAAGGAAGTTTGAGTAAGTTCAGCTTCTCTGTGAATTTGCTTTCCAGCATGACAGGTTTATCATCAGTAAATATTCATTGAGTCCCCACAGTGAGAAAAGAATCATGATGAGTATGACACAAAACATATTCTAAAGAGAAATATATATTCCGATTACAGAATGCACATATGAGACAC